>NC_000018.10:59537528-60787528 GCF_000001405.40 Homo sapiens | reverse complement strand
GTTTATTATTATTTAAATGTTTTATGTCTCTAGCTGCCAAGCAACGCATTTCTTCTATACACAGTAAACTGGAAAACGACATTCTCCCTGATCAGTACAACAACTCTAAGAGATAGATGTTATTACAATGTTTATACATGTATGACTTATGGAGATATAGAGAAAAGTTGCTTGTTTGAGATCATTTGGTAATAAGTGGCTCATCAGTTCTGAATCTAAAGCCTATGTTCTTTTCAGATCCTTACTTTTGCTACCTTGACTTCACAGACAGATGTTTTCATAATTCCAATGTACCATAGGCTGAATGACAGAGTAAATGTCATAGAATAGGCTCTCAAAGAGAGCTTATCAAACGTTTATCAAGCCTTGCTTTGGGTTGAATTTGCCTCTCCCCTTAGCTGTAATATATACTACTGTGAACATAATCAGGCATGAGTCTTCTCTGTATTCCTAAATTTTCTTGGAGGGATAAAAATACCAAAGATGGAGCACCTGTAATAAACACCAGTCTAAGTGCAGAGAACTGGTAAACCAGGTCACTCAAATGTGCATGTTAATAAGCCTCCTGAAATGCTATCCATGGCTTCAGAAGGAATAAGAAAACTATTTAATGTTTCCCTCTCCACTCCTTCTCAGCATGTGATTATTGCTAAACCTTTGCTGCTTGGTATTTTTTCCTCCAATAGGCTAAAAATATGCAAATAATCTTTTTAATTGTTCATGAGAACTCATTAAATTTCCCTCTTATGATGAGATTTTATTCTTTTAATCAGCAGTTGTTTGGAACATAGTAGATAAAAAAAGTACGGTATCAGTATTAACACACTGCATATGGTTTTCTTGCTTTAAAAAATTAACAGAAGGGAAATTTAAACTGAAGTGATTACAGAATTTAATTTATAAAACTATATTCTTTTTTCATCTAATTAGAATTTTAAAATGGTTTCTCATATCAAAGCTAAACTATCTGACCTCTCTTTTGTAATCTTCATTGAGCGTTTTAATTCTGTGAAGTATCAAACATGGATGTATGAAATTTTACCAATATTATTTTTCTCCCTTGTAACTTCTTTTCTATTTTTAGTATAAAATGTGAGTCTTTGCTTTAAGATACAGAAAAAGTGCAAAGAAGCAAATTCACAGAATCCATTGTATTTAGAATTAAATACCTGTTTGTCAGAGTCTTACTATCAGAATCCTGTGGATAGTGGAAGGCTGGAACAATAAAGGAATAGATTTTATCTTAGAAGCTCCTTCATTAGTAAATGAGAAAATTGATTAATGATAAGGGACTATATTGGTTGCCTCCTTTATCTATTTTGGTTGCTCAAGACCCTAAATTTTTTTAAACAAACTCACCACCTATAAACAGTGGGAATTAATTGACGGATTGTTATTAGTTTAATAGAAGCCTAACAGTGGAACCTTAATCTATTGAAATTTGCCCAAGTATAGACCAATACCGGAGAATCATGGTGACTTCTAAACCAGATATTCAAAAATTCAAAAGCAGAACCAGTTTTTCTCTCAACCAAACCTTCAGTTCTTACTTTGGAAATGGAGCTAAAGTTAGAATTGTTACATGAATATATCTGGTCATCTGGGTTGGATAAGCTATACTCCTGCAATAATAGCAGAGGCTATTAGTGACTCAGAACTGGTTTCAGATATAGTCTTGGACAGAGGAAATGGATGGCATCCCTGGAAAAATGAACTAATGATTGGTGTGTTCATGGAAGAGTCATATGGAAGGATCTTTTTTCAATAGTAAGGCTGAAATCATTTTGCATTTTCTTTCTCCTGCTTTAGAAAATAATTTAATATACCAATGCTCAGTGTATTAGTCTGTTCTCACACTGTGATAAAGAATTGCTCAAGACTGGGTAACTTATAGAGAAAAGAGGTTTAATTGACTCACATTTCCCCATGGCTGGGTAGGCCTCAGGAAACTTACAATCATGACAGAAGGGGAAGAAACACATCTTGCATGGCAGCAGGTAAGAGAGAGTGAGTGTGTGAAGGAGGAACTGTCAGACACTTATAAAACCATCAGATCTCATAAGAACTCACTCACGATCATAAGAGCAGCAGGGGGGACACCACCTCCATGATCCAATCAACTCCTACTAGGTTTCTCCCTCGGAATGTGGGATTATGGGGATTACAATTCAAGATGAGATTTGGGTGGGAACACAAAGCCTAACCATATTATTCCACCTCTGGCCCCTCCCAAATCTCATGTACTCACATGTACTCACATTTCAAAACTAATCATGCCTTCCCAACAGTCACCCAAAGCCTTAACTCATTTCAGCACTAACTCAAAAGTCTCAGTTCAAAGTTTCATGTGAGACATGCCAAGTCCCATCCACCTAGAAGTCTGTAAAATCAAAAGCAAGTTAGTTACTTCCAAGATATAATGGGGGTACAGGCATTGGATAAATGCTCCCATTACAAATGGGAGAAACTGGTCAATACTAAGGGGCTACAGGCCCCTTGCATGTCTGAAATCCAGTGGGGTAGTCATTAAATCTTAAAGCTCCAAAATGATCTCCTTTGACACCATGTCTCACATCCAAAGGACTGTAATACAAGAGGTGAGCTCCCATGGTCTTGGGCAGTTCCACCCCTGCAGCTTTGCAGGGTATAAGCCCCCTCCTAGCTGTTTTCACAGTCTGCCATTGAGTGTCTGTGGCTTTTCCAGGCACATGGTGCAAGCTGTCAGCGGATCTACCATTCTGGGGTCCACTGATGGACCTATTCTCACAGTTCCACTAGGCAGTGACCCAACTGAGACTCTGTGGGGCCTCCAACACCACATTTCCCTTCCACACTGCCCTAGCAGAGGTTCTCCATGATGGCTCCATCCCTGCAGCAAACTTCTGCCTGGACATCCAGGCAATTCCATACATCCACTGGAATCTAAGCGGACATTCCCAAATCTCAATTATTGACTTCTGTGTACCCCCAGGCCCAAAAACCACATGTAAGCTGCCATGGCCTGGGGCTTGTGCCCTCTAAGCAATGGCATGAGCTGTATGTTGGCCCCTTTTAGCCATGGCTGGGAAACAGGATGCCAAATCCTGAGTCTGCACAGAGCAGCAGCAGGGCGCTGGGCCCAGCCCATGAAACCATGTTTTCCTCCTAGGCCTCCAGCTCTGTGATGTAAGGGGCTGCTGTGAAGGTCTATGTCATGCCCTGGAGACATTTTTTTCATTGTTGGCTATTAACATTAGTCTTTTCTTTACTCATGCAAATTCCTGCAGCTGGCTTGAATTCCTCCCCAGAAAATGGGTTTTTCTTTTCTATTACAGATCAAGCTGCAAATTTTCCAAACTTTTATGCTTTGCTTCCCTTTTAAACATAAGTTGTAATTTCAAACCATCTCTTTGTGAATGCATAAAACTGAACACTTCCAAAATCAACCAGGTCACCTCTTGAATGCTTTGGTGCTTAGAAACTTCTGCCAGATATCCTAAATCATCTCTCTCAAGTTCAAAGTTCCACAGATCTCTAGGGCAGAGACAAAATTCCACCAGTCTCTTTGCTAAAGCATAGCAAAAGTGACCTCTGCTCCAGCTCCCAAGAAGTTCCTGATCTCTATCTGAGACCACCTCACCCTGTGTGAGAACAGACTAATACAGTTAATTGGTACTGAGGTTGTGGAGTACTACTGTAAAGATACTTAAAAATGTGGAAGTGACTTTGGAACTGGGTAACAGGCAGAGGCTGGAACAGTTTGGAGAGCTAAGAAGAAGACAGGAAGATGTGGGAATGCTTAGAACTTCCTGGAGACTTGTTGAATGGTTTTGACCAAACTACTCATAATGACGTACCCAGGATTGGGTAATTTATAAAGAAAAGAGGTTAAATTGACTCACAGTTCCAAATGGCTGAGAAGGCCTCAGGAAACTTACTATCATGGCAGAAGGGGAAGAAGCAAGTCTTAGGTGGAAGCAGGCAAGAGAGAGTGGGTTTGTAAAGGTGGAACTGTCAGACACTTATAAAACCATCAAATCTCATCGTATGTCACTCACTATCATGAAAACATCATGGGGGATACTGCCCCCACGATCCAATTACCTTCCACCAGGTAACTTCTTTGACACGTGGGGATTATGGGGATTATAATTCAAGATGAGATTTGAGTGGGGACAAAAAGTTTAACCATATCACTTGTCTTAGATTTCAATTACACTAACATTTACTGTCAGGTATTGAGGGTTTCAAATGAATAAAACATGGTATGTTTCCAGTTTATAGTTGAGTGAGAGTATGACTATAATTTATGCCAGGCAATAACAATATTACACAAAACACCTCAACATATAATTATTTAATAATGTAAGTACAATGTGAAAGGTATAAGGGGATCGTGTAATAGAATGAGAGGAATAAACACTGTGCTCCCCTTCATTTACCCAGTCTCATTACACCTGTCTCTTTATTGTGCCTTCAACTTACCACGTATATCCCAGCATCAGGGCATTTTTCACCTGCTCATCTCTTAGGAATGCACTTTCCTCAGATATTTGCCTCCCTTGCTTTCTGGCTTATTTGTAATCTTGGCTTCAAAGTAAACCTCAGTAAGGCTTTCTGAATACCCTATCTATGTGTACTCTATCTGTCACTCTGATTTTTTTATAGTGATTTTGTATTATTTACTTCTGGGTAACGTGTATATTTATTTGGTTATTTCTGTGCCTTTTATTAGAATACAAACACTTTGAAGCTGAGGATTTCTTTATTTTGTTAAATCCTGCAACCTAATACTTAGCAACATATAGCAAATTCTCAAATACTTGTTGAATGAAAGAAAGAAAGAATGAATATTATAATAGGAAGAAATTAGAAGACAATAAAATATTGTGATATTTTGGCTAAGTATTGAAAAATTAAGAGGGTTTCTATAGCAGTATGGGAGATATAAAGAAAGCCTCTGCTGGCTTTGTTAAGCTTTAGTCCATTAGATTCCTCATGGGGAGGGTATTCTTAATGATCATACCTCTCCCACAATGGGAGGATTCTCTAAGTTTTGGGACCAGGAAGTTTTTCTGCCCCTCCTCTAAGGGTAGAGGTGTTTTTGTTATTGTTTTATTTATTTATTTATTTATTTATTTTAGTCTTTTCTTCTGGTAGCTGCCATGAGTCTTCACCTGGTCCTTGGGGAAAGAGGGTTTACTTTTTTTCCAGTTACATAGTCTTCTGTTCAATAGAGGAGAAAAATCAAATAGCAAAATCTGTTGTTGTTCCCAGGGCCTGCCCCTGTGGGAAGCATTCTTCAGCTTCTTCACTGTCCCTGTAGTTCTCTTGAGTAACTGGTGAAGTCCATGGAAAAGGATTTGCGAGTGAACACAAACTCCTCTTTTGTCTATGACTCCCAGGATTTCTATACTGTCATACTAGCCTACATTTGGCCTCTAGAATTTTTTTAGACATTGTAGCTGAATTCTTACCATTCTGTATGGCAGTTCCATCTTCCTCATCTGCTCTACTGAAAGTAATCCAGAACTCATCTCATATCTCTGCTTGTAGGCCCTTGCCCTGCTTTAGATGTAAGGCTATTTGGTTGTCTTGAGACCTCTGCCTTTCAAGGGTTTGAAAATAAGTTATGGTTTAATGGATTATAATGGCTTTAGGTTGTCAATAAGATAGAAGCAATCACTTCACAGCTTTTTACATTGTATTTCAAATCTTCTGCCCCTCCAATCCTTTTTATTTCATTTATTTTTATTTTTATTTTTTGAGATGGAGTCTCACTCTGTCACCCAGGCTGGAGTGCAGTGGCACGATCTCTGCTCACTGCAACTTCCACCTCCCGGGTTCAAGCGATTCTTCTGCCTCAGCCTCCTGAGTAGCTGGGATTACAGGCGCGTGCCACCATGCCTGGCTAGTTTTTGTATTTTTAGTAGAGATGGGGTTTCAGCATGTTGGTCAGGCTGATCTCGATCTCCTGACCTTGCGATGCACCCACCTCGCCTCCCAAAGTGCTGGGATTACAGGTGTGAGTTACCGTGTCTGGCCCAATCCTTTTTATTTACTTTATTTGAAGGTATTTATTGCATTTTACTTTTATTTAAGTAGGGAGTTTCTTGTTTCCTATAAATTTAATGGTTTCTATATTATTCAAAAGCTTTTATATATCAGAATATTTAAATGACATATGGCTAAATACGAAGCTGTTTTTAAATATATATATATATTTATTTTTTCAACTTGGATTTTAGGTATAGGAGATACATGTGAAGGTTTCTTACATGAATATTTTCATGTCACTGGGGTTTGGTGTACAAATGGTTGTGTCATCCAGGTAGTGAGTATAGCACCCAATAGGTAGCTTTTTAACCCTTACCTTTCTCTCACCCTCCCCATTCAAGTAGGGCTCACTGTCTACTCTTTCTTCCTTGTTCCCAGTGTAATCGATGTTCTGTTTCTGCATTAGTTCACTTTGGATAGTGGTCTCAAGTCCCATCCATGCTGGTGCAAATAATAATAATAATTTTTGTATTAGCTTGTTCTTACACTGCTAAGAAAGACATAACTGAAACTGGGTAACTTATTAAGGAAAGAGGTTTAATTGACTCACAGCTTAGCATGGCTGGGGAGGCCTCAGGAAACTTAGGATCATGGTGGAAGGGGAAGCAAACACATCCTTCTTCACATGGTGGCAGCAAGGAGAAATGCCAAGCCAAAGGGGGAAAAGACTCATAAAACCACCAGAACTGATGAGAACTCACTCAATATCACAAGAACAGCAGGAGGGTAATCACCTCCATGATTAACTTACCTCCCGCTGAGTCCCTCCCAGGACATGTAGACATAATAGGAAATACAATTCAAGATGAGATTTGGGTGGGAACACAGTCAAACCATATCAATTTTGTTCTTTTTTTTTTTTAATCACAACATAGTATTCCATAGTGTATAAATACCACATTTTCTTTCTCCAGTCCACCATTGATGGGCATCTAAATTGACTCCATGCCTCAGCTATTATGAATAATTCTGTGATGTATATATGAGTGCATGTGTCTTTTTGGTAGAATGATTTACACTTCTTTTGGTATATACTCATTAATAGTATTGCTGGGTTGATTGGTAGTTCTGTATTAAGTTATTTGAGAAATTTCCAAACTGCTTTCCACCGTGGCTGAACTAATTTATATTCTCACCAGCAGTGTATAAGCATTCCTTTTTCTCTGCATCCTCAGCAACATCTCTCATATTTTGACTTTTTAATAATAGCTATTCTGACTAGTGTGAGATGTTACCTCACTGTGGTTTTGATTTTCATTTTTCTAATGGATTAGAAGTGTTGAGCATTTTTTCATATGCTTGTTGGCCATGCTGTATAAATTCTTTTAAGATGTGTCTGTTTAGGTACTTGGCCCATTTTTTAATTGGGTTCTTTGCTTTTTGCTTGTTGATTTGTTTAAGTTCCTTACAGATTGTGGATACTAGACCTTTGTGGGATGCATATTTTGTGAATATTTTCTCCCATTCTGTAGGCTGTTTACTCTGTTGATAGTTTCTTTTGCTGTGCAGAAATTCTTTAATTAGGTCTAACTTGTCTATTTTTGATTTTGTTGCAATTGCTTTTAGGGATTTCATCATAAAATCTTTGTCAATGCCTATGTCTAGAATGCTATTTCGTAGGCGTTCTTCAAGGTTTTAAAAATAGTTTCAGGTCTTACATGTAAGTATTTAATCCATCTTGAGTTTATTTTCATAGATGGTGAAAGGAAGGGGTCCAGCTTCAATCTCCTGCATGTGGCTAGCCAGTTATCCCAGCCCTGTTTATTGAATAGGGGGCCCTAATCCCATTGTTTGTTATTGTAGACAATAGCAAGGTTATTGTTGTAGGTGTGTGGCTTGTAAGTTGTAGGTGTGTGGTTTTATTTCTGGGTCCTCTAACCTGTTCCATTGGTATATGTGTCTGTTTTTGTACCAGTACCATGCTGTTTTGATTAAGTGTCTTCATAGTATATGAAGTTAGTTTGTGTGATGCCTCCAGCTTTGTTCTTTTTTGCTTAGAATGGCTGTGGCTATCAAGCTCTGTTTTGGTTCCATATTAATTTCAGCATTGCTTCTTCTAATTCTTTAAAAAATGACGTTAATAGTTTGATAGGAATATAATTGAATCTGTAAATTGCTATCAGAAGTATGACCATCATAATGCTATTGATTCTTCCTATCCATGAGCCTGGAATGTTTTCCCATTTGTTTGTGTTGTCTCTGATTTCTTTCAGCCATGTTATGTAATTCTTATTGCAGAGATCTTTCACCTCCCTGGTTAGCTGCATTCCTAGATATTTTATTCCTTTTGTGGCTGTTGTGAATGGTTTTATTTGGCTTTCAGCTTGTTCGTTATTGGTGTATAGAAATGCCACTAATTTTTACACATTGACTTTTTCTCTTGAAACTTGACTGGAATGGTTTTTCAGTTCTAGGAGCCTTTGGGCAGAGACTATGGAGTTGTCTCTGTATAGAATCAAATTATCTACAAAGATAATTTATCCCCATCTCTTCCTATTTGGATGTTGTGTTAGTCTGTTCTCATACTGCTATAAAGAAATATCTGAGACTGGGTGATTTATAAAGAAAAGAGATTTAATTACCTTACAGTTCTACAGGCTGTATAGGAGGCATAGTTGCTTCTGATTCTGGGGAAGCCTCAGGAAACTTACAAATATGACAGAAGCCAAAGGGGAAGCAGGCACATCTTATATGTCTGGAGCAGGAGGAAGAGAGAGAGTGGGGGAGGTGCCACACACTTTTGGAACAACCAGATCTCACGAGAACTCACTATCGCCATGATAGCACCGAGGGGAATGGTGTTAAACCATAAGAAACCACCCCCATGATCCAATCACATCCCACCAGGCCCCACCCCCAGCACTGGGGATTACATTTCAACTTGAGATTTGGGTAGGGATACAGATCCTATCCATATCAGTTGCCTTTCATTTACTTATCTTGTCTGATTGCCCTGACTAGGACTTTCAGTAATATGTTAAATAGGAGTCGTGAGAGTGGACATCATTTTCTTGTTCTGGTTCTCAAGGGGAATGCTTCCAGCTTTTGCCTGTTTAGTACGATGTTGGTTGTTGGTTTGTCATAGACGGTTATTATTTTGAGGTATGTTCTTTCAATGCCTATTTTGTGGAGAATTTTTAACATAAAGGGATGTTGAATTTTATCAAAAGCTTTTTCTACATCTATTGAGATGATCATGTGATTTTTTGTTTTTAGTTCTGTTTATGTGATAGATCACATTTACTGATTTGTGTATGTTGAAGCAACCTTTCATCACCGAAATAAAGACTACTTGATCATGGTTTATTGACATTTTTATGTGTTGCTGGATTGGATTTGATAGAATTTTGTTGAATATTTTTGTGTCTATGTTCATCAAGGATATTGGTCTTAAATTTTCTTTTTTCCTTGTGTCTCTGCCAGGTTTTGGTATCAGAATGCTGCTTGTCTCTTAGAATGATTTAGGGAAGAGTCACTCCTCCTCAATTTTTTGGAGTGATTTTTGTAGAATTGGTTCCAGCTCTTCTTAATCTGTCTGGTAGAATTTGGTTGTGAATCTAAATGTTCTAGGGTTTTTTTTTCTAGTTTCTAGGTTTTTAAATACTAATTCAATTTTTGAACCAATTATTGGTCTGTTCAGGATTTAATATCTTCACATTTCAATCTTGGGTGGCTGTGTGTTTTCAGGAAATATTAATTTCTTCTAGGTTTTCTAGTTTGTGTCCATTGAGGCATTCATAATGGTCTTTGAAGGCTTTTTTATATTTCTTTCTTTTCTTTCTTTCTTTTTTTTTTTTTTTTTTTTTTTGAGGCGGAGCCTCATTCTGTTGCCCAGGCTGGAGTTCAGTGGCTCGATCTCGGCTCACTGCAACCTCTGCCTCCCTGCAACCTCTGCTTCCCAGGTTCAAATGATTCTCCTGCCTCAGCCTCCTGAGTAGCTGGGATTACAGGCATGTGCCACCATGCCTGGCTAATTTTTGTATTTTTGTAGAGATGGGGTTTCACCATGTTGGCCAGGCTGGTCTTGAACTCCTGACCTCAAAGGATCTGCTGGCCTCAGCCTCCCAAAGTGCTGGGATTACAGGCATGAGCCACCACACCTGGCCAGTTTTTTATATTTCTATGAGGTGGTATTATCACATTTGTCATTTCTGATTGTGTTTATTTGGATCTTCTTTTTCTCTTTATTAATCTAGCTAACCATCTATCAATCTTATTTACTCTTTCAAAAACCAACTTTTGGTTTCATTGATATGGATTTTTGTGCCTTAATTTCCTTCAGTTCAACTCTAATTTTGGTTATTTCTTTCCTTCTGCTAGCTTTGGGGTTGGCTTGCTCTTGTTTTTCCAGTTCCTCTAAGTGTGATGTTATGTTGTTAATTTGAGATCTTTCTAATTTCTTGATGTAGGCATTTAGTGCTATAAACTTTCCTCTTAACATGCTTTAATTGTGTCCCAGAAATTCTGGCATGTTGTATCTTTGCTTTCATTAGTTTCAAATAATATTTTGATTTCTGCTTCAATTTCATTTTTACCCAAAAGTCATTCAGGATCAGGTTGTTCAATTTCCATGTAATTGTATGGTTTTGAGAGATCTTCATAGTATTGATTTCTGTTTGTATTGCACTGTGATCCAATAGTATGGTTGGTAGGACTTCAGGTGTTTTGAATTTGTGGAGAAGTGCTTTATGGCTGAGGATGTGGCTGATCTTAGAGTATGTGCAGATGAGAAGAAAGTATACTCTTGTTTTATGGGGGCAAATAGTACTGTAGATGTCTGTTAGGTTCATTTGGTCAAGTGTTGAGTTAGGTCCCGAATATTTTTGTTAGTTTTCTGCTTTAATAATTTGTCTAGTACTATCAGTTCAGTCTTGATATCTCCCACACTTATTATGTGGTTATCTAAGTTTCTTAGTAGGTATCTAAGAACTAGTTTTACAAATCTGGGTGCTTGAATGTTTGATACACATATATTTAGGATAGGTAAGTCTTCTTGTTAAATTGAATCCTTTACCATGATGTAATGCCCTTTTTTGTCCTTTCCTAAAAGTCATTGGCTTAAAATCTGTTTTATCTGAACTAACAATAGCAATGCTTGCTCTTGCTTGTTTTCTGTTTGCTTGATAGATCTTTCTCCATCCTTTTATTTTCAGCTTAGTGTAGTCATTGCATGTGAGATGGGTCTCTTAAAGCCAGCATACAGTTAGGTCTTGCTTCTTTATCCAACTTGCCATTCTCTGTCTTTTAAGTGGGATATTAAGTGCATCCACATTCAAGGTTAATACTGATATGTGATAATTTGATACTGTCATCATGTTGTCACCCGGCTGTTACATAGACTTCATTGTATGGTTTCTCACAGTGTCAGTGGGCTATGAACTTAAGTGCATTTTTGAGGTGGCAGGTAACAGCCTTCATTTCCATGATTAGCACTCCCTTAAGGATCTCTTGTAAGGAAGTTCTTGTGGTAATGAATTCCTTTTGCATTTGCTTGTCTGAAAGCATTTTATTTCTCCTTAGCTTAATTAGGGAAGCTTAATTTGGATGGATATAAAATTATTAGTTGGAATTTCTTTTTTTTAAAGATGTTGAATCTAGGCTCCCAATCTCTTCTTGATTGTATGGTTTCTGCTGAAAAGTCTGCTGTTAGCCTGATGGGATTTCCTTTGCATGTAACTTGTCTCTCTCTAGCTGCCATTAAGATTTTTTCTTTCACATTGACTTCAGAGAATTTGAGGGCTATGTGTCTTGGGGGTGGTCATCTTGTATAGTACCTTACAGGGGTTGTGGGAATTTTCTGAATTTGCGTGTTGACTTCTCCAGCAAGGTTGGAGAAATTTTTGTGGACAATATCTTCAAATCTGTTTACCAAGTTGCTTGCTCCCTCTCCATCTTTTTCAGGAATGCCAATGAGTTGTAGGCTTGTCCTCTTTACATAATCCTATATTTCTTGCAGGCTTTGTTCATTTTGTTTTGTTCTTTTCAAATTTTTGTCTGCCTGTGTTGATTCAAAGGAGTGGTCTCAGAGCTCTGACATTCCAAGCATAGTCTATTTTATTATTAATGCTTCTGATTGTATTCTGAAATTCCTGCAGTAAATTTTTCATTTCCAGAAGTTCAGTTTTGTTCTTTTTTAAAATGGATGTGTCACCTTTAACTCTTGGACTCTTTACTGTTTTCCTTGGATTGGGTTTCAACTTTCTCCTATATCTCAGTGAGTTTCCTTGCCACCCAGATTCTGGATTCTGTCTCTCATTTCAGCCATTTGTGTCTGGTTAAGAACCACTGCTGGGGAGTTAATGCGGTGATTTGCAGATAAGAAGACACATGGCTTTTAGAGTTGCCAGAGTTCTTTTGCTGGTTCTTTCTCATGTGAGTGGGCTGATATTCCTTTAATTCTTGAGGTTTCTGTCATTTGGAACGGGCTTTTTGCTTAGATATTCTTTGATGCCCTTGAGGGGGTGACTGCAGTGTAAGTTAAATTCAGTCAGTTGGCTTCATTGCTGGATGTTTTCAGTGGATCAAGGCTTGGCTTAGCACTCCTGGGCTGCATGATTTTGCCCTAGGGGGCTAGAACCAAGCCTGTGGCTTTGTCCTCTGGCCCCTCAAGTTTAAGCACCTGCTGCACTGGAGAGGCCATGGTGTTCCCAGTCTTCTCTACCAACACTCCGATGGAGCTGCCAGCAAAAACTCTTTGATAAGGCAGTGGTGGGGCCCTGTGCAGATGCAAGCTGTTAGGGTGGCAGTTGGAGGCTGTGGATGAGTGTGTGCTGGTGGGGGAAGGCTGTGGGTGGGTGAACACTGGTAGGAGTCAGTCTGCAAAAGCATTCTGATGGGTAGGCTGAATCTGCTGGCAAAAGAGCTATGATGGCAGCTGCTGGCAAACACTTCAATTGGGCAGCTGAGGCTGCACTGCAAGTGGGTGCAACCAGGTAGGTACTCTTGGAGAGGCTGGCAGGTAGGCAGGTACTCAGAGATCAGACTGGCCCCATCTCACGGGCAAGGCAGCCCTGCCCAGGTACAACTCCTTGTGCTCAGCGACTCAGTGCAGGATTCCCAGCTTCCTCCCACTTCAGCCTGGGGTCTGTGTCCTCCCTCTGTCTACTCTTAATGTCTTCTTTCTGAAAATCTGTTTGGAGTGTGTCAGTCTACTTGATGGTCTGGTTTCTCTCAGTGTGGGAAGTTCTTCCTGGCTGCAGTTAGCTGGCCATCTTGGTTCCTATGCAAAACTCTTTTAAATGAAAAATTTCTCTCTTTGGAAATGATATTCAGCATGAAATGTGCTATTTGGAGTGCTGGTATCACTTTGATATTTTCCCCATTATAGGTGACAAAACTTTTTTTTTCTGGATGCCTTTTGTATTCTATCCTTATCTTCAAAGACTTTTAAAATAAATGTTACCGCTGTAGATAGATAGATAGTAATTATTACTTATCCTTTTATCCCTTAAATACTGTACTTTTTCCTGCAGGTTCTAGGTTTTCTGTATTTCAAACATGTGTTTTCAAAAAATTTGATAAATTTATTCTGTTCTTTAGTACTATCAATTATGCATATGTCCTACTTCCTCATCTGTCATTCATATACAGGCATACCTCATTTTATTGTATTTCTCTATTGTGCTTCACAGATATTGCATTTTTTTTACAAGCTGAAGTTTTGTGGTAACCCTGCGTTCAGTGTCTATTGGTGCCCTTTATCCAACAGCGAGCATGTGCTCACTTCGTGCCTCTGTTACATTCTTGGAATATTTTCACAATATTTCAAAGTTTTTCATTATTATTATATCTGTTCTGGTGATCTGTAATCAATGATTTTTGATGTTACTATTGTAATTTTGTTGAAGTGTCATGGACCTCACCCACATAAGATAGCAAACTTAATTTATAAATGTTGTGTGTGTTCTGACTGCTCCACCCTTCAGCTGTTCCCTCATCTATCTCCCTTTTCTTGGGACTTCCTATTCCCTGAGACACACCACCATTGAAATTAGACCAACTAATAACCCTGTCTCCATAACATAAGCTGTCTCCATAACATAAAAGTGCAAGGTGAAGCCACAAGTACTACTGTAGAAGCTGCAGCCAGTTATCCAGAAGATCTTAGCTAAGATCATTGATGGAGGTGGTTACACTAAAAAAAAAAAAAAGGATTGTTGATACAGACAAAACAGCCTTATATTGGAAGAAAATGCCATCTAAGACTGTCATCTCCAGGAGCTTCAAACCTTCAAAGGATAGATTGACTTTCTTGTTAGGATCTAATGCAGCTGGTCACTTTAATTTGAAGCCAGTGCTCATTTACCATTCTAAAATTCCTAAATCCCTTAAGAATTCTTCTAAAACTACTATGCCCTTGCTCTATAAATTAAACAAGAGTGGGTGATATAACATCTGTTTATGGCATTTGTTACTAAATATTTTAAGTCCGTTGTTGAGACCTACCACTCAGAAAAAAAAAATCCTTTTAAAATATCACTGTTCATTGAAGGTGTAGCTAGTCACCAAAGAGCTCTGATGGAGACATACAAGATTCATGTTTTCAGGCCTACTAATACAGCATCTGTTCTCTAGCCCATGGTTCAAGAAATAATTTTGACTTTCAAGTCTTATTATTTAAGAAATGCATTTTTTAAGTGTATAATTGCCATAAATAGTGATTACTATGACAGATCTGGGCAAAGTAAATCCAAAACCTTCTAGAAAGTAATTACCATTCTAAATGCCATTCAGAACATTTGTGATTCATGGGAGGAAATAAAAGCATCAACATTAACAGGAGTTTGGAAGAAGTTGATTTCAACTTTCAAGAATTTCTTTGAGGGGTTCAAGACTTGAGTGGAGTACGTAATGGCAGATACGGTGGAAATACCAAGATAACTAGAATTAGAAATGGAGCCTAAAGATGGGCCTGATTTGTTGCATTTTCATGGTAAAACTTCAACAGATGAGGAGTTGCTTCTTAAGCATGAGCAAAGAAAGTGGTTACCTGAGAAGGAATCTACTCCTGGTGAAGAGCTATGAACACTGCTGAAATGACAACAAAGGATTTAGAATATTACATAATATCACATAAACTTAGTTGATAAATCAGAAGCAGGGCTTGAGAGGATTAACTCCAATTTCGAAAGAAGTTCTGCTATGGGTAAAGTGCTATCAATCAGCATGGTATGCTACAGAGAAATCTTTTGTGAAAGGAAAAGTCCATTGATGCAGTAAAATTCACTGCTGTCTTCTTTTAGGAAATGCTCACAGCTATCCCAACCTTTAGCAACCACTACCTTGTTCAGTCAGCAGCCACCAACACTGGCAAGACTCTCCACTAGCAAAAATATTAGCATTCTCTGGAGATTCAGATGATTGCCTTTTTAGCAATAGAGCACTTTTAAAATAAGGTATTTTTTTAGACATGATGCAATTGTTCACTTAGTAGACTACAGTGTAGTATATATATATAACTTTTATATACAATGGAAAACCAAAAAATTCATGTGACTTGTTTTATTGCAGAATTTGCCTTATTGTGTGATTTAGAGCTCATCTGCAGTATCTCCAAGGTATGCTCTATTTTATTCCCCTATTTATTATTTTCACAGTTATCTTTTTATTAGTTCAATTTACTTTATTTATTTATTTTATTTTAACTAAAAAAGAATTTGAGTTAATTCAATTTTATTTTATCTAAGGCACTTGTGTTTTGAAAAATCTCTTAATATTGTTTTCTAAACTTTGTGGCAATTTTTCTGATATATGATGTTTATCTTAATTTTATTATTATGTCTTTTATCCAATTTTTTGGATCATATTTATTTATCGATTCTCTCTTCTTTCCTTTCTAATCATTACTAATGGTTTTTGATGGAGCATTTATGTTTGAAATAGATTTACTGAATTATATGCTTGTCAGATGGGTCAGGGGATACAGTAATTATTTAGAACCTTAAACTATGGTTTTCTGCCTTAGAACACAAATATTGTGTTTTCTTCTGTGGAGGTGTATCTACTCTAGTTTTATGCTTTCTTTTTATTTGGAAAAGCAGATGGTTTGTATAACTCACATTGAAGTTTCTAAAATGGCAAAAGTTCTATTGGGTTATCGTTCAGCTGTTTGAATCTTTCTAATCCATTCATCAGATTTGAATGAGGAAGCATACAGAAGATACTAGATCCCATGCTTTGAGTTGTCACAGCCAATGCAAAATTTAGTACAGATAGCCTGAAGTGCAGATTTATGAGAATAGTACATTTTTTCTAAGACACTAGGTTTTGAAGTGACTTATTACACAACAGTGTGCAACTGGAAGAATCTTATATGCCCACAATGAAAGGGGCAGTTTGAATTCTCTACACATTTCTTAATTTTGGTCTCCTTGCAATTGAATTGGGTACCTAATCTTCACACAATCAAGTGTAGGAAATAATATTCTATCATTGTTTCTCTTGAGGAAATTTTAACTGTATACTTGGGTACCATGTGAATATGCCATTTGTTAATATTTTGTAGTGGTTTGACTACATGACCACAGTTTTAAAAGAGCTATGATAGTCTATAGGTAAGTTAGAAATCCAATCAGAGTAGAATTTATTAATATTAAGAAATAATAACTTGAATAAAAAAATTAAAGTAGATCAGCCATTATAAAATCTTTCTCTCACCTTGATTTCTTTTACTATAAATTCATTGGCATCTTTTCTATATAGACAGGAAAGCATATTCTATATTGGACCTTGATTCGTTTCTTTCAAACATTCTAGAAAACAGAGAATATAATAGCTTTTCAATTGTAACACAATATGCATTCAAGGATACTTTTCATCCATGGTCTTAGACATGAAAAACTTTATGTGAGGTGCAATTTAGCAGAGATAAAAATATTGAGCAAATTAGAATTAGCTTTAAGGTGGCCAGTAGTAATTTTTTGGAGTACCACCGCTGTTCCTGAAGACTCAAAACCTACAGGCTGTGCAACATATCTAAACCTTGTCAATGGCTGACATTATTTGGTAGTCTCATGATAAGAGCTACCATTATGTGTGTGGCTTGAGAGTCCATTAAACCTAGAGTCAATCTAAATCTCTTCTCTCTTCTTTTATGTGCCATGGGAGATCACTAAAATTGCATTTGATTTAGACTTTACATCAAAGTTAAGGAAAAAGTTTCCTTATGCACTCACTCAGATGATAAAACAAATGAATTTATAAAGATTGAAGCTTATAGTATTAATAGCAGGCTGTGAAGTCACAAATATGTCTGTCGTTATCATCAGAATTGTAAATGACATAGTCATGTTTATGATCTTAGGTTTCTTCACATTTATTATGCTTGCTCTTCTAGTGACATTGCAGAGTCCTGCTTTGGTTTTTCTTTCACACATGATATTCTAATTGCAGAAATCCAATTCCTCCATGCAGTTCAGGTCTCAGTGCTGCAGACGTTTCTATTTTGATATTGGACCTTCCAATATTAATGACCCCTTAAAGGAGATAAACAACTTTAACTTTTTATTTTTTAATATCTAGTTGTTTAGCATAGTAGTATTATTTAGCTCCAAGCCACCAGTAACTTTTTATGTTTAAATAACAAATCATAATTTAGTTTCCTTACAATTCCTAACTAGCAGCATCAGCGCCTCAACTAGACTCAAAGCAGGACAGGGAAAATGTTTCTGAACTTTCAGAAATTTACTGACCCGCATTACTTTAGGGAGAGATTCGAAGACTTGTTGGAGAATAAAGTTCAGAAGAATCCTTTGGTGCATTTCACCTGTTCTCCAGGTCTACCTTTTCCTTCCTAGATAATAATCAGAATTCAAGAAAAAAATGTGCTGAACAATGTACTCCAAAGTTATTATATTTATCATTTGATTCAATAGGAATATCAAAGTCTTGAAGTACTAACAGATTTTTAAGGCCCTCTGAAGCTATTAGGGATCAATTATAAGCCATCTAACTTGAACGTTGAAATATGTTATTCCGGTTCAATACAAGATGGAAGAATAGGAAATCTGCAGGCCTGAATCCTATGTGATTGAGGATGATACAACCTCTGATGCCCAGTGTTTCATTTATTCCTTTATTCAGTTAGTCATTTTATTAAACACCCAATGTATAAGTTAATATACCCAAAGTATCACTTATACTGCTTATATAATACTTAGTAGAGGGGGTTGCATAATAAAGTAAAAACAAATCTCTTACCAATGAATAGGAGAACTGAATTAGTTTATTTCTACAATTCTTTGAGCTAAGACCACAACTTACTATATGGGTGTGCATACGTATGTTTGTATGTATGTACGTAAGTGCATGTTTCTTTGCTTATTCTCTATCCTTAATAGCTGGTATAATACATTCATGTTCAGAACTTGGCATGCTTTTATTTTAAATTTTAGAGTTTCCAACAAACTGAACATTGGGCACCAGACCTTTCTTTTTGTTTTGAAGAGGAAGTAAAGGGTTATGTTCCATGGCTTTGTATTTGAGGAGGATTCCTGCTTCTCCTGGTATCCGGGATTCAACTGAGCTCAACAGAGCTTCAAGTTGCCTATGCTGTCATCAAGGTGCAATACTCATTATCTAGATGATAAAAAACACCTATATTTTTGTTCAATATTCTCTTCTTCAGGCTTTAGTGTCCCCAGTTGTCATGGAGCATGTAGTAGCTGCTTATGAATTCCAGGTTCTTGTCCCACCTCTGCTACCTGTGACATTGTCTTTCCCTCCATAGGACAATGATGCAATCATAATTTATAGTACAGAGATTAGAGTTTTAAAAAATCTCTGTTTTCACGAACTCTGCTGTGGATAAACCCCTTAGAAAATTTCTCCAGTGATACTGAGACTTTGCTGTCCTTTTCAAATGAAATGATTGCCAGGGTCATTGCACCAGTTGGACCTAGGCGGGTTTTGTGGGCTGCTGAGGAATAGAATTGTAAAATTTCTGAGATGAAGTAACCATGATATGCTGCCCCTACCCTAGAAATAATTCAATGATTTGAACAGAAGTTCCTGCCACAAACATAGCTGTTATATGATTCTCAATTTAGTTAATAAAGATTTTTGCTCCCATATCTATGTCTCTTGCTGATATACCTTGCCTAGCTCCGTCCTGTCTGTGAGCCCTGTACCAGGGTTCTGGTTAAGCCACAGAGATTATTATAAACAAACACTTCAAAGCTGCTCTGCCAATGTAGTCAGGATTATGCATAATAAAATGTCTTCCTTCCCAAGTCAAAAACCAATGTGCAAACATATTAACATTAGTGGTCAAAAAGCATCATCTGGTCCCATGGGAACCTAGTGATATCCATAATTATGAATAACTGGGAATTCTATCCCAATCATTTTATTACTTGATATTGCTAAGTGTTACCCCTCCATCAAACATCACCAAAATTAATACAATATACATTATAGTATATTATGTATAATATATAATATATTATATTTATAATAATATAATGTATATTATATATAATCTAATAAAATATACAAATATGTTTTATTAATATATATTAATATATTATATAATAATATACATTATATCATATTATATATTATATAATAATATATATTATATCATATATTATATATTATGTGATATATAATATAATATATAATATATGATATATAATATATCACACTATATATTATATATTATATATTAATATAATAAAATATATATTAATATATTTTATTAATATATTATTATTGAGGTTTATAAATAATATATACTCCTTGGGAGACCGAGGCAGGCAGATCACGATTTCAGGAGATCGAGACCATTGTGGCTAACGTGGCGAAACTCTGTCTCTACTAAAAAAATACTAAAGATTAGCTGGGCGTGGTGGCGGGTGCCTGTAGTCCCAGCTACTTGGGAGGCTGAGGAAAGAGAATGGTGTGAACCCAGGAGGCGGAGCTTGCAGTGAGCCGAGATTGCACCACTGCATTCCAGCCTGGGCGACAGAGCAAGACTCCATCTCAGAAAAAAAACATATATATACATATACACACACATATATATATGTGTGTATATATATATGTATACTCCTCAGAAAAATATGTTTACCAAATATATTCTAGTATATGTCAAAAATATATTCATCAAAAATGTGGAAGTATGTTTCTGAATATATATAATTATCACATATATTTCATTATTAATAACATATTAATGATGATTATATTAATATTAAGAAAACAATTTAAGGACATATTTTCTACGAATACCTTTTTAGGAGTTACAGACTCTTTCCCTCTCTGCCCCTGAATCTCCAGCCACAGCAAGAGAGCTTGACTGAAATAAATGTAAATATTTCATAAAATGAAGCTATGTAAATGTGAAACCAGTCAGGTTAAGCTAAATAGTTACAGGAAACAAGTAAATTGGAAAAAAAAAATCATTCAGTAAATGAGTCATTTATTAAATTGCCTTTTGGTGAGTTGGTCATTGGTGAAATGACCTGCTTTTTCTCCGAATATTCCTCCTCGCATACGTCAGGTAAGGTCTCTTTGTGGTGACTGATATCTTCATCAATGAATGCACCTTACTTTTTTGTTCTTTCAGCCTCTCAAATACTTTGTATGTGATTCTCTTTATTAGAGGTTTCTAATTGAAAATGAAAACGTTGTTTCTATTTTCCAAGTGGAACCTGCATGACACAGAAGGGGAGAGTGTTTGAGGGGAAGAGAAAAGCACTTACAAATAGAGAGGAGAGGATGACCTCACCATTTCAGAGTATGGTCAATACCGTGTAATGCTAATGTGTGAGATGGTTGTGGGATAATATCAGGGGTTTCAAGATGGGCAGGGATCAGATTTAGAAAAAAATTGTTTGTATTTTCATCTATGGAGTTTGAAGTTTAACATATTAAGAAATGGGGATGAATTAGGACATTTGAATTAGGAGGGTTGCATCTGAGATTTTAATTTGAGAAAGCATATGCAAAAGCCACAGTTACTTTTGCAACAACATAATAATAGCAGAGAATAGATAAAAGCAGAGCAAGTTAAAAGTTTATTGTGACTTCTGAACTGGACAAGTTAGTATGGATTTATTTCTTCCTGCAAAGAGCAACTATAAACTGTGGAAATAACATAACAGACAATTAAAGGGAAATTCTTAAATGCGGTAACGAATTTGGCAAACTGGTTGGAGGTATATAGTTTCTAGTGTCTAGACCACTTCGTTCCTAAAATTATGGCTTCTTGCAGATTACACATACAGTAAGGTGTTCAACTTTAGCCAACTTTGGTTTAAAAATATTAAAAACAGGATAATATCTGGAAAAGCCTAACTGCACTAGATAATGAATGTCACATTGTGTCATTTAAAGAGGAGATGAAGGATCTAGAAGTGTTTAAGAATTTAAGATGGAAAGGAAAAGTCAATTATAGCTGGCTTCTAATATTTTAAGGTCTGATGTACAAACAATACTTTAGAGCATTTTCTGTGGCCTAGGAAGGAAAAGTCCTACATAAACAAGAATAGGTTTGAAGAAAACGAATGCTGGGCACTATGAGGAAGAGTTTCTCTACAATTAAAACTGTTAAATATGGACGTCTCTTCACTAGGAGATAAATTTCTTTCAGAAAATGTATTCATCAGAGGACAGATGACAATTGGCCAAGAGTCTTGAAAGGAGAGTTCACATATCACAATTCCCAAACTGCTAGGAGAAATAAATTGTCAAACAGTTGAGGAAAGTTTAAAGGAGTATCTCATGTTTTAAATCACAATGTTTCTTTGGATTTGAATCCCAGGTTTGCCTTACATTACGTATGCTTATATGTAGAATATATGTTAGGACAACATCTGCTACATAGGAAATACTTATTACATAATATATGTGACAGTAGTTATGATATCATACCTAATAATGTATATTTTATATTCAAACATATACATGTTAATGATAGTACCAATGAGATCATTATGTCAAAATTTTACTCTAATGCTTAGGCAAAATTTATATGAGAGAAATAATATACACAGATTTATGTAAGTATTCAGAACTATTGCATTTATTTTATTTTTCTAATTATATGAATTGATCTATAATTGCATGTACTCTTTTTTAGTTTTATTTCATATGTACAAACCGTAGAGTAGCATAATACCACTAGATTCTCTATTTTTGAGGTAAGCACTGAGGAAGGGAAGCTCAAAACATAAATTTTATCATCTATTAAAATATTCCAGGCAATAAATGTGTTAGTATAGACTTACATAACCAAATTTTTATCAAATATTTTGATTTGGAACATTATACTAACCACTTTTGTTCACAAGGATAGGACTTACACTATCAGCTATGTGCTCAAATATGGAAGTCTTCCAAGTTAAATATTAATATTAAGGCTTTTTGTTTTGAGAGCCTAGAATAATAAAGCAGAAAATTCTAATTACAAAGGCACCTATTTTATCCTAATTTATGCTACTGATCCCCTCATTTTCAGATTCCAATTTAATTCGTCTCTTTTTTTATATTCCTTTTGAAAAAAGCCTGCCTTTACCTAGTCATTTCTGCTGATTCTCTGCAAGGCTGCCATTTCTCCATCCACTCTGTGACCCACCTATATGCCCTGCTGCACACCTTATTGAGATGTAGATCAAGCTCTAATGATACTTGGCAACAGCTCATTTAAAATAAATGCAATTAAATCGGACATAAAGCTAATAAAAAAAACTGAAAAATAATATGGGTTATGGTAGACCAATTAGGGGAATGTTCACAATTTTCTCTAGCAAGAGAAGTCAATGTGAGCTGGGTATGATGCCATAGAAAATGGAATTTTAAAAGTAATATGATTAATGCCATTCCTGAAAATCAAGTATATATAATGACCATCTTTCCTGGCTTTAAAAATTAGATTTGATAGCCAAGTGAACTCATTAAGAATGATTTTTTTAAGTATACATAGGGCTTAAAGGCACATATGTATAGCTGTATTCAATTAAGTGTTTACTGTACAACTTACAAAATGCTGGTACTCTACTGGGTGATTCGAAGATGCAAAGACTTGGCCATTGCTCCCAGAAAGTCTTCAGTTTATAGAAAGGAGACAGGCATATAAAGAGATTTGACCCATACATGGTAAAGAGCGGGTTCAAGAATAGGTGAAGCTAGTTATCTCAGGTACAAAGGTGAAGACAATGCCAAAAAAAAAAAACCTTAGTAAACAGCAGAAATCATATTTTGATGTAATTTTTTTAAAAAATCAACATCAGTGCAAAAATCTTATAACGAAGAAAATATCAAAATTGTAAATTACTGATTTTTTAAAATTATTATTATACTTTAAGTTTTAGGGTACACGTGCTCAACAGGCAGGTTTGTTACATATGTATACATGTGCCATGTTGGTGTGCTGCACCCATTAACTCATCGTTTTTCTTAAGCTCTAATACAACACCACATGATATTGGTAAGAACAATCCTGAGACAGGCACATGGTAGAAAGGGATTCTAAAGGATGAGGGCCTAATTCCTCCCTATAGTGGGGACGAGGTATAATCTCGAAAATGTTTCTAGACAAACATGAGAACCACCTTCATAGGGAGGCTGAGTGAGCTTGGTGAGGATGAGAAGCAGGCAGGCATTGTAAAGCACAGCAGCATTCAAAAGAGATGCCTGTAAAAACAAGGTGATTTTGGTTTTAATATGGTTTCTACAAAAAGAAATTCTTCAAATAAAAAAGTAAAATAAAATGTAAATAGACAATTGCTTTGTCAGTAAGAGTTCCAAGCAAAGATGACTATACAAAAATATAAAAATACCGATTTATTCCAAAAGTACTTTAATGTTTTCATATAAAATTTTAGGTTTTCAATTCAAACTCACATTTATTATAAGAATAACAATCTGGAAACATTTATTTCTTTACAATGAAGTAACCAGATGGCCTCAGCAACACAGTTTTGCAAGAATTTTATACATAATTTTTTTAAAAAATTTAAGAGATGGGATCTCACTCTGTCGCTCAGGAGGGAGTGCAGTGGCGTGATCATTGCTTATTGAATTTCTGGGCTGAAGTGATCCTACCACCTCAGCTTCCTGAGTAGCTGAGACTGCAGTAACACACCACCATGACCAGCTAATTTTTTTTAAATTTGTAGAGACAAGGTCTTGCTACATTGCCCAGGCTGATCTCTAACCCCTGGCCTTAAGTGATCTTCCTGCCTCGGCCTCCCAAAGCTCTGGGCTTACAGGCATGAGCCATCATACCCAGCCAACTTTACAAATCTTATATTCGATATGACTTACTTTCATATATGTTTGTCCCTTTTAAAATTGGGTAATTGTGTTTTCCTCCATTTCTAGTCCCTTTGCTTCAACAATCCTAAAATTTGTGATTTCTAGTTCTTGGAGAAATGTACAAATGTATACATGGATTGGGTTTAACTGGGTTTGGAGCTAAATTCCTAGATAATTTTTTGGATTTGTAAATGTAGAATCAATTGTCTTCAGACTGATGTAAACTGTTGGTCATTGACAATGATGTTGGAAAACAGAAAGGAAGATTTAGCAGGACTTACAGATTTTGCCATTTTGTTGAGGACATAAAATAATGTAATTTATAACACACTTTTCTGAATTGCTTTCATGTAATTGCTGTTAATTGAGCTTTTAAAATACTTATATTGTTTATCAATAAAATTATTTTGGTTGTTTATTCTCCAGTCCCTAAGAATCCAGACAAACAAGCTGCTGAATTCATTCACAACAAGAGAACACTTTTTTTTCACTCTTCACTTCTTAGTGTCCAGTTAACAGCTAAAATGCTATGTCACTATGGGGTCTTACTCTGCTTTGTATGTTTTTTGTTTGGGCCATGGACACAAGAGATCTTACAGAGTCACAGTAAAGAACCAATTTAACTGCTTACAGAATCTAGGAAATGTGTGTATTCCATTAAAAGAGTAGTGTTACAACGGGAAGGCTTAGGAAGAGGAACAAACTGTATACCAGTGAACTTGAAAGACGATACACAACCCTAAGGAAGGTGCGAGACCATTCATGGGTGAACAGAAAGAACGTGTTTCATTGCAATTTCCATTAAATTTAATCTAGCATATAAAATTAAGTTTTACTAATATTTAATGTATAGATTAATTCTCATGTCCTCTAACATCAGCTGGAGTATGTATGGGTTTCTTCAAGGAAAATTACAAATTCCACAATTCAGAGATTAAACAGCAGTACCCTCATCTGCAAAGGATTAAAATGTATTTGTCACCAGCTAAGTGGATTTATGGATTATATTATCTAGTCTTAACTAAAGCTAATCCTCTGAAAGTGAAGAAGTGGATTAGATAAATTCCTGAAAAGAAAACAAAATTGAAAATAATACTAATAATGTGATTCCTCAGAGATGACACTTTAATTTATATTATAAACTTTTCCTCAGCTACATTACTAGACAACAGTAATGGCAAACTAAACAGATTTGACAAAATTAGCCAAAAATTTCTAAATATAAAAATGTTATTTCTAATATAGATTTGTATTCACTGTTGTTAATGGTGAACTTGTCCCAAGTATATATTTTCTATTTTATAAATTTTACTATGAAATATACCTTTTTAACAATGGTGATTATGAATCATGTATCAAAATAAATTGAACTTCAAACTGGATTTTTAAATTGCTATGTCTCAAAGTATTAAAACAAGATTTCCAAAGAAAAATAATCAACCACATTGCTTTCATTAAAATGGGATAAATAATACTTTTAGTGAGATAAAAAAATATACCATCAAAAGTTTAAATTGATCTTGCAATATCTATTAGTCTGTTCTCACACTGCTAATAAAGACATACTGGAAACTGGGTAATTTATAAAGGAAAGAGGTTTAACTGACTCACAGTTTCACATGGCTGGGAGGCCTCACACATGGTGGAAGGCCAATGAGGAGCAAAGTCTCGTCTAATATGGCGGCAGGCAAGAGAGCCTGTGTAGGGGAAATTTGCTTTATAGAACCATCAGATCTCATGAGATTTATTCACTATCATTAGAACAGCACAGGAAAGACACCCCCACCCCATGATTGAAACACCTCCCACTGGGTACCTCCCACGACAATCAAAACCATGGGAACTACAATTCAAGATGAGATTTGGGTGGTGACACAACCAAACCTATATATAATGTTATACTAAATTCATTCTATCCCTTATTAATATATATTTTTGTATTGTTTATGATGTGCAGATTATATTAGCAAAATAATATTAGTATATAATTTGTGAATAAATATATTCTCAGGTGAATAAAAAACTCTTAAAATTTTATAATGAGACTGGGCTTGGTGGCTGACACCTGTAATCCTAGCACTTTGGGAGGCAGAGCCAGGAGGAACACTTGAGTCCAGGAGTTCATGACCAGCCTGGACAACATGACAAGACCCCATCTCTACAAATAATTAAAAAATTAGCCAGATGTTGTGGTGGGAACCTGTAGCACCAGCTACTCAGGAAACTGAGGTAGGAGGATTGCTTGAACCTGTAATGTTGAGGCTTCAGTGACCTGTGATCACACCACGGTACTCCAGCCTGGGTGGCAGAGTGAGACCTTGTTTTAAGAAAAAATAAAGAGAGAGAAAGTACTGAGTCTTCTCTTAGGGAAAGTTTGATAATGATAATGATATTTACTGCTAATATACATTCTTTATTTATTATAAGCCTGGAAATATTCTTAGCACTTTAGACATTTTTTTCACGTGTTTCTTACAGAAGTTTTTTGAGGCATTCAGAGATTGTAGATAACAGAATGGAAAGTCAGGTCCAGAATATAAACTTTATTGTGTCTGAATCCAAAGGCCATGCCTTAACTACTGTAGCATATTGGAATTATCTCTTACATCACTTGAATTAAATATGTTCCTATGTGTGTCATCTCAAAATTAAATTGAGATTAGTTTTCCTTGACATTTTATTGTCGTGGACAACTAAGTCTAACTGTGGGACAACAAAAAGTAAAAAAAAAAAAAAAAAGATAAATAATAGCAATAATTTTAACCAACTAAATGATATATCAACCAGTATGGAACAGTATGAAAAGAGTAATTTAAAATATAATCAGATATCTTAAGAAGATGATTCTGAATTCTGAATATATATTTCATATGTGTTATATATGTAATATATATAATATATGTAATATATATATAAAGTTAAATTCAACTTTAAAAGTGATTCAACAGTCCATTTATATTTTTGGCATCTAATTCTTCAACTAAGCTAGAAAACAAAGCCATATCGAAGATTAGTTACCAAGGTAAAATATAATCCATTAGTCTGATTTATTCACTTAATTAGATTTGCATTTGAAAGATTGAGCCTTTGGTTTCATTTTACTTAAATACTGCATTTGCATTATTTCACACCCACATTTAGGCTCTATTCATTGTATAAATATTAATAGATAATATAATTTATATTCTAGATTAACAACGATCATAATAAAACTGACTTGCATTTTAGATTTTATACGGAAATTTAGAGGCCCTTAAATCTAATTTTATGCCAATATTTCTAATACCTTACAACCAACTTCTAAAATATCCCCCTGAATTAAGGTTGACCTTGAATCTCTAGCGCAGATTTATTGGAATTAGAGTTACCAAATTCATCCTATCATTCTTATAGAATTTTAAATTTTTGGAAAATACCCCAGGCATGATTATCAAAAGGTGATGACACTTTGTTGGTTTCCTTCATCTACTTCTCTAGCACACTCAAATCAGGAAGTTTAGAAATTGAATAGTTCTCAGCATATGTCCTTTGACAAATTAATTATTTCAACTGAGAATTATTTAATTATTTTGAACGCCTAATTTCAGAGTCCCCTGAATATCCCCCTGAAAATTTCAGACTTAGATTTGAAATTGTGCTCACATTCTGATCCAACAAGGGGTTTCTTTCTTTAAACCTTGCCTCTAGTGTATAGAATAAACATTGTGCCAGATATTTTAAGACATGATAGTTACTATTTACATATCATCCTGCAAAATGTCATCCTGAGATTAAAACTGATATGAGTTAATATCATTAAAATGTTAAAGATGTTTCAAGTGTAAAGAAATTATAGGGTTTGCAGAAGGGACGGTAAGGTTTTGGTTAATTCAGCAAATATGTAAGAAATTTAATAAAGAATACATTTTCAGTTCAAATTTCAGACAGTCTACCATTTCTGATAATCTATGACGTTGGAGACCTTAATCTGGCTTAAAAGTTGGCTGAGAGGAAAGGTTGTGATATTTTGACTCAAATTTTTTAAATTTGATTTTTTAAAATAAAAAAAGTAAATGACGGAATGAATGAACAAAAGAGGAAAGGAATAAATGAGTAAATGAATTGGCTAAAGTGGCAGAAGGTGCTCAGTACATCAATAATAAAGTTAAGCACCATATTCAGCCTAGCAGTTCTTCTTTTACTTACAATGTACCACAGTACAACACTCTCTGTGGAATCAGGCAAACATAAGTTATTATTCCCTTAGGTGTAGAAATTCACCTGCACTTGTGTTTATAAAAAGCTAATAGAAGAGAGGACTGGACAAGTTATAAGTGAGCTGCAGCATCCGTAGGATGTACCAGGTTGAATTTATTTTGAATCTGACATTATCTGGAGGAGTTGCTAGTTCACATAACTACAAAAACAGGTCACAAAACACTGAAAAATGCTCTCTGTGATCCACACATGAAAGATTGAAAGAGGCAAAATACAGTAGTGGTATGGGTCTTTAAGCATCTCATTCTTGTGCCTGCCAGGGGCTTAGCATCTTATACAGGATGGTTTATTGACACTTTGATGATGGTAGAAGATAAAATGTTGCTTTCCAAAAGCATGCAGGTACGTTTTGCTGGAAGACAATGTAATCATAACCTAGGGTTGTGTTCCTTACTTTAAAAGCCTTTCTTGGCATCTATCTGTAAAGATGTTCAAGTTGACAAAATAATTGGACTTACATCTCTATTCTGGTATAAAGAATATCAGGATCCATTATTTATTTATTTCTGAATTTAAAGAAACACTTGGATATCAACAATCAAGTTGTGTGTCAGCATTTGTTAAATATTTAGATCTTTGCCAACACGATAGGCTTCTGTACATTATTTCCCTTGCAGAGCTTTATTTTATTTTAATACAAGTTATGCCTCCATTTAAAATATTTTCTTATTTTGGTGGTTTGCCTGCTTTTCCTTGACATTTTATATTTTCTCATTTTTTCTTTCATTTTTTCATACTTATTTTGTGCTTTCATCTACATATATTGCTTCAAAACTATAATATATTACATGTGATAGAGATAATAATCAAAATCCTTCAGATATGTTTCCATATCCTGTAAATATTGTTGTTCTAGAGACGTCCTTCTCCTTACTCTCTACCCTCTTTGAAGAAATAGTTCTCTGTGTTGCGTGATTACTCTATAAAACAAGGAAGTCATTTTTCAGCTTTGACTGTCAAATGAGATTTTTTGTTTGTTTGTTTAAATTGGCAGCAGGAAAATAAACTTGAAAACCTGGCTTTGTCAAGAGAGTGGGGATTTTCTAAACTCTTTAGCATATCAGAACTAAGCCTGGCAGTCTCAGATAATACAGGTACATCCATAAGTAAAGAAGAGACTCCCTTTTTCCTCATGACAACTAGTGCCTGAGGCTTGCTACATTAACGTAGGAAGAACTGTAACCAAGAAGGTAGAAAAGTTCAAACCTGCCCCATCTCTATAGGTGAGGCACAGAGGTATAAGAAACAAGTATTCTGAAGACAAGTGTCTTTTTTAACTGAACTAGTCCAGAATGAGAAGGTACACTGGAAAATATCTGAGTGTTAAAAAGTTATTATGAGGTGGCTTAAATAAATTATCGTACTTACAGGTGTAATATGTACTAATTTAGAATGATGACAGTGGTTGTGTTGACTGGTAAAAAAATAAACAAAAAACCATGTTTAATATAAATATGAGAGTGATTTTTGGAATTAAATTGTGAACAGGCTCAGGAGAATTGTGTTGTTATCACATAACCTCTCTCTCCAAATAGTCAACCATCTTTTTGACTTTGCTTCTCCTTGTTGCTTGCATACTGTTCATCATGGTTGTCTTTAAATACTGGCCTCAGTCCCCAAGTTTTTCCACTTGATTTTCCAAAGTTTTCCAAGTGAGCGACTATGTCCAAATTCTAATCTTTTTGGACAGTCTCTGATTTGCTCATTTTAGATCAGAAGCCTGTATTTAATCTAATAATTAGTGGCTGCAGTGGACAAGAGGTCAAAAGAGGGCATTAAGCTACCTATTTCAGAGTCATGGGTAGTATATGATTTGTATGATAGAAATGTGAGAGAAAAGGAGAACGTTGATATTTCTAGAATTAAGCTCATTTGCAAAAAAAAAATTGTGGTCAAATAGGGTTGGGAAATCCTGAGTTAACCAATATTAAGTAGGTTTCTTTAATATAGGACTTTTTAGAAGATTTGGTATGTAAATAATCATTGCATATATTCACACTGGTAATGTAATATTCTAAATTAATTTGTCTAAAGACTTATCTTTTCATTTGTAAAAACATCTCATTGTGTATTTTTAGTAACACACTTTGAAACTTATTAATTTTAAAGAGGAATAATGTTTAAAAGAGTTATCTTCCCATTTTTATTGAAGTGAATATATTTAAGTGTGAATATGCATATTTGTTTACTCAAAATCTATTCAAGGCCTACTGTGTGACAAATTCTATGCTGATGCAGAGGAAAAAAGTAACTCTAGTTTTCACAGTGGACTGACAATATTAACAATTCTTTTTTCTGGGTGGCATAATTATGCATAATATTTTTTCTTTTTTTGCTGCTTATCAATATTTTATTCTCCTCCTTCTTCTTCTTCCTCTTCTTCTTCTTCTGTAATGTGTTACTTATTTGAAAATATATATATTTATTTTCAATATGATATATAAATATTATTTATATATATTTTATATATAGATTATATATATTTATATATTATAAATAATATAAATTTATGTATATATATATTTTTTAAAAATTAACACATTTCACAGAAGAAGACGACAGAGAAGAAAATGTTGGTATACATATAAAAAGTGTATATATATATGTATATATATGTGTATATATATATGTGTATATATATATACCTATATATATATATATATATATATATGGTTTTATTTTGGTAAAAAATTCAAGATTAAATAACATCCAGAATATAATTCCGTTTCCATTACCAGCTATGATACTGATACATGAGAGGTCACTAAGTCAGGGACAAGGTAAGGTTATATGTACACAAATACCACCTGTTGGGAGGTTTATATGGTCTTAGTTCAAAGTCTGCTATAACAGACTACCACAGACTGCTTGGCTTATACACAATATTAATTCACTTCTTACAGTTCTGGGGCTGGAAGTCTAAGATCAAGTCACCAGCAGATTTGGTGTCAGATGAGAGCCCACATCTTGGTTCGTAGACACCAAATTTTTCACTGTACCCTTTGTTAATGGAAAGAGAGTAGAGAGCTCTCTGGAGTCTCTTTTATCAGGGCAGTAATTCCATTCATAAGGGCTCCACGCTCATCACCAAATCTTCTCCCAAAGGCCCCACCTCCTAATACCATCACATTGGGGCTTAGGCTTTAACAAATTAATTTTGAGGAGACAAAAAAATTTATTCTATAGCAATTCTATAGCAATAAATTTCTATAGTATTAATGTATATTTATTTATATGCATTTAGATATTATTATGTAATATATATGATTACACCGTGTGTAATATATGCTATACATAATATTTATAGGTTTATTTAGTAAATGAAGAGTTAGAGTGCCTCTTTAAACTACTCAAATATACTTTACTGAAAATCCCCTCATATGATTGATGCTTAAGTACAGTGAGAATTACAGAAAGAGAGATTATGTACATTTTTATAATTGCAGTGGTCTTGTCTTTGAACAGGAGTCAAATAACTTTTCATACACAATATGGTTAAAGGATTTAAGCAAAGACTTTTCCATTATTTTGTTCAGTAGCTGAATCAATCATTCTTCTTCCCCAGTACATGGAAATATTGTATTTTCTGCACCTTAAAAGTAGGTAAATATATGACACGATTTGGCCAGTGATGACGTAAGCAGATATGATGATTGTTACTTCCAAGCGGAAGCCTTAACAACTGATGTGCAGTGGCGTCACTTTTTCTTTTCCTCTGACACCTGTGATGGCTCCATGATCAGCCTGGTTTCAGATTTTAAAATCTGGAGAGCTTCTAAACAACAGACAGTGTTTACAGAACGTGAGCAAAGACTAATTCTTTGTTATGTTAAACTACTGAAATTTTAGAGTATGTACATCATTGTACCACAGGCTTTCCTCTCCTGACTGTCACAGCTAATTTTATATCAGATGGAGTAATAAAATCATTCGTTATATTGCGTGTACAGGATCTGGAACCATGCATTTTAGGTTCAAATCATAGCTCAATAACTAATATTTTGTGTTACTTTTGGCAAGTTACATACACTTTCCTTTGCCTCATTTTCCCCAAAGAGAGATATAAGGATGTTGAGAGACATTTGATAATACATGTGTAGAAATTAACGCCACCCAAATAAGAACAAGCAAAGTCTATTTATTCAGAGGTTGCTATAGCAAGGGAGTCACACAACACAATTTGCATTTTGCAGACTCAAAGGCAGACAGAAGAGGGTAAATATTTTATAGCTGAAAAAAGGGAAGATTTTAGGTATGCTCTGATTGTATGTTGTTCACATAGGAAAGCTGGAGGTCAGCTAAGTAAAAGTGGGGCATTCTGTGTGATTAGGGCCGGAAATTTGGCTTTGTCTGGTTTGTCCTAGATTGGAAACAGAGTTAAAATTCTCGGAAGTAGAAGTTATTAAGTCCTGACTCTTTGGGGCTGATTGTTAGAGAGATTGTGGTTTGGCTTCCTGGACTGGTTGTTGCACATTGTGGATCGGGATCTATTTTAATATGTGATCAGACCCTTGTCCATTTGTATATTCAGTCTTGTGCACATAAGCCTTACATTTTAAGTTATTTCACACTATGCATAGCTGTAATAAAATCAGTAAATAATATATATTAATTATCTTATGATTTAGACATTATATCTTAAATATTTTTTGAAAATATTTTATTGGTTAAACTTGTTTATTTGTACTTCCCTTTAGTGTCTCCCAAAAATATCTACATAATTATGTATTATGGTGTCTCAACAAAATATTTTATTATCTATTAAATACAAATACTTTAAGTAGAAAGAGGAAGTATGTAAAGCTACTTTCTTCATAGACGTCAGTTTCCCTTTAGCTGGGGTTTTCATCTTACTGAAAATAACATACAGACGCTGTTACTTGGAAATGAAGAAACTAAATTAAATAAATCTATTTCTAATGAAATGGAAGACATATTGATGGCATGAGAACAAGGAGTACACATTAGAGAGAAATTAAAGTGAGGCTGAGGAACACAGAAAGCCTGGAACTGCATGGCTTAGATTCTATTCCTCGTGCTAGAGTAGGACCTTGGAGAGCAGGGGTTTTTTTTTGTTTGTTTGTTTTTTAATAAACGATTTCAAACACTGTGTATTAAACTCTCTGTAAAGAAAGTAAAGGAGTGGTATGAAAAATAGTCATGGATGACAAAATTCAACAAATGTTAACTTTAGTTGTATTGTCTTCAAGATTTTGAAAATAAGAAATAAATTACAGTTTTCAAAGTGCACTTTTGAATCCTTCTCAAACATACTCAGCTTCGTTACAGCTGAGAAGTAATTGCTAATCAGAAAGTAACCACTAATCAGTATTTTGTATACTTTACTACATCTTTATACATTTATCATGAATATGTGATATTATTTTTCAAAATTTATGTTAATAGGAATAAACATTTCATACTCTGAAATGTTGTTTCCAGCTTTATTGATGTATAATTGACAAATAAAAATTGTATATATTTACTGTATACAATGTGATGTTTTGATATATGCATATATTGTGAAATGATTGCTACAATCAAGCTAATTAACATATCTATCACCTCACATAATTATCTTCGCAGGGGATGGGGTGAGTGGGTAAGTGTGATGAGAATACTTAGGATGTACTCAGCCAACTTCAAATATACAATATGTTATTAGCTGTAGTCATCATGATGTACATTAGATCTCTAGAACTTATTGATTCTTCATAATTGAAACTTTCTACCCTTTGACCAACATTATCTTACCTCCCCCGACACTCCCTATCCCCTGGTAAGCACCATTCTACTCTCTGCTTCTATGAGTTCGATTTGTTTAGATTCCAGATAGAAGCGAGATCAGGCAGTACTTGTCTTTCTGTGTCTGGCTTATTTCACTTAGCATAATGTCCTCCAGGTTCATCCGTGTCATTGCAAATGGCAAAATTTCCTTCTTTTATCATATCTTAGCTATTAAGAATAATGCTGCAGTGAACATAAGAATGCAGCTATCTCCTTGAGGTACTGGTCCCATTTCCTCCAGCTATACACCTAGAAGTAGGACTGCTAGATTATACGGTATTTCTATTTTTTAAATTATTGAGGCACCTCCATACTATTTTTAATAAAGGTTATATCAATTTACATTCCACCAACAGTGTACAATGATTCCCTTTTCTCTACATTCTCACCACTTGTTATCATTTGTCGTTTTGATAAACACCATTCTAACAGGCATGTGGTAATATCTCTTGATTTGCATTTCCTTGATGATTAGTGATTTTGAGCATTTTTATATGTTTGTTGGCCATTTGTATGTCTTATCTGGATTTTTTCATTCACCTTTAAATCAACTTTCAATATTTTAAAATGTTTCTTATGGAAATATAAGTAATTTAGTTTCTCTGTATTCAAGTAATGTTCAAATGTTCTAAGATGTATCTGTTCAATAAGTAAACAATGCTTCAAATTTTTCACTTTTACAAACAATCCTCCGATGAATAAGTTAATACACTTCACCAGGCAAATGTGGCAGAATCTCTGTAGGAAACAATCAGAAATGCTGGATGTTATGATCATGCACATGTTATCACTCTCAGATATTGCCAAGTGTTTTCCAAAGTGGCTGCAATTATTCACCCTCCATCAGCCGCCTATTAGAGACCCAGTTGCTCATACTCTTGCCAACACTTAGTTAAGCTTCTTATATTTTGCCAATCTAATGTATATGTGATAATATATTATTTATTTCACATTTTATCAGTTACAATTATTTAAAATTTATTCTCTTTTTGTTGCTCAGATTGGGTCATTTTTACTTTTTCTATATTCAAGTTCACTCTTTCTTTTCTCTGTCATAGTCATTCTGCTGCTAAGTTTACCCAGTGAATTGTTTGTTTTTTTTCTTGGTTATTGTATTGTTCAGTTCTAAAACTTCTACTTGATTCTTCTTTATATCTTCTATTCCTTTGCTGTAACTTTCTGATTTTTCACTTGTGTTTCAAGAATGTTTATAGCTGCCCATTAGTGCATTTTATAACTGCTTTAAAATGTTTGACAAATTCCCGCATTTATATGCTCTCAGTATTGGCATCTGTTGATTACAATTTATCATACAAGCTGAGATTGTCTTGGTTTTCCCTGTGACACGCAATATTGAACTATATCCTAGACATTCTGAGTATTGTGTTCTAAGACTCGATCCTACTTAAGTCTTCCATTTGAGCAGGTAGTCAACTTATTAGGTTTAGAAGTCCTGGTCATTTGTGTGGGCTGTGGTTCAATCATCAATTTACTTTACTAAGGCTGTGAGTGCTCTCATGGTCAGCTTCACTTGTGTGTTACCCAGAAGACAGGACTCCACCCCGTTTTCCTCCACATCGCCTTGGGTGTGGGGTTGCCACAGTCAGAGTTCTGTCCACAGTCTCTACTGTGGAGACAGTCTCTACGTCTTTGTTGCTGCAGGGAGTGGAAGTGATCATTCTATCCACAGTTCCTGTGCGCAAGAGGCCTGCACTTTTATAGGTCAGGGGGACTGGAAGTCAGAGATCCACCTACAGGCTCTATGGGGATGGCTGCATCCTAGTAACTGCAGCAGGAAGGAGAAGGTGGAGAATAGCTCTGTCAATTTAGTGCCCATTGGGAAAAGAGATGGGCACAACTTTTGTCATGTTGTTTGTCTTAAGAGTAGAAAGGGCAGAAGAGGATAGTCTACTGGCTATCCTTTTCCAGGTCTTTTTTCTAGAGAGAGTAGGTTTTCCTTGTGGCTACCTTTTTGGTGTGTGTTGGGGGTGTGTGTGGGAATCTGTGCTGGTTGGCTAGTCTCCAGGCTGTGTGCTTCTCTAGCATTTGAGCTTAGATATAGAGGAGGCAATAAAAAGCCCAGGGACCCCATCTCTTGGATGTAACTCAAGTCCTGATGTCACTGGATAATCTGCCTCATTTTCTCCTTTAGATTCTTATAGTAGGTCATTTATGTATTCTGTCCAAAAATTTTATTTTATTAGCAAGACAGGTAAAATGAAATGTTTCCCTCTATTTTGTCTTGCTCACCATTTATCTTTTATGTACTATTTCATCATACAAACACATGCATTTTGTCTCTGGAATAAAAGTATACTTTTTTTTTTCCACCAAGAATCTCTGTGTTAATCTTTCTCAGTTTCTTTCTGCAAATTGTGAAGAAGAATGTGGGAATTTGCCAATTCAAATAAAGAGTTGGTGGCAGTTCTAAATCAAAAATCTTTGGAAAGCTCTGTTGCGTTAACCATCATCCTAAGCAACTCTGTTAAATGTCTTAAATTGGATTCCAGAGATGTCTTGAAACTGTTTTCTAAAATCAAATAACCATCGAAATGACAGACTGTACACTTGTGGCAAAGAACCTCCTGCTGAGATATTATTTAGCATTGCCACTCCTCATATCCAAAGAGCCAAGCAGCAATTTATTTAGGTCATACTCACAATCTGAGCTGTGATTCACTTTACAGGTAAATTGAAAGGTAGTGATAACGTTTTGTCACTGGTTGATGGACAATCCTATTGTTATAAATAAAAGAGGAAACCAAATAAATGATACATCGAAACAGTTTGTCATAGAATACTGAATGTTCTCCCCAAACCGTATGGCATTCTCTGTAGCTATATAATTGATTCCATGTAAAGTTGCTGTTTTACTCTTCTGGAAACCAGGAAATACAAATTATTTGCTCTCTAAGAGATTATAATTTTAAGTATGCTATAAGTTTTATTTTAGTTACTGGACTAAATATTATTTAAATTTTTTTTATATTGAATGACTGGATGATGATGACATATTGGGAGATTACTAATAAAATGATAATAAGCAATACTGGAACATTAAAGATGAATTCTCCTATAATTTACTTACAGTTGTCATAAAGACAAATTATGTAAATCCAAATGATATATACATATATAGAATCTTGAATTTTGATTGCTTCATAAAAGGCAAATGACTAACTTCAGGTGTGTCAGAATTTTTCTATGATTTTAGACACCAAGGAGCAAAAAAATGTACATTAACTTTTCTTCTAAAAGCTTTGTTTCTAAATATTCACTTTTCCTATGGTTTTGTAACAGAGCTGGCATGGGGCCAGTAACTGAAAAGCAGGTACAACAACTGTGGTTTATAATCTTTAGAATCCAGGATAGTGTGTCTTATGATATACTCGCAAGCCAATTTAAATACATAAAATAAGAGCCAATAAAAATCTATTACAAACACTGTTTACTATACATACAAATAGAAATTAAAAACATACTTGAAACCCAAAAGTAGCATAAGAACGCTGAACTGTATGTTGTAATTCTATCTGTATGTTTTCCTCAGACAAATACTCTTTGCAACAAGTAAACTTTAGAGGGCTGAGAATCCCTGATGTAGGTAGAGCAACCACATACAAACATACGTATATACTACCTGGTTTTGTGTAGGTACAAGCTAGGACGTTCACACAATGATGAGATTATCTAATAATGAATTTCTCCGAATATATTCCCATCTTTAAATTATGCATAACTTACATAGATTCTGTTTTATACAAGACTGTCTACCCTAAATTCCAGCCCATCTTTATACTCTAAAACTGAGAGACTTGATGAACTGAGTCTACCGAAACGTGATGTCTATTTCTTTTTTTCTTTTTTTGAAAGGGAGTCTCTCTCTGTCGCCCAGGCTGGAGTGCAAGGGCACAATCTTGGCTCACTGCAACCTCTGCCTCCCAGGTTCAAGTGTATCTCCTGCCTCAGCCTCCTGAATAGCTGGGATTACAGATGTGCATCACCACACCCGGCTAATTTTTGTATTTTTAGTAGAGACGGGGTTTCACCACATTAGTTAGGCTGGTCTCAAACTCCTGACCTTATGATCCGCCCACCTCTGCCTCCCAAAGTGCTGGTATTACAGGCGTGAGTCACCGCGCCCAGCCAGGTGATGACTATTTCTAATACCCACTTACATGCTTTAGAGACTAATGGTGACTCTGGATTTAGGGTCTATCTTAGATAATTTCATTTCTAGATTATACTATGCACCGATAACTTCACTGTTGTGGTACTCTTTCAGCTGTGCATACATTACCACATACTCTGATAATTTTACTTTTTCTTTGAGATTTTGGACTTTTGAAGAATTTTCTGAAATCCTTTTTAATAATTATTTAAGTTATCCCTAACAAATACCCAGGATGAGAAATTACAGCCTTAGCTACTGAATAATCAAGTGAATGTTTGTTTTCTAGCCTAAGTTTTATTATTGCCACCCATATTTTAGTCACAATTAGATTAAACTTTTAATTAAAATTAGAATATAACTCGATTTTTCCTGTGTAAAAGTAATGGAAATAAGGCTGCATTGGGAATTAGGAATTATGTCTAAGGTAATTGGTATGTGTGACATTGATCAAATTGCTTAGTTAGCTAAACATCTAGTTGCTGTTGTTGCTGTTTTTAATCTATATGATGAAGAAATTTTGCTAAAGACTAAGAGTTTTAAAGGCAGAATTGAGAATTAGAACTGGTATTTTTTTTTTTTGTCCCTGTGCTAAGAATTCTGAGAACTAACGTAGTTTTCTGTTCCTGGCTAAACAACCCTGGGACTAGGGTGGAGAACTTAAATACTTTCTCCGGGAAATATGTATTCTAGGAAGTTAAGACTAAACCAGCTAAAGTAACTTGCTTATCAACACAAATACCTTACACCACAATATACACTTTTCTGCACCTAAAATACACAGTCAGTATGTTATAAACTCTGCCCAGTCTCAACCAATTATTGCCTTGAAAGACCCACCTTAAAAATAGTTCATCTTAGGTCTATAATCCTGTAAATATCCTCTTTTGCTGTCCCCTCTCTGAGAACTATTAGGACTGTCCAAGTGGTACAGGGTGCTTCCTTACTGAAGCAAGCCTGATAAACTTAGCTTCACTAGTTAAATAGTTTTTTTGATGATTTTAAGGAAGTTGATGGTAAATGCTTGACAGAACAGACCTAGAGGACTAATAATAGACCATCAGTCTTTCTTACATTCAGTATAAGCTCTTTGCAATATCATTACTTAATTTAGTTTATTGACTTTTTTCCTCCTGTATGCCTTTGCATAAGACATAAAGTCATAAATATTAATATATTCATACTGGAGTGCTTCTTAGTAGAAGCATTGATTCCTCCTACTCTGCATACCATTTGAGACAATAAAAGAGCTCATTAAAAAAATTATGTGTTATATTTAAATCATAATATTTCTAGAAGTATTATCTAGATAGGGAGTTTGAGAGATTTCAATAATTTAAAGTATGAGTTAGGAAAGAAGCTAGTATTATTTGGTATGGAGGGTTTCTGAACTCAGTTCCTACATGATTCCTAATTTCACAAAACCTGAAAATGTAAGCAGCTCTAGTTCCTGATTTCAGAAAACTTTGTGAAAATGTAAGCAGCTTTAGTTGGCATGAGTTACTTTGTTTAATTGTGTTTTTAAAATTCTTCTCAAATAGGATGCAAGTTAAGTTTACCATTTCTGTTGTACAGATTAAGGATGTAGCAGCTAAATTTCACCTGATAAATCTGATGAAGGTTATTTGTTACTGGAAAAAGAAAAACAACCTTAAAAGCAAAATCATGAGAAGTAGAGTGGTAATTACCAGTTTTACTTTTTGACTATGGAAAATAAATTGGAAATGGAATAAATTGGAAATGTGATCATTCTTTTCCACATTCACTGTGATAGTACTAGTATATTCCTGCTAAAATATTAAATGCTAATGATTTGGGCAAAGCTGTTTGGGCTGACCAGAGGTCTTGAATTGATTGTGAGAAGTGGAAGCTGGAACTGACCTTACCACTGAGAGAAAGTGAAACTTAATCTCCCAAATGGTTAGAAACAACATTATGACATCTATGCAGAGATAGAGTCAAGAGCCTTTTACAATTTTTTCCTGTTTGGGTGTTAATGAATTTTACTGTCTGTTTAGTAGGAAGAAGCTATGTAAATAAGTGACTTAGAGACATTTTTGAAAGGGAGGAGATATAATTGCTTGATAGTTTAGGGAATGCTATACAGATGCTCTGAATTTTAGAGTTGGATTATTGATTGAGTTACAGTATTTTGGGATATGAAAATGCAGAGTGTTCTGTTGATATGCAATTTGGAGACATGGCTATTTTAAGAAACAGATATTTTGTCCTCTGGGTAGCAGGGAAGTCAGAAGAAATGAGTCCATATTGCTTTCATTGGAGCTGCTGGCATTGAGACCTTATATATATTGGCACAACCCTAGGCAAGGACAGATTTTCCTACTGTCATTTCCTTTGAACAACAAAGGGTACAGCTTGGAGTGCTGTTGTGATTAGTTAGCAGAGGGATATATTTTGCCATATTCTTTTGAATTGCTCTGTGCTTCCAATTTCAGTGAAGGTTTATGAAAAGAGGGTTTCATTATAGGAAGGAATACAGGAAAAAATAGTTTAATTTTTCATTCAAATGAGGGCCAAGAGAAGTCTGAAGAGGGGATATTTGCCCAAATTGATTTGGTGATTTATAATTTCTTAGTGTTCCTGCTTCATATGGTCAATTAATCTTGACTATTTATACTCTTTTCAAAAATTATGTTACCCAAATAACTCTGCTGAAAGTCACAAAGAATCTGGCTTCTGGGACCAAACAAAACCAAGGGTAAGGTCATACAAGCTTGTGTTTGTTTGCTCTGATATGCTCACATGATTCCTCTGTGTAAAGAATAATTATCATATTCAATGTATCAATGTGGTAGATACAGATAGTATAATCCCTGCATTTGTAAATAATTTGCTTGCTACAGTGCTCCAATTAAAAAAAAAGTCAAAAAGAAACTTGCTATTATTAGCAAGTTGTTTGTTTATTTGCAAATGGATGCCGAATTAGAGAATTAAGCCAGCTGAATACAGTGTTTATATCTCACTGTTATTACTAATACAGATTTGAAATACACATATATTTATCATGACACTAAATTAATATGTTTATGTTGCTGAGTAGCTAATTGCTGACATGAAAATCCCAGTGGTTCAAAAGAACATAGTTTGGAAGTTTAGTTAGTTTTGCAAAAGAAGGACTGAGAGAAGGGGGTTGTTCTGCATTCTGGTCCTCACTTTGCTGTAACTGACTAGGTGACCTTGGGCTTCTTCATTCCTATTTCTAAAAATAATTAGATCATTTTAAGTCCCTTTTCAGCTTTGTTTATGCAACTCATATCTCTGCAAACATAAGTGTTTACTATCAGTATATTGTGGTAGGCTAATATGATTCCTTCCCTCAATAAGATGACTTTCCTCTGTGGATTTTGTAGATTTGGCACCTTTCTGTGACATCCTATGGGGGTAGTTGGGAATAATTATCCTCTAAGGACTAACAGTGGTGATCTCCAAGTAGAATATGTTAATATGATGATTTGAAAAGGACATGTATATAAACATACCTAGTTGATCCTCATTATTACAGATTATGTACTTGCAAATGTGTCTACTTGCTAAAATACTCATGGCACTTTCCCTGGACATGCATAATAGAGTCTCCTGACCTGTGTGTTCCCAGCTGATGTCAAACAAGTCAGCCTCCTGCCCTTTTATTTCAGTTTTTACACTGTAAACAAATGTCCTCCAGTTCATGGTCTATCTATTCTACACTTTTCTCATTTTCATGCTTTTTGTTGATGGTTTCTCTATTTAAAATGACCCCAAGCATAGTACTAAAGTGCTGACTAGTGCTCCTCAGCTCAAGCAGGCTGCGATGTGCCTTACAAAGAAAATATGTGTTACATAAGCTTCAGCCATGAATTATGGTGTTGTTGATCATGGGTTCAATGTTAACAAATCAAATATATATATATATGGCATCTTTAAACAGTAAACGATAAAACCAAGTCAAGTATTGAACAGTTGATGAAGATGTTGGGATCACAGGCTCCCAGTAACCTAACCTTGCATTTTTTCCGGGGCAATATTGAGTATTCACTGATAATGTTTATAGTGACTTTATAGAGTGTAACTGTCACAAATAACAAGAATTGATTATACCTATAGAGGAGGTTATAGGCATCAAGTTACATATGTGTATGGTGGAGGCATGGGGGAAGGTGGTGGTGTGTGTTTCTCTAAGGAGGTCCCTAATTTATTGAGAACTTTTCTCTAGGTCTTTGGGGCAATATGAAAGAATGTCAAAAAAATTCATGTGTGAGACCTATGTCATGATATCCAAATAGGATTTGATCTCAATCTCCAGCCTGATGCTGAATTCATATCTCCATTTACTTTCAGTGTGTGGAATATGTAATGTATGCAGACTTTAAATGGTATGACTCACAATTGTAGGTAATGTTCTTCATTATGTACGAATGTATGCTAAATGGCATTAGAAAGCATAATGTGGAACCTGCTAATTGATACTAAATAGTGTATAACTGACAGTCTAGGAACAGTTTTCTTGATTTTACATTTAAAAAATATTTTTCCATGACAGCTTCCATGCCAGCACTAGAAGAATTTGCATACAATTGTGTGTACCTTTGATGTATATTTATATGAGTAAACAGGGATTAGGCATGGTATCTAATCTCCTAATGGGTTTTTTTTTCTAAGATTCTTAAAGCTCAGGAGGTTTGTTCAATTACTAATGTTATTATATAAAGATCTGAAAGTTTTACTAACCGTAGCAAAGTTTTGGGATCAGGATTAAGGATTTGTAATCAAAACATCCTTCTACTCATCCGCTAACCTGTACATAACATAGGCAGTCCACCACGGTGGATAATGTGACTAGAAAATCAACCTGTGGAGTGTAGGACATAGCTGTTGGGATCAAAAGTACCATAAGCATTATCAAATGGTATGCAATTTTGTTAATTTTTCATCTCGTGTGTTCCTGTAGCCACTGTTTCACAGATAAAGAGAGAATGTAAAAGGAGTGAGGAAAATTGGGGAGAAAAGGTCAATGACTAAAGAAATTCAAGGAATTCAGATGCCTCAGACCCAAACAGAGTTGACACTTTCAGGTTCATCAAATAAATTTAAGCAGCCCCCTCCCAAGATTTTGTCATGAAAACAACAGTGAAAATAAACAATTTGTCTTGCCATTACACACGCTGACAGTTAATGAACTCTTGAAAGTTTATGCATACAGTGTGGAATCTGAGAAGCGTATCCCCTTACCATGCGAATAGAGTGCCTTCTAGCTGGGCAGAAGTTCTTTTGAACCTGCCCTTGTCCTCTACTTAAATGAAATGGTGGCATTTGACCATCACAAAGCAGAAATGTATTATTTATTATTCTCATCTCCATATTTGTCTCATTTGTTGTGTCATGTTCAAACAGACATATTGTGTCATGTTCAAACAGACATATCAAAATCTCAATTCTTATTAAAAATCTTAACATAAATATGTATTCCATTAAATATTTCTATTTTGAATCATTAAAGCATAAAAAAATCCTTTTTAAAACAGAATTCAACACTTCAATGGCAGATGTTGCATTTTGGCACATGCAGGGCTGGAACCAGGGGAAAGGAAGTGAGGCAATTGCCTTTGTACAATATTTAAGAAGACACCAGATAAAACAAAACAAAACCATCAAGAATAAAGGTCTATTTAATGAACCCATGATAAACAAAATACTTAAAATTAAACAATGGCAAAATCAGTGTGGATATTAATTTATTTATCCATCTATTCTAAGATTATTTATTGAATGCTAAGTAGGAGAAGTAAGTATTTCATGTGCTAGGAATATAGCAGTGAACAAGAATGTCAAGGTCTCGGTGATCAGATAACATTATAGACAATAGAGGGAATCTGAGAGATTACCCTCCCTCTTAAAAATAAAGCTGCGTATCAATTAGGTAAAAGCCAGTTTTAGTGCTAATTCCACTTGCAAGGGTTATGCCAAAACCTAAAATCAAGAAAGGGACTAGGACTATCACCAATATAGTTTTAACTACAAAATAAAAATGAAAATAGAGTTTATTAGTTAGCATAGCCAAAAGAAATGCAGGGTTGTGGGTGGTCAAGAGGATGACTACCACAGATTAAAGTGAGCAAGTTATTGGGGTAGCAGGAGGAAGTTTAAGATTCAAAGAAAATCAATTAATTTCTTTGTTAATTGATTGGACAACCACTGCTGAGCATCTACCACTACCAAAAACTTCTCTATGGTTTGCAACAAAGGGCAGAACAAGAGAGGCAAAATTTTTGATAGAACATATATTTCAGCCATAATTGGGGAGAGGTTACTTCACTTTCCGTTTGTCCCAAGATTATGGCCAGAACTAATTTTCTTCAAGTGGAAACTAAACAGAGTCTTTCTGGTGTTATATCTATATATATCTCTTTCTATATATAATATATATATATACTATATATACACATCATATTTGTATATAATGTGTGTATATGTAGTTTATAAATGTATATATATAAAAAATTCTAAAAATATGTATATATATTTCCCTTTCCCTAATTTGTACTTAAGTGACAAATAGCATTTAGACCCTTGCTGTGGGAAGTCTGGTCCTTGGGAACTTGTAAAATCCAGTTTCATACCCTACCTATATCTACTAAATCAGAATCTGCATAATAGCAGGATCTACAAGTGATTTGTGTGCACATTAAAGTTTGAGAAGCTATGCTTTAAAAATAATAACTATGTTTCTAAGAAAAAAAGCCCCACAATTTCATCTTTTTAAATGGACCAGAAGTTTATATTTTCCATTTCTTAAACACATACTTTATAGTCTTAGAGGTCATAAATTTCTTTTCTTTCAGTTATTGTTTTCTGACAAAACTCTATAATCTTTGAAATTATCATATTTAATGACTGTATGGCATTATCTCAAATTTGTATCCATGATTACTTAATCAGGTATTGAAAATAGTGCATAAATCTTTAATACTATAGAAATATTTTCGATAGTGTGACAATGGATGGCCAATACAATCTATATAGATTTTTATATGCCTTGCACTTTTTGTCAGATATCAGATTACATATGACTGAATACAAGCATGATCAATTTCTTGTTTGATTTTTACCAAATTTATTTACAAAAGGTTTGTTCCAATGTGTCCTGTTACCAGCATTAGGCAAGTGTGTGTCAGTTTTACCACGAAACCCTTGGCATAAAATTTTTAAAAGATAAAAAGATTATGCTAATGTAATAATTTTCAAATGGTTTAATCCCTCTTAGCTAAAATAAATTTGCATTTTATATGTAAATGATCTTATTTTCCAATGTAGATCAATTTTTAAGGGACATTTTAACTAAAAACAATCTAACGATGAATATCCTAGAATACAGATTAAGCATTTAACATAGAAACACCAAAATCATAGATTGTAATGAAAACATTCACTAATTAGGTCACTCCTCTCCATTTTTCACTATTTACACACAAGACTAGGTAATGTCTAGATCTTAGGCAAGAAGCACATTAACCTTGTAGCACATATGATGGGCCAGTAAATAGCTTCATATAAAATATCTAAGGGAAGATACTCAACATTTCTAGCTTGTTTTAGCTTGAATGGAAAATACAGTGTTTGGAAAGAGTCATCAATATTTAACAAACTCTGGTGTCATTAAAAGTCCATGGTTAATGATGGTACTTGGAATTTTTTCAGAAGATCATTTTGTTTTTACTTCAGTGATACAATGATGTAATTAGAATGAGATTAAAGTCCCAGTTTTTCTAGGTTCTATCTGTGTTATATTAAACAGTTTATTTCATTTCCTCATTTGATTTCCTCCTTGCTATTATTTGAATGATACTGTTCCCTCTAAAATTTATGTTGACACTTAATCCCCAGTGCAATAGTTTAAGAGGTGTGACTTTTGGGAGTTGCTTAAGTCACAAGGGTTCTGCCCTCAGGAGTGGGATTAACACCCTTATAAAAGAGCTCCAAGTGGAAGAAAGCATTGTCTTCCCCTTCCATCCCCTCTGCCATGTGGGGACACAGGTTTCTCTTCTCAGAGGATGATGCAGCATCTCTGTGCCATCTTGGAAGTGTACACTGGGCCCCCTTAGATGTAAAACTTGCTGACATTATAGTCTTAGACTCCCAACCTCCAGAAATGAGAAATGAATGTCTGTTCTTTGTAAGTTGCACAGTCACAGGCATTTTGTTATAGCACCACGTGGACTAATGACACAGGATTCTTGGGGTGTTGCATTGCCAGCCGGAAACCTCTGTGGCCAGCGGTGCCATTGCCTGAGTTTAGTTCAGGCCTGCTGGGCTTGTTCTGCCCACTCAGCCTGGCAGGCTGCACTTGGCTCACACTACCAGCCTGGATCTCATACCTGCCAAGGGTGAACCAGTTGCGGAGAGGGGAGATGTGTGAGTGAGCAAGCCTGGGGTCCCAACACTGTGCACAGCCAGGCACTCTGGCTGTGGCGGGGCCGGCAGCTCCAGGAACCGGCACGGGCTTTGGCTTCCTGGGAGGCTGCAGCTGGGCCAGACATACTGCACGCAGCTTCTATTGTGGGCACCAGGGAACGCAGTGGCAACCAGAAGCTTGGAGATGCTAGGAACGACAGAACCCCAAAGAGGGGTGTCACAGCCCTGGCTTGGGGAGCTCCTAGGTCTAGGCTCCTTGAAGGGCCACAGCTCTTCTCTCCTTCTCTCTCCTCTCCTCCTTGTCACTCCCAAGATGGCAAGCAGGTGGGCATGTTTCAGACCTATTTGTGTTACAGCTCTTTCTGTCCTGCCATTTGGTGAGTCACGAGTTCTTGTCCTGTGTCCAGGAAGAGAGAGGTATGCAGAGAGCTGGAGGGTGAGTAAGGCAAAGGGGTGCTTTATTGAGATATAACACAGCTCTCAAGAGACTCTACGTGGTTACCTCTTTTCTGCAGGCAGGTCATCCCATTGTCTGCTCAGCTGTCAGCTGAGAAGATACCCAGAGTGGGTAGCACCTCTCTGCAGGCAGGGCTTCCCAACATTGCCTGGTTCTTGCTGAGTTCCAGTTTTTATGGGCTTCAGAAGGTAGACAGTCTCATACTGACTGGTCCATGTGTGGCCATCAGCAGCCTGGAAAAAGCATCGTCTAAGTTCTCACTCTAGTCCATGGAACTGGCAGCCAGGCCCCCATGCCTCACGCCTCCCGGTTTGAATGTGGGGCTTCACTGGGAGATCTGCCCCTTTCCACCCAGGAACCTGTCTGCCTCCTGCCACCATTCATGGCATTTAGGCTGTTCATGACAAGGGGTGCCTGCAGCCCTGTGCTGAGCTGCCCTCAGCACCCCCTCAGCTTCCCTCCCATGCTCGTCAGCACCCAAAGTCCAGAGGGGGCTGAGGTGGCAGGGGGGTGGCGTGTCAGTGCTGCTCCTAGTGCAGGGACATCTGGCCAGGTTGTGTCAGTGGACAGGCTTGGCTACAACTTTGCTTCAAAATTGGAATGGGCGCTAGGAGTGGAGAGAGGCCAGGCAGCGGGAGCAGGCACTTCTGAGCCTGCAGGGGAAGGGGGGCTTCCCGGGCCCCCAAGAGCACAGGGATGCTTGGGTCTGCAGCCACATCTGGGTGGCTGTAGTTGTGCTAGGGAGCCCAGAGCTCCTGCTTCACCAACTCAGAAGGGGACTGGGCTCCCGTCTGTTCCTAGCTCCCGCCAGCTCTGTGACAATGGCACCCCCAGCTGCCTCTCCCCCGCTGCAGCCAGCATCTTTGCAACAGCTGCTCCAGATGGGCTGCCACTGCCATCACTAACACGCTTCTCTATTTTTGTGTGTGGGTGGATTTTTTTTCTTTCCATCCGTATTTACCTTTTTAAAATTTTTATTATTTATTTGTTATTTTACTTTAAGTCCTGGCATACACGTGCAGAACGTGCAGGTTTGTTTCATAGGTATACATGTGCCATGGTGGTTTGCCGCACCTATCAACCCGTCATCTAGGTTTTAAGCCCCACATGCATTAGGTTTTTGTCCTAATGCTCTCCTTCCCCTTGCCCCCGACCCCCCGACAGGCCCTGGTGTGTGATGTTCCCCTCACTGTGTCCATGATGATGGTTCTTCACAAAGATATTATATCACGTAAATAGTATGTGTTTATGAGCACAGTAGCTGCTCAATGTTAGTCCCTTCCTGTTATTTGTACATGCTGCCCTAAAGCCCTCTAATTTCTACTTTCTGACTTCTGGAAAATAACCAGAATTGATCATTTTTTGTTCTCCATGTAGCACTAAGAGACATTAAACACTTACTTTTCTAGAATAGTCTTGGATATTTGTGATTAAAATAAAGGTTCTATTTGATGACCAACCACATTCTTGCTGGATGATTATAAATAAAACACACCCAGGCATAGTTTAATTGTGTGCAGAACTAGCCATCTAACTCTGAGAGTTTATGTCAATGAAGACTGTACCAAAAGAGATATCCTAACAGGCATGACCATCCGTTTAAAGATATGACTACCAGTTCAATAATCTCCTTAATGCTCTTTACATTTATGCTAAGTTTTTTCAATTTATTCATATTTTTTCAACTATGACATTTAGACATCTAGTAAATACCACTGCAAGATATAACAAAATAATGTATATCCTTTTTTTTCAAAAAATGATGAAAAAGCAGTGGTTATTATTAAACTTACTTTGTTTATTTTATTAACGTATGAGTTATATGATATTTTCATAGCAAATAATTATACCATCTATCTTCTAAAGGGCCAGATAAGTTAAAAAATACAGAAATTCTTGTCATTGACTAAATGGGGAAAGCAATTTCTAGTTTCACACAAATATTTTGTCTCAAATGTGACTTTTTACCTATCCCTACTTACTGTTATGAATCACTAGCTACACTAGTTTAGAATACAAAATATTTCAATCTCTTCAGTAGATTATAGTTCATATTTCTATTTTTCATGCTTCTGTCTTTGCAACAAAGAAGAGTAGGGCAAACTGCATTCACAGATTGAAATCTTTGACATTCTTTGAAAAATAAGAATTTTTTTAAAAAGCATAGCACAGTGTGAATGCGTAGAGTTCAGCATATTGATGCTACTACTATTGAAATATTTCATATTTTAATAACCTTATGCACAATAGAATCATGCAATATGATAGCTACATAATTCTTTTTAGCTATATAGTATTCCATTAAGTTACACTCTTTTTATAAACATGTAATGGAATAAAATAATTACAAAACATTTGTAAAATCATTTTTGTGTCAAATTAACTCAGGTTTAGAAAGCTGTAATTTTCACACTTTTTAGTGGTCTGACATTGAATAAAACAAACTCTGACATGATGTGAAAGCCAAAAGATTTTAAAATACCAAGGGTTTTCATGTTTATTTCCACTAGAAATGTTTAAATGAATGTGAAAAACACTTCATGTTTACATATATTGTTATGTTCCTCAGTAAAGGTACACATGTATTTTTTTCTACCTCACTGTAGAGTCTTTTACAATATTCCTCAGTGGTTAATTTTTATCATGATAAAATCAGAGAAAGTACTAAGACAACACAAAACATGAATATATTAGATCTGTTGCCAATTATATGTCCATATTTACTGAAGGTTTATTTTCAAAGAATTTATTCTGTATGTCCATTGGAAAAGAGAACTTTGAGTTTTCCCTGTCATTTGAGGAACATGCCAAAACCTATAAAGGAAAAACCATGCTATCTGAGTAGTTTGGCTTTTGTTGAAATTGTATTTGGAAACGCTTCATAAGTATAGGCAGGGTTTTATAATACATATGTTAAATAGCTTTGGGATGTTTAGACCTGGCAGTGAATTCTATTTGCAGAGATGAGTAAGACAAAAACTGATAGAACTAAAAAAGAAATAGATTAGTCCACAACAATAATTGAAGATTCCAATATCAATCTCTCAGAAATTGATAGAACAAATAGATATAAAATCAAGAAGGACATAAAAAACCAAAAAACACTGTGAACCAAATTGATCTCTGTGATATTTCTATGATTCACAACCTATCAATAATGGAATCACAATATTTAAACTGTACGTGAAACATTCACCAAAATAGACTATACTTCTGGCTTATTTTATAAAGTCAGAACTACTCTAATAACAAGACCCATAAAAAGATATTACAAGAAAAATGGCAGACCATAATCTCTCTTTAAGATTGATAGAAAAATCTTCAACCAAGTAGAAGCAAATTAGACCTGGCAATATATAAAAAGGAATACCCAGAAAATAGGTTTGACATTCAAAAATTAAGAATATAACTCACATTAACAAGCTTTTTTCGTAAGAAAAAAATAATTTCAGTGTGAAAAAATCATATCCATTCATAAACAATATTTTTCCTAAGAATAAAAGGAAACCTCTTTAATCTGATAAAGGGCATCTACAAAAATTACAGCTATCATGTATATTGGTAATAGACTAGATGCTTTCCCTCAAAATTTGGGAACAAGTAAAGGATGTGAAATCTTATCACTGCTATTTAATTTCAAGCTATGAGCAATAGGGCAAGAAAAATAAAAGTCATACAAATCTGAAAGGAAGAAATAGCTCTATCTCTGTTTGCAGCTGACCTGATTATATAAAAAATCCTGGGAAATCTGAAAAAACAAAACAAAACAAAACAAAAAACCCTACTGTAATTGACCAAGAGGTTTAGCAAGTTTGTGGGATAAAAAATCAATATACAAAATTCTGCTGTATTTCTATTTACTAGTAATAAACAATTAGAAATTGATATTTACAGATTAGTACAATTTAAATTTACACCAAAATAAGAATTACTTAGATATGTAGATGGTGCAATAAGAGTAGGACATGTAGGCTAAAAAATACAAAATCTTTAATCGTTAATTTTAAAAGACCAAAATAAGTGAGTATACATTTTATGTTCATGGATTGGAAGATGTAATATTGTTAAGATGTCAATTCTTCTTAAATTGGAATATATATGTAATAGATTCCTAATCAAAATCCTAGCAGAATTTTTTTGTAGAAGTCAACATGCTGATTCTAAAATTTATACTAAAAACTCAAGAAATCAGAAGAGCTAAAATAATTCGGAAAAATTAAAAACAAAGTTGGAAAATTCACATTACCTGACCTAAAGGCTTACTATAAACTTTGTGGTCTTATATTTGTGTAAGATAGACATATGGATCAATGAATCAAAATAGAGTTTCCAAAAATAGACTCACATATATATGGACAATAGATTTTAACAAAAATGCAAAGACCATTCAAGGAAGAAAGATAATCTTTTTACAAGTAGTGGAGCAACAACTTGAAATTTATATGCAACATAATGGATCTCTATACACATGCCATATATAAAAATTAAACCAAAATAGGTCATAAATGTAAATGTCAAACCCCAAACTTCATAGTTTCTAGGGAAAAATATGGAAGAAAATATTTTTGAACTTGAGATACACAACATTTTCTTAGATACAATGCTGAAAGCACAATTCTTAAAATAAATCTTTTAGGATACTTTTTAATCTAACAAAAATCCTCAGAATCGATAAGGAAGCATAGAACTTAGATCTTCCAAGTCCCAGTAACAAGCAGCACATGAGTTGGAACTTGAAGAATATGGTCAGTGTCACTCTTTTCTTGTCTCTCCCAAAGATTTGCATTCTCTCAAGGGACCCCACCAACTAAAATCCATGACTGCCAAACATCCTGAAGTTTCCTAGAGAGTCAGATACTGTCTTTAAACTCCACCTCTTGTCATACAGTCACCGGTAATGCACCACCTTCCCCTTCAAAGGGTTAACATCCATTCATCTTTGCATCCCAGCTCACACCTCAGCTCCTCCAGGATAACTCCCTTGAGCAATTCTACCTTATCCCCAATAGTGCCATGGTATGGGCTGAATTGTGTCCCTCCAAAACTCCGTATGCTGAAGTATTACCCTCCCTTTACCCCTTGAATGACCATATTCGAATGTAGAGTCTTTACAGACCTACAGTCTTTTTTTTGCTTAAGTTAAAATGGAGTTATTAAAGGATCCCTCATCCAATATGACTAGTGTCCTTTTAAGAAGTAAAAATTTGGACACAGCCACATACAAAGAGAAGATGATGTGAAGACACAGAAAGAAGATGGCATCTACAAGCCAAGGAAAGAGGCCTGAAGTAGATCTTTTCCTCACCGTCTTCAAAAGGAACTAACTCTGCTAACACATCGATCTCAAACTTCCGGTCCCCATACCTGTGAGAAAATACATTTCTGTTGCTTAAAGCCACTCAGTCTGTGGTATTTTGTGATGGAAGCCCTAGCAGATGAATACAATGCCACAACTACCTGGTGCTCCTATTGCACATTTCTGTTCTCGGTCTTTGCTGTCAGTTAACAGGCGATGATGCAGTTGCTTATTTAAATGGTCTTTGTCCTCTATTAGGCTATGAGTTCCATTAAGACAGGGACTACACTTTTCTTGTTCATAGTTGTATCCTTAGGCTCCAAGTCATTGCCTATTATATAATAATTACTAAATATAACATATACAGGTTCATTGTATAAGTGTAATATTTATATAATATTTGGTAATTTCAGTAGGAAAAATCTGAATAGTATCAAGTAAGTTGAAAAACAAAAAGGTAGCTATAGATAATATATAAGGAAATGCTATAGAAAATGCATAAGTATATTGTATATACCAGGAACTTAAAAATATTAACTTGTATTTACCAGGAACTTAAAAATATTAGCTCATTTAATTCCCATTTTTTGCATTAAGAAGCAATAGAAGCTCAATAAACTATCCAAGAACAGATATATATATCAGAATAAGGTCTGAAACCATCTAAATCAGAGAATGGCAAACTTTTCCTAAAGAGGACTGAATAGCAATTTTTCTAGTCTTTGCAGATCAGACACTCTCTGTTGCAACTGTTCAACTCTGGCCTCATGGTGTAAAAGCAGACATACACAATGTGCAAATGAAAGGCTGCAGCTATATTACAGTAAAATTTCATTTGCAAAAACAGATAGCAGACTGGTTTGGTGGTGGTTTGTCAAGTTCTGATTTAATATCTTGCCTTTTAAATCTACTATACCACCCATTTGATAAAACAATTCAAACTTGAAATGCAATTTTTATGTCCCCTTTTAAAGCCCGTGTAAGAATTCCAATTAAGAACTGTTTGTGTTTTTAACACATGATGATGTATCTCTCACTGTGACAGTTTAATTAATATACAATTCACGCCTGGTTAAATGTAAATGAAGTGCTTACTTCATGATAATTTAAAACGCTCTGTTGTATCATGAACAGTTATTAAAAGCCTCATTGACATGATTGCTTATTTTGTTTTAAAATTTATTGTCAAGATGCAAGTTGGCAGGTTTTAACGATTCTTTTTGTAAATACTAAACAATTCTATGTCATGGAAGAAAAATGTCAACTAGAATGGTTTCTTTGAGGCTTATACTGTGAAAACCAGTATAATAATTTTAATACAATAGCTTATGTGTTTATTCAACAATAGATATGTTATAGTGGGAAGCCAGATAGCTGTTAAATGATCCCAAATATATCCCTACATGATCGATGGTGACTTAGTTTTTTAGTAGGGTTAAGAGCACATTCTCAATATCTCTTATCTTTCACCTTGTTTAGTCTTTTTTATTTCTTTTTTTTTATTGTCTGAAGATCATGGTTGAGAAAATGAGTGTCTCTGTATGGGAAAGGGGATTCTAGAATCTTCGGAACAATTTCTTTCACTGGATAGCTCTAGGAAATACATACACAGGATTCATTAGGCAGCATTTATAAAATCATTCCATTTAAACAAATGCTTTCCAATGTGTCTTGTACTTAAATACCATATGGGTCTTTTGTTTTATTTTTCATTTTAAAAAACAGGAGGATACATGGAGTTCATACATGGAGATTATGATTTTGTATATGCGAAATGAGGCTAAGAACTGGCATTTTAAATTAGCAGTCAGCAATTCAAATCTGAATTTTAAACACAGACTATCTGAACATAACAATTTAGGAAACATCACCTAACTTCATAGGTCAATTTGAATTTTCTGGTAGCTGGGTTTATTAATGATGTAAAATTCAACAGAAATAGGATATGACAGCATCAAACAATGGTTTCCTAGAGCCCTGGAGGAATTAGTATAGATCACAGCACAGATAAGTATAGGTTTGGAAACCCTTCCTGGCCTCGATCCATTTTGACCTCTGGTAGAGCAGCAGAATTAGACAGAAAAAATGTGGAAAGAGGATTTATTTCCACAAAGGATATGAGATTTGACCACCAGCAGATATTATAGTACAATTATATTCTAGTAAAGTCAGGATCATCTCCCACTTCTACCCTCTGCTTTTTCTTAGCCGTTTATTCTCTTAGTCATGTTAAAATTAATGGGTACTTTCTTAACATGACAAATTGTGCAAACCAAAAACCAACATCATGCTTCATAGGTATGTTAGGTATACTCACATTAAAATAAGAAAGAAGACAAAGGCTTCATTCTCATACTAAGACCTCTGATTTTTAACATTACTCTGTGTATACTAGCTGAAGAAATAGCTGAAGACTATACAATATACTTACAAATGTGAAACTACACTAGAGGTCCTTCATCAGGTGGAGATGATTGGGTTTAGAGTCAGCATAACTGTCATTGGGCAAAGAAATGATGCAATGACTGAGGTTGAGGGTGTAAGTCAAAGCCAGTCCAGACAGGGTAAGTGATGAATTCTAGAGAAAGAATTTAGTAGTGTGGAGCAAAGATGCACTTTCCAAATTGTACGGAGCCTGATCCCAAGCTGTTCCAACAGTAGACTTCAGGAATAAATGCCAGTAGGCTAGTAGAAACATTTTTCAGAAATATAGAAATATTTTTCAGTAGCCAAAGGGCCGTGATAATCCTGAGTATCTGAGAATTCTGTCTTCCCTGCAATATAACAACATTGTGAAAGGCACATTTCAACTACTCATAAATCTAAGTGCCATCTGTGTGAGAAGATTGAACAGAAAATAAAATGTTGATAAAGATCACAACATTTGTATGTTTTAATTCTGTTGCTTCAGACTCCTACTGAACAACTAGACCAAAAAAGGTAAAGATATAGGGCTGAGCATGGTGGCTCATGTCTGTAAACCAAGCACTTTGGGAGGCTGAGGGAGCAAGTTCACGTGAGCCCAGGAGTTCAAGGCTACGGTGAGCCATTACCACACCACCGCACTCCAGCCTGGGCCACAGAGCAAAACTCTGGCTCTTAAAAAATAAAAATAAAAGATAAAGACCTACAGAGAACAATGAAGAATAGATAAAATAATGTAGATCAAGTTGATATATATATAATGTATATATAAAACTAAATATATGTTACCATTCTCTCTATATGTATATACACACACTATATCTTTAAAATTTGTTATGCAGTCCTACATAGATTATGACTTGGTGGTTACACAGACTGCCAATAATATGTCAAGTATTGCAAAACAAATTAGAAATAGATTTTATCAATTTTTTTAAAATATAAGAAATTAGAATTTAATAACCAAACCAGAAAGGAAGAAAATGCTACCACCTCAAAAATTACAAAATATATTTTCCTTTTAAACAATGGAAATCATTGCTTCTCTTAAGCAATGAGGAATCCAAATCAAAATGATAGAATATCTAAAAAATAATGCTGTATTGGTAACACATATTGGTAATACATATTAATAATACATATCAAGACACTTTGGAAATACAGCAAAGGCTTTCCCTGAAAGATAATGTAAAGTTTTTAAAGGCATATGTTAGAAAAGAAAAATTACAAATAATACAATAATTAGCATCTATTTAATTAGTTCGAAAAATATTTTAAAGGCTTTCTAAGGAAAGCAGATGGAATTAATACATAGATTAGTTCTATATTGCTGCTGTATAAATGTAATGGCTTAAATAATAGAATTTTATTTTTTACAGTTCTGATGGTTAGCATGCAAAATCAGTTCCCTTGGGCTGAAATCAAGGTGTCAGCGGGATGCCTTTTTGTTTCTTTGGAGGCTCTAGGACATATCTTATTTTCTTCGTTCTTCCAGATCCCAGATGCTGCCACATTCCTTGCAATACAGCCCCTTCCACTATCTTCAAGGTAATCACCATCACATCTCTTCCACTATTGTTTGTTTGTTTGTTTGTTGTTGTTGTTGTTGTTGTTGTTTGAGACAGAGTCTCCCTCTGTTCCCCAGGCTGGAGAGCAATGGCACAATCTCAGCTCACTGCAACCTCTGCCTCCCAAGTTCAAGTGATGCTCCTGCCTCAGCTTCCCGAGTAGCTAAGATTACAGGCGCCTGCCACGGCGTCTGGCTGTTTTTTTTAGTTTTAGTAGAAATGAGGTTTCACCATGTTGGCCAGGCTCCTCTCAAATTCCCAACCTCAGGTGATCTGCGCACCTCTGCCTCCGGAAGTGCTGGGATTACAGGCTTGAGCCACCACGCCCAGCCTCTTCCACTATTCTTTAGTCACATCACCTTCTGTCTCTTCTCCTATGCCTCTCTCTTCTACTTTTATGGGTCATTGTGACTGGGCCCACCTGAAAAATCTAGGAAAATTACCCTATTTTAGATGATCAGCAACCTTAATTCTATCTGTAACCTTAATTCCTCTTACTTGCTTAGCCTAATATATTTACTATTTAATTGCTTAGCCTAATATATTTAGAGCCTAATATATTTACTATTCAATTCTTTGCCTAATATATTTAGAGATTAAGACATGGATCTATTTGGGATCCATTACTCAGATTCATGGACATACAAAAAGGAATCAATAAATTAGAAAAAATAGCAACTAGAATTCTAATTATATCCAAAGTCCTCTGGAAAGGACAAAATAGACTATTAACTAAGCTCATTGAGAAAAAATAAGAACACAAGAAAATATATTTAAAATTAGAATGATATTTTGAAATAACTGCAAATAAAGAGGAATAAAAATAAAAAAATTTCTTTGTTCAACTCTGTAAAAATAATTTTGAAAAATGATGAAATTTTTTTCTAGAAAAATGTATTTTTATAAGCTTCACTTCAGAAGAGAGAAAAAGTGAATATTCATAGCAGAATTGGAGAAAGTGTCAAAGAACTATATACCCTCTAAAAATAATGCAATAGGTGGGGCGTGGTGGCTCACGCCTGTAATCCCAGCACTTTGGGAGGCCGAGGCCGGTGAATCACGAGGTCAGGAGTTCGAGACCAGCCTGGCCAACATGGTGAAACCCCATCTCTACTAAAAATACAAAAAATTAGCTGGACGTAGTGGCGGGCACCTGTAATCCCAGCTACTCCAGAGGCCGAGCCAGGAGAATCGCTTGAACCCAGCAGGTGGAGGTTGTAGTGGGCAACAGAGTGAGACTCCGTCTTAAAAAAAAAAAAAAAAAAAAAAAGCAATAAACCCTGATGATTTCGTGGGAGTAATTCTCACAAAAAACCTTTATGAAACCTACAATTCTAATGCTTTTAAAAGTTATGGAGCATGAAAGAATTAGGAAAAATTCCACGTTTTATGACTTCAGAAAAATGCACACACACAAAGATGCAGGCCAATCTTAAGAATATTATACAAACAGAATCTACCCACATATAATAAGAGTAACACATCATGACCAAGAAGATTTTATTTCTAAATTAAGAATGACTCGATATGAAAAATATGTAAATATTATTTTAAATAATATTAACAGTAAATGTTAAAAGATAAAAGTATTGTGGAAAATCCATGGGTCAACTCATTATTAATATTTAATTAACATTAATACCTATAGAATTAACATTAAAACAATGGGGGAATTCTCTAAGTTGGCTAGATTTCATGATATATGAAGACAATAAATTTCCACTTTAAAAACAACCAATTAAGAGATATGATAGCAAAAATACCTTATTTATATGAGCAACCAAATGACAGAATAACTAGCAGTGAACCTAACAATAAATTTGTGCTATGTATTTACTTATAAACATGTATGATTTTATAATATTCAATACTATGAAACTTCCGATTAAAAATTATCTATAAATTTATTGCGATATCTATAAAATGTTAATAACTATATTTTTCATAAGAGGGGTTGGGGATAGAATTAAAAAAGGGATGAAAACTTTATTTCAAAGTTATTATGGAAAAGTAAACCGGTAAGACTGACTAATATGTAAGAAAGTTATGAAAAGGAAGAGTAGTGGTTATGGACTAGCCTTACAAGATGTGAATATGTATTTTTTTAACTGTTGGAATTGAAGCGGAATGTTACAAATGCATCAATACAGAGACTGCTGATTTTTCTGTCCAGTGTTCGTCCAACTTTGTTAACAGTACAAATAAGGTATTATACAAATAAATTGTGAAAGTCCTACAGATATTGCATTATAAAAAATAAATGAAAACATCCTACAAGATTAAAATAGGTTTTCTAAAAGACATTGTATTTAGAAGATAGGCTCTACTGTACTGATAGAAGAAATGTTTAAAAATCTATAAATTGTTGAGACCTAATATACATTTTTAAAAAATCAACCCTGTTAACTATTTCCAATAGCCAAAACATAGAAAAAAATGTTCATCATAGATAAAAAGATAAGCAAATTTTATCATATGCAAAACAGTGGAATATCCTGCAAATATAAAAAGGAATGAAGTACTGATGCAAGCTCTAATATGGACAAACCTTGAAAACGTTATGCTAAGTGAATAGCCACACATAAAGTTATATATTGTTTGATTCCATTTATATGAAGTATACAGAACAGAAAGCAGATTAGTAGTTTCCAAGGGATCAAGGCATAACTGCCTAGTGTGTACTGCACTGTTCTGAAGGGGGATGAAAATGTTTTGGATGTAGAGGTGGTAGTGGTACAACATTGTAAATGTACTGAATGCCATTGAATAGTTTACGTTAAAATAGTACCAATTTTGCTGAAATTATTCCAGAAGATGGAGAAAGAGACAAATCTCCCTAACTCATTCTATTAAGTCAATATCACCTGATACCAAAACCAGGAAAGGACATAACAAAAAAAGAAAACTATAGATCAATATCTCTCAAGATGGATGCAAAAACCCTCAACAAAATACTAGCTAACCAAATCCAACAGCACATCAAAAAGATAATATACAGTGATCAACTAGGTTTCATCCTGGGAATGCAAGGATGGTTGAACATATACAAGAAAACAAGTGTGATGCATCGCATAAACAGAATTTAAAACAGAAACAATATGATTATCTCAATAGATGCAGCAAAAATATTCATTGAAATCCAGCATCCTCTATTATAAAAGCCTCAACAAAGAAAGGACTTACCTCAAAATAATGAAGACCACGTATAATAAGTCCACAGGTAAGAAGGGACTTAACTCAAAATAATGAAAGCCATGTATAACAAATCCACAGCCAACATCATACTGAATGGGGAAAAATTGAAAGTATTCCTTTTGAGAACTGGAACAAGACAAGGATGTGCACTTTCACCACACCTATTCAACATAATACTGGAAGTCCTAGCTAGAGCAACCAGTCAAGAGAAGGAAATAAAAGGCATAAATTGGAAAAGAGAAAGTCAAACTAGTGCTGTTCACCAATGATATGAGTGTACATCTAGAAAATCCTAAAGACTTCCAAAAGACTCCTAGATTTGATAAACAAATTCACCCCTAAAGTCTCGGGTTACAAAATCGATGTGTCAAATCCATAGCACTTTTATACACCAACAAAAACCAAGCTGAGAATCACATTAAGAATTCAACCTCTTTTACAACACCTGCACAAAAATACCATACCTAGGTATAGATTTAATCAAGAAGGTGAAAGATCTCTACAAAGAGAATTAAAACATTGCTGAAAGAAATCATTGAAGACACAAACAAATGGAAGCACATCCTATGCTCACGGATTGGAAGAATCAATATTGTGAAAATTACCATACTGCCCAAAGCCATCTACAGTTTCAGTGCAATTCTTATCAAAATACCAACATCATTTACCATGGAATTGGAAAAAAATCCTAAAATTCATATGGAACCAAAAAAGAGCGCAAATAACCAAAGCAATCCTAAGTAAAAAGAACAAATCTGGAGGCATCACATTGCCAAATTTCAACTTATACTACAAGGTTATAGTTACCAAAACAGCATGGCACTGGTATAAAAGTAGACATATGGACCAATGGAACAAAATAGAGAACCCAGAAATAAAGCCAAATATTTACAACAACCTGATCTTGGACAAAGCATATGACAACATAAACTGGGGAAAGGACACCCTATTTAATAAATAGTGCTGGGAAAACTGAATAGCCAGATGTGGAAGAATGAAACTGGATCCCTCTCTTTCAATTTATACAAAAATCAACTCAAGATGAATTAAAGACTTAAATTTAAGACCTGAAAAAATAAAAACTCTAGAATATTACCTAGGAAAAAATCTTCTGGACTTTGGCCTAGGCAAAGAATTCATGACTAAGACCCACAAAGCAAATGCAACAAAAACAAAAATAAATAAATGGGACCTAATTAAACTAAAAAGCTTCTTCACAGGAAAGAAATAATCATCAAAGGAAATAGACAACCCACAGAGTGGGAGAAATATTTGTAAATATGCATCCGACAAAGGACTAATATCCAGAATCTACAAGGAACTGAAACAAATCATCAAAAAAAAAAAATCCCATCAAAAAGTGGGCAAATGACGTGAATAGACATTTCTTAAAAGAAGATATACAAATGTCCAAAAACAAGAAAAACTGCTCAACATCACTAATCATTAGGGAAATGCAAATGAAAACTATAATACAATGAGATACCGTCTTACTTTGCAGGACAGCCATTATTAAAAAGTAGATGTTGGCATGGATGTGGTGAAAAGGGAATGTTGGTGCATTGCTAGTGGCAATGTAAATTAGTAAAACCTCTATGGAAAACAGTATGTAGAATTCTTTTTTTTTTTTTTTTTTTTTTTTTGGTTTATTTTGTTTTTGAGATGGTGTCTCGCTCCATCGCCCAGGCTGGAGTGCAGTGGCGTGATCTCGGCTCACTGCAAGCTCTGCTTCCCGGGTTCACGCCATTCTCCTGCCTCAGCCTCCTGAGTAGCTGGGACTACAGGCGCCCGCCACCACGGCCAGCTAATTTTTTGTATTTTTTTAGTAAGAGACGGGATTTCACCGTGCTAGCCAGGATGGTCTCGATCTCCTAACCTTGTGATCCGCCCGCCTTGGCCTCCCAAAGTGCTGGGATTACAGGCGTGAGCCACTGCGCCTGGCCCAACAGTATGTAGAATTCTTAAATAACTAAAAAGTAGACTACCATTCGATTCAGCAATCCCACAGCTGGGTATCTATCGAAAGGAAAAGAAGTCAATATATCAAAAAGATACCTGCATGCATATGTTTATTGTAGCACAATTCACAATTGCAAGCATAGGGAATCAACCCAAGTGCCCGTCGACCGATGAGTGCATAAAGAAAATGTGATATATATACCACATGAACTACTACTCAGGTGTAAAAAAGAATGAAATAATGTGTTTTGCAGCAACTTAGATGGAGCTGGAGGTCATTTTTCTAAATGAAGTAACTCAAGAATGTTAAACCAAAAACCATATGTTCTCACTTATAAGTAGGAGCTAAGCTATGGGTATGCAAAGGCATACAGAGTGATGAATAAACTTGGGAGACTGAGAAAGGGGAGAGTGGAAAGGGAGGGAGGGACAAAAAAATCTACATATTGGGAACAATGTACACTGCTTGGGTGATGGGTGCACTAAAATCTCACAGATTTCACCCCTGCACAATTCATCCATTAACCAAACACCACTTGTATTTTAAAAGCTATTGAAATATATATGTATATAAAGTGTAACTCAGCTGACTGCCTTTGAAGAATAATAATTTGAGATGACAATAAGTTGATAGTGTAGTCATAAGATCTGGCAATAACTTTTCCTGGAGATATCTTAAGCAAAAATGATGGCGGTCAACCCACCATTGCACATTGAATGCTGATATTCTTGGCTTTAATAGGAAAGCATTTATCTTTTGCACCTGTTCTGGTATATGCATAGCTGTCATGTATTCCAACAAAAGAGAGGAAAAACTGTCACTATGATTTAAGAACTATGCATTGGCATAAGAAAAAGTAACATATTTTCAGCAGTTAGAATTTATTTTTCTTGCTGTATTATGCCTAGTTTCTACAATGAATTATTTAAGTTTTGTTTAATAGTATTAGTCTTTTCCTATTGAGTTCATTAGTATGGCTTTATTATACAAAGCTCTTTGAATTAGAAATGAAATGGTTAATTTTATGACATGTAAATTTCACCCCAAATTTCAAACTTTCAAGCAAATAATTTGACTGGAATTTTAATATAGATTATAACAGTCATTTAATTAAAAAAATTACATACAAGTAATTGTTTTTTTCAGAATTGAAACTAAAGCCTAATATCATGGAAGTTCAAGGCTCTCATTACGATAAGGAAGAGAAAAGTTTTGATGTCATGACTCTTTAAATTGTCAAAATGCAAATACTGGCAGAGAGCAGTTGTCCATGTGTTCTGAGGTCAGGAATACTAAAGCTGTCTCTTTTTCGTATCAAACCATTTCTCATGCAAATAAATATCGCTGATTGCTCCACCCTGTTCCTTGCTAAGAACTTGCTAAGAACTAAAGGCTTTCTGGACTCAAAGGGAAAAAAAAAATACCTCTGCCCAAATGTCCTAAATGTACGTAAAAAAGACAAAGTATTTTTTCCCTAAAAATTAAACAAAAAGACAAATACTAGAGAAATAAAAAGGGGAAGCTGGAATTTTTATGGCTATATTTAGCATTTGCTATCCCAATGCTAACGCTACAAAACACTTTTCAGGGAGTGCTACCCAAAGGAAGGCACTGACAAACTAAACAAGACATATTTTTGGTTTTACAAAGGTGAAAAAATATTCAGTTACTTGAGGGTCACATACACATTCAGATGTTAATCCAAATCAAAAATTTAAAATTTAGAATCAGCATGTCATGTCGAGCAATCTTCTCAGAACATTCATCTTGGTCATTTATATAATGAATTATCCAGTGTAAAAGTTTGATCTATTTTGCATAATGCTGAGGATTTCTTATTTGCCCTGAGATCAGTAAAAAGTATTTAAGAAAGTTTAGTTACATGAAAATTTATTTGGTAAGAACTACCAAGAAAAAATCACCAAAATTGTTTCCTTTCATAACATCTCCATGTTTCCATTCAATTACTTAGAAATAAATGTTAGAAAATAATGAACACAATAGATTTATACATTTTAGAAAATTGATTCATTCCAAATATTTAATAACAATAATGAACAATATTTTGATTGAATAAGTCTGTATCTTTCAAATGGTAGATAAATATAAAGAACTAAAGATATATAAAATTCATATTTTATGGTTTTAGGAATGTGCTATGGTTAAACTCTAAACAAAAATTTTGTTTGAAATTCAAAATAAGTTTTAGGGAGCTATTTCATTAAAGCAATTAATTTGGTTGTTTTACTTGTGCATTGAATGTTTTGCAATTGAGTAGTTATTATAATTATGTCATTACAATAATTATGCAATTACTCTCAGTAATTATATCATTTAATTATATAAGTATGCTTACAGGAATTAGTTGTATAATTAGAACATGTAATTACATAGTAAAATAGAAAACTGTATTGTAAGACACACTAAGTTGGATATATTGGCCTATTTCAAATTATAACGTACAAAGTATTTATCCTGTGTAAAATTTTTTATAATTTTTAAAAACTTTATTTTGAGATAATTATTACTTTTCAGAAAGTCCATATTCCTTTCATCCAATATCCCATTCCTATTTGCCAACTGTTCCAATTATGTCTATTTTTTGAAAAATAATCCAATTCCAGGATCATTCATTGCACTTAATTGTCATATCTCCTTAGACTCCTTCAATATCTATTACTCTATCAATCATTCTGTCATCCTTCTGTTTTTCTATATCTATCAATCTAGCTATCCATCTAGTTATCGATCAATTGATTGAATGCCATGACGTCACACTGACACCACCAGTTCTGATCCAAAACCTCAAGGTTCATATCTTCTTTTTCATATTTGTAAATGCCCTCTCTAACTTGAGAAACCTGGCTTCACTATGCTTACCATATATACTTATTTACTCATCTGTAGAATCATCTCTTAGTCTTTCCTTGACTCACAGGTGTCTGTCAGTTTCCTCACGGTAAGATTTCTATTTTTCTATGTATAATAACTATGTAGAGATAGTCCTGCATTATATAAACTTATCATTATGTGTCCTATTTTCACCTTCTTGTTCATCAAAGTTCAACTCCTAGTTCAGTGAATAATCTTGCCTGAGAATGATATTGTTATGATGGCTCCCGAATGGTGATTTTTATAATTATCTAATTTCCTTTACATTAATTAGCATTTTATTAATTAGCATTCTATTGTAAGAACTTTTCTTCATTCATCCCTTCATCTATTTATATCATATAATTTCATGGATTACTAAATATTGCTAAATGTTCAGTGTGATAAAATCCATGGAAATTATTAACTTAGATGCTCATATTACTCAGGCATGGAAAGTATGGTTCATTAAAGTTGAGTTATATTCTTTTTGACAGGCTTCCATCAGTTTTGTAGCATTTCCTTAATTTATGTCACATTAACATGTTTCTGGCTGATCTTGTATTTTGCCTACACATCCCTAGAATCAGTCATTTCTCTAAGAAACTCTGCTTCCTTTCCAGGGAGAATGGTATTTAGAAACCGAGTTCTTGGTACTAGGTGTACTCATTGTTCCTGGAGTGTTGCTATTCCTAATCTCTCTTGATAAACAAAGCCAGGAAAAAAATACACACACACACACACACACACACACACACACACACACAATGTATACTCACACATACAAACATGCAAACACACACAAAAAATATGTTTTCCATTGGCATTTTTTCTATATCTATACATATTTGATAACCATGAGTTTACACTGATGCTTTCAAATCTAACACATCAAGGTTTGTTTCTGCTCTCCCATTTTCATTTTTCTAAATATCTTCTCCAATTTCAGAAACCTTGGTCTCATAATCCTTAACATATTTACTAATTACTCAATTGTCTCTACTTTATCAGTCTCTGACTTCATATACACGCTCTCCTGCTCAGCTGCCATTTACCACTGCTGAACTCTCCCCCTGCTCACTTGCTTTTTTCACATGGGCCCCAGCTCCATCCTGAAGTCACGGAAGTGAGGGAGAAAAGTGGCTTCAGAGGGTGCAAGCCCAATCTTTGACAGCTTTCACGTGGTGTTGAGCCTGTGGGTGCACAGAAGTCAAGAATTGAGATTTGGGAACCTCCACCTAGATTTCAGAGGATGTATGGAAATGCCTAAATGTGCAGGCAGAAGTTTGTGTAGGGGTGGGACCCTCATAAAGAACCTCTGCTAGGGCAGTGCAAAAGGGAAATTGGGGTTAGAGCCCCCATACAGAGTCCCCACTGGAGTACTACATAGTGGAGCTGTGAGAAGGGGGCCATCATCTTGCAGACCCTGGAACGGTAGATCCACCAACAGCTTGCACTGTGCACCTGGAAAAGCTGCAGACACCCAGTGCCAGCCTGTGAAAGCAGCCAGGAGGGAGGCTGTACCCTGCAAGGCCACAGGGGTGGAGCTGCCCAAGACCATGGGAACTCACCTCTTGCATCAGCGTGACCTCCATGTGAGACATGGAGTCAAAGGAGATCATTTAGTACTTTTAAGATTTGGAAGCCCCGTTGGATTTTGTACTTGCATGGGGCCTGTAGCCCCTTTGTTTTGGCCAATTTCTCCCATTAAGAATGGGTGTATTTACCCAATGCCTGTATCCCCATTGTATTTAGGAAGCAACTAACTTGCTTTTGATTTTACAGGCTCATAGGTGGAAGGGACTTGGCTTGTCTCAGATGAGACTTTGGACTGTGGACCTCTGAGTTACTTCTGAAATGAGTTAAGACTTTGAGGAATTATTGAGAAGGCAAGATTGGCTTTGAAATATGAGGACATGAGATTTGGGAGGGGCCAGGGGCAGAATGATATGGTTTGGATCTGTCTCCCCACTTGAATCTCACCTTGAATTGTAATAATCCCCACATATCATGGAAGGGACCCAGTGGGAGGTAATTGAATAATGGGGACAGGTTTTTCCCATGCTATTCTCATGATAGTGAATTAGTCTCATGAGATTGATTGTTTTATAAACAATCAATAAAGGGGAGTTCCCCTGCACATCTCCTCTTTTTGCCTGCTGCCACGTAAGACATGACTTTGCTCCTCTTTCCCTTTCCTTCATGACTTTGAGACTTCCCCAGCCATGTGGAACTGTGAGTCAATTAAACCTCCTTCCTTTATAAATTACCCAGTCTTGAGTATGTCTTTATTAGCAGCATGAGAATAGACTAATACAGGTACTATCTTGAAGTTCAGTCATTTTTTTTTCTTTGTGGTATTAATCTGCTGTCAACTCATACTGGTGTTTTTTTTTTCATTAAAAATATTTTATTTTTACTTTGTTCAGTCTTATCTGAGTCATCTTTTATATATTCAACTTGTCTTCTTATCCTTAAATGTGTTGCCTGTCTTTTGCACATGTGAACATATTTATAGTAATTATTTAAACACTCTTGTCTGCTAATTCCATCAACTTTTCATTTTTGTTTTATTTCTCTTGTTGTTCTCTTCACTACGCATTATAACTTTGAATGCCTTTCTTGAATTCCTAATAATTTTACATTGGATGTCAAACCCAGTAAATTTTACATTTTGACATTCCAAATTTGGTTTTATTATTTTAAGTGGTTGTGTTATGTAAATGTTGAATTTAGCATTAATTGAACGTCACGTTAGCTCCACCACTAAGGTCATTCACTTCTTAGGACTCTACTCAGTGCGCCATGTATTATGAGGTCTTTCCATTCTGGTTGGTGAGAACACAACTATTCTCAACACCGTATGGGATGCATGAATTGTTCATTCTACTCTTCTTTGATTCTTTCCTCAATCTTAGGAAGTTTCCTCTAATGCATATTCGTAATAGTACTCAGCCAAAGGCTTGAAAATATCTTTATTGAGATCTCTGGAAATTTCTCCCTGTGCAGATTCCTCTCACGGAATATTCTGTCTCACATATTATATTCAATCTTTGTCTCAGCAATTCAAAGAGACTGTCAGCCTTAATTTATGTTCCAGTTTTGTACTGTGGTTGAGAAATTGCCTCTGGACCATTTCCTTACTAAATACTGGACACTATTCTCAGGACTTTACAAGGACTAAGACTTCCGATATTCACCACAATGTAGTGAAAATCACATTAGTACTTTCATTTTGTAGATGATAAAACTGAGGTACAGAGAGGTTAAATAATCTGCCCAAAGTCGTACATTAATCTGTTATACCCCACAATATACTGTCACATTGTACCTTGGCCAATGGTATAAATACCTGTATTATCAAACCCTACTGTTTCTAGCAACTAATAGATGTGGAATAATTTTTATTGTATGTCTGTTTTAATTGCATATATTATTCAATATGTTTTTACCTAAAAGCACTAAAAGGATTTTGAAAATTCAAATAACTTCCATGATATTTCCATCTGTACCTCAATACTTAAAGAAGACTTAGCAACCAATTTAAATTATTCTGATAAACTTAGAATTCTGAGTTAATAAAAACAAAAATGGAAGAGTTTTGGAGAAAATGCAAGGAAGATTAAAAAGTCAGTAATAAATTGACACTTCTGAATTTATCTGTCTGGAGACATCAACAAAATATATGACTTTCAATTGTAGGTGGTATTACCAAAGATTAGAGAACAGAAAAAAATAACTGTACACCAGTGATATGAGAAGATACTACATGTATAAAATACATCTTATAAAAGTATTCTGTAGGTTAAATAAAACATTTTGATATTTTTGAATCATTATTAGATAAATAATAAACTTTCTGCTGTATATAAATATACTTTTTTTCAGGCTAGGCATAGCACCTCACACTTGTAATTTCAGCACTTTGGGAGGCCAGGGCAGGCAGATACCTTGAAGCCAGGAGTTTGAGACCAGCTTGGGCAACATAACAAAATTTCATGTCTACAAAAAATAAAAAAGTAAGCCAGGCATGGTGATGCATGCCTGTAGTCCCAGCTACATGGGAGGCTGAGGCAGGAGGATCACTGGAGCCTAAGAGGTTGTAGCTATAGTAAGTCATGATTATGCCACTGTTCTCCATCCTGGGCAACAGAGCAAGACCCTGATGCAAAATAATAAATAAATAAAGTATCAATTTTCCAATGATTTCTCATTGTCAAAATTCTCAGAGTCATAAAAATTCTAAGTCTTATATTTCTCTCTTTATTTCCTCTTAACTACCAAATCAGAAACACAGGCAGAGGCTGTGTTCTTTTCCACTCATTTATTCCACCTTAGCTGCTAAATAATTTTGAAACTTGTTGTTTAGACAGTTCTTTATGAAATACAAAACTGATCACATATATCAACTTCACAAAACTCTTTGACATAAATCAAACAGTTATACCTCTTTTTCATAATAAGTGTTCCCATGTGCATGTTATTTGGAGGCACATATTTATTTTTTGTATCTGTATAAAAATATATGTAGTATATCCTCTTGAGTTTCTTTTTTGACAAAAACAGCACAATATGCTGGAGAGGAAAGAGCACATAGTCTGGATTCAAACTGAGCTAGATTAAATTTCTTGCTATGACTCATACAGCTGTGTAATCTAGGGCAAGTTACATAACTTTTTGAACCTCAGTTTCTATGTAGATAAAAAGAGAGATAGATACCACTACTTATCTTGATTAATTGAGAGGACATAAGATATTTCATGTGTAGTAACAACCACAGCATAAATGCTCAATAAATAGTATGTTTTATAACTAAAACATCTTATATTTGATTGCAATGGAGTGTCATAAAACATGAATTTAAGAAGATAAAAAGTGAAAAATCACTAAACAAAAGGAATTGAAAAGTTGTAATTAGCATCCCCTTTTTCAGAATTCAGGAGATGATGTTATCAGCACTAAGTTAATTTCATACAATATAGTTTCATCAGTAGTTAAAAATCAAAAGTATTTATGTAGGTCATTAATATATCACCTTCAAATAAGTAACTCAAATTGAAATGTCTCCAGTAATCTTAGGAAATAACTCTTATTAACATTTCATCATGTCTCAGATTGTAAGTGAAAAAAACATTCATTTCAGGAAGAATTAAATAAGAGGAAAGCATAAGAAATGAAACACTGAATTGGAAGTAATTTTCCATAGAGTTTTGCCAGTGGTATCATTGGAATTTGTTCCAAATAGCTATTTTATGATAGGCAATAAAAGCATTTAGAATTGTCGTAGTTAACAACAGAAACCAAGACTAGCAAAATCACTAGTGACAATATAATTAAACATAAATTCTACATGTATACATAAATTAATCCCCAACTTATTCTGAGTTAATTAATCTGGTAATATATCATTTTCTGAATACAGAAAGAGAAAGCAAATTAAGTGAAATATATATCTGAGCAACCCAGATAGATGTGACAAAGCCCATGATTTGAAAGAAGATAAAAAGTCCTTTGCATTGTCACTAGGGGTCTATTCATGAATGTACAGAAGTTTCCCCTGAATTACAGTAATCAAATTTCCTTGCCTGCCAAAGATTTACTTGAAGATAAGTAAGGAAAAATCCATAGAGGTTGATACATTGACGGCAGCAAAAATTGTAGACTGATTATTTATCACTGTTGAAATGAAAAGAAAGGGACTGTTAAAAGTTGGGTTGAGATAGTTAAAATGCATATTAAGAAAGCAAGTTGCAATGTATGACAAAAATTGTAAATTTAATTAAGTGAGCATAGCTCTTGTTTTAGATGTTTTCATTTGTTATGTATTGTAGACAAGTAGAGATCAGTAAATGCATTATTTCCTAATGTGTTTGGATTGCTTCTTGGCCAGCTTAGGTATTACTTATTTCCTGTTCTTTTCAGTGACTTTCTAAGCAGCTGTATAGAAATAATTTTTAAGTTAATAATTTCACCATCTTTGACTTAATTTCAAAAGTACCTTGTCATTATTAAATGGCAATGGAAAATGACTGTGATCTTTTGGAGACATCAACGACTTTAGCACAGAATTGACTACTAAAATAATGATGCTTTCACTAAACAGATTAATTTTTATGAGTTTAATGGGGTAACCTCAATATATCTAGATCATTCATGTAAGTGGAACACCTCTTCTGTGTGTCAATTTAAAGGAAGCCCTATTACTAACTTCAGCATTCTTGGACATGTAAAGTAGTATTAAAAAATATGCAGATTAGTACACGTAAACCTGGTTTTTGCAAACTGCTTACTTTTCTGACATTTTGATTAGATAGTCAAGCTTCTTTGACAAAACTTTCATTACACCATATCAAATGAAATAGAGAAAAATAAATATCAATATTTGTAAAGAGGATATCAGGAATACCCCATGAGGTAGATATTATGGTGGATTTTTACCACGTCAAATTAGCTAAGCTAAAATTCTTTTTCATTGTATTTTCATTCCTTTATGATCCTGCGTTGAAACTGGCCACAAGGGGAATTTGTGCAGAACTGGAAGGCAGAAGTCAAGGGGCAAACACGGGTACATACTAAAAATTGTTATAAGATGGGTACTGCCACTGTTCATGCAGGTATTTGCTGATGATGTGTTTGTATTGTGGACATGGGGCAGCAGACAGACCAAAGTTCCTCCAGCTCCTGCCTGATATTTTTTTTTCATAGATTCTGAGTCTTGGTCCAGGTACCCTTCATTGCTCTGTAGCAGATGGTGCTAGTCTATCCACCACTCACAGCATCAGGATTAATACCAGCAAGAGGCAGATGAGGTTTCAAGTAAATTTCTTGATTTCAGTTTTTAATTTTTATTTTCACTTTTTGTGGATATGTAATAGTTGCACATATTTATGGGCTAAAGATGATATTTTGATACAAGCATACAATGTGTAATGATCAAATCTACCCCAATTAATATCATCTTTCCTTCTTTACTATAAGCTCTGCTGACTTCAGGGCAAACACTAGATGCAGAAACAGCTGATTTACATAGGCCACTTAACTAGTTCTCGTCATTGAGTAAGGCCTAATCTTTGTAATCAATACCTTATTCCATATCATTAACAGTGGTTCTGTACCTCTGACCATCACTAATTGATACAGAAAGTGATGTAGCCAGTAGAATATAGGGTGATGATGACAGAGGACTTATTTGTATTGTTTTCTGTTGTTTCTTCAATGACGAGAACATTGTCTGTAATGTAGTAGATTATGAACAAATAATGGTGCAATGATTGAGGACTTCAAGGGGCAGGACTGAGGAGGGGCAAGAGAAAAGACATTGGAGTGCCAGGAAGGATGGAATAATGAACCTGTTGTGAACTGTATTGATAGATTGTCCTTGCTACAAGACAGGTAATACTAACATTTATCAATATCTAAGTCTGCACAATCCATTATTTAGCTACTAGATATATATGGCTATTGAGAACGTGAAATAAGACTAGTGTGAATTAAGATGTTCAGTAAGCATAATATATATACCAGGTTTCAAAAACTTGTCAAACAAAGGAAAATATCAAATTAATAATTTGTATCTTGATTACTGTTTGAAACGACCATATGTTGGATGTATTGGGTTAAATAAACTATACTTTTAAACTTCTTTTTTTAAAATTTGTAATGTGGCTACTAGAAAATTTAAAATTAAGTATTTAGCAGACATATTTCTATTAGACATACTTCTGTTGTTTGTCTAAGTGCTTCTTTTGTAGAGGTTTCTAAAATCATTGCAAATCAGAGCAACCTCATTTTATTGACACATAAAACTTGATATCTTATAAATGTAATCTTCAAATAATGATATCTTAATGTCATTTAATCTTCACAAGAGATCTTTGGTTTACCTATTCTTTACCGATGAGGAGTCCCATCTAAAATGGGCTAGGCACTTTGGGAGGTACATACATTATAACAGAAAAACTCTCTTGAATCAGGAGCTATGTCTTTTAACATCTTTTGTAGTTGATTTTACCAGTAAAAGTAGCATTCCTTTCTGTATAAAACCAAAAAATAGACTTCCATTAAGCATTAAGCAGCTTTTTGTGTCCAGGACTCTTTAGGTAAGAATATCTTTCAAATTTGCTTTTGCTGATAGTGCTGTATTTCAGTGTCTCTCTAGTAATTGCCTTAAAATATCAAATTCTCACTGCCTCCTAAAATCACAAAAGATTTATAGCAAAAATTGCCTTTGATTGTATCAAAAAGAATATTCATATATATTCATTTTATAACCTATATTTTATAATTTCAAAATATACAGACATCCTCTTGACAGTTCCATGGGTGACTTTGGAATTATGTTTTGAATATAAGTTGATTGTATGAACAAGAGTCCAATAAAAGTTTTAATAATTTTACTTTTTCTGTCAAAAGCTGTGTCTAATGGTGATTAATAATTTCTCCTAGGTACAACTTCAACTTCCTCTGTACTTTTAGAGTTCTGATTTTTCTTAGATCTTGTTTGATTTTACCAAGAAAAAGACAAATGTTTGAAATACATTTTTTGACAAAAATTTATGGATGTTTGAATCACATTTTGAAGCTTGTTCTCCAAATCTAAATATGCCATTCTTTCTGAAACAGGTATTGCCACAGATCTTTCTTTAATCTATCTTCTCATGAGATATGCAAACTTATGAACTTAGATTCTTCTAGAAATACCATTTTTGTTAATGTTGTTGTCTGCTAGAATTACAAGTTGAAGATGAGTAAAATAACCTTTCTTTCAGATGTTTGGATCATTTGCTATGAGTTTAAACATTTTACAGAGGAAAAATAGGATTTACTATTTTACTAAATTACAATTTTGAGATTATTTTAATCAGTATGAATAAATTATCATATGTTCATTATTACATTATTAGATGAAAATGAAAGCCCTAATTTTATAGTCTTTGTAAGTAAGGTTCTCTTTGGTTTGTTATTTTAGATAATATTTATTACTAGTTAGTTTATATTCCAGTACCTTACAGTACAAAGTAAAACTATTTGAAAAAAATTTATATAAATTGAATAAATGAAGTTATCTCTCTAACTTGTCCAGAATTAATCTGAATTTGAAAATATTTTCTTTTTTTTTTTTTCAGTTGCAAGATTTAATAGAGTGAAATAGAGTGAAAACAGAGCGCCCATACAAAGGGAGGGGACCCAAAGGGGGTTGCCGTTGCCGGCTCGAATGCCTGGGTTTATATCCCGATCCTTGTCCCTCCCGCTGTGCTCTCAGGCAATAGATGATTGGCTATTTCTTTACCTCCTATTTTTGCCTAATTAGCATTTTAGTGAGCTCTCTGATTGGTCGGGTGTGAGCTAAGTTGCAAGCCCCATGTTTAGAGGTGGATGCAGTCACCTTCCCAGCTAGGCTTAGGGATTCTTCGTTGGCCTAGGAAATCCAGCTAGTCCTGTCTCTCAGTCCCCCCTCTCAACAGGAAAACCCAAGTGCTGTTGGGGAGGTTGGCTGATGACCGCTCTAACTGCTTCCCGCTGAATTGGGGCATAGTAGGGGTTGTGCAGTTGAGATTTCCTCGGGAGGGGTGCCTTCAATGTCATTAACATCGGAGCATGGGCTAGCAGGCCGGTCCAGGGGTCCACGGTGGATCTTAGTCATGGACTCCATCTGGTGCTCCATTTGAAGAACAATTTGTAGTTTTACGGTTTTGATTCTGGAAGAGACAAACTTAACAAGGAGGTTAAAGATACAGGGATTGAAATGTATGGCCTGCAGTGCAGGGGATTATTTCTTTGGCACACTTCACAGCCCCTGACTATCTTCTTGATAGTTTTGAAAAGGCCTGGTCCAGTAAATAATAATTTGGCCATCTGATGGGTGCTATCAATGCCTAAGTGGAAGGTTTGGTGAAGGGTTTTAAGTAATTTCTGTTGGTTAGCTGCAGGTGAAAGTATTTTTCCTTCCTCAGTGGCTAGCCATCTGGAGGGGAGGAAAGTATGTCCTTGTGAGGTTTCCTATTCTATTTTTCCTGCTGAGTACTGGGGCTTGGTTTCCCAGAGGGGATTACCCTATACTAGGCATCCTTCTATAAGCATTTCTAATGGAAGGTCCTGCCTTGTGCTCTTTTGACTTCAATATCCACTTGGCAGTTCCTTTCTACTTCCCTTTCCTTTCTGATGACCCTGGCAGTGTAAGACTGTCACCTCTTTAGGTTTCTGTACAGGCAGTTATAATCTCCTAATAGCTTCCTGATGTTTGACTGGTGTTCCCTTGGAAGTTAGGAATTCCCTTTCTCTCCATATTGCTGCATGGGCATGAAGGACTAGGCAAGCATACTTAGAGGCTGTATATATATTTACCCTTTTCCCTTCTCCTAATTCTAGTTCCTGAGTGAGAGCTATTAGTTCTGCCAGCTGAGCAGTAGTTCCTGGAGTGAGGGGATTACTTTCAAGTATTCCATTATCACTGACCACTGCCATACCCCACTTTTTGAAGTCCTTTTTCTACAAAGGAACTTCCATCAGTATACAAGTTGAGGTTGGGATCAGTCAAGGGAACCTCTAAAAGGTCCCCTTGAGCGGCATAGGTTTGAGCAATTATTTGTTGACAGTTATGTTCTATCTTTTCTTCATTGTCTGTAAGAAATGTGGCTGGGTTAAGAGGTGCACAAGTGCGCAGTCACAGCACTGGACCTTCAAGTAATAGAGCCTGATATTTAAGTAAACAGTTGTCTGACAGCCACAAGTCTCCTTTAGCAGTGAGTGTGCCGTTCACATCATTAGATGTCTACACAGTAAGATCTCTTCCCTGTATTATTTTAACTGCTTCAGATACTAAGACTGCTACTGCTGTCACTACCCATAATCAATGAGGCCAAACCTTTGCCACTACATCAATTTCCTTATTCAGGTATGCCATGGGTTGCAAGCTTGTCCTTTGGACCTGTGTAAGGACTTCTAGAGCTATTCCTGTTTTTTTCTGTGACATATAAAGAAAAGTCTTGCCCCGTTGGCAAGCTTAACACTGGGGCTTGGGTTAGGGCCTTCTTTAGGGCCTGGAAAGCCACTTCTGCTTCAGGTGTCCATCTTACTAAATGGGTATTGGCTTTCTGAGTTTCTTTAATTAGTGTATATAATGGTCTGGCTGTTTCATCATACCTGGGAATCCATATTCGGCAGAAACCTGTTACGCCAAGGAACCATCATAGTTGCTTTAGGGTTTTGGGATAAGGATAGGCCAGTATAGGCTGGATACGTTCCTCACTGAGGGCCTTGGTGTCTTTGGATAATTTTAGCCCTAAGTATTTAACGTGCTGTGAGCAGAGCTGAGCCTTTCATCTGGAAACCTGTAGCCACAGGTAGCGAGAAAATTTAAGAGTGCTTGGGTGGCTTGATGGCACAAGGTTTCTTAACAGGTGGCTAAAATTAAATCATCTCTGTACCAAAGGACAAGAGTGTCCAGGTATGAGAGTTGGCTCAAGTCTTGGGCTAATGCCTGGCCAAATAGATGGGGGCTATACTTGAACCCTTGGGGTAAAACAGTCCACGTGAGTTGAGACGTTGGGTTCAAAGGATCTTTAAAGGCAAATGAGAATTGAGAGTCAGGATGTACAGGGATGCAGAAAAAGGCATCCTTAAGGTCCAGAACTGTAAACCACTCTGCTTCCTCTGGTATTTGGGAAAGCAGAGTATAAGGGCTAGGTACAGCTGGGTATAGACAAACAACAGCCTCATTGATAATCCTCAGATCTTGCACTAATCTCTACTATCCACTGGGTTTCTGTACTCCTAAAATTGGAGTATTGCAGGGGCTATTGCATGCTTTTACTAGGTCTTTGGCTTTTAGGTCCGTAACAATCTTTGAGAGTCCTTGTTGGGCCTCAGGTCTGAGAGGGTACTGACTTTGGTAGGGAAAGGAGGTGGAATCCTTTAGTTTAACTTGAACAGGATGGGCATTCTTTGATCATCTATATTGTACTTCTGTTGCCTAGACTTTAGGATTAATTCCTTCCTCAAGCAGGGTACAACAAACGGGTGTTCCTTCTCCTATGTTCAGGTGTATAATGGCCCCTGCTTTTGCTAGAATGTCTCTCCCTAACAAGGTAGTGGGGCTTTCAGGCATAATTAGAAAAGCATGTGAAAAGAGTAAAGCTCCCCAGTCACAGCTTAGTGGCTGGGAGAAGTATCTAGTGACTGGCTGTCCTAGGATCCCTTGGATAGTGACAGATCTGGAGGACAGTTGTCCGGGTTCTAAAAAATTAGAGAATCTGACCATTTACAGGTATTTTATATTATATGCATTTGGTTTGGTTTTACAGAATCTGAAACTAGTTTAAAATTTACAAGAAATTTTAACGACTTTCAGAGGAGATCAGAAGTGACCATGATCCAACTGCGTCTTCAAGCTACCCAGTTGCCTCTCATTTCACATGTGCTCTGCTCATTGGTGGATGCAGCTACCAGCATGGCTTTAATTACCTTAAAAATGCCAATGGCTCCCAAATCTACCACTCAATATACAATACACACACACATACAGACACACACACACACGCGCACACACACACACACACACACACACACACACACACACATATATATATGTCAAATAGTTCATGACTTACAACAGTTCAGCTTCCAACTTTCTGACTTTATGATGGGTTTGTTGGGGTATTATATGAATTTTCACTTCATGATATTTTTGACTTAGGATGGGTTTATCAGGATGTAGCCCCATAGTTGGTTGACAAGCATTTGCATGTATATTCAAAGTTCAATAGTTATTACAAATCAATATGACTGAAGCTGAATTCCAATTTTAATCTCTTCACCCCATGTCTTAAAACCTGTTCTTCCTCCTTAATTCACCATCAATTCATGATTCCACTCTCTATTTAGTCAGCAGTGAAAAAAAAAAATACCAGGTTGAATGGACTTTGGCAAATTCTCTTGAATGGGCTGCCACATCCCATTTATTTGTACATGATTGGGTTTGCCTGTGCACGTTTGGGTATAACATTCACTTTTAACCTTATATCCAAAGATGTAGTCATAACATATAAACCCTAAGTCCGCTATAGTGTAGATGTCCACTGTAATCCAGGAGCTATAATTAAAAATAATAACAGGACAAAAATGACATTTCACAAAAGATATCATAGAAATGACCACTAAAAGTGTTAAATATTATTTGTTATCAAGAAAATGAACATTGGAATTACAATGAGATATAAATTCACCCACAAACATCTAAAACTGCACTGACAAGACAAGTTCCTCTTCTGGCTCAGTGAATAACAGAAAATGTACATAACATTCCATGTGACGCAATTAAAAAACAAAGGGAAATATGGAAACAATGGTATTTCAAGACAGTAAACTTTGGGCGACAAAGGACAGTGATCACTAAGAGAAGAGAAACAAATAATGTGAGCTGATTGCTAAAGTACCCTAACTGGAGAATGCATCCCTTCCAGGGAGGAGAAAATCAGGAGCACGGCAGTCACCCTCCTTTGAAAAGAGAATATGGAGAAGCCCAGGTGGTTGGCTATATCAAGAGCATGAATTAACTGTAAGATAACTTCAAGTGCTCTAGTTTATATGTAACTGGAAGACTTAAAAGGAAGAAGGAGAAAGTATATTTGAAGAGATTATAGACATTTATTTTTCCAAGTATGATAAAAGTTATAAATCCACATATCCAAGGAGCTGAATATCTCTAAACATGAGAAACATGAAGGAAGCATACCAAGTCACATCATAATCAAATTGCTTAAGATAAGAGATAAAAATAAGTTTTTTAAAAATGGCACATATCTACAAAGAAACAAAGATGACAATGAAAGCAGCCTTCTGATTGGAAATGGTGGAAGCCAGGAAACAGTGGTACACCATCCATAAAGTACTTAAAGAAAAAAAATAGCCACACTAAAATTCTGTACTCAGCAAAGATATTTTTCAAAAGCGAAATTGAAGTAAAGACTCTTTAGATATAAAAATGCCGAGAGTTGCACCAAAAGCCTTGCACTAGAAAAATGTAAAATAATTTCTCCAGGAAGTACAAAAAGACACCAGTGGAAATATTGGTTTACACAAAGTAATGAAGAACAGTGGAAATGGTAGCTATATGGGTAAATATAACATATTTTAATTGTTTAAGTACCTTCAGTATATAACTGTTTAATACAGAAGTAGTAATGACAAAAGTGAGGCTCATAATTTATGGAGCTTTCTCAACTTCTTGGGTCTTTAACTTAATATTGTTTTACAAATTTGGGAGACCTGGCAGCTTTATTCTTTTAAATATATTTTCTGCCACACTTGCTTTTTCCTCTTTTCCTAAGAGTTCAGTTACATATACATTATGTTACTCAATACTATGTCACAGATCACTTAGCCTCATTCATTTTTTTTAAATATTTTTCCTTTCTGTTTTTTAAAATGAATGATTTCTATCTTTTATCCTCAATCTGATCCTAAATCCATCCAGTGAACATCCTACTTCAGAATTACACATTCTAACTCTAGAATTTTAGTTATGTAGTTTTAATTTTTCCTGATATTATTCCCTATATATTCACTTATTATGAATGCTTTCTTCTTTATGTCCTTGAATGTATTTGTAATTACCCCATTAAAATCTTTATTTCTTAATTTTAACAATTTTAACCTTGAGATAAGAGCTTGGTCATCTCAAGGGTAGTTTTGATTACCTACATTTTCTCTTCCAACTGCAGTACATTATACTGTTTCTTCTCACTTTTATTAGTTTGGTTGTATACTGGACAACTTTAAGTGCTGGCTGAAGGTGGGGGCACTCTAGAATTGGTGGTCATAGAGGAAGATGATGCAATCCTACTATAATCTTGGGCCCAATTTTAGCAATGGAGACTATAGTTTATTCCTCCTGTACTGTTCTTTTGTAAGGATTACATATAACAACCACTATGAAGTCTAGGTAACTGTAAATCATGAGAGAATCTGAGAGGTACAATGGTTGGACCATAGTAGAAACACTTTGAGCCATTCACATCTACTAGATCTAATCTGGATTTCAGCCGTAGATACCATGGATAGGTCTAGGTGTGTTTGACTTCTTTATATGCTGATTGTGTGATAGAGTCTAACCTAAATTGTGAGCCACAAATCTTCACTTTTTGCGTTCAAATTCCTCCTTCACTAAAGACCTGGAGAGGACTTTTTTCAGGCTACATTCATGTATTACTCGTTGCTAAGAGAGATAATGCCCCCAGGGAAAAATCTCAGATGAGGGAGGGAAAGTATTAGATAACTCTCTTGTTTTTTGTAGTTTTAATAAACAATTCATTGAAGTATTCTGGTTACTTTTTAGGAGGTAATTATTCACTGTAACTATCTTTGCTTCTTGTTGCCTCCCTGTCCCAAATCCCTTAATTCTTCTACCTTGGACAAGCTCCCAAATGATTGTGCATAATTCCTTGTAGAACCAATATCAAAACTAAAATAAAGTTCAAAATGTTGTCCCTTGTAAAAGAGGATTGAAGTAAGATATGTTCAAGGAGATATCATTAAATTAGGGATAGTTATTTAAATATTGAAGAACTTTGGGCATTTTCAAAGAAGAAGAAAAAAAGATACAATTTCTCATGTAAAAATTATTGTGGTTTTTAGAATGGCAATCATTAAAAAGTCAGGAAACAACGGATGCTGGAGAGGATGTGGAGAAATAGGAACACTTTTACACTGTTGGTGGGAGTGTAAATTAGTTCAACCATTGTGGAAGACAGTGTGGTGATTCCTCAAGGATCAAGAACCAGAAATACCATTTGAGCCAGCAATGCCATTACTTGGGTATATAACCAAAGGATTATAAATCACTCTATTATAAAGACACATGCGGTCGGGTGTGGTGGCTCAGGCCTGTAATCCCAGCACTTTGGGAGTCCACAGCGGGTGGATCACGAGGTCAAGAGATTGAGACCAACCTGGCCAACGTGGTGAAACCCCATCAGTATTAAAAATACGAAAAATGAGCTAAGCATGGTGGTGCGTGCCTGTAGTCCCAGCTACTTGAGAGGTTCAGGGAGGAGGATCGCTTGAACCTGGGAGGTGGAGGTTGCAGTGAGCCGAGATTGCACCACTGCACTGTAGCCTGGCAACAGTGTGAGACTCTGTCTCAAAAAAAAAAAAAAAAAAAAGACACATGCACACGTATGTTTATTGCAGCACTGTTCACAATAGCAAAGACTTGGATCTACCCCAAATGCCCATCGATGATAGACTGGACAAAGAAAATGTGGCACATATACACCATAGAATACTATGCACCCATAAAAAAGGATGAGTTCACATCCTTTACAGGGACATGGATGAAGCCGGAAACCATCATTCTCAGCAAACTAACACAGGAACAGAAAACCAAACACCTCATGTTCTCACTCATAAGTAGGAGTTGAACAATGAGAACACGTGGATACAGGGAGGGGAACATCACACAATGGGGCCTGTCAGGGGGTGGGGGCTTAGAGGAGGGATAGCATTAGGAGAAATACCTAATGTAGATGTTGGGTTAATGGGTACAGCAAACCACTATGGCATGTGTATATCTATGTAACAAACCTGCATGTTCTGCACATATATCCCAGAACTTTAATAAAAATAAAAATTATTGTGGATTAGCTATTGTTAAGTGCAACACCATTTAGGTAAATGAGTGTGTCTAAAGGGCTTGTAAATACAATATTCTCTCAAGTATTTAGTCTATACACTTTATGAAGATTTATCAAAACTAAACAGTAATTCAAATAATAATACATTCTGAAGGTTATGACCAAATTAATGAGGTTTTGATGGTGTTGTATGTTTGCTTGTGTTCAAGTAATCCTTTCCACGTCTGTTAATGTTAGAATTATTGGTCTCAGATGAACACCTACCAGGGGACTCAGATTCATTAATTGATTTATTTTTATGTTACCAAGAACATCACCCTCTGCAGATAGAGATATAATAGATGCAAATCAACATCAATAGCAATAAATACCATTACAATGAGAATTCTGAAATAGACATAACCTTTATAAATGCCACATTATGGCTTCTTTTATTCAAGCAATATTCCAACATCCATGCTTTAGTAAAGATGGTTCCTTGGTGCTTTTTTAAAGCAGAATGGGAATTTGTATTACTATGAAGATGAGCACCAAATTTTATACTTTCAAATGTTGTAGGGGCAGCCTCCCTACTGCTTAGTACACAAGGCTTTTATCTAACCAATCTTGTATTGATCAGTATGTTGTTGTTGTTAAAAAATATTAAAATTCTGTAGTGTTTAGATAATGGAGTTTATTTTCCAAAATGCTACTTTCTAGATTATTTAGTCAAAGGAAATTTTTGCTTCAGTGGTAAAACCTTTAAATGTCTGCTAGTTCTGTATTCATACTGTTACAACTTAAGAGGGTGAAGGTTGTTCTTACAAGGACAGGCTAGGTGTAGAATTTTTACAAAATTAAAATTTTAAAAAGCAGGTTGAATTACCCCAGACCCTAGCTTGAATTAACATGTGTATCGGTTTCAGCTTCTAGTCCAGATGTATTCTCCAAGCATTCTAAAGATATTACCCATCTCCAGTTCTAGGTATACTAGGACTCTATTCCCTTCCAAAATTCATTCAATTCAAATCCTAATCTTGCCTTTGATGGACTTTTCAGTAACCTTTTCAGCTAGTCATAATCTGTCACCCTTTAGGTTTATCATCTAACGTAGGAAGTATTTCTAATATTTTCATTAAGTAAAGAAATTATTATTCTTAGGAGGAAAAGAATAACTTGACTGTTAATTCACCAAGTTATATTCATGCTTATGAGCTGTGAATGATATTATATTCAAATGAGATATACATTTACAAACATGAGTAGGTCAGCATATTTGGAAAAAACTAACTAGAAATGGTTTTGTTTAATATCCTAACAAAATCCCCTCATCTTTGATACAGACTCTTATCTGGTTATCTGGTCATTTCTCATTTCAATTTTTTTCACAGATTAAAGAGTATAAAATAAAATGCAAATCATAGGGAAGCACTCACAGTTGGAAAAATGTGCTTTGTGATTGATAGATTAGATATCAAATTCCAAAATAATTACCAATAACTTTGGGTATAACAATTAAGAAATATAAGTGATAATGGCATCCATATAAAACATTATCTTTTCTAAGATTTGTATATATTTAAAGTGCATGCTTGTGTAATTGACATGAATAATACTTTGAATGCAAATGGAAAAAGCAGTAAACATAATTAATATCCTTGCTTGGCTATTCAAATTTTAAAAGACACATCCGAATAAATTCCACGGATTATTTCTCATTCGTACTACAACATTTCCCTTAAATGTTCACTAGCACTGTCTTGATTTAATTTTGTTAATTGATAACTTGATACCACTGTAGAAAAATAAAATGAAAAAGAGAACTAAACAGTAAATTATTTAAAAAATCAGGAAGTCATTATGTCAACTTACTATATTTCGGCAGCAGATTTTTTTGTTTGTTTGTTTACTGTAGATCACTGAATCAGCATACACAAAAAGATGGGAAAAATAAATACGTATGTCTATGTGGCACACATTTTGAGGAACCTAATTTAATAATGCTATGTAGAACTGTATATTAAAAGATTAGCCTAGCCCAAAGAAAGATTTGGCCCTTTACCCCAAGCTGAGTTTTTGTTTGTTTGTTTGTTTGTTTGTTTGTTTGAGTCGGAGTCTCGCTCTGTTGCCCTGGCTGGAGTGTAGTTGCGTGATTGATCTCTGCTCACTGCAAGCTCCGCCTCCTGGGTTCACGCCTTTCTCCTGCCTGAGCCTCCGGAGTAGCTGGGACTGCAGGTGCCCGCCACCACGCCCGGCTAATTTTTTGTATTTTTGGTAGAGACGGGGTTTCACCGTGTTAGCCAGGATGGTCTCGATCTCCTGACCTCGTGATCCGCCCGCCTCGGCCTCCCAAAGTGCTGGGATTACAGGCGTGAGCCACCGCGCCCCGCCCCAAGCTGAGTTTTCATAAAAACTGCAGAGAAATAAGGAAATTATAATCTTTTCGATAAATGCTGTTAAATCAATTGGATATGTACATAGAAAATATCCTTGACCTCTCCCTCAAACTGTACATATAAATCAATTATAAATGGAATGCAGATGCAAATATAAAAGATAAAACAATAAAGTTTTTAGAAGAAACCAGAAAAAAACACGCAATGTCTGCGCCTAAGCAGCAGCTGATCACCCCTGCATATCTGTGCCACCAAAGGAGGCCTCTTCAGGCTCCATTCATGCCCCTACGCTCCCTCATGAGCATCTACAGGTGCCCTGTGCAAGACAGATAGGAAGAGGATATTAACCCTCCCTTTTTCTGGGGATTCTAGCTATTCTAACCTGACTTGCCAGCCCACATTTGTTCTTTCAAAATGTGTTACAATTTCAGTCATTTTTTTTTCCCTTACTTGTTGGTATGGCGTCTACATCTATTCTCTGTCTCACGTGAAACAAAAGTTTCCTTTGTCCCATTTCTCACCGGAGAGGATTGTCTCTCTCTCTCTCTCAAATTCAGTTTACTTCGTTGACTTGTAACGTTAGCTCTCTCATGGGTTCAATAAAAAGTTATGATTTTGAAGATTATCTGGCTTTTTCTTTCACTGTTGTTAGTTTGAAAGTAATATTCTTTTGAAGCTTTCTGCATCCTAAGCAGCAGCAGAACACCAGGGCATTTTTACATGTTTACTTATTCTAGAGGAAATATCAATCTGTTGAGATGTTGTACAATCAAGGTGTATACATTCTCCTTTTCCCCGCTCATGTCCACTTGAATGTTGCTAGAATTGAGCAAGCATTTTATAACAGAAAGAAGGATGGTTGCGCACTTGGTCTAATCTGTATTTCTAAATAGTAGAGAGAGATTCTGCAGCCCAGATTCGTAATACATCACAAGGCCAAATTAGACTAGCAAGCATATACTTTCTTAAACTTTGCTGGACAGAAATATTATCTCCTATTTAATTGCATGTTTTTGTCATGATATGAAATAGTAGAGAATAAAAACAAAATGAAGAATGCTAAGCTCTTTCTTCTGCTTTCACTCACTTCTGTATTTTGACTTCCATGTTGAGATTAGTGCCCATTTCTCCCCTGCCACTACAATGCATGTGGACACATAACAATAACTACAGTTTTTGCCCTTCTGTTTTTAGATTGCTGCAGTCTCTGGGAAGTTGAATATGACTCTGTTACTATTGACCATCTCAGAAAGAAGGACAAACTGCCCAGTTTTCTGCTTCACATAGACACTATGTTTTTGTAAGCCAAAGGCAGAAGAGTAGAGATAAAAACCTGAATCATAGTTCTACCTTTCTTTCAAGAAAAAACAAAATATCTGGCTTACAGTAAACATTTAATAATAAATGAATGAATGAATGATAACTTTTGATTATGATGGCTAATTGGGATCCACACATTATAATTAATGAATTTCTCCTCCAGCTCCAGATGTTGGTGATCACTAATTGCCACTCTTAGATTAATGTTCATCTCTTTTCCGTTTCTTAATTGTTTCTTTGGTGGGGAATTGGGAGAGGCTGCATTAGCAATCATTATCTCGATAGAATTTTTAAATAAAATTCTCACTACTTTATTCTATTTTTAACTAAGAGTATGTAACTCATTCTGATTTTTTAACTTAATTCAAGTGTTTTTTGTTGAACTTTGTGATATCCTACAACCTATGGCCATATAGTTCACTTCTATAATTTACAAAATTCTTAGAAGGGGAATCAGGTAACTTTTCCTTTTAAAATTAATGCAATAACAATACCTCTCCTATTTAACTTATTTTTTTTCAGGATCAAATGAGATTATAAGCACAAAAGTTTTTGCTGAACCATGTATCTATTCATTATGCGTCTGACTCTCTCTCTAAATTGTGGGCTCCTGTCTTAGCTTGCAATATGTGCTTTTTAATTGTTGACAAACTACATTAAATATTTGTAAAATAAGGACAATCATAATAAATAAAACAATGTACAGAATAGATTTGTAACTTATTTGTTATTTCTTATTAAACTTAATAGGGAACCATGTATATAGTGATAATTCCATCCAGGTAGATGACTGCTTAAGTAGAAACGGATGATGTGATGGGTCTTCATTTCCTTGGTCCTGTTTACTCCAGTTCCTAGCTATGAGATCTATGTAAAATTATTTAATTTCCCTGATTCTTTAAAATAGAAATAATATTCGTATTCTATAATACATTAATTTTATAATTTATAATCTACATAAATTACATGTAAATACATATATGTTTATGAAAATAATAATATTTGTTATTGTACTATTTTATCTTGATTCTATAGTTCCTAGGATAGGCTTGCTGTAGATATTTACCTTTTAAATGTTTCTTTTCCTTTCCTTTTTCTACAGATACTTAAAATTAGTGAAAACTTTGTGCAATACACATTCTGTTTAGAAAGCATATCAGGCTGGGCGCGGTGGCTCACACCTGTAATCCCACCACTTTGGGAGTCTGAGGCGGGCCAAGCACATGAGGCCAGGAGTTTGAGAAAAGCCTGGCCAACATGGCGAAACCCCGTCTTTACTAAAAATGCAAAAATTAACCAGTTGTGGTGGTGCGTGCCTGTAATCCCAGCTAATGGGGTGTCTGAGGCAGGAGAATCGCTCCAACCTGGGAGGCGGAGCTTTCAGTGAGCTGAGATCGCGCCACTGCACTATAGCCTGGGTGACAGAACAAGACTATGTTAAAAAAAATGTATATCAAACTTCAAATATTAATCACATGTTTGACCAGGAGCGGTGGCTCATGCCTGTAATCCTAGCATTTTGGGAGGCTAAGGTGGGCCAATCAACTGAATCCAGGAGTTTGAGACCAGCCTCAGCAACATGATGAAACCCCATCTCTACAAAAAATACAAAAATCAGCAGGTCATAGTGGTGCAAGAATAAGTACCTATACTCCCAGCTACTCAGGAGGCTTAATACTAAGCTATTAGTATTAAGCAAGCTAAATAGTAATTTAACCCATAGATAACATAATTTAACATTTAATGTTAAACATTTGAGATAATCCACTAAACCAAGAAAAGGAAGAATAAAATAACTCTCTTTCTTCAACTTCTATTCATTCTTCAGGCTTCAGGTTATATTTAATATCTTCAGAGAAAATCCAGAGGACTTCTGGACAAACCCAGCTCTTCATACTAGCTATTTTCAAGCTACCCTGTTCCACACATAGTAAATGATTTACGAATTTTTGGTCATCTCTTCCTTGTAAGCTTTGTAAGGGAAATGACCATTTCGGTCTTATTACTGGCTTTTCAGTCCTTAGTACAGTATCTGAAATACAGGCCAGTGCGCATGCATTTATTCAACAAGTATTTATTGATTTTAAATGTAATTTAAATGTAATTGAATTCACATTTTTTATTTTAAATAGCACTCATTTAAAATGTTATGATGCTATTTTAACTCGAAGCCAGAAAATTGTCATTCTTGATTCTAAGGTCATGCTACCAAATCTAATTTCCTATAATGAACTTGCTTTCCCAAGTTCCACAAGGAAAAAATCACTGGTGTCAATGATTTGAAGTTCCAATTCCTTGGTAAATAAATGTATATAATTATAATTTTAAAAATTGCCATACTTTAAAAGGCATGCAACATATTTCTTCTGGGAAAGCAGTTGATTGAGGAAGAATTACTATTCGCAAGATTTCAGTCAACAGAAAATGATATGATGTTTGAAAAAACAGACAAATATATAGACTACGAAGTTAAGCCTTCTCTATGTTTGTTTTATGTTTTCCCATAAGTTCAGTATATTTTTTCTGCTATTCTTCAAAATATTTTAATAATGGTGCAATTCCAGTGTCAGTGAAGAAAAAAAAATTTTTTTTTTTTTTTTTTGTGGAGTCTCGCCCTGTCACCCAGATTGGAGTGCAGTGGCGCGATCTTGGCTCACTGCAACCTCTGCCTCTCAGGTTCAAGTGATTCTCCTGCCTTAGCCTCCAGAACAGCTGGAACTACAAGCATGTGCCACCATGATTTTTGTATTTTTAATAGAGATGAGGTTTCTGCATGTTAGCCAGGTTGGTCTTGAAGTCCTGACCTCAGGTGATCCACCCGCCTTAGCCTCTGAAAGTGCTGGGATTACAGGTGTGAACCACCACGCCCAGCCAAAATCTTTTAAATAGTGTAGTTTCATATCACTTGAAAAGAACGAGTTAAGGATGTGTCAATAGTATTACTGTGTTAAAAAAAGAACATTTTATTTTTGTCCTTTATTAGAAAAAAAAATAAAGTATTTCCGTATATACATTTTATACATAATATTTTTATTTTTAAAAACTTTGTTAAGTTAATCACAAAACATTACTAGTGAAATTTATTTTCAATGTACTCACTTAAAAATTATTTTTATCTATAAGCATAAATATAATAATTATGAGTAAAGCAGCTCTGGATAGGATAATGGTGTATCTTCTCTGAAAGCACACTATTTTGCTATAAAAACATGACAACAGTATGGTTCTAATTACCTCCCATATTTTAGAGGGTGGCAGCTGGCCAATGAATTGCATTTTTTTTCTCCTGAAAAGATATAATCAAATAAATAGTAGACGAAGCTTTTGTTGACTCTTGGATATGTAAATCAGTCATGCTATTTAACAAGTTATTTTGTCATCCTGATGAGTGGAAACATTGATTTGCAAGACTAATTATACTCACTATTTTTAGAACAAGCAAAGGGCTTTGCATTATGTAGTTTTGTAGGCCATCAGAATTAGATAGTCAGGTTCCCTGAAGGTCAGGCCTCTCCAGCAGGTGCTGGAGATGTTTACATAAAACTCATTTTAGTGAAGGAGGTGAGGTTTATAATTCAGTAACTCGCTGTGCGTCCATTTTGCATCTTGAAGTCAATCAGAGCTCTCTGCTTAGACACACCTTCCCAAATGTCAATGAGGGTCTGTATCTGTAAATAAGCTTCTCATTACTAATCTATCTTTAGTGATAAAATAAGTCTAGACCTTTATTAGACCTCCAAAAAGCACAGTATACAAATATTTCTTTTTTGAGTTAGTAAAATGTCCTGTGAGTCTATTGAGACTCATCGAACAAATTTGTTTTGTGCTGTCGGGCTTCAAAAAGAGTCCCACAGCAGGAGTTAGCACGACAGTTTTGGAATTATCCAAAGAAATATTTAAAAAAACACTCCTTACAAGGGAAAGAATTATATAACTACTTTAACACAAAATTATATTTTAGGCTTCTGATTTTCAACTACATTGAAACTCAGCTTTTTCATGGAATGGAGAATAGATTTTCTGGACTAAAACTTTTGAAGAACTACTGTCTCCTAAGCACGTTTTGGGTGGAAATCTGTGAATTGGAATTTCGAGTCAAGAATAAGTGGAAAATATACATAACATGGAGACATGTGTTCAAGTTTCATATTTGTGTGTCAGGGCCTGCTTAGAGCACTAAATGTATTATCCGATAGAAAACAGAATCTCCTTTCTTTGTCCCTTACTGAGATATTTGCCAAGAAAAACAGTTTTTGACTATATAGCGACAAGGAGGGAGCATGCTACTAGAATTAATTCTGGACAACGGCTATCACAATGCTGTTCAAATGAACTCTCTTCCTGATAAATCAACGTGTCTCTACAGTAGTTGATATATTGCTACTGGAGAAGAAGTAAAATCATGGAAGGGATTGCATGTTCACATAAGCACTTGCACAGTATTTTAGGGACTCAGTGTCAATCAAGGCACAGTTTGGAGTTGATGGTACTGTTCTTGCTAGTGGCAATAGCTATCTTTGCAAGATTCAAATCTGCATCATTTATATTAAGCTCTAGTGTCAAATCTTACCCTCCATCCCCTTGCTCCCACAGTGTGGGGATATATGTGGACAGTTAGCCACTAAATTAAAGATCACATTTGAAGAAGTAAAACTCTAGTTTGACAGCATTTATATTATTTTTTTAATTCTATCCTCAATACTAGTTAAAGGCCTATTTTACCTGTAACTTCTAAAAGATGAATTAAACATGACCTCAATTACAAGTCATATAACTACAGATACAGGTGAAGTAACCTTTGTTGAAGATCGGTTACATAGGCTAGGCACTGTGATAGAAACTTGATACATGTTCTTTTCTTTAATCTCACAGCAATGCAGTGAGATAGTAATTATTGTTCTTGCTTCACTGAAGCTGAGGGCCACAGATGTTACTAACTCGGTCTTTTCCTTTGGTGTTTGAATGATCTCTAAAACAATTATTTTAATTAGTCATTAGCTAATACTTAAAGATTGCTAATAATGAAAAATTGCAGACAGTTTATCTAGCTCAAACATTTCTATAGTTGTCCTATCCAACATCTTAGAAACTAGCCCCAAGTGCACAAATGGCTATTTAAATTAAAATTAAATAAAACTAAAAATTCAGTTCCTCAATCTTGCCACATTTCAAGGATACAATAATCACGTGTGGCTAGTGGTCATCATATTATATAGAACATATTATGAAACATTTCCAATAATACAAAAAATTATATTTGAAAGTGCTGGTCTATAGTTTTATATACATATATAAACAGATACATATGTGTGTGTGTATATATGTGCACACATATATACATATATATGTCTATATATTGTGTTAGGCTGTTTTTGCATTTCTATAAAGAAATACCTGCGGCTGACTAATTTTTAAAGAAAAGAGGTTTAATTGGCTTATGGTTTTGCAGATTTTACAGGAAACATTCTGCCCGCATCTGCTTCTGATGAGGGCCTCAGGAAGCTGACAATCATGGTGGAAGGCAAAGTAGGAGCAGGCACATCACATGGTGAGAGTAGGAGCAAGAGAGTGCCGGGAGGAAGTGTCACACTCTTTTAAACAACCAGATCTCATGTGAACAGAGTGTGGTTCACGGGAACTCATCACCCCGGGGATGGTGCAAAACCATTCATGAGAAATCCATCCCCATGATCCAGTTATCGAGGCCCCACTCCAACTTCGGGAATCACATTTCATCGTGAGATTGGGAGGAGACAAATATCCAAACCATATCATAGATACATATATCCATATTCTTTAAATGAATTCACATGCAGATGCCTAATATATAAAAGAAATCCAAGAAGACCTGCTCTCTGTAGGGTCTGAGCAGTCTTAAATCCAGCTTACTGATTAGCACCCTTCACTCTCCCATGATGGCTCTTAGGCACCTTGTAATACCCCCATGGCTTAAGAGCACAGTATGAAGATTTATTTTTAGATAAATTATTGTCATTATCATTGTAATCATTACATGTAATTACAGAATGTCAGAGGTGGAATAGATTCCAAGATCATCTCATTCAATCCCCTCATTTTGCCAAAGAGGAGGTGCAGGCAGTTGAAGTCATTATCACCATTCTAACTTAATATCTCACTTGTTTTTGCTGTTTGCTTATTTCCATTCACTACACACAGAGGAGAAAAATAAACTAGAGTTTCTTAATTGAAGTCCGTGAACTCAGTTAAAAGGGCACAGTTCCCCTGAAATTGTGTATATCATTTTTGTCATTTATTGTACATTATCAAGGGGAATTATCCATAGATCTTTATAGATCTATAGAGACTCCATCAGCATCTCAAAGTGTCTTGTGATGTTCAAAATTGTAATCATCTACTGTGACCTGAATAATATATGCAATTTAAATTACCTACGGAATGATTGCACCTCAGGTTTTAAAAGACTTGCCTTATAGTACATATTGAGATCAAAAATAATAAGAAATGGGGAGGCATCAGAATTGATTTGCCCTTACAGGGATCACTTAATTGAATTAGAGCCACCACATTAAATTAAAACAAACGTTTGCATATTTGATAAAGAGACTAAATATTTTGTTGCAAACAGTATAGAGGAGATATAGTTGAGAACAACTTTAAATTTTAAGAAATAGAATAAATTCTTTTTATTTGCTTAAAATGAAAACAAGAAAATCAGAAACTCTAAAGCAATCATTGCCAATGATCAGAAATATTTGTGACTACATTTACTCTGATTTTGATGATGTATAAAGCCCAGAGAACAAATAATGTCATGTGAAAAATATGTAGGCTGATCCACGTTTTAATTTCCATCCTTGTGGACATACAATAATTCCCTTCATATTTTTTAAGCTTAATTTTTCATAATTTGTTATTTTGATTCTTGTAATCTTTTTTTGAATTTTGAAATATTGATACAACAAAAAATGTTATGGCAACCATGAAAGTGTTTTATTATTTCTAATGCTATTTAGGTCCTGTCCATCTATTTAATATCAAAAGATTGAGACCTGTTAATGGTTGCTGGGTTTTTTTCTGTGTTTTAGATAATTACAATGTTTGCACAATTATTCTGTAGGAAATTCTGTTTACAATGCATTCACATTCTTTTTAAATGCCGCTTTAAAATAACTTCTCATTATACAACTCGTCTTGAAAAAATAAAGCTAATAAGGTGCAGAAAGGGACATTTCTGATCCAATGTCATTGGTGAAACTCTGTGTCTAGCAATGTGCAGCATTTGGGAAAGCAATGACAAGCACCCTGATATTCAGGGATACATGCTCCATAGCCCGGGATAGAAGTGCTGCCAAATGGTCAGCATCCAGAATGGCTTATGCCCTACTTCCCTTCACATGGTTCTTTGAAGTGGCTTTCTCTCTCACAAAAATAAGAAAATGAGCAATTATCAAATTTTATACCCAGATGGAAGAAGACGTGAGCCTGCTCAGAATGATTATTGCATGTTGGGTTAAACAGAGGATGGGCTTTTTATTAGCTTGAGGGAATCAGGACCCTCTTGTGTCTGGCAGGGATGGACAGATGAGACAGTCCACAGGTCAGTAGCATAATAGTAATAATATATCTATTCTTGGCTAAAATTTGGGACTTGGATATTTTATCCATCCATCTATCTAACTCTCTATATAATCTGATCATACAGTAGAAATAGAATATGTGCATGTATGTATGTATATATTTGTATGAGTGTGTTTATACAACCTAAAGTTTGCTTACATATTAAAAACATAGATTTCTTTAAATAACTAACTAAGCAAACCATGGAGCATTTTTTCCCAAAGAAGTTAAACAGACTCACTGTCTTGATAAAGGTTTCAATGCAAATTCCTAGGGCCAATTGTTGGATTAAAAAACACGTTACAGTTTTGTACAGTCTACTTGATCTCTCACTCCAGCACTTAATGTTAATAGAGACTCAATACTTCCAACAGGATAGCTCCAAGAGACACAGATGCCGACTAAAGGTTGGCAAAGATATCTTATAAGTTCTCACACAGTGTCTTATATTAGCTGGTGTTCATTAGTGACATCCGGATAGATACAATGTTCATAAAAGTTGCCATCCAAAATGTAATTTCCCTTTTCTGGCTCCTTGTTATTTTTTTATTTTTGCTTTTATTAACAAATATTAAATTTTTATGTCATCGTGACTGTGTAAAATTTCTTGGATCCATAAGTATTCAATCAACAAACATGTTATACTTAATGGCTTGAATGCTTGATTTATAACTTTTGAATATTTAGAGCCATTATACATGGACTTCTGTACTCTTCCTCAGACCTGTAAATGCTATGCAGCAGGCTGCAGAAGACAGTCATCAGAGCTTGTCACTAAGGAAATAATTACCGTGTGTATCAAACTGTGTATTTATACTCTACTTCTAAAATAGCCCTGAAAATTAAGAGTTTAATTTTTTTTCATTTTTAATGTAAAAGCAGTACCTGCATATTTAAGGAAATATAAGAAGTAAAGTACTGAAAAGTAAAAGGAAATGTGATACTCTAAAAAAAGATGAATTTTTGCTGTATTTTCTTCCTTGATTTTCCTATGTGGATTTTACCATAGTTGCAAACCCTTTATGTATGTAATGTGCATATACCATCCACATTGTACATTAAAATTTTTATGTAATAAACATTTACATTTTAATATATAATCCATAGATACACTAATATGGTAGCTTTATAAAGCTTGATTTGTCATTCTATACATACTGTAATTTAACTAGTCATAATACAGAAGCAACCTAAAACCAAATAGTAAAGAAACATTGTTAAAAATATGAGTCAGATCTCCACCCACATCCTTTAACGCTATTGTTGGTGTACATGTCACTCACTGAATAGTCATAGAGGCATTCTCTTTGGTGTCCAGATCCTGTGGAACGTCTTTGCTAGGCTTTTCAACGCATCAGAGAATTAACATCCCATAGGAACAGGTCTCACGCCATGACTAACGGAAATTGGTGATATATATCCCAGTTCCTTTGCCCCTTGGGCAGGCTAACTCAGAGGCACATGTTCTACTCTGCCTCCAGAGTTCTCAAGTTGTAGCTGGCTTAGCATGTCATTGTTATTGATCCTTTTCTCTCAATCATTTCCTTACTCTCCTACCAGCATTTCCTTACTCTCCTACCAGCATTTCCTAGCACCATGTCCCAAATAATGAATGTGTCCTGAAAATCTGAAGTTTTTACTCTCCTGTCATTAGAGTAACTGGACAATCAACAACTTTCTTTTTTGTTCTTGTTGTTGTTGTTGTTGTTTCGAGACAGTCTCGCTCTGTCGCCCAGGCTGGAGTGCAGTGGTGCGATCTCGGCTCACTGCAAGCTCCGCCTCCCGGGTTCAGGCCATTCTCCTGCCTCAGCCTCCTGAGTAGCTGGGACTACAGGCGCCCGCCACCACCCCCAGCTCACTTTTTTGTGTTTTTAATAGAGACGGGGTTTCACCATGTTAGCCAGGATGGCCTTGATCTCCTGACCTCGTGCTCCACCGGCCTCGGCCTCCCAAAGTGCTGGGATTACAGGCGTAAGCCACCGCGCCCGGCCCAATCAACAACTTTCATATCCTACTCTGTTTAGTACTGATCCAAGAATGATGTCTGTAAATCGTTTTAGGAAAATGTTCTCAGATTTCTTAGTCATCAGAGAAAATTAGACAAAACTAAAGAGGATACCAGGTTTTAGAAATTCTATTATTTGATAATGTACCAATGTTTTCAAAACATAAACCAAGGGTATTAAACGAGGTATGTTGCTGAATCTGCTGTCATTTGAGGACCAATCAAGTGGAGAAATATACCAATTAGAGTTCAGAAAAAAATTATTTATAATTTGATAAATGAAAATAATATCTCATTTAAAATTATTTTATTAATAAGAAGACTAAGCATCTTACCTTATGTATGTGTGTCTCGGCTGAATCCTCTTTCTTAACCACCCTTTAATCGGGGCAGGCCGGTAGAGGAGGAGGCTTTCAAGTCAGGTCTAGTTTCAGCTTCCTCTAGGGGCTCTCACTCACTGGTCTTGTGACCTGAGGCACTTAACCTCTTCAAATCAGTTTCCTTACTCATAAAACTGAGACACTAATATCAACTAAACATTAAAATGTAGGTAATACGTCTAAAGCACTGAGCCCACTGACATATGATAAACATTCAGAAAATAGTAGATATGTTCAAATTATGCCCCCTTAAGGCATTTTACACTAACTTAAAAAAAAACCACTATCATTTATTTACTACATAATGAGCTCACATACAATTAACCATCTATGTTTTATTCATATTTACTGTGTTTATCAAACATGAGTGTCATGGAGAACGCTTATGTACATGTAATCAAATTGGCCTATTTTATCCTTTCATCTAACATTTCTAAACTTATTTTTTTCTCTCATCCTCTGAGGTTAGATAAATGTTTAAACCATTTAATAACAAATATTTTGAATTAATATTTTCTTCTGAGGTTATTACCTCATTTTGGAGGAAAAAAAAACACAAATTATCCAATGAGCTTCTCCTTATATATCTTAACAAATATTTTTATTTGCAAATATTCCCTTTCTGTGCTTAAGAGTCTGTAGGAAACACAACTACATTTCTCTGATACAAATTTGTGGAATTCATATTTTCTTGCTGGGGCAAAAGGACTCCCTATAGACTGACTCCACCTCGTGTTTGAACCTCACTTTTCCTTAAGCCTGTCACCAAGCAGGGCAGTCTCACTTCTGTTCTTCTTCCGTCATTTTTCGTCCACTTGCATTTCAAGCCTTTGTTTGCTCTGTACACCGTTATAGATTTTGATCTCTTTCATACTCCTAAATTAGATTTATTTCAATGTCTTGCATATGATAGTTTGTTTCCATGAAAAGATTACTGACTAGTAGAGCCAATATTAAACTTTTATTAATGCCTTTGTCACTCAAGCAAAATTCCGGTAGGCGGAACTCTAAGATAGCCCCCAAGTTGCCTGCTATCCATATAATCCTCTCCCCTGAGTGCAAATAGAAGCTGTAAATATGATGGAAATTTAATCCCTTGATGATAGTATGTAATATGGCAAAATAGACTTTTCAGATAACTTTAAAGTTCCTAATCTGTTGGCTTTGAGTTCTCAAAAGATAAATTATCTTGGATGAGACCTAATCAGGTGAGCCCTTAAAAGATACAAGATGCAGCAGCAGACACTCCTGCTGGCCTGGAAGAAAGCAGACAATGATGTTGTGAACTGCTTCTGGATGACACTACAGGGGTGTCCTTGAGTCTTTCTACTGGCCATCCTGCTCATAGCCAGCAAAACAAACAAACAAAAAACCCAGGTACATTAGTTCTGCACCACAAGGAACTAAATTCAGTCAACAATCTGAAAGAGCTTGGGAGAAAACACTGAATTCCAGAACAGAACACAGCCCTAGCCAAAACCTTGATTTCAGCTTTTAAAATCCTAAGCAGGCTGGGCACAGTGGCTCATGCCTGTAATACCAGCACTTTGGGAGGCGGAGCTGGGCGGATCACCTGAGGTCAAGAGTTCAAGACCAGCCTGGCCAATATGGTGAAACCCTGTTTCTACTAAAACTACAAAAATTAGCCAGACATGGTGGCACATGCCTGTAGTCCCAGCTACTTAGGAGGCTGAAGCAGGAGAATCGCTTGAACTCAGGAGACGGAGGTTGCAGTTAGCCGATATCGCACCACTGCACTCCAGCCTAGACGACAGAGAGAGAGACTCTGTAAAATCCTAAGCAGAGGCCTTATCTTTGCTGTGCCTGGACTTGACCTGCAGAAGCTGTAAGATGGTAAATGGTGGTGGTTTTAAGTTCCTAAATTTGTGGTAATGCAGCAATAGAAAATGAATACATCCTATATTATTCTCTGGCTCACGTAAAACTGTAGTCTTTCTCTAGGTCTTTTTTGTTTTGCTCTGATGCACTTATGAAGACATGCTCATTTCAATACTCTGTGTAAATTTCAGAAAATTTGCACAGAAAATAAGGCAGAATAATTTGGAACATGAACGTACCTCAGAGTTAAAAAATATATACATATATCAAATTGTAAGACTTACAGCCAACTTCTAGTGTTGAATCACAATTTGGTGAAATGAGGTAATAACAATAGTAAAGATAGCAATAAAATTATTATTGACAAACAGCTCACACTTAAAATGTGGTGCACTTAATATGTAAAAATTTTAAACTTCATAATTTTTTAATTTTCCTGTTTCAACAGATGAGAAAATACCCTTAGAAAAATTGAGTGACTTGCCAAAATTCACAGTCACGAAGTGGTGGAATTGGGTATGAAAGAAGGCTGCCTAACTCCACAGACAGAGTTTTCATCAATGCCTTCACATTTTGTGAACAAAAACAAACAAATAAAATCAAAGGTCATTTTTAAAAGGATGACTATTACATTTGGGATATACAGAGTGAAGATCATCCAAGAACAACCAAATTCAATAGTCTTTAATATTTGAGAACATGATGCATTAAGATTCAGACCAAACTCAAATGTGTATCAACCAGGTACCTAAATGCTTCACAGATACTAAACTGTCTGCACCCATAAGCCTGAAAATCCTAATTCATGATTAAATATATTGAACTACTAATAATATTAAGTAGGGGTTATACAACATAGTATAACTTAATAGAACTTTACAGACTATTTAAATCAAGACTATTGTACAAATTAGTGATGTGAATCTTGGGAGAGAAAGACTTACTCAAGATCAGCCAATTTTCCTTCTTAATTAACATTGTCCTCAAGAAACAAGAAAATCATAGGTGCAACGTAAATAAAGCCGTAAGAGTTGAAGTCCGCTCATTGCCCTGGAATCACCCTTAGGTGCTTTTCTTAAATATGAAATGTGTGTTTTTCTTCTCTCTCCTGTGCAGAATCACTGGAGGTTGTAAAATCAGGTTTGGGGCCTGATTTTTAGGCAGGTTCAGGGCATCAAGCAGGTGATAACTGGGAGAAGGCCTGTAATATTTAAAGAATTAAAAACACAAAATAATGGCATACCAAAAATGTCAGTTAGTTCCAAGGCCATAGAATATAAGCTTTCAGATCTATGTCAGTTGAATTTTCAAACTTAGTCATATTTTCAGAACCTCTTATAATTGTCATTACTTCTATTGTTGTGTGTGGAAATCCAGAGAGTCCCTTATACTCTAATTCTCTTAGTGTCCTGGAAATTTTCTAACAAATTCCAGCAACTTACACAGTACTGTCTCATATGCCACAGCTTTTGCTAAATATACTCTACAATACAGCCCCACACCTATGCACAATTTCTATTCAGCCTTCCTGGAAATCCATCAGAAAATAACCATCAAAGATAGGTGGCTACAAGCCACTTTGAATATGCTCATCCACTGTATCTTCTTGCATGTACTTTGATGGGTCTGCATTAAGTGCAATATTATGCATGTCTATTCAATAGGTCAGATATTGACTACAAGTCATAGCAAGCAAGTGCTAAATTCCTCCCAATATTTTTTCTGCTCAAATCAATGGGCATTGGCTTCACAGCAAAAATCAGTAATAGTGACAGATTTCAATGCTCTTGCTAGAAATTTATGTTAATGCAAACAGCCTCTACATTATACATGACCCGGTTGCATAGGAGGCAGATAATCAATATCTTTATATCCCTTGGATTAAATTCTCTTCTTAGAATATGCTAATTAAAAGTGAACCATAGTACTAATATTTTCTGCATAATTAAGATAATTTTATAAGGCAAAATAAATTATAATATAGTAAACACTTTTGTTTGAAAATTAATACCAAATAGAGTAACACACAAAAACCCAACTGCCAATAGCATATCTGACCATAAAAATTAGTTATTGTAACCCCCAAAACCAAACTGTAAACCACATTTGTTCCATTTTACGTTGCTATTATATCTTAATAATAAAGTTGTGTATGTGTGCGTGTGTGTGTGTGGCCCTGTGTTCAGAGGTATCAGCTCAAAATGTGAAATATTGTGAGCTGCTTTTGTACCAGGATAATGTGTAGGTAAGGAAGCAATTTAAAGGAATATAATGCATTCTTTAATATCAGTACAGCTTTCAATGGGACTAAAACTTAATGATTTTTTGAGGGGAGAAATAAATGGGTTGAGCTCCATCACATGTCTACTCAATTTCACACTGTAGATAGTGTTTTAAGAGAAAATTTATGGTGGAAGTTGCAAAAGTAATTTCTCTGCAACACCAGAACTATTGTTCTTTAAAAGATGCATCTATAATTTGTTCTTGGCCTCAGAGTGGAGGAAAGACCTGCTAGCACAGAAATATCCAAATCTAAAGGAATGAGAAAAACAGACATTTGACATATACTGAATGAAGAATAAAATATTGCCATAGGTGTTATAAGAAATCCATGGAACTTATGACATGAATTAGAAATACAAACAATCCATCTTACTCTTTCTTGGATTTCCCAAGTGACAGATACCCTTGATATGTCATTTATTATTTTAAAATACGCTCATTGATAAACCAGCCTTTTTCTCTTCCTTTCCATCACTAGCCTCATGCTGTTTCTTCTTTGCCAGTGAGTTCCAAATCATGAGCTCAATTGTTTATTTTCAGAACAGTGTGTTCTATCTCTCCTTAGGATAAGATACAGAGGGGAAGGACTTCGGCTGTCTATTTGCAATACGTGTGCAACCTCTGGAACATCCATCCCTAATCTCCTTGAAGCCCTTCATTCATTATTAATTGAAGATAACGAAATAAAAAATCTCCACCAGAAGCAAAATCTATAAATGCAATAATAGTAACCTATTTTATATGATAGATGACTTTATATTTTTCATATTTAACTGTAAATTGTGAAACAAAACTAAAAAGTGAAGATGAGAAAATAGTAGAAATAAAATAGAAATCTACACTTAAAAGTAAATGTACAAAAAGAGGCTATCAATGAATTCTTCTCTATATGTTCTTTGCATGTCTTTCACTCCTGGGAGATTTGGGCACTCCGGTAAAATTTCTCTTACGTTTATGTTTCACAAGACAATTAATTCTACTCTAATCTCAGTGTAATGATTTCACTCTTCTGTTAAATAAAAGGAAACTCTACTTTTTGATATTTTAAACTACTTATTCTTGGCTATTCTTTTCCTGTTCATTTTTTTCCTAATAAAAATCAGTTATAAAACTCTGGGACAGGGTATCGTAATGGCCAGGGTCATATTTTTCCCAATGATAAGTCTATGTAAATATTTTATCCAATTCCCAATTCTTCACCTAGAATATCGAAACATGAATTTCATTCATTCATTTAACGTATGTCAATTACCCAGTGTATGCCATGGAATGTGCCCAGGCCTTGGGGAACAAAAATGATAAAGAAAACAGTATATTAGGAGTTGATAACCTAGTGGAGAGCTTAGTCATAGAAACATATATTTATGATAAAATATAATAATTTTACTAGAGGTAAATAAGGGTAGACAGTCAGGGAAAAGTGAAGTTTAGATTCAATATAAAAAATAAGAGAGGTGTTAACAAAATGAGAGTTTCAAAACTGTCAGCATAATTTGAAAGCTTAGGTGTGCTGTAAATAAATGTTGAAATACAAAAAATACAAATCTACTCAATTTATCGCCAAATGAATTATTCTACCTGTTAAATGTGGAAAGTTTAATTTAGAGAAAAATAAAGTTTGATTTCATTTTTGTTGAAAACAAAAAAAGAAGGAACATGAATGTTACAGTAACAATGGTAGTAAAGCTTAGCATTTTGCATTTTGTAATATATTTCCTCATGCCTTTAGTTTACTCCTGAACCTGGTCAAGCAATTTATTCTGCTTGGGCTTATCTTGCTGCTTCTGTATCACCTTTCTATTTGTAAGTTGTGATAATGCTTCCCCGGTTTCCCTGGTATCTCCCAGTATAATACTATCTCTAAAATACTCTTTCTAGCCTTCCTTTTCTATTCATATTGGATTCACCAATTAGCCTGTCTGGCTGATATGCCTCGCTCCTTGCCACAGACAAATCCACCAGTGCTATTCCTGAGGGCTGCTGTGGAAACAGCTTCTCTGGTCACCATCACTGAGATCTTGCCCGGCCAAATTCATGGGTGGAAAAAGTGTGAATGCCCCACTTCAGGACCTCTCAAATGGAGAGCTCCCAGAGTAGAACTGTTTGTCAGAGGATTTACTTCTGCATCGGAGTTGGGTCCCTTTCTGATTTTGGAAGTCCTGGGGGTATTGATATAGACTTTGGCTATTGCTTCTGGGGCTTCAAATTTCAAGTTTTAATATATGTTCTCCTCTTTACCTGAACTTCTTATCTCTTCATTTGAATTTTTATGTCCCTTTGCCCTCTGACTTTTTAATCATTTCACTATCAGGATCCACAATATTTGTTTTTTATGATATATTACATAATCAAATCATTTCTGCTAGCTATGCCATGATGGGTATATTTGCCCGCCATTTTTCCAGGCTCTTCTTTAAAGTTTCATGCATCAAATATCATGACTTAAAGGAGTAAATCTTCACTATCTAGTTGAGCCTTTTAATTTTCTTCACAAGAAAGATAAGACACAGAGGAAAATGGTCCACACTCAAGAGGTACAAATCCAACACCTAGGAACAGAAACTACCCAGACGTACCGTTCTCAGTCCCAAAATACTGCTTGACAAAAGTGGCTTTGTAGTCTCTGTCACAATTCCTTCATGAATATTTAGGGATGAATGGAAAGAGACTCAATTTCCAATAAGATAGAAAGCTCTGAGTGACCTTCATTTGTATGAAATATGAACAGTCTTGACACAAAACATAAATAATATCTACACAATATAGGGTTTTTGTTGTTGTTCTTTTGTCTTTTGTTGGTTGGTTGTTTTGTGTGGTCTTGACTCAGTTTTGAGGTCCTGGCTAGAAACGAGTCGGTTCCTTTCTTGAGCAGCCGACCTCCCTTGTCTTCTCATGGCCAGGTTCCAGATGTCAGGGGACAGGCCCTATGCCCCAGCGCACTGAATTATTTAAATTAGCCAGCCTGAAACCTGCCTGTCCTGCCTTGCCCTTGCCTCTGGCAGAAACCATAATAACAGCTCTTGCCCGCAACCCCTTCCTGCCCCTGCCTTGGGGCCAACCCAGCACCTCTCCGGAGTGGCCTGGGGTGGCTGGCTGTGCTCTCCCAGGAAGCTGGGTGTGACACAACTGTAAAATTTGTTTCTCTTTCTGGATCCCTGTGGAGTCTCACCATGCCACACCCAAGGTAATGTGGTTAAAACAACTTAACATGTTGCATTTTTTCAGTAATATTTCGCTTGAGAATGGTAAAAGAAATATCAACATATATGGGAACAAATGCAGTTAAGGCCTAAGTTTACTTAACTCGCCATAGATAAAAGATGTCGATGTTTTAGAACTCTTACAAAAGTGTATTTGACACCCTGTGGACTCATAATGCCATCTAGTGGAACAATTAAATAAATGCAAGGAAGGTCTGTGTGTGTGTTTTATATTAGGAAAATTGTAAAAGGATTGTTAATTGTATTTTGTGAAGTCACAGTAAAGTAACTTATGCTATTGAAGCTATAAAATTTAGTTCTAAGAGTCATGCTATCCAACACTTTTCCACATACAGCTAACAAGGTCTACTAATGATTAGTAAAATGGCCCTCATCTGTCATTTATTCAGGATAAATTTAAGAAAATTGCTTAATTTGTCTGAGCCTCAGATAATTTATATATATAATATCAGTTAATATTCTTACAAGAGAACACTGCAAGGAGTGTACTAATATTCTCATTTTTAAATGAGAAGTCAGATTCTTTTGATAGAAACCAATGAGGTACTTTACAGAAGCTAATTCTCTCCGCTTATCAACCCTTTAAATAATATTTTATTTATTAGAATTTTGGCTAAATGGCACACCAAAATCCATGGTCTCCTGATTACTTTGAAATTTTCACAGAAACAGAAAATGATTTCTATTTCATTTAGTTGTATATATACAAAATGTGTTACATGTACACAAGGTGTGTTACATATACACAAAGTGTGTATATGTGAAACCAAATGAAATGTCTTTGTCTATAAACAAAGACATTGCCAAGTCAGATTTGAATTTCCTTCGGATATACTAGAAAATTTTTAAGACAGTAGGAGGGTACTCTAGAGAAAACATAAAATCTTGTTAAAATAAAAAACGATAAAAGGAAGAGTGGGAAACAATTATTTGTTCTGGCTTAAGCAAGGCATTTGACACTATTTAAGTCAGTCAGTGAAACCCACATGGTGGACTCTACTTCATCCCTCGAGTTGTGTATCTAACTGCTCTCTAGAAGGGCAAACATACTACCCCAGCTAGGTCACCATGTGTCATCCCTTAAACTCTACAGTGACATTTCAGCAAAGGATACCTTTCTTCATAGAATTTTTCTTCAATAACTTCTTAAATTTAGATTTGTTGAGATATAATTCACCACTGTACAATTCACTCTTTAAATGTACGTTTCTATCTGTTTTAGCAATTATATACAACTATGTAACCACAATTACAAATGAGAAATAAAATATTTCCATCATCCCAAAATTTTCCTTGTGCCTCTTGTAGTCAATCCCCTTCCCTCAACTTGCAGGATCTGGTAACCATTTCTACTTTTTTGTGTTTTTATCATTTGGCTTTTCTAAAATGTCACACAAACAGAATTAGACGATATGTAGCCTTTTGTGTCTGGCTTCTTTCACTTATGATAATTCTTAACAGATTTATTCATATTGCTACATGTATCTGTGGTATGCTATTTTTATTGTTGAATAGTATTCCACTGTATGAATATCTCACAATTTATTTGTCCAGTCAAAACTTGACGTTTATTTTCAGTTAGGGACTGTTATAAATGAAACTGCTATAAACTTTTCCATATATGCTTGTTGTGGACATACATTTTTATTTGACTTAGGTAGATATCTAGATGTAGGATTGCTAAATCATATGATATGGTTTGGCTCTGTGTACACACCCAAATCTCATTTCAAATTGTAATCCTCAGGTGTCAAGGGAGGGAGGTGATTGGATCATGGGAGCAGTTTCCCCCATGCTATTATTGTGATAGTGAGTGAGTTCTCGTGAGATCTGATGGTTTTGTTAGGCAGTTTCCCCTGCTCTTGCTTGCTTCTCTCTCCTGCTGCCTTGTGAAGAAGGTGCTTCTTCCCCTTCACCTTCAACCATGATTGTAAGTTTCCTGAGGTCTCCTCAGCTATGTGGAACTGTGAGTCAATTAAACCTCTTTTCTGTACTTATAAACTCAGTCTCCAGGAAGTTCTTTATAGCAGTTTGAAAATTGACTAACATATCATGTTTGATATTTTCAAATGGAAGGGTTGGGTGCGGTGGATCACATCTATAATCCCAACGCTTTGGGAGGCTGAAATTGGAGGATCACTTGAGCTCAGGAGTTTGAGACCAGCCTGGGCAACACAGTGAGAACTTGTCTCCAGTAAAATTAAAAAAAAATTAGCTGGGAATGATGGCATGCACCTGTAGTTACAGCTTCTTTCAGGGGCTGAGGTGGGAGGACCACTTGAGCCTAGGAAGTAGAGGCTGCAGTGAGCCCTGATAGTGGCATTGCACTCCAGCTTGGGCTACAGAGTAAGACTCCATCCCAAAACAAACAAACAAACAAACAAACAAACAGAAACAAACAAACAAAATAGAAAAATCCTGTGCAACTGTTTGCCAAAGTGATTGCTCTACTTTCATTACTACTAGCAATCTCTGAGAGTTCCTGTTGCTTCACATCTTCAGCAGCACTTGATATTGTCAGTTTTTATTTTTAGTTATTCTAGTAAGTGTGTAGCAGTTCTTCATTATGGTTTGATTTGCATTTTTCTAATGACTAATGATAGTGACAGTCTTTTCATATGCATATTTGCTACCTATGTCTGTTCTTTTGGCATGGAGGACACCTCTGTTGTCAAGTACATCAAATTGATTGTATGGTTTTTCGGTCTTTATTCTTGTCGATATTCTATCCATTCTCTCCATTTCTGGTATAAATTACTGAGAGAAAATTGAAGTCTTAACCTCTGGTTGTATGTAGATTTAATTCCTTTTTAAATTTTATTACTTTTATTGAAGGAGAATACACATAGGAAAGTGATATTTTCTTGATGAATTGACTCCTTTATCATTTTCTCACCCTTTCCTTTTTTTTAACTTTCAACTTAAAATTGTCACATCTGTTTATTCCAGCATCATATTCTCTTACTTTCAATTGACTCCTTGAGAACATTGACATTTCATGTAATTATCCATATGGTTGGCTTTAAAATGACCATCTTAAGTAGTATTTTCTATTTGCTTCATGTGTTCTATCTCCTATACATTTTTGCTTCTATTTTCTTAATTGAGGGTTGTGGGCTGTTTTTAAAATTCCACCAATGGCTATTAGTTATATGTCTTTTTTAATTTTTAGTGGTTACTGTAGGATTTACAGCATAAACCTTTTTTGAGTGCCTCTCTTTCAACTCGTTGCTTTTCTTCAGTACTGTGTTGGCTATTATGTGTCTTTTATCTTTTCATATAAACATTATCATCAGGTTTTGATATCCACAAAATAGTTTGCTGGAATTTTTATTGGAATTGCATTGAATCTGTAGATCAAATTAGGGAGAACTAACATCTTAATGTTGACTATTTCTATGCATTAAAGTAGAGTATCTCCTCATTTAATTAGATATTCTTTCTTTCATCACAATTTTTTATTTTTCCTCACATAGATCTTGTATACTTTTGTTACATTTGTACCTAAGTATTACTTTATTGTGCTAATGTAAAGAAGATCGTGTTTTTCATTTCTAATCCCAAGACTTTTTACTGGTATACAGAACCTAAACATTAGCAAAGTCAAACCATTGAGGCCTTGATAACATTGACATTTCGTGTAATTACCTTTTATATAGTAAATTATCTCTTATATAGTAAGATTTTATATAGGCTTTCATATAGTAAGATTGTATGCTGCAAACCTGCTATAATCACTTAGCATCTCCAGGAGTTTGTCTTTTGTTTGCTGTTGTTGCTTTTATCAATTCGTTAGGATTTTCTATATGCACGTTTAGTTTGCAAACAAAGGAAGAAAGGAAGTTGTAAATCAGTATGCCTTTTATTTCCTTTTCTTGTCTTATTGTTCTACCTTGGATTTGCAGTATGATAGTGAACAACAGTAGTGAGAAAAGATCGTTGCCTAGTTCCCCATCTTAGGGAAAAAGCATTCAGTTTTATGATTAAGTATGATGTTAGCTGTATTTTGTTTTGGTTTGTTTTTTTTTAGATATTTTATTTTTTTAAAGCAGTTTTATGTTCACAGCAAAATTGAGTGGAAAATAGTGAGTTCCTATATACTCCCTGTGCTCACACATGCACAGTCTTCCCCACTATCCATATCCTATGCAAGATTGATACATTTGTTACAATTGATAGAACTACATTAACAAGTCAATATCACCCAGTCCATAGTTTACATAGGTTTCACTCTTGGTGTTATATATTCTATGAGTTTTGACAAAACTATAATGACATTTATCTACCATTATAGTATCATACAGTATAGGTTCACTGTCCTAAACATTCCCTGTGCTTGGCCTATTCATCTCTCTCTCCTTCCCCACTGATACCTGGCAACCACTGATCCTTTTATTATATACATAGTTTTGTCTTTTCCAGAATGTCATAGTTGGAATCATGCAGTATGTACTTTTCTCAGATTGTGTTTTTTACTTTAGTTTCCTGCATGTCTTTTTGTGACTTGATAACTTACTTTTTTAGTGCTGAATATTATTCCACTGTCTGGATGTAATACAGTATATTTATCCATTTACCTAGTAAAGGACATTTTGGTTACTTTCAAATGTTGGCAATTATAAATAAAGCTGCTGTAAACATCTGTTTTCAGGTTTTGTTTCAACTCATTTGGGTAAATACCAAAAAGCGTAATTGCGGGGTCATATGGTAAAAATATATTTTCTTTCTGTAAGAAAAAAAAATGCCAAACTGTCTTCTAAATGACTGTATCATTTTGTATCCCCGCCAGCAGTGAATGAGAGGCCTTGTCGTTCCACATCCTTGCCAGGACTTGGTGTTATCAGTGTTTTGGATTTTGGCCCTCCAGTAGGTGATAGTGCAATGGCATGGATAAACCTGGAGGACATTATCTTAAGCAAAATAAGCCAGGCACAGAAAGACACATACTGCATTATCTCATTAATACGTGGAATCTAAAACAGCTGAACTCCTACAAGTACAACCTGTCACAGGCGTGTGAATCAGAGCAACTCCATCTTGAGTAGGGGCTGGGTAAAATAAGTCTGAGACCTACTGGGCTGCATTCCCAAATGGGTAGGCATTCTAAGTAGCAGGATCAACTAGGAGGTCGACACCAGATACAGCTCATAAAGACCTTGCTGGTAAAACAGTTTGTAGTAAAGAAACCAACTAAAACCCACCAAAACCAAGACAGCGATGACAGTGACTGCTGGTCGTCCTCACTGCTACAGTCCCACAAGTGTCATGACAGTTAGCGAATGCCATGGCAATGTCAGGAACTTACCTATATGGTCTAAAACGGGAAGGCATAAATAATTCACCCTTTGTTTAGCGTATAATCAAGAAATAACCATAAAATGGGCAACCAGCAGCCCTCAGGGAGGCTGTGCCAACGGAATAACCATTCTTTATTCCTTTACTTTCTTATTAAATTTGCCTTCACTCTATGGATTTGCCTCAAATTCTTTCTTGTGCGAGGTCCAAGAACCCTCTCCTGGGGTCTGGATCAGTACCCCTTTCCGGTAACAAGAGTAGAATGGTGGTTCTCAGGGGTTGGGGGTGGGATGGAGGTAAGGGGATGTTAGTCAAAGGAGACAAAATTTCAGTTAGATAGGAGTAAATTCAAGAGAGCTATTGTACAACATAATATAGTTCATAACAATGCATTGTATTCTTTGAAAATTGTGGGGAGAAAAAGCAGAGTCTAAGTGTTCACACCACAAAAAACGAAAAACTATGCAAGGTAACGCATACCTTAACTAGCTGTATTGAGCCACTCCGCAATGTATATATATTTTAAAACATCATATTGTACATGATATCTACAATCTTTAATATGTCCATTTAAAATAAATTTTTAAAAAGTTGCCCTAATTGCCTCCCAAAATATCTCTTTTAGTTGGATTCTTTTATTTCCAATTAAAATTTGCACATTGTATTTAATCTTTATGTTTCTTAGTCTAGGATGAACAGTTTATGCATATTTATTTTCTTTCTTGCCATTGAAAGACTATATGTTCCTGGACTATCTTGAGTCCCCGGGATCTCAAAAATTTTTACCTAGGTCTCTTAGCTGGAGTGTTCTATTTGGCCCTAAGTTAATGCCAAGTTACTGAGAAATAACTATTCATATATTTATCAGAGAAGTGACAGGGAATACTTTTTCTTATCTTTTATTTCATTTTATTTTCTCATAGTTACCATATCCTGTTTGGAAATGTTCAGTCCAGAATGTTTGGGAATTTGGAATTTTCTCTGGGTCTTATACTCATTGTCTCTGCTACTTGGTTACCTGGGACTGTCACAGGGATTCCATCCTCAAAACCTTATAAAAACCTTTGCCTGCTTAATTGCCTCAAAGCAATTTTTGGAGGCTGTTTACCTGCTGTGAAGAAGTAATAAAGAGAAGCCTTCTGTTCTTTCCAAACTTCTTTATTTTAACAACATTGACCAAAAAAAAAAAAAAAAAAGAGAGAGAGAGTCTAGGTCAGTTGCCTTACTCAATGTTTGACACTCTTATTAAGTGGTTTGTTTCTTAGAAGTTTGCAAACCCCACAAAGTGGGATGGATGTCCCTGCAGCAGAATGTCTTATTGGGAGGAAGTTGATTAGAATCCACAATGTAGTTAGACATTCTGGTTACTAAATATTGTGTGCTGTGCTGCTGGTCTCTTATATAATAATGATTACTTTCTCCTCTTTCCCTGCCCCAGATTCCGCTAACCAAAGTTTTGTTTTTACCAGACTTTAATTGGAAGTATTTTGAATAGTTGCATTACAGAGTAGAATGATTTTTAAATTTAAGGTAACATATTGCAATTCCTGTAAATTCATTGACCAGTGCCCACCACAGGAATTCAGTTGATAACTTCTTCAGTAGGATGCAGCCTTCTCATAAGTTACTGGTTTTCCTAGCTCCCTAGACCCTTCCTTTTCCCTTCCCTTTATCTTCTGCTCTCCCATCTCTAGAGGCATGAACAGAGCACCACACTACAGCCTCTTTTACTTTATTTCAGAGGAAAATGTACCTTTTATTTCAACCTATCTAAACTAAATTACACATCTGGAAATCCCACCTTTAGTAGTCAAACAAGTATGCTAACTTATTTTCCAAGACAAAGAAGAGGTTGTCTCTTCTATTATTCTTTCAGGCTAATGGCACAAATTGAGTAGCTTTTAATTTATGTTTCTCCCTGGTGTAGTCTCAGATAAAATATGTTGCAGAAATAAATTGGACTTAGAGAAACCAATGCATTCTAAAGATATTTTACAACTTCCAAAGCAAACTGTAATCTCCCAAATAACTAACAAAGCAAATCCTGATGAGCTTGAGAAGGCAGGGCTCATGAGTTCAGGTTCAGAGCCCAGCCTTGATACAATGACCCCCAACTCTGCCAACACCCTGATGCTCACAGAATGTGCTATTTGCTGGACCACTCAGAGGGACTCTGCAGCATGTTGCTGACCTGAAAGCATAGCTTCACCATTTATTTGGACAGTCCTTCCCCAACAACAACATTCTTTACCAAGAAAAGACAGAGGAATGAAGCTTTGGAGATAAGCTGCAAGCGGTGAAGCAACGTCATGTCAGATGGGAAATACATTGCTGTTATGTGATCAGCTTTTGCAGAACTTAAAAAAAAGAAAATCCAAATATTCTGTTAAACAAACTTGCTTTCTACTCTGCTACAGAAGAGTAAGAAAAATAGCATTAGAATTTTTTTAAGCATCAACTGGGCACAGTGGCTCATACCTATAATCCCAGCACTCTGGGAGGACAAGGCGGGTGGATCACTTGGGGCCAGGAGTTTGGCACCAGCCTGGCCAACATAGCAAAAATCTAGCTCTACTAAAAATACAAAAATTAGCTGGGAATTGTGGTGCGCACCTGTAATCTTAGCTACTCGGGAGGCTGAGGCATGAGAATGGCTTGAACTTGGGAGGTAGAGGTTGCAGTGAGCTGAGATTGCTCCACTGCACTCTAGCCTGTGTGACAAAGCAAGACTCTGTCAAAAAAAAAAAAAAAAAAAAAGAGGAACTTTTTCTAGGCATCAGAAGCTGGTGTGGGCTCTTCAGTTAAATATACTGCAGTAGGTGCCGTTGATGCTCCACCTAAGCCCCCTCCTAATCTTCTCTTCGGCATACCCTAGCCTGACTCCTTGTGGCCAGCACTTACATTTCTTTGCCTGAGGGTTTTATCTGCTGTCAGAGCCTGGTTCCTTGCGTGCACAGCAGACCAGAGGTGCTGAAGAATTAACATCCTCCAGAGAAGCCTTCAACTAATGACTGCTGACTTTCCTAGAATCCCAGAGGGTTTAAGCGCTGTTCACCCACAGGTCCAGCTGGCTTGTCAAGACACCCTTTACCCGCCACCTGCCCTTTCTTGTCTTACTCCTCCCACCTCCTTACAGGTGTTCCTTTCACCTTCCATATAAACTCAAATACTGTTCTCAGGGTTTGTTTCTGGGAGTCTTACATATGTTATATGCTCTCTAGTACTGTCTGAATGGCTTTAAATAGATTTACACCTGTATAGTACAAACATGAGTCTTCTCAGATATTGTAAACCATTATTCAAAGCAGTTAATAAAATAAAAATTAGATATTCTTATTATATCTTTAGAAACCCTAAATAAATTCTCTCATAAGTAATTGATATACTTTTTTTATTTCATTTTCCTGGAAGGAAAAGCAACACGAACCAAATTGTTCTTGCTATGACAATATTAAAATATGATTAAAAGTGTCATATTTTATACTCGTCCTAGGGTAAACAACCAAAACCCAATTTATGTCTTCTGTATTATTTAATATTACTGTGGAAGAACATAGGGGATGACACTGTTGAACAGTGTAATTTGAGTGTGGAAAACAGGGTATTAAATAGCATCATATAAAGCAGGAAGCTAGCAAACCAGTCGGAAATATTAGAAAACTCATTAGTTAACCATATTAAGGCACGAATTATATTTTCTCTTTTACATTTAAAAATCAATAATACTGGTTACCTGTTAATTGGTAGCCTTGGGTATAGGAGAAGAAATGTTCATACAACTTTGGGACAACTCTAATAAACTTTACCCAGGTGATATGGTCTGACCTTAGTCTAGAAAACAAGTTGGCAAACTCTGGCCCTTGGGCCAAATCCAGCTTACTACCTGTTTGGTAAATACAGTTTTATTGGAACACAGCCATATCCATTTGTTTACATATGTTCTATGACTGTTCTCATATTACAACAGCACGCTGGAATATTTGAGACAGAGAACTTGTGGGCCTCAAAGCCTAAAATATTTACTAATTGCCCTTTACACAAAGCAGTTTGCTGATCGTTGGTTTAGAACACTAGAGTATAAAGTATTTCTAAACATAAGCATCAAAAAACTCATGAATACATTGCATAACTATACATCCTGTGGCATGTTATTTTAAAATTTTTATTTAGAAAATGTAATTTTTATTTATAAAATTTTAATAGATAATTTGCAAAAATAGTATGGAGAGTTCTCCTGTATATATCATCATGCTTCCCCTAATGCTAACATCTTACATAACTATAGTGTAATTATTGAAATTATGTAATTAGTATTGATATAAAATAATCTATATACCTTATTTGTATTTTACCACTTTCCTCATAATGTCCATTTTTTGTACTTTTTCAATGCAGGATCATTGCACGTGGGTATCTTCTTGCTCTCCTCCAATACTGGACAGGCATTCAGTCTTCTGTTGTTTTTCATGTCCTTGGTTTGTTTGGAGAATACTACTCGGTTATTAAGTGCTTCCCAATTTGGGTTTGCCTGATGTTTTCTCATGATAAGATTGAGGTTATAAACATTTGGCAGGAATACCACAGCAACGAGAATATACCTTTCCAGTGAATCATATTATATTGTTGATATGTCCTATTGCTGCAATATTAACTTTGATCCCATCACTAAGGTGGCATCTGCCAGGTTTCTTCACAGCAAAGTAACACATGAGAAATACTTTGAGACCACGAAATATCCTGTTTTTCATCATACTTTTGTCCACTAATTTTAGTATCCATTGTTGTTACCTGCAACAACTATTATTTTGGTGTTTGTTTAATGATGACTTTATAGTTCCCTCATTTTTTCTAATGTAAGTAAAGTCCTTTTTCCCCATTTAATTATTCACTTATATCAGAAGGGACTCATGGGGGTTTATCTTATTTTACAGGTTATAATCTAATACTACCAATGTTTATTTTGTTACCCAGACTGTCTCAGCTTTGGCCATTGGGAAGTCCTTCCAGTGGATTATTGGATCCTGTGCCCTTTTGACATGCTTTCTTCCCTTATTAATTTTTTGTTTGTTTTGGGTCTTACTTCCGGGTTTTCTGTCATCACAAGTTGTTCCAGGCTTGTATTGTACATTTCCTCTTCAAGCCCTAAAACCAGCCATTTCTCTAAGCATTCATCGTTCCTTTTATTGGAGACTGGTATTTAAAATCAAGCTTTGAGTACTAGGTATACCTTGTGCTATTAAGCTATCATTGTTTCTAGGAAGACAGAGCTAGGAAATATATTTGTGAGCACTTTTAAGTGAAATATTCAAAAAACTTGTACCATTCATGTAGAAAAGGCAATAATATGAGATATAAAAGCAAGTCATAGTCTCCTGTGCATGCAGGTCCACGGAGGCTGCAATGTCAAAATGCTATTACTACAGATTATTTTCAGATGCTCTGCTACAGATATCAGAGAAATTTAAGCAAAGTGATGTGCAAGGAACATATGTTAGTATGAAGTAAACTGAATCCCCTTTTTTATTTTTATTTTTTATTTTACTTTAAGTTCTCGGATACGCGTGCAGAATGTGCAGGTTTATCACATAGGTTTACATGTGCCATGGTGGTTTGCTGCACCTATCAACCCATCATCTAGGTTTTAAGCCCCACTTGCATTAGGTATTTGTCCTAATGCTCTCCCTCCGCTTGCCTCTTACCCCATGGTAGGCCTCAGTGTGTGATGTTCCCCTCCCTGTGTCCATGTGTTCCAACTGTTTAATTCCCACTCCTTTTCGAAGCAGGTGTTCAGCTCTACACCAGTGAATTTCATAAAATTTCCTCTACTCATCACAGGAATTTCAAGGACTGTCAGAGATGATATTCTTTTAATTTATTTAGATGTAGGAAAATGCTTTTTGAAAAGTTAAATTTGCCTCCTTCATGGGAAAAATAAATGTGGAAAAATTTGAGAATTTGTAGAAGTTAAGTTCAGATCTATTTAACAGACACAAAAGATTGCAAAAAAAAATTACCTGTAATTAAGGTAGAGGTTGCCATTTTCTCAGGGCAAAATATGGAAAACAGATTGTACCTCATTTAAAGCTTTGTCCAGTATATATGCAGATAATTAATGAAAGTGTACGTATTGACCTGGAGAATGCCAGAGAAGAAAATGTGTTTCAGATGCAAGAACTATATATAAGGTTCAGATAATTAACAAATCTGAAGAAGAAAACCAAATTTGCTCCTCACTCTGATAAATGAAAAATGAACTAATGAATGGAAGCTAACCAAAGAATGAAAGAAATATCTACTGTTCAAACACACTAGTAATAGTAAGAATGGGTAGAGTCCATGATAGCCACAGTCTCCTGATGCCAACTGGAAGGATCTCTAGAAAGGCTTTGAGAAGGGTTGGATGATAGGATGTTTATGCATGGCTCTCTCTGTAAGGGCTTTAATGAACAAAAAGGTGAGCACCACAGACCAAAGAGACTCTGAGAGAGTTGGTGGAATGGGAGTAGAGATCACTGATTATAAGAATGTTGGATAATTTGTGGGTCAAACTAAGTCCTAAATTTAGTTGAAACTGAGGTAATCATACAAACTTTTTAAGCTTATGTGTCAAATGACAGAAAATTATACATATACCACATACGTTAATGTTGCATTTGGAGTGTTTGAGTTTTCATGGTTTTTAGATATGCCAATAGTCAGCAGTCAGCTTACCATCATTCTGAATAAATGCCAACAGGCAGAGTGGCTGGAAACAATGCCCAACTTTGGAGTAAATTTAATCTTGACACAATTGAGTGGGAGAGTGCTAAACTATTTTTTAATTATCATTTCAACCTAAATATCAATCAGAATTTTGAATACAACCTAGCCGTTATTTTCATGGCTTATCTTCAAGCTATTATTAGAAACCTACAAGCATTTAAACCTACATCACATTTCTTATTTTTTTATTTTTTATGTTAATCTAAATAATAAACTTACTTTCATATATAATGTACATATTTCATATGTTAATACATAAGGTAAAGTGGTTTTGTGGAAGTTGATTAAACCTAGATTTGCAATGTATATGAAGTAGCAGAATTTTCTCCTTTTATTTAGAGAGTAACCTACCACCTGCTCTTAAAACATCAACTGCCTTACACAATATCAACACATTGTTTTTTTAAATTTTTTCTCTAATACAATATTTTATTTCAATAAAATGCACTTTTGAAATTTTAATATGTTTTACAGCACTTGAGACATTAAATGAACACAGCTTTTAATAGCTGGTTATATGGAATTGACTATTGGAAATTTAAAGAATAGCCTATATCAAGTTGTAGTTAATATTTTTATTCTCACAAACATTCTTTTACTATTTGTACAAAATGACTGGTAGAACTGTCATTTTCATCCAAACAGAATCAATTGTCCTCTTTATGTAGTAATTGTCCACTAGCTTGTTCAACACAGTTCTCAAAGTCAATTTGTCAGTTTTGTGACCCTGAGAATAGAACTCAGTATGGATGAAAAGAGAATATTTTGGTTTTATTTATTTAAATAGATGGTTACATCATTGTAACTGATTTAAGGAAATATCATGTTCTTAAATTCATATTGTTTTCAAGTATGATTTCATGAACTGCTTAGGTATTTATTGGAAGATATTAAAATCTTAAAGTTTTATATTTAAGATAGGTATATATTTTCTATGGATTAGCGGTTTTATATCTAGAGTCTTTATACTTAAGCATTCTGTAACAAAACATTAATAATTATTTTTTAAAGATTTTAAACAGAAAACTTTCTTAAGAACAATTTAGCCACATTTTATTCATGATGATTAGGTAACAAACAAATGAGTCTACAAAAAGTGGTCATAGAAAGATGTATCTAAGTTAAGGTACATACATATGTTTATATTTAAATGTATATCTGGATATATATGCATATATATTTATATACACTGTGTATTTATGCATGTATATACATACACACATATGTATGTGTGTGTGTGTGTGTGTATATATATATATTTGTATTTGTAAAAAATCACAAGAGTATTGTCTTTACTTACAATTAGAAAAACGAATATAATAAATTCATCCAGATTCATTTTATGGCGTAAGTGTGACATGGTTAAGGTGGTCAAATCATTTTAGAATACTATTCAGTTCAAAGTAAAATAGTAACACAATAGCTTCTGCTGTACACAGGGTTTAGTGAATAAATTAATATATAACCATTAAAACTTCGATTTCAAAGTAAAAATTTAAGAGCAATTTCACATATGACAGACTCACTGCACACTTTTGCTTTCTTCCAGTTGTTTTTAACAAATACTTTATAAGAAAATAACTAATTTTGGCTTTATTACACATGAAAGAATGCTGTATTATAAGGTAGTTATTATAAAATCTTGTGTATAACAAATGATTTCTACAACTAGACTCACAGTGTACAATAACACTGCTTCACAGCATGGAGTCAATGAAATGTCCGTAGCTTTTAGCAAAGATACATTTTAAAGCCACATACATCTAGCAATTATTAAGAAGAAAATATAATTTTTGCTCAAGTTGATCAGTGGTTCTGGGGAGTTCAAGTATACTGTTGAGAAGCTACTAAAGTTATGACTTTTTTTCAGTTTTTAAAAACACAATGTACTTTAAAGAATTGCTTAGTAAGCAAACTTCCTTAGCATGCATAATCAACTAACTTAATTTTAGTCATTTTTAATTTTCACAAACCACTGTTTCATGAGTTGTGTAATTATCTAAACAATGTTTTGAAAGCATTTGAAACATCTAAAAGACAAAGGAATCCTTTAATATGTGAAATAACAACACAAACTGTGAATTTTATTACCACTAAAAAAATTCCTACCTTGCCTTTTTTAGGCTTTAGTTTAGCTAACAATCACCATACTCCTTAAACGCTTCATGTTTCCGATACAACTGGCAGGGGCCAGCATTGTGGGCAGTAAAAGTATTTACCAAGACTGTTGTGTGTAAAGAAAGGCAGGTTTATTAGAGAAAGTACCAAAATATGTTGTGAGAGTGCAATGGGCAGCACAGTAGAGAAGGGGCTGTCCGCAAGGAGACAGGGGCTGGAGGGAAGTTTTATAGGGTCATGCTGGAAGGGTTACATGCAGATCAGTTGCTGCTGCTGAGGCTGTATGTGGAGTGAGATATTTGGGAACAGGATGTTGTGCCAGCAAGTTGTTTGTGTTAGCCATCTCTCAGAACAATTGTTCCCCACCTGGTTCCACTTCCTTTTTGTTGCTTACTTGTTTTACCAGGACTCTACACTTTCTACGATTCTTTATTTATTTTTTATTTTTTTTGAGATGGGGTCTCACTCTGTCGCCAGGCTGGAGTGCAGTGGTGCGATCTTGGCTCACTGCAACCTCCACCTCCCGGGTTCAAGTGATTCTCCTGATTCAACCACCAGAGTAGCTGGGACCATAGGCATGCACCATCACGCCCAGCTAATTTTTGTATTTTTAGTAGAGACGGGGTTTCACCATGTTGGTCAGGATGGTCTTGATCTCTTGACCTCGTGATGCACCCACCTTGGCCTCTCAAAGTGCTGGGGTTACAGGCAAGACAGATTCACTGAGATATAATTCACATATCATATTGTAAAATTCCTAGGAAGAAGCCCAACCTCAGCAAAACAAAAACCAGTTGGATTCAGAGATGCCTAAGTAGGAGATAAACTTTTGATGAATCCTCCTCATTACCATATTAAAAACCCAGCCCAAGGAGGAGCTTATTTACCATTTCTATCCACAGGACATAAGTAGAAGCATAATCACTGCACCTGCACTGTCTTTACTGACTTCTACATGCAATGATTCAGCTATTAGCCCAGTAAAAGCCCAGCTTCCACCTTTGTTTGGAGAGGTACTGCTTTGGGGAATTATTTCCATGTCCTCCTTACTTATTGCAAGTAATAAATTCTTGTTAAATCTTCATTGGATGTGGTAATTGGGTGGATGAACCCACCCATTGTGTGAATTATAGTACAATTTACCATTTGAAGTGTACAATTTAGTAGCTTTTAGCATATTAACTGATTTGATCAATCATTATAGTCACAGAAATGTTTTGCAGGAACAAGGAATTCATAGATTATCACACACACAAATACTTCACATTCAAAAACTCAGAGCCTATCTTGAATGCCTGCATATTAAGTATGCTGAATACCACACTTTTTTTGCAAAGGATAACTTAAAGATTTTTAAATAAATCCAGTTTGGTATGCTGGAGCCAAAGTTGCACAAACAGGTAAAGAAAGACTATTCAAGGCTATGGCAATACAAGAGAAAGTCCAAACTCAGTTTGAGCTCACTTCTGCTGAAACAAAGGGCTGGAGACTCTTTAAGAGGTGGAGTAGGAAGATTATAGGGCATCTATGTTTGCTAATTGGCGTTACTCAAATGAAAAATAAACATTTCCATACCTTCATGGCAGAAGGTAGTTTTACAACTTGGTGTCCACTGAAGTTAGGCTTCTCTCCTCTGACAGAAACTGGGAGATGAAGGAGCTATCTTCCCTTATGATTACATTTCAAAGGAATGGTCCCAAGTTCTTGAGAAAGTCCTGCAATATAAAACTGGCAAGAAAATTTTTAAAAGATTTATATCTCAAAGGGGCAGAAAAAGAACTCACATGTTTCATAAATTAAATGTAAGCAAAAGAAAGTCAGGCTAGAGACAGGAATATGCCTCTCTAAGGTTTAGTCAGTCTTGGGGGCACACCTGCAGGTCACCACCTTATTCAGAAATCTGGTGTAATAGGGTACTCTCCCCTTCAAGATGGAACTAAATAAATCACTGCTTAGCATTTTTTTTTTCTGTGAATAGTCCTCTGGGTTTGAATTCTCAGGGCCCGGTACGACAGGTCAGAGCAACTGATGACTTGCAGGTCAGTTGTTAATCTGGCAGATCAGATTCTTCTTTTCACTTCCAACTATCCAACCCCACCCACCACCCCACAAACAGAATTATAGGTAGAGTCACTACATTTAGAAAATTGACATGTTTGACTGAACTCTGACTTTGCTAATTGAAGTTTTGGCATCAACTACAAAATTCATGTATCACTGCCTTGCCTTTTGCTGACATCTACTGGCACTTTCATGAAAATATACTGAATTTGGGCTATTTAAAAAAAATCACACTGGAAAAAGACAGTCAGATGTCCACCTCTAGCCTGACAGAGTGACAGGTACTGTTCTTGCCCTCCCGTCACGAGGGACTATAAAACCGGACAACATACGAGGCAATGGTTTTCTTGCATTGAACAAAAGGCAGTGCAAAACCATGCTCTTTAAGAGAAAACGGTGTATGAACCGCATTGATCACCCTTTCTGCCTGGGCACTTTCGGGGCACGTTGCCAGGAGGTGCAGCTCAAGTCAGTGGGGTCTTGCTGAACTGAGATGACACAGTTGAAGTACTGACTGCTGAAGCAGCTGGGATTTGGGAAACCGGTATATCAGAGAAGAGGCAGTTGCACAGAGGGAGACTGGGGAAGTCTTAGTGTGGATTCTCAGCAGGTCTCCTGGGCTGGGTTGTGGGTGTGCTGGAAGAGATCCTGTGAGGCTTAACAGTAAGCTATTGCTGTGAGGCTCCCAGGGACCGTGACTCCCTGCCCAGGAAGAGTGAAGCAGCCCGGTTGAGCACCTTGGACATTCTATTTAGACTCCACAAAGGACAGGTTTTAAAGCTAAGGATCAAGCTCCAAAATAAGGATGTAGGCCTAAGGATTAAGTTAGAAACTGAAATTGATTACCATAGTAAAGAATAAAACCAAACCTGACAAGCTCAAATGTAACCCCAGTAACTGAGTGCCTGCCAGAAAAAAACTCAGCACCCTTAAATGGAGACGACATGATCCATTCTCCTTATACTCCAAGGCCTTGAGGAATTCAAGTTAATTTATAAGGATTGAGGTTTAGAATGAAAAAAATATTTGAACCAGGGCTGATTTTACCCTCAATTAAAGTAATAGAATCTGTAAAGGATTGAGAGCCCATGATCTGCTCACCCAGTTGTCCAATCCCTGGTGGAAAATCCTGGGTCTTAAGTAACAATTTGAGTGAAGTGGAAAGTGAGTGGTATGCAAAGCACTTTAATTCTGCAAGGTATGGTACAGCTCAAGGTACAGTAATCCATGGGGGAATAAGGATGGTGCTATGAAAGGCCCAATGATGAAAGGAGCTTATGGAAATGTTGTATATGAGGAGATTAAAGAATGGGTTGACTTCCAAATTGGGTTGCATTACAGATAACTGGAGTGATTACCCTGAAGTCTCAGCAGCTTTACTAAAATGCCATACTGGAATGGATATAAATGAGTGAATGGTCATGTTGTCTTTATTCTTTACATCAGGGATATTGTCTAAGCCTGTTCTTTTCCTAGTTTTAATTGATCATGCTAAGTAACAACTTATCTGGAGGGTAGCAAGAGATCACTCCTCTGGTTAAGAGAATGGTTATAGTAGGAGTATTATTTCCTACTAAATTCCCCTTTAATAGTCCTATTTGGTCATTATGCAAAGCAGACATTCTGGAAGTTAAGAGTAGAGGATTAAACAAGATGGTATCTTCATTTGCTTCAGCTGTATCGTATATAGAAAAGACTGTACAGGAAGGGTGAGAGAATCAACCAGGGACTGGCATGTCTCTACAGGCCTAGCTAATGCTTTCCTTTCCATACAGAATTGCAGTCTAGCCAGGCTCTGTTTGCAATGTTTTGAATGGAACCCAGTATACATTTGCTGTTTTCCCAAAGGGATATGTGAAGATATGGGCATGTTGTCATAATTAGATGAGGATAAACTTGGAAATGATAACCATTAAGGACCAGTTAGTGCATTACATTGAAGATGGCATGATAATTGCCTTCTTCTTGGAGGAATAAGCAAGGGGAGTTAAGAACTGTAGTTACTTATTCGACAAATAAAGGCTGACTGATAAATACAGCTAAAAGTCAAGGCCCATTGAAATTCCTGGAAATTACATAGGTTGGAACAAACAGGAACATTGTCATTTGTGGTTTAGGGCATGGACTATGGCTTTAAACTACAGATCTATTCTGACAGCTGTATTTTATAAATGATAAAAGTAATATTTAGACAGTGAAGTTTACAGAGATACTTGAAGGCCAAGGAGAGTCTAAAATTCAAGTTCTGTTACTACTAGTGTAGTAAATGAGTTTTCAATTTGTTTGTATTGTGAAATATTTCAATATCATGAAGAAAATATTTAACAAATATCCATTCACCCATCATGCAGATAAATAATCCTTAATTTTTTCATATTTACTTAAGATTACTTAAATATAACATTCCATATGCTCTTAAAAATATCCTTTGAAATATTTACTCATTACTCACCCTCCTTCTCAAGAAGGAAATTGTTAATCCTAAAACTAATGTGTATCTTGCCTGTCCACATTTTTACTTTTTTATTACGTATATGTGAATTCTCACTTTCAGTTCTAGTCATCTAGAGATTTATTGATCTACTATTGTGCCAATATCCCAGTATCTGGATTACTTGAGTTTTATGGTAAATTTTATTATTCTATAGGGCAAGTTATTCTTCTTTATACTTCAAAATGACTTGACTATTTCTGGTAGCTCCTTTGTAAGAAGTTTGAAATCAAATTGTAAAGTTTCAAAAAGTAAACTAAAAACACCTGTTGATAATTTGATTGAAATTGCTTTGAATTTCTAGGTTGATTAAAGGAACACTCTATTGTAGATATTGAGTCTTGTTTTAGTTGAGCATAATCTGCTAACTATGATTTGAATTATATGCCTCAATGTCCACACAGGAGTGTGGTATTAAATATAATTTTATATTACTGTTTTTATTTTTATTTTATTTTATTTTTTTGATGTAGTCTCACTCTGTCACCAAGGCTGCAGTGCAGTGGTGCCATCTCGGCTTACTGCAACCTCCATCTCTGGGGTTCAAGCAATTCTCCCGTCTCAGCCTCCCAAGTAGCTGGGACTACGGGCACCTGCCACCACGCCTTGCTAACTTTTGTATTTTTTTTTTTCAGTAGAAATGGGGTTTCACCACGTTGGTCAGGCTGGTCTCAAACTCCTGACCTCGGGTGATCCACCCACCTTGGCCTCCCAAAGTGCTGGAATTAAAGGCGTGAGCCACCGTGCCTGGCCTTATTCTGGGTTTATTGAAACAGAATAGATACGTAAAATGGATTGTAAGATTTCTTTTTTTACATGCTGTTTTAAAGTATAGTTTCTATCAAGTTGGGATTATCTCTTCCTTCAGGGTGTGTAAAACCCATCTGTAAAACCACCAGGACCTGATATATGTTCCTCTTGGCAGGGCAATAAAGTTACTTAATCAACTTCTGTTATTTTTTATTGAAAACTACACTGAATGCTAAATGTCCACCTTTAAAATAAACAAGTATAGTAATGGTAACTCACACTAAAACAAAACATACTTCTGATAGCCATTATTTTTCTGTTTGGAACAATTTTAAAGTTTTTCTTTTGTCACTAAAATAGGAATGTACCTATACAGAGGCTCAAAATAGGCCATCTTTTTAAATAAAAAGACAATGATTCACAAAGGACTATGAATCGAGCATGTAACTAGTTGATACAAATCTAATAGGATTTGTTAAAATCAATCACATCTAATATCTCTGAAGTGTTCTTCTGTAAAATACCACGTGAAGAAAAGAAGGTTTTATTAATGTTTAAAAAAAGTGGGTTTGTTTATAGACAATCTGACAAGTTTCCATAAAAAGTGTTTCCTGAGGCATAAGGAAATGCAACATTATTCTTCTTGAACCCTTTTAGCTCAAGACTTTCCACTCAGTAAAATAGCAGAAGATCTGAAACTGAGAAAGTATATCTGAGTGCAAACAGCTTGTGAAACTTAATACTTTTTTTCGCATCATCAGAAGGTTTTACTGAACTTAAACCAACTTGCCTGCTCAGTATGCAGTTCAGGTGTGAGAGACTTCTCTGTACGGAAGCCTGTACTGTCTTCAATCCTATGCGTGCAAGTGTCTACCACAGGCAAACAGTTTTCTCCCCATTTTGTAGTCATGTGATCTTCCTCTTAGCAAAAAGCGGTAACCAGCCCCTGTAGACCAATGGAGATTTCCTCTTAGTATTTTGTATTTTGATGTTTGAACTCTTGATGCAACATTCTAGAGCAGGGTGTTCAGGACCTGCTGTGGCCAAAGGACTGATGAAGGAAAAAGCGCCATTCATTCTTGGTGATTAAGGTGAAAAACTTAACACATAATGACAGAAGTAGGTCGTCAATAAATCACATCCTAGTCTTTCAGCGCTTCTGTAAGCAGACGACATCCAATTTTCTACCTCTTGTAGTTTTAACACTGCAACATCAATAATGCATATGTCCAGAATCAGCTAAAAAGACCGTCAGATTCGTTTTCTCTGAGTTCATCAATTTTTCACTGTCTCTTGGCCGCAAGTGTATCTGAATGATTACCTTCCGGCATTCTCTGCTTTGTTCGTTGGGGTGCTCTGGATTGTCCCCGTGTTTTGTGGGCTGGTTGGGAGAGGGAGCTTGGGAGGGATGTGCCACTGTGGGGAGGTTGTGAGTCACTGGGATGCCTCCAGGGATGATCCCTTCTGTGGCTGCGGGAAGTCCTCCTGGAGCCACGCACACGAAGCCTGGCAGATATCTGTATGTGGCACCATTAAGCTCGGGATGAATTGCTTGCTGGTCTATTACTGACCAAGGAGCTGATGTGACAAAGAATTCCTTGTTCACACAGTTTCTTAAGCTTTCTGGGATGCAACCTGTGATGGTTCGTCGGATCTCGGTGGCAGCCGCCTCCCTCATCTCCAGGGACACCTGGATGGGGGGCAGCGTGAGGAGTGCAGATGAGATTCCGGGCATCCTTCAAGGAACCCTGAGCAAAGCTAAAGAGCTCTGACTGGGGCACGTCGAGAGCTGCCCTCTTATCTTGCCATTATTGAGGGCCTGTGCTAAGGCTTTCTCGTCCACCAGGGCACCACGGGCTGCGTTCACAAGGAATGCTCCCTGACTCATCTAGTTTATAGTCATAGTCATTGATGTGGTGGTGGTTATGTTTGTTGAGCTTGCAGTGCAAAGAGATGCAGTCACTTTGACACAGCAAATCCTGCAGGGTGTAGACCCTCTGCACGCCCAGGGACCGCTCTATCCCATCCTGCAAGTAAGGATCATAAAATATGACGCTGAATCCAAAGGCCTCGGCTCGAACTGGAACCGCTTGCCCCGTGCTACCAAAGCCGATGAGGCCCCTGCGTCTCCCCACCGATGTGAGCCCCTCCCAAGGCCACCTCTCGGATCTGCCCCATGCTGTAACACACGTGCCTTCTGGCCATGCCTGGCACAGCCACGTGTTCCTCCGGTACAGACTGAGGATGTGGCAGATGGTTGAGTTGGCTGTCTCTTCCACAGCTGCGGACGGGATGTTGCACACAGCAATCTCAAGCTCGCAGGCAGCCTTGATGTTCACATTGTCGTAGCCACTGCCTATGCGCACGATCACTCCCAGGGCCTTGAACTTCTCCAGGTCCGCCCTGGCGAGGGTGATGGTGTGATACCTCATGGCGCCCAGGGCTTCATGTAAAATCTTCTCGTGGATCTCCTGCGTGGAGTGCGTATCACAGAAGGCCATGGTGGCCAGGTCCTTTGGGATGGGCATCTCCACGGTGCAGTTGCGCAGTCCAGCAGTGCCACCCGGGGGGGTGGTGGAGTGCAGGGGGCCGTTCATGACCTGGGGGAGGATACTTTCACAAATTCGGTGCACTCGCTGTCTCTTAACTTCTGCTTATCCACACGGGCCATTCTTTATGGAACTTTGCAACTCTCAGATCAAAAGGCAAAGTAGTCCTCTAAGAACCTGGGGAACTCTCAGGAGTCTGCACGCATGACGCCACTATGAACCCAATATAAATCTGTCCACAAACTCTATAGTTTATACGATGGGCTGTCCGTCTTTTTAAGCAAATATGGCTTCATTCATTCAAAACCGTTTAAGATGATGAAACCCGTTTGCTTGCAACTCGGCCACCATCGCTCATTCAATTAACTAACCTCACCACCACCCCAGGTCTGGAGCGCCCGGAGTCCGCGACTGCTGGGGGTGGAGGCAGCTCTGGCCCGGTGCTGCCAGGTCCCTGCCCCTGCTCCGAGCCACTGGCGCGGGCTGGGTCCCACCCCGGTGTCCCGTGTGGTCTCGCAGCTCCTCCCCTGCTGGGGCCCCGCTGACCAGAGGGGCACCGGAGACCTCGCTGGCATGAGGGGCCGTCTGGCTGGACCCCCGCCACCTTGGGTCCGAGCTGGCTGGTCCAGCACCACGTTTTTTACTTTCTTCTAATTTTCTTTTCTTCTTGAGAAAATTATGGTAAGATACTTTTAAAAATTACTGGCATCCGTTTTTTTCTTTGAATTTTATTATAATATAAAAAATCATAGCCGGGCGCAGTGACTCATGCCTGTAATCCCAGCACTTTGGGACGCTGAGGCGGGCGGATCATCTGAGGTCGGGAATTCGAGACCAGCCCGACCAACATGGAGAAACCCTGTCTCTACTAAAAAATACAAAATTAGCCCGGCGAGGTGGCACATGTCTGTAATCCCAGTTACTCAGGAGGCTGAGGCAGGAGAATCGCTTGAACCTGGGAGGCAGAGTTTGCGGTGAGCCGAGATGGCACCATTGCACTCCAGCCTGGGCAAAAAGAGAGAAACTTCGTCTCAAAAAAATAAAATAAAATAAAATTTAAAAATAAAATAAAATAACTTTAAATATCTTTAGAATCTGTATTTGAGGCACCTTTTCATTGCAGGGGCTAACTTGTACTTCTATGGTTTTATGGATCATTTTCCTAGAGGTTTGTTTTAGTTATTCAGATTATCTGGGAAATACTCAATTTGGTAAGAGGATTTCAATTTCTTAAATAGTAATATAAATTTAATATTAAACTTATGTCAGCAACATAGAAGTCGTATATTTTTGGAAGTCAAAAATTTCATACAAGTATTTCTTTTATCAAGGCACAATATTAAATTGTTACAAGTTTTTTTCTTTTTAAAAATTTTATTTGTATAATCTTAAGGGGTACATGGTCAGTTTTGTTACATGGATATATTGTATAGTGGTAAAGTCTTGGCTTTTAGTGTAACTATCACCAAATAATGTTCTGTTAGGTAATCTCAGAAAACCTCACACCACTTCTTCAGCTCTTCTCAGACAAGAAAGTTGATTCCCTTACAGCTGAGTCCTGGTCTAGGAAAACTTATTAACTCTTTGGTTGTTTTCCTTGTCCATGGAGAGGGAGAGAAAACTCAACCCCAAGTTTACCCATTGAATGGAGTTCTAGAGAGAAGGGGCTGTTACCAGTTTCTTATTCTTTCTCTGAACTCAAATAGATCAATCTCTTGTTGGTTCTTTTATGTAGCTGGCTTTATGTTTTCTCAATTTAGTTGATGCCATCCATGGGCTATGGAGAAATAAAATAAGCTCTTTAACTAAAATATAAGTCATTTACATTAGATCTTTAAGTATCCTTAAAATGATTTTTGCTTATATAGTTGGCCCTCTGTATCTGCAAAGCATCCTCAGATTCAACCAACCATGGAATGAAAACATTTTTTTAAATGAAAAATAAAACAACAACAACAAAAAAAACAACAGAGTATAACAACTATTTATGTAACATTTACATTGTTTTAGGTATCATAAGTACTCTTGAGCTTATTTAAAGTATACAAAAGAATGTATATAGGTTGTATGCAAATACAACACCACTTTATATAAGGAACCTGAGCAACCTCAGATTTTGTTGTTCATGGGTGTCCTGGAATCAATCTTCCTCACATACTGAGAAATGATTGCATTCTATAGTTCTAAATTGCATGTTTCTTTTTGCTCAGGGAGAGATATGATTAAAACAGATTCAGCAATTTTCATTCAGGAATGAATACAGATGTTCCTCGATATGGTTTGGCTATGTCCACACCCAAATCTCATCTTGAATTGTGGTTCCCATACTCCCCATGTGTCCTGGGAGGGATCTGGCAGCGGGAGGTAATTGAATCACCGGAGCGGTTACTCCCATGTTGCTGTTCTCATGATTGTGAATGAGTTCTCATGAGATCTGATGGTTCTATAAGGGGCTTTTCTCCCTTTCGCTCTGCACTTCTTGCTGCCACCATGTGAAGAAGGACGTGTTTGCTTCCTCTTCCACCATGATTGTAAGTTTCTTGAGGCCTCCCCCACCATGATGAACTGAGTCAATTAAACCTCTTTCCTTTATAAATTACCCAGTCTCGGTTATGTCTTTATTAGCAGCATGAGAATGAAATAATACATTCCTCTACTTAACAATGGGGTTGTATCCCAATAAATCCATAGTAAATTGAAAATATCATAATTGGAAAATACATTTAATATACCTAGCCTACTGAACATCACAGCGCTGCCTAGTCTACCTTAAAAGTGCTCAGAGTGCTTATATTAGCCTATAATCGGGCAAAATCATCTGGCAACACAGTACCCAGCAGAGTATTGATTATTGACCCTCCTGATTGCGGAGCTGACTGGGAGCTGTGGGCTTGTTTTCCAGCATTGAACAAAAGGATGGCATTGCATATCGCTAGCACAGCAAAAGAACAAAATTCAAAATTTGAAGTTTGTTTTTTTCTGAATTTGTATTATTTTTGTATTATCATAGAGTCAAAAAATTATAAGCAGAAACTTCATAAGTCAGAGATCATCTGTAATTGCTTCTCTAGACATTAGATGGCTTTCTTCAACAGCATATATTTTCTATCTAAAACCTGTATCCAAATTTCATAGATCATAGTGTTAACATATTCATCGCCCAGACAAAAACCTCTTTTGGTCATTTGGATACTTTACTTAAGCTCAAAGTAAATATTTAATCTTTCATCAGTTGTTGTGGAAAAACAAAATGTTGTATCCAATAAATGTGTAGTATGGTGACTTCTTTTGATCTAAATATGTACATTCTTTGAAAATGTTTACTTATATATTATTGCATTTGCATTTTAATTCTTCATTTATATTTATGTTAAACTACTTTAATTTGCATTTATCTACAAAATTATAATATGGAAGGAGCTTTTCATTGAAATATCCATTAAAGCTTAAGTCTATATAATTTGATTATTATATTTAATTTTCACAACATAACATTTACTAAAATAGTGAAGACACACACACACACACACACCCATATATGTATATGTATATGTAAAACTAAATTTATTGTCTCTAGAAAGTAGCCGATTCCTTGATGGCTATTCTGGGGATAGAGCTCAAGGAGGTCAGACTTTTCTATTTAACTTTATTGGCATATAAACCAGTGATTCAACTTTAAGTGCATTTTTAATCCAGTAGCAATACTTTAAAAAATAATATTATGATCACACTCTTAAAAATTCTGACTTAGTTTGTCTTTGGGGAGTCCATGCATTTGTACTTTTAACAATTGCTCCGGAAAAAAAACACTGGACTTGACCAACATACAAGTATCATGACCCAGAGTTAAAGAACTACCAACAGGAAATCAAGGTCAGAACACCCAAAGCACTGAGCCTCAGCCAAGTAATCTTTGTCTAATTGAGTACAGCAGAAAACTGCTAAATGATTGAGGAGAATGTCATTAAAACCTTGGCACCATAATGTGTTAAAGGTAGTCAAAGTCATTATATTTTAAAATTCTGGTTTTGCTTCCTAATTATACACCCACTTAAAACCGTGGAATTCAGTATATTACATGACTTCTTTAGGGCCATAGCCAATTAATGAAAGAACCACAATTTGCCTCTGATTACATGTAATTATGCTATAAGTGTAGTTTATGTACTGTATGTTCTTTGTATTAGACTATCACACATTCTTTACCATTTATCTTCTTTACCATGAACAGGAGATGAGAAATGTCACCTGTTGTATAAAGAAATACAGAGAATAACTATTCTCTACAATTCTAAATTTTATCATCCTATATTATTATCAAACCTTGAAGCATTACCTTTATATAACTGAGCACATGATATTCATGGATATACTAGGCATCACTATACTCCTGTTATTACCAGAAATAGAGTAAAACACCATCCCCAACCCAGAAGCAATTATTGTCTCGTGAGAGAAGCAGATAGCCAAGCATATCATTTCAATGCAATGTATTCAGTACTATCAGTGAACATATGTGAATTATATTTTTGATGGTCATGTTATTGGCACTAGTTACAAAGTGAAATTCCAGAAATAGTCTCTGTCATTGTAGAGTGGAATATAAGAAAAATATTAAAAGAGGAATTATGATTTGGGAAGAAATTCTTATGAGTGGTCTAAACCAGTAGTGGGAATATATATGTAAAGACAGGAGTCATAGCTCAGATGACTGTCTCCAAAAGCCAACTGAGCAAGAGCTTTCTCTTCTGCTTTAGGTAAACAAAACCATCAAACTGGTAATAATTGTGTACTGAGCATGACAGTAGCTTCTCAGTGAAGAACATGGTAGGAATTTTTGTAGCCCAAAGAAACAAGAGCCTAGGAGGATCATTGGATCAAGGGCAAGTTGTTCACTAGGGTTTGATATCATAACACTTGATGGGATGGTTAGAAAGACAACTTACTTTAAAGGCGTACTCAAATTGAGTCTTTTGGAGCAACATGTTGCACTGCCATTTTCTGTTAGGTTCATCTTATTACAAAATATGTAATTGTGTTTCTTAAAAGCCATGGTTATTAGTTTCTCTCTTTCTACTTTTTTGTTGTCATGGCAACAACCATAGAAGGCCCAATGATTGACCAGTCATTTGAAATTAAGGAAAGAGGCACCGATATGAGCTTGTCTATTTTCCCTTCCCTGAGAAGAATCAGTCAGAAGTCCATGAAATGGGATCCTACTGACACTAATTTCTCCTAGATTTTTGTAACTCAGTTATTTTCATACTTCAAGATCTTCTGCCAAAACAGATGTGAAATTTTCCATGTGGCTCTTGTTTGTAAACTATCGGACACTTTTCGTCATATCTGTAAAACCACTTTTCTCTTACTCTCTCTCCTTCATTTATGTCTAATGAGCAGCTTCATTTATTGCTTTCCATATATTTTATCATTAATGATTCTACTGTGATGGAATATCTGTATATCAATAGATCATTGTAAAGTTCATGCTCAGCAATATAAGTAATTACAAACAGCTATGCCTTGAACACAATGGAAACAGCATCTAAACCCCATTCTTGGAGAACTTTCTGGAGAAATCTATCATGAATTTTTGGATTCTAACATGTTAGTCATCTTGGAGTTTCTACCTATGGTACATGGTAAACATAAAGTCTGTTTATGTTATAAGCCATGACAATGAAAACGTATGGTGTAATAACTATAACAACTGTATTTTCCTCTAATTTGATGTTGGGGTCTCTGTCTCTGGAGAGTGGCTATGATCTCTATCCCTGCCTTGATGGGGCTCCAGGGATTTGGTCATGGATGCTTCCAGTATGCCTTTCACTGGATACTTGTTATCCAAGCACGTGGCCCGATGCCTATGTGTGTGACCTGTGACCAGGTGCTCTTCTCAAAGGAAACTTGTATACACTGGCAGGGATCTTCGTGGGTCTTGTCTGATCTATGTCCAGTTTATTCCTACCAAAATATCCACTCTCCAGGAGAGCCCTAACCAGGAAAGAAGTTAGGTTCTCTTTATGTCAGTCAGGTGAGACACGAAGAGGCAACTCAACAGAACACTTAAAATAACAGAAGCAGCTTATTATTTACAGCTACCAGAAAGTAAAGGACTGCATAACTCGTAGGACCAATGGAGCGCAGGGAGGGCCATCAGGGACATGCCTGCTGAACCACCAGGTGGAAAGTAAAAGAGAAAGAGCGTGGGTCCTATGGGCTAAAGCCTTTATTGGGGTCCTGGGCATTACCCAAGCAGGTTTCCCTCAGGGACTTCTAATTGGTGGGTTTATAACAAGCAGGCATGAGTTCTCCGGAGTCATGCTGTGACTGAGACGTGGTCACTGTGGCGTATCTGTGCAACCCTTGCTGAGCATGGGGGTCAGTGAGGTTGTATCTTCCTGTCCCATAGGGAAGTGGTCACCAGGAGGCAGTTGTGTAAGGCAGATATCTGTATCAGTCACACTGAGGAACTGGGAGGTGGTGGAGAACTAGAAATTGTCAAGGATGGAGAAGTCCTGCCTCTGGCATGAGAAAGTGAAACTTATATTTAAAATCGATGCTGAGGCAATATAAAATTACAGAAATGCACTATAAGCATGGAGAATCCCCACACTTCAGTAACATTGCAACAGGATAATATATTTGAAATATTCACCGGTATACGTTATTTTGTAAATTTTGGTGTCTATAGTTAACCCTCTAACCAATGAATTAAGTCATTATATTACTTCAGAGAGAGGGACAGTGCAGCCTAGGACAAAGTAGTCACTTCTTTGAATTTTCCAACGTGTTTTTTATTTAATTTTAAAAATTAAAACAGTGAAATTTACTTTGTGGAGTACAGTTCTATGGGCTTTGACAAAGACATAGAGTAATGTATCTGTTGCCCCAGTCCTGATACAGAATAGTTCCATCAACCCCCAAATTTCTTCAGGCTGCCCCTTTAGATACAGCCGTTTACCCTCGACCCCTAGCCCCCGGAATCCACTTATCTGATACCTGTCCCTATAACTTTGCCTTTTCCAGAATTTCATATAATATAATCAGACAGTATGTAATTGTTCACATCTAATTCTTTCACTTAGCAAAATGCATTTGAGAGTCATCCATGTTGTTCCAGGAATCAATAGTATGTCCTGCTGAGAGTATACAATGGCATATGTACCATAATTTGTTTATCCTTTTACTGGTTGAAGAATATTTGGGTTGTTTCCAGGTTTTCTGTGATGAGAAATAAAGCTGTGATAAACTAACATTTGTGTGCAGGATTTACATAAACAGAGCTGTTTATTCTAATTAGCTAAATATCAAAAAAATGGGATTTCTGGGTCATATAGTAAGTATATGCTTAACTTTATAAGAAAAGTTCGAACTGCTTTCCAATAGAGCTGCACTATTTTGCACTCCCACCAGCAGCATGTGAGAGTTACAATTGGTCTGCATTCTTGTCAGTTCTTAGTATTGCCAATTTATTTTTTATTCTACTAACTATGCAGTGGTTTTAATGTTTTGAGCTAATTAATAAATATGTTGAGCATATTTTCATACTTTTATTGCCATCCATATGTCTTCTTTGATGAATCTGTTAAAAATAAGCATATTTTCATAACCTTATTCCTATCCATATGTCATCTTGGATGAATCAGGCCAAAATCTTTTGCTTATTTTTAAACATCAGGTTGCTTCTTTTCTTATTGTTGAGTTTTGAAAGTTCTTACATAATCTGTATACAAGTTTTTGTCAAAAACAGTATTTGCAAAATATTTTCTCCAGTAAGTGGCTTGTCTTCTCATTCTGACAGTGTTTTCTTACTTTTTTCTTTTTTTTCTAACAGTGTTTTCACAGAGCTGAAGTTTTTAATTGTTATGAGGCCTAAATCTGGGGGAGATTCTACTAATAATTTTTTTTTGTCTGACCTAGAGTCTTTTTTCTAGATTTTCTTCTAAAAGTTTTATAATCTTTTATTTTTCACTTAGATTTATGACTCGTTTGAGTTTGTTTTTGCACACATTGTGAGATATGGATCAAGATCCCTTTTTGGGTACCTCTTATTTCTCAATTAATATATCTATCTTTGCATCTTTGTCAAAAATTAATTTACTATACTTGCGTAGGTTTATTTCTAGACTATATTCTTCTCTAGTGATCTAAGTGCCTATCCTTTTGAAAGTATCCTTTTGCTTGATTAGTGTAGCTTTATGGGAAGTCTTGCAATGGGATACCATGAATTCAGTCAAAGCACTTTCAATTGGCAGTAATTATACAGTTCAGAGAAGTCTGGAGTACTCAGGGTATAGAATTGATAGTATGGACCAAAAAGTCTGAAATAAAGTTAGGTCATGTGATAAAAAAGGGCAGAAACAAACCTCTTCTGGGCCAGAGGATGGGCTGTAAAAGGGATTGAAAATGAGTAAAGCTCAGACACAGAAGAATCACCCAATACCTTATCCATTCCTCCATCACAAACTAGGATAAAACTGAAGGCAGAATGGCGAATGGAGAGAACAGAAAAGTCCCAACTGGCCTAGGGGAGGGCCCAAAAACCAAAGCTGTTGTGTATTTTGTTATGTTTTAAATCTTGGTTTTAAAACCAGCACCCCTAGTGTGGTGCGGGGAAAGCAGCTGAGACTTCCAAAGAGGTCTGTGGAAGTGCTGAATGACACAAGGACACATCATGAGGGGTTCTTCAGTAATAGGAGGCACATCCAAGTGAAGGCATTCACATTACCTGCCAATACAAAACAGAGGGGTTCAGGTTATGCAGAAAGAGCAGAGCCTGAATTATTTGCTTTCTACTGCCCCCCATAGCAGTGTTATTAAATATTATTTCTACCTCTAATGAGATTACCCTCAGAATAAATATGAAAAGAAGAACGAAAATGGATGTAGAATCCTAGGATAATTAGTTTTTACTTGGAAGAGGCAAAAATACTTTAAATTTTCAAGCTTACATTATTTGCTAATGTAAAAAATAAGATACCAAAGAAAGTTAAAATATAAGAAGGTTAAACAAATTACATCGTGCAACACAAATTTCTGACTATGAAATTTCATACTTAATAAAATATTATGTCTGGATAATCTATGATAATTGATAATAGGAAAGGAGATGGCAGTGGTTAACATGGAATATCTCCTTTTTTTTTTTTTTTTTGAGACAAGTTACCTCTGTCACCCAGGCTGGAGTTCTGTGGTGTAATCAAAGCTCATTGTAAACTCAAATTTCTGGGCTCAAGTAATCCTTCTGTCTCAGTGTCTCCAGTGGCTGAGGGCTGAGACTTTTTTTGTTTTTTTAACTATTATTACTTTTTGTGGAGACAGGATATCATTATGTTGCTCAGGTTGGTCTCAAACTCCTGGCCTCAAGCAGTCCTCCTGCCTCAGCCTCCCAAAGCACAATATGTCCATGTTTATGGTCATGGTATGCATGGACAAAGCAGCTCTGTGTTGGGTAAGATATGGTTCTGCTTGGAAGTAGAAATTCTGATAATTTGAGGTTACAGAAATTATAAATTATGGCCATGATGAGGTCTTTATGATGGTTCTTATTTCTCTATTGGTGTCAGATCACCTGAAAATAAGATTTTCTTCCTTCCATTTTGTAAAGGAGTAAAGAAAACACCATCAAAGTTGCATTTCTGCTTAATTTCATCAAGCATTTGGCAAATTAAATACAATTCATATTCTATTTTTCAACTCATTTAGAATTATTTATACAATTATGTAGCATGCATATGAGTGACAATTCAGGCAATGAATGAAGGGCTATAAGAACACATAGGCATCCCTCTTAACAGAGAAGGAGACTTTATGTAGGTTACCCAGTGTTCAGTTGTCACGGTGGTTGGAGGCAGGAGGAGTTTGCATTGGCTTAGGTAGTGACTATTTTGGAGACCCTCTTGGACTCCAGACCTGCTGAATTCTAGTTAGTGTTCCCAATCCTGCCTCTGCAATGGCAGTCTTTGCAAAAACATCAAGCATGGCAAAGCCCTGGAGAACCCATGTCAGTAGATCCTGCACTGATCCCAGCAGCTCAGTCACTTAAAATCTTCACAGATTATTTTATTTGAGCCAAGACTGGAAAGGATTATGCCAAATTCTGGGATGTGTCAGCAAACTTTAATTAAAGAGATGGGTTGTAATGGGAGCTAAAGAAAGCACAAACTGAAACTTGTCTTGACATCTATGTATATGCTATATCCTATTATCTGCTTAAGAACCTTCTATTGTTCCCAACATTCCATAAATAAAAATGTTCAGTCTTCTCTAGTTCTTGAAAAATTTTTAAAAAGGCCATTAGATAAATTCAGATTAAAGCCACAACGGGATACCACCTTACATGTATTAGAAGAACTGAAATAAAAAGGACTAAAAATTCCAAGTGTCAGAAAAGATATAAAGCAATGTGAACACTCATGCTTTGCTGTGGGAATTTAAAATTGTACAGCCACTGTAAAATGGTTTGGCAATTTTTTATAAAGTTAAACATGTATTTATTATATGACCCAGGAAACCCACTTCTTAATTACCCTATAAAAGGTAACATTTTTGTTAATAGGAAATCTGTATGCTAGTGTTCATATATAGGCATGGTAAAGTGCTTTTTTATTTGTTTTGTCATTTTTACATACTTTTAAGTACTTGATCTTTTTTCTGTACTGCCATTTTAGCTAAGTACAAAATTGGACTTTCTTTCATAAGAAAATTTAAAAAAAATTTTTTTCTTAAATAACAGTTGTGTTGCAGTATAATTTACTGTTATAATACTCACCTTTTTAAAGTGCACAATTATTGTTTCTAGTTTATTCAGAGAGCTGTGCAACCATCATCACTATCTAATTTTACAGCACTTTCTTCATCACCAAAAGAACCTCTGTACTTATTAGCAGCTATTCCGAATTCTCCCCTAACCCCAAGCACCTGAATACACTAATTCTCTTCCTGTATTTATGGATTTGCCTATTCTGGATATTTGGACATCATATAAGATGTGAACTTTTGTGCTTGGCTTTTATCATTTAGCATATTGCTTTCAAGGTTTATACATGTTGTAACATGTATCAATATTCTATTCCTTTCTGTTGCCAAGTATAATCCACATTACTGTACCACATTTTGCTTATTCTTTCATCAGTTGACGGAAATTTGTTTTTTTCCACTGTTTGGCTATTATGAATAATGCTCATATAAACATTCATGTCCATGTTTTCATGTGGACCTAAGTTTTTATTTTGGAAGTGGAATACCTAAGAGTGGAATTTCTGGGTCATATGGCAACTATGTTTAACATTTTGATGAAATGCCAACTGATTTTTCAAAGTCATTGCACCATTGTATTTATCTGCCCCAAATATAGGAGGGTTCCAGTTTCTTCTACATTATCATAAACACTTGGTACTGTTTGTCTTTTTATTTTAGTTATCCTAATGCGTGTGAAGTGATATCTCATTGTGGTTTTGATTTACATTTCCTTAACGGTAATGATATTGATCATCTTTTCCTGTGCTTATCTTGTGTATCTTCTTTGGAGAAATGTTTGGTCAAATGACTTTCAAATCCTCGTCAAATTTTACCTAAAAAATGTAGCTGGGATTTTTATGGAAACTCTTGTTTTGTCTGTAGATTAACTTGGGGAGTACAGAATTTTCAAGAAATTTGTCTTCTGATAATGAACATGGATTTATTTCTGTTTCTTTAGGTCTTTAATTTCTCTCAGTGACGGCTTGCAGTTTATTGTGTGCCTGTTTTGAACTTCTTTTGTTAAATTTATTGCAATTAATTTTATTGTTTTGGTGCTATCGTAAATAGAAAAACAATTCTTAATTTCACTTTCTGATTGCTAACTACGAGTGTTTAGACATAAAATTGATTTTTGTATTTTGATTTTGTATTGCTTTTAAATACTTTTAAGTCTTTAGTCTTTATTTGAACAAGTATTGCCTTTGTTAGGTCTGAATCCCAAGCCTCTGTTTGAATTAAGACAATATTATACAAAGAATTATGAGGGGATTAAGAAAACAATAAATAAACATTAGTTCTTTTGGTTATGATGCCTGCAATACTTTGACATAGAGTTTTCCTGTGCCAATTTTAGATTACCTAAGTCTATAACACATGTACTCTTCCAAAGAAGGAGAAACAGCTTAAATTTCTGTGATTTTTATAGTAAGTTCTAAATGTACCAAGTAAGTAATAACATTTAGCCAGGTCCCTTAAAGCTACTCTTACTTAGACATGATCACATTTATTTGTGTGCATTTTTGTGAGGTCTTGTAAATGTGTGAATCGATCAACAAGTAATACAGCTTCACTTGTTCCCTGCTGTATTCTAGGTCCTAGCCTGAGTCCTTCCTTGCTCAATGAGGAGTCTAAAGACCTTTCACGGCTTTGGAGTTAAGAGGGTGAAAGGTAAGCATAAAATCAAAAGCAAAATGATGCAAAATTGTGCCTCTTTTATGAGGGACAAAATCACAGAACTATAAATCATTTTGGAAATCAAGAAGAAGTATAGGCCATATTTAATAAAGCTATAAAATATCCTTCTATAATTGGCATTTTCACACATTTTCATCTTATTTCTTGGTAGCATTTAACTGTTCAATACAGAATTATTGTAACAAAAATTCAGCACTGTTGAACTATCACAGTAAATCATCTGTTTAAAGGAAAATTTAATTTATAACACAGTTATTGAATGTACTTGCTGTAATTGTGCAATAATCAATCCACAGGATTTGAAAGGGGCTGAATCATGTTGATTTTCAAAGTTATCCATAAATCACTGAAGTGGACTGCATGTGCTAAGGTTAACGATGTTGAATGAGGTTATTGCACTGTTAATTATGTCAATTTTTCCCTGAGATGTGTGATCTGGGCAAAGAAATTAACATAAAGTCTGCACTATGTCCCCCCAGCTCTTGACTAAAGCAAAGGATAATTTGGATACAGTTCTACTTCCATTTCTATTTACCTCTAAATGATTTGAGGGACGAGAATAAGAGAACTGAGACTTGGAACTGCTGAGTGTACTATCTGTGAAAGATTGAACGTGTCATAAAATGCTACCAAGGCACAGCAGTGGTGACATGGCCCCAAACAGAATTTCAGGGTTGCCAGGAGGAAATTTCAAAGCTAACAGTTCAATTACTGTTTGTATTGTGAGCTCTCTGCTGCAGCCAAGTTGATTTGGTCTGCCTGGGAACACAGGACCCAGCTCAGCAAATGTAACATCCATTGTTTTGATCCAAATGTATTTCTTGCTGTCTCCAAAATCTTCCAGTCTCTCACAGATTTCTCCAAATATATCTTTATATTGGTAAATACAGGGAGTAGGATGCACAAAAAAATGACCTTTATTTTTTCTGTTAGAAACGTAGACACTGAGTTTACAGGATATGTTAATGCAGGCAGGCAACTTGACTGTGAATCAAAAATAATTCATGGCTAAAATTCTTATAAAATTTCTTTACTTGACAAAAATATGTCTCTTCCTCCTAGATTAATATCACATTTTCTGATAAACTCTGATCATTTTATCAGAGAACTGACATTCTTTACACTTTAGAAACAAAATTATAGAACCAAAGTATAATTTTAAAATGTCTCTTTTTTGAGTTTTGTTGAATTATTTTAAATATGTTTCATTCAAGTGACAAATTCATAATATCTTTACATTTTGTTTGTTTAAAGAGCTGCAGATCTTACGTTTCTTGACATTGTCACCAAACAAATGTCTAACCATCCTTCCAGGCCCAGCTGCTGTCTCTTTGTTCTCCACTGTGCCTCGAACACAAGTGTTTGCCCTCAGAAAAGCAGAAAGACAAACTAGAAAGCACATGAGCTTTGAAACAGAGAACAGTGAATTCAAAACCGTACCACCGAAAACAAAACAAAAACCACATTTAAAGTGTGTGTTCACAGTTTGTCAAGTTGCGATATTAATAATGCCAACATGTACTGTGGGCTTACTACATGCCAGACACTGTTTTAAGAGCTTAAAATATATCAACCAATTCACTGAATTCTCATACAACCTGTGAAGAAGTGCCATTATTGTTCATTATAGTGATGGGGAAAGTGAATACAGAGAGAAATTCTTAGTAAGGAGCAAAGCTAGGATTCATTCCCAGGAAGGCTGATTCCAGAATTTGTGTTCTTAACCTCTTTGTTATATTTTTTTGTCTTTTTTGTATTTTTGTGTACATCTTCACTTTTTTATTATACTTTAAGTTTTAGGGTACATGTGCACAACGTGCAGGTTTGTTACATATGTATACATGTGCCATGCTGGTGTGCTGCACCCATTAACTCTTCATTTAACATTAGGTATATCTCCTAATGCTATCCCTCCCTCCTCCCACCCCACAACAGGCCCTGGTGTGTGATGTTCCCCTTCCTGTGTCCATGTGTTCTCATTGTTCAATTCCCACCTATGAGTGAGAACATGAGGTGTTTGGTTTTTTGTCCTTGCCATAGTTTGCTCAGAATGATGGTTTCCAGCTTCATCCATGTCCCTACAAAGGACATGAACTCATCATTTTTTATGGCTGCATAGTATTCCATGGTGTATATGTGCCACATTTTCTTAATCCAGTCTATCATTGTTGGACATTTGGGTTGGTTCCAAGTCTTTGCTATTGTGAATAGTGATGCAATAAACATACGTGTGGATGTGTCTTTATAGCAGCATGTTTTATAATCCTTTGGGTATATACCCAGTAATGGGATGGCTGGGTCAAATGGTATTTCTAGTTCTAGATCCCTGAGGAATCGCCACACTGACTTCCACAATGATTGAACTAGTTTACAGTCCCACCAACAGTGTAAAAATGTTCCTATTTCTCCACATCCTCTCCAGCACTAGTTGTTTCCAGACTTTTTAATGATTGCCATTCTAACTGGTGTGAGATGGTATCTCATTGTGGTTTTGATTTGCATTTCTCTGATAGCATGTGATGATGAGCATTTTTTCATGTGTTTTTTGGCTGTATAAATGCCTTCTTTTGAGAAGTGTCTGTTCATAGCCTTCGCCCACTTGTTGATGGGGTTGTTTGTTTTTTTCTTGTAAATTTGTTTGAGTTCATTGTAGATTCTGGATATTAGCCCTTTGTCAGATGAGTAGGTTACGAAAATTTTCTCCCATTCTGTAGGTTGCCTGTTCACTCTGATGGTAGTTTTTTTTTTTTTTTTTTGCTGTGCAGAAGCTCTTTAGTTTAATTAGATCCCATTTGTCAATTTTGGCTTTTGTTGCCATTGCTTTTGGTGTTTTAGACATGAAGTCCTTGCCCATGCCTATGTCCTGAATGGTAATGCCTAGGTTTTCTTCTAGGGTTTTTATGGTTTTAGGTCTAACATTTAAGTCTTTAATCCATCTTGAATTAATTTTTGTATAAGATGTAAGGAAGGGATCCAGTTTCAGCTTTCTACATATGGCTAGCCAGTTTACCCAGCACCATTTATTAAATAGGGAATCGTTTCCTCATTTCTTGTTTTTGTCAGATTTGTCAAAGATCAGATGGTTGCAGATGTGTGGCATTATTTCTGAGGGCTCTGTTCTGTTCCATTGGTCTATATCTCTGTTTTGGTACCAGTACCATGCTGTTTTGGTTACTGTAGCCTTGTAGTTAGTATAGTTTGAAGTCAGTCAGGTAGCATGATGCCTCCAGCTTTGTTCTTTTGGCTTAGGATTGACTTGGCAATGTGGGCTCTTTTTTGGTTCCATATGAACTTTAAAATAGTTTTTTCTGATTCTGTGAAAAGAGTCATTGGTTGCTTGATGGGGATGGCATTGAATCTATAAATTACCTTGGGCAGTATTGCCATTTTCATGATATTGATTCTTCCTACCCATGAGCATGGAATTGTGACTATATATTCTTTAGAAAAATAATCAGCTAAAATAAAATGAATTATGTCAAGGTAATTTTGAACTGGAAAATGGCTGTTAATCAGATTATCAACAAACATTTAAGTAGGAGTTTCATAATGAAGCTTACCAGCAGTTTAAACTTAGAAGGTTTAAAACCCAATTATTCATTTTCATCAAAGTGAAAATAGCAAAAATATTCATTGCCATTAAAGGACCTGTAGTTTTATAAAGGATCCGCTAGAATTTATTGAGCAAAGCTGTCCATGAATTTCAGCAAAGCATTTGGCAGATTTTTTGCTATCCACAGTTGAGAAGAAACCTAGCTAGCTTCAGATTTTGATTGTATTACTCATCAACAGCATGACGTTAGACACATTATTTAAACTTTAAGCCTTAATCTTCACATTCATGAAATGGAGACAATAAATCATTTAAATCATAATGTCAATCAAGAATTAAATGAGACCACGCAAGTTAGGTTAGCAAGGTAGCAAACCATGTGATACACGAGAAGTGTTCATGTAATGTTAGCTACGGTTTGTGTATTTTTGGATAATTACAAAAGGGTGTCACTACAGTTGATCTTTAGGGACATTAAAATGATGTTGCGGAAAAAAATGAGTTAAATTAGGAGCTTGATACAAGCTATGGTCACTTCCAAATAAATATGCAAGGATCAAAAGGCAAATATGTCAGCCCAGCTATTCCCTTCCCTCTCTCTGCTCCAAAATATACAGATTTATACATCGTAATTGTTTAAAAAAGAGAAACATGTTATATATTTTATTCTTGACAGAGATGAAATACTACAAGAGGATACTGAAACTGATTTCAATACAGGAAGTCTTTATTCAGTTAATTCAAAGACATAAAATACATGTTAAGGTATTAAATGTCCACAATGGAATTTCTCTTCACAAGAGGAGAAATTTTTTGTCTCTTATGTATCCTAAGCACACTAAGAACGTACCTAACATTTAACAGATGCTAAGTATTTAAACAAACTGTGTGTGTGTACGTGTGTATAAGCTGGATTACCTTTCATCTTACCTTTCATCTTACATAGCATAGAATAAAAATTAAAAGTTCTTATTCATAACATTTTTATAACAGTTTCAATATTCCTTTCTTATTATCCTTAGGAATAGAATTAAGTTGATGTTTACATGGGATATCCAAGTTCACATTGAAGTATCATAAATCCTTCCCAAGCCTTTCAATTTCATCAATAAGATAGTCAACATCTTTCTGTCTTGAGGCAGGATTAGAAAAAAACCATTCGCAAAATATTTACTTTGTCTCCACATGGCTGGTAGCTTATCATGATTGTGCCTTCCATCATCATCTGTGCTTTAATCTTTGGAGCAATCTGTGTGTAAGTGTAAATATTATTATAAAGAAGTTTTACAAGTAACTATTCTTCCTTATTCCAGATGGCTACATAACTATCATTAGCTTCAAGTAAATTGTAGGCAATTTAAGACCATCAGGGATAATTTTTAAGAAGTAGCTTAGTACAAAAAAGCAGCAAATTCTATATTCATATTGCAGCTCTCATTACCCCATGATTTACAATTACCAAGCATAAAGTAATATAAATTTGCTAGACTGCATTAAAGAAAGGCATGTGCCATTTCCTTGTATTTATATGGCGATTCAAATAGACGTACCTGGGAAAGAGATAAAATGAAATAGAGAATGGAAAAATAGTATCATGTTTTAGTATTATTTGCATTATTTGAATCATTCATTATTGTATATCTTGAGTTTTTCTACAAGGTCACTATTTTGCAGCAAATATAGTTTCTTTGTAAATTTCACAGAGACAAGCTCTGTTTAAGTATCTTGTTCAGCTCCTAAAATGGCATCATGCAGGTGGCGTTAGAGCACATTAAAGCAACTTTGGCTACTGTTACAGGGCAAAGTGACACGAACACTCAGAAAAGCCAAAGATGGCGTTCTATAACTACTCAATCTGCACTTATTCATGGTCTATTTCTGCAAACAATTTACCTTTAAATGCTACAAATGCTATCCATATTTAACTTTCCTATAAGACTGTCTGATGGCAGTGCAGAAGCAAATATACATTTATATATATATATTTACGCATATGTAAATATATACACACAAACAATTATATATATATACACACACAATACAATCTCATATATATACACACACACACACACACATACAATTCAATTCTTTCATTCAATAGTCAGGATTTTTATTTCGTGTCCTTCTCTAATTAATATTTTATTCAATATAACAATACTATATTGGGTATTTTTTATTATCTGCAATACTGTGGGAAATTGTTTAATAGTCTTGGCTTGCCCTCCAGTCAGGAACATGTGTAGAACTCTAAGAGGTTGAGTGGTTTGGGTGTACCTCTAGAAGCCTTCTTGTTTCTGACTAACTCAGTTGGTGGTAGCTACCCTCATGGAAGGTGACATTTATATGCTTAGAAAAAAAAAATAAGAGCTTCACTTAGTCCTTGCCTCAAACCATAACATACTTAAATAAGACTACTGTGAAAAGCAAGAAGGAAAACAGAAAACTACATTTTCTGTTACAAGCCCAGTGAAATTTACTAATGATGATAGAAAAAGTTGAAGGCCTTAAACATTAATGTCAGACAATTTTTGTTCAACTTACTTTAGGGCAACTCAAATTATGTAAAATACGTGGTTGAACTATCAGCATAATTCAGAAAGGGGTGGTAATATTATAAAATAAATATTATGATACATGATTAAGTTTAGGCAAAAGCTCATATTAAATATATGGATAGGGCCAGGCATGGTGGCTCATGCCCATAATCCCAGCGGTTTGGGAGGCCAAGGCGGGTGGATCACAAGGTCAGGAGATTGAGACCATCCTGGCTAACACAGTGAAACCCAGTCTCTACTAAAAGATACAAAAAATTAGCCAGGCATGTTGGTGGGTGCCTGTAGTCCCAGCTACTCATGAGGCTGAGGCAGGAGAATGGAGTGAACCCGGGAGGTGGAGGTTGCAGTGAGCCGAGATCACGCCACTGCACTCCAGCCTCGGCGACAGAGAGAGACTTTCTCAAAAAATAATAAATAAAAATAAATATATGGATAAATGGCATATAGTGGTGATAATGTCCACTTTAATTATGAAGATAAAGATGAAATATTCTCATTGTATGACATTCATTTTAATTCTTTTCAGTATTGTTAATGGAACTATTATAAAATATCTCTCAGATTCTTGCTCAGATAATTTATGATAAATATTTTAAAATTGATAACATTTATTTAAGTATCTCTTCTATTTTTCTTTGGAATTGTAGTTATTTATATTTTTTATTCTCTCCCACTAACTTTTCAAGCCAACTGAGGACAAGGATTCTGTCTATTCATTTTTTAACTTTCAACTCCTACTGGTATACCTGGGAAATATTAACTAATGAATAAATTAACCAAAGCGTATGAATTTCAGCTGATTGCATATTAGGCATTGAAATATTTTTTCAATATGTAACCAATGAATGGATTAATTTCAAAATGACTAATGGGTTGAGTTCTCAGTGAGCCCCATATAATTATTAAACCAGTAGCTTGGAATCATATGACCACCAATCCACTAACCAAACTAAATAGACCCATTAAAAGTCAATATTAAAATTAGAATTAAAAATACCACACACTAAAAATTAAAAAGAAAAAAAAACCTTTACCTTTCGGAGTTCTTGATCTCTTTCAAAACCTTTTGGAATATGTTTAAGCCTTGCTGGGAAATACCAGAAGCAGACATTAGTGAACTCAGGCTAAATCAAAGAAAAATATTTTACAAGTATCCATAAAAACTCCACTTAATTCTTTAGTGACTTCATTATTTCAGAAGTACTTTAATTTATCTCACTTAATGTTTATGTATTTAAATAAAGGTTTCTTTCTGTGCTTAGTACATGTCAGGGCCTGGATTCAGAGATAAAAGAAGTAGCTACTTTCCTCAGAGAGGGCCTAGTCTGGCACGGGATCTGCTTGTTTCTCCAATAAACTCTTGAGTCATAATTCTTGAGGATTTTCATATCTATGTTATCATCTTCCCCATATTTTGGTTTACAAATTCCTTCAAACTTCCATTCATCCATGCCATGACCATGACGTCAACTATTTTAAACAAATAATGGTAGCATCAGTTTTGTATTTGAGAAAGATCACTCAAGTTGAAAGATAATTGATTCGAGGGAAGTATGATTGAAGATAGGAGAATATTAGTAAATAGAATGTTCTCATAATTCAGGAGAGAATGAAAAGGACTTCACTGAAGGCATAGCTGTAGTGTAGATAGGAGTGTTTCCATTTCCAAAAGCTTCAAGGGAAAGAATTGATCAGCATGATGACGAATGTCAGGCTTTCAAGATGAATTTCAAGGTTTCTGGCTTAGATGACTGAGTGTCATTCACATAGACAAAGGATGGAAGGGAACTTAAGTCAGCTATCAAAGCTTATTTCAGAGACGAAGTTAAACTGTCAGATTGTGCGTAGTATTAAAAACAAAGAAAAGTTTAGTTTTCACTTAAAAGCAGAGCAATAAGCAAATATTAAGATAATAACAGAGAGAGACGGAGACAATTTAGAAGATAAACAAGGCACCTTTGTTTCTTAATAGTTACTCTTATTAGAATGATTTAATGAGTGCCAGTAGAAGGTTTATTGAGCCTTAAAGATTGATATACAATGTAATGCTAGCAAAATTCTCAAATCTTTCATTAATATCAGCTTAGTGACTTGATAACAATGTACCAAAGATTATTATAATTTAAAGCCTACCTTCTCTTATATTATCTACTGTCTGGAAATGCAATTGCCTACTCTAAGATACAAAAAAAAAAAAAACTAAGAACAATTAAATTACATCCTATTTAGTGTCAGAGATGCCAGAGACGCAGTTAAAAGCAAACAGTTTCATTGTTTTAAAAATGTAAAAATTGAAGGTACTCATTAACTTAGTCTTTTGGACTCTTTGCTTATAAGAAAAGGAACTTAAATTAAAAATGTTTTAAAACCTAACTTATATGAGCTTAGGTAAAATAAAATGCTTACAATAATTAAGTATACCTATAAGGTTCTCCCAACACATGAGATAAGTAACAGATTCAGATAAAAATACTCAGAAAAGAAAATAGAGATCCATTGAATTATCTCAAAAATTACATAAATAAAAAGCTAAGAGTCCTCCTTACCTCTGCATCAAACACAAGCTTAAAGTTATCTTTTTTCTTTAAAACCTTATAGAAGTATTTTGCAAGTTCCATATATTTGTTGATTTGTTCCTCAAAGCCAAGGGTTCCCTGTAAATTTAAAATAAATCAAATCAAAGGCTCAATTTAAGTAAGATACTTTAAATTACCTTCAAGATGTTCCTCAGTTTTATTTAATGTGCTTTAGTATCTGTGAAACTCAGACTCATATATTCAACTGCCTGTTCAAATCTCCACTTTGATAACTAATAATATCTTAAATGACATGTTCAAAACTGAAATCCTAATGTTTCTATATGCAACTTGTTTCTACCAGTCTTCTCAATCTCAAAACATGTAAATTCTATTTTCAAGTTCCTGAGGCCCAAAAGATTGCAGTTGTTCTCACCCAGGACGCTCCTCTTTTTCTCACACTCCACACCTAATATTGTGGCAAATTTCCCTGGGCTTACCTTTTGATATGGTTTGGCTGTTTCCCCACCCAAATCTCATCTTGAATTGTAGCTCCCATAATCCCCATGTGTCATGGAAAGGACCCAGTAGGAGGTAACTGAATCATGGGGGTGGTTACCCCCATGCTGTTCTCATGATAGTGAGCTCTCACGAGATCTGATGGTTTCCTAAGGGGCTTTTCCCCCCTTCACTTGGCACTTCTCCTTGCTACCGCCATGTGAAGAAGGACATATTTGCTTCCCCTTCCACCATGATTGTACGTTTCATGGGCCTCCCCTGCCATGCTGAACTGTGAGTCAGTTAAACCTCTTTCCTTTATAAATTACCCAGTCCTGGGTATGTTTTTATTAGCACCATAAGAATGGGCAAATATACCTTCAAAATCTAATTAGAATTTGATATTTCTTAATATATTCACTGTCACTATGTCAGCCCAGTCACTCTCTCCTTCATTATTGAAACTGCTTCCTAACTGATCTTTCTGCTTCTGCCTAGGCATCGATTGCCCATGTTGAGGCCATGCCATTCACATTTACTTTAGGCTTATGTAGTGTGGAGACTTTCCAGTCCTATGAGGTGGTACTTCAGTGTATTCTCAGTAATTAAACCATCTTTGTGACCAAGGTTTACTTTATGGGTGTACAAGCTGTGTAGTCGCACAGGGCTCCCGTACTCAAAAGGGTTTCATATTAGTTGAATGATGTGCTGTCACAGTCCTGAAATTCTTTAAAGTTTTATTTTGGGCTTGTGTTTTGTAAGCAAAGTCCAATGGGACAATGAAGCATGCACATAAGCTAAGGATATACATGCAACATAAATGTCTACCATGTTTTAACACCTCATTTATACATAGCATTTGAAATGCACCATAAGCATAGTATTCCAGTGGACTCATGATACACAGGAGCCCAGTCACACTCGATGTCAGTACAATGTAAGCGTGTTGCATCTACAACATACAATACTGTAAGTGAGGATGCTGGGAGTCCCAAAAGGCCACACTTTCTGTTTAAACTAGGACTTGTTTCCAATGCAGGAAGAAAGCTGTAATGTTCTAGGAAACACTAATAGTCAAGGAACCCTTTTATATCCATTCTTACTTGTGTTACTTCTCTGTATTAACCATACTCACTCCACTCTGGCCACATAGATCTCCTGTTGTGCATTATGCAAAGTAGGCAGGCTCTGTCTCAAAGTTTTTAAATTGTGTTTCCTTTTAGCTATGCTTCTCCTAAATGCAGCATGACCTCCTCTTCACTTTTTTGAGATTTTTATTCAAATATCACCTTTTATTGGTGATGATCCTTCTATTTAACATTATAAATACTCATCATCCCTAGCACTCTGTATTCTTTTTTAATGTCTTATTTTTCTCCCTAGGAAATAGGGACATATATACATTAATTTATCTATTTATTTAAATGATTAAACTATGTATATATGTACAAATCAAAATATAAGTTTTGATTGTAAGAACGTATGATCAAACCTGGCAGCTCACAATTGCAAACAAACATTGGCTTGGCAAAGGCACTGTTAGTCACTGAAATGCCTATGAATAGGTAGGATTAAATGTCAATGAACTAATTTCTTGAGACAACCACTTTATCATTTGACATTATGCCAGGTATTTTTTTTCCTGAGGGCAATTAGTTCAGGGGAAACTACTGGTAGTTAAAAATAAATCAAAACAAACTTATAGAAAAGTTAATTGATATTATTGAAAAAGAATATTCTGACTCTTAATTCTGAAGAAATGAGGCTAAGAACCACTGAAGTCGTTGCCATAGAGCATATCACTCTCCGGAATTTTTTTCTGTAGAATCTTTTGGTAACATTCATGCATGTTGAAATGACAATAAAAATATTATGCCATGTGTCTGTCTATATAGTAAATGCATTTTTAAGTTTCTTGAAAAAATGTCTACAAAGATTAAATAGCAAAGACAATGGCAACTTTAGTCTAAACTTTAAGAAATTCTGTTAGACCAGGTCCTCCCAAAAGCAGATGCCAAGATGGGATTAAAAATCCTCAAGAATTGTATTGGTGGAAGTCCCTGTGTGAAAGACAGAGGAGAGAGAGCCGATTAGACTGGGAGAGGCATCAGACAGTGAAGAAGTCTGGCTCTAAGTTAAAGGGAGGTTAGGGAGCAGCATCCATGACTACCATAAAGTCTGAGGAAGATTTAGAAAGGCCACAGGTATCTTTATGCCAAGTCAGCTTTCAGAAGACTCTCCTGTCTCCTAGGAATGAGGACTGCCTTGGAATCCTTGCCAATTCAGTCACTGCCTGGAACAACCTTTCGGAAGCACAGACTCAAAGTAAATGCAATGGTGGATTTTAGAAGAGCAGATGAGGCTCTTGGACAATTAAGCTTTCTGTAGCATTCTGATGGCCAGATTCATTTTATGATTCCAGGACCTGTCCAATTCATGTAACAAATTCATCTCAAAGTAGGCTTTTGCATTATATTTATTTTTGCATACGTAAGTAATGTTTGTGGAATCTTATATGTCTATTTTTTCTCTGATTTTTATAATGTCACAGTACTTTATATAATTAATTACATTTATAAGAAATCTAAATTTTATTAATCATGGCTCCTCTTGCAAAAAACAAAGTATTCATTGTGTAATTAAAGCAAATGATAACAAAATAGAATTTTTTATTTATATTTCTAGATTTTCTCTTAATGCCCATTATTTTGGCAAGAGTACTAATGGTGGCTCACATAAAAATATTTAAATATTTAATAATTATAAATTATGATAACAAACTTTCAAGTCAACTCCTTTCTTTCAAGCTCAACACAGATTTTTACCTGAACCTGATTTGCACCATGTAGGAATGTTACTTTTGAGCAAAAAAACCTTCCACTATACTGAGTTTTTGTCACCTATTCCTGAAATAGCCCTGCATCTGTAATATCTACAGATGCATCATTTTTATGCCATATTCTCCGCATGCAAACAAAAAAAGATGAACCTGATTTCTTATCACTATTCTGTGTGCACTTTTTGCCATTCTTATAGTGCTATGAATTGTATCAAGACAGCCAACAAGAACTTGTGGAAAGAAACGTACGTGTTGGCTATAGATGAGTAGCCAGGTCTCATCTAAAACTCTATTGCTTAGAGTTAGTTCTCTCCATCCATCAGTAAGCTACTGTTTCTGTATCTACTTAATAGACATAATAGTACTGAAACTGCCTTTGCAAAAATTATAACTGTGAGAAAAATTTAACCTGACTCCATTTTGCTTCTAACCTCCAAGCTGCCCTAGTTCCTTCCTCAGTGTAGGCCAAGCTAACTATGGGATAAAGTTTATAGTTTAACTTCAAAACAAAAATGATAACAGTCCCTTCCCAAAACTAACCTTGTCCTTGCTCAAGAACTGAATCAACCTTTCTAAAACTAACAAATTAGTCACAAGGTTAGAATTATAGTTTAGGAGTCATATAGACAGAGGACACAAGATTTTTAGCCTCTGCAATTACTCCTAAAGATCACATCACTATTGTAAACCCTAAGATTTGTGCTTCAGGTATTTTTTAGACCCTGCATTCTGATGGACCAGCTAGGATCACCTGTGCTGATAAACCATACCAAGAAACCAGCTCATCTGGTCTTGGGACCCCCCCACCCAGGAAATGACTCAGCACAAGAATACAGCTTTGATCTCCTGTGACATCATCCCTGACTTGACCAATCAACTTTCCCCATTCTCTAGCCCTCTGCCTACCAAATTATACTTGAAAACCCCTAGCTTCAGAGTTTTCAGGGAGGCTGTTTTGAGAAATAAACTTCCATCCTTCCACTTTGCTGGCCCCGCAATTATTAAACTCTTTCTCTACTGCAATACCACTGTCTGAGTGCATTGGTTTTATCTGTGAAGCAAGCAAGAAAGAAGACCCTGCTGGGCAATTACAATACGTATCCAACAGAACTATTGGAAAACAAAAGCGAGATAACACACGTAAAGGTCCTAGTGCAATAGATGTTCAATAAGTGCTAGGTCCATTTTGGTGAGTTAATGTATTAATGTTTTCAAACCTTATTACCAAAAGTATTCAAAGTGAGTTACCAGTATATATATATATATATATATATATATATATATATATATATATACACACACACACACACACACACACACACACACACACACATACACACATATACATACACATATATATATATATTACAGTGTTTTTTAGAAATACATATATCTGAGCAAGATGATTATAAATTTACAAAAAAGTAGTCAATGAATAAAGTTAGAAGAGAAAATGAGTGCCAAGGTATTGCACACCAACTGAAAAAGGACCAATAATTTGCCTCTGTGATTCATTTTACAGACCGTATTATTCTATTTGCGTTTTGTACTAAGAATTTCATATCCACTTAAACTAATTGTTCTGGATACTGACACCTTGATACTGACAACAGAGAAAAATACCTTGTGATTCACAAAGAGGATAGTGTATACTGGACAAAGTCCTCAGCACATGGCTATACATAATTTCACACTTTCTTTAGGGCTTTTCTTTGTTATGCCACTTGATATGGGACAACCCATGAAAGAAAACCTAAAAGTAATTCAGTCAATATAAGAAAAATACTTCATGTTCCTGCATGATTAGGGCTCTCTGAGCAAAATTACTGACAACCTGGGCTAAAGGAATAGTGAATAATGAACAAGCCTTGGAACTTAAAAATAGAAGATGTCTCCTTTTTTTCCATACCAATTTGTTTTTCACATTCTGTTACTGCTGATCCCCTTTGTGGTGGAGGCATATGCTGTCTGTTCCCACTGAAGGGGTAATTAAACCTTTGCTATCTCCCCAGGAGTCAAATATTTTCATTCTGTCTTAGAATGAGGTAGAGACCTTTCCCTCCTCCCCCGAAAGAGTATTTGTTTGTTTGAATTCCAGAGTACAAGATTTCATAGGCCCCACCTCCATGTACCAGCTCCTACATAAGATTCCAGTTTCACAATTTTAGGGTTTCCTGCAGGATAGTATAAATCTCCTTTGTACCTGTAGGCTAAGATGCCCTCATGGTGGTGTCCCAAGGGGAAAATAGAGTGTGAGTGTCTATGCTAAGATATTCTGTAAGTAAATAATTTATCTTTCTCTGATCTAAAAAGCTTCATGTTTATTTTAAGGCTAAAATTTTCAAAAGTATGGATATTAAAAATACATCAGTTAAGTCAATTTTGTAAAAGGCCAAACTGTGACCCAGGTGACAGCTCTCTAAAATAGAGTAGAATGGAATTTATTAGTTTCATACATTACAAGGGTTTTTCCCCCCTAAAATTTGTTTTATTACATTTTGTATATATGGATGTGTGTTAGTACATTAACATAAAATGTATTTCTTACTGTGGGTTGTTTTAAAAAGTTCAAATGTCACCCTTTTATTGAATACACTAATAGATGAACTATATGATCCTTTAGATAATTGTATAAATAGCACTTCTTTTAAAAAATATTTTGGTAAGTGTTGAACATTTGTTCAAGGTTGAACCTCAAGACAAGTATTTAGGTATATACACTGTTATTTAAGCTAAGTCAAGCTGCATGCTTTGATTAGCAGCTAAACTATTAAATAGGAGAACTGGTGACCTCTTACAAAGTTGAAAAACTTTATAAAAATATTTACAAAATACAATCTGTACAGAAGTGGGTTGAGAAACATTGGGATTATCAGTGTCTGAAATTTACACAAGGCTGCATGGGTGCAAAAATTTGAGGTTTAAAGTCTTTTAAGTTTACCCAAAATTCCAAATTGTCCATTTAAAAAATCTTCAGGAAAAGAACTTACAGAATGCATATCTTAGAATAGTAAAAATTATCTATGAAACTTCAAAGTTTATATAATTGCTAAGTGTAATCCTGTGTTACTGATCATATAGATATCTGTATCAGAACGTTGGCTACATAATAGGCTCTTGATAGATGATTTCTATGAAAAGCATTGTCTTCGCTTTTGGAATACCAAATTTCTAACAAAAGAAATGACTTCAAATTAAACAGTAGGGCTAATAATATATCAAAGATGCTTTTAGTTCATGTCAAACCTTTGATAACAGTGTATATACCTAAATACTTGTCTTGAGGTTCAACCTTGAACAAATGTTCAACACTTATCAAAATATTTTTTAAAAGAAGTTATATTTATACAATTATCTAAAGGATCATATAGTTCATCTATTAGTGTATGCAATAAAAGGGTGACATTTGAACTTCTTGAAACAACCCACAGTAAGAAATACATTTTATGTTAATGTAATAACACGCATCCATATAAACAAAATGTAATAAAACAAAACAGAACCTAATGTCCATCTTTCTATAGAAGACTAGGAAGGGGGTGAAACACACACATACATATATACAAAACGTAATAAAACAAAACAGAACCTAATGTCCATCTTTCTATAGAAGACTAGGAAGGGGGTGAAACACACACATACATATATACAAAATGTAATAAAACAAAATAAAACAGAACCTAATGTCCATCTTTCTATAGAGGACTAGGAAGGGGGTGAAAGAAATAGCTTTATAAAATCTTGTCGGTTATTTCAGTTAAACATAAATAATGGGCAAGAGGAGGGTGCAGAACACATAATTTTTGTTGTATAATATTTGGAGAAACTGTATCTTCAGACTCTGACCCTGAAGTAGATTGATCTTTCAGGCAATAAATAAGTATTCACATCTGAGATTCAATATTGACTTCAGGTAGCTTGACCCATTATCACTTTCTATTAATAAAGGTGAAAAACAGGCCTAAAAAGGTACTAACACGTTTTTATGTTTCTAACATTTTTTTATTCCTGAAATTTCATAGAGTACATGGTAATGGTGGGACTGCCAAATATTCTTGTCACCTCAGTTAGAATTTTGACCTGAGAAACCACTTGCAATTTGCAGTTAGATAGGTGGCAGTTTTCTTGAGAGGTATTTAGGAAAATAATGGAACTATAATTTGGGATTCATAGAGTTCTAAAAATTAATGGAATCATCTAAATATTGGATGCAAATAACTAGGACCTAAATAACCACAGATTGAATAAAGGTAAACACACTGGCAATGGAAGTAGCTTATATTTGGAACAGTTCTTAAAAATTCAAGAGCCAAAAAATCTTCTGCAGAATTTAAATTATATTCCTTTACTTAGTCATTTATATTTTCCTTGTGACCAAAATCATAAAATGTGAGATGAGTTAAAAGGTCAGTCTGTGACTTTGGCCATTTTCATATGACTCATATCATATGACAATGACCATAATCATAGATAATTATGATTGAATTCTTGATTCCACCATAAGCTTTTACATAATAGGTGTGAGACATGAATATGCAATGACTGTCTTCATATTGATCCTATAATTGTAAGAAAATAATTATGCTGGACATTTGACCACATTCTGATGATTTTCATAAATGTCTCCTTTCATATTCTTTTCTCTATTGTCCTTTAAAAATAACATTACATAATAAATTTTAATACCATTAAAATCATTGTTAGTAATTTTGACTCAGTATTTACTGTCACCTCTTGTCTCTGGTAGATTTGGTGCAGTTTCTGAAAGGATTTCCTGTTTAAATTCTGGGTTGTTTTCTCTTAGCATTTACGAATGAAAACCATGCATACTTTCATTATGTTGATTTGTTTTTTTCAGCTTTTAAAGCTAAAATTTATAAAACTTGTGAAGCTAAACTGTGTCATAAAAAAGTTTCAAGATGCTCCAAGCTCAATAATATAAAAAATTGTATTTTATCTTAATTTAAATTAACTTGTAACAATGATAACTCTTGGATTATATGGTGAATTATAGCAATATAATTAAGTTTATATGTAATATTTTATTTAAACTGTATTATATCTGTATAAAGAGGTAGGTACAACGTAATTGCACAAATGAGGAGCCTGAATCTGAAAGAATTTAAATTACTTGTTTAGGTTTTTTGCATATTACAATATTCTTGTGATATTTCTCAAATTTCCCCTGCTATTAGAGGTAATGAAGAGTCAAAGACACCTAAGCTTACTTATTTTAAATATAACATCATACTATTATGTTCATTAGGACTAGAGAATATTAAATTTGAGTCTATGTTTATACTTAGTCAAAGTTACATATGTTGAAAGTGTTAATAGAAAAAGGTAGAGTTGTGTAAATCGGTTTAAGTACCAATGGAAGGTCACTAATTGACTGTCTCCTAGCCTTATTAAATCAATATTCTGGCTACTCCGTTTTTGTATTGGGCAGGTGAATACAGATGGGGAAAAGCAACTTGGAGACTTGGTGTTAATGTAAAGTTACAACCACAAATCTCAACTAGACCTTCAGCACCTCTCCACAGTCTGACTAGAGTTTCCTGGCCAATCCTCCATTGCATAGATAATTTTTCATTCGACTCACTAAATCTCCAGTTTCCCTTCACTCCTCACAATTTCAGTAGATGATCTTGTTTCTTGCTCTTTAACAAAATAGGAAAACTCAGCAAATAACATTGTAGAACCAAGTCTACCATTCTGCCTATTTGTATACAGTCTTTCCTCTAGTTATTAGGTAGGTGCAAAAGTAACTGTGGTTTCTGCCATTTTTAATGGTAAAAAACAATTAAAAATAATAGCAAAAACTGAAATTTCTTTTGCACCAACATAATACAACAGATGGATTGCACCTGACTCTAGATAGGATAAGCCCATCTAATTGTAAACTACGTCACTTGCTCACCTTTTGCCTACAACAAAGTACCCATTCCACTTTTTCACTTTCTTCTTGCATAATGATATTTTCCATCTATTAGACTATGACAAAAAGTATATTTGTATGCTATAACAAAGCTCATCTATAACAACAAAAACAAAAATTCCTTTGGATGTGAATTTCCCTCCAGCTACCACTGTGTCTCTCTCGCCCTTTATAGTCAATCTCCTCAAAGCACTTTTCTACATTTGCTCTTTTCATTTCCTTACTTTCTATTCTCACACAACTGTTCTTACTGAACCACAATGAAGTATTTATTTTTCAATTTCCAGTTCTCATTTTAGTCAAGCAATACACAGAGTTTGATACAGTATCATTCTTTGTTTTCTGAAATTCTTTCTTCCCATGGATTTGGTGACACCTCCCCATCTTTTCTTTTCTTGATGGAGTTTCGCTCTATTGCCAGGCTGGAGTGCAGTGGCACGATCTTGGCTCACTGCAACCTCTGCCTTCAGGTTTCAAGCGATTCTCCTGCTTCAGCCTCCCAAATTGCTGGGATTACAGGCTTGCGCCACCACACCCAGCTAATTTTTGTATTTTTAGTAGAGATGGGGTTTCACCATGTTGGCCAGGATGGTCTCAATCTCTTGACCTCAGGTGATCTGCCTGCCTTGGCCTCCCAAAGTGCTGGGATTACAGGCATAAGCCACGGCGCCTGACTGACACCTCACCTTCTTAGTTATCCTTCTATATACTTGGCTACACTTCAGAGTGTCCCTGGTTGGATCTTTTCTGCTTCTCCCTGATTTCCATGTTTTAAGTTTCATTTCCCTGCCTTCTCTTGTTTCTACCTACAGTCAGTCCCATGACTTCAAATACTATCTACATGTAAACACTTTTTAAATGTATATTATCTTCCACAACTTCCAAATTGAACCTCAATTCACTATTCAAAATCTTCACTTTATTATCTGTCAGTCTTAACTTAAAAAAATGATATTTCAATGATAAAAATCAGTTCTTTCCATCACATTCTTAAATTCAGGATATAACTCTTTTCTCCTAGTTGCTCAGATCAAAATGGTTGGAATGTTCTTTCACTCCCTCCTTCTTATACCCTACATCCAATCCATTAGTAAGTCCTATTTATTTTACCTTAGAACTACTCTAGGATCCAACTACTTTTCACTAGTTTCACTGCTACCACTTTAGGCCAATCCACTGTCATGTCTTGCCCAGACCACTGGAAGGACCTCCTAACTAATCATATTGTTTCTCTTCTCTTCCCTGCCGTGCATTTATCATAAGAAGCCAAAACAATTCCCTTTAAAACATACATCTGATTCTGTCTCTCCTTGGATCAAAACCATTTACTGATTTTACGTAACACTGAAAACAATATCCACAGTCCTTGTTTTTAATGCATGACCTGTCATCACTCTATATTCTCTAAGCTCCCTTAGTTTTTTTAGATATCATTTCTAGCTAACTTATTGATTATTGTCTATAGCACCCAAATCCTCCACAACCCTCCCAAATGTCACTGACATGAGAAAAGGAAATTTGGTTTCTTTGCTCACTGCATTCGCCAGCACCTAGACTGCCGCCTGGTTAAATAGTGCTCAACAAATCATGAGTAAACTGTTAAACTTCATCAATATAGATGGTGCATTGCTACAGAGTAATTTAAATGTGAATGAGTCAGACTGGTCCTATAGTCTCCAGTTTCATTATTCCCTCTTTTCTTAACAACCTGTGCATTTCGGACACTTACACATCTGTTTGGCGCCTGACGACATTGAGAGGTTCTCATCTTAGGAACACACCTGAGTTTCATATATTCTCTGCTATCTCGTGGTTGTAAAATGTCAAAATCCCAAATAAATAATGAAAATCATTCGATTGATTAGTTAAATTTGCTCTTGTTAAAAACCACATTATTATAGCCCTAAAACTTTAAAATTTTGGTGTTTTATTCCAAATACGCATATTAATATGACCCTTACCCCCTTTCTTTTCTACTCCAATAAAAAGTAGAATGAGTAAAAGATGACAAATTCCTACCTTTGCTTTCCACATTAACCACTGCTTGAAGATATCAACATGTCGGCCACACTGAATAGTTTTATCCGCCGTGTCAAAGTCAACATTGTAGAGTTTACCTGACTGGAAAAGATATTCAGCTTGCATCTGATTACATGCATCTAGAAGGCCCTAAAAAAGGAAAAACATATCTAACATGTAAGTCATATACATTTCAATAAGAAACCACAATTATTTATTTCACTTAACTATTTCCACTTTGAATGCAAATTTAAGTAGAATTTTGCATATTTAATGTAGAAATATATCCTTTTTTGAAAATAAATGACCATATTCAGTTTTTTGGATTTATCTAGAATATGGTACAATTTGGTGAATACTTGTCTATTTTTTAAAACTTTTCTTAAATGCCTTGAAGTCTTGCTGCTCTTTTGAAATTATGTGACTGTCATTTAATAATGTTAATGAGAACTGACTGCCTAGTCCACTTTAACTAAACTATCCTGTGAACCAACGATGTAGATGCCAAATAAACAGCTCTGATGACCATAGTAGATGAAGAATAAAATAATCCATACATTTAATCCATTCGTTTAATTTTGTCTTTTCTAGCCTTTTGTCTCATATGAAAAATGTGGAAAACATTCCTCCTCAGTGTTAAAGACTTCAAGAAGCTTTCCTTTGGAAGATTAAGAAATAATCACTAGAAAAGGACATGTTACCCATCATTGAGACAGAAATGTTTTCTCAGTATGTATGTTGCTTCAGCACATCAAAACCTAAATTTATGTGCATTGATGGGGTATAATTTAAATGTTAATTAAGCAGAACTATTTGTACAAGAGGTAAATAACATTATATGTATTTATGTGTTTGCTATATGCTTTCCATTTCACATTACATCATTTGATCCTCATGGAAAACTGATGGTGTAGGTACTATAATGACAACATTTTTATAGATTGAAGAAACTGAGAATATTAACATGTTAAGTAATTTTCAAGAACATATATCTATACAATGATGAATTTGGGAGCTGAAAAAAGGGCAGTTTGACTTGAGGTTTGTGGAAACACAACATCCTAAGGAAGATAACTCACACTCTGTTTCAGGCTAGGCTTGTGGATCTATAGGAAGGACCACAATGTGACGGTCAGTGTTGAAGTATTTCAGGGAAATAGAATAGAAATTATAACTCAAAAATGAAAATAGTTTATGAATCTGTATTTTGGGTGTCCTATTTACACATGTAAATATTTTCTTCTTAGGCTCTTTTGAACCCCCTTTTTAATCTTTTGTTAGAGCAGGCCTAGAGACTATTGTAAACACTTTAAAACAGTATCATCAAGATGAGTTTCTGCACAGCAAAAGAAACTACCATCAGAGTCAGCAGGCAACCTACAGAATGGGAGAAAATTTTTGCAATCTACTCAACTGACAAAGGGCTAATATCCAGAATCTACAATGAACTCAAACAAATTTACAAGAAAAAAAACAAACAACCCCATCAAAAAGTGGGCGAAGGATATGAACAAACACTTCTCAAAAGAAGACATGTATGCAGCCAAAAGACACATGAAAAAATGCTCATCATCACAGGTCATCAGAGAAATGCAAATCAAAACCACAATGAGATACCATCTCACACCAGTTAGAATGGCGATCATTAAAAAGTCAAGAAACAACCGGTGCTGGAGAGGATGTGGAGAAATAGGAACATTTTTACACTGTTGGTGGGACTGTAAACTAGTTCAATCATTGTGGAAGTCAGTGTGGCGATTCCTCAGGGATCTAGAACTAGAAATACCATTTGACCCAGCCATCCCATTACTGGGTATATACCCAAAGGATTATAAATCATGCTGCTATAAAGACACATGCACACGTATGTTTATTTCGGCACTATTCACAATAGCAAAGACTTGGAACCAGCCCAAATGTCCAACAATGATAGACTGGATTAAGAAAATGTGGCACATATACACCATGGAATACTATGCAGCCATAAAAAATGATGAGTTCATGTCCTTTGTAGGGACATGGATGAAGCTGGAAACCATCATTCTCAGCAAACTATGGCAAGGACAAAAAACCAAACATCACATGTTCTCACTCATAGGTGGGAATTGAACAATGAGAACACATGGACACAGGAAAGGGGACATCACACACCAGGGCCTGTTGTGGGGTGGGAGGAGGAGGGAGGGATAGCATTAGGAGATATACCTAATGTAAATGAAGAGTTAATGGGTGCAGCACACCAACATGGCACATGTATACATATGTAACAAACCTGCACGTTGTGCACATGTACTGTAGAACGTAAAGTATAAAAAAAAAAAAAGATGAGCTTTATCTGGTGTGATGATTGAGCTACACTTAGTCATTAAGCAGCATATATTTATAGCACTTGTCATACATGGTGCTGAGACGGTGGATTTGTGGTGAGAAAAAGGGTAGAGAGACTCTGCCTTCATAGAACTTATAGTCTGAGTGGCAGGAGGCTGGGTAGGTAAGGGCGGGGCTGGGCACTAAACACAATGTCACAGATATGAGTGTCAAATTATACCCATGATAAATGTTATGAAAGAGTTTTCATGGTGCTATAGAATATTCTGGCCTAAGGGTCAAAGATTCCATGTAGCCTGGAAGTCAAGGAAGGTTTCTGAGTAAAAAAACATTTTTGAATTCAGCAGTTTAGCAAGAAATATGCTGGGGGAGAGAGCTGTGGGAGTGAAAGTTGAGTCAGACCATGACAGGTGGAAGGAGAAAGATGTACTGAGATCATAATGGAGACAGCTGCACTACATCTTTTTGGAACTAAAAGGAAGCCAATGGATATGAATAAAACAATAGGAAACACAAGAGGAAGTAAGAGTTCAGAGAAAGCCACAGACTACACCTCCTGGGCCTTTGTGCAATGTCAAGGATTTCAATCCCCATCTTAGCGACAAAGAGAAGCTACTTAATGAGTTTATATTTTGCATTATGAAAAGCTTCTTCTGAATAAATGAAATTGATGTGGCTAGCATTTTGTTTGAAAAACATATGGTATTTTCATTCCCTTGAGTGTAAAAATGAAGAATATTTAAAATCAGTTTAAATATATTTTATGTACAATTATACAAAAATGTATATATTCACTTCCTTATAGTCAATTCCTTGTCAGCATTGAAAAATATGTTCATTAAATATTGATATACTCAATTTGTTCTACTCATTAAGGCATGAATTAAAATTGTCTATCTGCAGCCCTGGACATTCAAATGGTTAATAGATAAGAATAGAACGTTCCTCTTAATTCAAGGCTGCACCAAGATAGACTTGTTTTCCAGAAATGACCTTAAACATAATAAATGCTTATTGGTTTGGGAATTCTGCTGTACTTCCATTGACCATCCATCTATCTTTAGGAAAAGGTAAAGTACTAGACAAAATATAAAAAACAATTTATTTGAAAACTCATGATAGGTACTTATGTAGAATAAAATGTATTACTTCAACATACTCATGGTGGGCTAAGAAATCAGAGAAGACTGCAGAAAATTTGTATTTGAGCCATAAAAAGAAAGGTATCTGAAATCTGAAAGTTAAATAGAGACCTGTTAGCAAGGTGGGGGTTGGAGACAAATTTGAAAACTTCTCAAATGAAAAAAAAATACGGCCAAACAATAATGTCAAGGTTCTGGACACATACCAATGCTGAAGAAGGATCAGTCTGCTAACCTGCAGGCTTTGAGCATCTGCCATTTTGTGGATGGGATATTGCTGCCATGCAGCCAACTTAGCAGGAGCTGAAGCAGAGATAATGTTAACAGTTCCAGTCAGCAGAGCTGATAATGCACTAGGTATGAGAAAATGAATAAAGATTCCCTCAGAACTAGGGAAGATGAAGTGAGCATTAAGTACTCAAAGAGTAGGCAGGAAGGCTATAGTAGGAAGACAGATTATTTTTATACCCAAAACCTCTGGATTGCTTGCAAGTAAGAGAAAATAGAAAATGATGTCCCCAAAGGTAGAAATGAAAGTTAGGTAAAATGTGTTTGCAACTTGACAACTCAATAAAGAATATGCAAACTTTATAATTGTATTTCTACTTGGAGGAGATAATGAGCTCAAGTCCTTGTATACTGTCACATTTACTACGAAGGGAAATAAAATAAATACACATGTAAAAAGAAAATAATGTCATACCATACATACATTTATGCTTTTTTTTTCTTTTTTTTTTTTTTTTTGAGATGAAGTCTCACCCTGTTGCCCAGGCTGGAGTGCAGTGGCATTATCTTGGCTCACTGCAACCCCCACCTCCCAGGTTCAAGCGATTCTCCTGCCTCAGCCTCCTGAGTAGTTGAGACTGCAGGCACACACCACCACACTGGGCTAATTTTTTTGTATTTTTAGTAGACATGGGTTTTCACCATATTGGCCAGGCTGGTCTCAAACTCCTGACCTCATAATCCACCCTCCTCAGCCTCTCAAAGTGCTGGGATTACAGGTGTGAGCTACCGCACCTGGCCACATTTATGTTTTTTTTGTGCCAAAAATATATTACAGTTACTCATTGTCATCCACATGAAAATATGCCCTATTATTGGCTCTATACTCTAAGATTACAAATTGGCCAGTGGGCCAAATTTTATTCCTAAGAGATATTTTGCTTGGTGGCTTTTTAAAATTATTATTTCATTTTATTTGTAAATTGACAAAATTTTATTTATTGTGTGTACAACTTGATGTTTTGGTATATATGTATGAAGTATTGCATATATGCATGTTGTACACACACTAGGCATTGTGGAATGACTAAATACAGTTAATTAACATGCATTTCCTACATAGGCATTGTGGAATGTGTATATATATGATATATATATGCATTGTGGAATGACTATATCTAGTTTATTAACATATGCATTGCCTCATATAGTTTTCACTTTTGTGGTGAGATCATGTAACATCCACTCTTTTAACAATTTTCAAGAATACAATATGTTGTTATTAACTGTAGTCACCAGGTCCTACAATAGATCTCCTGAACTTATTCCTCTTATCTAACTGACATTTTGTATCCTTTGATCAACTTCCCCTTGAACTCCCTCCCCCAACTGCTTCAGCCCCTGGTAGACACCATTCTGCCCTCTAGTTCTGTAAGATCAATGTTTTTAGATTTTACTTATGAGTGAGATCATGAGGTATTTGTCCTTTTTGTGTCTTATTTTGCTTATTTTACTTAACTTATTTGGCTTATTTTACTTAACATAACGACTTCCAGATTCATCCATGTGGTCACAAATGGTAGGATTTCCTTTTTTTTTAAATGGACAAATAGTATTCCCTTGAGTATATACACCTCATTTTCTTTATCCATTCATCCATGAATGGACACTTAGACTGATTCCATAATGTGACTATTGGGAATAATGCCACGGTTAGCATGGGAGTATAGCTATCTCTTAGGCATTCTCATTTCATTTCCTGTCCTTTAAATATATAGCCAGTAGTGAGATTGCAGGATTGTATATTAGTTCTATTTTTAGTTTTTTGAGAAATCTTCATACTTTTTACCCATACTCTTTTCACTAATTTACACTGCCATCAAAAGTGTACAAGGGTTCCATTTTTTCCATGTTGTCACCAGTGCTCATCTTTGTTTTTTTTTTGTTTTTTTTTTTGTATAATAGGCATCCTAACAGTTGTGAGGTTATATCTTACTGAAGTTTTAATTTGCATTTTCCTGATGATTAATGATGTTGCACTTTTTTTCATATATCTATGGCCATTATGTTTTGTTTTGTTTTGTTTTTTGAGACAGGGTCTCACTCTGTCACCTGGGCTGGGGTGCAGTGGCACGATCTTAGCTCATTGCAACCTCCTCCTGGGCTCAAGCCATCCTTCCACCTCAGCCTCCCAACTAACTGGGACCACACAAACCCACCAACATGTCAGGCTAATTTTTTTGTATTTTGGGTGGAGATGGGGTTTCACCAAGTTGCCTAGGCTGGTCTTGAATTTCTGGGCTCAAGTGATCTGCCTGCCTCAGCATCCCAAAATGCAGAGATTACAGGTGTGAGCCACTGCGCCCGGCTGGTCATTATGTTTTTAATAACTGGGTTATAAATAATCAGGTTTTCTATAGATCCTCTCACTGTCTTTCATCTCATACCACATCTTTTCACCCACGGGTAGCTGGTTTACTACCTATGCACTATACTCATTTGATTTTGTCAAATGACTGCTACTTAAAGATCAACTTGTTCTCCTCCAAAGGGCAAATTGTGCTGCAGTATGTTTCATTCAGTGAGGTCATATTTTTGTTAATATAAAACATTCACAATAAGGCTAGTCATTGTTAACCATCTATTATGTCAGTAATTAAAAACAGAAATCATTTACTTTTTCCCGGATCAAGATAGCAGAGCACTGAAGAGGGACACCCATTAGTTTGTGTGGATTCCAGGTCACAGACTTGGCCATAGGTGATAAAACAGCTCTGGTTAGCACTCACAGTCACTGGAAAAGGAGTCTAAATGGGTTCTTCTGCTTTCACAAGCAATGCCCCAGGTCTTACCTTTCAATACCACTGAGTTTATAGGAATAGTTTCTGGATAGCAGCAGTCCACCTCCCCAAGCTGCCTACAACAAATACAAAGAACATGTGGTCTTATACTAATTACTTATTTTTTAATTACACTGACTACTTTTCCTATGTTAAATTTATTTTAAAACATGATGAAGATTTAATTATTATGCTAGATAATTATCGAGCTGGCTATAATTATTCTACTTAAAAAAAAACAATGCATTAAAAAAATTTCCTACCATGAATTTTCATTGTCTGTTCATGACACGGTGAAGTCTTAAGTTCCTAATAAATTCAAGAAGGCACTTTCTGTATAATTTCCAAAGACAGATTTTAAAAGTTGGCATCAAATTAGGCTATACTACAGAAAAATTAAAATCTCCATTGTATGCTACAACTTTAATTTTATTCAACTCTAATCAAAGTCAAAGAAATTTTTCTTAAAAGTTATTGTACTAAATTAATAGCATCGAAAAGTTATTATTTCTTTGATATTAATAAAGAAATGTATATTAGAGTAATGGGCTAAGTCTTATTTCAATTTCAAATCATGTTTGACTTTAACATTGATATTCTAAATTTGGGGTTGAATATTAATAGAGATTTAGGCTTTTAAATATAATTTGGTGTATTTTTAGCCCTTTTCATGATGTATTAAGTCTATTTAAAAATAAACTTAGGTAGGCAGGTGCGGTGACTCATGCTTATAATCCCAACTCTTTGGGAGGCTGAGGTGGGCAGATCACTTGAGGTCAGGAGTTCAAGACCAGCCTGGCCAACACGGTAAAACACTGTCTCTACTAAAAATACAAAAAAAAAAAAAAAAAAAAGCCAGGTGTGGGCCGGGCATGGTGGCTCATGCTTGCAAGCCCAGATACTCAGGAGGCTGAGGCACGAGAATGGCTTAAACCGGAAGGCAGAGGTTGCAGTGAGCTGAGATCGTGCCACTACACTCCAGTCTGGGTGATAGGGTGAGTCTCTGTCAAAAAAAAAAAAAAAAGAAAGAAAAGAAAAAAAAGATGTAAATAAGATTATTCTTTATCTGTATTTTCTGTATTTATTCATTATAAAATCTAGGTACAGAGAAATTTTTGACTTGCCTGAAATGCCTGTTAGGAATCTTTAAGGATTGTAGGATTTTTTTTTAAAAAAGAGGTATTATAAGCCAGACTAAAGGAGATGACTTACATCCACATGCATCCAGAGTTTGTGCTTCTCACAAATATCAGCGATGTCAGGGAGAGGGTCGAAGGCTCCGTACACTGTGCTTCCGGCTGTGGCACAGACACAGAATGGAGTTTGGCCCTGGTGATGAAAAAGCGGAATCATTCTTACAATCTCATGAAGTCCACAGGAACTATATACAACACTGGTACCCATTACACTTCTGGATATCAGAAATCTGGATAACTTTGATTAGGGATATTGAATAGCTAATGATTTCAAATATTCTGAGGTACATAATCACTAGAGATAGTAACATAACTGTAAGGTGGATTTATACCTTTCCCTTTCAATTTTATCTATTGTTATTTCTGTTTAAACTTATTTTAAAGAAAGTAATACCACAAACATAGAAATGGCCAAATTCCATTATACAGGAAAGACCCTGATAAATTTGCCTTTCATATGTAACAGAACCAATAATATTAGAAATACTGCAATGCTACTTAATTACACCACTTCAGTTTTATAAGAAATTTCCCACATTTTGTGTTTATTCTATTTTTTCAGCAATTTTCTTATCAATTATTTTTCACTAATAAACATACGTAAAGTATATAAAGATATTTACATGTTAAATATAGAACCGTAGAACATACCTTTTTTTTTAGCTTGTAATATATTTTTCTCTAACTCAGCTGGAATCATCTTTCCCCTCAAAAATGCAAATACACATTGATTTATTATAAGTATATAAACATACAAATTCTACCAATTGGAATAAGAAGTGTTGTGCAAGATTTTAAAACAATTAGTTTTTAGTGTCTCCTAAAGACATTTATAAGTGTATGAATAAGTAATAAATGTTCAATTAATTTAAGCCACGTTTAAGTTAGAGAGTGCTTCATCTACTATTCGGTCACCTTAAAATCTGCACACTTACTAATCAGAAGATTCTGATCATTGTAAGGAAGATACAAAATAATAAACTCTCTTTCGATCATGCTTTTTTTTTTCCTTCCTTATTTTCTTATTTAAAGTAATTAAACTTTATTTATTTGTTTATTTATTTATTTAGAGACAGAGTCTCGCCCCGTCGCCCAGGCTGGAGTGCAGTGGCACGATCTCGGCTCCCTGCAAGCTCCGCCTCCCGGGTTCATGCCATTCTCCTGTCACAGCCTTCGGAGTAGCTGGGACTACAGGCGCCCGCCACCACGCCCGGCTAATTTTTGGTATTTTTAGTAGAGACAGGGTTTCATCATGTTAGCCAGGATGGTCTCGATCTCCTGACCTCATGATCCATTCTCCTTGGCCTCCCAAAGTGCTGGGATTACAGGCGTGAGCAACCGCGCCTGGCCCTTAAAACTTTAGTTATTAAGACCTCTTGATATCAAGATTAAAAATATCAGGCGTTCAAATTTGAGGGGGGATGTGGGTGGCATAATTAAGGTGGCCTCACATTTCTTCACAGCATGTTTCCATGAAATAAATTAAAGCCAATATTTTTCTACTCCGTTCAGCTATGAGACTAACTGCCCAGCAGCCTTAGAGGTAACTCATTGGCAACATTTTAATTAAAGTCAGTACCAAGATAATAATGCTCACTATCTTCAATATTCTATTTTCTTTTGAAAAAAAAGAGACAGATAATAAAATAAGAAACCTAATTGGAATACATATCTTTGTATACCTAGAATACCTAAAGTTGTTTATAAAAATGAGAATGTTGAGCAAGTTACATAAGTAAATTATGGCTTAATTTCTTAATACCAATTATTGAAAATAAATAGTAGAAAAATCCTATTAATAATAGTAGAAATGATGTAAAATATCTTTAGAGTGGTAATTCTCAGGAAACGTGTAGGGACAAACAACCTGTGATAAAGCTTACTGGATAATAAACTTATAAAACATATTTGCAAGATATTTTATATTTATATATTTCAGAATTTCATAATATATAAATGTTTCTTATAAGGCAATAAGAAGTAATAAACTACCACTTAAAAAATAGGCAAAGGACATGTACAGTCAATTCACAGTAATATACAATTGGCAGGTCAGCATATTAAAAGATTTCTATTGTTCTGAACAACAATAAACATCATTTCTGTCAGATTTTCTAAGTATAAAAATATTGATAATATTTTAATGTTACATTTCAGTAAGAATATAATTAACTAAAAATGTTTAAAGGGCAAATGGAAAATTTGTATTGAGTTATAAATTCACACATAATTTGAACCTAGAGGCATTCATATGAGAGATATTCAAGGCAACTCAAATGTGTTTATTAAACTCAAATACGTTTATTACATTCACTTAAGCACTGCTCTTAAGTACTAAAATCAAAGGGAAAACTTATAAATGTCTTTTTAAATAGGACTTGTAAAACTTTGCTGCATTTATAAAATTGGAAACTGATGTAACTTAAAAAAAAAAGTCTGTGTGAATTCACAAGATTTCGAAGCTATACCATAAAGCCAAAGGAAATAAAGCAAATTACAGAACATAACACAGAATTGATGTATGAATAAGTTTTATATTAATAAAAATTATATCCAGAATATGTATAAAGTTTATAATATTGCTTATTTCTGAAGAATGGGATCCAAAGAAAATATAAAGATATTTTCACCTTGTACTCTAACATGGTTGAATTTTTAATTTCCAAACATCACTATGTTGATAATTTAATGTATTTCATAAATATAAAATAGGGAACAAATATATGGCAATAGAATTTTCATAAGGCCATAGTTAGTAAATAAATGTCAACAATAGGGTAAATAATTTTGGTGCTTCTTTCATAATGACTTACCTTTAAAATATAAATAAAATGAATCTGGGAGAGGATTCTTGCCAAAAAATGGAACCACAGGCAAATGAAATCTCAATCTATGAAGCAGAGTAATAATAAAACTTTGAGAATGTATTAAGAAACATACCTTTCATCACACTTTACTTCAATTACATTATCAATTCCAATACCCAAAATTGTTGCAGCTATTTTTATTGAGTAATGACCCTTGGGCAAAAATAAGAAAAGAAAAGACATTACTTCTCCTACATGAAATCCCCATTTACACACAAGTGCACTTGGGGCATATATGCATAGCTTTGAATGGGTCTGTGGATATATATGCACACAGGTATCAAGGCATATTTCCAGGCCCCCATCTTGACATTTGTTTGGATCTAGAATGTTGTAGCACCTCTTTCCAGAAGGCACTGTCACAGAATAGAACTCTTTACAAGCTTGGGTGGGAGCTTGAATATTTTAGTTCCCTGCATACACATGAAGCCACATCATTTATAAAGTTAGTGACAGTTTCCTCCAGGAAAATCTTTTTCTGCTCTGGACAGCTCTAGCTCCTGTATTTCAGATTTTTTTTTTTTTTTTTTTTTTTTTAAAGACAGATTCTCGGTCTGTTGCCTAGGGTGGAGTGCAGTGGCATGATCTAGGGTCACTGCAACCTCTGCCTCCCGGGTTCAAGCAATTCTCCTGCCTCAGCCTCCGGAGTAGCTGGGACTACAAGCACACGATGACACGACCGGCTAATTTTTTGTGTTTTAGTAGGAATGGGGTTTCACCGTGTTGCTCAGGCTGGTTTGGAACTCCTGAGCTCAGGCAATCCACCAGCTTCGGCCTTCCAAAATGCGAGGATTACAGGTGTGAGCCACCATGCCCAGCCCATTTGAGATTTTTTTTTTTTTTTAAGGCATGAGGTCTTATGAATGTACTGAATATTACAGTGCCTGTAATTCTTAATTCAGACTTTGACACCCACTTTGATCTCTTGCCTGCTAGTTTACTTTGTCCAGCAAGACAGAGGTGATAGCAGCTCTAAAGATAAACTTGGCCCGGATTATTTTTAATCGCTAGGAAAAGACCAGATATATGAGATTAAAAAATACAGAAATTAAAACCTTAACCATATTTCTATTTCAATAAAGAATACAGAGATTAAATAAAAAACTGATTTCTTAAAGATCAACATATGGAATTTCAGCTTATTTACTCGTTATAAATATTTTCAAATTATATTTCAAATAACGAAAATTGCATTTGTAAACAAGCATGTTAAGTTCTATAAAATTCTGTAATACATTGCATTGAATATAAAGTAGTAGTTTCCAACTTGATAATATATAGTAAGTACTTACTTAATGTAGCCATAGGTTCTTGGAAATTGACTTTAGCTGAAAAGATGTCTAACGAAACCAATATTTTTTTCTCTTTGACATTATAATAAAGCAACTGATGTAATTCAAGAATCTATTGTATATTGCTTCTCTTAAAGTCACAGTTTCTAAGAACCTATGACGTTAAGTGAGGACTTACTATATAGATGTGTAATGCCAATTTGAGTTTGGCAAAGGGAGTGCACTGCAAAAACAGGAATATTTCAATAAAAACTCTTCGTTTCTAGGTACTTTTAGGTAGAACTCTCAAACTTGGACTGCTACTACATTTTAAGATCATACATGTTGCCATGATAGATAAGAAGAAAGCAATCGGATTACAGGTTTAAAAAGTTTTGATGCTATGCACGAGAGTGGAATACTAAACGTAAAGGAGATATCAGTGGAGATATTGTCAGTATCAGAAGAGTTTGGCTGAGGATCTAGTCTATAAAAAATATAGTTTTCTTTTAACTGATTCCTTTGGTCCTAACCGGAAAGATGAAACAGTAATTACATTCTTTTTCTTTTTATTCAATGTGAAAAATAACTATTAAATCTTTGAAATTTTTACAATAATTATTTTGGTAAAGTTAGCAGAATGTTTTATATTTATATAAAACATTTGTTTTCTGTTTGTCATGCTGAAATTAAATTTTAATCCTGAATTATTTGTATTGCTTACCTATAGAGCCTATATTTACTGGAAAGTTGTTTTTTTCCTTTTCAATATCAAAATGTAGATCCAGACTCAGAGATTACCTGAACATATTTGATATAAGCATAATGCCAATATTCTTAGTCTTTATTTTATCAGGTTATCTTTCATGATTCTTAAAAGTTGAAAAGAACCTATACTTGATACTTACTTGCTCAGAAACAAATAATACAATGCATGGAAGTGCAGTCATGCCTTTTGTTTTTATCTCTGGATATTGTTTATAGTGAGCTACTAAAATACCATAAAGGCTTGATATACTGCCACCTATGGAAGGGAAATAATGACCATTAAGCTAATTTCAATCCTGATAAATGTTTATTGAAATAATAACAATTTGACAGTTTCTGAAACTAATGAGGTGCTAAATCACTGTTATTTTAAAATTATCCTTCCATGAAATTGGTGAAAGGTCAAAGAATGAAATTCCCACTTTTAGATTTCTGGAAATTTTATTTGCGATGATAATGCAATGGCTTATGAATGTCTGTCAAAAATAACAATGTTAGTTGGAACACATTTTGAGTGTCTCCCGATAGGTATTTTATTTAGCTTACAGAAAGTTGCTTTTTCTTACCAGGTGAAAATATTCCATCTGCTTGTTTCTTCCCAGCCAATAATTTCATACATTTTCTTGAGAAGAATTGTCTCCATGACAGTAAAAACTGGGGCTATTTCATATGTAAACCTATAATACATATAGATAAATTCAGCTGTGACTTATATTACACGGAAGAGACAAAGTAAAGTCATGTGTTAACAAGATCATATACTTTTTAATTCTATATTAGACTATGCAAGAAATGGTTACCTTTTATATATTCTAAATTGCTTATTCCAGATTGAGTATATTAGTTCTACAAAGAAATCACCATGACTTCCATTGTTTTGGGCAATACCTGAAAATTTCTTTCCCACCTGGAGGAATTTTGAAAGCAACTCCCATCCCTTCAGAACACACAACATAGTTTAGGATCAGAAAATGCCCAGTTATTAAGAAAAAAAAACCCTATATATTCTTTAAGAGACAAGTTAAAAAGACATATATCTGGAGTTGCAGACGATGTTTTGCAGAACATTAAATGGGTAGAAAAGGCCTTTTCTAGAAATTGATTGATAAATATCCTTTGTATAAGGATTGTACTTTGAGGAAACACGCCAAAAAACAACTTAGAGTTATTATGTTTTCAATAATAACAGCTGTAAAGCAAGAAGATAGCACAAGACAAGAATAATGTGGGACCCAGGGAAAAGGATTCAGAGGTGACCATGATGGGAACTCTCCCTCTGTGTCACACTGTGCAATTAGAGTCAGCTCTTCAGAAAGCAAAATTTCTTCAGAAAGCAAAAGCTGGAATTCAAGGCTATAAGCTTTCCTTTGAGTAATAATATTACAATATTATTACTCAATACCACTGAGGTTCTAATTTATATTCATATATATGTGTGTGTGCTTTTTTTTTTGTTTTTGTTTGTTTGTTTGGTTGGTTGGTTTTGAGATGGAGCCTCCCTCTGTCTCCCAAGCTGGAGTGCAGTGGTGCAATCTCGGGTCACTGCAACCTCCGTCTCCCAGGTTCAAGCGATTCTTGTGCCTCAGCCTCCAGAGTAGCTGGAATTATAGGGGTACACCACCATACCCAGCTAATTTTTGTGTTTTTAATAGAGACGGGGTTTCACCATGTTGGCCAGGCTGGTCTCGAACTCCTGACCTCAAATGATCCACCGCCCTTGGCCTCTCAAAGTGCTAGGATTACAGGTGTGAGGCACCGTGCCTGGCCTCTATGTGTGTGTATTTTAAACTATGTACTGTGGGCTGTTTTGAATAGTGTTGAAATGATTCCACTCCTAGAACTTGACTCCCAGTCCACACCCTAACATCTGAGGCTAATCAAGCAAATTCAGGCCCTGAACATTGCCGGAGAATTTCGACAACCAGGTAAACTTCACACATGTCACACAGGAAACACATAGCAGCTTCTTTGCATTTCTCCCAAGTCTCAACTATTTTGTTTTTGACACAGCAAGCCTCATATCCAGCAAAATGGAACTTCCACTACCTAAATCTTCACTCTTGCTTACGTGTGTCTAATAATCTCACATTTCTTAGGTATAGAGGGATACTCACAGGTTGGTATTTGCAGTGGCTGTCAACCATTCCCCTGCAAGTCCAGTCATATCTAACCCACTGGACAGCTGGTTAAAATAGCGAGGATGTCCTGGAGACAAAAACAAAATTGCAATAGGCCAAAATAAAAACTAGAGTTAAAAAATACTGAAATTTGATAATAGTTTTTCACCTACCAAGTACTCATGTATTGAGCACATTTAAATTATGTTATTCAGTAAACATTATTGAGGCACTATCCTATACAGAGACATTCCTAAGTATTGACGATATGGTGGTAAACCAGATGGGCATAGTTGCTATCATGTGGATTTTACAGGCTGGTCGCAAAGAAAGACATTAAACAGATAATGACACAAATGTGTTTGATTACAATTGTAAAAAGTGCTACATAGGAAAACAGTGGGTGTGGTAAGTCCATTCTTAGGGGAGTGAAAGTAGCCAGGGGAGTGGGCCGAGGAAATCTCCAGAGAAGTCTTCTTGGAGGAAGTGATTTTTAAGGTAAGATCTAAATTTAAGCATTGCCAGACAAAAAGATTTGGAAAAGGAGCAAGCTGAAACAGATCTCAATATGCTCAAGGGTGAGAAAGTTCCTGCATCTAAGGAAGGAAGGTCAAGGATGGGGGTGTGTACAACTACTTCAATGGACCAGTTAGGCAAAGTGGGAAGAAGCCATCTAAAACATTAAATAATTTTCACTGAAAAGCTGTTTATATGTTTTGGGGGGCATAATATTAGATTCTTTTACAATGATTTTTGAAGATTTATATTAGTAAGTAATCTTTATTAGTTGTCAAATTGAACACTCTATACTTGATATAGTTTGGGTATTTGTGCCCTCCAGATTTCGTGTTGAAATGTGATCCCCAATGCTGGAGATGGGGTCTAATGGGAGCTGTTTGGGTCATAGGGGCAAATGCCTCATGAATGGCTTGGTGACATCTCTGCTGTAATGAATGAGTTCTGGTTCTATTAGTTACTGGGAGATCTGACTTTTAAAAAGGTTTGCACCTGCCCTCCTCATTCTCTTGCTCATTCTCTCACTATGTGGCACACTGGCTTCCCTTGGCCTTCTGCCATGAGTAAAAGCTCCCTGAAGCCCTCACTGGAAGCAGAGGCTGGCGTGTTTCTTGTACAGCCTGCAGAAATGTGAGCCAAATAAAACTCTTTTCTTTATAAGTAATTATTAGATGTAGGTATTCCTTTATAGCAAGACAAATGGACTCCCACAATATCCAACTTAGTTTAAAGTAATCTTCCCTGGGATCCTGGCTTATGCCTACAATCCCAGCACTTTGGAATATAATTTATAAATTTATTTTGTATAATAATTTATACAACATACAAAACAAATCATATTGTCTGGAAATACAGTATTGCCCTATCCAGGTTTAACTAAAGAGCCATTATTAAGCAAAAATAAAAATTAAAAATAACAGTAAGCTAAATAGGCTATTTTTATTTGCATTTCATGTCTACAAAATACTAATTACTATCATGGGCTATGCATCATTAAAATCTCAGTGATAACTAAACAATTAAAACAAACCTCAGTTTTTCCACAGGGCAGGGGGCCGAGGGGGGCAGATCTCTTGATCTCAGGAGTTTGAGACCAGCCTGTGCAACATAGTGAGACTCCTGTCTCTACAAATCATACAAAAATTAGCCGGGTGGGTGATGTGTGCCTATGCTCCCAGCTACTTGGGAGGCTGAGGTGGGAGGATCGCTTGAGTGTGGGAGGTCAAAGCTGCAGTGAGCCGTGATCACCCTACTGCACTCCAGCCTGGGTAACAAAGCAAGACCCTGTCTCAAATAAATAAGTAAATAAAAATTAATCTTCCCCTTCTTATCCCCTAAATAGATTATCTTTTGCACTTCTTTCATGACATATTTTACAGATGATTTGTGTCACAGCTCTTTGTGAGTCCCTCTCTTTTTTCCTCTAGTATGTTACATTATCCGTATTTCAACAGTGTCCTCTCCTAGAGCACCTGTGTGGGTTCTTAACAAACAGGAACTCAATACGTACTTACTAAGTTGGATGAAATGCAATGTCTGGAAGTTGTGAGCTGTGTTAGCAAAGTGTTCCTTTCTGTTATTTACTTATCATTTTCTTAGCATCTTTATTTTTTCTCTCTGCACTTCAGATGTACAGAAATGGAAATGGAAAAGTGGAGGGTGGGTCTACAGATTTACCCTACATTTGCAACGCTAAAGGAAAAAAAAGGAATTTAATTTATGTAAGTCAGAAATGCTTCCCAATTGCCCCACTATTTTTCAGAAATACCATTTGCTATTTTTATTTCTAAGATAAATTTATTTTAATTTCACATTTACTTTATACAGTTAAATTTGAGTCTACAACAGGGTTTTTTTTTCTAATCTTATAAAAGCTTTCTTTTTATTTTGTTTAAAAATGGTTTTCTAGTTATAAATATACATGTTTTAGAAATACATAAAATACAAACTATACATAGAGAATAGTGATTTTTATGCATATATAGGAGACAACCTGCCTACTTATCTATTCAACTACCTATTTATAATAAATACATTCTACAAATGATATTTACAAAGATATCCTAAAATGATACAGATAGTTTACAAATGTGTTTATTATAAATAGGTAGGTAGAGACACCTACATATTGTGTATGCATACACACATGGAATTAACAATATAATTAAATATAACTGAGATACTGAATATATTATTTTGTGGCATACCTTTTTATAATGATCAATATCCTATGAGAAATTCCCCATGACTTCTCTAAAACTTTAAACGGTAATATTGCATAGTATTTGTTTCAAAGGATATTCTCTGTTTATTTAAGATAAATTTAAAGACAAGCATCCTTTGTTTTCTGTTATTAAAATACAGGCAGCAATGAGCATTCTCAAATGTAAATCATCTTTGTGCATTAGCATGGCAGATCAGTTTGGTCTGAAAATAAAATATTAGTGATATTTAAAGTGCTGGGGTGTAAGAAATATGTCATAACAATGTCCGTATATTTGATATTTATCAAACGTAAAGTATCCATTCACAAGCGATTTCTAATTATTAAAATTATACATAAATATTTTTCAAGATAATGTAATAAAAAATTAATAAGCCCAAGTAGAGATAATGTATTTAGAGCCACTTTGTTGGTCCTTTTTTTCAAAGACTATGTTCATTCCAACACACTATTTAGTAGGTTTAAGATTTTAGAAAAAGGGTTCCATAGACCCTATTCAAACATCACTTGCCCCTGAAAGTATGATCACTTTAAATGGCTAAGAACCTAGTTACAGTAACCTGGTGTGGTGACTCACACTTGTAATCCCAGCACTTTGGGAGGCCGAGGAGGGTGGATCACCTGAGGTCAGGAGTTGGAGACTAGCCTGGCCGACACGGTGAAACTGTGTATCTACTAAAAATACAAAACATTAGCCTGGCATGGTGGTGGGTGCCTGTAATCCCAGCTACTTGGGAGGCTGAAGCAGGAGAATCGCTTGAACCTGGGAGGTGGAGGTTGCAGTGAGCCAAGATCGCGTCATTGCACTCCAGCCTGGGCAACAAGAGGGAAACTCAATCTCAAGAAAAAACAAAAAAAAAGAATCTAGTTACAGTAAAGCTAATTTAATCAAAAAACACAATTTCAGAAATATAAGATATGTATATGTGGTAATTTTGATGCTATGTATTTTACTGGTACAAAGGATAATTAATTTGGCATCAATATTGAATATTATAAAAATAAATGAAAACTGATAAAAATTATACATTTACTTGCCATTAAAATGTAATTTCCTGAATCAAAACCATTTTATTTACTTTCTTTTATTTTTAGAATTTTAATTTTAAAATAATTTTGTTAAACTGAAAACAATTTTTAGATGATAATCCAATTTGAAAAAAACAAAGCTAAATATTTTAAATAAGAATAAATAAAACTATGATCATTTTTCAATACAAATGTAAACTCAAAGCTATTCATCCAATTTACAGTTCAAAAACATCAATCTGAAAAATCACCTGTTTTAACACTGTATTTTAAGGTATCTGTGCAATCAGCAAGTAACTGTTCCAGAGATTCAGGGTGGTCAGGCAGTTCTAAGGTAAACCCAACCAAACCTTCAAGTAGTTGATGAGGATGATGGAAGTCCAATATTTCACTCTTACCATCAAAGGTGTTTTTGCATACTGTAGAAGAATATCTACCACTTGCAGCAGAAAATATTTTGTTAAGTCTTTGTCATCTTTGCATAGCAACAAATCTAGAGAAAAGAGATAAACTACAAAGTCAGTAGCTAAATGGCAAAGAAAATTTCCAAGAGATAGATAGAATTGTCATCATTGTCAACTAAAGATATTAAAGTGCCATGTCAAATAGCAAGTCAAGTAGCATTTTCCCAAATCTTATCAACCATCTTCATTCAATGTCCCATTGGACAACCTTTATTTTTCACCAAAAATTAACCATTTAAAATTAATGCCATTGGAGCAGGTGTCCCTTCAAGACCTCCTAGAGATGTATTTTATTTGATTGTACTGCCACAAAATGATCTGGTCATTCTACTTCTAAAAGTAAATTAAATGGTCAGATCTTAAAGAACATTGCTATAAAGACACATGCACACGTATGTTTATTGTGGCACTATTCACAATAGCAAAGACCTGGAACCAACCCAAATGTCCAACAATGATAGACTGGATTAAGAAAATGTGGCACATATACACCATGGAATACTATGCGGCCATAAAAAATGATGAGTTCATGTCCTTTGTAGGGACATGGATGAAGCTGGAAACCATCATTCTCAGCAAACTATCGCAAGGACAAAAAACCAAACACCGCATGTTCTCACTCATAGGTGGGAATTGAACAATGAGAACACATGGACACAGGAAGGGGAACATCACACACCGGGGACTGTTGTGGGGTTGGCGGGGGGGAAGGGATAGCATTAGGAGATATACCCAAAGCTAAATGACGAGTTTATGGGTGCAGCACACCAGCATGGCACATGTATACATATGGAACAAACCTGCACGTTGTGCACATGTACTCTAAAACTTAAAGTATAATAATAAAATTAAAAAAAAGAACATTGTAATTGCTTTGATAAACATGTAAAGCACATGAGATTTATGTATGAAAAATAACAAAGGGATACATTTGTTAATGACATTTGTACCTGAAGCATAAGCATTTGATAAATTAGTCATTACATTCCCAGTGTGAGCTTCTTTTTTCTCGTCTTTCTCAGTTGATTGAAAAGTACAGATAGACATTTTTCCCATCTGGTTCTTATCTAAGTTAAAAAGTTAATATTTTGGGCTTACTAAAATGTGTTGATAATATGTATTTCCTCCCTTATCTGTTATCAAATAGATGTTTCTAACAAATCCATAATAATTGCGACTCCTATTTCCTTTCTCATGTAATCTCTGGAAGATAGATATGAACTGGAGAGAAAATTCAATTTTATGAAAATAATACAAAGAACAAATGATACATTTATTGTTAGTTTTGTATCAGTTTAGAGCATATGATTAGGAATATAATAATGAAAAAATGTTATCCATAAATTACAATGCCTACTACAGAATGAGATTATTATATTAACACTTAGCTGCTTATGACAATATCTACTGTATCTTAAGTGGGCCCCAAGTGCCTTGCACACATTTTGATCCTCACAATAACCTTTAAAGGATTTTTTATGCAAATAACAAAATAGATGAAGAAGTTAGATAATAGGAACAACTTTTTGAGCACTTACTATGGCTCAGGCACGTTTCTAACCATTTCATATGTATTATTCAATCCTCATAACATACAGTTAGTTAGGATGTAGGCACTACTATTGTTAACAGGAATAGCAATAAATGGTAGATTTTGGATTTATAGGTAGATCAGATTAAATCCAAGGGCCACTGCAAATTAATAGTTTAAAATATTAAGTTCTAAAATTCTCTTTAATAAAAATATTGAGCCAAACCTCCACTCAAACACGTCATTCTTAAGTGTCTTTTAGTTTTCTGGGAAATGTAGTAGGGGAAAGGAAGTACAAACTATGGTTCCTGAAATCAAAGTAATTACCCATAGCTATATGTAGAAAATATAAGGTAGCTAGAAAATGATGTATGACTACATTTTGTACTTTTGATTATCATAAGCTTGTAGTATTGTTTCCAGGTTTAATGAGATTTTTCTTAAATAAAATGAACTATTTTCCTTTCCAAATATTGCATTTGTTAAGACTATAGCAAGATTAACTTGGTTTAATTTTTGAAACTGATACAATGTTTAAGCACCTTGAAATGTTTATTCATTCTAAATGAAATTTTTTATTATAGTATTTTAATAAAGAATACAAATCCAGTATATTAAGAAATTGTGCATAAATTGTACAGATTACAGTAACGAGATGATTTATGCATCATGAAATATATTTAAAAATAAATTTTCATATTACACATTGACCCTATTGACATATATTAGGTTAATTCTACGTATTTTTTTTCTAGAAGATACGGGTAGTTTTACATTTCCCTGCTATAAACAATAAAATAAATTCTGAAGTGACTAAGAGTGTCACTTCTTTTAAATAGTCAATGGAAACAAATTCACAAGTGAAATTTTTTTAAAAACCCTTTACATGAAGCAATATTGCAGAAAGTTTGTATATAAATTATGTAGAAGCCAACAAATTTTGTATATTGGCGTAAGAATTACACTCCACTAATAGCCCCACTACATATTGAATTTACAATATAAAACTATGTTAAACTTTATATTTAATAACAAAATAGTTAAGTGCACAAGTAATATGAAGATTGTTAATATACTTCTGTCAAAATATTTTAATAATAATTATATAAAATTAGAAAGACTGTCATTTTACAGTCTTCAGTTTTTAACAAGTTGCAAATATTACTCAAAGTTTTTATAAAAGTGTACTCTCTCACCTACTAGTAATTTCCATGTCTTCTTACAAAATTTCAACTTACTTGCCAGGCTATATCCACATTTCTTGAAATCTATGTGCAGTGAGAAAATTGCTGTCTGCTTTAAGAAAATATCTGGAGCCAGAGAATGTTTTCTTGCAATGAAAAATAACTCAACCATTGAAGATTTTTTACTGCTGTAATTTGTAATACAGACTCTTTTAAAGTCTTTTCCTTGAGGTCACAGGAATAATTCTATTATTTGTAAAATGGGTGAGGATTCAATGCTTTTATTTCATTAGAGAATTGACCAATGGTTGTAATGTATTTGTATTTAAACATTACTTGCTTTAGTGCTTTTTAAAAATATAATGTTAAAAAAAAAAGGAATGGGCTTCAACTTCCTTTAGACAATTACAACTTTTATCTGCAAGATTGTGTTAGTTATGTAACATTCTAGAGTAGAAATTTAAAAAAATGCATGGGACTATTAATAGCATGAGCCAAATCCTTGTAACACAAGAATTACTTTTTACTTTTGTATTAAAACTCTAATATTTAAAATAATCCATAATGATTATCCCTTTGAGCCCCATTACCAGGTGTCTATTTTTTCAAGAATTTATCAAGTATCAGCTTATCTCTGTTGAGTAATGTGCAGGTCAACATTATTTGTATTTATTAAATAAGTTTTACATATGTTCCTAAAGGAACATGAAAATATTGATAATTCACATAATAAAAACTTCTGAAAATATGTTAGTCTCTACCCTAGGCATTTAGGTACAATTTATAAGCAGATTAAGTAACTCTTAATTCACTCTAATAATGATAGAAAAACATTGTAAATTGTAAAAGTCTGTTGACAACTTTCAAACATGATTTGGGCCAGTTGTTACAACTTTTTTTTCTTTTTTATTAAGGAGTTCACTAGAGCCTCTAACAGAAAACAAACCCAAAAAACCCCACTGTATTTGATGATTTCAAAAACCACTTCCTCCTTTGCTTTCTTCCTGCTTTCTGTGGAGTTGATCCATGACTGTGGAAATGGATAGAACTAGGAAAACACGGAATAAAAGCTCCATGTCCACAACTATGTTCTCTTTTCTTCAATGACCTACTTCTTTGCTCTAATAGTGTCACCATGTCTCTTTTGAAGGATTATCCCATTATCTTCATTCAGAAAAGAGGAGCTCAGCCTCATGACTCCTGGACATCTACTCATCTCTGTTACTAAACCCACCCATGTTATTCTAGTGTATGTACTACCTGTGAGTTAACCCTCCACTCTCCTAGGCACTGATAGGATTCTATCCTGCAAGGTTTCCTCCTTCTCCCCTCTATTCTCATCCTTACCTGTTCCTTGCCCCCCAACATTATAACCACCAGCAACCTAGCTTCAAAATGACTCAAATAATCCCACTTCAAAGGAAATGGATTTTGAGCCATAAAGTCTCTTTAGCTATTATTCCACTTATTTCCCTTTATGTCCTAGCACTTGGCAATTAGACCTTTGTTTATAGACATGCTGAGCATGAAACTAACCCTCTCAAGGCTCAAAGGGAAAGTAGTTTTTTTTGGATTTTTACTTTAGCCTAATTTTACACATTTTTAGCACACATATAAATTGAAATTGAGACCACTCAAAAATTTTCTCTGCAAAGCACATAAGTGCTTTCTTACATTATGCTACATTAGATAGAACTAAAAAAAATAAAAGAGAGTAATACTTTTCTCTTAGGGTTGATAATAATAAAACCTATAGATTTCTTTTTGGTTGGTGTTTCTTCTTTTTCTTATGTATTTCTTTCATTGCCCCCTTTCTGTGTTTCATACAGTGTTAAAAATTCTCCATATGTTGAAATCTGAAAGAAGGTGTATGAATTAGGTATTACTATTGTCTCGTTCTGTATCATGTCTTCTTTTACCTCAGTTTCTCCATCAATACAATGGACATGGTAATAATATCTACTCATGGATATGTGCTATCAAAGGAGATAATAGCTCTAAAGTGTTTGTTACAATCTTTTCCGTATATTATCATCTTTTCTCTGGCAATACTGACAGACAAAACAAAAGCAAAATAAACAAACAAAAAACAGTTTTGATGATGCTACCATTCTGACCAAAAACTTTTAATAATTTCCCATCTACTATATTATAGTCTTTAAGTTGACCCTTTTCTTGCCCTACCTCCCACCACTCATCTACAGAATGTCTGTGTCTCAAAAGTAGGACCACCCACTCTCTTGCACACTGTACCTTTTCTTACTTCCCTTTATGATATTTTGTGTATTTTCTTCTACTTTAAATAACTTCCCTCTTTTTTCTAATCCAAAGCCCATATATAACATATATTTACTGAGAACTTATTATACACGAAGCACTCTTCTAAGCTAGATTCATATTTGCTCATTTAATTCTCCTCATAGTCTTGTAAGATTTACTGCCATTTCCTCTGTCCATTTTACAAATGACAAACTTAAGGCACAGGGAGATCTTATAGCTTGTCATGGATCACACAGCTAATAAGTGGCAAATCTATGATTCAATTCCAGATAGTCTGGTTCTAAAGTCTTCTCTTAACCACGAATCTGACTTCCGTCTTATAGGGTTCAAGTGATATCTTAGTAACTCCATAAATACTTCTTTATCTCTACCACTGAGATGAAGTGATATTTATTTTCTTCTGAATTATCACACCAAGTATCTGTCAATTTTTGTAGAGCTTACCTGCTAGTCTAATGAATTTATTAGACATTCTGCCTTGATGTTCAAAGGAGTTACAAAATGTTCATTCAGTATTGTCCTCAAGGAAGTACCATTTGGTAGAAAAGAGAGTAGTGAATAGAAAAAAATATTTTAATAATGTGAAAGGTGCTACATTTATAAGATTATAACCGTTGATTCTAGTAGAGACATGGGACAGGATGGTTAGGGAGGGTGTAAACGTGGTGTTCTAAAAGCATTTAGCAGAGGAGTTAAGGCAATCCGGAGGGCCATCTAAGGCTCTCTAAAGAGGTTGATATGACGTGGTAATTGGCATTTATCTAGAGGATGCGGAAAGAGAAACATGCTCAAGGAAAAATAAAAGAAATGCATAAGGTCTTGAGAGATCAACTGAACAAATAAGAGAAAGCTACAGTATATGGTACAGCCCAGAAAACCAAAAGGAAGAAATCATCCTACCGGGTGGGAAGGATACGTGAGTGTGTTTGGTATTCATCCTTTACAGCCCAGAAAACCAAAAGGAAGAAATCATCCTATGAGGTGGAAAAGATACGTGAGTGTGTTTGGTATTCATCCTTAGAGCAATAGAAAACCAGAGAAAGTTTGAGCTATGGAGGAATGACATGACTGTGGTTTTCTTATGGTTATGGAAACAATGGTAATGGGATGATAGTTGAAAGTATTAACTAAGTGTCTCAGTAAACCTTTGTGCAGGAATTCTGTGTTTACCTAAGAGATTCACAGAGACTAGAGATAGAGACACATGCTAGCTGGCAAAATTCCTTCAAGTGAATTCCAATTTAAGTGCATAAAATTATGATGGCACGATATAATGTAAACTTATAAAGTAATATGGAATTATGGGTAAGAGAACCACATTTCAATTCAGAGAATAAGAAGGAAAATAATTTACGGGCATTGAGCCCTTAGTATGTAGCATGCTCTATTTTAAACTCTTGATAAGCAATAACTTATTTAATATGCTAATACTTTAATATTTTATAAATAATTATAAGTTATAACTAAATAATAAATTATAAATAAATAATTATAAATAATCATAAGCAATAATTTATTTAATACTCTAATACTAATATTTATTTAATACTCTAATACTAATTATTTAATACTCAAATAATAAATAAATTATTATAAATTATTATAAGCAATAATTTATTTAATACTCTAATACTTTAATATTTTAATAAGCAATAACTCATTTAATACTCTCAACAACTTAATGAAGTAGTTTAGTAGTTAAAATAGTGAACAGATGTTTTAATAGAAACCAAAATAATAGGGACTTAAGTCAATGTTAAGATTTATTTCTCTTCTGTATAGAAGTCTGGACTGGTAGGTGGCTAAGGGCTATCACACTGTTGTGCTCCATGAGGTCAGGCAGAGCTCTGGGTACCTTCTTTCTTGCCATTCCTTAGATCAATGCTGTCTGATAGAAATATAAGTGAACTAAATGTGTAATTTTTAATTTTTCTATTAATCACATTTTTCAAAAGTAAAAATAAACAGATTAAATTAACATTAGGGATATATTTAATTTAACCTAATAGGTCCAAAATGTGATCATTTTAAATATGTATTACCTCACAATTAGGATGCTAAATTTCATTGGAAATACTTGGTCATATTTAGGTTTCACAAAAATTTTGTTTGGAAAATGTTAATACACACAAATTGTTTCAACATACAATTTTTTAATAACTAAATTATTTGTTTTTAAATTTAAAGTAATTAAAACCAAATACAATTAAAAATTATTTTATTCAGTCACACCAGCCAATTTCAAGCGCTCAAGAGCCCGATGTGGCCAGTGGCCACTGTACTAGACAGCACAGGTCAAGGGTATAGCCTTCATCCACTTTTTATCCGCTAGCTCACTAGCACTGTATCTGAATTCCAGAGTAAGAAATGGGGGAAAAGGGGGATAAGAGAAATTAGCCTAAGGCTTAAGGTAGGAGGCTAGGATAGAAATCACAGTCTCATGCTCGATGGACATCTTCCTTCCTTTGTTTATAGGCAAGGAGGAAGAGAATAAGGGCAAGGATGTGCTACCAACACAAAATTGAAGAAATGGATATTGGAAAAACTAGCAGTCCACGTCACTTGTGGATACTCTTGTAGCACTATTTTTCAGACAAGAAAAGGGAGACACAAAAATTTATGTTTCTACTTTTATACATTTGTTAACTAGTAAGTTGAAAAAAAAAGTATTTCTACCGTAATATAAAGGATGTTTGAAATTTGAACGTTATCCAATATATCAGATTTTGACAATTGTTATCTAATGTTTTATTTATTTTTTTGCTTTTCCTGTGTTGATACGCTAGCTCTTAGATTGCATGAGCTTTAAGGAAATGAAAAAAAAAAATGTCATTCAATTCCTTTTACACTTTCACGGTGCCTAATATCATTCAATTCTTTACACATTTACAGGTTGCTTAGTTATACTGTAAAGTCTAAAAAAGAACTAAGTTATTCTTTCACGTAAGCCATATTTACTAGGCTTTCTTTCCACATAATTTTTGATTATCTGAGTTCAAAAGATACATGTGAAGACAGAAAAAGTAACAACTAAAAAACATAAACAGCAACTTAATAAACACTCAGAAGTCTTATTGATATATGTTTACTTTGTGAGGTTTGACTTCATCTGTTTTCTTAAGTCACTGATCTCCTCTGGAAGAATTTTTTTCATCTTTGGGGAATTGCTTTTAACAATATAATGAAGCACACAAAGTACAGAGAAAATCGTGCAGGCTTTGTGGGAATGTCTGGTTTTTATATTCATGTGATTATTTTCATTGTTCATCTCATTGTAATTTTTTGTAAGAATTTGTAAGCTTTCTGTTTACTTATATTGAAAGAAAAAATATCACAATCATATAATAACATCAAAACTATGTTGTTCTTTGTGGGGTTTGTGTCTAGAATACATCTTTATTTTATTGATCTTGAAAGTGAAAAAATAGTTTTGTTATGTTTTAGTTTTTGTAAATCACATTCACATTATTCTGATATATAATTTGTACCACGTATCTACAGTGTAGAAACTAATTCACAGAAAGTGTAGGAACTTCATTCTACAAAGTGCAACTCACAACTATCAGGGCAGAATTTTTACCCCAAACCGAAAACCAGATCACCCAACCTTAATCCCTCCATTTTGCTGAAACAACGTAACATACTAATTCTGCCGTCCCACCTAGTGGCTTTCTAAATAAACTCTAGTCATTTTATGAGTATTTTAAATTATTTTCAGGTAACGTATGGTTTTTACTTGAACATAAAATATCAGTATGTAAAGCAAAATGATTTTTCAGGTTTAGTTTAATCTGAACTGAACCATACCTAGAGCATCTGTGGTAATTGGCTGATGGCAACCAAGGCAAATGTCATGTGATCCTAGGCATGTAAACCAAGAAGACAGGAAAACAGTATCCAATTCGCTACAGATAACTGTTACAAGGAAACAACTTAATCCATAACTCTGAATGAAATATATTTGGAATGGATAGTAAAACCAATCAACTTTCTTTGTATTTTAGGAATTAAGGTTTAGCAGGATATATCAGGTCATATAATTTGTGTTTAATCAGTACCTCCCAGCCTACCCAAATCACTAAGATTTACTTTGAAGATTGCAACAAGAACTGGAAGAAAAAAATTAAAATCTCCATTAGGCAAATTTTTTGCCAGTTAAATTGGTCAAACAAAACATGTTACAGAGTTGGTAGTGGTTTTTTAAAAAGCAACTCCTAAACCTTCACAAGAATATAAACTGGTATGGCCTTTTTAAAGAGTATTTTCTTATTTTAAATTAAAATTCTCCCTTGATCCTATAATTTTGCTTTGACAAATCTAAATTAAAAAACTGTGTTACTTGTCATTGTGAAGAGAGTGAAAATAATCTAAAATATCCATCCACTGAAAAACACTTAAATAAAATATGGCGTACTATTTTATTTATTGTAGAAGCACATAGCTATGTAGAGTCAGAAAAAGACATCCCAGTACTTTAAAATGTAATATATCCTAGGGTATGTGTAAGAAAATCCCATTTTTGGTTGGGTGCAGTGGGTCACACCTGTAATCCCATCACTTTGGGAGGCCGAGGCAGGTGGATCACGAGGTCAGAGATCGAGACCATCCTGGCTAACATGGTGAAACCCCGTCTCTACTAAAAATACAAAAATTAGCCGGGCGTGGTGGCAGGCGCCTATAATCCCAGCTACTCGGGAGGCTGAGGCAGGAGAATGGCGTGAACCCGGGAGGCAGAGCTTGCAGTGAGCCGAGATCACACCACTGCACTCCAGCCTGGGCGACAGAGCGAGACTCCGTCTTAAAAAAAAAGAAAAGAAAAGAAAAGAAAAGAAAATCCCATTTTTATGAAAAAGTACACATACACACACACAGTACATTCAGTGAACAATATGTAGTGAGTAACTTAGAGACAAAAAGAACTGGAATGAATACACCAAATTATCTATTACTAATACGGGAGTATTCAAGAATGGTAGTGGTAAAGGGAGAATTTACTTCTATATATTTTTTTTAAGATTTCATTTCTTTAAAAACATGTAATAAAATATATGGCTGTTCACTGAACACCAACCTGTAAGTGCTTAGAGATTTCATGAGGTTAGGCAATGAATATGTATAGAGGAAATAAGACTTACTAAGTAAGCTGAACAATACCCAGAGCTCACATGGTTGAGATCCATCCCAGTTTTGAAGTAGGAGAATGGAGAGACCAATTTGAACACATGGGACATTCAGTAGAGCTCTCAGGAAGAGCCAGAAAGGCTGCAAGTTAGAATTAGGCCAAAATTAGTTCTAGAATAAAGGCTACTCTAGGACTAACAATGCTTAAAAGTCAAGAGTTGCAAGGATAATGTGAACTGCCTACCTAAGCAAAACTGATACTCTGAAGGATGACATCTATATACAAAGCAACATAAAATTCACAACGTCCGGCATCCAATAAAAAATTTAAAATATGCAAAGAAGTGGAACAATGTAACCCACAACCAGGAAAAGAAAATTGGTAAGTAGAAACAACCAGAAATAACAAAGTTGATGGAATTAGCAGAAGGAATTTTGAAAACATGTACTACAAATATATTCAAAGATTTAAGGAAAACATAAATATAATATAAAGAGATATGGGAACAATAAAACTAAACTAAATTGAATTTCTAGGGCTGGCTGAACAAATAAAACTTATAAAATGAAAAATTTACCAGATTGATCTAATAGAAATTTAGAGGTTACAGAAAAGGAAAAAGATAAGACTAATGAATTTGAAATGCATTAAACATTGAAGACTACCTAAACTAAACTAAAGGGAGAAAAAATATGGTCAGAGCATAGTTATATGAAGTAAAATAATAGAGTTTCATGTATGTTTAAGTTAACTTCCAGAAGAAGAGGAAAAAGAAAACTATTTGAAGAAATAGTGGCTTAACCTCAAATTTGATTAAAACTATAAACCCACAGATCCCAGAAAGTTCATCAAATCCCAAGGTGGATAAACAGATGAAAAACCACACCAGAATGTATGTATCAACTTGCTGAAAGCAAATAAAAGTTTTAAAAAATTTACAACAGTCAGAAAAAAAATGTACAGAGGACTAAAGTTATAAGAATTTTTAAAGTGCTTTAAAAGTTTATTTAAAGAAAACCACTGAAAACTAGAATTCTGTATTACATTTTACATCACAAACAATAGTGAATTTCTAAGTAGCACTACAGGAGACATTAAAGAATGTTATCTGGGCCAACTCAAAACAATAAAATAGATTCTTCTTAAACTTTGCTCTACGTAAAAGAATTAACAATGTTAGAAATGATAAAAGTATGGATAAAATTATCAGATTATTTTTTCTTATTTTCAGTTTTTATAAAACAATTCATCATTTGAAGCCCCAAACCAAAAGGTAACTAACTGTATTATCTTTCTCTTCAGATACATCAAAGAAAACCAACAATATGAAGAGATAAGAATGAGGAATGCCTGTTGGATTTGGTAGGATGGCGAGTATTGGTTGTATTTGCCAGAAAAAGTTTCAGTAAATTATTAAGAGCAGAAGCCAGTCTGTGGTGGGTTGATAAGTGAATGATGGCAATTTCCAGACATACATCTAATTATCAGCATGCATTTCCCATCTTACCTTTCAAAATCCTATCATAATTATATTTAATGGAAAATTCACTTTAGATAACATTAAAAAGATTGCAAAATAGAAAATGGAAGAATGGTAAGTGATTTAAGAGGGTGATGCATAATCTCCATACAGATCTGTAGAGACATAAAACAACTGCCTGGAATAACTCTGGAAAGGTATAAGCGGAAGCACCAGATAGTGCAGAAAGTGAGGGTATGGTGTGATATAGAAAACGGATGATTGATTGAATATTGGTAGATAAAGATTGAACCCCAAGATTCTCCTCCTTGTATAATCAAGCAATCACCATTCTCTTCCACTCTCTACCTCTGCGTTCCCAATTCCTACAGAATACTGAAGTTTTATGCCTTTAGGAAGTGAACTTGGGAGATGTTAAAGTGACAAAGCATATTAAAAGCAAGGGTGAAGCAAGGGGCTACAAACTGAGGAATTAAGTGTAATTCATACTGCAGTCTAATTCTTTCCACTGATATGATTCCAAAACCACTAGCAAACATACCTTTCCTCTTTCCTCAGGAACCTCCAAAGGACCCAAAAGCAAGAGAATATAAGAGGCCTCCTCATCACAAATAAAAGAGCTGAGAGAAAATGTTTCAAGATGCTTCACTGGAAAAACTCACCAGGTGCCTGTAACTAATTTCTCTAATTGGCATTCTCACTCTCACATTCAAAACTTTCACAATGAACATACAACACAATCAATGATTACCAGCCAGTAGGGAAGTGGGTCTTAAGTAATCAAATAAGAAACTGAGAACATGCTTTAAATAGAAAAGAAAGAGAGAAAACACAAAAATAACTCGTAGTATTTCCAAAGAAACAAGAGGTGATCAAATATCCACAAAACAAGAACCTTAGCCAAAGCAAATAAGCAGAATAAGAAAAATTTCTTAGAAATTAAAACATGGCATGTCAGAATCACTTAAGTGCCTAAGTGACAATATATGTTAAAGCCCAAAATACAGTTAAACAATATATTATTCATCTGTGGAAAGATTTATGAGCAAAGAATATATAAAGAACTAATATGTTGAGTTACAGATTAGCATCCCAAGTGCAATTAACTATTGTTTTAATTTAGAAACATAATTACAACGCAAAAGGTAATATTTTAGTTCTTAGAAATGTAATAGGCAAAAGATGAAAAAGATACATACACATGCATTAGGCTATGTAGATGCTTTAACATTTCCCTTTCAGAGTAAAATTCAAGAGAATTTAAACAATGAAATCCACCAAATGGCCATTTAAATAATTGTGGAAAAAATTTTATATGCCTGCTCATATTACAATTGAAATTATCTTGGAAATTGTTTTCAAATGAAGAAGACATTATTATTTTTAGAACCTTTTATTCTATTTTATCAAATGTCACTTATACTGGTCTTTCATTATTCTTCAGGTTAGACACTATTCAAGGGTATTAATGTTGAGGAAATGGACCCATTTTTCTTTTACTTACATGTTATTTAGAAATTTGAAATAATTTCTCATAGAAAAATATTCATGTCATATTGTCTATAAAAATCACTAAATGTAACTGCTGTATTTCATTATTTTAAGTAATATTATTGATATCATTGGATTCTTCATGAATTTAAAATAAACCTTTATTTAACATGTTGCTTAAAAGTAACATTGGGTAACTAACCATAGACTAATTTGATTTAATGCAGAAAGAGAAAAATAAAAATAAAACTTTGAAATTTGAGAAATGTAAATGATTGATTTTGTATCATTTCAGTTTTGTATCATACACATTAATAAAAGTTTAATATTCTGTGCCATGAAATTGGAAGTAAGGATAAAACATAAGAGTTGCGTACTGAAGGAGAAAGATAGGTTGACTTGAGGGAAAGCACTCATCCACTTGTTAGAGATGTAAGCTAAACTAGCCACTTTTTCATGGAACACCACCTTTACCTCAAAACAAAAACAAAGCAAAAAAAAACTGTGAACATCTAGATTTGTGTGTTTGGCAGACTGTTTTTTGTTTTTGTTTGTTCAGAAATGAACAAAGTGAATCTTTCAATATAAGGGAAATAATTGATATTTGATTATAAAATTTGAACTTTCAAGCAAATTTAGGAAATTTCATTCTGCTATTGTGAGCTTGACAGCTTCCCAATAAATATTTTCTTTGACATAAACAGTAATACTAGAAGATCTCCATTAGTCATTAAACCAATATTTTCCAAATGACCAATGCATATTACAAGTCATGCATTTCAAAGTGCAGATGAACCAATGAATTTTAATATAAAAGAGAACAAAAAGTTCAGTGATATACTTTCAAATTCCACACTTCAATTAACTGTTAACAAACTGCCACTTCTAATTTTTTGCATGTATCAAAGAAAAATAACCACAATTATATTAAAAGACTATTGAAATATGCCTGCCTTTTCCAGTTACACAAGTGTTCCAGCTGGATTTTCCTTATTTTTGATACATAATAGATGTACATACTTTTGGAGTACATGTGATATATTCACATAATTTGTAAAGATTAAATCAGCATAATTGGGATATTTATCACCTTAAATATGTCTTTTCTTTATCATGAAAACATTCAAATTATTTTCTTCTAGGTATTTTGAGATATAAAATAGATTATTGTAAACTCAAACACTAGGTCTTATTTCTATCAAACCATATGTATTTTTTAAACTATTAATAAATGTTTCTTTATCCTCCCCTCCCCTCTACCCTTGCTGGTCTCCAGTTTGCACCAATCCACTCTCTATCTTCATGAGATCCATGTTTTTAGCTCCCACATATGAGTGAGAACATGTGATATTTGGCTTTTTATACTTGGCTTAATTCATTTAACTTAATGACCACTAATTCCATTCATGTTGCTACAAATGATAGGATGTTTTATGCATGAATAATACTCCATCGTTTATATATACCACATTTTCTTTGTTCATTCATCCATTGAGGGACACTCAGTTTGATGCCATGTTTTGGCTATTGTGAATAGTGCTGCTATAAACATGAAAGTGCAGGTATCCTTCAATATACTGATTTCCTTTCTTTGGGGTTTATATTCATTAGCAGAATTGCTGAATCATATGGCAGTCTTGTTTTTAGTTTTTGGACTAAAACGAATCATATGGTAGTTCTGTTTTTAGTCTTTTAGTTTTTGTATGGCGTTTTCCAAAACTCCATACATCCTCACCAGCATCTGTTATTCCCTGTATTTTTGATAAAAGCCATTTTAACTGGGGTGAGATGGTATCTCATTGTGGCTTTAATTTGCATTTTTCTGATAATTAGTAATTCTGAGCTTTTTATTTATATACACCTGTTGGCCACATGTATGTCTTCTTTTGAGAAAATGTCTTCTTTTACCCATATTTTAATTGGATTGTTTTATTCTTTAGATGCTTCCACTGACACAACATTTTGAAACATACAGAACCCAAAAGCAGATATAAAAATTCAAATGTTTTCCATTAAGCCAAACATGCAAAAATCTTATATTAAGCCAAATTTACCAATGTACAACACTGTTACCTTTCTATTTTTATTTTTGTTTTAGGAAATATTTTATAAAACCATAGTATTTATGTATGTCACCCAGGCTGGAGTGCAGTGGCATGATCTCAGCTCAATGCAACCTCCACCTCCATGGTTCGAGCAATTCTCCTGCCTCGGCCTCCCAAGTAGCTGGGACTACATGTGCACACCACCACACCCAGCTAATTTTTGTATTTTTAGTAGAGACGGAGTTTTGCCATGTTGGCCAGGCTGGTCTCGAACTCCTGACCTCAGGTGCTTCACCTGCTGCAGACTCCCAAAGTGCTGAGATTACAGGAGTGAGCCACTGCACCCGGTCAATTTTAAATAAATACATAAATTATTTTTTAAATTATCAGTTGTAATTTGTAATATTTCTAACATAGCCGAAATTGTTAGATGTGACTCACATAAAGCAAAATTCTTTCAGATCTTCAATAATTGTTATGAGGTAAAGGGTTCCTAAAACCAGAAAGTTTTAAAACTACTGCTTATAAAGTGCTGCCTTCCTAATATAACTATTGTAGATGTAAAAGTATTCTAAAATGGAAATTTTAATGATATTCTTATTTAAAAGGAAACAGTAAGTTAATTTTTTTTTCTTATGGAGTCTTATTATTCATTTTTTAATAATATACAGATATAACAACTCTGCCTAGTGTCTGCATTTGAATCTCAAATAATCATCATTGAACATAAAAAGGAAAAAAAAACATCTGAATATCACAAAATAACTCAATACCACAAATTGGCTGATGAATATTTAATTTGCACATTAATTGATCTACAGATAAGTAAGGCTTGCAGAATAAATGAATAAACTCATAAATATTTCCTGAATTATTTATCTATTTGGTCTTTTGTAGAAGGCAGTAGGTGTATTATGCAAAAAAGTTGCTCCATAAATATTAATACATGACATATTAAAAGTCAAAAAAAAATGCCCTTTTCTTATAATCACTGGCCACTGCTACTCTACTAATAAGCAAAGATGAAAGATGGAGATTTACATAATTGAACATCATTTGAAAATGAGATATTAGCTTGATTCATGTTTACACATCCAAAACTTTAAAACTCTTGGACATGATGATGATTAACCAGAAGAAAGGGGATTATGGCACATTTATTTTTCATCTCTCTAGTTTAGATGGGAGTGAGGACGCAGGTCTATTCCCCTATTAACTGTCACTCGCTGAGCCTCCTGTGTGATGTACATATACAAGATGACATGGTCTTGTATATATGGCCAAAATATATGTATTTCTTTGTGAAAGTTTACCTTTTATTGAATTAAAGGGTGATTAAAAGTAGATTAAAGATTGTTTCTTTATTTTACTATTTACACAGTGTGCATGACTCCCCCAAATAGTCTTTTATTATTTGAAGTACTACTTATTCCTACAAGGCTTCCTTAAATAATCCCTAATATCATAAGATTAAATATTTTCTATTTCCTCAGTATTGGCATAGAAAATCTTAAGTTTTTTGAGGGGGGTGGGTGGTTGTCAAATATCTTACAATCTTTTCTTGTTTATTTATTTATTTTTTTGTAGAGACAAAGTGTTATCATGTTGCCCAGGCTGGTCTTGAACTCCTGGCCTCAAGCAATCTTGCCACCTTGGCCTCCCAATGTGCTGGGATTACAAGCATGAGCCACCTCTCTCAGCCTGTTTTTTAATATACATTCTATCTCATTAACTACATTATAAGTTCCTTGAAGTAAACTAGCACTGTACTTGGCTTTGTTCATATTGATGTGGTGCAAAGCTGATAATTTAACAGATGACTATTTTTGGTTAACCAAAGTGACTCAAATGACCCAAGCAAGTTCTGTCAGCTCAACTCAAGTATCCTGGTGAGGAAACCCAAAAATAAACTTTACCTGAGGAAAGCTAGGAACCAAGGATACCATATTCATATTTTGTATTATTATTACATAAGAACTTAAGTACCTTATTTCCTATTGGAAAAGAAAATACATAAGTCTACATTCTATAGCCCTAATTACCAAATATTGCATTATATGAAGAAATAAGCTATTAGCAGTGAGACCCAGAATGAAACTTCAGTAGTGTTTCAAGCGAAATCCTTTAAAATCACTCCCATTTCCTCTGCCTATTTTTTTTATAGTGAGTGATATTAATCTCTCTACTCTAAAAGGATGAAATGAGTAATGAAAGGGCATGTGCCACCCTAAAAAATGCTTTAATATTCACTGGTAATGTTTTTTGCTGTAAATTTAAAATCATAAAAATTATGTTGGTGAAATTTGTGACGACAGATACTTTTAATTATATTCTAACAAAAAGTTGCAGGCCTTCTAACATGTTTATTCTCGTATCTTCCTCACATCTATTAATGACAACTCATTCCCCTCATCATCATGAGGACTAGTTTGGGTTTCCCCAAACCAGACCCTGAGACAAAGACTTGAATGCAGGTAGTTTATTTGAAAGGTAATCCCAGGAAGTAGAAGTGAGGGAGTAGGGAAAATGAGATGGAACAAAACCCAATAAACAATTGATACTGTGGAGAACTGGGACCCATTCCTGTTGATGATGCTCAAAGGAAACATGAAGAACAAACCTTTGCATTGTCCCTTGTTGACCTACTGCCTACTCTTCCTCATAAACTGAAGGTTACCCACCCTGGGCATATTCAATCCCTGGCTTTCAGGGGTGTATTGATCACAAATTTGGCTCACAAGAATGTACCCCCATCAAAAAAGCAGAGTCCATGGTACTTAGAGTGAGATGCTTTCATTATACAGGATCTTATTGTAGGTGAACGCCACTGTGGACCAAGCAATTAAGAGGTGAGACATCTACAACATCTGCCACATCAATGTTCACTTTTTAGAGTCAATATTAATGATGTCTTTACCTCATTCATAAGTTGCCAACAATATCTCAATAGCTTCCTAACTGAATTCCTTCTTTGTAATTATGTTTCTGTCTAATCCTATAAGCAGACAGGGAGGGTCTGCAGGGATTATAGGAATAAAATCAACTTGAGCAGTCAGCCTGTTTTCCAGCTTTGCAGCTTGTTTTTTTTCCCAAACCCTGCCTGGAATGTGGTCACGCAGTTGATTGAAATCAGCTCCTCACAGAGCCCAGAAACTTATACAGACAAACATGAGTGAACGTTCCTCAGTACCATGCTGAGATCTCCAACCCAGGATGAGCTATAGCTTCATTACCATAACATGTGATGCATGTGCTGGCAAGACACACTGCATTGTGCAACTGGGACCCCTTCTCTACATGCAATGACTCGCCCTTTCCCCTCTCCATCGCCCCATGGAACCCTTGTGTCACTTTTCCTCAGGGAGATACGGGTTTGGAGAATATTCCCAGGGCTCTCTTTATCTGTGGCAAGCAATAAAAGTATTGATCAAACCTGCGTTCTCGTGGAGAGTTGCCTATTACTCACTGGGCGAATGAACTCCTATTTTTCTAGGTAACAATCCTACAAACCACACCAAGTTAGTGATTCTTACATTGATGTATTAATTTATCAAAGGACATTTATTGGGTGCCTGTAATGGATCAAACACATAGGTCCTGAACTGGCCATTCCAGACCTGGCCAATCATAAGCCCAGTGATCATTGTCATTCATCCAGGATTGATATATACCATCCAGAATTTTTTAAACTGGGACACGTACTGAAACCTTTTTACTTCACTAAGCTACAATTGTCTGACCACCCCAGACTGCTGGTATTGTGTCTCCTGCCACATGAAGTCTGTGGAGTGAGTGAAGCTGAGGATCAGAGAAAAGATCCAATCGATTCCTGGTTCTGATTGCTAAGGAACTTGAGAATGGACATTTTTTCTGGAATGTTTCCCTCTGTTCTGTGAACTATCCTTCCAACATCCTCTCAACACCGCTTATTTCTTTTTATTATTATTACTAAGCTAATTAAAATTGAAATTATGCCATTTACAAGCGAAACAATCCTGCTATGCTATAGAATTTAAATTAACTTGAAAGTTTTTTCTCTAAAGCTGAAAAGAGAAAAGAAGATATGAAGTAAAATCTTGATGTTTGGAAGGAGCACTATATCACATACATCTTTATCATGAAATGTACTGAATCGTGGTATTAATCAAAGAATAATAAAATATCAGAATGCAAAATGTGAGAATAAAGATTAAACTAGATGCTAAATTAAAATACAATGTCAACTCTCCTTAATTATATATTCTAAAATCAATAGGCAAAATGCACCAGCTCGTTACCCGCTAATCAATGAGATATTAATAAGACTTTCTTCTTATATAATTATAAATAAACATATTATCTTAAAGCAAGCATCTTATGAATAGAGTCTAAATCAACTGGACTAATTATGACAAAATAGAAGATGTAAGTACTTCTGAAATCCTAAATGGTCATCTAAGCCTTGGTTATCAAATCCTCCATTGCATCTTTTTCTCTCTCCAGAAGTACTTTGGTAGAGAACCTTGAGAAGACTGCTACAGGAAATAAGAAACTATCATGGAATTGACATCATCAGATTTATGTTGCAAAATTCTCAGGGTTGCAGGTTTATAGAGGATAGAATAAGAAGAGGCACATAATGATGTTAACTACTATTAAAAGAGGGTACTGGGCTACATTGCAGGTTCCTTTAAGATTAATCAATCAACATGCCTGCAGCAAATATTGTGCAAACTTGTGAGATTATCTAAATGCCTATTATGTTTTAAGTTACAGCAGGGCTGTAACTTGCTCTTTTTGGTTGTCACTGCACAGCATTGCCCTGAAAATATTCTACATTTAAGTGTAAATTATTTTTCTCCCCCAAAAGGTCTAAGTTCTTTGAGGGCTGAGACTTAAATTATTGCTGTGGCCTTATCACTCAAAATCACTGCTTGGCAGATAACAGATTATACATACATATATGTGCATATGTTTGGTATATAATAGAAAATATATATATATTCATATATGTACATATGCATAGCTAATTATTGAAAGAATCAATGAACACCAAAAAGTTCCTGATAAAATTATAAAGAAAATCATTTTGGATATTTATAAAAGTCATACAGAGCTCAAGGGACGAGATGTTTTACTTAATCAAATGTGGAAAATTTTTATTTAAAAACTTCACTTAGGCAATAGTTCTATGCTATTTTATTTTCTGGATCAAAGCTAATCATCATGCTTAATTATAATTTTATCTCATAAAAATTTTCATTTCCTCCAATAATGAGAAAAAGATTTGAAAATGTTACAGTAATTTGAAAGTTTATTCGTGTATAGAAAATTATAATGAACTTAACTATATATAGAATGAAAATAAGAATAAAAGATATAAAAGAAAACTGAAAATGGCCAAATATTTTGACAATATTACATTTTCATATTCTACTTTGATGTAAAGAAAATAGACTCCAACTTATTGTTTTAAAAGCAAAGAAGGAGGGAAGGGAGAAAGGGAGGGAGGGAGGAGAGAAAGTACCAACACTACACCAACTGCTTATGTATTCTTAGACATGTCACTTTAACCTATAGGGGACTTTCCAATCTGTGAAATGGGCTGTTTTCTACTTCACAATGTAATCACGAGGCTCGTATATAATAATGGGAGTGAAAGTTTTTGTTAAGTAATGTAAGACATATTAATTCTCTGCTCCAGTCCTCAGGTGCAGGGCCCCTTCATTGGGATAACTGTCCATTCAGAGAGCTCCACCTTCCTTCCTCATGCCTAGTCCCTAACTATCACTTGATACTAGCCATTAGTTAATTTTAAAGTATAAAGAGAGGAATCTTTTTCAGGAAATGTCAGAGTCTTTAGAGGAAATAATCATTAACTCTTATAAATAGAGAATGTGTTTCTCACCTCTGGTCATGTTCAGATGATTGCATGTCCTACCTATTCCTTCTTTTAGAGTGGCTATGACTGTCCTCTGATGCAGTGTTAATGTCCACTTCTCTCTAGACTGTGACAGGAAGCTATGGATCCACAGCTAAGCATCCTATGCAAGCATAAGTAAGTAGAAGAAACACAACTGGATCTAACCTACTCTTTGAAGATAACGGACATTGAATTGTATAGACCAACTAAAAGAGTTCCAGTTCTAAGACAAGACCCAGAATTTCCAAATTTTAGAGTCCTTCAGAGCAATACCACCACAGTCAGCCTGTCTCCGCTTCAATATGATTATACAATAATTTAAATGAGGCAAAGACTCTGAATATTTTTGTTTGAACAAGGAATTTATCAGAGTAATAGCAATATTATACCTTTAAGGTTGAAGTGAAAAGATGATTTACAAGTACCTATACCCTAAGAGAACAGAAATTTAAATTTATTTGTATTTATCTGACAACAGATTATGAAGTAAGGAATCAGAGAGGCAAATTTTTAGAAGTTAAAGGGTCATACCAACCATCTCTATGCTACCAAAAAGCCATTTTTAATAATAGTTTTTATAATGATAGGAAACAGAACAGAATTACTATAGTTGCACTAAATAATATGTCATAGGCATCTCAATGTCTATATATAGATTTGAATGCTAATTTTAAAAGAAAAGACAAAAATTTAAACATCATAAAAATCTAATATGCTAAAAGTAGTTAATTATTCTACACATATATTTAGCAATTGTTAACATAATTATGGAGATAATGTAGAAATATAGGTGGCATTTTTCTATTCTGGTTTATTTAAAAGTCAAAAATTAAATTATTTTTGGACATTGTTTATTTCAAGATTTTAAAAAGGCAGAAAGTGAAAATAATTAGACAATAATTAAAATGGTGTGATTCAGTTTGATGTCCAATCATTTGGAAGTTGTAATTTTCCATATAATTTTGTCATATATTTTCAATTATTCCTTAAAATGGCAATTTTAGACAAAATCAGTAAAGCAGCATTGTATAAATTATTTCTGTCATGTATGAAATTGAAAGGATAAATTAATCTTTAAAAATAATTGGTTTTGCCTATAGAGGAAAAGGAAGCAGCTCTCTCTTCTTCCCTCCTTCAAAATATCTCCTTGAAAACATAATTGGCTTGAATCCTTTCTCTAAACCATGGAACATAGATCAGTCTCTTCAAGGAATAGAATAGCCCAGACTCCATGTTTACAGTGTAGATTTCTCCAAGGTCATTGGTCTCATACCCTCTTGAAATGTAAAACTACATCCTCAGAGTTAAAGTAGGAGCCCATCTCAAGGTGGAACCATTGGTTTTGGAGGGAGATAAGAAGTATTATTATTCTTTTGAAGGAGCTCAATTAACTAAACAAATAGCTGTTCAAATTCTTCAGTGAACTTTGTTCTCACTTTGCTATATAAATTGTGCAGAATTTTATCCTGGCTCTGTTGTCTCCTGTGGGCTACCTAGATGTGTGTATTCTGTTTTGCTAATTCAGTAATAATGAGTTTTATTTCTATATGGACATGGAGAGGTCTCTGTTTTTCAGTAAGATTTTTAATTCCCAACAAGATAAATGGCTGAAAATAACATTTGTTTCATACAGGAAAAGGAATTGAATCAAAATATGCTTTTTCCTCTCATTTAATGTTTAATGTTTAAAGTCCTTGTTATAAACTATGCAGATTTGAGGTCAAGGTAGAATCGGATAACAGCAGTTGTGGCCTATGGGAAGGAAGAGATTCCTGGGCCAAGAAGAAGTAGAACTCAAGGGGCTGGGGTAGTTACAAGGACAAAAAGAAAGGAGGGGGTGGGGGCCTTAGGCTCAGTTCAGGCAGGTTTCAATAACAAGAAATCAACTAAAACAGGTATAGTGGTCAACAGTCCCTTCATTTAGTAACCCAGTCAGTTGCTTCAAGTATAAGGAATATAATCAAATAACCTGAAAAGATAGATAAGATTCACAATAATGAGTCCAGATTTAAAGAAGGGTTTCAGCCCAGTGCAATTGTGGTAAATCTAATGAATTGTGTTATCCCTATTGTTAAAAATAATAGTGGCTTCTGATGTGAGTAATATCTACATAACTTGGAAAGTCCACTATTAAAAACTACCTAAAGTTCTGGATAAAATACCAAATTTGTACCTTTCGTTGTATAGCTGACATGAAAATAAGAGAAACTTCCAGGAGTCAAAATAGACAGCCTGTGGAGACAAATTTACAGAATAAATGGAAAAGATCTATCTTTATTTCTGGAGAAGACTGAGTATTTGATTTTTTACTCTGAGCCAAAATCAGGGTAATGGAATTTGAGCTGCATTCTTTAAGACGTCCTGTTTAAGGTTCCTTCATGACTTCCAGGGTCAGCCTCTTTAACCGTACTTAGCAATTGGCCAAACAGAGTTGAGAAGCCTGGCTTGATTACTTGAAAGGCCTCTTTGAAAGTTTCTCTTCGAACTCCCAGAAAGCCATGACTCCTCACAAAAATCCTTGTGGTTCAACCTGAAGACACAGTGTAATTTGTGTATGTGACTGAGCCTTCGTGGGCTTTGTGCGTGGGTATCTAGGGCTTCCAGTGTTTGCCTGCATTCTCTTTTTCTTATCGCACCATATACTTTGCCTTTAAGTATAAGCCTTATATGAGTATGGTTGGTGGAGTCTGATGAGTTTTTTCAAAAAACTGGGGAAGTCTTTGCAGATCTGAAAAAAATAGTGATAAGGACATGACTTAGCTGTGATGTTATTGGAAAGGAAGTTTAGAGGAAGTGGTCTTTGCTCATCTGAGAAACCAACAGCTTGGGTGTTAACATACTGGTAGGGATAGAGTCTTGCTGAGATAACAAGTTGAAATGGACACCAACTTCTAAGCCTGAGACCCTTAGAAGCCTTTACTCTCAATAAAAAGATGAACTAGAAATTATTTGCCCCCAAACTTTGGAAGACAACAGCTTATCTTTTTTCAGCATGGGCTCTTGGTAAGAGAAAAGAAAGTGTCTTCTCTGAGAGTTCCAGAACCACAGGCTTGGATTATTTTGGTTTACGGTTTGAATTCACACGACTGTAAAAGCAATCCAAAAAAAAATCTATATAATAATATCCCCTAGACAGAGATATAACTGAAAAGGACTTGGCAGAGGCAAATGCAAAACTCCTCAAGATGGAGATAGCCTAATCAGAGCCATTGCGGTATTCCCAAATTAAGCTTCATGGAAGATGAGTCCCGGTCTCAAATTGCAAAATATATGGGGAAACAGTCCAACATGAGTGATATTATTCTACAATATATAAATATATATATAAATATAGATTATAAATACATATTACATATATTTATATATTAGATTTTTATATAACATATTTTATATATTATATAAATACACATTATATATTATAAATATATAAATATATCATAATATATAATATATAATAAACATATAATATATAATAAACATATATATGTATATATGTATAATATATATGTATATAAATATATGCTTATATATAAATATTATACAATGTATAAAATGATTATCTCTTAAGAAATTTAATAATTAAATTATTAAATATTTTTGAAAAGGAACTAAAATGATTAAACACTACCAAAAATAACCAGATAACCAGAATAACCAGAAATGAATCTACAGTCATTGAAAATCAAGTGGAAAAATTCAACAATCTATTCAATACAGTTTAGCAAATGATAAATTATCTCAAAATAGGTCTGATGAATTCACTCAGAAAAGGTATTACAGAGACACAGAAATAAAAACTACAACTGCAAAATAAAGAGGTATAGAAGGTAAAATGTGAAATTTTAAATGTATCAAGGAATTTAACTAGAAGAGTAAAATAAAGAGAAAGGTGAAAACAAAATATGACAAGAGATCATGGCTGTCATTGCGGAAAGGAAGTGAGTATGAGTTCTCATAACAAAGGAAATCTAGTCATAAGCAGGATTTAAATAAACCAAGAAGCAAGCAAAACTCACAATTTTCTAAAAGTAATATGGTACAGCAGTTCTCAAGCTTTTTGGTTTTAGTACTATTTTACTCTTATTGAAAAAAGCACCAATAAGCCCCTTCCATGTTAACACAAGCAACACATTTATATAAAAAGTAACTACATTTTCCAAAACTATTGAAAAGGGTGATATTGTTTTCCATTTTTGCACTCTTTAATATATGGCTTAAGAGAAGGTATGTAGATTCTCACCACTGTTCTGCCTTCAATCTGTTGACATATCACAGTCATATGACCTCAGAAAACTCTCCACTGTCCTCTCATGAGAGAACAGCAAAAGACATTCTCTTACTATTATTATAAACATTTTTTTTCAACTCATGAATCCCTTCACTCCTGACATAGTGAAACTAAAGACCAAAAAAGATAAAAGAAAGGTCTAACAAACAATCTGACAGAACAAAGCAAAACAAAACAAAACAAAACAAAACAGGTGGACTAATTCATCTAATCAAAGGCAATGATTAGAAACCACAGTGACCTTCAGTTAGGCCAAAGCTCTTAGACATGTAACATCAAAAGTACAATACATAAAAGAAAAACACTGTTTAATTTCAGTTAAAAATTTAAAACTTGGCACTTACAAAGACAATATTAAAATTTCAAAATCCTACTTATTTGAAATATTTGCAAATTCTGTCATATACAAATAACATTTGAAAGTATAAAGAATACTTACAACTCAGTAAGACAAACAAAATTTAAAACATAAAGAAAATATTTGAATAGATATTTCTCTAAAGATACATGAATGGTGAATAAACACATAAAAAGATGTTCAACTAATTAGTCATTATAGAAGTTGAAATTGAAACCACAAGCCATATTACTTCACAAGTACTTGAATAGCTATAATTAAAAAGACAGACAATAACAAATGTTGGTGAGAAGGTAGAGAAACAGAAACCCTCATATATTGCTAGTAGAAATGTAACACAGAGCAGACACTTTGAAAAAATGGTTTATAGTTTCTTAAAAAGTTAGACATAAATTTACCATAAGACCTGGCAATAGCACTCATAGGCATTTGCCTGAAAGAAAAGAAGGCTTATGTCTACATAAAGATATATAGTGTTTATTGCAGCACTATCCATAATAACTGAAAAGGATTTTTTAGGGGAAATGAAAATATGCTAAGACTAGATTTTGTGGAAGTTACTCAATTCTGCAAATTCACTGTACTCATGAATTATACACGTAAAATGGGTGAGTTTTATGGTATAGAAATTCTACCTAATGAAGCTCTCTTTTAAAAAAACAGTTAATGGTTTATCCAATTTGATTAAATTGAATAAAAAGCAAAATCCAGATGTGTTATTAACAAGATACATACCTAGAACATAAGAATACCAAATATTGAAAGTAAAAGTAAGGAGATGGAAAGCTAGGGAGGACAATCATAAGTAAGCTGGTGTAGTTAAATTAGTAACAGAAAAGCAGATTTTAGGCAAAAAGAAAATTGTAGGTACATTTCTAGGATTTATTTTATCACTGTTTTTGTTCATAATTTTCTTCTGGTCCTAGAGTACATAGTAAGACAAAATAAGTTATAAAATGCTTACTACTCACAGACATTACCATTGTCTATCTGGAAAATAAAATCAAATATACTGAAAAACTATTAGCGCTAATAAGAGGTTCCAATAATTTTATTGGGTTTAAATCAATCTATAGGAATCAATTATGTTCCAATGTGCCACAAATAACTTAAAATATATAATTTTTAAAAATGATATTATTTATAATAACAAAAAACTACTGCTACTTAAGAAGAAAACTAATGAAATGATTCAATTACTCTAAACAGAATATGATTAAAATTTATTGAAAGCCATAAGAAAAGATCTAAATAAATAGAATGATTCACCACCCACATAGGATGATTTAATTTCATGATAGCAAGCCTTCTTGAATTCATCTACAAATTTATTACAATTATTATCACAACTGTAATTTGACCAGCTGATTTTAAAATGTTCAAAATGAAAGATCAACTATGGCCAAGATAATGTTGAAGAGCAAAAACCCAAGGGGATTTATCCTGAAATAAATATTTATAAGAAAATTACCATTATAGAAGTGCATACTGTTGCAGAGACACACAAACCAATGGAACAGGACAAGGAGCTTAGAATTACACCTATGTGAAAACTTGATTCACCATTGAAGTGACACTGCATGTCAGTAGAGAAAAAATCGACCACTTAGTAATATGATGCTGTGACAGTCATTTACATAGAAATATTTTTAAAGTTTGATCTTTTATGCAACACACAGATAAAACAGAATTGGTTTAAGACTTCAGTATAAAAGAAAAAAGGTATATTTTATTATAACTTTTATTAATTATATTGAGATAATCCACAGAACAAAAAATCTAATGGCCAATAAAAGTGTAAAATTACTCATTCTCATTAATGATCTGGCAAAGGGCAAGTGAAAACAGAGAAACCATTCTAATCAAATTGGTAGAAATTTCAAAACCTGGCAATACCAAGTGTTGACAAGCAAAGACAGAAAAGGGAATTTTATGCACTTCTGCTAGAATTGTAAAATGATATACCCATTTGGAGGAACATTATAACAATACATCATAAACTTGAAAATGTTTATACACATAATCTATGACTTAGTAATTCTCTTTTTAGGTATATCTTAATAATTCTAAATCAAACTAAATTCACTTGGGGAACTTTAAAATAATGCTGATGCCCGAGCCATTCTGTAGAACTATTAAGTTAGAATTTCCAGAGCAGGGGAGAGATACCAGCACCAGAATTTTTTAACACTACTTCCCAAGTGATTTCAGTATGCAGTCTAAGAACTTCTGTCTTAGAGAAACATCAACATTTGTGTGCAACTATATAAGAATATTTATAGGAGCATAAATGGAAATTGTGTAAATATATGTAAGTATAGCATTATCCACACACCATCTACAGAGAATGAAATAAATAATACTGATATGTTCATCTCATATAGATAAAATTAATCAATTGTAATTCCAAGTATCCACTGAATAAATCTAATGCAAAATAAGTATACATTCACAGTTTCCTGCATTTGTTTCTAAGTGGTTTTCTTTTTGTGTGTGTGTGTGCTATGGGAATTATAAACAACAAATTCTAGAGAGTGAAAAAGGAAGGATGACGGATGCTGAGAAGCTCATAGTCAGTATCAACTAAATAGGAAATATTTTATTTCTTAGAAAAAGAAAGAGAGATCTGAAGCAGGTGGATGGGACAAGGTAAGAGAATATGGGTAGGCTGGATGTGTGGGTGTTTGTTTTATATTTTGCTTCTTAACTTACATTTGTGTTAAATATATTCTTTTTTATGTATCAAATACATTATATCAAAATTGCAAAAGGCATTAAACAAACATGATCAGCATTAAGATTGGTAGTGTATATGCAGATATTGTCTATAATAGTCTATATTTTCCCATATGTTTAAAGTGGGATATATTTTAAAAATTACTCTTCTTAAACAAATAAACAGGAATGTGAGGCCAAGAAACTGAGTCAGAAACTATTTCCCTAAGATTAAACCCTCATATTGGGACTGCTGTGGACTGATTGTGAAAAGGTAAATTCCACAGTCTCAGTCTGCATATAGGACAAATTGTATGTTAGTTGAGATATCAGTCCACATACAGCCCTCCCTTGGTATCCAGGGGGTATTGGTTCTATGACTCTCAGGACACCAAAATTTGAGAAAGTTCAAGCCCCTTATATAAGATGGCCATTTGACTTTCTTCACAGAATTAGAAAAAATACTTTAAATTTCATGTGGAAGCAAAAAAGATTCCATATAACCAAGACAATCCTAAGAAAAAAGAACAAAGCTGGAGGCATCACGCTACCTGACTTCAAACCATACCACAAGCCTACAGTAACCAGAACAGCATGGTACTGGTACCAAAACAGATATATAGACCAATGAAACAGAACAGAGGCCTCAGAAATAATGCCACACATCTACAACCATCTGATCTTTGACAAACCTGACAAAAACAAGCAATGGGGAAAGGATTCCCTATTTAATAAATGGTGTTGGGAAAACTGGCTAGCCATATGCAGAAAACTGAAACTGGACCCCTTCTTACACCTTATACACAAATCAACTCAAGAAGGATTAAAGACTTCAATGTAAGACATAAATCCAAAAAAGTCCTAGAAGAAAACATAGGCAATACCATTCAGGACATAGCCATGAGCAAAGACTTCATGACTAAAACACAAAAAGCAATGGCAACAAAAGCCAAAATTGACAAATGGGCTCTCATTAAACTAAAGAGCTTTTGCACAGCAAAAGGAACTATCATCAGAGTGAACAGGCAACCTACAGAATGGAAGAAAATTTTTGCAATCTATCCATCTGACAAAGGGCTAATATCCAGAATCTACAAGGAACTTAAACTTACAAGAAGGAGAAAAAAAAAAAAAAACACATCAAAAAGTGGGCAAAGGATGTGAACAGACACTTCTCAAAAGAAGACATTTATGCAGCCGACAAACATTTGAAAAAAAGCTCATCATCACTGGTCATTAGAGAAATGCAAATCAAAACCACAATGAGATATAATCTCACGCCAGTTAGAATGGCGATCATTAAAGAGGCAGGAAACAACAGACACTGGAGAGGATGTGGAGAAATAGGAATGCACTGTTGGTGGGAGTGTAAATTAGTTCAACCATTGTGGAAGACAGTGTGGCGATTCCTCAAGGATCTAGAACCAGAAATACTATTTGACCCAGCAATCCCATTACTGGGTATATACCCAAAAGATTATAAATCATTCTACTATAAAGACACATGCACATGTATGTTTATTGCAGCACTGTTCACAATAGCAAACACTTGGAACAACTCAAATGCCCATCAATGATAGACTAGATAAAGAAAATGTGGTACAAATACACCATGGAATACTATGCAGCCATAAAAAAGGATGAGTTCGTGTCCTTTGCAGGGACATGGATGAAGCTGGAAACCACCATTCTCAGCAAACACAGGAACAGAAAACTACACACCACATGTTCTTACTCATAAGTGGGATTTGAACAATGAGAACACACAGACACAGGGAGGGGAACATCACACCCTGGGGCCTGTCGGGGGGTGGGGATGTAGGGAGGGATAGCATTTGGAGAAATACCTAATGTAGATGACAGGTTAATGGGTACAGCATACCACCATGGCACATACATATCTATGTAACAAACCTGCATGTTCTGCACATGTATCCCAGAACTTAAAGTATAATAAAAAATAAAAATAAATAAGATGGCCATAGTATTTGCACATAACCTATGCACATCTTCCCATATATTTTTTAAATCGTCTTTAGATTACAGATAATACCTAATGCAATGTAATATTATGTAAATAATTGTTATACTTCATTTTTATTTGTGTTATTTTTATTGCTGTATTATCTTTTTGTTATTTTTTCAGATATTTTCAGTTTGTTGAATCCACAGATGCAGAACGCACAGATATGTAACTGTCAACTCTACTCTTAAATTTTAATTTATGCTACAAAGCAAAAAGCAAAAACAAAAAAATTATATATTACCCAGTTATTTAAACTTCTTGTACTTAATACAAGTTCAGTGCAAGAAAAGAATTAAGAACAATTCCTTCATTTCCTCAATGGCCAAAGGATTTTGATTTTCAAATGTATATTTCTGTAAGCTATTTGGGTCAATAATTCATAGGAGGGATTAATTCAATACCATTGAATAGGCAAGTTTAAAGTGCTGTCAATATTTTGTCACCAGGATGGCCCCATCTTTAACAGTTTCTCTTTATTCTTCTCTTAATCCATAAGCACAGCTGCTTAAGGTAGCCAGATGGCCCAGATGCCACAAAGCAGCCTTGTGACCCTATGCTGGATTACAGAGGGAGTCTAGACCTGAGCAGGTGACCTCCAGTTACCTTTCCATCATTAACATGTCATTATAATACTAAAAAACCCTCCCCTAAGAGAAGATGGCTATTTTGTGTACACGAGATGTATGAAGAAGTATGCTCATGAACTGTGCTTCTGCATCTGAAACTTGCGTACAGACCTTCCTTGCCCAGCAGCAACCCTTCAAAACTCCCATCCCTCCCATTGCCCAGAGAGAAGGTGGCTTTAGATCATGAGCTCCCCTGCTCCATTCTTTGGCAACTGGACAAAACCTGATTGCCTCTCCAAATGGACATTCCTTCTTTGTGGCTGATATACAGAAAAAACAGTTGACAGTGACATTATTATTAACTATATAAAGTGGATCATAGTCAGTCTAATTTACCAGTGGAAAAATAAGGCTCCCAGTGACGTCAGAACCAAGAATATTAAAGTCTTTGGAGTCTATCCTGGTCTCCACCATTAAAGGATATGAGTAAGGTGGGAACAGGCTGAAGATGGTCCTGAAGGAAACGTTGTTATCTATTCTGAGTTCCGTAGACTCTTATCACAAACAAATTGATTTATGAGAGTCAGGATTTAACTCAGACATAATTTTAAAAGTTGTGATGGAACATTTTCCTGATTACTGCGAATAACATTAAATGAAATTGAGATGGCATCTGTAACAGAATAATTAAATGGAAAAATGACTTCGATTAATTAGATGTATTACATGGTGAAAAGAAAAGAAAATTATAAGAGCAAATAATCTGTTCTCAAGTCTAGGTTAAAGGATACAGTTTGTTATTACAATTTGAATACTTAATTTTCTTCTTAAATTTTTGAAGAATTATATGTCACTGTCTTTGGGAAAAATTAAAGTGGAATTCATCGTGTGTTCCTGTTTCTTTTATGCTGTATTGCAGCTCTCAGGAACTGAGATATCTGATCCATAAAATTGCTGTCAATCATTCTACCATAATTAGTACCATGACTATTTATTTCCAACCTATAGAGATACACACATACACATATATACACATACATATATATGTATACACCTCTCTATATATACACATATACACACACATACACATATAAATACATATATTACACCTTTCTCTCTACATACATATATATACATACACACACAGACATATATATACATACATATAGAGATGGCATATATGTATATAGAGAGAGTATATAGAGAGAAGTTATATATATATATGTCTGTGTGTGTGTGTGTGTGTGTGTGTGTGTGTGTGTGTGTGTGTGTGTATTTTTTAAAGCCATTCTTCATCCTGCTATCATCCTTCTGTCTCATCTTTTTCAACCTCCCATGGGAAAAAATTTGTACTTTGATACTATCCTGTTGACAAAGTTGTCAGACTTCCTGTGCCAATTTTCACTTTCACAGAAAGTAGCAATTGGAAATTCAGAAGAGAACTCAACTTGGATTTTATTCAGAGTGGAATGGTTATTTTCCTCTTCACAAGCTATAGATTTGCAAAAACAGAGTGATTAGCTTTTTTATTTTTTTCAAAATCTTAAACAACATAAAATATGTAGAGTTCCTTGCTGCTGCTGTAAACCAGAAACACATTAATCAGTGAAATGGTGATGTTTACATTTGCCTTGATTTTCTCTTGATTACCCATACCTCATGCAATCATGTAGTCTAGAAGTTTCCACCCTACATATTGCTTTTAGACTAATTATGGCTTTTTGTTGCCATCCAAGTTTTATCAGAAAACATACAATAGTAATTAAAATACAGTTTAAGGAACTGTGCTATAAATGAATTAGTAACTATATTTTCTTTAGGAAAGAGAAATTTTAAAAAACAGATTATATTTTATAACATAGAATACATAAATATGCACAGGATAAAATCATAACTTATTGTAGCAGAAAAGTCATCAGCTTGATTTTTTTTCTAGGTTAGTGTTCCAGTCTAGTGTATATATCTGCCAATTTTATAAATTTTCCCTTCCTGCTGTGTTTAATTCTTTTTACTGTTGCCAGGCTGGAGTGTAGTGGCATGATCTCAGCTCACTTCAACCTCCGCCTCCCAGGTTCAAGTGATTCTTCTGCCTTAGCCTCCCAAGTAACTGGGAATACAGGCGCGTGCGACCATGCCCAGCTAATTTTTTATTTTTAGTAGAGATGGAGTTTCACCATGTTGGCCAGAATGGTTTCGGTCTCTTGACCTCGTGATCTGCCTGCCTCAGCCTCTCAAAGTGGTGGGATTACAGGCATGAGCCACCATACCTGGCAAATTATTTAAAATTGAATCATTTAAGAAATTATTTTTATTTACAGTATGTAAAGGCCTCATAAGGATTAATTACTTATTTCTGGGTAAAAAAATCATTAAAAAATTATTCCCCATTTAAAGCAGATATCAGTCATGTTTAAACAGTTAAATATTTTTCTGTATATCCTGGTTCAGGTTATTCCCAGTGTCTGGAATACATTTTTCTCTTTTTCTTACCCAACCAACTTACTCACACTTCAGAAACAGTTATACTCTTCTCACACATTTGTGACATTTCCCTACCTCTCTCTGAGTTAATTTTACCTTCCCTGCCCTCCCAAAGAGAACTTCAAACCATTATGATCACAATGAGTTATGGTAACTAGTAAGTATATACCAAGTGATACCTCCAACAAAAATATGATTTTTTTTTTTCAGGATTGGGAAAGGCACTTGTTTTATTCTGTATTTCTGACCCGTAGCATATGCCTAGCACATAATGTGTTAAGACTCATTCAAAATAAAGACAAGAATTAATTCAGTCTCAGAATTGAATCTCTGACAGTAAGAATCTCTGCTCTTCAAATAAGCAGTTGGAGGGGATTACTATGTCATGCTGTTTTGATGAGTTTTACCTGGCTTGCTTCATCTAGCCCACAGTGAATTTCCCCTCCCCCAAACTGGTGATATAATGCAAATGTGAATGGGTCTAGACTAATTTGGACTGAAATCTTGAACGCACTTTTAAAATTAAGAGATGGCCTTCAAAAGGTACTTAATTCTGAGACTCAGATTCTACATATGTAAACTGAGAATAATGGTATTTTCTGGCACAGTTGTTGCAAAAAAAAAAAAAAAACCACAAAAACATATTTTAAGGGCTAGAACAGTGCTAGGCATATAGCATGTTAGCATAGCAGTAAGTTTCCTTTCCTTTTTTTTTTTTTTTTGCTCCTTCTGTTGTTTCTGTTTCTTCTCTCCAGTATCCTTCAATGCTAAAGAATTCTGAAAGTTAGTCTGGTTATAAATATAGATCAACCTAATCTATAATTTACAATGTATATGAGATTTTTTTTACTTAGAATGTATAGCAAATTATCATTTGCTTTCAGCCCCAAATACAAGACTACAGATTTCTTTTCACTTTTTAAATATCTTGTGATATATTCCATATGAGATATAAATATTCAGAGATGATATAAATTGAAGAATAAAAATGAATTTACTTGAAATATTTAGAATGTATGATTTTAATTTCAGAATTTCATGTCATTCCTTTTAAAATTATTTCTGCCTGGATAAAACTTTACATTTTTAGCAATACTTCAAGTTTTATTCCAGTGAGTGAAAATCTGAAGAAAAATGGTAGAGGAATTTTCTTAAGCACTATAGACAAAGCTAAGGAAAAATATTCAGAAAATATTAAAAATAAAACTTAGGGGTATTATCTGTTAATAATATAATTGTACAGTGTACCCAATAGATAATGAGAACCGACAATACTTATTTTGTCATGGTACTCTGCATTTAGTAGTACTCTTGACAGTCCACTGAGTCTAGTCAGCTCTTTCCTTCTACGTAATTTGGTAATAAATTTTACACAAGCCTCATCTCTTTTTTCTCCTTGAGAACTGACTGGACCAACCTTGCACTCACCCAACTTTCAAAAAGAGCAATTACTCTCTTTCAGAGTTACTGTTCTCTTACAATTTTCATACATTTGGTTTCACCACTGCTTCAGCTGAGTTTTTCTGCAATTGTAGCAAGAATCCAGTTCTTCAAATGTCCTGCTTAAAGGTTAGATGCCGTGTATGTTTGGCCACAGAGTCACTAAACAGTTCTGAAAAGTCAAGCTACAACTTTAGAGCAGAATAACATGCTTTATTCTACCAACAGTGCAAGACCTAATTCATAGATAATGAACTCGGAGGGGAAAATTTCTCTCTAATGGAAAGGTTATTATAGATTATATTATTAACTGTATAGAGCTAACTTCACAATACATAGTCTACGAGAATTTTCTTTCTATTGAAATATTGAGGCAAGAGCTAACTTCACAATATACAGCCTAAGAGAATTCTCTTTCTATTGAAATATTGAGGCAAGTGCAGCAATATGTGTCAAATTTGTAATAAGAATTTCTTAAGCACTATGAGAAAAGCTAAGGTGAAATATACAGAAAATATTACAAATGAAGCTTAGGGATGTTGTCTATTAATAGTAAAATATACATTAAAGATAAAGAAAAAATTGAAAGTAAAAAAACCTCACAAAATATATTATTTTGTAGGTTATATTTTAACTACCTCTCCCCAAAATATACTCATTTAACGGCCCCTAAAATTATTCTTTCTTAAGGCTGACATTTTGTTGCTGTTTATTACAATTTAGTTTTGCTTCCAGGTTGCTGGTATATATTACTGATTCCTCAGTTCAAATTTGTCTCCTATTGTCCACCAAAGAGAAGATTCTTCAGAAAGTTTTCTGAAACCGTGTCAGGAAAAAAAAAATAAAACAGCATTCTATTGACTCTTTTTCCAATAACAGTTAATGATGAAACACTAGGCTTTTTGTGTCATGATATGGGAATCAACAGCCATTCTCTTCTTACTATAGAGCTAAATACTAACATTGTAGCCTACAAGTCAGAGAAGGTAAAAGGAAATTTGGTAAAACTATTTTTTTTTTTATTTTTAAAAGAGAAGACGTGTACCCTATATAGGGTACATACTGACTTTCTAACAAGAAATTACCTGGACTTCCCTAACTCCCTTTCCTCTCTCCTCCAGCTTTTCTCCATATTGATGATCCAGTAATCCTTCTCAAACACATATGCCTCTAGCTTCCTTATTAACAGGATAAGACCTGCTTACCGCCTTATTCGAGCACAGGTGGCCTTTCAAAATCTGACCTCTGCCTCAATTCCCATTTATATTTCCCACCAGGCAGCCTTGCCCAGCCCATCCAGTAGAGCACACTGTATTTCCATACACTACTAGAATGCTTTGTATTATGAAGTTCCACCCACTGTAATTGTGTGTTTGAACATGTGATGCCCATTCCTGGGTATAAATTCCCTTCAAGGTAGGGGCAGGTATCTTCATTTGTTTATTATTATTTTTATATTTAATTCTGCCTCAGCACAGTGCCTGATTCATAATGGTACTGTTTCAGGCCGTTCTTGAATTGCTGTAAATACCTAACAGTGGGTAATTTATAAAGAAAAGAGATTTAATTATCTCACAGTTCTGCCAGCTTTATGGGGAACATGGTGCTGACATCTACTGGGCTGCTGGGGAGGCCTCAGGAAGCTTACAATCATGGCAGAATGCAAAGTTGGGACAGACGTGTCACATGGCGAAAGCAGAAACGAAGCCGGGAGGTGGTGCCACAAACACTTAAATGACCAGTTCTTGTGTGAACTCAGAGCAGTAACTCTCTGATCACCAAGGGGATAGCCCAAGCCATTCATGAGATCTGCCCCCATGGTCTAAACACCTCAGCTCCGCAGAGCATGCAGCCCCCGCCATGCCTCTCCTGCTGAAAGCTGACTCAGGCCGCTGCTGCCATCACTAATAGTGATGATATTAAAAGAGATGTTATTTTTTCAGTATCTGGGAATCTTTAGGAAAGCTTTATATTTGAATTCTTTAATAATAATAGTTGTAGTAGAATTCAAGTTAATTTGGTGAAATAACTGGTCAATATTTGGTTAAATAGTTGCTCTTTACTTAACAAATTTCTGATAAGGAAGATTAGTTTTGTATTTGGGACTTGTCTGGATTCTCTCAAGCCTACAGAATTGTTAAAGTTTGGCTCATGTCTCTTCAAACCAGCAAATTATCTCTCCCTGTAATAGGCCTCTAACCTGTCTGAACTCATACCCTTGAAATTACCTAAACTGTCTTTGTATTTGCTCACATAAGGAGAATGTGCTTCTCTCCAAAATTTAGGGGTTTTTTTTTGACTTGTGTGTATGTTTGTCTGTATGTGTGTCTGTGTGTTTTCATAGTTTTCTCATTTCTTCAAAGGAAAAATGAAACTTTTTTCAGTTTATTAGGTCTTTTTTAATGTGGAAGCAACATTTTTGCATGACCTTCTGTATCCTAACTTAAAGCAGAACTACCACTGAATCTTTAAAGTTGTTTTTTATTAAATATTTTAATTTTTAATTTTGTGGGTACATAGTAAGTGTAAATATTTGTGGGGTACATGAGATGCTTTGATACAGGCATGCAATGTGTAATAATCACATTGTGGAGAAAAGGGTATCCATTTCCTCAAGAATTATCCTTTATGTTTCAAACAATCTAATTATACTCCTGGTTTTTTAAAAATGCACAATTTTTATTGACTACAGTCACCCTGTTGTACTATCGAATAGTAGGTCTTATTCATTATTTCTAATTTTGTACACATTTACCATCCCCACCTCCTGCCCCATGCCCGCAGCTCCCCACTACCCTTCCTACCCCCTGGTATCCATCCTTCTACTCTCTCTGTCCGTGAGTTCAATTGTTGTGATTTTTATGTCCCACAAACGAGAACATACGATGTTGGTCATTCTGTGCCTAGCTTATTTCACTTAACGTAATGATTTCCATTATCATTAACATAACATAACAATCTCCAATTCCATCATGTTGTTGCAAATAACAGGACCTCATTCTTTTTGTTCTCTTACTCCATTATGTATATGTACCACATGTTCTTTACCCATTCATCTATTGATGGACACTTAGGTTGCTTCCAAATCTTAGCTATTTTTAACAGTGCTGAAACAAACACGGGAGTGCAGATATTTCTTCAATATACTGATTTCCTTTTTTTTTCTTCTTTTTTTTTGAGACAGAGTCGTGCTCTGTCGCCCAGGCTGGAGTGCAGTGGCGCGATCTCCACTCACTGCAAGCTCCGCTTCCCGGGCTCACATCATTCTCCTGCCTCAGCCTCCGGAGTAGCTGGGACTACAGGCACCTGCCACAACGCCCGGCTAATTTTTTGTATTTTTAGTAGAGCCGGGGTTTCACCGTGTTAGTGAGGATGGTCTCCATCTCCTGACCTCGTGATCTGCCCGCCTCGGCCTCCCAAAGTGCTGGGATCACAGGCGTGAGCCCCTGCACCCGGCTCTGATTTCCTTTCTTTTGGGTATATACCCAGCAGTAGGATAGCTGGATCATATGGTAGCTCTATTTTTAGTTTTCTGAGGAATTTCCAAACTATTCTCCATAGTGGTTGTACTAATTTGCATCCCACCAACAGCGTATGAGGATTCCCTTTTCTCCACATCCTCATTAGCATTTTTTATTGCCTGTCTTTTGGATGTGAGCCATTTAAACTGGGGTAAGATAAAATGAGATGATATCTTAGTGCAGCTTTGATTTGCATCTCTCTGATGATCAGTGATGTTGAGCACTTTTCATATGCCTATTTGCCATCTATGCGTCTTCTTTTGATAAGTGTCTATTCAAATCTTTTGCCCATTTTTGATCAAATTATTAGAGTTTTTATTATAGAGTTGTTTGAGATCCTTATATATTCTGGTTACTAATCCCTTGTCAGATGGGTAGTTTGCAAATATTCTTTCCCATTCTGTGGGTTGTCTCTTCACTCTGTTGATTGATTCCTTTGCTGTGCTAGGGGTGGAAAAGGGGTGGCATTAGTGATTCGGGACTCTCTTTACTATCTCTTTGATGTCTCTTTCAGTGATATGAAGTTAAAACCAGGAACTTTGAGTGTTCACCTATTTTTGGCTCTTCTGAAGGTGATTCTTTTCTGGGTAGATGTTAAATGGTGTCTTTGCAGCAGGGATGATCAGTGGAGCCCTCTATCTCATCATCTTGTTCTCCCTCCTCAACAGGAAAAAATCTTTAAAGTTGTTTTAATTTGGAAAGGGTATAATATGGTTGAAATCTATGAAATCACGTATAAAGAAAAAGATTTCAGCTACTTCAAAATTTCAAATATAAACAAGTATATTAATAAAATTAAAAATGTAAAATAAAAGAACTCGCAACTAGTCAACAGTGATTAGAAATAATCCTACAATATTACGATGACCTTGTGCCAATGAATTTGACAATTTATGTAAGATGGGCAATTTACACATAAAAATTAAATGAAATTGTCTTGACAAGAACACAAGCTTGAATGAGTTACAAGTATTAAATAACTAAAATGATACATTAGATATGTAACTACGAAAAATACTTGGAGAATAGGGTTTTACTGACAAACTACTAAAACACAAGGGAAAAAAAGTCAAGGAACGCTAATTTTAAACAAGTTACTTTACAGCCTACATGATGGAGGAACAATGTTGAATTTATCTTATCACAACTCTAACTTTGATACCAACACCAAACCAAGGACTCAAATGGATTAAAAACTATAAACCAATCTCACTAAAAGACATGTAATATGACAATATATAATTAACACATAATTATCTGACTTGTTTAAAATAGGGAAAATATTTTGGCTTCTCTTTTTTAAAAATCCTCAGATATTATTATCATATTAACAGAGTAAAATATAAATGTCATATAATTTTCAATGGATAAAAATAGCTGACAATATTTAATACCCATTAATAATAAACCGTTGAGCAAAGCAAAGGAATGACTTTATTTTTTGAATTATATTTTAAGTTTTAGGGTACATGTACACAACGTGCAGGTTAGTTACATATTTATACATGTGCCATGTTGGTGTGCTGCACCCATTAACATCATTTAACATTAGGTATATCTCCTAATGCTATCCCTCCCCCAACCCCCACCCCACAACAGGCCCCCGTGTGTGATGTTCCCCTTCCTGTGTCCATGTGTTCTCATTGTTCAATTCCCACCTATGAGTGAGAACATGTGGTGTTTGGTTTTTTGTCCTTGTGATAGTTTGCTGAGAATGATGGTTTCCAGCTTCATCCATGTCCCTACAAAGGACATGAACTCATCATTTTTTATGGCTGCATAGTATTCCATGGTGTATATGTGCCACATTTTCTTAATCCAGTCTATCATTGTTGGACATTTGGGTTGGTTCCAGGTCTTTGCTATTGTGAATAGTGCCACAATAAACATACGTGTGCATGTGTCTTTATAGCAGCATGATTTATAATCCTTTGGGTATAAATCAAACAACCCCATCAACAAGTGGGCAAAGGATATGAACAGACACTTCTCAAAAGAAGACATTTATGCAGCCAAAAGACACATGAAAAAATGCTCATCATCACTGGCCATCAGAAAAATGCAAATCAAAACCACAATGAGATACCATCTCACACCAGTTAGAAGGCGATCATTAAAAAGGCATGAAACAACAGGTGCTGGAGAGGAGAAGGAGAAATAGGAACATTTTTATACTGTTGGTGGGATTGTAAACTAGTTCAACCATTGTGGAAGTCAGTGTGGCGCTTCCTCAGGGATCTAGAACTAGAAATACCATTTGACCCAGCCATCCCATTACTGGGTATATACCCAAAGGATTACTGGGTATATACCCAAAGGAATGACTTTAAGTAGATAAACTGCATACCTCAAAAACCTATAGCAACTCACATAGTGGATCATAAGGAGAATTTTTTAAGTGACAAAGTAATTAAAATTTTTGTGATCAGTACATGTATCAGCTTTGAACTGAAAGTCTGGTTTCAGCAAAGATGCTAGACATTACATCACTATCATATTTTAAAATATCTAAAAACAATATGCAAGACCTGTAGGAGAAAAAGTGTGAAATTTGACTGAAAAATGTTTAAGAAAACCTATGTAAAAGTCACATATAATGCATCAATGAATGGAAAATCAATATCATAAGGATGCCAAAAATCTGAGCTTTTGCTATTTCTTATCAATATCTCAACAGGACTTATAGAAGAAAATTAGGAAACTTGATTCTAAAATTTGTATTCTCTACTAAAATATGGAAATTCTAGGAGGCCAGTCTCTCAGAAATCATCTTTATTGATGATAAAAATTGAACACTTTAAGAAAAGAGATAAGGAATAGAGAATAGGTCCCCAGTCCAGGCTATTTTCCATGCTCTTCCCTAAAAATAATATTTGTTAAACAAATAAATGAATGGCATCTAACCATCAAAAATTAAGATATTAGCCAGGTGCGGTAGAGAACTATAATCCCAGCTACTCAGGAGGCTGAAGCAGGAGTACAGCTTGAGCCCAGGAGTCTCAGGCTGTATTGCACAATAATCAGGCCCATGAGTAGCTAATGCATTCCAGCCTGGGCTGGACTAAATAATGCTAATAATATTATTAAGATACCAAATCAAATAATACTTCTTACACTCAGACATTTTACAGAAGTGATGAGAACTGGGTAATCATGTGCTTAATTATGTGTTTGAGTAAAGAAAACACCATCTCAACCAGTAGTAAACAGGCATTTTTCATATGCTTTGAGAAAAAAAATTAAATAAGAAAAAAATGCAAAAGAAAGCTTACAGTTATGAGGCAAAATGTGGAGAATGGGTTCAGTCTGAATGTATCATGTTTATCTGATAGATATATGTATTTCAGGGATGGAATTGGTAACAATTTATTGTGCATATTGAATAATACAATGAGTATAATAACATGATGGCAGTAGAGAGGACAACTCAAATAAAATGGAAGATAAAATTAGAAAGAAAATGTTTCCTGAGAATGGCAGAAGCAAGCCTTATTTTGTAGGTGAAGTGTGGGTTGTTGTGTTCCTTTTTTATAAAAAGAACTAGTAGCAAAGACTTGAAGAAAACTGCATTTGTTTTAAGAAGCAGTGCAAATTAATTCATTTGACTTTTCAATTTTTAATAAGCAAAAAAGAAAGACAATTAGTCGAGGTAACCAGTGAAGGGAAAGATTGCATGCAAATAAAGATGTCAACTGAGTATGCTCCTATCAGCAGTTCCACTAGTAGTAATCAATTGATTATGTTCATATCAGCAGTCAAATTCAAAGAACCCTTAAATTTCAGGAAGACTGAGGAAAGGTATCAGAGAAAAGACAAGAAAAAAGAAATTTGAAGGAAGGTGTAAAATATGACAGGAAAACTTTTTGGGATGGGAAGGCTCTAGAGTAAGCATGATCTCGTACAATTTAATTCATTCTGTTGTTTAAATCAAGAAAATAGCTTACTTTTTTTAAATTATGAGTCCATAAGAGCAGGATCTGAGTTGCTAAATCAGTGGGTGAAAGGAGATTCTACATTCCTAGACAGGCAGAGCTTCTGAATTTATATCTCAACCTGAATTTACAACAGCACGAGTGAGCAATAGGTGCAAGTGGTAGGAGTGATGGATAACCAATGTGATTTTTGTACCATATTACTGTAATATTAGCTGTAATACTTTTGGAAAACAAAGACTTGATTTCCTAAAAAATAATAATAAATTCACCAGTTATTTTCTGCTTTAAAAGATACAACTTTTTAAAAGACTTGCATAACAGTTCAGTACTAATTTATGCTACAGGGAATGATAAACATTTTTAAACACATGAAGCAGATTTAAAACAGACATTATCGTAATTGTGATCACTCTTTTTAGTTCTCAATTTGTTTACTTTGGTGCCTTTGTACATAAGACTTCGCCTACTCTGTCACTTTTTCTTTTCCACACATTTCTCCCAGCATTATTCTTTTCTGCCCTCCACTTCTAGGTTCACTCCACAATCTATCAATTTTTAGCAGCAATTCTCTAATCAGTAGTCATGGGCACTTTAGCCCCCAGTTCTATTCCTTCAAGATAAGTAGTATATTCTTAATCCCAAGGGAAACATCATACAACACATCATCGATGGTGAGTATATTTGTTTTATGCTACAAATTAACTTCACCTGTGTGATAGAATGTACTAGGTGATTGTATAGGCCTCTAGAAGAGAATAAACAACTTTCTTATGTAGAGAGTTAAATGATATTAGGGGAAGATAAAAAACTGACAAATTTAACTAATACTTAAAAAACAATCATCATCTCTTAGGTTTATATTTTTCAAGTTAATCAGTCCTAAATCTTGAGACCTCTAGAGACATGACACCTGTATTAATTTTTTCCCATTAACTTCTTCCTATCTTAGTCCCTTCTCTACCCAGCATAGGTTTGATGGTCGTTACTTCAGACACTCCCTTGACAATATTCTCAACTTCCTTTTTGCGGTTTTCTGGCTTCTTCCATTCAGTGAATCATCCTTAAAACTCCACCCTAACAACTACCACACTTCATCGTCCCACAAAGATAGAAGCCATCAGACAAATTTCTCTCTAAGCTTAGACACATCTGCATCTATCTGGGTTTAAAGCCCTCCTATTACCAAAAGCAATATCACTCCTCTGTGGCTGATCCTCTTCTCAGTCTCATTTCATCCTCATGTGAAATGAGGACCTCATTCCCTCACACTTTCCTTCTTTTTCCTATAACTTCCACTTCTTCCTCTTTAAAGGAAAGAGTGCACCAACAGAGTTTGGTATGGGTTGAATTGTGTCCCTGCCAAAATCATATATTGAAGTCCTATCTCTCAGTATCTTAGAATGTGACCAAATTTGGAGATGGGTACCTTTAAAGAGGTAGTTGAGGTGAAATGAGGTCATTAGGGTAGGCACTAATGAAATATATCTGCTGTCTTTATCATGAGAGGAAATTAGGACACAGACACACACAGAGGGAAGACTATGTGAAGACACAGGGAGAAGATGATAATCTGCAAGCCAAGGAGACAGGTCTCAAAAGAAACAACCTTGCCAATAATCTGACCTTGGACTTCAAGCCTCCAGAACTGTGATGAAATAGATTTCTATTGTTTAAGCTGAGTCTGGTTCTTTGTATGGAAGCCCTTACAAACTAATACAGAGTTCATCAGCCTTTATAGAAATTTAAGTCTTTTTCATCTTCAGAAATTATTCCATCTTTTGAACCTACATGCCTCTTTTTTATCACACAATTTCCTTCCTCTCCTAAAGAGTCAATCTGCTTGACTTGTGTGTAGTTCTACACGTGTTTTCTCCACTTTTAATCAATTACTCAGCTCATAGTCAACTTGGATTTTACCCTCATCAGTCTATTAAAAAACTTTTCTTTCTTACTTCCAGAGTTTGATCCTGTTGACCACGTCCTCATCCTGAAACACTTCCTTGTTTTGCTTTTATTTTTTAAATAGTACCATGCTCTCTTAGTGTTCTTCCTACCTCTTGAGTTATACAATCTCCAACTCTACTAGTCTATGTTTCTTCCATATTCTTTTACTTTGTGTTCAACCACTGACGCTCTTCCATTCTCACTTTGCTCTCCATGCACATGATTTGAAAGTTATATTTCGAGTTCAAGTTGCTGGGCTTCAGACTTTATATAAAAAACTAATATTCTAAATAAATAAATTTAAATCATTGTTCATCCTCCCTTCCTGCTCTTCTTCCTGTGTTCCTACCCCGATATGACATCACTTTCCCAAATGATAAACCCTTATTCCTCCTTTTCTCAAATGTCTCCCATCAATTAACCATTTAGGCCTTTTTTATTTATCCTCTTTGATAATTCTATTTTTATACTTCTCTTAATTACTATTCCCATTCTTTTGGGTTAGGCCATCTTCATCTCTTACATAACCTCACAACATGTTCTTCTGACACCATTCTTTATAGAGAGACACTGTATCCATAGTAACCAGTTTGAAGCATAAGTCTGACTTTAAAACCATCTTGCCAAAAATCCTTCAGTGGTTCTCCAAGGCATTCAAGATAAGGTCCAAATTATTGAGTATGGAATACAAAACCCTTCCTGGATTTGCCTATGCCACTAAGCTGGCACTTCTCTTTCTCCAACCTTCATGGTCTATGATCAAGGTGACTTTGTTTAATTCAATTTCAAGATGTAGTTATGTTCTCTGGTCTATGGTCCATTTAACATGGAATCCTTTTGTTTAGAATCTCCTTCTCCCTATCCCTTTACTTAGCTAATTGCTACTCATCTTTCAAGTCATAAATTATATATCATTATTCTTTGCCACTTTCCATAGCCATTGAAGACTGAATTCATTTTCCTTTCTATGCAATTCCTCGGATTTTTGTGCCAACATATTTAAGTATTTAGACAAGTAGTTGTTTTCATTATGATGTGATCATTTATTAGTTGTCTGTCAGTTTCTACTGGTCTCTAGAAAGCTTAAGGTAATAAATAAATATCTCTTAGATTAAATAATTAATAAACAAATGTTTAGGTTTTGCATCAGAGGATTTTTTAACTAACAAAACTATTTGACTTTTTTCTGATTTTCATCTATTTTTCAACATTTCACTTAATATGTTCCACCTAGCATAGTGCTTGGCACATTATAAATTTTTAAGGACAATATGAGCTTGATAAAACAAGGCTTAACAAATATAGCTAGTTAGATATTAGTTCCCTTATTTTCTGTTATTTTATTATAGAAATGATGTATGTTGTTAGGAAATAATTGTGAAAATATTTCATGGGAACATAATAAAAGATTTGAGAATGGACAGCAGTATTCCTTAAACTCTATATTCTGTGACATTCCTTTTCAATTATTTTTATCTTCAACCCAGAACACTATGTAGATAAGCATAAACATTTTAGTCCTGTGTCAGTTGTTTTCTAGTATCCCTTCATACCATATTATATTTCACATTCTTGAAACCATCAGTAACAGTTACTTTGAGAGCACAATTACAGCTTTGCTGAATTTTCTACTCTTTTTACCTTTTTATTTTAACATGCTTTTAGATGAACAGAAAAGTTAGAAAGATAGTGCAAAGATTTATAATATTCCTTTCACTCAGATTCCCTAAATGTTTACATTTTAATATGTTTGCTCTATAATTCTTTAGCTCATATTTACCTTCATACTATATATGTATGTAATAGAAAGTAACTTTTATACGTTATTCATATTATTTTTTGAACCACTTGAACGTGAATTTCAGATATAATCCCCTTTTAGCCCTAAATTCTTCAGCGTGTGCTATACAATCCACACCAAATTATCAAAATCAGCGTATTACCAATGATCAAGTATCATGATCAAGGGTATAGACCTTATTCAAATTTTGTCAATAAACTCACTATCACCCTTCTAACATACAAATTAATATATATCTATATCTCTATATATCATACATCTTGCCTTTGGTTGTTACATCTTTTTAGTCTCCATTCATCTGAAACTGTGTTTTTTCAAATTCAGTCTTCATATTTATTAGCTCATGAATGATTGCATGTTAGTGTTTTAAATCTTGGTCATTTTGGTGAGTTTATGTCTTCTTCTAGACCATATATCCCTAGTACTACATCTTTTCATAAGTGCAGTAATATTATAGATTTATGGGCTTTTATTCTGAGATATTTAATTTGTACTCTCGAAAAGATGCTACTGTCAGCAGCTACAGGGGGTATTTTTAATTTTAATGCTTTTCCTCAGGAGGTACTATGCTATGCTTTATTTCAAAGTTTGGACTCCAAGAAGTAAGTGAATTTTTCAGTAGCTGAGAGGAGTTAAAGATGCCAGAGTGTGGAATTCCCCTCCTGTAGAAATAAATATAACATAGAAAGAGCACTTTTGGTTAAAAGAAAAAGCACTGCACTTCCTTTATAAAGCCAGGCACTAACATTTTTTTTCCCCCTGAACCACAGGCAAGGAGTTTTTTCCCACAGATATCGGATAATTTAAGAATGGTCGTTGAGCCTGGATTTAGGGCACATTCAGTTTTATTTTGTTGCTTATGTATTTGCTCAAAAAACCTGTTCTAGGGTCCCTATTGCAGCAGGGCAGGAAACTTGGTGAGTTCAAATTAAAAAGAATGCATGTTGATTAATGGCTATCCTTAGTTGTTCATGAAAGAAAATTGGGATGTTCCCAAGTGAGAATTACCTGAAATCTTCTTCAACAAATTATTGAATCTATGAAGTCCTGAGTTTAAGAAAAATATAGATATATTAAAAAGATATGTGATAGGTAGGTAGGTAGATAGATACATACATACATACATAGCTCTGTACTGGAAGGATCCTATTATTCTGAGGATTCCATTGGTCAAAATGTATGAAATCTCAGAAGTTATCCTTTGAAACGGGATATACTTTATAAGGCTTATCTTCGCATGTTCCCTGTTGTATACATAAGGCCTCACAGCCTTTTCTCTAAAAGTCAATAAAAAAAGAAAAGTATTCCATATTGGCCTAAATAAGAATAAAATGTCTGGTTTTTTTTTTTTGTTTTGGTTTGGTTTTTTTGAGATGGAGTCTCGCTCTGTCATCTAGGCTGGAGTGCAGTGGTGCCATCTCGACTCACTGCAAGCTCCACCTCCCAAGTTCACAGCATTCTCCTGCCTCAACCTCCCTAGTAGCTGGGACTACAGGCACCTGGCACCACACTCAGCTAATTTTTTTTGTATTTTTAGTAGAGACGTGGTTTCACTGTGTTAGCCAGGATGGTCTCGATCTCCTGACCTTGTGATCCACCTGCCTTGGCCTCCCAAAGTGCTGGGATTACAGGCGTGAGCCACTGCGCCCGGCCTAAAATGTCTGTTTTTATATTTTGAGATTATACAGACTTTTATCTCTAATTTAATGATAGACTGCAGCTGGCCTGGCTTTTGGAGGTCATGGAAATCTTCTCTTATGCTATTAATCTGACTTGCCAAAAAATGAGATCAGGTATAAATAACAGGCCTCATCCTAGCGTTATGACGCTTTACCCAAAGAGATCCCTAAGGATAATGCAAATTCTTTGGCAGAACCTCAAATTTATGTATCTGAAGGCAGATACATAAATAGATGTCCTTTTACAAAAATCAAAACTCTGTGGTGCTTTTGAGGTGGTGCCTACAGAAGAGCTGTGGGGATCGGGGGTCTCTATGCAGTCTCAGCAAGAGAAAGCTTGATGCCCTGGAGAATACTGTGAGCCTTCTCTAATGATGCTGAAGAGTGACTGACCCCAAAAGCTCCTCTGAAGGCCACAAACTGGGCTCCATAGAGTGCCCTATTCAAGTGTGACAACGAGTATCCATAGAGAGTTCATTCAATCATCTTTCACAAGTAAGCCAGAATTGGGTTGTCAGAATTGCGTAAATAGATGCAATTCTTTCGCTAGGTTCTCTCTAGAAGAATGGGAAAAGATAGGTCTAGTTAGATCAAAGAACATGCCAGCCAATGGTTTTGTTTTTTCTCTTCCAAAAATTAAAAGGGGAAAGAAACACGTCAAAAACAGCACATATATTTATAGGAGCTTGTGAATCTTAGACACATGTCAAAACTTTCCTTTTTAGTCAGGCTAATAAATTTAGCCACTGCAACACACCCCGAAAATCTCAGTAGCTTAACAAAACAGAGGTTTATTTCTCACTGTCACCAAAACTCAGTGAAGGCCAGGTGCAGTGATTCAGGCCTGTAATCCCAACACTTTGGGAGGCTGAGGTGGAGGGATCACTAGAGCCCAGGATTTCAAGACCAACCTGGGCAATTTAGGGAGACTCATCTCTACAAAAGAAAAAATTTAAACCAACTAGGTATGCGGGGGCTCACCTGCAGTCTCAGCTACTGGGGCAGGAGTAGGACAGTTGGGAGACATAGAGGATGGGTTGCAGATGTGGGAGGGATTTTTAAGCCCACGATTTTGAGGCCACAGTGATCTATAATTGCACCATACCACTCCAGCCTGGGTGACAGAGCAAGACCCTGACTCAAAAAAAGGCATGCAGTGGGGGGAATTTTGGCAGCCTCCTGGGCAACTTTCCTCCAAAATGAATTAGTGATCCAAATTCAGTCCAACTTGTGAACCCACTGCCTTTGGCATGCAGGCCCCACAATGCTGCAGAAAGGGAAGAGGAGGAATGAGTGAACACGTAGGGGTCTCATGCTGGTGCCTGAGGTGGCAGACATCACTTCCACACTTGAACCAGGTATCTTGAACATGGGCCTCACTGAAACTGGAGGGTAAGCTAAGAGTCTAGGGGAGCCATTAGCCTCTCCTGCAGCTACTTAAGAGACACATTTATCAGCAGATCTAAGGGACTTCCCTCATCCAAGACATCTCAGTTTTACTAGAAAGAGCACCTTAGTGCTTATCCTATATTCATGCTTACATTTACAATAATTTCCTAAAGACAGCATTTCACATCAAATTAAATAGTACTTTCTTCTCTATGCCCATATATGGTGGGAAATAGGTATATTATCTATTTGGGGGATTTTAATTATGGTATAAAAATAACAGCTAATTAACAGGTAACATATATGTGGTGATACATTAATGAGCTTAATTTGTTATATAACTGAAAATGTGCCTCTGTTTTACAAAGACACATCCATTTCATCATTTCTTTATATCATATTTTATACTTTCTATCTTTAATTGCCCTCAGGACTTATCATATCTTCCACCAGACTTCAAAATAAATATCTTTCAATAATAATTAAAATGATCAATAAATAGCAGTATTTTGGTACTTGTTGTTACATTTAAATATACTAAAATCCAAATAAAAAATTATGAATGAATAAAATCTGCTTTCCACATTTCCTTAATTGAAATTTCTGACTTCTGATTGATGTGAATAAGCTTTCTAAAAGTAAATCTCAGGAGAGTGTTCAACTAATAATGTCCTCAAAACATTTATATTGTTTTCTTTCCCTATATGTTGGCTTTGTCAGTCTTACAAATATTTGTTTCTTCTAACTTTTCAGCATGGACAAAATAAACAGCATCAAGCTTCTTATATGACTTCAAAAATTCATTCCTTTTAAATAGATATGTTCATAACAAAGCTAGGCCCTTCGCAGTTGGTAACAAACATAGCTACCTTTAAAATCTTAAAAGAATGCAAAGACCTAGGGAACATAGGTGATATCTGAGAGAAATGTTTTACAAAACAAAGTCTTCAAATAAAAGAAATATATGTACTTAGCTATAAGCATTTTGGAAAAACACAATACACATCCAAGATAAATACCATAAGGCACAGCAGCAATAGATTCCAGATTCTGAGAGGAGAGGATACGAATATAGAATGATAATTGGAGTCTAAAGCAATCAACCGGGCAACAACAACAAATGCTACATAATTGTACAACTATTTGCATATATGAGAAATCAAAACTACAAAGAACAGTGGGTTTTTTTGCAAAGTCCTTGAGAGTTTAGTCTACAAAGTAAATTTTAAATGATTTTTTTGTTTGTTTGGAAAGGTCTCAGTGTGAAATACTTTATAAATGACACCTAATTAAGACTTAAATTGCCTCTATCAGAATGAAAAGATTTCCTTTTCAAAACAGTCTTGAAGTAAGTTGTATCTTGATGCAGAGATTTCACTGGACAAATTAAATATACAGTATACATAAGGGCACAGAGAGAGAATGACCAGTTCTGTTTTTGGGAGCACTTACTTGTGCTTTTATAAGAACAAACAATTAACTAGGTTTTGAAGCTATCTTGTAAAGACTGGGGAAAGCATCCCAAGCAAAGGAGACTATAGGTCTAAGGGTATAAAGCTTTGAAATTCTTAGTTATGAGGAAATCATGGAGACTACAGCTTGTTGGAGCACTGAGATGGAGATGTGGTAGTGAGAATGTGGATTGGAGCTATCTGCATTCATCTAACCTAAAGACCACCATGCCTGCTGCACCTACTGTCTTACAAGTAAGTGCTCAATTACAGAAACTTCGCTAAACATGGGAGGCATGACATTTGCAATACTCCCTTGAGCATAGTCACTAAAATTGGTTTCTTTTATCTACAGGGATCCAGGCTGTAAATTCCAGTCAGTGCTCCCCACTTCCTGAGGCTTCATGGCTCTCTGACCTTGACTTGCTCCTGCCCTCTGCTCCAGCAGGCTTTGTCAGGGCTAAGCAAGTATTTCCCTTATTATGTGAACCCAGAAGAAGAGGACTAAAGCTAATGTGACCTCTCACCACTCTCTCTCTGTCTCTGTCTCTCTCTCTCTCTCACACACACACACACACACACACACACACACACACACCCACACATGCCCACACATATATATCTGGAAGGTACAGGAGTTGAGTTAAAGCATTACTGTTTTACCTGCATATTACTGTTAATGCTGGAAATATACAGGTATTTACCTTTAGTTTTTAGTGTTATGTGTGGGAAGGATGAATGCTGGCGGGGGTGGGGGGCGGATTTAATTCTACCAGCAGCTTTTGTTAGATGAAACATCAGAAGATTTACTTATTGTAAAAGGCATTTGTCCTTTTTCAGTCTCTCAAAGCTCAGAAGGTCAGCAGCTCCAAAGGACATTGTTCTGTGTTGAATATAATGAAATCCATGCTTTGTCCTCTGTGACAATAATGGGGAATATTCTTAAATTTGACTGGCTGATGGGGCATGAAATTCAATTACTGTTCATTCAAGTATTGTTTGAGCTATACAAGTTTGTTCTTTTGTAAAATTTAACAAATAGAAGGGAAATAGAGTGTCTTCCAGTTGAAAGATATAATTGACATTGTTATTCTGTAATTATAATTACCTTTATAATCCATTACCTTTTGAAGTCTGCTCTCCAAAAAAGAAATTAAACAAAAGAAGATAACAGAGAAACCTTGAATAATTTGGCTAGATCACTTGCATCAATGCAGCAAGTTTTCAACTTAAAATTTTCTAGCAATTATTTTAACATAAATAAGTTGGGAACACATTTTGTCATGACATCGAATCTCATTTAATTATTCCATCAAAGATAGAGTATCCATTCTGAAATATTGATATCAAATGATAAATCATTTTCTCTTGAACCAGAATCTGCCTTCTCATTAGTTTCTGTGATACCCAAATAACTTCATTCTTTCTACAAAGATGAAAATATTGGGTCAACCTTTTCTTTGAAACTTTCCATTTCTACATGATGGATTATAGTTATTTTGGAGAATAGTTACAATTTTCTTATCATCTTAGAAAGCTATAGAATAAATTATTGGCTTTTATGAAAGGATTGCAATTCTATTTTTATAAGCCTTCAATTTCTACATATATTTAAAATGCTGGTGCTTAATTTAGGTTTCTCTTGGGTTAGAATGTAAAGCATGAGCATTGTGTACTATAACTTTGCAGACTGTATTCGTAAATGGCCATTTGCTTTTACTTAGAAATTTTCTGATTTCAAGCACCATGACTACAGATGAGCAATATAATCTTCCTAACAACATTATCACTGAATAGGTGTGGTCAACAGCAAATAATTTCAATTTGGTTTTTACATTCAAATGTTATTTAAAAAAATAAAAAAATATTTTGAAGCTAAGAAATATTAGAAAGTTAAAGCAAGAATAATAAATCTTGCAAGTTCTGTTTCTTAACTTAATTAGTCTAGTTTAACCTATGCTGTGGTGTCAGATTTTGGTTAAAACATACTTCTTTTCTGAAGTGTGTTCAAATCATTTGTCTATTTTTTATTTATTGGGTTTTATGTTGTCTTAATATAAGATTATAAGAATATTTATATGCTCTACATACAAATCCTTTGTTAGATGTGTGATTTGCAAATATTTTCTCCCAGTCTGGGCTTGCCTTTTTATATTCTTATCATTGCCTAACAAAATCAAAAGTTTTAAATTTTGAAGAAGTTCGATTAATTCACTTTCTCCTTTACAGCTTTGACTCGTGTGTATCATCTAGGAATCATTGCTTTACAGTCATAAAGATGTTTTCTTCTGTTTTCATTTAGAAATCTCGGATTTTTTTGTTCTTACATTTAGGTATATCATTTACTTTTTATAGATTACATTTATTTTTGTATCTATTTCAAGACAAAAGCTGAGGTTCACTTTGTGAATATGGATATCAAGTTATTTTAACATAGCTTTTAAAAAAAGTTTGTTCATTGAATTATCTAGGCAATTTTATTGACAATCAATTGACCATATATATGATTATTTATTTCTGTACTCATTTCTGTACATGTATTAGATTTATATTTTATTAATTATCTATTCTTATATAAACACATAGTTTAATTAATAGAGCCATTTAGGAAGGTAATCAGATAGTGATTCTTTTATGTCAAAATTTCTTTGGCTATTACAAATTTGTTATTAATTTTTTTTACAAATTCCTCATTAATTTTACAAATAGGTTGTCAATTTTTACAAGAAAGTTTTCTAGGGTTTTTATTGGAATTGAGTTAAATATATAATTTGGGGATAATTACATGTTTTGGAATCTAAGAACATGGTATTGCTCTCAATTTATTTAGATCTTTATCTTGCTTCAGCAAAACTTTGTAGTCTTCTATGTAAAGGACTTGTACATATTCTGTTAAATTTATTTCTGAAGAGTCGATAATTTACACTATTGAAAAGACTATTGTTTCTCAATTTCAATTTTTGGTTGTATATTCTGAATACATAAAAATATAATTTATTTTTATGCATAAATAGTGCATCCTGCCACTATGTAGCTTTTTCATCGATCTCTCAGGCTGTTCTCTGCTCACAATTATATCATGTACAAACAGACATAAATGCATTTTGTTTCTTTTAATTTCTCACTTTTTTGCAAAGGCTAGGGAATTCAGAGCAATATTGAGAAGTGGTAAGATTGAACATCCATGCTCTGGTAAGATAAAAAATTGCCCCCAGAGATGTTCACAGTCTAATCCCTAAATCCTGTGAACAACATGTCTTATATTCAAAAGAGACTTTGCAGGTATGATCAAGTTAAGGATTCTGAGATAGGAGATTTATCCTGGATTATCCAAGTGGGCCTGATTTAATCATAAGGTTCCCTATAAGAGAGAGACAGGAGGTCAGAGAAGCAGAAGGTGCTATGCTGCTCTTTGAAAATGAAGTAAGGGGTCATGCACCACAGGATGCAGACAGAATTTAAGAACTGAAAAAGGCAACTCAACAGACTCTCCCCAAGAGCCTTCGGAAGGAGCACCACCCCCAGACCCATTTTAGACTTCTGATTTCCTGGACTGTAAAATAATGGATTTGTATTGTTTTACATACCAAATTTGTGGTAACATATTAAAGAAGTGTTATGTTACAATACTCTTGCATTCTTTCTTAAGTAGAAAGCATTTATTTTTGATCATTAAGTAAAATGTTAGCTGTAGATATGTTTATAATTTAGTTTTAGCAGATAGCAAATATTCTCTTCCTAGCTTCTGGGAGTTATTAACATGAATGTGCATTACATTTTGTCAAATAATATTTTTTCCTACTGAGATGATCATGTGGATTTTTATTAATTTAATGAATTACATTGATTTTCAGTTAAACTGACTGCATTTTAGGATAAAATTCACTTGTCCGTGGTATTACCTTTTTGATATTTTATTGTATGTAATTTTTAAGTATATTCATAATAATGTCAGCATCACTCTTCATGTTTGATCTTGGTCTGTTGTTTACTTTTTTTCAAATATCTTTGTCTACTGTGTGTCTGGGTAATTTTGGCCTCATACAATCAGTTAGTGTTCATTCCTTCTCTTTTACTTTCTGAGAAAGGTATGTCACACTGGCATTATTTCATTCTCCCATGTTTGTTAGAATTCATGGGTGAAACCACTAAAGCTTAGAATTTTCTTACAATAAAATTTCTTTATTAGATACAGGGCTATTCAGATATTCTATGCCTCCTGAAGTAAATATTGATACCTTAGTAATTTCTTTTCTTTTTTTTTTTTTTTTTTTTTGAGTCAGGATCTCACTCTGTTGCCCAGGCTGGAGTGCAGTGGCACAATCAGCTCACTCACTGCAGACTCAAACTCCTGGACTGAAGTGATCCTCTTCTGCTTCACCATCCCAAGTAGCTGGGATTATAGGCATGTGCCACCATGCTTGACTAATTTTTTTATTTTTTTTTTAGAGACGGTGTCACAGTATCATTATAATGTCACTTTTCCAGCTCAAAACCTCTGTGGCCAGTGGCACCTTTGCTTGAGTTTTGCTCAGGCCTGCTGGGCTCCTTCTGCCCACTTGGCCCAGCAGGCTGCACTCAGCTTGTGCTACCAGCCCAGATCCCATGCCTGTCAAGGGTTAGCCAGGTGCAGAGCACTAAGGGGTGTGAGAGCAAGCACAGAGTCTAGCCACTGTGCACAGCCAGGTGTGCCAGCTGCGGTGGGACAGGCAGCTTCAGGTGCTGGCATAGGCACCAGCTCCTTGCAAGCTTCTGGCTGGACCAGGTGTACTGCAAGCAGCTTACACTGTGGGCACTGGGGAATGGAGTGGTGCCCAAAAGCTTGGAGATTCCAGAAACTGCAGGGCTCCAAAGAAGGTGTCACAGCCCTAGCTCAGGGAGCTCCTAGGTCTGTGCACCCCAAAGGGCTGCAGCTCTTCTCTTTCTCTATTCTCTCTCTTCTTTCTCTAGTCTGTTCTTCTCAGTGCCCACAACGTTGTGAGTGGGGTGGGTATTTCAGCCATTTTTGTTACAGCTCTTTCAGTCTTTCCATTCGGTAGGTCCTGAGTTCTTGTCCTGCATCCAGGAAGAATGCGGTATGTGAACAACTGGAGGATGAGCAAGGTGGAGAACAGCTTTATTGTGCAACAGAACAGCTATCAGGAGACTTAGAGTGGATAGCTCCTATCCAAAGGCAGGTCAGATAAAACAGTGTACAGCTCTCAGCAAGGAGGAGACCCTGAGTGGGTAGCTCCTTTCCATAGGCAGGTCATCCCAATGAGCTGACGAGACGTGAAGTGGGTAGCTCCTTCCTGTAGCTGGTAGTGCAAAGTCTGTGTGAGTCTGGCTGAGTCCAGCACTTTTTATGAGCTCAGAAAGGAGGAAGTGCATGCTGATTGGTCCATGGGCGGGTCCGGAAAAAGCACCATAAGTTCTCACTCCAGCTGTGGACTCTACCCAGAACTTGCAGCCAGGCCCCCAGGCTTCAGGCCACCCCTGGCTTGAAGTTGAGGTTTCACTGGGGACCTGCCCCTTTCTGCCCAGGAACTGTCTGCCTCCTGATATCAACATGCCATCCACGGAATCCAGGCTGTTTGTACCGAAGGGCACCTACAGGCCCTTGCCAGGCTGTCCCCACAACCAGACTACATCCCACACTCCTCAGTACCCAAAGTTTGGAGGGGATGAGACAGTGGTGGGGGCTGGTGTGTCAGCAATGCCACAAGCATGCACATACCCAGCCAGGTTGTGACAATGCCCAGCCTCAGCCACAATTTTGCTCTGAAATTGGAGTGACTGCCAGGAGTGGAGAGAAGGTAGAGAGCAGCAGCAGACACTTCTGAGCTTGTGAGGATAGGGGGTCTTCCCAGGCCCCCAAGAGTGCAGGTATGCCCAGGTCTGGAGCTGCAGCTGGGTGACTGCAGCTGCACCCAGGAGCGCAGGGCTCCTTCCACACCAACTTGTTAGGGGGCTGGGCTCCCACCTGTCCCCAGCTCCTTCTGGCTCCACAGAGCACAAAGCCCCAGCCACACCTCCCCCACTGCAGCTGGCATCCCCGCAGCAGCTGATCCAGACGGGCTGCCACCACTGTCAACAAGGTTTCACTATGTTGCCCTGGCTGGTCTGAAACTCCTGGGCTCAAGTGTTCCTCCTGCTATGGCCTTTCAGAGTGTTAGGATTACAGGTGTAATCCATTGCACCTGCCTGATAACAATAATTTTTACATTTCAAAAAAATTTTTCATCTCATCTAAGTTGTCACATTTACTGTCATAATTTTACATGATGTTTTCTTACCATTCCTTTCATATCTGTAAAATCTATAATTTCTCCATTTTTCCTTTTTTTTGAAATCTGCATATTTATTTTTGTCTTTATCCCAGGCTTGCCATAGGTTTATTAATTTTATTGAGTATTCCAAATAATCAGCCACTGACTTCTTTGATTTTCTCTGCTGTTCTGTGTTTTCTATTTCATTGATTTCTACTTTTTTCCTATTTATTTCCTTTGACTTTCTTTGAATTTAATTTGATCTTTATTGTAGCTCCTTTAGACTTTAATGTTAGACTCATTATTTCTGCTTAGGTTAAAAAATCTAAAAGTATTTTATTATTATTTTTGCTTTAACAGTCAATTGTTTTTTAAAAGCAACAGGAAAATGAGAAAATCATTTAGTTTTTAGATGCGTACTATTCTCAGTTTTCCTAATTCCATGTGTAAATCTAAACTTTTATCTGATATTAATTTGCTTCTGCCTAAACATTTGTAAAATTCAGTTTTTTTTAAACCTTTTGTTAAAGTCTAGGAAGTCTTTATTTCCTCTTCATTTTGATAGAGATTTTTGTGAAATATAGAATTATAAGTTGACAACTGTTTTTCTTCTGCACTTTAAAGATGGTGTTGCCATACATTCATATTTTCTGAGACATCACTGTCATTCTTTTATTTTTCTTTTGTATAAAATATGTCTTAATTTTCCTCTTGTTACTTTCAAGATATTTTCTTTATCATTAGTTTCAGTACACTGATGATGTGCCTTGTGCTTTATTCATGTGTGTGTGTTTGGGTATTCTTGCTAGGGGGTCATCAAACTTCTTGTGTGGATTTATTGCATTCAGTTATTATTTCTTCAAACATTTTATCTGTTGTACCATATCGTTATTATTTGAATGCAATCACACTTGTTAAAGAACACTTAAAGTACTCCCACGATTCACTGAGACTCATCATTTTTCAGTCTTTTATTCCTCCCTGTGGTTCATTTATTCAATGTCACTGATGTTTTTTTCCTTTGGCTTCTGTTTTGCTGTCATTCTAGTCAATAAAAATTTTATTTTAAATATTGCACTTCTGCTTCCAAAAATTTCAGTTGATCCATATAGCTTTCATTTTTCTACTCATTGTTATAGGATCACTAGGGTGTCAATTTTTCTAGCTGGAAACCTCTGTGGCCACAGTGCCTTTGCCTGAGTTCTTGTCCTGTGTCCAGGAAGAATGACGTACACAGACAAGTGAAGGGTGAAGAAGAAGAGTTTTATTTAGTCTTAGAATGGCTCAGAGGAGTGGGTAGCTCCTCTCTGTAGGCAGGTTCTCCTCTTGAGTGTTCAGCTCTCAGCAGGGAGGAGGCCCTGGAGAGGGTGGCTCCTCTCTACAGGCAAGTAATTCAGATGTCGCTGCAGGTCTCTGAAGCTCTCCACTGCAGCTGCTGCTGTCAGCAGAGAGGGTACTATTCTCTGCAGCTGCACATTCCATCTCCTCCAGCTATCAGGGGAGAGGGTACTCCAACAGTCTCTCTATCCTCTGCTCTCCTTATCCTCTGGCCATCCTCTGCCCTGCTCTGGCTGAGCCCAGGGCCTTTATGCACCTCAGAAGGGAGGAAGTGTGTGCAGATTGATCCATGGGCAGCCATAAGTGGGTCCAGAAGAGGTACCATGAGTTCCCACTCCAGTCCTTGGGACTGGAAGCCCAGCCCCAGTCTTCAGGCCCTCCCTGGCCTAAGGGTGGGGCCGTACTGGGGACTCTGCCCCCTTCTGCCCAGGACTCTGTCTGCCACCTGTTGCCATTCATGGCCCCGGGGCTTAGCCCCAACCCCACTCCGAAATCGGAGAGGATGCTGGGAGTGGAGAGAGGCCAGATAGTAGGATCCGATATGTAAGCCTGCAGGGACAGCAAGGGCCTTACTGGGGTGCCCGAAGGTGCAGGCTGCAGAGATGCCAGGGTCCTGCACCGGGGAGGACAGCCGCAGCTCCACCCAGGAGCTCCTACCCGGCCACCTTGGAAGATGCAGGGCTCCCACTTGTCCCCAGCTCCTGCCTGCTTCCTGGAGCAAGAGGCCCAGGTCTGCAGCTGAGGATGCCATGGCTGCAGCTGCACCCAGGAAGGCAGATCCTGCCTGTTCCCAGCTCCCCCAAGAGCACAGGGAGGCTCAGATCCACAGCTGTAATTTGGGCGGCTGTGGCCCCACCCAGGAAGGCAGGGCTCCTGCTTGCTGCATAGAGAAGGAAGCCTGGGTCTGCAGCTGCAGTTTGGGCAGCTGCATTGGCAGGGGAGCTCCTGTCCCAACTCAGAAGGGGCAGGGCTCCCAATGGCTCCATGGAGTGTGCAGCCCCAGCCGCGCTTTCCTGTTGCAGCTGTCATGATGGCAGCAGCCACTGCCATTGTCATCATCATTCACTCTTTTCTTAAAATACTTGAATTACTTAAATAGCTCCCTTAATAGACACATATGCATATCTTTCATTTCTGGGTCTATTTCTATTGACCTGTTTTTCTTTCAGCTTTGGGTTGTGTGTGTGTGTGTGTATATATATATAGAGAGAGAGAGAATATAATATATACAATATATATTTTAAAAATATTTATTTATATATTTTTTATTTATTTATATTTATTTATTTTATTTATTTATTTTTTTGAGACGGAGTCTTGCTCTTTCACCCTGGCTGGAGTGCAGTGGTGTGATCTCAGCTCACTGCAACCTCCGCCTCCCGGGTTCAAGCGATTCTCCTGCCTCAGCCTCCTGAGTAGCTGGGACTACAGGCGTGCCACCACACCCAGCTAATTTTTGTATTTTTAGTAGAGATGGGGTGTCACCATGTTGGTCAGGCTGGTCTTGAACTCCTGACCTTGTGATCTACCCACCTGGGCCTCCCAAAGTGCTGGTATTACAGGCATGAGCCACCACGCCCGGCCTGAGTTATATTTTTCTGTTTCCTAGGATGTCCAGTAATAATTGGATCCAAGATGTTCTGAATATTACATTTTTGTTTTCTTTACGGAATGTCTGGTTTTGTTTTTTTGGATCATTAATCTACTTGTGTATTAGTTTGATGCCTTTGGGATCTGTTTTTAAAGCTTTGGTAGGGCAGGTTTAGAGTAGCCATCGTTCTAAATATAATCAACACTATAACTAAATACTAAATGATCACTATGTATTCTCCACTTCAGCTGGTGGGACCTCAAATATTTCTCTACCCTGTGTGAGTTCTTTGTCTATCCTGGTGCAGTTTCAAGTTACGTATGTATGGCCTACTACTCCCAGAGAATTTATGCAGATTTCTTTATTTTTTTTTTCTGCTGAGCACCTCACTCTATCGTGAGACTCCTTGTCAAGATTTCTAGCTACCTCAGCTTCCCCAAACACTAATTTCCTTCTCTTTTATTTAGTGAAGTTTCTGAGCAATGTTTAAGTGCTTTCTTCCTATGTCTGCAATTCAGATCACCTCTAAGCAGGAAACCAAGCAAACCATAGGCTCACATTGCTTCCATTTTCTCCACAGTAATAGTCTGCACTTGCTTTTGTTAAATATGTATGTGGTTTCACATATTGTATCTTTACTTTTATTAATTTATATGTACAAGGTAAATAAAATATTTGATAATCTTTCATGGACAAAAGAATAAGTATTCAGGGTTAGATTTATACTTTAAAAAATTTTGAGAGTCATGTTATATTAGATTCCAATGGGAGAAATCTGATACTTTCACTTTCAGAGTATTTAATTAGTTCAACTCTTCAAAAAGCAGTAAATGAGACCGGGTGCCATGGCTCACGCCTGTAATCCCAGCACTTTGGGAGGCCAATGTGGGCACATCACAAGGTCAGGAGTTCAAGACCAGCTTGACCCATATGGTGAAACCCTGTGTCTACTAAAAATACAAAAATTAGCTGGGCATAGTGGCATGCACCTGTAGTCCCAGCTACTCTGGAGGTTGACACAGGAGAATCACTTGAACCTGGGAGTCGGAGGTTACAGTGAGCCGAGATCACACCACTGCACTCCAGCCTTGGAGACAGAGTGAGAGACTCCATGTCAAAAAAAAAAAAAAAAAAAAAAGGCAGTAAATGTTGGCATTTGTTTTTTTCTTTCCTTTTTAAAATCTATATGTCTCCAAAGAATTATTAAATGTTAAATCCAATGGTAAAATATTAAAAATAACAACCATTTATAATCTTAAGTTTTCCTCATATCGGTGTCCACTGCTTCCTGGCTTTTATCCTGTGGAGCAGAGAATAACAAAAATTATACTGAAATAATTCCACACTAATAGTCCTGATGTAACACTGAGTATTTCTATCTCCTCATCTCAGAATTGTCTTCTAACAGCATCCAATCTAAAGTGCCTACTCCCAACTATCCTAACCCCATCATTCTCTGTCATGCCACTATGTTTGAACTCCTCAGGACACTCAAAAGTATTGGAAAGTACAAAATCAATTTCATTCTTGATCTGTTGATTGTCTGGACACCCCCCTCTCACCTCCCCATGAGAGCTATGATGTTCTAAGCTTATTCACTTCTGTGGCTCCAGTTCCCAGAGAAGCAGTGATATATATTAAGCACTTAATAATAATAATCTGGAGTGAATCCATTATCTCTTTTTGTTTTCCTAAATTCATTTACGCCTCTGAACTGCTTCTGTAAGAATTGAAGGTTTTGCTATGAAAACAATGTCTCTAAAGCTGAGAAAAAAGTCTCACATCTAATGGAAACTGTTGATACATATAGATTCGGCCACAATGAAAATTCACCAAGTTCGGAACTAACTGAATTGGTTTTGCTTAACATGTCTCTTAATCACACATCAAAATCCTTTAAAATCAAAATATTTGAAGTACATTTGTTGTTAAAAAAATGGAGTCTGTCAAATGAAACAGCTATGTCACTTTTACTAGGAGAAATCATCCAGAAAAGAATGGTATTTCTAAATAGATTAAGATATTAAGTAATGAGTACTAATAGCAGCTGGCAACTGGAGAGTGACTTGGTTTCAGAGAGAAAGATTTTAATATCAGAGGAACCTTTCTGAAAATCTAGTTCCATTAGTTCTAAGCACATGACAAACTTTAGAGATTACATTTTTAAAGAAGAGAACTCCAATTGTTTTTGTAATTCAAATGCAGTTTTGGAAATATCTAAATAATATTTAAATGTAATGTATACACCTTAAAATTTTTCCAGGACCCTATTTATGACATTCATTTTCTTAGGAGACCAGAAAATATATTTATTTTAAAAGTATTACATATTCAGATTTACATAATTTAGATTAAAAGATTATATAACTACTTTTTTATTTTGAGAACAGTCATAAATCTAAGAACAATTTTGCCTTCTTCGTTTCAAATGCTGGAATTCTGCACAGAGAATGAGCCATAGAGGGCGCTATTGTATTTACAATCCTGTGTAAGAAGCTTACAGATGATGAAATTCAAGAAATTAACTCAGTAGAATCAGTTGCTTTCACTTTGTTTACTAGACTAGAAAAATCAAGTGTTTTTTGACAATTTGATATTCAAAACACTGTTTTTTCCTCTTACAGTGTATTTTAGGAAAATCAGATTATCACTTTTAAAGGGATTTTTTTTAACAGGATAGTGAAATAATAAAATTATTTTGTCATGAGAAAACCTGAAATCCACTTCCTTAGAAATTTTTAAGAATGAAATATGTTATTATTGCTACAGTCACCATGTTGTACAACAGGACTTTTGAATTTATTCCTCCCGTCTGAAATTTTGTACCCTTTGATCAACACATTCAAATCTCCCCTCTTTTTTTTTTTTTTTTTTTTTTTGAGACAGTCTCACTCTGTCTCCCAGGCTGAAGTGCAGTGGCGCGATCTCGGCTCACTGCAACCTCCGCCTCCCAGGTTCAAGCGATTCTCCTGCCTCAGCCTCCCGAGTAGCTGGGATTACAGGAGCATGTCACCACGCCCAGCTAATGTTTGTATTTTTAGTAGAGATGGGTTTCACCATGTTGGCCAGGATAGTCTTGATCTCTTGACCTCTTGATCTGCCTGCCTCGGCCTCCCGAAGTGCTCAGATTACAGGCGTGAGGCCTGCGCCCGGCACTCCCCTCTCTTTTTGAAGCCACTGATAACCACCATTCCATTATCTGCTTCTATGCCTTTTTAAGGTGAAAAATGATAGGCATGTGCAGTAACGCATATGTTAATTAGCTTGATTTAGCCATTTCACAATGTATTTATATTTTTAAACATGTTGTAAATAATATATATAATTTTTATTTGTCAACTAGAAAATAATAAAAACTGTATAAAAAACAAATTATTAACACAATCAGTAGGCGAGATTTATAAAGAGTTTGGTGATATACATTTTTCCATTCTGGGGATGGCATGTATTGGCCTCAATTTGTTCATAATACTCATTTTTTGATGCAGATATTTGAAATCTAGTGTCCTCCTTTGAATGAGATGAGTGTTCTTAACTCTGTTCCTTCTCAAGTCAAAATTCTACCAAACTATTAATATTCAGCACAAATTCCCAATCGCTCCCAGTCATCTGGTACCTATAAACTACAGCTTCTCTCTTGCTCCACTGAAATCAATCATTTCTCTTTTATTTCTCCCACAGAGCATGTTCTATCATCCTCTACAGTTATTTGTGAGGATGTGTCAACCTCTTGCCAGACACCTGAGAGCTACACTCATGTAGGCTAAGTCCAAAAGCCCCAGAACCCAGACCAGTTTTTCTTTATCTCAGGCTTAGGTAAAATCCCTTCCCTTGGGAGACCGAGGCCGGCGGATCACGAGGTCAGGAGATCAAGACTATCCTGGCCAACATGGTGAAACCCCGTCTCTACTGAAAATACAAAAATTAGCTGGGCGTGGTGGCACTTGCCTGTAGTCCCAGCTACTCGGGAGGCTGAGGCAGGAGAATCGCTTGAACCAGGGAGTCAGAGGGTGCAGTGAGCCGAGATCACGCCATTGAGCCACTGCACTCCAGCCTGGCGACAGAGTGAGACTCCGTCTAAAAAATGGAAAAAAAAAAAAAATCCCTTCCCAATCAAAGGCACAAGCCCAGGAGGAAATAGACACACTTAGTAAAGTGGAACAGGAACAGAATTCGTACATTTCTGTTTTTGGCACCCCTTACTCTTCCTCTGTGATCACACCTGGTGACAGTCTCTTCTCTCATCAGGTAAGTGGCCTCGTACCCTGGAAATTTACCTGGGAAGGTCCTCTTTAAGTAAGACAAATATTTCACCTTTTATTTAAACACTTTGAGAATGAAAGGGACACTATTAAAAACTATGACAGGCATAAACCAGAACTGTCCTGGACATGCAAGATGTATGGTCATCCCATTTAATGTAAAACTATAAATCTTAAATATAGCCTTATTAGCCTTTACAAATAGTAACTCAGAATCAATCCTTGGAAGAGGAAGCCTTAAGAGTCAGACAGAAATGAGTTAGAACTCATTTCTACTACTCATGGCCTGTGAAATAATTTAAAACTTTCCTAGAGCAGTTATCTCATCTCCAAAATGTGGACTGTATCATCCTCCTGAGAATAAACTCCAAGGTCATTGTGAACACTAAACTTGTTCATTTAAGTGAAAGTAACTGGTACATAGTATACGTGTGATAAAACTTAGTGCCATTTCCTGTTACTCTTTTTCATGCCACATTTTCTGTTCCCAAGTAACTAGATTTTTCTTACGCATTGTTGTTCATTTTTACAGTTTTTGGGAAATAGCATAGTATCTATCAGCACTCAAAATGTATACAATTACTATAGTTATTTCTATTCTACAGATTTTTTATTCTTGGATTCCATGAGAGATTGTTGTTGCTCCTGCCTGGTTTTTATAGTTCAAACTGGGCTTACGCATTCTTTCTGTTTCTTTGTACTCTAAAGAATATTTGCAGTTAAAAATATCTAGGGACATAATGCCTTTCCACTGTGCAAAATCTATAGGGCATCTGTTACAAATGTTTCTAGTGGCAAGAAATGAGAAACACCTCCTCATCCAGCAAGTGAAATTGGTTACATAATTAGTGGTAGCTCAATTATCATTTAATATTACATAATTTTTAAAAAGGAATCATTTAAAAATACACCATGTACATCACTCTCGTTAATATTAGCGATATGAAAGACAAAAAAAAAGTTGTACTCTAAGCATTTCGAGTAAGAGATATCTTTGAAAACAGAAAGGAAATACAAAAGAAAATAAGTGCTTTTTTTTTTTCCTTTCTGAGACAAAGTCTCGCTCTGTGGTACAGGCTGGAGTGCAGTGGCATGATCTCGCCTCACTGCAACCTCTGCTTCCTGGGTTCAAGTGATTCTTGTGCCTCAGCCTCCCGAGTAGCTAGGATTACAGGCGCCCACTACTACACCCAGGCAATTTTTGTATTTTAGTAAAGACGGGGTTTCACCATGTTGGCCAGACTGGTCTCTAACTCCTGACCTCAGGTGATCCGCCCTCCTTGGCCTCCCAAAGTGCTGGGATTACAGGTGTGAGCCCACACGCCAGACTGAAAATGAGTGCATTTTAATGAAAATAGAAGAAATTGTTTATTTAGAAATCAAACAGCAAATTCCAAGGAGGTGAAATTATAGAGAGAATACTCTTTTTATAGATTTCAATATTGGTTAAACTACAAAAACAACATAACCTACATGTATAATTTTAGAAATTAAGGAAAAGTCCACATGTGAAAATTATAACATTTTATTTATAAAATTTAATTTTGATAACAAAATGTTATAAACCAAGCATTATCTGATTTTTATATTTTTAAATATTTTTACTTAAGTGCATGTACGTTGAATTGTAAAATAAATGAAAAAAAATGGCTACTTACCTTCTCTTTGTTTATTGAAATGTTGCCATTTAAAGTTAAATTTATGTATTCTAAAGATTATTGTATATTTAATCTTAAACAATGTATTTGTATTATTTGAAATTCCGCAGTTTTTTTCTGGATATTTTCTATCACATATTTCCATTAATTAAATATACTTAACACTTTATGATTCTAATGAAAATTATAAATCCATTTTTTGGCATAAGACAAAAAAACTGCTTGTCTCATTCAAACTAAGAAACTGCACAAAAGAGGTGATTTCTATTCTTTGCCCTTCTTTTTCTTTTTTGTTAAATCTATTTTACATACTAATTAGAGTTTCCAGAGACATAATTATATTTTCCTGAGGTGGATAATCATGATAAAATATTGCATTCAGCATTTACAATCATTATGGAATCTTCAAAATCCAAGTTCTACAAAATATTAGAAAACAAAACTTAGGCTCAAAACTAAATTTAGCATGAAATGATTTCGTAATCATAGAATATAAACCTGCATGAATCAAATAAGAAAATTATATTTCAGTGAGCTTCACTTTTCTGGCAACCTCTTATTACCAAAATTCCCACAAACCATATTTTCCATCTTAAGAATGCAATATTTTCAACTGGGGGAACAATAATTAGACATCACTTTTCTTAATGACCTACTCAGTTCTAAGCAGTACTAGGGATTTTTTAACCAGAATGTTTCAGAGTGAAAATGAGATTGGAGACTATTGGGGACTAACTTGGATTGGGCATACACACACACACACACACACACACACACACACACACACACACACACATCAATTCAGTGAATTCATGCACTGCATTCAGCATGTTTACATTTCAGGACCTTCAGTAATGACACTTCATTTTCCTAACATCAATGTTCACTTCATCAGGAACATACTGACCAATTAAAATGTCCATCTCATGTAACTCCACTTTTCTAAATCCTCAAACACAAGAGATCAATTCTTTCTTAAGCGAACTTAGTTTATCAATCCCAATGTCTTGTAATTTTTAATTTTAATGACTATTTCCCTTATTAGATTGCTAGAATTATAAGAGATATATTTTTAAAAATATCTTAGTGTCAAATAGATTAGTTTGGGTGACTACAACCCTCAAAGGAGCAGGGAGAGACATATACGCCAGGAGAGAGAGATATGCCAGGTATGGCTTTCCTTTTCTGACGACAGTGCCTTTATCAGCACCACTCTCAGAGATGATTTTGTTGTTGTTAACACAGGATTCCACATAACATTGTCTCAGGCTGAATAACTCACTTTATCTAGCAAAGGAGGCGCAGTAGCATGCAACCATTGGATCTAAGTTCTCATTGCCTACGTGCATTGCCTACTTGCTCCCAGCCTAATGGAGCAATGGAAAAATCTGGTGGAGGCCCGCAGAGGGGCAGCTAGGAGTTATACCCCGTGAGGACAGATCACCATCCTTCAGGAGAAAGTGTCCAGCAAAATCCAGCAACCCTCCTACAGTACCATGTCACCAATACATAGAATACATGAGTTCAGGAAGCATGGGATATTAGGGGCCCAGTTACTATCACTCTCAGAACCACTAGGGATTTTCTGCTTCCCACCTCACAGCTTGGTCTGTGTAGGCTCAAAGTTCCTAGTTCCCAAAGAGAAACTGCTTTAATCAAGGCACACAGCAAGATAACCATTAAACTGCAGCTGCTTTCTGATTACTTCAGGCTTCTTATGCCATAAAACCCAGAAACAAAGAAAGGATTCACCATCCTGGCAACTGATCATCAGGAGGAGGTAAAATGGGAAAAGGGAAGAATACACTTAGCATCCAGGTGATCCAGTGGGTTATCTCTTTCTACTCCCTTGGTGGATTATGATGGTAAATGGACAAGTTCAGCAGCCACAGTGTGATAAGGGCTTTGTGAACAGGGTTTCAGAGACCTAATGAGGATCTAGGCTGCTGCACCAGGTAAACAGAGATGCCTGCTGTGCGTGAAAGGAATCTAGAATGGAAGGAGTTGATGAGTTCTGCTTCAGTACTTGGAGTTGCAGAACGTACCACTATAACTCTTTGTAAGTTTCCCAGGAAATGAGACCAACAAACTATATCTATATATATAATAGTTCTAGACAAACTATTTCTATAGATGGTGTAACCTTATCATACAACCTAAGTGGATTTGAGTGGTACAAGATATCAACTGGAGAGAACGGTGTGGCACGCCACCTCCCAGCTGCTAGGAGTGTTTGCAGCTAATGGCTTACAGCTGAGTCATTTTAGCCAGCCAGACCTGCCTTAAGGTCACTCACTTCCTGAGATTAGGGGTGAAAGAAAACCCATATATAATGACTGATAGAAACAAGGATACAAAGTAGTATCCTGTTGCCTCAGTTGGGACAACTCTGATTCCTCCTTGGCATTTGCTGTGGCTTTTGTTGTGACCAGTTAATGCAGTTTTGTTGCAGTTAATATTCTCCCTCCACCCAGTTCTCCTTCCTTTACTCCTTCACAGACTTTATTCCCCAAAGTGATCTCCCATAACCTTCCCACACTTACATTTCTGTTTTATAACCCATTTCCCAGGAAACTCAACCTCAGATAGGATCTTTCCCTGATTTGGTTATATTTATAAAGTAATCAATGAAGATATACTACATACTGCCATATAGGTTATATAAAATAAACAGAAGTGTGATTTTCTTCTCAAAGAATTTATACACTTATGGAGATAAACAATAGTAGTAGCAGCATTCGTAGTTATATCATGTGTTTAAGTGCAAGCAAGAGTAACACAGATTACACTGACATTACAATTCTGAATAAGGCATTCAAGTTAGATGGTGTATTAGTCCGTTTTCACACTGCTAATAAAGACATACCCGAGACTGGGCAATTTATACAGGAAAGAGATTTAATGGACTCACAGTTCCACATGGGTGGGGAGGCCTCACAATCATGGGGGAAGGCAATGAAGAACAAGTCACGTCTCGCATGGATGGCTGCAGGCAAAAAGAGCTTGGCATAGAAACTCCACCTTATAAAACCATCAGATCTCGTGAGACTTATTCATCATCACGAGAACAGCAAGGGAAACACCTGCCCCCAGGATTCAATTACCTCCCACTGGGTCCCTCCTACAACACGTGGGAATTAAAAGAGCTTAAATTCAGGATGAGCTTTGGGTGGAAACACAGCCAAACCATATCAGATGGCAAGGATTTGAATTACTCTTCCATCATTTAGCAGATATGTCAATGACCTCAGGGAAGTTATTGACCTCTTTGTGACTCGGTTTCTTCAACTTTAAATTGGGGGTGAGAATATAAACTACTTCTAAAGACTGTTGTGAAGGTTAAATACATGAAAATATGTGAAGCAGTTGAAATGTGTCTGGCCTGTAGTAATTGGTCTCAAAGTATTAATCGTTATTGTCATCACTATGGCCTAAAATGAACAAGAAAAACTATTCAAACAAGGAGGGTTTACACTAGGATTTGAATGACAGCCAATACTTATAATTTACAGTTCAAAAGTGCTTTCTTCTTTCTCAAGAACTTTCCTACACATTGCCTCATTTGATTTCAATAACGTGTCAGAAACGCAAATATCAATTTCATTTTGCAAATTATAAAACTAAAATAGAAAGGAGTCAAGATTTCTAGTCCTAAGTTATTCTTGATAATGTAGTAGAAGCAAAAAAAAAACAGTAAAGTATCCTAGGGTACACCATTTAGGAAGATAAAACTGAATACAATATACAAGAAAACAAACAGAAATCAATTAGTGGGAGATTAGTCTCAATATATAAGTTGTGGTCAGTCTGTAGATAGCCTTGACTTGAATGCTAAAATGAATGAGAGAGTCATTGAATGTTTTGAGCAGGAGAAAGAGATAATAAAATTGACAATTTATGATAAGTTCCTTGGAGTCAGAGATAACACAGGCAGCACACCAACATGGCACATGTATACATATGTAACTAACCTGCACGTTGTGCACATGTACCCTAAAACTTAAAGTATAATAAAAGAAAAAAATTAAAAAATATTTAAATATGGTGTTAAAAAAAGTGAATCAATTTGATGAGAATTCCAGCTTGCAACACAAGAGAACATTGTGTTAGTTTGATTTTTCCTTTTAATTACTCTGATATATGAAAAAGCTATTTAGACTTTGTGAGCATTTGTTTCTCCCTTTGCCAAAGAGAAAGAATAATGATGCCTGTGAATCATGTAGAGCTTTTCTTATGAATGGTGAATGATACAGAGCTCTTCTTATGAATGGTGAATGATACAAAGCCCTTCATTGCTGCTCAATCCATCCTTGTCTTTGGTTAAAATGAAACACATATGGCAAAATTATTTTCCTGAGCTTTTAGGGATTCTGATCTTTTATTTTTCAAAAATTCCAATTTATATCCCTTGGCATTGTATGAAATGATCTTCTATTTGCATATTTAAAACAACTTTGCATAGTAAAATTAAACGGTTTCTCAAATTTGTTCTTTCCTCATTAGATGAATCACAACCCAAAATAAGTGAAATTGATGGCTTATAGTTTTACTTTACACATGATATAAAATATGAAGAGTTAGAACAATTGCCTAATCTAATAAAATTCTCTGAAATTAAAGATGCCTGAAAGTTTCATTACTCAATTGACTGTCATTTAACAGAGTAACACTTAACTTGAGATTCATAAAAATCTTGAGAGAGGTCATTGTCTGAAATCACAGGGCCCACTTGACTCCATGAACTTAACATCATGAGTTCCTGAGGGAGATATATCCCATGAAACAATAGCAAATGGAAACATAGAAACTCTGGTGTTTTGTTTTCCACTAATTGAGAAAACAGAATACAGAAATCAGTGTATACTCTCTCCAAAGGGAAAATCCCCAAATTCCTCTATCACAGGTTCACAGGAAATAAATGGGAGAACCCGATTCCAGTAACCTTTGGAGGTCCAGTATCTCTACCCACTAGAAAAACAGCCCAATCAGGGATTTTACTGCTGACCTATCCACAGCCACCCTTGCAGCTTGGGGAAGGGAACGCTTGTCTTTGGATTGGAGGATGGTTTAAGAGGTAACTGCAAAAGATACAATGGCTTAGTGTGAACTTGGGTAAATTAGAAAAACTTCATTAATCTCCCAGAGATTAAAACCTTCTTTAAAGATTATCCTGAAAATGAAACGAAATAGTATTCCCATATGTGTTCATTTACTCATTTACCAATAAAAAATTAGTTACTAATTATTACATGCTATTTACTGTTCTAGTTGCTATGGACTGTAACTTTTAGAAATCTTTCAGTATTAGTATATTGGTTATTTAATTACTAATAAATAATACTTGGTAAATAGTAGTGATAACTTCTATTTATAATTGCAAATTTCATTTTTATAATGCCCATATATTCATCCTAAAAAGAAGTAAATTTTCTAGTGGATATAAAATGTAACATGATGATCTTCATAAGTCCTTAGCCACACATTTAGTGAGGGGTAAATTTGAAAAGAAATCATATATGTGTAAAGGAACAGGTAAATGCTATTTTAGACATTGTCATTTTAATGATAATTGGTTTCCAGTCTTTTAAGCGTATCTTAGGACAACAAACTTACTTTGAATCAATTCATTTAATTTGTAAACTAACTTTTCGGACCTGGGGAATAAAACAAAAACAAAAAAATCTTCCTTAAATGTATGCTAAACTTATTGAAAGGGCAACCTATGCTTCATTAATTGTTAATAATACCAGAAGCATGTGACATTTTTCATTTTTTTGATGTTCAAAAGAAGGTTTTACATATTTATTTTGAATTAGAAAAGATTTCAAACACAGTAAAAGTACAGAGAACAATGAGGCAATCAGGTACTTATTACCCAGATGTTTTATTTTTTACATATTCGCTTCATGATTTTATATGCACACACACAACATATAATGTATATAAAGTTTATATGGAAAATAACATTTTAATTATATATAATATATGTTACAATTTTAAATTTTAAAAATTTGCTTTTCAAATTTTAGTCTTTAAACGTTCTCTATGTTGTGAGCAGGGATCTAGTTTTAAGTTTCAAATCACGTATATAGCTAGGTAATGGAACAGTAATTTTTAAAAAACAATCCATCCTTTCCCTATTTTATTTTTTACAGTAGCATCTCTATCATATACATATACATATATATTTTTTTCATAGGTGATTTTTTTATTCCTGCTGATGTGAAGTCAGCTGTCATTCTAGTTGTCATTAGTTTTAGATGTCCTGTCATTTCTCTCTGTATTTTTTTAAGGTCCATCCCTTCCCTCTCCTTCATTCTCTCTGTCTCTCTCTTCCTCTGCTTCTGCCTCCCCTTTATGCCCTCTGAAAACCAATTTAGTGCTTTTTAGAATATTTAGTGTTATGCAATTATTACCAGTATCCAATAGAGGACATTTTTATTACCACTACACCAAAAAAACCTATATACACTAGCAATCACTCATCATTCTCCCTACTCCAACTCCCAGCCCTTAGCAAATACTAATCTTTCTTTCTGTCTTTATGGATTTGCCTATTCTGAATATTTTATATAAATGAGATCATGTAGTATCTGGCCTTTCATCACTAGCTTCAGTTATTTAGTGTAATGTTTTCCAAGTTCGTCTGTGTTATAGCAAATATTAACACTTCATTCCATTTTATTGCTATATAACTTCCTATGTATGGATATACCACATTTTGATTTCTTTATACTTTCTTGACTAGTATGAATACTGCTGCTATGAACATTCTTGTACAAGCTTTTGTGTAGACATATGTTTTCCTTTCTCTTGGGCACATACATATTGAAGTGCAATTGCTGGGTTATAAAGATAACTACATGTTTAATATTTGGAGGAATTGTTAAACTGTTTTCCAAAGTCATGGCCCTGTTTTACAATCCCGTCAGCAATGTGCTGATCCAATTTCTCCACATCTTTGCCAAGACTTGTTACTGTCTTTTCATTGTAGTCATCCTAGCAAGTAGAAAGCGCTGTTTGTGGCATAGATTTGCATCTACCTAATGACTAATTGACTTGAGCAACTTTTCAGTACTTATTGTTGAATTGTATATCTCCTTGAAGAAATGATCATTCAAATCTTTTGCTCATTTTAAAAATTGGGTTGTCTTTTTGTAACTGAGTTGTGATAGTTCTTTATGCATTTTGGATTTCAGTCCCTTATTAGATATGTCATTTGCACATATTTTCTGACATTCTGTGAGTTACCTTTTGACTTTCTTGCTGGTGTTCTTTGAAGCATAAAAGTTTTAAGTTTTGATGAAGTACAATTTATATCCTGATTTTAGTGTCATATCTAAGAAAACTAACTCAAAATCACAAACATTACTTCAAAGTTTTATTCCAAGAGTATCAGTTCCTACACATGGGTTTATTATTCATTTTGAGTTGATTTTGGTAACAGTGAGAGATAAGGATCCAACTTGATTCTTTAGCATGAATATTCAGTTGTCCTGGCATTATTTGTTGAAGAAAAGACCATTTTACTTCATTTAATAGTCTAAGCATTCTTGTTGAAAATCAATTAACTATACATGTAAGGGTTCATTTCTGAGCTGTCAATTTTACTTCATTGATCTATGTGTCTCTTCTTATGCCAGTAGCAGGCTGCCTTCATTACTGTAGCTTTGCAGTGAAGTTGAAAAGCAGGATGTATAAGACTTCCAGTTTTGTTCTTCTTTATCAGTGTTTTTTGTTTGTTCTTCTGGATCCTTTGTTTTTCCATGTGGATTTTAGAATCTGCCAACTTCTGAAAAAAAAAAAATCCAGCATGAATTTTTATATTTCTGATAACCAATTAAATGTCTATATATGCTATAGATCTGTTTAAATTTAATATCTGGGGGGAGATCAGTTTTGGTAGCTTACGTCCTTCTAGGCATTCGTTCATTTTGCCTATTTTATTAGATTTGTTGGTATACAATTGTTTATGTTATTTTTTTTTCCAGTTTTTTAAAAAATTTGAAACAGTCTAACTCACCCAGGCTGGAGTGTAGTTGCATGACTATAGCTCACTGCTCCCTCCATCTCCTGGACTCAAGTAATCCTACCACCTCAGCCTCCCAGGCTCCCAAGTAGTTGGGACTACAGGAGTATGTCACCACACTCAACTAATATAAATTTTTTTTATATGTAAGTTCTGTTGTGATATTCATTTTATTCCTGATTTTAGTAATTTAAGCATCTTTTTGTTTTTCTTTGTCAGGCTACCTAAGATCTATCAATGTTGTTGAGTTGTTGGTTTATTTACTTTCCCTATTGTGTCTTAATCTCGATTTCACTTATGTCTCTTCTAGTCAATAGTATTGTCTTCCTTCTCTTAGCTTCAGTTTTAATTTGCTCTTATTTTTCTAGCTAATGGCGAAAGGTTTGGTTATTGATTTTAAGCCTTCTTCTTTTTAATGTAGATGTTTACAGCTATAAATTTACCAATAAGCACTACTTTAGCTCTGCATTCCTTATGTTTTCAGTGTTCCTTTTACTTCCAATACGTTTCACTTTTATTTTAAGTATTTATGCTGAAAGCTAGTCATTTTATTGATTTATTGAGCTATGTCAAATTTACTCCTATCTTTTGGGTGACACAATTCAAACATTTAATCTGGTCATTGCATTGGTCTTCTTTTTAATTGTATTTTGTTGTCTTCTCATATTTTATGTTCTACCTTCTATTACATTTAAAAACATAAAATGTCTTTTATAATCCATAAGAACTTACATTATCTAAAGTTCTTAAGAGTTCAAATTGTAATATTTTTAGTTTCTGCTGACTCATGCTTGCTGGATTATTTTATAATTTTGAATTATGAGGCTATGTTTAGCAAAACGTTCTCTGTCACAATCTAAGAATGCTGAGGAAATACTAAGTTTCTTTCTTAAGTGGACCTATATTTTATTTTATGGTATTTTTAAGCTATTAATATTCTTAAGATTCTGAATTATAGTCTATTTAAGATTTTATTCTCTAGCACATGAATCGCAAATTCTTCATGTTTGTGCATCTTCTACACACTTTCATGGTGATTCATTTTGTCATGTCCTTATTTTTCCATGTTGACCTCATATTTTGTGAAATTTTTTTTCCAGATGAGAATCTCATGTGTCCTGAATTTGAGGAGTATGTCTTATAGCACAGTTTTCTGTTTGTTTCTACTACCAGACCTCATAGCTTTCAGAAGGGATCAATTTTTCATGTTTCTTCTTTCAGTTTGATTTCCTATACCGCGAACATGATACGAATTTCAAAGCCACTTATACGTGCCCCATTTTTTGAAATTTTCTATTTTAAAGGCACCCCTGTCCTCAATGTGAGCCTGTACCTCAGGCAGAATGCAAACTCTCTTTTCAGCTTCTCCAGGCTAGTTGGAAGGTATTTTTCTAGTTTTATTTTCACAGAATAGGCACCACCTCAAAGTCTTAGCTATGCAACTTTATTTAGAGTTCTTGGATTCAGTTCCTACACTTATTAGGTCAAAGACCCCTCTGGGGGTCAGAACCTTTGCTCCAAACTTTTAGGGTTTGCTTCCATTCCTGTTTCCTCTTATTTTCACTTTCTGGGATTACATCATTAGCTCCAGCCTCCTGTTCTGGATCAGGGTCTTATACATTTCCAGCACTCAAAGTTTTGTGTTTTTCTGGTTTTGTTTTGTTTTGTTTTTGCTTTACAACTCAGCTATATATTTTAAGTATTTGTTTTTACATTTTATTCAACATTTTATTATTTGTAATGGGAGAGGATTCCCTTCAGCTCACTTCTAAGTCTCTCTGGAGCCATCGACGTTTATTCTTTCACCTTTTAATAAGCACATATAAAACTATTAAAAAACTAAATCATGATTTTTAAAAAATAATAACAGTAAAAATCATACAATGAAAAGGGTTTCACCTTCTTAGAATTATCTCTTTTTTATTAGAAACAAGGAGACACATTTCAGTATGAAAAAAAATGCACATCTGTATACCTTCCTATGCCTAACTGAAAAATGTATAGTTATTTAGATTTATTCTCATCCCAAATTAAACCATTCTGCTTTAACTGACACAGCATAATACTCGTTGTATTTGAATATATGCCTATTACATAAATGTGATAGTCAAGGGCAAAAAAGATGAGTGGAAAATGAAGAAGTTCCCCAAATATGAGGAGACAGTAGTGTCATTGGGGTTCACTCTCACTTTACCTGTGGCTATCAACACCCCTGACATTGTCATGTCTGTTTGCATCACACCTGTCTTCTGTATTTACAAGGTGCTCTAGAGGAGAGGAGAACATAGCTTGAAATCTTGCTACCTTTCATAAGTTTCAGGGTCTTTCCTGGGCATCTACCATGTGAAGGTAAGCTGAAGAACATAGGGAAATGAAAAGGACAGTTGGCCTCTGTATCTGCAGATTCTGGATCCATGATGCAACCAACTGCAAATTGAAAATATTTGAAAAACAATAAACAGAAATAACAAAATAATTAAACTACAAATAAAAATATAGTGTAACAACTAGTTACATAGCATTTACATTTTAGTAGGTACCATAAATAATCTAGAGATTATTTAAAGTATAGGAGAGAATGTGCATAGGTTGTATGCAAAAACTAGACCATTTTAATATAAGGGACTTGAGCATCCACGGATCTTGGTATCTGTGGGAAGTCCTGGAACCAGTCCCCTGAGAATATGAGAAATGATTGTAGGTCTTCTTCACAAGCAGCTTAGATTCACTTGACAGTAAATTATATCAGCTATCAACACTGCTGCTATACAGCAAAGTCATGGAAGTTCATTCCAAGTGCACACTTAATAGAAAAGGGCTTGGACAATGTGTGGCCCATATTAGGAACTCAATATCCTATCTCTATTCTTCCTAATAATGTTATAGTAATTATTATAATTATTATTATATTATACAGGAATTATTATAATATGCTAAGTAAATATTATAATATGCTAAGTAATTTTTATTAGCCAGTGTAGGACAGGCTTGTGGTGACAGACTAAGTTTTAGCTGCTACAGGGATCAGACAGAGACATTGTTCCTCATGCCCATAGACTTGGCCTAATTTCTTGTCACTGCTGCAAGGAACATATATTTTACATGCCACATGATTTAACTTTCAAAAGAGCTCTGCAAGAGTGGTGCCATTTTCTTTACTTTAAAGATGAGGTTCAAAGAAGATGAGACTCACATGGGTAGAAAATGGGAGAGCTTGGATTAAAACCCCAGTTTGCTTTATCGCAAAGCACTATAATGCCCACATTCTTAAAGGGGATCATATTTCCAATGTCCTTGTCCAGCAGTGATGTCATGGTAAATAAATGGTTATATGCATAAAAATGGGTGGTCAGAGTTTCTGACTCATATGAAGTCAGACATTTATTCTGTCTGTGAATCAAGCCACTGTGAATGTCAAAACTACTTACCCTTAAAGTAGGAGCACCCTAAAAAGTTAAGGAAACTGATGACTCTGTGAAGTCATTAATAACTAAAAAGCTTTGCCTCTATAGACCCTACAATTATTGTTATACAGGAAACTTTTTGATGTTTGCAGGGACCTAAAAATCTATAAAGTGAGTAAATGGGATTACTGTAAGAATCTAACCACTTACCTGTGGTTAATGGCTGATAGAAGTGGATACGGTCAGAAATGGAGCACATCACCCTTTGGTAATACACTTGGATAAAGCAGTAGGATAAGAAGTAACAGAAATGTTTTATCTCTGTAATGTGGTGAGACTGATAGCTCTAAGAATTTCAGGGAACAACATGGGATGACCCCTCACAAAACCACAGTCACAAGACAACAAATAAATAGATAACATTTACACAATTCCAGGAAATAGTGTGTATGAGTTAACAGTGCAGGGCATTAAAAGTAATCAGCTATTTCGAAAACACGCCCATTGCTGGCTGCCTGCTGACATTTACATCTACTACTAAGAACCTTGATTTGTGAAACAATGTATATGATGATGTTATTTGAAATGCACACCTTATTTCCGGGTAAATGATTTATTGTTAGCTTTATGTTAGTAACAAAGTGGTCTTTAGCTCACCTCAACTGAAGTACATAGTGAAAACCTCACAAATCGAATGTTTGCTTTTTTTTTTTTTTTTAACTGACAAGAATCTTCAGTTTCATCAAATGGCAATATAGGAATATTGAAAGAAATGAAATGGATGTTTTCCTTGGCTAGAGAGGTGTGTGTCATTGATGAGTTTCTTCCTATGAGTCAGCTTTCTGACTTTCATAATTTGATTTGATATAAAAATGGATGATTGTGATTCTTATTCTTGTTAATACAATCAATTATTTTCTACTTTCCTGCTTTCAACAAGGAAATTTTGGAATTAATTGTGGCAAATCATCGATGACTTTCCTAAGAACCAGTTTTCTTCTAATAGGCAACAGAAATACATCTATAGCTTATATAAGAAAATAGTTTTCCCTTCTCTTAAGATGCCTGAGTTCTATTTGCTAAGCACTTGCTGTTCATGGATTACTGAAGAATAAATGAAGGACATAGTTGTATAGGTCAGGGTTTGCTGTGTTCTTGTAAGATAGTTAATAATCTTATACTGGAAAACATGTTGGTTTTTCAGAAAATGTATAAAGATTAAATTTTAGAAAATATCAATGTCTTGTAATTAAAAATGGCAGTAACAAAAGATTTTGTTCATCTGGACAGTTGTTTTATTTTCATTAATTTGCTGCTCATTAGGCTCTCTGGTATATCTTTGACGACTTATTGGAGGTGTATCTGAACAAATTTAAACCTTAGTTTCTTTCCTGCTGCTTATTCAAAATTCACGTATTTCCCCACAGGGACAGTACGGATAATAATCAGGGCTTATATTCAACATTCTAAAATGTTATGACCTATTCAAATAGGTTATGAAAATACTGAAATGCCACCCTGCCAGAAAGTAGTAGAAGCCCTACTCCTACAAGAGCCCTCACTGGACAGCTTTGTGTCTCCCCCAGGGATCCTGAACACAATATACAGGGTTAGAAATATTAGGAAATTGATATTGAGATTCCTAATATCTGGGAAAGGTATGGAATTAGAGCTGATTGAACAATTCAGGGGAGAGAAGAAAATAAACCTCAAGAGTTAAGCTAAAACATAACTTGGAATAATTTGTGTTCTTTGTGGTCACTTTTGTATATAACATTAAAAGCCTGTGGTGAAGGTGAAGCAGCCCAGTGGTTATCAGAGAGTCCATTGAATGTTATATCAAAAACAAGGCATCCACAAGTATCAGTCTGGGTTTTATCAGTGTAGCGAAACCACATAATGATTTAAACAAAGAACATTAAATGTAAAGAATTATTACACTATAATAAAACAGTAATTATGAAATACAATAGAATTCTATATAATATGCAACGGCTGAGGAAGGATACCCAAGGAAGAAACATCTTGAAAAGAGTCCCTCTTCCTATTGTTAAGGATCAGACTTCCTTGTGAAGGTACAGTTGCAACCCACGGGAAGACACCAAGGGTCACTGCTTTGCCCAAGACTGAGCTGGTCTGCAATAGCTGGTGAGGCAGAGCGTAAGCTTCCAAGGTTTGGGTGAGCCTCAGCTCATGGCTGAATGCACACATGTCCAGAGAAAGTGGGGGTATTAGGTATAGCATGTATGTTGAGGGTTATAGGAAGATGCCCACCAGTCTGGATGAGGACTTCAAGGTCACTAAGGGATCGCAACCTGGGGCACAGCCACTCCAGACACCTTCCCACCCACACTGCAGACCAAGTGTACTGTTGTTGGTACCAGCAAGAGAAGCTTCTTCCTCCTGCAAATTTCCTCCAGCGCCTTCTCCTAAGAAAGCTTAATATTGTTCTCACTGTAAAGGAGAAACACTAAAAGTATGTCTGTCCTTTTTTACAGAGTAAGGGTATGAAGGTATTTCTGGAGCTGAAAGTCAACAAATTGAGAACTGGCACACACACCCCAAAATATTTCTGTGCTAGATACATCTTCCTACAGATACTTTAAAAAGGTAATTTTTTATTACTATTTCTTTCAAAATTTGTGAGCGCTTTGTATTAAAAAAAAAAACACTCTCTAATTGGATAACTTTGTGGACGACAACGCTGTGCTTTCAGCTTTTACATCTTTAAAATGGGTTTTTGTGAAGATTAAACCAATGATATTTGTAAGGTACGTAGTGCAGAGTCTAAACCCAAACAAGCATTGGGCGTTAAGTGTTAAGTGTTAAACCAGATTGCCATGTAGCCTCATTACTTGACCGCACTTTTCATGTGAGCATGTGTGGAATCAGGAATCAGATATAATAAGACCTCTCTGCAGAAAAAAAAAAAAAGTGGGGAGGAGGGAGAGGCGCAAATTACATATTTTGTCCTTTTTACTGTCTCTGATCTATTACTGATCCAGGGTGCATGCACATGTAAAACATCGAATTGTTTTGTAATTACAAATTAAATGTTTTAGAGAAGTCTCTCATTTTTATGACTTATTTTATTTCTCTCAGTGTTACTTTGTTTACTCTCAGTTCATATACACACCCACATATACCCACATGAGCACAGGCCATCCTATGTAAATTCTACACAATATATTTTTGTTAACTCATATATTTCAACACTAACAAGCTATGTGCTTAGGCTAACAAGCTGTGAACTTCCAATCTGACTCTGCCAAACCCTGCTATATGAACACCACTACATCATTATATGAGGAGCTGAAGGGAGTTTCAGCATCTAGGTATTCTGCTCTCAGGTTTCTGGAAAGTCCATATTTCCCTGCAACATATACCTAATTCAAAATAAATAAACTAACATGGGAGTCTTTGCCTTCCCTGTCATTAAAATGAATTTTAAAAGCATAACAGCTGATTACTGTACTGAAAAAAATTCATTAAAATTCTTTATTGAAAGCTCTGCAACCTGATTTTCAAAACATTTCATTTCATTTGAATTTTCTATAATACAAAAGTGTTATGTACTTGAGCTTGTCTCTCAACTAGAAGAAGGTTCTTTTAGTTCTTCAGGCAAGGCTTCCTTAAGCAAATAAATAACAGAAAAATCATATTATATAAAGCCTATGTAGAAAATTTTCTGGCTGGGTGCTGGGCTCACGCCTGTAATCCCAAAACTTGGGGACTCCAAGGTGGAAAAATTGCTTGAGGCCAGGAGTTAGAGACCAGTCTGAGCAACAAAGTGAGACCCTGTCTCTACAAAAAAATAAAATTTAAAAAATAGCCAGCTGGTATGGTGGCACCAGCCTGTAGTCCTAAGTACTCAGGAGGCTAGGGTAGGAGGATCCCCCTTGAGTCTCAGAGCTCGAGGATGCAGTGAGCTATGATCATGCCACTGCAGTCTAGCCTGTGCAACAGTGTGAGACTCTGTAATAAAAAGAAAAAATTTTCTTTCACAAAAGCAAAAATATTTGGACATTTTATATTTAATATAGCTAAGCAATATAGTTTATGTTGACAAGTTTAGTTAATTGTTAGGAGGCACATTACTTATACAAAATAATTCAATAGAGAGCAGATATTTTAATCCTTTAAGAGCAAAATTTCTGATTTATTTTTATGTATTTTATGAAGAAGATACTCCATGTATAAGTTCAAGTTTGGTTGGCCCTTTCTTGTCTTTTTGCTCAATATTTGGAACACTTGCATTTTCTTTGCTTAGGAGCCTTTGAGCTTTTCTCTTTCATTTTATCCTCTCACGTTCTTGTTTCTTAGCAGCATGCTTAGCTTCTACTTATTCACATTTTGCTCGTGCTTTGCGACTTGATGTTTCTTTCATTTTTTGTTTTTTGAATGGTAATGGAGTTTACCCATTTTGCTACATTGCTCTTCTGGCTGAAGCTGCTCAATGGTGAAGTGTTCTTCTGACCAACATTAGGTAATACTGCATTGTTCTCTAGCAAAGGCTGGACAATTTTTCTAAGTTGCTTCCTGAGTCTTTCCTTTTCAGCTACTATTTCAGATGTTCTAAGTATTATTAATCTGTGATTTGGGATTCCTGTGAGATTTAGACCCTCTTTTTCCCTCCATAGTAATTTCTTGTACTTTTGCTGAATCTTCAGTCTTCTCAGAATGCCAAGCCTTGCAGGTGGACATCTATAAGGAGTTGGGAACTATGGGAACAACTGTTGGATTGCTCCCTGACCCCATCCCTGCAAGACGGTGGCACTGAGGATGTTGACAGCAGACTCTGAGGCTTAGCCCTTCTCAGCTTTAGTGAATGAAGCAGACATTTTTCCCTGATCCATGGCTGTGAAAAATTATACGAATACATTTACTAATATTAAATTTATATTTCTGTGGGCACAATACTTGTATATGTTATTATCCTTTTAATACACTGATAGATTTATCAGTTTTATTTTTGGAATTATATTGATACACAAAATTGGTTCAAAATTTTCTTCTTAATGATGTCAGTATTAGTTTCCTGGAACACCATAACAAAGTACCACTAACTGAGTGTCTTAAAACAACAGAAGTTCATTGTCGCACAGTTCTGAAGGCTGGAAGTTTGAAACTGAGGTGTTGCAGGACCGTGGTCTCTCAAGGCTGTGGGGGATGCCTTTCTCTTAGCCTCCAGCATCATCAGCAATCTTTGGCATTCCTTGGTTTGTGGCTACATAACTCCAATATCTTCCACCATCTTCACAAGACATTCCCCCGTGTATCTGTCTTCACATCATTTTCCTTTTCCTTTTATTCTTCTTCTTTTTTTTTTTTTTTTTTTTTTTTTTTTTTTTTGAGATGGAGTCTTGCTGTGTGCCCAGGCTAGAGTGCAGTGGTGCGATCTCGGCTCACTGAAACTTCCGCCTCCCGGGTTCGAGCGATCCTCCTGTCTCAACCTCCCAAGTAGCTGGGATTACAGGTACCCGCCATCACGCCAGGCTAATTTTTTGTATTTTTACTAGAGACGGGGTCTCACCATGTTGGCCAGGCTGGTCTCGAACTCCTGACCTCAAGTGATCCACTCACCTTGGCCTCCCAACATTTTCCTTTTATTCTAAAGACACACGTTACATTGGACTAAGGCACTAACCTACTGCAGTATGACATTCTCTTAATTTAATTAATTTTATCTGCAATTACTTTATATCCAAATAAATTGCATTCTGAGGTACTGGGGACTAGAACTTCAACACCTGTTTTTGGAGAAACAACTCAATGCATAACAATGTCTTTTTCATCTTGGAAATTAGTGCTATGTTACTTTAATGGCAAAGAAAGAAAAAAGGCAAGTATTCCACTTTTACAATCTAAAATGCCTGCTATGTAGTACAGAGCAGATGAAACCTGTGAAAAGCCACATATTAGACTCTCTAAGCCCAGCTTTTTACAGGCAGCCTGCTCAAATTTGAAACATAGAACTTCCACTCAAATCACTTTTTACTTTTTCAGCCTATTTTGGTAATTTAAGCTATCTTTAAAACTTATCAAATTTACCAAGATATTCTCATTAGTATTCATTAACCATGAGAGATGCTCCATAGTTTGGTAATATTCTTTGTTTAGTGCTTGAATTTGTATTCACTATCTTTTTGTCTTAATTGTCCTCACCAAAGGATTGTGCAATGCAAGGACATTTTCAAGAACCAGCATTTTCATTTACTTATTTCCCAGCATTTTATTAGTATTTTTAATTATTTCGATGTGATTTCATTAAATTTATTTTACTCACTCCGAATTTTTTATAGAATACTAAGTTATTTCATATTTATTCCAACTTAATAACAGTATTTAAAGCTACACATTACATATAGGATATTTAAATAGCTGAATGTGCTGCTATTGATGTGATTAAATTTGATCTTTATGATCAGCTTGAAGGATTTTATAAATGTTTTATATAAGTGACTTAAGATGTCATCAAATTTAATCAAGGATTTTTAGCAATTGAAAGAAAACTTCCATAAAATATGTATTAAATTGACCCTTTGAAATATGTTATTTGGCTCCTCCTCCCAGTTGTTTATTATTTGCCAGCTTGCACTACATGGAAACGCAAAGCTAAAGCAGAAAACCAGTAGTGATTCCCAAGTTTAGATCATCTTCCAATCATTGTAACAAATACATTTGATGCAATGTGCAATGTTATATGGGACCAAAGTACTTGCCTATTTTACCTTTAAGATAAAATGTTTACCAAGAAGCATTCCTCAAACAAAATGCCACAGAAAGAAAACATAAAACATATCTTAGTAATGTAAGATGTTATTAGAAGAAGAAACTGGGTTTGGGATATATGGGAACCCTTTGTACTATCCTCGCAATGTGCAATGTCCTACAAAACATTGCACATTGCAAGGCCTAAATACTTTAGTCCTACATAAGATTCATTGCACATCACATCAAATGCAATGAGAAAGACTGATGCCTCTTTCTTTGCAAGCAGTCTGTGTTTATGTGTGCCTATGTCTGTGTGTGTCTCTGTTTTCTTTCTGGCAGTTCCATTTTTACCCTCAAAATTAAAACCTTTCCCCTGAAATATATTAATAAAAATTATTTTATTAATATATTTCACTTCATAAACAAAATAAGTCATATTTATATAGGACTAAGAAAAACATAGATCATAGTGCTTCCGATTATAGAAATAATACATTTTAAAAGCAAAACCTGAGAAACTACATAAAATTACACACATAAAAACGAAGAATACATTCACTTTTCCATCATAACGACTGCTGACATTTTGATGAATATCCTTCCAAACTACCAGAGCAGAAAACAGCTTGTGCAAGATATTTTATCACAGCATTGTTTCAGATTCTATAAAATTCAAAAAAGGCTTGTTTAATAAATCTTGCTCTATCACAAAATGAATTACTCTGTAAGTATTACAAATAAGGAAATAAATCAATGTGTTAACGTGGAAAACATTCCGCAGCGCATTTTTATTCAAAACAACAGCAAGTTGCAAAGCAGTATGTCAGGTAGAATTGCGTTTTATTAATAAACTTTTAATTTTAGAACAGTTTTAGATATACAGAAAAATTGCAAGGAGTGTACAGAGAGTTGCCACATACCCCAAACCCAGTTTCTTCTAATAACATCTTAACATTACTAAGGTATGTTTCGTGTTTACCTTCTGTAGCATTTTATTTCAGGAATGTTTCTTCATAAACATACAAATATCTGGATATTGTTATTTGATGCTAAAAACCTTTGCCTTTTAACAAAAATGTTTTAATGTCTTTTAATTTGGTAAATTTTGATAAAAAATGAAATTCTTATTTTCTATTCTTTGTCTTTTACGGTATCAGCTTTTTCAAAAAACTACTGCCTAGCATTAAGCTTTTCATCTCCCAGGTAGCTGTTGTACATATCTTTATCTATAGTTATGCCTACGTGTACATCGATAACTATATTTGCATTTTCCCTATATCCGTGAGTGTTGTTTGCTCCTGTCATTATTTTAAGAAGTTGATAGGAGTGTACTGAGTCTTTCAATAACTGAAAATATCTTTCTATTGGATCCTTTCTGTTGCATCCTAACTTGATGAAACACAGACGTTGTAAGTCACAGCACATCTCACAAAAGCTTTCCATCTTTTGCATCTTTGTGTTTGCATATTAGTTTTGTTCATTCCCAATTGGAGAAACACAGATACCTCTTTCTCTGCAACCAGTCTGTGTTTATTTGTGCCCATGTCTGTGTTTTCTTTCTGGCAGTTTCACTTTTACCCTCTAAATTAAAACTCTTCTCATAAATATATCTTGGAATAAGTTTCTGAACTTTTCATGTAGATTTTATATATATATATATATATATATATATATATATATATATATATATATATATATATATAAACTCACTGCAGTGAGGACAAGGAGAATAAATTCACAAATCTCAGAATAAGTCAGTAGCCCTGAATTTGCCAAAAAGAGAGTGTAAAGAAAGGCCATGTTGTAATCCATGCTGAGGCGGTGGGGCATAACAAATTGTGGCACCAAGTTTGTTTCATTTATAACAACTGCTAGGAAATCTTCATTGTTATTTATTCTGAAATAGTGAAAATGTATGGAATGGTAAAGTATATTGTGGCCATGAGAAACCCCATAGGACTGGCTGCAAAGTGTGATATGGTGATATGCAGGCAGATTAGTATATCCAGGCAAAATACCAAGTCTAGTGTGGGAAACACTGCTGCAGCTTTAATAGTGGCTCTGTTATGGCTGGGAAACAGCAAGTGACAGTCAAGGACGAGTCCATACGCCAGTCGTGCTTTGTGAAGAACTACACTGTGAAGTGTCCAAGGTACCATAGTGCTCTTGATCCAGAAGGGAAATAAGTGATCTGCAACAAAGTCAACTGCTCTGTATTCAAAGGACAGCCTGTGTTACTGCTGTACTGAGGATTATACTGGCTGAAGTGCATGTCCAAAGAAGGTTAGAGTCTTTCTGTTCAGATAATTGTAAGAAATATAGATAATAACTTAGAAAAGGTCAATACTGAGCCACTCTGTCCATAGCCATCGGCATTTTCACTGCAAAATTGAATTATTGTAAACATATTTTTAAAAAAGAAAGAAAAAGAAAAACCAGAGGAAACCAAAAACTATTTTTCAATATCTTTTTTTACCCTCTTTTCCTTTGAAATAGTTCAAGCCTAATTAAAAAAAAATTGAGGTTTGCATTTTAAAATGCAGAAATGTATCTAGCTTCATCCTTCTAAACCAAAACTCTTTAAGAATTTGAGGTTAATAAATCTTAGTATTGTTCATTTGCCAATTAAAGTGCAAGAGTAACTGCCAAAGAGTATTAAGGTATGAAAAGTTGAAAACTTCAGTTCTTAACACCTTTTCATTTGTAAAAGAAAAATGAAATAAAATTTATGTTTTATTGCCTTTTCTCATTGACTAAAGTTTGCAGTGCTATACAGTCAACATTTTTTTAATAGTGTAACAGATGAAGCTTACCATTTATTATCATTTTAATGTGTACCTACTCACTTGATTTAAACAGAGGTGGTGTTTTTAAATCACTTTTCTTGCTATCTATGCCACATTTATTCCATTCCTGAGCACTGTCATTGTATTTTTTTATCTTCTCTGAAAACTTGATATTTTTATTATGTGTCATGAAAACATTCACATAGACTTCCACAGATTGTTTTGAGCTTGGATATAAATTTTGAGTTCGGCATTCAGTCATAATAAATGGTATCAATTCCAAGAATTCATTTACTAGCAGTTCACAAAAGTTTCTGTCTCATTAACACCTTAAAAGCTCAAAAATGTTAAAGAGCCCAAAGACCTTTTATCTATGTGAGTTTTATTTTTATATATGTATACTTAATAGAAATTAATACTGAGGAATTCTTAAAATAATTGTCATTTAAAATAATACTTTCATTACATGCCCATGTTACATTGCATAACATCCATATTATACAAATAACATTGTTATTGAAAAAATACTTAAAATAGTGAGAAGAATGTCATTGCTTCATAATTTTGCAAACATATTTAATGTCTAGCTTTGGAAAAGATATCTGGGTTCTATATTTAATTTTGCAATCAATCTGTTACAACATGAAAATAATGTGGTTTCATGCAAATATATAGTTAGAACAGATAGGAGTATTTATTTATTTATTTCAATTTTAGAATTTATTTTTTGTAGAGGTGAGGTCTCACTTTGTTGCTGAGGCTGGTCTCAAATTCCCAGGCTCAAGCAATTCTCCTGCCTCCACCTTGCAAAGTGCTGAGATTACAGACATGAGCCACCATGCCCACCCTACAACAAGGATTTTAAAGCAGCTACCATAAAAATGCTTCAGCAAGCAATTATAAGCACTCTTGAAGCCATTAAAAAAAAAAGAAAGAAAGTCTCAACAAATAGAAAACCTTGGTAAAGAAACAGGAGATATAAAAAACAGTCAAATGGAAATTTTAACTGAAGTATACAATAGCCAAAATTAAAATGTTGCGTGAATGGTTCAAGAGGAGACTGGAAAGGAAAGGGGAAATCACCAGTTATCCTGAAAATAAAACAATAGGAATTACCCAAACTGAGCAACAGAGAGAAAACAGACGGGAAAAAAAAAAAACAGAGCCACCTCAGGTACTCGTGGAGCTATAATAAAAGATTTAACATTTGTCTCATTCAGTGTCCCACAAAGAGGATGTGGACGGGGCAGAAAAAGTATTCAAAGAAATTTAAAAAAATGTATCCCATAGAATGAATAAAAAAATTTTGTAAATCATGTATCTGAGAACTGAAGGCAATAGGGACACAAAAAACCCTTCAAAAAATCAATGAATCCAGAAGCCGGTTTTTTGAAAGATCAACAAAATTGATAGACCACTAGCAAGACTAATAAAGAAGAAAAGAGAGAAGAATCAAATAGACACAATAAAAAATGATAAAGGGGATATCACCACCGATCCCACAGAAATACAAACTACCATCCGAGAATAATATAAACACCTCTATGCAAATAAACTAGAAAATCTAGAAGAAATGGATAAATTCCTCGACACATACACCCTCCCAAGACTAAACCAGGAAGAAGTTGAATCTCTGAATAGACCAATAACAGGCTCTGAAATTGAGGCAATAATTAATAGCTTACCAACCAAAAAAAGTCCGGGGCCAGAAGGATTCACAGCCAAATTCTACCAGAGGTACAAGGAGGAGCTGGTACCATTCCTTCTGAAACTATTCCAATCAATAGAAAAAGCGGGAATCCTCCCTAACTCATTTTATGAGGCCAGCATCATCCTGATACCAAAGCCTGCAAAAGACACAACGAAAAAAGAGAATTTCAGACCAATATCCCTGATGAACATCGATGCAAAAATCCTCAATAAAATACTGGCAAACCGAATCCAGCAGCACATCAAAAAGCTTATCCACCATGATCAAGTGGGCTTCATCCCTGGGATGCAAGGCTGGTTCAACATACGCAAATCAATAAACGTAATCCAGCATATAAACATAACCAAAGACAAAAACCACATGATTATCTCAATAGATGCAGAAAAGGCCTTTGACAAAATTCAACAGCCATTCATGCTAAAAACTCGCAATAAATTAGGTGTTGATGGGACGTATCTCAAAATAATAAGAGCTATTTATGACAAACCCACAGCCAATATCATACTGAATGGGCAAAAACTGGAAGCATTCCCTTTGAAAACTGGCACAAGACAGGGATGCCCTCTCTCACCACTCTTATTCAAAATAGTGTTGGAAATTCTGGCCAGGGCAATCAGGCAGGAGAAAGAAATAAAGGGTATTCAATTAGAAAAGAGGAAGTCAAATTGTCCCTGTTTGCAGATGACATGATTGCATATCTAGAAAACCCCATTGTCTCAGCCCAAAATCTCCTTAAGCTGATAAGCAACTTCAGCAAGGTCTCAGGATACAAAATCAATGTGCAAAAATCACAAGCATTCTTATGCACCAATAACAGAGAAACAGAGAGCCAAATCATGAGTGAACTCCCATTCACAATTGCTTCAAAGAGAATAAAATACCTAGGAATCCAACTTACAAGGGATGTGAAGGACCTCTTCAAGGAGAACTACAAACCACTGCTCAGTGAAATAAAGGAGGACACAAACAAATGGAAGAACATTCCATGCTCATGGATAGGAAGATCAATATCGTGAAAATGGCCATACTGCCCAAGGTAATTTATAGATTCAATGCCATCCCCATCAAGCTACCAATGACTTTCTTCACAGAATTGGAAAAAACTACTTTAAAGTTCATATGGAACCAAAAAAGAGCCCGCATCGCCAAGTCAATCCTAAGCCAAAAGAACAAAGCTGGAGGCATCACCCTACCTGAATTCAAACTATACTACAAGGCTACAGTAACCAAAACAGCATGGTACTGGTACCAAAACAGAGATATAGACCAATGGAACAGAACAGAGCCCTCAGAAATAATACCACACACCTACAACCATCTGATCTTTCACAAACCTGACAAAAACAAGCAATGGGGAAAGGATTCCCTATTTAATAAATGGTGCTGGGAAAACTGGCTAGCCATATGTAGAAAGCTGAAACTGGATCCCGTCCTTACACCTTATAAAAAAATTAATTCAAGATGGATTAAAGACTTACATGTTAGACCTAAAACCATAAAAACCCCAGAAGGAAACCTAGGCAATACCATTCAAGACATAGGCATGGGCAAGGACTTCATGTCTAAAACACCGAAAGCAATGGCAACAAAAGCCAAAATTGACAAATGGGATCTAATTAAACTAAAGAGCTTCTTCACAGCAAAAGAAACTACCATCAGAGTGAACAGGCAACCTACAAAATGGGAGAAAATTTTTGCAACCTACTCATCTGACAAAGGGCTAATATCCAGAATCTACAATGAACTCAAACAAATTTACAAGAAAAAAACAAACAACCCCATCAAAAAGTGGGCGAAGGATATGAACAGACACTTCTCAAAAGAAGACATTTTTGCAGCCAAAAAACACATGAAAAAATGCTCATCATCACTGGCCATCAGAGAAATGCAAATCAAAACCACAATGAGTTACCATCTCAAACCAGTTAGAATGGCAATCATTAAAAAGTCAGGAAACAACAGGTGCTGGAGAGGATGTGGAGAAATAGAAACACTTTTACACTGTTGGTGGGACTGTAAACTAGTTCAACCATTGTGGAAGACAGTGTGTGATTCCTCAGGGATCTAGAACTAGAAATACCATTTGACCCAGCAATCCCATTACTGGGTATATACCCAGAGGATTATAAATCATGCTGCTATAAAGACACATGCACACGTATGTTTATTGCAGCACTATTCACAATAACAAAGACTTGGAACCAAGCCAAATGTCCAATAATGATAGACTGGATTAAGAAAATGTGGCACATATACACCAGGGAATACTATGCAGCCATAAAAAATAATGAGTTCATGTCCTTTGTAGGGACGTGGATGCAGCTGGAAACCATCATTCTCAGCAAACTATCACAAGGACAAAAAACCAAACACCGCATGTTCTCACTCATAGGTGGGAATTGAACAATGAGACACTTGGACACAGGAAGGGGAACATCACACACTGGGGCCTGTTTTGGGGTGGGGGGAGGGATAGCATTAGGAGATATACCTAATGTAAATGACGAGTTAATGGGTGCAGCACACCAACATGGCACATGTATACATATGTAACAAACCTGCATGTTGTACACATGTACCATAGAACTTAAAGTATAATTAAAAAATATATATGTATATAAAAGAAAATATAAGGAACTCAATAACAAAAATAACTTATTAAATGGACAAAGGCACTGAGTAGACATTTCTCCAAAAGCATACAAATGGCCAATAAGCACATGAGAAAATGCTCAACATCATTAGCCGTCAGGAAAGTACAAGTCAAAATTACCATGGTGTACAATTAATACACCATTTAACATTCCCATTTGTAGCCTTCAAGCTCCTGTTTCCACTGTGGAAAACAGTTTGTCACTTCCTCAAGGTAGTCAAATTCTTTACCTGCTCTGTAAAATGAGACTAATCGTATTGACTTTGGAAGACTGAGTTAATATATATTCACTATAATTATAGCAATTATCATTGTGCATATTATTATGAATTGGGTCAGATTATTAGCACCGTCTCACTAATTCATTTACTTTTGCTAGTTCGGATGAATATTTAAAGTAGTCTTGAACTGAAAAAATGTACGTAAAGATCCTATCACATTGATTGGCATATACCATGTGCTCAATAAACGAAAGCTATGATTATTTATTTCTAAACAGTTTAAAGGTTAAAGTTTCCTCGAACAAACAGAAAACAAGGTAACACCCCAAGATGTGAGGGATCTGAATTTCTCCTAGGTGTTGGGTAGCACCAGGCACTGGCTGCACAAGGTCAGAGAGGTTACCTGGCAACTCTCTTTAAACTGGACCATACAGAGCACTTCATTCGCTGCACAGCCTTCACTTCTTCCTAGTCCAGATTGATGTCTGGAACCTAATCATCCAGCTCTGGATCATTTCTCAAGGGCCCCCAGGGGTAGGCAACCACTCCAGGCAGAGGGCCACAATGTAGAGGCCCTTTTTATCAGCCAGCTGTTGATGGATTTCCCGGCTGGAGAGCCCACGAAAGAGGCCCCAGGTGAGGTTGGGCATACTGACGGACCCAAAGACCTTGGCATACAAGTCTTTGATGCCAATGAGCCAGCAGATGGTGATGATGGCTGATAGCAGTATTTAATAACCCCATTTAGATAACTGCGAATAGTTTTCTTTGATACTGCTCAAAACTTGACAAATGATAAACTTATTTTAAGGTTATTTGCAATGTTCAATCTGAAACCATATGAAAGAATTTTTCATAGTTATATAAAAATCCACCGGTCTATCATGTGCCTTGAATGGATCTTACGCATGTTTGACTTTTTAACATGCATTAGTCATTTGGAAACTATTGGTTTACTGAGCTATGCAGATCTGCAAATGTTAATGCACTTTATTACATAATATAAAAAATCACTTTCATTAATATCACCACTGTTGTCATTAGAAAAAAAAACCTTTAAGTATTAGGAAGTGGTCAAGCTAAAGATGGCAGATAAAACTTTACAAAAATTTTAGTCTTTGCTCAAAACTTCAATTTGGTTACCGTTATTTTCCTTCAGTTGCAGACTCACTCTGTTCATTTACAATAAAATGTCTGCCAAATACTCAAAACTAAATAACCCTAAATTGTCAGTCATTCTTTCAAGTAAAACTAAAGTTGCATACAAAAATCTTCCAGCTCTGTTCACAACTTAATAAGACCCGGTCTTGAAGAAAAACACACACACACACACACACACATACACACACACACACATATATATATATTTTTTTAAATTTCTATTATAGAGACAGGGTCTTGCTGTGTTGCCCAGGCTGGTCTCAAACTCCTGGCCTCAAGCAATTTGTCAGTCATTCTTTCAAGTAAAACTAATGTTGCATGCAAAAATCTTCTAGTTCTGTTCACAACTTAACAAGACCCAGTCTCAAAGAAAAAAAAATATATATATATATACACAGACACACACACACATACACATACATATATATAAATATGTATGTATATATATTTTAATTTCTATTATAGAAACAGGGTCTTGCTGTGTTGCCCAGGCTGGTCTCAAACTCCTGGCCTCAAGCGAGCCTCCTGCCTCAGTCTCACACATTGTTGGGATTACAGGTGTGAGCCACCAGCACCTGGCTGAAACATTTTCATCACCTCAGAAAAATTCTGTGTGTACCCCACCCTTAGCCCCAGCAATCAATGGTCTGATTCATTTCACCATATAGAAATGTCTTTGTGAGTCAAATAAACCTTTTTTTTAATAAATTACCTAGCCTCAGGTATTCCATTCTTGAAATGCAAACTAATATAATTTACTTAGGATAGTGGCCTCCAGCTGCATCCACATTGCTCCAAAGGATGTGATTTTATTCTTTTTTATGGCTGTGTAGGATCCCATGGTGTATATCTACCACATTTTCTTTATCCAACCTGCCATTGATGGGCATTTAGGTTGATTCCGTGACTTTGCTATTGTGAATAGTACTGCAAGGAACATACAAGTGTCTGTGTCTATTTTGTAGAATGATTTACTTTTGTTTGGTATTTTCCTTCTTGAGGTTTGCTTAGCTTTTATATGTCTATATTAATATTTTCAATCAAACTGGTAAAATTTTTGGCCATACATCCCCCTTCATTTTTATTTTTGTGCCATTCTCAACTCTCTTATCTTTTTGGAACCACAATTACACTAATGTTAGATCAAGTGATATTTTCCTACAGTTTTCTGCAAAGGTACTTGAGGGTCTCTTCACTTGTCATTTTTTTTTTCCATTCTTCAGATAGGACACTTCCTACTGATGTCTTTTCAAGTTCTCTGTTCTTTTCTTCCGCCATCTTGAATACACTGATAACTATGTGCAGTGAGTTTTAAATTTGTTATTACATTTTTAGTCCAGATTTTTCATTTGCATGGTGTTTGTTTCTCTGCTGAGATTTACTTTATTCTCTCATTATAACCATATTTTTTCCTTGAAATCTTTCAACATACGTATACTGGCCATCTTGGATTCAGTTTCCATGAATGGCGTTTTTCCTTGACTCAGGTCAAATATTTCTTTTTATTTGCATTTGTAACAGGTATTGATTACATACTGAACATTATGGAAGATATGGTATAGACAGTCTGAATCGTGTTAACTTTCTCTGATGGGTTTTGATTTTAGTTCCAACAGGCATTTATTTACTAGGTGATTACTTTAAATTTCTGTATGCTTGTGTTTAGGTCTCATTAGGACAAATCTGTGGAAAGCCCAAAGTATTTTCCCAGCCAGTCTCACTTACTAAAACTCACCTTCCAAATTCTCTCTCCATTTTTTCACAATTTGATTTTTTTATTTTAAGAGTGACCTTTCTATTGTCACAGTCTGATGTCTGCAGGAGTTAACAAAGTCATTTCACTCTGGCTGGTTCAAACTTTATCATCTCTCAGCACTACTTACCTTCTAGCATCTCTACTCCCATCTACCCCTTTAGTAATCATTCTCTGGTGTGCCTCTCATAGTCTCTGAATACACACTGCCCAGCTTTCAGATAGAACTCATGACTGACAGGTTAATACACACAAAGCCTTCTGCATCCTCTCCTCTGTGCAGATTCCTCTTCTCTGGAATCCTATCTTGTAGATTCCAGCTGCTTCAGAAACCCTGCAATCTGATTTCTAGAAGCTCAGAGAGAGCATTCTGTTTCAGCTCTAGCTCCTTATACTAGAGTCAAGAAATTGCCCACACAGAGAGCTATACATTGACCCTGGGATTCACTTGGTGAGTTTCTCTTTAATAACGTATAACAGTCTTGCTTTGCCTATTGTCCAAAGCCTGTAAACTAGTACCTCATACAACTTGCCTGTTTTTTTTTCTTTAAATTATGGCAAGAGGGCTAATCCAACACCACTTATTCCATCATTGTAAAAATAAAAGTTTCCTTGGAACTCTTGTGATTTTTATAAACATTTCATAGTAAGTTGGAAATGGCAAAACAAGTTCCATCTTAAATGGGGACTCAATTTGTAGATTCTTAATTTAAAATAAAAGCACAAGAAGGAACAAAATTATTGAAACTCATCAGGACAAAAATTAAGTATCAGATAAGCCTTAGACTCTTTAGTTTCATAAGAGATGTTGAGGAAAATGAATTAACCCTTTTATTTAAAACTTACTATAATTTATGTACTGTATCACTGTAAACTCAAGCAAAATAATTTCATTTAATTGTTACTAACATGATCTCACTTAGCATGTGAAAAACAACGCTCCAACAGTTGTATCATACATGTTTTGCACGTATAGTAACTTAATTTCACTAACCATAAATAAGTTGCAGAAGATCACAGACCTAGTTGATTCTCAGCAATTAACTGAACACAGTTCTGATGTCCCCTCAAGAATAATCATTAGTAGTTTCACCAGGAATTTACTTAAAAAGGTGATATGGTTTTGCTGTGTCCCCACCCAAATCTCATCTTGAATTGTAGCTCCCATAATTCCCAAGTGTCATGGAGGCACCCAGTGCGTGGTAACTGAATCATGGGGGCAGGTCTTTCCCATGCTTTTCTTGTGAAAGTGAATAAGTCTTACAGGATCTCATGGTTTTATAAAGGGAGTTCTCCTGCACATGCTCTCTTTTTCTCTTTGCCTGCCACCATGCAAGACAAGTTCCACCTTCTGCCATGATTATGAGGCGTCCCCAGCCATGAGGAACTGTGGGTCAGTTAACCCTCTTCCTTTATAAATTACCCAGTCTCAGTATGTCTTTATTAGCAGTGTGACAACAGACTAACACAAAAGGCATCAGGATAAAGTTTCAAAGAATAAAAAAGAAGGTGGTCTATCTTAATAATCAAGAATATGGGATTTTAATTCAAATGAAACCACCCACAGATTTTCCAGATTTTCTTCTGAAACATTAATGAGCAAGAAAATAAAATAATAAAACTAAAAATAAAGCCTTTCCATACAAATTAGACATAGTTTCCTAGTTGCCAATGTGTACAATTAAAACTCAGATGTCGTAGATGATGCACAAACCTTCTCTATTTTACCATCTCACATGTATTTTAGCTTGTGATGATGACAATAAATTTCCACTTAATCATATCTTCTTAACAACTCTAGTTTCATATTTAAGTTGGCATTTTTTTTTTTTTTTTTTTTTTGAGACGGAGTCTCGCTCTGTCACCCAGGCTGGAATGCAGTGGCGCAATCTCGGCTCACTGCAAACTCCGCCTCCCGGGTTCACGCCATTCTCCTGCCTCAGCCTCCTGAGTAGCTGGGACTACAGGCACCGCCACCACGCCCTGCTAATTTTTTGTATTTTTAGTAGAGACAGGGTTTCACCGTGTTAGCCAGGATGGTCTCGATCTCCTGACCTCGTGATCCTCCCACCTCGGCCTCCTGAAGTGCTGGGATTACAGGTGTGAGCCACCGTGCCCGGCCTAAGTTGGCATTCTTTACATATTACTGCAAGTGATTTGGGCACTTCAAACTGATGTGCCGATTCAAGCAACAGTTGTTTGAATTTTTTAAAGTTTGTACTTTTCGCCCAAATGAAAGTGCCAGTCATCTGACAACACAGATCGTAGAACCTTCACATTCATCATAGCTCAAAGCTAAACTCATCCATAAGTATGATTTCTCAAAGCAAAATGTACTTATTAAAAGCTTTTTCATAATGTACTAGGTTGATTCTGTGGTCAAAAACTACCATAAATATTACCAAGATGACAACAGTGAGTTGTACACAAAATGTCAAAGTTTGCTTGTTTCACATTAAAGTTACATTTATGACTCTGTTTCTAGATTTTCTTCCAAAAGTATCTTTGCATTTATAGACTCTAGTTATTGGAAAGCTGTGGCACATCTAGGGGTCTTCTCCTTCTTTTGTTTTTTGAGATAGAGTCTCACTCTGTCACCCAGGCCAACATCCACCTCCCGGATTGAGGCGATTCTCCTGCCTCAGCCTCCTGAGTAGCTGGGATTACAGGTGCGTGCCACCACGGCTGGCTAATTTTTGTATTTCTAATAGAGACAGGGTTGCACCATGTTGGCCAGGCTGTTCTTGAGTTCCTGACCTCAGGTGACCCACCTGCCTCGGCCTCCCGAAGTACTGGGATTACAGGCGTGAGCCACTGTGCCTGGCCACATCTAGGATCTTCTAAACATGACCCTCTACTCAAAATACCCTATGAAACTTCACGTTTATTGCCCAGTTTGTCTTCTAGATATTTTCCAGACCTTTAGTTATTATAGCTTAATTGTTATGTTTGTGTGTTTGCATGTGATTCTCCCAATGTTCTAATAATATTAGTCAAATTTGTTTGTAAATTGTTACTAAGTACCTACCACATTTCTATAAATAGTCTAGGTAAATTTTTAAAAACACTTACTTAAAAACTTTAATACCCATGGTCTGAGTATGAGGATTGGAAAGAGGACATCCCCCTGAAGAGGATATGGGCCCGAGCCTTGGCGAGGGGGGAAAGTTGATGGCCCAGCCAGCAAAGGACAAGGCCCAGGATCACCTTTGGCTGAGAGGTTCTGTTGGTGGGTTCTGGCTGAGCTTATCTGCAAGGAGTTGTTGGTTTGAGTCATAGGCCAAACTCCAGGTGATCTGGCCCCAGTTGTGGAGAAGCAGCTTACAATTTCAAAATGGGACATGTAGCAATGACCAAAACCTGCCAAAGCTCTCATGTAGCTTTCATTCTAGTTGAAAATAGACAATAAATAAATAGTATAAACTATGTCAGGTGATGACAAGCTCTGAAGTTTTGGTGAGATAAGGAGGACAGTGATGGAAGGAGAGCAGGGCTATTTCAAATAGTGTGGTAAAGGCAGCTCTTTCTAATCAGATGAATTACAGCAGAGACCAAAATGAAGTGAGAAAATAAATTATATGGAATGAGTTGGGTGAGAGAGTTCTAGAAGAGGAAAATCCCTGAGGTTTAGATTTACTTGATGTGTTTAAAGAACAGTAAGAAGTTCAAGGTAAGTGGAGTTGAGGGAGCCAGGCGGTGAGTAGGAAGAGCTGAATTCAGTGAGGTAAGAGAAGCTGGATTGCATAGAACCTTATAGGCCATTTCAAGCGTTTTGTCTTTCACCTTGAGAGAGACAGAGCCATTAGAGACATTGAACTGGAGAAATGAGATGTGCTGCTGTGTGTTTTAAAGGGACCCAACTGAGTGCTATGTTACAGAAATACTATAGGTGGCAAAGGTAGAAGTAAAACCACCAGTGATGATTATCTCTGTGATGAACAATAATCCAGATGTCATGAGAGATGGTGGCACTCAGACTTGGGTGATGGCAAAGGTGTTGAGAAGAGGTTAGATGATGGAAATATTGTTAGGACAGAGCCAACAGGATTTCCTTCTGGATTTGAGCTGTAAGAGAAGGTGTGAGATTTCAGAGGATGTGAGAGATGTGAGATGATGTAAGAGAAAGTGACAGGCCAAATGTGATTCCAGTTTTTTTTTTTTTTTTTAGCTGAAGCAACAGATTAGTTGGAGTTTACGTGTATTGGGGTGGGAAAGATCACATGAGGACAAGATGTGGAATGCGTGGGTGTGAGGGTAGGGTGGGGGTGAGACTTGTTAGTCTGAGGTCAGTGAGAAGCTGAGGTGAAAAACACAATGAAATATATATTAAATATCATATGAGTGAGATCACCTAAGAGTAATTATAGCCAGAGAAGGAAAGAAAAAACGAGGACTGATCCTAATAGAATTACAAAATTTAAAGGGAAGGGAGATGAGGAGGATTCAGTAACAGTGCCGGAAAAGGAGCAGTCAGCGAAGTAGGAAGGAACTCAAAGACAATGGTGCACTGGAGGTCAAACGACGAAAGTGGTTCGAGAAGAAATGATCTAGGTATAAACTACGACTAAGAGAGAAAGAGGAGGACTGAAAAATGACCATGAGGGAGGAGGACAGTCACTGGTGACCTTGACAAGAATAGCTATAGTGATAAAAGCCTGATTGAGGGGAATTCCAGAGCATATAGGAAAATAAGAATAAGAGACAATGAGATAGATGACAATTTGAAGATGTTTTGTAGTCAAGAGTGACAGAGAAGTGGAACAGTAGCTGTGAGGTGATGTGCAATCAATAAACTGCAGGTTGAGATCCTGATGGAAAAATTGATATTGATGAGAAAGAGAAGACAACTACAAAGTAGACCCAGGAGGAGGCTGGTCTTGGATAGCAGCACACACAGTTTATCCATTGAAATACCAGCTACTCAGGGGGCTGAGGCAGGAGAAGTGCTTGAACCCGGGAGGCGGAGCTTGAGGTGAGCCAAGATTGTGTGCCATTGCACTCCAGCCTGGGCAACAAGAGTAAAACTCCGTCTTAAAAAAAAGAAAAGAAAAGAAAAGAAAGAAATACAAGGCAGGGCAGAGCATATGGGTACAGATGCAGGTAAGGAGGGTGGATTTGGAAGATGAAGCAGATGGAAGCCCTTTTCCAATTGCTTACATTTTCTAGTGAATTAAGAAGGTTATCAGCAGAGTGTGGGGAAAAGAAAAAGGACCTAGTGAAGGTTTGATGAGAGAGAGGCAGTATAGAAAAGTGGGAGAGTGAGTTGGGGAACTTAAATAAGATTGCAGAAACTATTTGAGGGAGGAACTGTGAATTTAAAGTGAGATTGATCATTATTGATGGAGAGATGTATTGTCTAATATAGGTTTAGAGTATTTCTCATTACACTTAACTCTCACCATCCTCTGTAGCCAACCCCATCACAAAGAAATAATTGTCGCTTCCTGTATTAATAATACTATGATAATATTTTTAAATGGGAGCATGCTATGCCAACTCTTTGCAACCGTTTTATCTTAAAATTTAGAATGAGCATTTTTATATCAGTGATATGCATCTACTTCATACTTTAAATTGCCAAAAGTATTTCCTTGAATTACTCTATTATACTTTATTCAGGCATTCAAATATTTTCTAATCTTTTTCACATTTTCATTAGTGCAATACTGTTTTGAGCAACCTTGGATACAACACTCTGCCTAATCCAACTATGTGCTTTGTTGGAATATATTTTTAAGAAGTAACCACAAGCAGTGCATCCATTTAAAGCTCTTGATACATACTGCTAAATTGCTTTTGAAAAAAAGTTGTACTTTATCTACACTTTGACCAACAGCTGATGACAATGATTTCCCTATGTGCTGGCCATAATTGAGTGATATCATTCTCTAATATTTATTCCAGTAATTCTGTTTTGGTGACTACTGAACACAAATCAAATTAGTATTTTGAATCTATAGAGAGCATTTTATGAAATTATATAATAAACAAGTATGAAAAGTATCAGCTACCTGAAGCTTTCTAATACTTATTCTTTGTTTTACTTTTAAAACTAAATTATATGTAAATGTGTATATGCATATATTAATCACATATGTAATTTGTATATGGTAACCATATAAATATACAATTTAGTCATATATGTGACTTGAAGTTATATAAAAAGATATTTCATTTGAAATACATTATGCGTGGATATTAGCACCTACTGAAAATTTATGATCTTCAGCACTGCTCTATCAGCCACTGATTGTATCGACTTTCTGTAAAAAACAAGTACCTACATTTCAAAAGGACAAAGAATGTATACATAAAGGATATCCACATGAGCATGAAATTTGTATGACCTACAACAGAAATGGCAATAAATATGTCCCGAATTTTCTGGGACAATCTTCATACAAAAATTTTATTTATTTATTTTGAGATGGAGTTTTGCTCTTGTTGCCTAGGCTGGAGTGTAGTGGTGCAGTCTCAGGTCACTGGAACCTCTGCCTTCCGATTTCAAATGATTCTCCTGCTTCAGCCTCCCGAGTAGCTGGGATTACAGGTGCACGCCACCATGCCCGGCTAATTGTATTTTTAGTAGAGACAGGGTGTCACCATGTTGGCCAGGATGGTCTCGATCGCTTGACCTCATGATCACCCACCTCGGCCTCCCAAAGTGCTGGGATTACAGGCATGAGCCACCGCGCCTGGTCAAAAAATTTATATAGCATTTATTCTGTAACCATATATTCTATAAATATAATAGAGATATCAATATTTCTGCATCCAAATTATGCTTACCAGCACATCTCTCATACTGAGATTATACCAAAAAAATTCAATATCTGCTCATGTGCTCTAATATTTAGTTTAAAAATACAATCTTCTACCACGAGGAAAAGATAAAACAAAGGACGCATCTGGGATAACCTGAGTTGTCAGTGCATTTTATTGCACTAGGTCATCATCTTATGAATTTTATAAATAAACATTTTAAAGACAGTTTATTGTAAATTCTATTCCCCACAGAATTTATTTTTTTTCTATGTGAGAATGAATGTTTTTAATGAATTTGGATTAGCTAATACAGAAGTACATTTCAAGGCCATCAGAAACTGAAAAGGAGATGAGGAGAAAATTTAGTATCTTTTGCTCAAGACTCCTAACTCTTACTTGCATATAAATCAACTGTAGAAAATAGTTATATGTTGGCGTCAGGCCTGGCACGGTAGCATTTAAAGGAAAAACAGCAAACTTTTCAGAAATGACTCTATTCCATAACACAGTTTAAAAAGTATTCTAATAAGGAAATGTCTCTTCTCAAGGTGTGCGTGAGTGGAAGTGAATGATAATTATTATTATGAATTTCTTCACTCTCCTAATATTGTATTAATGAGTGTACTATTTAGAAAAACAGCAGTTTAATAAGAACTCTCTATATAAGACATAGTTTGTTTTGTTGTCAACAATATAGTTTGAAAATTATAATAAAACATTTAAAAGATCAAGGAAGTAAACATGATTGTATTTTTAAATTTCTTTGCGTTTCCTTATAAATTTCACTTGACCATTTTCAAAATCAAACAAAATTATGAGTCACTTTCACAGATTTTGTCGTAGAGGCCTCCCCGGTGATCTAGGGATAGAATTTCTAATAAGAAAGAAAATCATCTAGCAATGATGATCAACTCTGCTGGGTTTCATGCTCAGATTATTGCTTCACAGCAGGCTAGGATCGTTCTCATGATACAGGATAATTAGACTGAGTTTTCCATGTCGAGTACTATTGTCAGAATTTCCAAGAATAAAATAGTGTTAGCTATCATTTTTAGAAGCCTGGAAACATACTAGACACTGTATTTTATCTTATTTGAAATACACAACAACCTTATGATGAAGCTATGTATTATTATCCCTGTTTTGTAATGAGATAACTGGAACTCAGAGAGACCAGGTGGCATTCCCAAAGGCATAGAGTTGGTAAATAGAGAAGGCAGAATTCATGCCCATCTGTTCAAATGCAGAGCTTGTACTCTGTATTACTGGGCTGGTGTCTGGTAACGGTGGTGGTGTATATTCTGTACTCAGGAGTCTAGGAAAAGTGGAGAGCAGGAAGCTCTTACGACTTCAGGAGGCTACCACAACGGAATGCAGACAAGCAATGAACTTCAAAACTACCTTGGGGATAGTCAAGTCCTGAAAAGCATGAATTGTATTATTCTGAAGAGTTCTGAAATAAACATATATGTATTTTTTTCACCAGCCAATCCAGTGTCTGATAGGCAAACAAAAATGATCTAATATGAAATCCTGTCCATGATTTTAGAGCTGATAATACACCCTGACTGTGGCTCACCTGAAACGGCTTAACAAGTGCTCAAGCTGCTCATGTAATGCTGCTTAGGTGTTCCTCTTAGAACAGAAAGTTGTAAGTTGTACTAATTAGAAGAATGGTCTGTATTTACAAAACTTTTTATTGCCCTTGAAAATGACTACTTAGCTTTTTTCCTTAGTTTTAAATTTTAAAGACCAATGTTACAGTAAATTAGAGGCCAAAGATTAATTTTCCACTAAGGGCTTAATTTGTGGCTAAAATGATTATTCAATCACTTTGTCGTTATATTCATTTTATTAAATCTTTATCGAGTTATTAAATAATAAAAATAATGATGTTAGATCTTAAATCAAATTAGTTACATCCAATTAATGATTGCAATATGCCAATATAATGATCTAATATTTAATAGACATACAATTAAATCTCAACAACTTATCAAGAATAGTCCTTTCAAAGAATTGCTTCCCATGATTTAATCACATCTAGTTTTTTTCCTTGCTGAGGTTCCTTTCTAGATCAATATGAAATAAAAAGACAGCAGATAAGACTGGTTCCTTTAGAAGTTCAAGCCCCTTTAAAATCACCTTCTTTGAAGCAAAGGCGAGTAAAATTCAGCAACCAGTGATAGAGACACCAAAGATTGACTTATTATGTCCAAGAAAGACTTTTTAGTGGCATCTTTTAGGAATGGTAATTGTGAAAAATAAAATAAAAAGAAAGAGAATATTGGTTTACCACAATGAGTGCCAGTACAAATGAATTTATTAGTGAGCAAAGCAGACAATCAGCTTTGTGGTGCGAGTTCAAATGATATCCAGTTTACAATCTTTTAATTCTTACAAGGCTTAATTAGAGACGTTCCTCATAGCAACTACTTGAACTTAATACAGTTGCTTTTCCTGACACAGGCTCCAATTAAACTCCTGGATTGAAAACCTGAGCCAGCAGGCAAGATAATTATTATTTAATTGGGGGAAGGTAGGGAATGATTCCAGAAGAAAACTAAAGCCAGATGTCCATCAAAGACAGAGAGGAAAATCAGGAATGAAACCCGAGATGGGGCTCAAGTAGTCAGCAGAGGCAGACATGCCCACCAGACACAGGGACTTCAAAACTGGACTCAGGCTCATCTCAGGAAGGAAGCCTCTTAGGCTTGCTCTTGTAGAACAGGCACCAATCAGGCCTGAGGTTCAGGCTTCTGTCAATAAGATCCAGAAGCACAAGATGAAAGAACTAAAAGGTACCTCAGAGATCACGATCTGATTAATTATTTTAACAAACGAAATCTCTCACGTCCAGAGAAATGAAGAAAGTTTCTTAAGGTTGCACAGTTAATAGATCTGATATCAGTTTGGTATCTATGTTTTCAAAATCTAAATTCCCATACATCATAGCACATAAGTAGAAAATACTGACTCTGAGAATATTGCAAGTTTTGATGAGCATGAAAAATGAATCTTTATTTGGGTGAAAGATAATCATCTGATTAAAGACAGTTCTTCTAGACAGGCAAAGTAAGAAAATGTGGGGGAAAATAATTTAAGAAGGGGCTAACATGTCAAAGGGGCCCAGAGATAGGATGTGGAAGAGAACTAGAGATTATTTCCTCTTCCTTCTCTGTTTTGCTGAAATTGGACCTTCAGCTATTGTCTAAACTCCACAACAAAAATAATGAAGAATTCTTGCTGTCATTCTTCCAGATGGGATAACTTTTCTATGAGAACAAAGAGGATGACATAGCAGTCAAGGAAAATATTAGAAGATATTTCTTGCCTGTCTGTTCACCAACACACTTCTGCAAGGCCCAGGCACTGTCTGTGTGTTTATTGAGGATAGAGGACCAAAAGAAAATGGTCTTTTCTTTACCCCAAAGGAAATTGTATTCCCCTTCACCTCACCTCTACTCCAAGGAAAAGAACTGTTTTCTAACCAACTGAGGGCTACTTTGTATTTTAACTTTATTAGGCCTTTGTGAAATAAAATGTTCAGTTTTTGGCAATGTTTTATATCATCATGTGGTGTGAGTCCTAAATTCAAGGCCCCTTAATATGTGCTATCTTGATATGTGCTGAAATTGGGAGGGTCTCCAACGGCCTAAACACAAGTTCTCCTCCTGACTCTGCTCCCAAGAATGAGGTCCCCTAACTACCCTCCTTATCAAAGGCACCAGGGCAGTTCCTGCTTTATTCCAGAGTAGCAGATTTCAGTTCTCTGCCAGCCCATGGAATTATTTAAACAAGCCAATTACATCCTCCTGGGAAACCAGGGATCACCCCACTCTTTGAATACCTCAAAGTCTGCTTCCCAGAGCCCTTCGTTGTGCTGTCTGTACCCAAATGTAACCCCAATGTGGCCTGTATAGCTTGCCATGTCCTCCTCCCCAGGCTGTGAACATCTGTAACTAATAAACTGCTGTTGGCCTCATCTGACCGGTGTTGGATGTCATGTGTTGGATAATCCCCAGAACCCTATGGCAGGAATCCTTACTTCAACAGTGGCGTAAATAAGAGGCAATTGAAACATCATATGCTGAACGACTCTCTAATGATTCCACATTACTTAGGAAGGTAGTAAAGTCAGGGAATCCTATAACTAATCCTATAACTTCATCATTTGCAGGGCTCTTATGAGCAGTGATGTACAGGTAGCTGCTACTTCTTAATCTTTCCTACCCTACTTACCCACCCCTGTACTGTACTCTTTAACAATATATAAATTGTCCACCTTTTCCTCCTGGTGTGAACTCTTTATGTTTAGAGCATATGACATTTGACCTTCAAACAGGCCAAATATACTTAACTCCTTTTAAGTCTAATGGTCTCTATTTTCTATCCCTTTACTTTTTTCGATTGTTCTACACTAACAATTTCTAATTATTTCCCATATTTATTATAGTATCATGACTCAAAAGAGTAACAGTATTATGTTGACAGAATGACTCTTGTAGAGAAAAATTTGAAATTAACATCTGAGTCATGTTTGTAAAATAATTAAGCCAGTACTCAACAAATATTTATTAAACATTTACTATAAGCTAAATTGTTTATTACTATTCACTTGCTGATTTACTTGATCAGATAAATTCTCTGTATATGCAGTGTCTAATGCCTACTTTATAAATGGTTTTATACTTATACATTGTGTTATTTCTTCATCAGTGCATTTATCTCAATCTATTAAAGATTAAAGTTATCTCAACACTAATTTGGGCCACTTTGAATGATTAAATTAGTTCTCCCTTTATTAGAAGAACAATTTAAAAAACAGATTAGATTCAACTGATCATGTGTTGTGCACTCTAAGTTGTCCTACCTTTATTCCAAAGTCATTTTTAAATTTAAGATCAAAAGCTAAAAACAAACCATTAATTTTAAGTTTATTTTAAAGAAACTTAACATCAAAAGGTTTTTCAGGATGAGAAAGTCTGTTTATTTCTCCAAAGTTCTTGAAAAAACCCTTAGTCAATTAAATTGCAAGAACACTTCATGAACTATTGAAATGCTCAGTATTACATAGATATTGCAGAATTATCCTTTTAAAAAAGTACAACAAATTTCTCTCGTTACTGTTATTGCACTTAGTATTATTTTACTGGCACCTACAATGTTTTCGGCATGTTCATGTATATTTTCTAATCATAGCTGTGTTCAAAGTTTCAACTCAGTTGTTTGGTTTTTGCCCATGAGTTGATGAAAGAGTTAATAAGTCACTTCATGCATTCAAATCTGAACCTTGCTATTTGTTAGCTTCTACAAAGGGCAACTTTTTTATTATTAAATTGGGAGAATAATACATCTATGTCACAGGGTAATTATGGGTATTAAGAGTAGAGTATATGTAAAGCATTTAACACAGTGTTTGTCATAAGGTAAGAGCTCAATATATGTAAACCATAATTATATAATAAAATGTTACTACGACATTAACTCTATGTTTTCAGGTAATTCATTACAGACCATTGACATGCAATCATTGGGCTCCCAGGAGTCAGAGGATTACATTCTTCAATTTTTAATTTCCTACATGCCTTTATAAAACAATGTACATCTGCATCATTCTCAGTAAACTATCGCAAGAACAAAAAACCAAACACCGCATATTCTCACTCATAGGTGGGAATTGAACAATGAGATCACATGGACACAGGAAGGGGAATATCACACTCTGGGGACTGTGGTGGGGTCGGGGGAGGGAGGAGGGATAGCATTGGGAGATATACCTAATGCTAGATGACACGTTAGTGGGTGCAGCGCACCAGCATGGCACATGTATACATATGTAACTAACCTGCACAATGTGCACATGTACCCTAAAACTTAGAGTATAATAATAAAAAAAAAAAAAAAAAACAATGTACATCTGCCAACCTACATTTGCTTCTCACAACAGATGCTCACATCTGCCATGCATATCAACGTCGGGAGTGTTTGGATATGATCTCACCCACTGACCCCTGGGTTAGACTTTGTTGAGAACAGAAGTGTGGTGCCAATGCATTTAAAATATTTTCTTGGGACTTTTAATTACGCAGAGTAATGACAAATACTGTACTATATTAGGTCAAAAATAAACATCACATTATAGATTAAAATCCTTTCCACTTTTAGTGAAATTTTACTGCCTTCTTTTATTTTGCTGATTTACATTTTTTCAGACTAAATGCATGCCAACTGATGTTTTATCTTATTTCAATATAGGCAAGTGAACAACTTTGTCATGAGAAAAATAATCATAACTTACTCTACTCGTTTCACTTATTCAAGCGGCAGTTGATAGTGTTTCATATGCAATTTGTCTTTTGGAAATGATCTTCATATGGGTAAAAGCACATTTTTTTCATCCCTGAGAATTAACACCAAACACCCTATATATGTCATATTTTAGAAAGATATTAATGCATACCATCCAGGCTCTCACTGAAGAACTTTACCAGAAATAAACTTTAATTAGGAAATCAAACCAGTGCATTCCTACACTGAGAAAGTATCAGAATCCCTAAAGAGGTGTTTTTGTTTTTGTTTTTTTTTTGAGGTGCAGTTATCTGCGCTCAGACTCACACTTAATAGATCAGAATAAGGAGTATTATCCTCATATCTGTGCCTATGAAAAGAACCCCAGGTGAATCAAATGACCAGTCAGGTTTGGGCATCTTGAGTCCAAGGCACAACATATTCACCTAATCATCTAGGTCTGCGATTTCCAATGCTTATTGATTTCTTTGTTTAGCAATGCAGTTTTTTTTTCTAGGTGAGTTTATACTGAAACAACATGTAAGTCAGGTTAAACACTTACTATGGTTAAAAAATGATTTGTGATCCAGAGCATTAAAGGCTTTCACCTCTTTCTTACTCCTTAGTAGATTCTGAGACTCTCCAGAATTCTCAGGGTCCATGGAACACAATTGCAAATCCATAATCCATGATTTTAGGTGTAGTGTTTCAGCTTCAAATTAACTGAGATAATCAGCAGCCTGTGTGTATACAGCACCTGAGTATTTTCCTTATAAGATCACTACACTAACAGGTGCACCCATGTTACAGCCTCAAATTATATCAGACTTCATCATGAAAACACACGTTTGGATTTCACTTTTGCACTTGTGATAAAACTGTTGTTGAAACTGTCTGATGTAATCATCCAATGGACCTTTCATAGGATCCCAATCAAGACAATTCCCCTTATATTTAATAAATAGAAAATCTATATTGTCCAAGAAATGTGGATTATTTCTCCCAAGTCAATAAATCTTAGTTTGGGGGTGGGGGAAATGTGGGGTTTTATGAGAAACTATTTTGTGCAAGCAGTGTCTCTAACTTCAAGGAAATCAATTTAGTGGGATACAGACTCTAAGAAAGTTAATTTTAAAACAATGCAATAAATCCAGTGCTAGAAATATACATAGGTTGCTATGGAAGCAAGAAGATAAGTTCTGTAAGTAATTACATTTCCATTTCTGCCTTAGCTACAGGAAGATAAGAGCTAAGCTCTGTGCTCGATTACAGCAACGTCACTTACCACAGCATGTTTGCTGCTTCTTTCTCCTCCAATTTACTTTATCCATTTTATACTTTATAATTCATTGCACTATATCTTGTTTCTGCTAAGTAAAATCAAGGATAAAGGATTTAGCTAAAAATGCATAGTTTAAAAAATTTCTTACCAGATATTACTACTTTAAAAAAAATTTTTAAATTATGGGATAGGAAGAAAAATCATGAGTATTTAGTAGTGATATTATATTCCATAAACACATGTATTCTAAATAGAAGAGTGTTAAAAGATAAAAAAATAAGAATTTAGAAGTAAATGTAAGGCATTAGGTATAATTTTTACAATCTGTTTGGCGGTAGAGTGATAAATGAAGTGACCCACAACCTCATTTCTCTAAGAGGAACAAGTCTATTGATATAATGAAGCAAAAAGCTCAATGCTTTTTATTATGGGTCTCACTTAATTTTAAAGAGCCACCTGGAAGCTAGCTAATAGAATGATCCTCATATTCTGGTACGAGTACATTAGCTCATCCCAGATTCTAATTTCCATAAAGTCCACCGTCTTAGCACTATTGCTCAGACCTACTAGTCACCTAATGTCATCAGATGTGCTGCTTTAGAGATAAGAAAAATGCTGTTTTCTTATAGAGAAGTCTGCGGTTTGAGTGACATCTTATTTAATCGTGATAGCCCAATTCACATTGGTATCTACCAGCTCTATACAATCCCCTTCCTGGGCAGTTTGGAAAATAAAACAAATCCTACTGGTCCAAACAAATATAGATCCCCTAATTGAGATATCAGTTTTGGGGATGTTGCTTTAACCAGCTGAGCTTTCTGGTGGCCTACACTTTACTTTTCTTCCCTCAGATTTTCTTCTACAAAGTAGTAAATAAAATAAAATAACATTAACAATAATATACATTTTCATCTCCTATTTTATTCTCCACTCTTTAAAAGTCAAGCATTTTTAGGAGGGTAGCTTTATGACGGGTAACTTTAGAGGGTAGCTTTATGAAGTTATAGATGCAATACATATTAACATATCACTCAGCTCTGTCATTTTCTAGCTGAGTAATCTCTCTCTTACAAGGTACTCAATTACTCTGTGCCTCGGTTTTCTTATCTATAAAATGGGAAATCTAAAAATACTTATTGAAGAAATTTAATACATTTTTAAAAAGTGAAGTGCTTAGAACAATGCATTCAAATACTAAGTTCTGTGAAAGAACTATTGACTTTGTTATTGGCATTGTTATGCTATTATCATACTTATTAAGGAAAATAGCAGAATGCATTTGTGATATGCAGAAGATGTCCTGGCTTAGGTGCCAGATGAATGACAAAACCTTCCAGTTGTTAATTCCAAAATGTCCCTGCACCATGCATGCTATCTTGTCAATTTAACACTCAGCCAAAGGTTTCAGTGACTCAGAGTACTTTCAATATAATTTACAGCATCCGATGAACTGGTAGGTGTTTTCTTCCCTGATAATCAGAATTGCTTACATAACAGTGTCTTTATTGCTTTAAAAATAAATTTGAAGCTCACTGAAGCAGCCATATAACCTTTAGAGCAGCATATTTGTGTTTATTTTCCAAAACTTTATTTTCTACCCTCACCCTGATTCTGTTTCTGTTAATAGTTATGTTTTAACGTGTGTGTCCTTGTGTATGCTGTCACAAATACTTTGTGAAAGTTATTAATACACAATAAGAAATAACTTTCTTTTGTACTTTACTAAAAGATCCTGTGTTACCTACGGGAAGAAATAAATCCATGAATGATCATCCTTGCCAATCTCTCTGTGAGCTCTTTCGAATTATACCTTCACTGTCTTGGCAGTGCCCATCATATATTTTAACCAAAGGTTCCATGAATGAAATAAAAGTAGATAATAAGAATAGAGGTAACAAAACGGAATTTCGAATAATTTACTTGTTGCAAAATCACTTCCTGATTGTATGACTTCACTGTTATTCAATGTTTATATGAATGGAGAAGATAGTCATCAAATAAATTTCAAAATAAACAAATAAAAGACTTTCTGTGATAATAAAAAACAAATGCTATAGCATATTTAAGTTTAAGTTATAAAAGTAAAACTGTATGTACTTCCCCTTTCACCATTTCCAAGTAATCATGCCTGTAAAAAGGTGTTATGATCTCATGCCTCTTTGGTAGCTCTTCCCTTCCTTAGCTTCCAGGCACTAGCAGCTGTTTCCTCAGTAGTAAAACTGGGTACAGGGCTGCTGCATACTCAGGCTATGTTCATTGATGTAACAAATGCCAACTTTTCCAAATACATTTTCTAGCCAGGACACCACGCAATATGTTATAGAAGTTCTCCAAAACAAATGATGATTTACGGACTTCTTTCTGCAATAGCACTAAGTCTCCTGCTACAACATACAAAAATAATAATAAAGGATGCAATATTAAAAATGAAGTTTCATACTTCTGAAGTCTGCTTCTATTTTCAGAGCTTATACTTACAACAACGCTGGTTTTGTTACCCCCTCTCACAGCCCTGCAAAATTATCCAGATGTACATAGTCCTGAAGCCACCAAAGTTTCTAATGGTTTTATTTCAAAGTGCACACTCACACATACATAAGCCTGATGGAAACTATCTTCTAATGCTCAGCCCCTGAAATGATTTCCAGGTTACCAAGCATGTATGAAAGTTTTTATGAAAACTGAAAGAACATTGAATTACCATTCATTGATTTGCTCATTATTTGCCAGATATAGGTAAATATCTGTTTGCCTATGTTAGGGATACATGAGTGAACAAAGCAAAAGACTCTTCCACCATGGACATTACTTCCTCACTCAGGGATGGATGAATAGTTGGATGGATGGATGGATGGGTGAAAAGAATAGATAGATAGATAGATAGATAGATAGATAGATAGATAGATAGGCAGACAGACAGACAGAATGAAGTATATCAAAAAATGGTAGGTACATTGGAGATAAACAGAGTACAAAAACAGGTTGCTAGTTGGATAAAGTCTGACTGATAATCTGATATTCGAAGAGGAAACTGAAAGAGGTGAAGAATCCTGGCATGCAGATATTTAGATGAGGAACATTGAAGAAGAAGCAACAGTGAGTGAAAGGCCCTGATCCAACCTAGCATCCCTGTGAATTTCAGAGAGTGAGCCAAAGGAAGAGTGGTGAATGAATGCTGAAGTCAGAAAAGTGATGAGTGAGCCTGATCAGCTACCATAACAAATTTGGCAATTGATCTGAAGGCAAAGGGCAGCCATTGGGTTGTTTTTGAGCAGAAGAGAAACAAGATCTAACTTACATTTTAAAGGGATACCTTGGTTGTTGTGTAAGAACACAGCATGGGAAGAAACAGAAAGGCCAGATGGGAGAATATTTCAACAATGCAGGCAAGAGATGACAGCACCAGGGTGCAGAATGGTAACAGTAGAAATGGTGACATCATAGATATGTATGAAAGGTAAGCATTAAGGATGTTCGATATATTGGATATGACATATGACAGAAAGAGATGCATAATGTCGGCTTCCTAAGTGTGGGATCTAAATGGTAGAGTTGCTTGAGCTCGGAAAGCATGGGAGAGGAGTAAGTCGTGGGGTTTGGAAAGATTATAAATTGGGTTATGGATATAATAATTTTCAGACCTATAAATATATTAACCTTGAGTTTAAAATGACACCATTGTTTTTACAAATGATATTTACCTTAATAAATCATATTTCTTTTTTTTTTCTGAGATGGAATCTCACTCTGTTGCCCAGGCTGAATGCAGTGGCGTGATCTCTGCTCACTGCAACCTCCACCTCCCGGGTTCTGTCACCTCAGCCTCCCAAGTAGCTGAGATTACAGGCATGCACCACCATGCCGGGCTAATTTTTGTATTTTTAGTAGAGATGAGATTTCACCATGTTGGCCAGGCTGGTCTCAAACTCCCGACCTCAGGTGGTCCACCTACCTCAGCCTCCCAAAGTGCTAGGATTACAGGTAAGAGTCACAGTGCCCGGCCTAAAATTATATTTTCAAAGTTGCTTTGTCTGGATTCTTTTCTTATTCTCAGTAGCTCAGTAGAAACCACTGACAAAAGTTAGGAAAGCTCATACGCAAAATATGTCAATAATTATCCAGTATAATCTATCTAGGACATGATTTTTACATTTGTTTGGAGCAATAATATCCTTTCTTAAAATCCTGCTCCTATTTTGGTCTCTAACTTCTCCTTATCAGTGTTTGTTTCCCCCTCTTTGCCTGTGACCAAGATTGCCTTTGTGTTCCCCTCAGGTTGACAGCTTTAGACAAGTTTTATCCTGACTCTAGGTCCCTGACCTATCTTTTTCTTAGAGTATTTACTTCAGAAAACTTTCCATTATTAATTCTTTCACTGACACTTGAAAAAGTAAAGCTCCTCTCGGTCTCTTACCACTTTAAACACCCAAAAAATGTCTTTCTCAAATACCTAAGAGCCATCTCTTTCAAGTGTAATGCAATCAAGAAAGAGCTTCTACCTTCCAGTTTCTGTGGAAGGGTAGGAGCCTAGCAAATACAGGTCGCCGCCTCATTGACCAACCTCCCGCTTACACATTTCACTACTTTTTTTTCTTTTTTCTTTTTTTTTTTTTTTTTTAAAGATGGAGTCTTGCTCTGTTGCCAGGCTGGAGTGCAGCAGCGCGATCTCGGCTCACTGCAACCTCCGCCTCCCAGGTTCAAGCGATTCTCTTGCCTCAGCCTCTTGAGCACCTGGGACTACAGGCGTGCACTGTCATGCCCAGGTAATTTTTGCATTTTTAGTAGAGATGGGGTTTCACCATGTTGGGCAGGATGGTCTCGATCTTCTGACCTCGTGATCCGCCCGCCTCGGCCTCCCAAAGTGCTGGGATTACAGGCATGAGCCACTGCGCCCGGCCCACACTTCACTACTTTTCTATTAGCTCACCCCAGCATTTAAAAATCCTCCTGCCTTCTATTTCAGCAGAATTGAGTTAAATCTCTCTTCTTTATTTCAACAGTCTTGAACAAAGTCTTCCTTGTTTAACTCCATCTAGTGGAATTTTCCTTGACACCTGAAGAAGTTTCTTGATGGAGAAGTAAAATATTAATAAAATACAAATTAAAGGTTTCTGTTCTTTCCTTTTATCCATTGGGGAATCTATGAAATATCAGCAAATCCATTGGTCTTATGCAGATTGCATCTTGGCCTATACTTCTAATACTCATTTGTCCTTAACATTTTTAAATTCAAGGCTTGGTAGATACACTAAATAGTTTCTTACAAAAGATTGTATGCTATGATCAGCAACAGAATGGAGGGCTTCAGGTCTATCCAATATTCTAGTTTCTGAATTTCCCTTTACTCTAGATAAAATAAGAAGAGTAGTCAACTCTCTCTCAATTAAGTATTCACTGGCTGTCCATACTGCCTGTCTTACCATAGATTTTTATTTCTTTAATTTTCTAAATATCATATAGCATTTCTAAACATTGGAGAGAGTATTATAATAATGCTGCTGTGGCTGCTGCTGTAGCTTATAGATAGTGATAATAAGAGCTACTATATATGAAGGTATCTTTCTATGCTAGCCCTATACTAATTACTGTACACATATAAACACATTTAATTCTCACAAAGCCATGTGAAGTAAATACTATCATGCTTTGCACCCGTTTTAAAAATGATGAAACTTAAGAATTAGAAGGTAAACAATTTGCTTAGGATTACAGTGAGAAAGTAGTCTTTTCCTATACACCAAGTTCTTTCTACAGCCAATGCTCTTGCACAGAACCACTGCATTTTGAACCTTGACTCACTAATTATTAAATTTCCCTTTTGAAGTATTTAAACCTGCTGAAGTTTCAGTGAATTCATATTTAAATATGTATAAAAAATGCTACGCAGGACTTTGTTGGACGTAAGGAGCTCATCCATATTCACTCCTTAGCACAATACTCAACCAAAATAAACATCAATAGTAGCATTTAACTTTTCAGAACTTTGGTTTACTTACTACATTCATCCAAAATGCTATACTATTATCTCATAAGACTTTACAAGTCCAAGACACTGGTACATTATTATGTATCATTCTGACTCTCATGAACCAAGAATGGGCATTACCACACACAGAAACATCTGTGATTCTATTTGAGTTGAGAAGCATCTAGAAACCTGGACAAGAGAACTGAGAATTTTGAAAATTAATTTCTTATTCTGATAAGGTAGTCAAGAGACAGCTAAGGCAGTTCTGAAAAAAACTGAGAAATCACAGTGAGGAGTTTGGGAATGAAAGTCAGAGAGATCTAGTAGGTCACAAAACAGTTTTCCCAGCCAGATTTGTGATTCCTGTTTTTTGAATGCAAATGGAAAGTGTGCTCGCGTGAATCAATGAAGGGATTTCCTACTGACATCACTGAATTCCCCCTTGCTGGCTTTGAAGTTAGCTCAAATTTGATGTTTCAGATACTTTAAGAAGTAGGAAAAAGTTTGTTAGCAAATGTCAAACTTTGTGTGGATGTGTAAATTCCTGTTTTCCAAAGTTGGAAAACTTGCCTTGTCTTTTCTCAGTGTAGTCATTTTACAGCAAGTACTACTACTGGCTTTCAGTGGTACTAAAATGCCATTCTGAATGAATGGGGACAACATCATTTCAAATAACATGAATATTACATCAGGACAATGTTGCACAAGATGAGTTTTTCTCAAAGCTTTCTTTTCATCTGCTTAGAAACTAAATATATGCTTCAATTTTTTTTGTAACATCTGCAAGCTACTTCAATAATTAGATGCCCTTTCTTTGATTCTTTAATGTAGGAGATACTTGAAGCTCAGCTGCTGTTAAACAGCACTTTATCTGTCTTGTATCTGATTGTTGTTGAAAGCACCAAGTTGTCACTGATCCAATAGAAGTCTGCTCCCTTGTCTGTTATTCAAAAACTACTGTAGCAGAAAGGCATGGGACTGGGCTGAGTGTTGGTGACATGGAGCTACCAAAATGGCAGAGGTGAAGGAGACACCTGAAATGACTTCACACCCAGAAGGGAGTGCAGGGATTCATCGTAGTGAACACAGAAGTGACTGGCTCCTACTCAGCCATCACCCCCATGGGGGACAAATTATAACAAATGAGTAGCTAATGCTACCACACTCAGGAAGATATAGATATAGAGCCAGGCCTCGTGGGATCCTGGCGTGCACACAGTTGCCGTCTAGAACCCAACAACAGCCCTAGTGATCCAGTTGTTTTACTCCTTAAAGGTATTCCCATCAAAAGTACCGTGGGCAATCCCACCACCACACAGTATGCCAGCCTCACGCACAACTTCACCTGGAAGGCACAGAGTACCATGAATGAAATCGATCCCTAGAATGACCTTACCTTCCTTCAAATCCGCTCCATGAAGAATGAAACTATGGTTGCACCAGATAAAGACTATCTCCTGATTGTGATTCAGAATCCAAGGGAATAAATCACTCTTTTGGCCCTTGTATCATTCATTAATTTAATGCCCTCCAAGATTAATAATGTTAATTAAGTCAATGGAGTGGCACACAGAAATTGCCTTAGAGCCCACTCAAAACAATACAGTCACACAAGTGGGCTGGCATCTCCGCCCACCCCACCAAAGGATTCCCTCTGCTGTGCCAATGTTTCTCAGGTTTCCCGGGAGGGCCCTCTTTCCTCGTTTCCAGGTTTTGGAGCAAGAGCTTGTAAGAAGTCCACATCCAGCTTCCTTCCGAACTTCAGTTCTTTTTTTTGCCCTTGGAAAACATTGTTTTTCTTTAACTAAAAATCACCAAAATACTAACCAAAAAAAGTGTACATAAAATAGCCTTGAAAAATCTATTTTAAAAACTTCCAAACACACATACAACTGTTAGGAAAAAAACCTGTTATAGACACACACATATACACACTTACATAAAGAGAGCAAGTAAGGAAGTGTGGACAATATCCACTTTATTATCCTTATATCCTATTCTCTTGCCCATGTTTATACTTTATATCACTTGTGCTGAGAACTTTTAAGACATTAATTTATTGTTCTTACACACACACATACATAATACATATATACTCACATACATACATATATACACACACACGTTTGTGTTTGCATGTATGTTTATATATTATTTATACATATTTGTGTACTGATATGGTTTGGATTTGTGTCCCCACTCAAATCTCATGTCAAATTGTAATCTCCAGTTTTAGAGAGGGGGCCTGGTGGGAGGTGAATAAATCATGGATGGATTTCCCTCTTCCTGTTTTCATGATAGTGAGTTCTCATGATATCTGGTTGTTTAAAAGTGTAAGCACCTTCCCTTTCGTTCTCTTCCTCCTGCTCCAGCCATGTAGAATGTGCCTGCTTCTCCTTCGTCTTCTACCATGATTGTAGGTTTCCTGAGGTCTCCCCAGCCATGCTTCCTGTACAGCCTATGAAACTGTGAGCCAATTAAACTTCTTCTCTTTATAAATTACCCAGCCTCATGTATTTATTGCAATGTGAGAATAGGCTAATTACACATGCAATTTTTCAAATATATGCCTACAAGTATTTCCTTTTATTTAAAAAAGTAACACATCATCAAGTGTGCAGTTCAGAAAACATAATGTAATTTGTTCATTAACAAAATACTCTTTGGAATCTGACTGACTGTAGAACCCCTGCTGTGAACTTCGCTAGCTGTGTGTGACTTGTAAAAAGTCACTTAATCTCTTTTAGCCTTATTTTTCTCACTATTATACAAATAATAACAGAGCCTATCAAATATGGTTGTTGAGAGGGCTAAATGAGAGGTGATTATCAAATTACCAGGTAAAATAATAATATTCAATGAATGTTAGCAGTCTAAAAAAATGATGCTTAATCCCACCTTCATTGATAGTTACCATTAATATTTGGGGATTTCTATAATTAAAGCTTTGGATACAAATGTAGATATAGTGATATCTATATTTCTGCTCTGTTTTCTCAGATTTTTATATCTGTCTGTGTGGCTTCCATTTATCAGGGAGCCAATGGTAGTAGCTATATTTTCTTATTTTCTGTATTCTTGATGCTCTGGTGCTTGTAGCCTCTCAGCCGAGGGAGAAGCTGCCCTACCCAGGGCTAGTGAGTTCTTAGAGACACTAAAGGGCACAGCTGAAGCATGTCTTTCCTATGCAAACCAACCCATCCCAAATCACTGCCTTATTGAATTCTCACACACCAAGCCAATGTTTCCCCTGCTGTTATCCCAGGACCAGGTACTAGGCAACCAGAGACTGCTCCTACATCCCAAAGCCCACCAGAATTATTCAAAGCAACCAGTCTTAAACTGTGCACTCTGACCAGCCTTGCCTTTCCCACAGAAACTCCAGATAAGCCTCCGGCCTAGACTTTCCTCTTGTTGCTCTCTCTTCTGACCACATTGGTGCTTTCCTCTGTGGTCCTGAGTGGTATTTAGTGATTCCTCTCTCTGGTGCCTCTCATTGTAATACACTTCTTACCTCAAAGTCTCACTCTTGTCTCCTCCTGTGGCTGCACCAACTTTACCATACCATATCCAACACATACATTCTTAGAACATGGATATATTCTTTACAAGGCAGGTCTTATACTATATGTGCTGTTTTACCAGTTGCTTTATTGTTTAACTATAACTGTATCTAATGAGCACTTTCTTTGCTAGTAAATAGAAATATACATCATTTTTAAACACCTGCCTTCTATTTTATTTAAATAGATTTACCATGATTATTTAAATACGCTTATTATTTAAGGAGTTACAAATGACATATATTGTTCTTTTGTGACCGTAATAGGTCCATTGCCTGATGTGTGGTAAGTCAACATGTCAACACGAAGGTTGCAGCAGAGAAAGAGTTTTAATTGTAAGGCCACTGAACCAGGAAGTGGGAGGAAACCTACAATTCATCTCCCTTAGGAGTTTGGAGCTAGAGATTTCTAGGCGCCTGGAGTAAGCTGAGGTGTTGGGATCCTGGATTGATCAAAGAGTGCAGGGGAGGTCATGGAATGGGAGATGAAAAAGCTGCATTCTCATGCTGATTCGATTCCTCGGCAGGGGTCTTCAGACTGGTTGGTATCAGCCCTCCCCCTGAAATTCAAGATCTGAAAAACATCTTAAGCAACTCTTAAACAAAAGCATTATAGCTCTAACATTAGAGAACCTACCTGTAGGAACAGTGGAGATGTAAATGGTCAGTATCTAATGCTATTGAGTTTAGGTTACAAGAAAGTGGGTCAAAATACGGCCTGATTAATGCTTAATTATAACCATACTTCTGTCCAGAACCTGGCACGTAATTCATGTTAACCCTGCAAGGACAGTTTCACTTTAATAAAATATTCAACAAAAGACCCCAATGTTTATTCAGTTATGCCAGGCACTGTGTTCGTTGTTGGTGATTGCATGGAAGCCAAGGGAGTGAAGACTTCTATCCTTGTGGCTAGCTTTATAATAGACAACCTCAGATGTGAATCTCAGTGCACTTGTCAGATGTTTTTGGTATACATTTCTAAAAGTGGAATACAGACACACACACGCACACACACAAACACACATCTGTATATATTTGAATCATCTTTCAGAAAGATAAATAAGTCATAGATAACACAAACAAATAAAAACACATCCCATGCTCATGGATGGGTAGAATCAATATTGTTAAAATGACCATATCAAACCATGTACCCCCAAAAAATACATGCATTCACTTCTGTTTCAAATAACAATATGTATGTACGTATTCATTAAAGTATCACCTCTAGCTGTTTTAAAAATGCCAATTCTAAACCAAGTGACTTACTCTGCATCACGTAGCTTATGAAATGCATAAGCAAGATTAAAGTATAAGTCTTTTAATCCCCAATTTGGAATTACTGTGCAAAAGGCATTCTCACTCAGAAATAATCACAAGTACTTGATCGTAAGTATCACAGACTCCTTAAAGATCTGTTTGCTTTTTCTTTCTCATCTAAACTTGGGAGGTGAGAAAAAGAGAGCAAATGCTAAGCTTGCAAATGTGTTATAAGAGACAAAATTGGCTTGCCAGTCAGAATCTGTGGACCACAATTTGAGGTAGTGCAACAAAATATTGCCACCAGAAAATATAGTGGTAAAGAAAGGGTCTTGAGGCTGAAACTCAAGTACCAGAGTTTGTATTCTGGCTTACACATTCTATAAATGTTGGCTATTATCACTACTGTTATTACTAATAAGAAAATTGTTATTTTCGTGAGAAACAAACCCTGCTGTTGCTTCTCTATTGGCTTCCCTTTCTTCCAAAGCATAAGATACACCAGGGAAGGCCCAGGATACAGGAGCAGACAGAAGGTAACAGAAGAAGATGAGCACTGGGGAGAGCCTGCAGTAGCCTGAACCTCCTCATTATTCAATTTCTCCAAGAACCTACAGGAGTTTCAACTACTGCTTTTGTGGTTCGTTGACATTTCATTAAGGATAGCTTTTTTTTTTTTTGGCTTTTGCTTTTGTTTTTTTTTTGGTAGTGGTATTCATCAAGTGTGGGGAGAAAGAGGTTTTGCTTCCATACCATCAGCATTTTCTGAAAATTTCCTGGGCCATTCTACCTTCTTCTTCTGGTCTGTTGATCTCTTAAATCCATAATATTTTCTCTCTCCTTTCTGCCTGAGGTATTGTCTGCTGTTGCTGTTGCTGATATTTTTTAGATCTTAAAAGCAGCATCTTTGGGCTGGGGGCAGTGGCTCAAGCCTGTAATCCCAGCACTTTGGGAGGCTGAGGAGGGTGGATCACGAGGTCAGGAGTTCAAGACCAGCCTGGCCAAGAGGGTGAAACCCCATTTCTACTAAAATTACAAAAAAAATAGCCGGGCGTGGTGGCCTGTGATCCCAGCTACTCAGGAAGCTGAGGCAGAGAATTGCTTGAACCTGAGAGACAGAGGTTGCAGTGAGCCAAGATTGTGCCACTGCACTCCAGCTTAGGCAACAGAGTGAGACTCTGTCTCAAAAAAAAAAAAAAAAAAAAAGCAGCAGCATCTTTGTTTTCTTTACTAATGACACAGGGTTAGAGTTTCAACAATATCCCAATGTATTACCCAGTATTCAGATCCTTGCAGCATTTTGAAACATATGTGTGATATTTTGTTTCCATATTGTAATACCCAGAATTTAAACTGAAATATACATCATTCCAGCTGAAGAGGCAGGTGGTGTTTAGCCAGAGAAATGGCCTAACAGAAGTGGTATTTAAAGAAGATTAACCTGCAAACATGTGCAGGAGAGATTAGGTTACAGGAACAAGCTGAATTTGCCAAAGATTGTTCCACACTGTAGATTCAAGCCATTTTGGTCCCTGGCTCTGTCTGGTTTAGAAAATCAAGATGCCCTGTGGTTTACCCATTGCCATTTAAAATATTTTAGTGATTATGAGGGAAGTAGTTTTTATCAAGGCTTTCCTTAGCTGTACAATCCTGGATATCCTTTATAAATAAGAGGAACCACTGAGAAGTGTAGATCTTTCTTGGAACCTATATGAGATGAGTGGAAGACCAGTTTTGAGAGGGATGACAAACTGCAACTTTTGAATCTTTTTTTTTTCTTTTTTAGATGGGGTCTTGCTCTGTTGCCCAAGCTTACTACAACCTCTACCGCCCAGGCTCAAGCGATTCTCAGGCCTCAGGCTCCCAAATAGCTGGGACCACAGATGTACATCATCATGCCCAGCTAGTTTTTGTATTTTTGGTAAAGACAGCGTTTTGCCATGTTGTCCAGGCTGGTCTTGAACTCCTAAGCTCAAGTGATCTGCCTGCCTCGGCTTCCCAAAGTGCTAGGATTACAGGAGTGAGTCTCAGAGCCCAGCCATGCAACTTTTGAATCTTAATAAAGAAGTACCAACTTTTACAAGTGATCAGTTTGGAAAGGAGGTAAATAGGAATCAGTGCTACATCACTTTACTGTGTCAAACTAATGAAATTCCAACCTTTTATTTCCTCTTACAGGTAGAACAGTTAGAGTTATTCATCTGTATATTAAAATTTCTAAATAATTACTGGCTTAGGAGAAGGAAATGTCATTTTTAATTACAGAAATCCATTGTCATTATTAGAAAAAAATTCTATTTTTATTTTATGCATAATTTTGTATATATAAAGACTAAATGCAACAGAAAATGATAGAAAATGCACACATAAAATATGTGATATTCTGAGTCTATTAATTTAGGACTAAAACAAATAAGTAAAACCTTTGCTGTTCATCAACATTCTTTGCTTTTATATAAAGAGTGGTCTCTTCTTAGTCTGAGCGATTATGAAATAAAATGTAACAAAATCCCTTTATCTGCCTGATAAGAGTGATATTTTAAATAAAGCACATATTTCACTATGATCTATGAATAACAGAAGTGGCTTCTTACTAATGTAATAATAATTATAATTAGGTCTCAAGATAAAAGCTCAAGAGATCAAAGCTAAGTAGAGTCCTTATTAACTTAAAAATTCATAGTTATTCCTGAATTAAACAAATGACTAATAGTTACACGGGAACGTTCTCACCGCTCTCTGCTAAATAGCATGAAAAATTAGAACACCCCATTTGTGATTAACAGTCCAGTGAAATCTATTTACAATATGAAATAAGGACCTCCTTCTGTAATTTAAGCAGATAGCCCTTTGTGGCTTTAGAGAATACCTGAGTCACATTCATTTCAGAATAATATTTTGGGACCCTGTTTCATCAAACCCTTTCATTGCCCCTTCGACATCCCCCCAACCTCCTGTCACCATGTCATGGGGTTAAAGTACAAGTGTTTCTCGATTTTTAATGGGGTTAGGTTCTGTGCCAATAAACTCACTGCAAGTTGAAAATATCATTCAGTTGAAATTGCACTTAATACACCTAACCTACGAAAATGTTCTCAGAACACTTTCATTAGTCTACAATTGGATAGTCATCTGGCAACATGGTACACAGTAGAGTACTTGTATGATCTTGATCATGTCTCTGATTGGAAGCTGTAGCTCCTTGCAGCTGCCCAGCATGGCGAGAGAGTATCCTACTACACATTGCTAGCCCAGGAAAAGCTAGCCTGCACTTCAACACTATGTTTTCTACTGAATGTTTATTGATTTTGCGCCATTCTAAAGTCAAAAAATTTAAAGTTGAAACACTGTAGGTGAGGAACTGTCTGTATTGAAGAGAATGGAATAAATTTTCCTTAGTTTTTATTAAAAAAATGGTTGTACCAGATTGCATTTAAATAATGCTACATTATGAAATATATCAGACATGTAAAATCTAAAAACAATATTGTTAACTAACAATTGTGTACCTACCATAAACCTTGAAAGATAAAGCTGTACAAATATAATAAAGACCTTGGAGTTAATCTCTGGTAGCATTTCCATCACTCACGACCAGAGTCTTGATTTTGGTAATGCAACTGTACATATTTATTATATATAAATGCAATAATAAGCAGTATTGCTTTATGTCATTTAAAATTATATATAAAAATATCTTACCATGTAGATCCTCATATAGCTGATTTATTTTTATTCAATATTGTGTTTGTGTGATTTAGTACCTTTCGTTTGTTCATTTCACCGAATATGGCACTTCACTCTATTACCACGCCCTAATTTATTGTTCCATGTTCCTGCTGATTGACACTGGTCATTTCTAGATATTCCCTAGTAGAAACAGTATCACTGTGAACATTCTAGTATATAATTTTTTCCACATGTGTGAAAACTTCTTCTATGTATTTCATCCATTCTAAAATGCAATTTTTAAAAAATATTTCAACACCTCTAAAACTGAAGTCTCCTAATTTCCAGTGCTCTAACAATAATAATTGGAAGTATATTTTCAGTAGAATGGATGAGCCAAAAAGGTATTAAGATCTTCAACCTTCCAGCTATCAAAAAAATTGCTTATTATGTGTTTGTGTGAATCTGCACTGCCATTAAAGTATATGAGAATTCCACTTGCCCCATACACTCCTCAACACGTGGTATAGTCAGACATACCCACTGACTTATGGGTACAAAATGTCAACTCATTGTCATTTTTGCATGTATTTACTATTCTCACAACCTTTCCTATGAGTTTCCTCTTAAATCTTCCTTCTTGTCCCTTTTTAAAAAGGAATCTTACTTTTTCTTATTGATATCCTCTGTGGCAACATATATTAATAGAAACAGAAAGGTTTCTGGCCTGTAATTTTGCTTTTTAACAGCTCTCAAGCCAATTGATATTGTTTTTGTTTTCATTCGGTTTGGTGTGGTTTGTGGGTTTTCGTTTGTTTTGGGCAATCGCTGTTTTCTTTCTGGTTGCTTTGAATTTATTTATGCACATGTTTAACATAATTTGTCTAGGTTTGACTTATTCTGAAAATCTTGCACTTTTTAACAATTTTGAATAAAAAATTTGTCTTTTAACACCTCTAGAAAAATTTTTATTACCTTCTCTTCAATTATTAATTCTTACTCATTCTTTACATCCCATTCCCTGGGAACTCTAATTGGATATTTTTATTCTATACTTCATTTCCCTTTGACTTCTTTTTCATATTTTCACCTTTCACTCTCTATCTCCCTTTGTCTCAGTGCTTATAGAGTAGATGCCCTTATGTACTATATTCTGAGTGACTTCATTAGATATAATTTTTAGTTCACTCATTTTTCCTTCAATTATTTAAACAATATGTTAATTCATCCATTATATTTTTAAAGGGCTTTATTTCCAAAAATTATGCTTAATTCTTTTCAAATTTGCCTATTTCCTTTTCTCCTTTTTATCATTTTTCTAATATTTTTATTTCCTTGACACTTCCTATTATCCTAAATATGAATTGTTTTATAATCAGTAATCTAATTATCTGAAGTTCTTGAGAGAATTAATTCTGTAGTTAATGGCTTCTGCTTTTTCTTACTAATTTGATTATTTTCCCATGTCTTCCATGATTTTAGAATAGGAGCTTATATTCAGCCCAGTATTATCACTGAGCAGTTTGGTATATCTGAACTGACCGTGGTAAAGGTCAAGTGGCTACCACTTAATTGCCTTTGTGGGGCTCCTATACTCAAGACACCCAAGGGCACCTAACCCACCTAAGCCAAGACAAATTTAAGTTTATTGATAAAAACTCAAAATCATACAATATGAAGACAAACTAGAAAAGTCAAATCTATGGACTAGAGTAAGATTTAATGTTATCTTTGAAGAGGCAAGGATTCCTAGTCTGGTTGATTGAACTGTAGAAAAAGATATTCAGAGCAGTAAGTGATGATCCTGAGTAATAATCCTCAAGCTGATGTTGACTTTTCTTTACAGAATTGGAAATCTATTGATTTTGTGGAATAATAATTAAATAATTATAAAACCCTGAGTGAATCCATTTTAACAAATAAAATTAGGCCAATTTATTTAACCCAAATAACCAATTATTTCCATTTAAAACTTAGATTTAATGTATAGTTTTTAAAAAGATTGATGACTTTTGAAGTTTAGAGTTGTTTTTAATATGTACTCACAGAATAATAACACATTGAAATTCTTTAATAGCTTCATTTTATTTATGTTGTGAAAAATCTAACAACCAACTAAACATGATACATAGATCTAAGAAGGGAAGGAAATATGCTGCCAAATATAAGAATTATAATGTGAAAATACCCTTCTAATACACCTTTCACAGGGGAGTCCAGGCACTTTTAAAAAGTAGTAACTTTTTAGTATAACATTTCAGGGGAATGAGAAAGATCCACTGATGTTATACATTATTTTTAATTAAAAAAATTTTTACATCCAGAGGGTTCATGTGTACGTTCGTTACATGGGTATATTGCATGTCAGTAAGGCTTGGTGTACTAATGATCCTATCACCAAGATAGTGAGCATAGTACCCAAGAGGTATCCAACCCATGCTCCCCTCCCCACACTCCCCTCCCCACATTCCCCCTTCAAGTAGTCCCCAGTGTCCACATGTTCCCTTCTTTGTGTCCACATGTATTCAATGTTTATCTCACACATATAAGTAAGAATATGCAATATTTGGTTTTCTCTTCCAGTGTTAATTCACATTGTTGCAATGGACACGCTTTCATTCCTTTTTATGGCTGTGTGCTATTCCATCATTTATATACACCACATTTTCTTCATCCAGCCCACCATTAATGAACATCTTGGTTGACTCCATGTCTTCAGTATCATAAACAGTGCTGCAATGAACATACTAGTTGTATTAGTCCATTCTCACACTGCTATAAAGACATAGCCAAGACTGCAGAATATATAAAGGAAAGAGGTTTAATTGACTCACAGTTCTGCATGGCTGGTGGTGGGGGGGTGCTCAGAAAATTTAAAATCATGGCAGGTGAGAGTGAAGCAAAGGCACATCTTACATGGCAGCAGGTGAGGGAGAGCAAAGGAGCAAAGGGAGAAGAGCCTCCTAGAAAACCGTCAGATCTCCTGAGAACCCACTCACTATCACAAGAACAGCATGGGGTAAACCACCACCATGATCCAATCACCTCCTATCAGGTCCTGGCCTTCACACATAAAGATTATGGGGATTACATTCAAGATGAGATTTGGGTGGGGACACAGAGCCAAACCATATCACTATTGCATGTGTCTTTCAGGTAGAAATATTTATTTTAATTTCAGTATATACCTGATAGTGGAACTACTGGGTTGAATGGTAGTTTCATTTCAAGGTCTTTGAGAAATATCCACACTACTTTCCACAGTGGCTGAACAAATTTCTTCATACCAACAGTGTATATGTATTCCGTTTTCTCCACAGCATTTTGTCCTGTGTAGTGACACAAAGGTGTTCTCTGAATTTCCCAAATTTGCATGTGGTTGACCTCTCTAGCAAGATTGGGAAAATTTTTGTGGACTATATCCTTAAACATGCTTTTCAAGCTACTTGCTCTCCCTCCTTCAGTGTCTGGAATGTCAATGAGTCATAGACTTGGTCCCTTTATATAATCTCATCTTTCTGAGAGGTTTTGTTCATTTTGAATTTTTTAAATTTTTCTCTGCCTGTGTTGCTTCAAAGGAGTGGTCTTCAAGCGCTGAGATCCTTTCCTTAGCTTGGTTTATTCTGTAGTTAATACTTACAACTGCATTTTGAAATTCCTGTAGTGAATTTTTCATTTCCAGAGGTTCCATTTCTTTCTTTCTTAAAATGATTGTGTCGTCTTTCAACTCTTGGATCATTTTACTGTTTTCCTTGGATTGGGCTTCATCCTTCTCTTGTATCTCAAGATTCTGAATTCTATGTCTGATATTGCTGCATTTCACATTGGTTATGATCCATTGCTAAGAAGCAAGTGTGGTGGTTTAGAGCTAAGTTGACACACTGGCTTTAGAGTTGCCAGATTTCTTGCACTGTTTTTGTTTTTCATCTGTGTGGGCTGATGATTCTTTATCCTTTGAAGTAGCTGTCCTTTGGATGGGGTTTTTTGTTTTTATGCTCTTCATTGACCTTGAGGCTTTGACTGTGGTGCAAGTTAGAGATAGGTGAACAGCTTCATTGCTGGATGGTTTCAAGGGGCAAGGCTCAGCTCTGGACTCCTGGGCTGTCTGCTTTAACCCTAGGGGACTGGGAATGGGTCAGTGGCTTTGCTCTTCGGTCATTTGAAGTCAAGCCCCATCTGGGCTGGAGGGTTTGAGGTTTTCCCTAACCACTAGCAACAGCCCTCCATAGGGGATGATGGAGGGGCCACTGGCATAGGTGCTCCAGTGCTGGTGCCCAGGGTACCATTGGTGGGAGGCTCTCTGGCTGGGGTAGCTGGATTGTCATGGCACTCCAGCAAGGGTTGCAGTAGCATCTCAGGTGATAGTCATTCTGCTGGAGGGCTGAAATTCTTTATTTAAGAGCCTGACCCAAATATAATTGCAGAAATGAGTATATTTTGGTTACAAGAAAAGAGGAGATTTGAAAATTGAGAAGTCCATGTTTGAATCACACTGTTGAAGTAATAATTCATATTTCTAAATCAAAGGTAATATTTTAAAAGCTACAGAGAAAATTGACTGCTTACAGTAGATTTCAATATATACCTGAGATCCTAAAGAAAATAATGGAGAGAAATAGAATCATATTTACTTTCAGAACTTTAAAGAGGATCTTATTTTTAGTTCTTATAATTGATACTATCTATCAAAAAAGCATAGTTGATTTTAAGCATATCAATCTAAATTTTGTTTGAAAATGACCATACTACTTTTATTAGTTGTTTGCTTACAGATTTTTTTTTCTGTGTTCTACACAGATATCAGAAATTTGAATGATATAAAATATGGTGTTGTTCCCTTTGGGAGTAGAATAAAATAGGGGTAAGCATTTAAGATTACTACTTTTATTTTGTTTGTGGTTATTTTGCCTTATTGATGCCCTTCATTTTATCTTCATAAAAATTTAGCTCTGTATCAAACTGCCCTCTCATGTAGAAAACATTTACAAATGTATGCATCTATATTTCCAAGGAATGTTTCTATGAAACCATAACTCAGTTAATTAGTCTTAACCAATATAATTAATAAAATGGAAAGATTGAGTGTGTGGGGTCTGAGACAATACAATATGACTTTAAATTCTAGCTCTATTGCTTATTAGCTGTGCAGTCTTCAACAAGCCATTTAACCAAGCTGGATTTCACTTATTTAGTCTATAATTTGGGAATAATATTATGACTTCATTGAAGGGATTACTGTGACAACAACTGGCACACAGCACTAATTTAATGTTGGCTACTCTTATTCCAAAAAATTAAAACTTAGTAGAATTGAGCTAACAGAATGAATGGTTAAATAATTTTCTAAGGGATGGCCAGCACATTTCTAAATAACTATCTTTTTTAACAACTAACTAGAAAATTTACCAAAATCTTCTCCTTTGAAATATTTCCTCTGTGACTAATAGAAGAAAGCTTATAGTCAAAAGTGTTACTGAGAAGGGGAGAGAAAGAGACAGACAGAGAGAGACAGAGAGAGATAGAGACAGAAAGGATGTGAGTATTCTCAAAACAGATAAAAAGAAATGTATCTCTGACATTACTTTTCATAGATGACCAGCCCTGGGGCAGCTTCAGAGGCCACTCTGTTCTGCTATTCAGATGAAATTGCACAAAATAACAGGCAGCCCAATCACTCTCTGCTTTTGGGTGTAATTTTAGTCTCCTGGCAAATAGCTAATTTATTTGTACTCTAAGAAGATTGGATTTTGAAAGAGAGATTACAAGTTAAGTGGTTGTATAAATTTTTTTCCTGTTTTCTCCTTAAGTGGTAACAGCATAGTTTTAAGATCCTAAAAGTTTTGTTTGTTTTACTCTACAGAAAAGTTACTCCCAACTTTAATCATTAATTACTGGAAACATTTTAATTTTGTTTTTGTTTTGCCACATATATGGTAATACTTTAGAAAGTACAGCTTATTGTTGACTTGTCAAATACACCCTTTGAAGAAGTGAAAAATCAATAGTCAGTGGTAAGTTGCTTTTGAAAATATGGTTCCATCCTAAATTATCATCAATGAATACATATGCTTTTACTTTTTTTTCTTTTTCTTTTTTTTTTTTTTTTTTTTTGAGACAGAGTCTCACTCTGTCACCCAGGCTGGAGTGCAGTGGCATTATCTCGGCTCAACGCAACCTCTGTCTCCTAGGTTCAAGTGATTCTCATGCCTCAGCCTCCCAAGTAGCCAGAATTACAGATGTGCACCACTATGCAGAGCTAATTTTTGTATTTTTTAGTAAAGACAGAGTTTCACCATGTTGGCCAGGCTGGTCTCCAACTCCTGGCCTCAAGTGATCCATCTGGCTGGGCCTCCCAAAGTGCTGGGATTACAGGAATGAGCCACCTCACCCAGCCTACGTATGCTTTAAAAGATCTCAAAAGAAGAGTAAACATTAAAGTTTTAGCATTTTCATTTCATGAACTACTGCAATTTTTTGCAATTATGTAATTATTAGCCATCCCAATTATGCTGCAATTTTTTAAATGAGTTAATTCTATTTATCAATGTGGAGAAAACACCAATATACTTTTTAATAAAAAGCAAGTCACTGAATAACACCTACAATATAATATCATTTTGTTCAAGCACACACAACGTACACATACAAAATATTTCTATGTGTATGTATAAAAATTAACTCAGGATTGATTAAAGATTTAAACTAAGACCTAAAACCGTAGAAATTTCAGAAGAAAACCTAGGAAAAATGTTTTTGAACATTGGCCTAGGCAAGAAATTTATGATTAAGACCCCAAAGCAAATGTAACAAAAACAAAAATAAATAAATGAGGCTTAATTAAACTAAAAGGCTTCCACACAGCAAAAGAAAGAATCAACAGAGTAAATGGACAACCTACAGATTTAGAGAAAATATCTGCAAACTATACATCCAACCAAGGATTAATATCCACAATCTGGTAGTGTGGTGCAAAAGTTACTGGGGCTTTTCCATCGAAAGTAATGCCAAAAACCACAGTTACTTTTGCACCAACCTATACAAGGAACTCAAATCAGCAAGAAAAAAGGAATAATCTCATTAAAAAGTGGGCAGATGACATGAACAGACATTTTTTTAAAAGATGCTATACAAATGACCAACAAACTGATGAAAAAAATGTTTAACATCAATAATCATCAGAGAAATGCATATACAACCACAATGAGATATCATCCTCCCCCAGTCAGAGTGGCCATTATTAAAAAGTCAAAAAACTGTAGATATTGGTACGCATACAGTAAAAAGTGCACCCGTATACACTGTTGGTGGGAATGTAAACTAGCACAATCTCTATGGAAAACAGCATGGAGATTTCTCAAAGATCTAAAAGTTGATCTACCATTCAATAAAGCAATCCCACTACTGGGTATTCACCTAAAGAAAATGAAGTGATTTTATCAAAAAGACACCTGCATGCATATGTTTATCACAGCACAAATCACAATTGCAAAGATATGGAATCAATCTAAGTGCCCATCAACTGATGAGTGGATAAAGAAAATGTGATATACAATGGGATACTACTGATCCATAAGAAAAGAACAAAACAATATCTTTTGTAGCAACTTGGATGGAACTGGAGGCCATTATCCTAAGTGAAGTAACTCAGAAGCAGAAAATCAAATACCACATGTTCTCACTTATTAGTGGGGGATAAGCTATGGGTATGCAGGGGCATACACAGGTAGTATCATGAACATTGGAGACTCAGAAGGAAGGAGGATGGGAAGGGAGTGAGTGATGAACAGGTATTTATTGGATACAATGTATACTATTCAGGTGATGGGTATACTTAAAAAGTCCAGACTTTACCACAATGCAATTCATCAAGGTACCCAAAACTATGTGTGCCCCTAAATCTACTGAAAAAAATTTCCATGTGTAAATTCATCAAAATATGTGCTTACTGAGCTCTGAAATGAAACACACCACACTTAGAGCAGAAGTTATCTCTAGGTAAAAGAAGAAGTAGCTTTAGCTTTAACTATTATGTTTGTATATAACAACATACTTTTTGTTAAAAAAATGCCTTCTTATCTTACTTTTGTAATTTAAACATCAAAAGTTTCAGTACATAGTTATATCTTTATGTGTCTTTGATTCGTTAAAACTGGTGTCTCTAATAAATAGATTTTTCATAATGACCTATAATAAACAAAGTGTCTTTTCTACGTGGTTTCAAAAGAATTATTTTTTTCAGAAATTAAAAATACCCATTTACAAGATATTGTTTTAAGAAAGTAAATATGGCTGGTAGTTTATCTTTTATCAACATTTTCATTCTCTGAGATTTAGAATGAATCATCTAAAGATTAAAGTACAGCAAAAATTGCTTTTCTGAGATCAAAGTAAAATAGAAAAGAGTGGGAGTTAAAGACCAGCTTGGCCAAGATGGAGAAACCCTGTCTCTATTTAAAAATACAAAAATTAGCCCGGCATGGTGGTGCGCGCCTGTAATCCCAACTACTCGGGAGGCTGAGGCAGAGAATTGCTTGAGCCCGGCAGGCAGATGTTGCAGTGAGCTGAGATTGCGCCCCTGCACTTCAGCGTGGGGAACAGAGCGAGATTCCGTCTCAAAAAAAAAAAAAAAAAAAAAAGAAAGAAAGAAAAAAGAAAAGAGTGTACTAAAATACTTTCTTCTAATAACCCAATAGGACCTAATATCTGTGAATTTATTCAAATTCCTTTGTAAAAATATTATTTTCAGTGTTTACTCACTCTTGGTATCATAGTTTCTCCTAGCTGTGCAAAGTTTGTTTCCTTTTATTTGCCCTGAGTTTGCCTAGAAAGAGGAAGATGTTACACAGAGATAAGAATTACATCTTTCTATGAATAAAGCACCACTACATTTATATCTGTATTTAATGTAGCTTACAAGTCTTGAGAATTTACGTTGAGTCAAAATGTACTCAGTGATAAAATTAACTCCTGTTGGTAAGGTATCAGAGCAACTATAGAAATAGAACAGTGGTAAAATCAACTCCTGTTGGTAAGACAGCAGGGTAACTAGAAATAGAACAGTAGATTTCTGAATGTTACTTATCAGTTTATCAGCTAACCAAAGACAGAGACATGATATTTTCATTCAAACACACTATTTAACTCAGGCTAGATCCTCAATAAAGTACAAATCCTCTTATCTTACCAATATCTGGCTCAGATTTTTCCTGTCTTCAATCTCTGTGTATTCAAGAATTTCCTCTCTTTATTCATGCATATTTTGTAGATAAATCTTCTGATGCGATACCTGCAAAAATATAGTAAACCGCAGATTTGATATAGTTGACTCCTGCTTGGATCCTTGGGCATAAAAATGATTAATAAAACATGACTACATAACTTAGATAATTCACTTCTATAATATGTAAAAACAAAAATGTTGCTAAATTAATAATTCCTGAATTCCTAGGTGCTTCCTGAAGTGGCTGAGTTGTAAATCACATTTTCTATTACCTGTGGTGAGACTCAGAGAATGCTTTCATTTACTCTGTTAGGCTTGGAAAATACCTCTATAAGCCATTCCAGAGAAGAAGCTGATACAATTTGGATTTTGTCCCCTACAAATCTTATGTTGAAATGTGACCCCCAGTGTTGGGGATGAGGCCAGGTGGGAGGTGTTGGGGTCATGGGGGCAGACTCTTCATGAATGAAGTGGTGCTCTTCCCATGGTAATGAGTTCACGCAAGATCCTGTTGTTAGAGAGACTGGAACCTCCTTCCTCTCTCTCTTGCTCCCTCTCCTTTTGCCCTGTCACAAGCCTGCTCCCCTTTTGCTTTCAGGCATCAGTAAAAGCTTCCTGGGCCTCATAAGAAGCCAAGCAGATGCTGGTGCTGTGTGTACAGTCAACAGAACTATGAGCCAAATAAGCCACCTTTCTTTATAAATTACCCAGTCTCAGATATTCCTTTGTAGTAACACAAAATAGATTAATACTAAAGTCTTTCTCAGTTTTTGGTGACTTGTATCTTTTGTAAAGTAAACTAAAATAAAATTGTGTCTCCTCTCTACGTCACTAATCATGTCCAGTCCTAAGACAAATCAGAATGGCACTCTCCCTTCCTTCTCTTGTGTCTTTCTTTTCTCCTTCCAGAACTACCACACCCCAGCTTGGGCCTGGGAAGCATAATTTAACATAGAAGCTTTGCACTTTGCCCGTCAGGTTTACCAGGCTCCCAGTCTATTATTATTTTATGATAAAATTTGTCTTTGAAAGGAGTCTGAATGTTAGTGCAATACTTTTCCAAATAGTGTCTTCATAGGGCTTCAAGGGATAGTTTAAATGCAAAACAAATTCAAGGCTTTCTGATTTCTCAATTAACTCTTACATAAAGTTATCAAATATGCATATTTTATGCCCTTTCAGTAGTACAAAAAATATTTAATTCATCTCTGAGATAAATTAATATGAGAAAAAAAATTTTCCTGATAATTTTATTTGGCCCCAAATAAATATATATGTACCGTCTTCATCTAAACAAAGTTACAAATGTGAAAATGAGAAGGGCATTTCTGAGCCTGTTGTATCAAAAGCCATATAAATGTACTGTCTTAGGAAGGAATGGACAAGTTCCACTTCCAGATTGCCTGCAGGTTAAAATAGGTACCAGGAAATGAACGGTTCTCGCCTTAAAATCAAATAAGTTAACAATCCACTACTTTTGTTAGTTCAAAAGGAATTTGAAGACACTTAAATATATATTTGTACGTTTAGAAAAATATTTTGAATTAAAATCTTTAAACTTTCCTTCCAGCTTCAAAAAACCAACAACAAAAAAACAGGTGACAGCCTTTTCAGTCTTTGGCACAAGACAAGGATGGCCACTCCCACCACTCCTATTCAACATAGTACTGGAAAGTTCCAACCAGAGCAATCAGGCCAAAGAAAGAAATAAAAGACATCCAAATTGAAAGAGAGGAAATCAAATTATCCCTATTTTCAAATGATGTAAGCTTATATTTAGAAAACTTTAAAAACTTCATCAAAAACCTTTAGATCTGAAAAAAAATTTCAAAATTTCAGGATAAAAAAGTCAACATACAAAAATCAGTAGTGTTTCTGTGCACTAATAACAAACTGCTGAAAAAAGAATTAAGAAGGCAATCCCATTTATAATCACTACAAACAAACATACCTAGGAACAAATTTAACCAAAAATGTGAAAGTCTTATACAAAGAAAGCTACAAAACACTAATGAAAGAAATTGAAGAGGACATCAACAAATAGAACGATATTCTATGCTCCTGGGTCAGAAGAATTAATATCATTAAAATAACCATGCTGTCTAAAGCAATATTCAGATTGAATACCACCCATATTAAAATACCAATGCCATTTTTCAAAGAGAGAGAAAAAACATCTTAAAATTTTTACCAAATCCAAAAAGAACCTGAATAGCCAAAACAATCCTGAGCAAAAAGAGAAAAGCTGAAGGTATCACCCTCCCTGACTTCAAATATATTCCAAAGCTATAATAACCAAAACAGCATAATATTGGCACAAAAACAGGCAGATAGACTCATGGAATATAACAGAAAGCCCAGAAGTAAGTCCATGTGTTTACAGCCAACTGATCTTCTACAAAGGCACCAAAAACATACATTGCGGAAATGACACCCTTTTCAATTAATGGTGCTGGAAAAAGTTGATATCCATATGCAGACGAATGAAACTAGCTCTCCTATCTCTCACCATTTACACAAAATGAATTAAAGACTTAAATGTAAGACCTGAAGCTTCAAAACTACTAGAAGAAAATGGAAAACGTTTCAGGACATTGGTCCAGGCAAATATTTTATGGCTAAGACCTCAAAAGCATAGGAAATAAAAATAAAAATAAACAAATGATACTATATTAAACAAAAAAGCTTGTATACAGTAAAGGTAATAATCAACAGAGTGAAGAGATAACCTGCTGAATGGGAAAAAATATGTGCAAACTATTCATCAAATAAGGGAATAATGTCTGGAATCTACAAGGAACTCAAACAACTCAACAGCAAATAACCTCATTAAAAAATGGGTAAAAGACATGAATATTTTTCAAAAGAAGACATACAAACACATATATTAAAAATGCTCAATAACATTAATCATCAGGTAAATACAAATCAAAACCACAATGAGATATCAACTTAGAATGGCTATTACTAAAAAGACAAAAAAATTACAGATGCAGGCAAGGATACAGGGAAAAGAAAACTTTTATACACTGTTGGTGGGAATGCAAATTAGTACAGCTGTTACGGAAAACAGTACGGAGAATTCTCAAAAAGCTGAAAATAGAATCACCATAAGATCCAGCAGTCTCACTACTGGATATATATCCAAAGAAAAGGAAATTGGTATATTCAAGGGATACCTGCACTTCCATGTTTATTGCAGCACTATTCACAACAACAAAGATATGGGCTCAACCTAAGTGTTCATCAATGGATGAATGAATAAGGAAAATGTGAATTAATAAATAAAACGAATAAAGAAATGAATAAAGGAAATGAATATATACACACAATGGAGTATTATTCAGCCATAAAAAATGAAATTATGTCATTTGCAGCAACATGGATGGAACTGGAGGTCATTAGGTTAAGTGAAATAACTCAGGCCCAGGAAGACAAATATCGTTATGTTCTCACCCTTATGTTGGAGCTAGAAAAGATGATCTCATGCAGGTAGAGAGTAGAACAATACACATCACAGGCTGGGAAGAATGTGTGGGTGGGTGGGAAGGGAGGAAAGAGAAGCTGGTTAATGGGTACAAACATAGAATTATATAGAAGGAATAAGCGTTAATGATCAATAGCAAAGTAGGGTGACTATAGTTAACAACGTATTGTATATTTCAATGAAGCTATAAAAGAAGATTGGAATGTTTCAAACACATAGAAATGATAAATACTCAAAGTGATTTGATCATTACACATTGTATGCATGTAGCAAAATATCACATATACCCCATATATATGTACAAATATTATGTATCAATAAATTTAAATGTCATTTTCTTTTTTGACTTAATATTTAAATATGTAGCAATGTGTTTTATCATAATCATTTTTAACTTTTATTTTTCATTTTATATAATCACTACTGTTCCTATTATAATTATTTCTTAACTTTATTTCTTTTAAATTCCAAATTAAGTCCTTTCTTGATGTTGCCTGGGATCTACTGAATTTGTGAACTACAGCATGTCCAAGCTCGACTAGACCTCAATGAGAGAATCTAATAATTAAGAGGGGATGTCTTACAGCATCATCTTCTCGACTGCCTCCTGTGTGTCCTGATTTCCCAATCTTGACACATTTCAGTCTTTACTTCTTTAGACCAGTAGAATTGTTTTCAACATCTCATTGTCATTACAAAAGTGTAAATATCCCAGTGCAGCAGAAGTTATTCAATATGGCCTCGGTATTAAAATCCAAACTGAGTCATTATGCAGTCACCTAAGAATCCCTTTCGTATGTAATATTCATGGTTTACATCTTTATATTTTTACTTCTTTGATCCTTACCTCAGGAAACAAGACGGGAAAGCTCTCTGATTCCATGAGAACTGAGATTCCGAGTGGTGGTGTGCCTTGACCTAAGGTTTGCAGCTAATAAATTGAGGACCAAGGCTCAGAACCTAGATCTTCTGTCTCTAGTACAGTGCACTCTGTACTATGCCGATAACTGGATTTTGGAAAAATCTGAACTAGCCCTAAGGTTTCCTGGCTCCATACTTAGGATCCTTTTTATGATATAAAATACCTTATCTTAATCTCTCTTATGTTACCTGTACACACAAGCTGCTGGTTTTTAAAAATATTTTTAACATAATTACAGATTTACATACACTTGTTAAAAATACTACAGAAAGGCCCCATATTTCTTTCACTTACTTTTTCCACAGTGGTAACATCTTGCATAACTATAGCGCAATATATCAACCAGGATATTGACATTAATACAGTCCATTTACAGAGCATTTTCATTACCACGAGGTTTCTTCCTATAGCTATTACATAGCCACACCTACTTCCCTTCTCCCACTGCATCATTTTTGCCTCAACACTTGGCAACCATTAATGTACTTTCCATTTATTTAATATCATTGTTTCAAGGATGCTTTATAAATGGTATCATATACACCTTTTGGAACTAAGTTTTTTCACTCAGCATAGTTTCCTGGAGATTCATCCAGTGGCTGTGTGTATGAATAGCCCACCACTGTTCATTGCTGAGTTGTATTCCCACTGTAGGGATGCACCACCGTTTGTTTAACCATCCCTCCCTTGAAAGACATCTAGGTTGTTTCCAGCTTGGAGCTGTTATGAATAAAGCTGCTAGGAGCTTTCATGCGCTGGAGTTTTTTGTTAACATACATTTATAAATATCACAGGCTGGTTTGTTTTAATTTTAATTTTATGTTAAGTTCTGGGATACATGTGCAGAACGTGCAGGTTTCTTACATAGTTATACATGTGCCATAATGGTTTGCTGCGCCTATCAACCTGTCATCTAGTTTTTAAGCCCCACATTCATTAGGTATTTGTCCTAACGCTCTCCCTCCCCTTGTCCCCCACACCCAACAAGCCTTGGTGTGTGATGTTCCCCTCCCTGTGTCCATGTGTTCTCATCATTCAGCTCCCACTTATGAGTGAGAACATGTGGTGTTTGGTTTTCTGTTTCTGTGGTAGTTTACTGAGAATGATGGCTTCCAGCTTCATCCATGTCCCTGCAAAGGACATGATCTCATTCTTTTTTATGACTGCATAGTATTCCATGGTGTATATGTGCCACATTTTCTTTATCCAGTCTATCATTGATGGGCATTTGGGTTGGTTCCAAGTCTTTACTATTGTAAATAGTGATGCAATAAACAAACATTTGTGTGCATGTGTCTTTATAGTAAAATGATTTATAATCCTTTGGGTATATACCCAGTAATGAGATTCTTGGGTCAAATGATATTTCTAGTTCTAGATCCTTGAGGAATCACCACACTGTCTTCCACAATGGTTGAAATAATTTACACTCCCACCAATAGGGCAAAAGCATTCCTATTTCTCCACATCCTCGTCAGCATCCGTTGTTTCCTGACTTTTTAATAATCGCCATTCTGACTGTTGTGAGATGGTATCTCACTGTGATTTTGATTTGCATTTCTCTAATGACAAGTGATGATGAGGCTATTTTTAAATTATCAAAGTCTATTTAAATAGCTTTTTCTAGACAAAACTAATCAAAAGTCACATGATCAAGAACTGCATGGGCTAGTTCTCTTCCACAACTCTACTAAGACCCTCTGTATGAGTCAGGGTTCTCCAGACAAACTCAGGCAGAAATTAATGTTGCAGTCCTGAGGCAGAGCTTCTTCTTTGGGAGACCTCAGTTTTTGCTCATAAAACCTTCAGCTGAGCAGATGAGGGCCACCTGCAAAGGGATGAGGCCCTTAACTTAACAGTCAACTGATTGTAGATGTTAACTATATCTGCAAAAGACCTTCACAGCAACAACAACTAGTTTAGTGTTTTAATTAAATAATTGGATGCTATAGCTCAGTCAACTTGACTTAAGACCATGACACCTAAAACAGCCTTCTTTATGGAACTAAATCTTTCTTTAAAATGTGTTTTAATGCCTCTTTTCGTCATATTTTTGTTTGCAGCAGGCTGCAGGGAAGGCAAAGACTTTGTCAGAGGGATGAAAAATCAGTGAGATAGGACATAGCTAAAGAATGACAAACAAAAATCAGGACCACTAACTTTATCATTCGGAATAGTCCTAAGAGAATGATAGACAGAGAAGTTGTGAGCCCTCTTACATCATTGGAACTCCTGGAACTGCTGTATCTACAGATGATGCAGACTTTATGTAAGGCTGTTTACAACGACAGAAGACAGGAAATGTGTTTGCCCTATGATAGTCTTGAGTGGATTACAGTCACCAATGGAAACAAACAGTGACCTAACATAAAAAGTAACTTGTCAGTATTAATTAACACAAATTTATGTCAACATAAAATTTATGTGGGCATAAAATTTATATGAGCTCGTAAAAAGCCAGCAATTCACAGGAAATCATTTTTAATTTATGCAATATCTATTATAGAGCACATTTGAGACCTACATGAAAAAGATATGATTTCTGACTCAAGAAATCAATGGTCTGACACATTTTTTTATTGAGTAGATAGATACCAAGTGTCCAGATTAATGGATTTAGTATTTCATTATACTCCACATGGATCAGAAACAGTGATATTAGTAGGTCCAGAACAAATTAAATGCAATATTTTTCTAAAGACTGGTACTGTGGTCTAGAATGTATGGGTGTGCTGTGTATGTATGTGTGCTCTTTATCCTGGAGATAAGAGGAACATAATTGCGATTTTCAGTTATAGTACTTAAAGGGTTCTCATGAAAAACAAGGGCTTAGGTATATTCTGGCTCCAGAGGATGGAACTGAGAAAAATAATTTAGGAGACTTATTTCATTTCAAGGTAAGAAACTTGACTTAGAAACTTAGAAGTGTCTAAACAATTAATCAGGAAATTGGTATAGCAATTAATTTCCTGAAACAAGGATCCAATAGTAGTTAATGATCCATTACCACCTAATAAGGATATTGTAGTTTGTGAAAGGTTAGATTATAATACTTCTGAAATGTAGTCCACCATGCGATTCTGCCATACCAAACATTTGTAAAAGTGCCATAAACCAGTGCTGCTGTGATTACAATATGGACAGCTCTCACTACTATTCTGTGTTTAGGGAGGAGGCAATAATTAAAAATCATGATATTATTATATATGTATTCAATGAAAACCTAGGTAATACTGTGCTTCTCATTGCTACTTTTGCGAAACACTCAGATGTCTAATTGTGTTTAACCCACAAAATAGTTCAATGAGAGCTTCCTTGTCTGAAAACAGACATTAGGTCATTGTCAATACCTCTGCCAAAATACACATATCTAGCATATTGTGTCTCAAGTCAGGCATGTCTGGGAAGTGCTAACTCAGGGACAAGGTAAAATACTCATATTCTTCTACCAAGTAAGTAAAGAGAGGTTTTTAAGGAAGACTTTGCTCCCATCCACCATGATGCACTATGTTCATGTAACTTTGGTAATGACTTCACATAAGGAGATCACAGAGACATGCTCATTGTTCTCACTGACCTCCTGAGATCATGAATTTCTTCAAAGCAAGAAACTGGTTCCTTTATGGTAAACAATGTACAAACACATTGGCAAGGAAGGACTGCTCTATTGCATGTTGTACCTTCATTTAACTGTGTCATTCATCCCTTCTCATCAATGGTTGACTCAACTCCACTTTTTTTTTCCAGTGTGCAAGCTGAAATCTTCTTTTACTTTTGCTTTACAAAGCATGCTTGAAAATACCTTCAGATTCGTATGAAAACAAATAGTGAACTGCCCATTATTAAAGAACTTACAATTGATCCACCCCGTACCATGTTAGTTGACTTTGTACAGAGTGCAGAGAGCCTGCATCCGTATTTACCTGTTCAATTTAATTTTATCCCTCTTTGTTGTGTGTAAAATCAGATTTAAAAAATTTTAGCATCACAGCCCAATGCTTCATGTACTCAAATTCTACACTTCACTAACCTTAATGCTACCACTGAAAGTAAGAAATTCTTGTTATTTCACAGGTTCTTTTTCACTGAGCAGGTATAACTACATTTCTTTTCTAATGGAAGAAAAAAGTTCATGAATTAAAGAAGACAATTTTACTGTGACTTAAGAAATGTGTTCTATTACAGTTGCTGGCAACTTCATGGAAATTACTTATTTTCTGTGTTTTGGGACATTTTGCTATTACAAATAATTCATTCTTACACATGAGTTATTTGTTATTGGTTTTTTAAAATAATTGATTATATGAAGCATTTATATAAGTGAAAATTTTGGGACTTGATTCCCTGAAATAATTCATTATATTCAATTTGTTGCTTCACAGTCTGTAGCTACATAATTGTTGTCTGACAAATATCCAATTAAGTCTGGCTTCATGTTCCAATGAGGTCATGCATGATATATCTGTACTTAATCATATTTAAGTACATATATATACACACATATTCATTGATAAATTGTTACTGCTGTCATTTTGAACAGGCAAACTCAAAAAAAAAAAAGCTAACTTCATAGACACAATCTAAAAACCAGAAGGGCTTCAGATGTCATCTATTATAAGCTCATCATTTTACAAAAAAGAAAAAGAGGTACTAAGTAATCTATTCACAGCCCATAGTTAGTTGTTGGAAGATTCCTCTAGCTACATATATTCATTCATACATGTAAATCATACAGAAATGCTGGATAAACAACAGTAACAAATACACTTAAAATATGAGACAAAATTCAGATTAGATAAAAGTGGCTAGGGAATTTAAAAAGCAAAATTCTCACGGGCTAGAAAAGATTAGAGAAAATTAAGCTAAAAAATGAAGCCACATCAGCACATGGCAGCCAGGGACAAATCTAAAAGGTTCTGACCCAATCAGAGTTTTGGGGGAAGGGTTTTAGTAGTCTCCTAAGGAAAAGAGGCATTGCCTTTTCCCACTGGAGTTAGAAACGATTGGATTGAATCTATAGAATAAAGCATGGTGCCATAAAAAGCTGCTTTCTATGTGATAAAGGGATTAGAAAAACACCATCCATCTTCCCAGAGAAGAAACAAGAAAGCAAGCTGTTCCTTTTCTTTGACGAAGAAGAAAAAAAAAATTACAAAAAGCAATTTGGAACCACATCATTCATGAATGAAACTGCAAGTTTGCACTGTTTGAGTGGTGGTAAAGCTGCCAAATTGAGAGATTAATATAAAAACTAGATCCTAATTATTGAATCCCCTAGGGGTTCAACAGAAGAAAAATAAGATCACATTTTTTGGACACTTCAAGTGCCCAAGAATTCTGAGATTTTTTTTTTACGGTCAAAATGAAACTATGAAAAATATCTGCTTCAGCAAATGAAGAGATGACTGCTGCAGAAGTTGCCTTTCCTATACACAACTGGAATATTAGTCAAAATATATAAAACAATCTTTTTGGACACTGGACAACAGACAGACAAGACTGTGACACCAGCGATAAAAACAAAACGTCTTGAGGCAGTTTCCAAGCTACAGCAGGGTGAGAAAACTGAAACAGGGCCCTGTGGTCTTTGTGAGTTAAGGAAACAGAAATTAGAGTTCGAGGAAACCAAGGCAGCTTAAGTCTGTGAAGCAGAGAAACTGCAAAGAATGCTGTACAGAGAACTCAAAAGAACATCAAAAGAGGGTTCTCAAGTCTTTGGTTCAGTGCTAGTCTGCATCTGTGAAGATCATGGAGCACAACTCCTTGAAGTCTGGAGAAAGAACCACCTGGAAAAAAAAAAGACTGACAATTTGTGAAACTCACACAGGGATGGAAATAATCTGTGTTCACAGCCAGAGTAGAAAGAAATCTGTGTACAGCTCACTGAAGGGAAAATAGATTAGGCCCACAATGAAAGCTATCATTGACCTAAATGATAGGTTTAAAAAAGCCATTAATGAATCAAACTGAACTGCATTACATAATGAAATCAAACAATCTTTAAAAGACTGTAGTAAAAACCAGCACTTCAAAATGCAAAAATCAGAAGATCTGGCATATAAATAAAAGTTACTAGGCATACAAAGAAACCAGAAAATATGTCCGTAAACAACAAAAAATAGCTGTAGAAACACAGCCAGAAATGAAAAGGGGAGATAATTTTAAAAGAAAAGTTCCTAAAATTATCTATTATGTATATTAGATATACATAATGGGATCAGCAAACATTTTTGTAAAGAGCCAAAGAGGAAATATTTTGTATCATTATAGACTAAGAGGTAAAAACCAAGGATATTATATAAGTACTTACATAACGAGAGGAAGCAAATTTCTACAAATTTTAATTGACAAAATTTAAAATATGATAATCATAATTGAGTGTGATGTTTTGTAATAAGGTCTACCACTGTGAAGAATGAAATTATTTTGGGGAGGCATAACATTTTGATCAGTTGAGCTCCTTTATGTTTCCTATCTCCACAATCAATTGTAAATGTTCATCATAGAGTGATATATAAGGAGATTTTGTGTATTTCATCTTTGAAAATGTCTTTTCACACATACTTATGTGTGAAAAGCATACTGATATCACTCCACTAGCATGTGATTTTAATTCGGCACACTCATCACTTAAAAGGAATTTATAAAATTTCATTAGGTTCTTCTCCTGATATTTTCATTTCAGCATTTGATTAGATAGCAAATCAATCACTTCCAATCAACAATTTGGTGGAAACTTCTCCACTACACAAAATGATGTCAAAATCTGATCATTTCTTTTTCATCTAAATCAAAATCTGAAAAATGCTGCTGAAATTGTAGTTTGAGCTAAAAAAATATATCTACTGCCAATTTGTATGGGAATGTGAGATCTTAATTCTGTACTTAAGATAATTAAGATACCTAATTATGATCATTAAATCTGTAGCAAAATCTAATTTCTAAGATAATTATGATAATTAAGTCTGTTGCAAAATCTAATTTCTAAAGCCAGTCAGTATTTGGTGATAGAGACTGAGGGAAATTTTTTGCAGGCAGAAAAAAATTTAATCTCAAGCCCAAGCTAAAAACAAAATAATATCATAATAAAACTTTCCTACTGCTAAGCTATTCGACCATGGCATGATAGGACGTGTCAGGGTATTCTGCTTCTATTTCTGATAAAAATTTGTGAAAGTGATAACTATCAAGTCCCTGAGAGGAAAGGAAATTCACCATTGACAACACTGGTTTAATAATACATTATAGTTCAAAAATTTATGCCTGGAAATCTGTTGATAAATAATGCAATTAATAGCCACAGTGTTTCAGCAGCTTACAATATTACACACTTTTTAATTTGTCCAGCTAAGCATTTTCCTGCTCCATAGCTGTTTTTACTACCATCTGTTTGAACACTTCTTAGCGGATTCCACTTCAGGTTGTATTGAAATCCATTTTTTTAACTTCTTTGAAAATACATTCCTTTATAATTATTTCATGCAGACTATTCATAGAAGCTAATTTTTCAGTCACTTTAAATTTAACAATTAGTTCAAATTAACAGCAGAACAATATCGGTATATCTGCTAAATCATTAAGAGCCGAGAAAAATCACTCCAAATTATCTGCTGTGCTTTTTAATTATTCTTGTTGCTCCCAATGTTTTAAGCTCTGTGAAAAACTATTCTTGCCAAAAGATTGTCATTAGCTAGTTCAATTTCTCTGAACATATTTATTCAGCTGATGCAATCAAAATTAATTTAATTAACTCACCACCAGCAACAGTTTTCCTTCTCAGCTAACAAATGAGCCAATAATCTTGTTTTCAGCTACATTTTTATTTTTTACTTTTGTGAATAAATTCTGCTATGATGAGATGTTTCTTTTGTAAGTTTTAATTTTTCAGTTCTCACAGGAAGGCTGCTTTCCTGTGAGTTAGTAATATGATAAGTGCTTAGTCTGGTAATGTTACTGTATATTGCATTTTTAAGCACAGCTGTAGTACCAATGAATAGTAAAACACAATATATTTCCATCTAATTTAATACTAAGATAATTCACACTCCAATGTGCCTTAAATGCACAAAATTCAATGTCCACGTTTTCTTCACTTATTTTGATATGATGGGTATGCAAAAATAAAATTTTACAACATAACACTGTACATTTTCTCAAAATGCTGTCATGTTTCAGCTACATCACTGTGTACAGCGCACTGAAGAGCAGTGCAAAGCAATGAGAATGCTAAACGGAGTCTCTATTGTAATGACTCAGCTCTGCTGTTGTGGTATGAAAACAGCCAAAGTTGATAAATGGATGACATGGCTGTGTTACAATGTAATTTTAATTATGAGTGCTGAAATTTTAATTTCAAATAGTTTTCATATGTCACAACTGTTATTCTTTTAGTTTTTCAACTCCTTAAAAATGCAAAATTCATTCTTAACATTGCAAGTCATACAAAACAGACAGAGGGCTGGATTTGGCCCGCAGGCCATTGTCTGCCAACCCCCATCTAAGCAATCAGCTCAGGATGTTAGAAAAACAAAAATGTAAGTTAAAAAAAAGAAAATAAAGGAAATGATATAGATAAGAATAGATACTAATTAAATATAAAAATAAAAGAAAAAATGCTAATCGAGTATCAACAAAGTACAAGTTGTTTTGTAAAAAATTAACAGACAATAAACCACTAGTGAACTTGCTCCAGAAAATTAGAAAGACATATGTAGCAATTTGAAGAAAGAAAATGGAATGCAACTACGAATATAAAATGGAGGATGGAATATAAAATGGAATATAAAAAATGATGGAAGATGGAAGATGGAATACAAAATTGAATATAAAAAAAAACCATGAGAATGCAGTCAACACATTTATGTCCAGGAATGATAAAAATTTGTTAAATGAATGTTTTTAAAATATAACTTGCCAAAAGTTATCACAAGAATAAATATAAAAATACATTTAAATTATTAAATAAATTAGTCAAAAATCTACTTAGATAAAAGCCCCAAGATTCAGATAATTTTGTAGGACACTGTTTACAAAACCTTAATAAGATAACTTTTATCTAAAAAAATCTAATCTATATAATTGAAAAGGGGGGAAAAATTGATTCTGTAGAGAAGATACCAGAACCTTGATAACAAATCCATAGTCAAAAATATTACAAAAGTAATTGTCATTCAACTTATTTTTGAGAACAGACACAAATATTTTACATAATATATTACAAACAGAAAAAGATAATCATGATTAACTGAAAACATTATATTTTAAAAACAAATTAATGTAATACACCATGTCAATGCATTGAGGGAGAAAGCAGATAGCCTTGCAGTAGATTCAAGGCAGAGGCTGGAAAAAGCAAAAATTTTAATCCCAAATTTCTCATTTTAAAAAAAGGTAAAAGCAATGCTGAGAAGACTACGAATAGAGAACTTCCTTAGCATCACTACTGTAGAGGAAAATAATCTATCACAAAATATGAGTAAGCATATTAATGGTAAAACATTGAACATTCCCTTTAAGATTGGGAAGAAAACACAAGTACTCTCTGAATTTCTTAATATTCCACAATAAACTAGATGTTCAAGACAGTTATATAAAGATTGGAAAAGATTATATTGTTTTCATTCACAAAAATATGATTGTCTGTATAGAAAATTCAAGAAAAACTGTGGGCAACCTATTAGAACTAATAAGACACAATAAATTTTCTGGACAATGTTTAACAATGACAAAGTAGGGGGAAGATCTCTGGAGAAAGAATAATATTAATTTACATGAAAATAAACTTTAGTGATACCAATAATGATACTTTTTTTTTTTTTTTCCTGAGACAGAATCTTGCTCTGTCACCCAGGCTGGAGTACAGTGGCACAATCGCAGCTCACTGCAACCTCCGCCTCCCAGGCTCAAGCAATTCTCTTCCCTCAACCTCCTGAGTAGCTAGAATTACAGGCGTGTGCCACCACGCCTGGCTAATTTTTGTATTTTTAATAGAGAGTGGGTTTCACCATCCTGGTCAGGCTGGTCTCTAACTCCCGACCTCATGATCCGCCTGCCTCGGCCTCCCAAACTGCTGGGATTACAGGTTTGAGCCACCACGCCCGGCCTCAATAGTGATAATATTTTATATCTTAAGCTTTCTGTTTTATTTTTACAATTTAGAGTATCAGTAGGATTCCACTTCTCATTAAATTCCATGTAAATATCATTCTTTCCCAATCTACATTTACTATAGCATAACAAAGAATTCCATGTTTTAAAAATGAGCTGGAAGCAAAGTACACATTCATAAAACATAAATGAATAAAAGATTATCTGTTGTTGGGCCACAAAAAGAAATTCTTTACTAAAAAGGATATTTTCTTTAAATAAAATATTGTCCTATTTTTCTCTCAGTCAGGTTCCCAAATGGATTTGTATCTATGTATTTTGTGGCAAAGTTTATTCAATTCAGTTTGAGTTTTGAATTCAACAGATTGTGTACTTTTCATATAGTATTAGCAGTGATTATATACCTTACATGTAGCATTAGAAATGTTTCATGAAAAGAAAATGTGGTAGGTATATAGGAAGGAAGTAGCCATGTTTTTTCTCCCCTGAGTCCCTGTGAGTCAAGAAAAAGTTTGTGTTTATTCTTTTCTTTATAATAATTAACATCAATAAATATTTATTGAAAAAATATATTTATTTTTAGTGACAGGAGAAAGATATATTACTTAAATTTCAGGGAAGTAAAAAAAGTGGAATCTAAAGTGATGCTAAGAAATAAATTTTTTTCCAGTAGAATCACTGATTCATAGTCATATGTCATAATATACATTTGTATTTTTAAGGCAAGTGTTATAATATGACAATACATTTGTATTTCCTTTTACACTTTTGTGAACAAGTTCACACAAGTTGTGATAGTGATTCCTAACTGGGGGAGTGGTAGAGAACTAAGACACCAATAATTTACTCAATATTATATTCATATTAAAACAGAAAGAAAATCCAATTTTACTTATTTTTATCCTTGTGTGAAAATTGTAGAAGTTTACCTATGTCCTTGCTTTTTAAAATATTTTGTCTTCCTTTTTTATGAAACTATTTGCCTCATTGTCTAGTAAATGTTGTTTATAGAAGCAACCAGCTTGGACAAAATAGACCAAGCAGTTTTAAAATCAAAAAACTGATTTTTGTGATACATTGAGGAGTGTACAGAATAGAAAATTAGTTATTTACTCTGAGATTTCCAACTGTTATTTATTATAACCATGTGTGAAATTTAATTATAGTAATGTTTATTCATATAAATTTATACTTTACATGAATAGAAATTGCTCTCTTTTTCCTTAACCGTCAATGTATTCTGTATTTGACAACAGCAATTGCTCTCAGGTAATGAGAATACAAGTCAGCTTAGAACTGCAGGTTTCTGACATGCATCATTAAGGAAAGAAATGTCAATATATTGGAACATGTTTCACAAACAATAGTTTGAATGGATTTAACTGCATTTCTAAAACATTATCCTTTACTTAGAACTTTTTTCTGCACTATGTTAATTTTTCCCCTGTATTGTAATATTTCTTAGCCATTTGGGGGTATGACCTCCTTTGAGGTGGAGTTTTTCCTACATGTAGGAAAAAATGCCCCTGTGCATGTTACAAAGAAATTATGTATAAACTTCAGAGGGCATACAGATGACAGCAGTAAAAAAAACAACAACAAAAAAATTATGAACTCTGGGTCAACAGCCAAACTAAAACTTTTTTTAAAAATTTGTTTTGACACTCTTTTCTTGAAATTTCCTTTATTTGCTTGTCTGGGGAGTTCTAAAGCATGCTTACTTTTACCTTATTAAAAATGATTTTTCTCCTCAATGTTTTGTTTTCAAGTAAAGAATATTTAACAGATTATTCTTAAGGAAATAGTACTTCCAATGAGTTGATTCTTGAGTTCATCAATCTTGTTTACTTCTATTAAGCAACCATTAGCCTACAAAAATTTTTAAATAATACCTTCCTTAGAGTTCATTGTGGTTATAGGATTGTCAAGAAATCACAACACAAATAATGGAAAAGTAATTTATAATGAAAAGAATACAGTGATTCTGCCTCTCCTAATGTTGTGGGCAATGTGACTGATCACTCAATCTCATCAAATCTACCTGCTCTCAATGGCAAAGCTATGAACATAGATCCTCCTTCGCTTCATTGCTACCAAAATACGCTATTATTTGGCTATAGCTGCTGTCTATCACAGGGTTTTCAAATTTATCTGATGATAGGAACAAGCTGGGGCATTGACTAAATATGCAGATTATCAGTCACGAAATATCAAGTTTTTCATGGAAACTCTGATTTAATGTGTTCATTTAGGCCCCCCAAATCTGTGGATTTAATAAGCATTTCAAATGAATCTTTTGAACGCAGTTTAGAAACACTTCGCCTGAATGCCTAAGACATGACTTGATTTGGCACTCTACAATTATTTAAAGGAAATTTTGGCTTTGAGTTCATTTGACATCTCATAAATTTTACTTTTTTATAATTTTGTTTACTAATTCTTCATTGATTATTACATACTAATTTGAATAATGGAAAATAACATTGAACTGAGAGTTAGAAGCTCATGGTTGAGCCTTTTTTTTTTTTTTTTTTTTTTTGGGCCTCTAGTTCCTATGTGGACTTTTGTATGTAATTACTGTCGACTATCTCTGACTCAGTTTTCTCATCTGTAAAATGAGAATGTTTGGCTACATGGCTTCTAAATCCTTTTTTAGCCCTAATATTAACCTATAACTAACTCTAATAAGTTAATCTTTATTACGGTTGAATCTAGAACTTATGTCAGCAAAAAATTAATAAAAACACAGACATTAAACACAAAAGATTTTACTATTAAATGCCAATGGAAAAATACATAACATTTAATTGTAGTCTTGTCACATTGACCCTTAAAAGCAAATGTACAACCAGGGATCTGCTAGATTATGCAGAGGCATCTAAGGTAGGTGATCTGAGGAACCCCAAGCGGCCCTTAGTAGCGGCTAATAGCTACCAATTTGGCCAGAGTGATTTTATCATTTATTGCTGAAGATGAAATAATATTTAAAAACCTATTAAATAGATATTTCAGATCGGGTTGCCTTGTTTTCACATAGAACATACTTTAAGGATATAAGATAATTGTATCTCTGTATGTGTGCATTTGTGTGTATAAAATATGTTTGTGATATGTAGTAGCTTTAGAGGCATAAATTACTATAATTCATATGTAGGAATTTGTATGTGCAAATCCACACAGGCATAAATGTATGTGTTCGTATATTAAGATATTTTCTTTGGTAGGTAGAAGTTTGGAGCATGTGACTCTATTTTCATAGTTCTCTATAATTTCAATTGTTACATTTTGAGCAAATCAAATAAAACTGTGATTAATATATAAATATTTTACGGCTGACTTTATATACTTTTAAGACAGCATCTAGCCCCATCGCTCTGCTTATGGCAGCCTCGACCTCCTGAGCTCAAGGGATCCTCCCACATCAGCCTCCTGAGTAGCTGGGACTACAGGCACATGTCACCATGCCCGGCTAATTTTTTTGGTATTTTTTGTAGACATGGGGTTTCACCATGTTACACAGTCTGCTTCAGCCTCCCAAATTGCTGGAATTAGAGACATGAGCCACTGTGCCCAGCTTGAATTCATACATTTTTGAACTCTTTTTCTTCACATTTTAAACTGTTCTAAAAACTCCTCTGGTGAGTTGGGATACAGGCAGTGGATTAACCTCTTCTGGGGTGTTCTATTTCAAGAGGCCTGAAGAAACACTTAGGCATTCCTAGTTAATCTACCGTTATCTACTGGAGTTAAATTAACTTAATATGTAAAATATATTCTAATACATATTTCCTTTACTAATAAATATTTCCTTTCCACTTCTTTGCATTTTCCTTCCTGTTGTGTTCATTTTTTGGATCCATTGTTGTTTGTTAAGGTCCTCTTCCTCTTGAATGGTTTAATTGTATTCTCTCCAAATTGTGCTTCTACAGATGTCTTTCTCTTACTCTAAAGTGTTTGAATGTAGGAGTCTCAAGTTCCAGTCTATTTGCCTCAGGAGTCAGTAGGGTTTTGTTCTACCATTTTCTAATGTTAAAGATTAGAAACATGGTGGCAGTCTTAATCATTTTATTTTGTAAGTAACTTACTCCTTTTTTCATGGAGGTTTTTCATGTCCCTGTTTTCTTTGTATTTCAAGATTTCACCATAAAAATTTGTCATAGAATGTGCTAAAACTCAATGAGTCCTTTTCATCTGCTAACTCAACATTGCAGTTCAGGAAAATATTTTTCTAGTAACAATGTTATTTTCATTATTCCTCCTCTTTGTTTTTCTTCTCTGGAATTCCTATTTTTCACATGTGTTTTAGTCTTCTACTGCTGTGTTACATTTCCATAAAATTAGCAGCTTAAAGAATTATACATTTGTTAGCACACAGTTTCTGTGGGAAATAAATCAGAACATAGCTTAGCGAGATCCTGTTCTCCAGGGCCTCATAAGCCTGCAATTAAAACATTGACCAGGGGCAGGGTGCAGTCGTTCACGCCTGTAATCCCAGCACTTTGGGAGGCTGAGGCGGGCGGATCACGAGGTCAGGAGATTGAGACCATCCTGGCTAACACGGTGAAACCCCATCTCTACTAAAATTACAAAACATTACCCAGGCGTGGTGGCGGGCACCTGTAGTCTCAGCTACTCGGGAGGCTGAGGCAGGAGGATGGTGTGAACCCGGGAGGCGGAGCTTGCAGTGAGCCGAGATCGTGCCACTGCACTACAGCCTGGGAGACAGAGTGAGACTCTGTCTCAAAAAAAAAAAAAAAAAAAAAAGAAAAGAAAAGAAATTGACCAGGAGTGCAGTTTTCTTAGAGGCTTAACTGAAGAAGAACTTCCTTTCAAGATCATGTGGTTTTTGGCAGTGTTCCTAATGGATTTTCAGACTGAAGTCTTCCTCAGCTATTTGCTATATGGATTTATCTATATGGCTGCTCACAATAGGATAGCTTATTTTTAGAAGCCAGCAATGGATAAGAGTCTCCTAGCAAGACAGGTTGCAGTCTTAACATTATCACATACACAAAATCACGTACATCCTGTCACCTTTGCTATATTCTATTGCTTGGAAACAAGTCAAAGGTCCCACTCACATTCAAGGTGATAGATTTACAAAAAGACATGAACACCAGCAAGCAAGAATCATGGTGGTGACTATAGAGCCTGTCTACCACAGTATGTTAGCTCTCCTGAATCTGTTCTTCAAGATTCTGATCTTTTCCAGCATACGTTTTATATCTTTGAATCTTTGTTTTATACTAGAAATATCTCTACTATTTGGATTCCAAGCAGGTCAAGACACACATTTTACCAATGAATATGTAATTATCTCATTTAATCCTCATATAAGCATGTGTATTAGGTACCATTATTATCTTCATTTTACCGTTAAAGAAATTAAGATGCAGATACACATAACTTAGGTAAGTAGAAGTTTTCATGTAAAACCAAGAAAAAACAAGGATGAATTCTATTGCCATTACTATTTAGCATTTTACTGACATTTGGTAATGGTAAAAAGTAAATGAAATTACATATCTGATACAAATATTGAGAAGAAAGTGATAGAAATTATCATTTTATATGTAAATTACTGTCTATATAGAAAATGCAAGAAAATCAATTGAATCATTAATATAGATGTGTATTAATGGGAAATTGTACAATTAAGCGTCAATAATACTTGTTCATATACTAGCAAAAAGTGCAAAATATAGAGATATTCTCTAATACAAGCAAAAAGTATATAAAATGTCTAGAATTCAATTTAAATAGAAATGCTCAGGACCCATATAAAGCATATTACTACATTTTACTACAGGCATAAAAACATCCACCTAAGTGGAAGACAAAACAATTTTGTCTGATGAGAAAACTTGGCACAATAAAAATTTTCTGCAGAGTTGCTTATAAATTAATTATGATTCCAACCAATACCCTCAAGAGTATTGCTCTTAGAACTTGACAAAGCTATTTTAAAGATCATTGGGAAGAATCAGCTTCATCACAAACTTTTTGATGAGTAAGGACAGAAAATTACACTAACCTATGAGTCTACAGAAGCCAAAAAATACATTTCTGGCACAAAATTAATCAATGGCACATGACAGAAAAGAAATATAGTAGCTTACTTGCTCATAATGTAGCATGCATTCATGTGCAGAGGCTGCAACCCCTGGGATAAATAGTATTCCAGCCACAGGCATAGTAAGATGATTATTCTGGAGACACCAGGACAAGGGTGAAGCAAAAGTGAAGTCAAGGGCGTAACTTTTAAAAAGGAACCCTCTCAGTGTAATTCAAGAGGCAATCCTGTGTGTGCATGACTCTGAGAGTGACTGTCCTTAAAGTTAGCACCCAAAATGCCTCTTATCTAAACCTAGTCCAAGGTTGAAGCCCACCCTCTTTAAAGCAATTTATTTTTAGACTACCACACATAGCTTCACAAATTTCATCAATTGACACCTATATTCAAAATCCCTGGCCTACCAGATCTTTGCCATACCTTTATCCTCAATAAGTTCTACGTAAGTTTTGCTCCTAACTTGGCCATTTCCCTGGAACATTTTTCACTGTGCCTTGGCATATACAGTTCCGTTATCAGCTAACTCCACAAACATCCTCAGTCTTTCTGAGATTGTTCCTTATACTTGTCTTAATTGAATCTAAAATCACAGTTCCCCTAAAATTTGGTCAAGTCATAAACTTGTGCCTCAAGATCAGGAGATAAGATTTGTATTCTTTATTTTATTTTGCCAGATAAATCACCACAACTCATAAACAGATAATTCACTAAAACTGCCTTACAAAAAAATCCTGCTCACTTTGTCTTTACCACTGTCCACTCTGTTGTTGTCATCCACCATCTTCATGTTTGCACCCCCTGATCGTTTTAAGAAGTGACTGGTGGCTCAAAATTTTCCTCTCTGTCCCAAGTTCTGTCATTACCTTAAGTGACTCAATATGAATGCCCACACAATAGCCTACTTCTTAGTACTTTATTGTTCTCATCTCTAATGATCTTCTTTCTTCTTCTTTACTCTTTAATGACAACATAGCCTGACCAAATTATTTTACAAAATTGCTCCACGTCCAACATCACTAATCCAAACACCCCAGATTATGACCACAACTTCTTCTCCTTCTAGTTGCTTCTTCAGCTACATATTCTGACTATTGCTTAACATCAAGGCCCTATTCCACTGACCCCTTACTTTCACTCAGTTTATGAGCCCTTTACTTTCTCCTATCTGTGAAGCTCTGTGATGTATCATACGTTGAAACTTTTGAAACAATATCCCTTGCAACCTTCTTTATTTCAATTATTTTTATAGGTCAAAACTCCATCCATTGATGGATATTCCACACATGCAATTGAGAAATGGAGCAACATTTAAAGTAGTTATATATGAAGGCTTTCATAATCACCTACCCCAAATAGACCTTCGAATTTGGCTCAGTTTTTAATATAACACGTTTTCTATTCAATGTGTGCTCCCTTGACTTACAACTCCTATTTTAACTCAACATCCCTGATATGGTTTAGCTGTGTCCCTACCCAAGTCTCATCTTGAATTTCCACGTGTTGTGGGACAGAACCAGTGGGAGTAAATTGAATCATGGCAGCAGATCTTTCCCGTGCTGTTCTCTTGATAGTGAATAAGTCTCACATGGTCTGATGGTTTAAAAAATGGGAGTTTCCCTGCACGAGCTCTCTTTTTGCCTGCCACCATCCACGTAAGATTTGACTTGCTCCTCCTTGCCTTCCACCATGATTGTGATGCCTCCCCAGCCACGTGGAACTGTAAGTTCCATTAAATCTCTTTCTTTTGCACATTGCCAAGTCTCAGGTGTGTCTTTATCAGTAGCATGAAAATGGACTAATACAGTAAATTGGTACCAGGTAGAGGGGCGCTGCTGTAGCATATCCAAAAATGTGGAAGCAACTTTGGAACTGGGTAAAAGGCAGAGGTTGGAACAGTTTGGAGGGCTCAGAAGAAGACAGAAAAATATGGGAAAATTTGGAACTTCCTAGAGACTTGTTGAATGGCTTTGTCAAAAATGCTGATAATGATATGGACAATGAAACCCTGGCTGAGGTGGTCTCAGATAGAGATAACGAACTTGTTGGGAAGTGGAACTAAGGTGAATCAAGAGACTGGAGGCATTTTGCCCCTGAGATTTGCCCTAGATTTGCCCTAGAGATTTGTGGAACTTTGAACTTGAGAGAGATGACTTAGGGTATCTGGCAGAAGATAAGCCTGCAATTAAAACATTGACCAGGGGCCGGGTGCAGTGGTTCATGCCTGTAATCCCAGCACTTTGGGAGGCCGAGGCAGGCAGATCATCTGAGGTTAGGAGTACAAGACCAGCCTGGCCAACTTGGTGAAACCTCATCTCTACTAAAAATACAAAAATTAGCCAGGTGTGGTGGTGCATACCTGTAGTCCCAGCTACTCAGGAGCCTGAGGCAGGAAAATCACTTGAACCCGGGGGGCGGAGGTTGCAGTAAGCCAAGATTGTGCCACTGCATCCCAGCCTGGATGACAGAGTGAGACTCCATGTCAAAAAACATAAAACAAAAAAGGGTGAGTTTCCCTGCACAAGCTATCTTTTTGCCTGCCACTATCCACATAAGATGTGACTTGCTCCTCCTCATCTTCCACCATGACTGTGAGGTCTCCCCAGCCATGTGGAACTCTAAGCCCATTAAAACTCTTCCTTTTGTAAGTTGCCCAGTCTTGGGTGTGTCTTTATCAGCAGCATGAAAATGGACTAACACAATCTCTTTCTATTCCACTGAGAACAGAGAAGACAAAGGGTCAGATCTTCCTTAACTTCCCAAATCCACCTGTAAATCTACATAAATCCTAATATAGCCCATCTTTGTTTTCTTGTTATATCAAAAGACGGGCTTTACCTCCAAATTAGATACTATCACTGTGTAAGTTTTCTAAACCCTGTGCCTTCTCATCTTCTTAAGAACTTTATATTAAATACAAGTTTCACATTTTTGGCCATTCAACTACTCTTTCTCAATTAAATAATGTTCATAAAAATTGAAAAGTATGCAAACCTCTTCAACATAATAGCTTTTGAAAGTAATGTACACAAATTTATTGAAGTATGATTGACATACTTTGAAAGAGAAGCTACAAAGACAATAAAATACCTAGGATCCAACTTACAAGGGACATGAAGGACCTCTTCAAGGAGAACTACAAACCACTGCTCAATGAAATAAAAGAGGATACAAACAGATGGAAGAACATTCCATGCTCATGGGTAGGAAGAATCAATATCGTGAAAATGCCATACTGCCCAAGGTAATTTATAGATTCAATGCCATCCCCATCAAGCTACCAATGACTTTCTTCACAGAATTCGAAAAAAACTACTTTAAAGTTCATATGGAACCAAAAAAGAGCCCACATTGCCAAGTCAATCCTAAGCCAAAAGAACAAAGCTGGAGGCTTCACGCTACCTGACTTCAAACTATACTACAAGGCTACAGTAACCAAAACAGCATGGTATTGATACCAAAACAGAGATATAGATCAATGGAACAGAACAGAGCCCTCAGAAATAATGCCACATATCTACAACTATCTGATCTTTGACAAACCTGAGTAAAACAAGCAATGGGGAAAGGATTCCCTATTTAATAAATGGTGCTGGGAAAACTGGCTAGCCATATGTAGAAAGCTGAAACTGGATCCCTTCCTTACACCTTATACAAAAATTAATTCAAGATGGATTAAAGACTTAAACTGTTGTGGGGTGGGGGGAGGAGGGAGGGATAGCATTAGGAGATATACCTAATGCTAAATTACGAGTTAATGGGTGCAGCACACCAGCATGGCACATGTATACATATGTAACTAACCTGCACATTGTGCACAGGTACCCTAAAACTTAAAGTATAGTAATAATTAAAAAAAAAACTTAAGCTAAACTTAACTTTAAACTTAAACTTACACTAAAACCATAAAAACCCTAGAAGAAAACCTAGGCATTACCATTCAGGACATAGGCATGGGCAAGGACTTCATGTCTAAAACACCAAAAGCAATGGCAACAAAAGCCAAAATTGACAAACGGGATCTAATTAAACTAAAGAGCTTCTGCACAGCAAAAGAAACTACCATCAGAGTGAACAGGCAACCTACAAAATGGGAGAAAATTTTCGCAACCTACTCATCTGACAAAGGGCTAATATCCAGAATCTACAATGAGCTCAAACAAATTCACAAGAAAAAAACAAACAACCCCATCAAAAAGTGGGCAAATGACATGAACAGACACTTCTCAAAAGAAGACATGTATGCAGCCAAAAAACACATGAAAAAATGCTCATCATCACTGGCCATCAGAGAAATGCAAATCAAAACCACAATGAGATACCATCTCACACCAGTTAGAATGGTGATCATTAAAAAGTCAGGAAACAACAGGTGCTGGAGAGGATGTGGAGAAATAGGAACACTTTTACACTGCTGGTGGGACTGTAAACTAGTTCAACCATTGTGGAAGTCAGTGTGGCGATTCCTCAGGGATCTAGAACTAGAAATACCATTTGACCCAGCCATCCCATTACTGGGTATATACCCAAAGGACTGTAAATCATGCTGCTATAAAGACACATGCACACGTATGTTTATTGCGGCACTATTCACAATAGCAAAGACTTGGAAACAACCTAAATGTCCAACAATGATAGACTGGATTAAGAAAATGTGGCACATATACACCATGGAATACTATGCAGCCATAAAACATGATGAGTTCATGTCCTTTGTAGGGACATGGATGAAATTGGAAATCATCATTCTCAGTAAACTATCACAAGGACAAAAAAACAAACACTGCATGTTCTCACTCATATATGGGAATTGAACAATGAGAACACATGGACACAGGAAGGGGAACATCACACTCTGGGGACTGTTGTGGGGTGTGGGGAGGGGGGAGGGATAGCATTAGGAGATATACCTAATGCTAAATGACGAGTTAATGGGTGCAGCACACCAGCATGGCACATGTATACATATGTAACTAACCTGCACATTGTGCACATGTACCCTAAAACTTAAAAGTATAATAATAATTTAAAAAAAGAGAAGTTAACTTCTCGTAGCATATTTGCATACATTTTAATAAGCAAAATTAATATCATTTAAACCATACCCAATTTCTGTATTATGACCAATTTGGGAGGTAAATGAAAAAAAAAACTTTTTTACAAGATAGATGGGTAAAATAAGTGATATTTGAAAAATTCTAAAAGCACCTTATCTTAAAAATTTTTAGAAATTTTCAACTAAGACTTTAAAAACCATGTCCCACTCCAATTATCAATAGACACACTTGCACAGGCCACTTCTTGCTATAGGCCCAAGGTTAACTTTCTTGTTTTCTTCCCAGTACTATTTTCTGAATTTAAAATTTTTACTTAATATGCACTGCTATTGATGTGCATGTTTGTGCTTGTAGTTGATACAGGTTTGTGACACACAATCACAAATGATTATTTGAAGTTCAAAAGTTCTCTGGAGCCTACTAGTCAGTTTCAAAAAGTGCACCTGAAGAATGACGACCACAGTATGGTATAACTGATTATGCAATGCTTCTGCTTCCCACTATTAGCTTCTTCTTCTTCTTCTTCATTATCACCTTGATTTAATCTGCTTTGCCAGGGAATATGAAACTTACTGGAGTTGGAGAAATGGGGTCCAGTTTGGGTTATTAAGTAGGACGAAGGCAGAGCTCAATTACTCTTTCCTATGTGAGATATGTACTATTGCATGTAAAGATAAAAACCCACTTCTAGGATTATAGTACAACTTGATCTAAAATAATTTCTTAACGCAAAATAGTATACATATATTTAATTAATTATTCTTATGGTTTTAGGGCAAACATAAGCCCAAAATCATAACCATTGGCTATGCAATACTGAGACAATCCATTTGTACTTACAGATAGGTTAAACTAAGCAGTCTCATATACATAAAAGAAATAAATCCTGAGTGAAATAATGTACTAGTTAATGTGTTTGCCTTTGAGATATATAAAAATAGTTGTGTTAATTTCACTCGGTATTTTTATCAAATGTTAAATGTATCATATATTATATAAATAAATAAATAAATAAATATATATACACACACACACACGCGCGCACACACACACACATACACTCCTAATCCAAAAATATTTCTGGAAAATTTTCTAGTTGCCTTAGAGCTAAAATTTGAAATACTGCATAATTATGTATTGTCAGAAAAATTAAAGTTTTGATTAACTCTTATAATTATTGAAGATAACTAAAAATACTCTGTATCTATGTTCTTGCAGATAAGGAATAAGAAGGGAGAGATTATATATGTATCTGTCCTTTAATTAAATATCTTACAAAGATTCTTTTAACTGATCTGTGAACTTCTGGGAAAAGCTCACCCATTTTATGAGTCATAGGTATCTGGTATTCTGCAGAATGTGACTTCAGATGCATTCACAGTGTGAACACTAGTCATCATCAAATTATAGCAGCATTATATTTGTGCTCCAAAAATAGACCTGCCCGGGAAAATTAGTATCCACTTTACTCAACTCTTAAGTAGAATTGCAGTGATAATAAGCATATGACAATGAATAAAATACATGGAAAAGTGTAATACTAGGCTTATGATCTGTATTTTTCATTTTTTAATAATTTCTATTTCTTTGAGAACTGTTTTCTCTGTTTGTAGTATGAAAAAATTCACAATAGAATTATACTAATATAACAGATATAGATTTTAAAAAGTTCTACACTGCAGGTATAACTACTGCTATTTAAAGAGAATATTTTGCCTAAATATAAAAAATAAAATACAGTTGACCTACGATATCAAACACATATGGAATATATCAATGATAGACACTTTAAAATGTCTACTTTGAGTTTCAAGAGATCAGATAAGTGTGAGTACTATAGCCTGACAGTATAAAGAAGCTAAATTTATATAATTCCTTTGCCCTCCAACCTGGGAATACTTAGAAAATGTCTCAAAACAATGAAAAGAACCTTGAATGATCTTTGAAGAAATGTACAATTGATGTAACATACAATTGTAACTTATATAACCATCTTTACATCCTTAGTATTTAGTGATCTGAAAGTGATATTCTAACCCAAGGCGAGCCGGGAAGTAAATTTAAATTACAGTTAACATCACCCAGCATTATCTCAGAGATATCAAAATGTTATCTTTCTGTCATTCATTTTATGCCTACAAGAAAATCTTTTCCATTGCCAAATCAAATCCAAGAGAAAATTTTCACTTTCTGCTTTGTTCTATTCGAAAATAAAAGAAAAAGAAAAGGGAAAAGAGGAAAGTTTCATAAAAATAAAGCTACTTTTGTGAAATAGAGAAAGAAACAATAGACATTTTATGCAGAAAAAATTAGTTCAGTCCAGGAGAAGGATAAGGAAAGTTATTCCTTTTCTAAGTGACTCTTTTTGTACATTCAGATGAACCATTCTGGATGAATTCTCAATTATTGAACTGAAATATCAGAAAATTTTAAATTAAAAAACTGTTTACATTAAACCATTAGTAACTGTGGTGACTAATTATTGATCAATTAGCCTCAATAGAAAGGATTTAAGGTTGGCTTTTCTAAAAACCCAAATCTGCACTGCCTCCCTGGTAATGGTAGGAAAGTGGAGTTTATAGGCCTTTCTCGAGGTTCCAGTTGATTTGCTGGAAGGTTCTAGTGGACTGAAACACAATAGCCTCAGGAATGGAGAGTTATTTTCAAATAATTCTCTATAAATCATAGGTGTTAGATAGAAAGAAAGATTAGTAAGAAGATGGGGCATATGAAAAATTAAAATTAACACAGTATCTCTCAGATTAAACTTGAAAGGTCCCAGGACAAATAATGTATGTCTTATTCACACCTGATCCTTTCCTGGGTACTACTTAACTCTGGCTGCTCCATAAACTGGTAAATTTCAGGATCCACTTATCAATAAACAGCCTTGTAGTTTTTCTTGAGTTTTCCTCTCAGCACTTTCAAGTGAATAAAAGTTAAATGCAAATTTCTTCATAGTCAAAAGTCACTGTTAGTTTTTCAAAAAATAATAGTCACCCTTTCTTCATTATTCCAAAAGCACCTTATACAAGGGTTGATAAATTTATTTATAAAGGGCTAAATAATAAGCATTTTAGGCTTCAAGGACCATAGCATCTCTGTCGTAAGTATTCTACTATCTAAATATAGCATGAAAAAAGCCATAGATAATACACCAAGAATGGGAAGAACTGTGTCCCAATAAAATTTTATTTATGAACATTGAAATGTTAGCTTCATATCAGTTTCACTTGTCATAAACTATTATTCTTCTTTTGAATTCTTTTAAACAATTAAAATATGAAAGCCATTCTTACCTCTGAGTATGTGGGCTGTAAAACAAACAAACAAACAAAAGAGGTAGCAGGCTCACGTTCCAAAAGGAAATGTGTGAACTCGTAACTGATTCTATTTTCCTACTATGATATTTATTACAGTGTTACACACCTGTTTACATAGTTCTATCTTCCACAGACAGTGAGTTTCTTGAGAGAAGGGATTTTTGCCTTAGCATATTTATGTCTCCAAAACTTGGCACAGTGATTAGCAGACAATAAGCCCTTGATAAATGCATGGTGAATGTATTTTAAATATTACCCCTATTCTACATCAAGCACTTTACGTTTTCTGTAACACAACATTCAAACAAATCTATTGACCACATTCAAATTCTGAGTTCTAGTAACCTGGTGATAGACATACATGCATTGGATTCTAGCTATATTAAGAAATCAAAACAAAAATCAGTCTCATGATAACCTAAGATACATTTTAGTTAATTGTTCAGGAAAAAATTCCAGAAGAAATAACATAGAAAATGAAATTGTTTAGTGTTAAGGTTGAATAAGGGTGGTATTTAATACTTAACATGTTTAACAAATAATTGTTAGATTTTCTACCAAAATCTTTTATCTACCATGTTGGTGTAATCAGCGTTATTCCTTACTGATGTCTCAAATCAAATCAGACTACTTACATTAGAAATGAAAGTGTTATGACAATAACTCAATAGACCAAAATCAATATCCAAGAACCAGTTATAACTATTTTTAGAACCTCTTTGCTTTATCTCTGAGCAACTAGATTCAATATGGGCTATTCAAATTACTGAAGGCTGACAGACAGTATGACAAGGATTACTGGATTAAAATAATTACTGTCAACCAAATAAAAAAATTAAATGAAAGGCCTTTGTTGCGGGATGAATCGTGTGCCCCCAAAAAAGACATGTTGGAGCCCCAACCTTCATTTCCTGTTTATATGACTGAGATGCTTTTGATGTTTTTCCCCTCCAAATCTCATGTTAAAATGTGTCCTCCAGTGTTGAAGGTGGGGCCTAGGGGGATGTGTTAGATCACGGGAAGGATCCTTCATGAATAGCTTAGTGCCATACCCTTGGTAATGACTGAATTCTCACTCTGAGTTCACACGAGATCTGGCTGTTAGAGACATCCTTCCTCTCTCTCTTACTCCCTCTCTTGCCACGTGATACGCTGCTCCCCTTCACTTTCTACCATGATTGGAAGCTCCGTGAGGCCATCACAAGAAGCAGATGCTGGCACCACAATTCTTGTACAGCCTGCAGAACTCTGAACCAAAATAAACATCTTTTCTTTATAAATTAGTCAACTTCAGGTGTTTCTTTATAACAATACAAGAACAAACTAACAGAATATTGATACCTAGTAGTGGGATGTTGATAGAAACATAACTGAATATGTGGAAGCAACTTTGGAACTGGGTAATGGGCAGAGACTGGAAGAGTTTGAAGGGCTCAGAAGAAGACAGGAAGACAAGGGAAATCTTAGAACTTCTTAGACACTGGTTAAATGGTTGTGACCAAAATGCTGATAGAGATGTGGAGACTGAAGTCCAGGCTGAAGTCTCAGATGGAAATTGGGAAGTTATTGGGAACTGGAGTAAAGGTCACATGTTTATGTCCTAGCAAACAGCTTGGACACGTGTACATGTCCTAGGGATCTGTGGAGGGTTGAACGTAAGAGTGATGACTTAAAGCATCTGGTAGAAGAAATTTCTAAGCAGCAAAGTGTTCAAAAATTGATGTGGCTGCATCTAACAACCTACAATCAGAGGTGGGAGCACAGAAATGACTCAATGTTAGAATTTATAATTAATAGGGAAGCATAATATAAAAGTTTGGAAAATTTGCATCTTGGCTATGTGGCAGAGAAAGAAAATGCTTTTTCAGGAGAGGAATATAAGCAGGCTGCAGAAAAATAACTTGCTAGGCAGATTTGCATGACTAAAAGGGAGCCAGGTGTTACTCTCCAAAACAATGGGAAAAAGGCTTCAAAGTCATTTCAGAAATTTTCCAGGCTGCCCCTCCCATCACAGGCCCAGAGGCCTGGGAGAAAAGAATGGTTTTGTGAGCCAGGCCTGGGGCATCACTGCCCTATACTAGTCTGGGTTTCAGACTCACATGGGACATGTTGCCCCTTTCTTTTGGCCAATTTCTTCCTTTTGGAATGGGAATATCTAGCCAACGCCTACACAACTAATTGTATCTTGGAAGTAAATAATTTGTTTTTTTTTTATTTTACAGGCTTATACATGGAAGGAGATGTGTCTCAGGTGAGAATTAGTACTTTGGACTTGATGCTGGAACAAGTTAAGACTTTTAGGGACTATTGGGAAGGCATGTTTGTATTTTCCAATGTGAGAAAGATATGAAATTTAGGGAGCTGGGGTGGAGTGATATGGTTTGGATGTTTGTCCCCTTCAAATCTCATGTTGAAAAGTAACCACCAATATTGAGGGTGGGACCTGGTGGGAGGTGATTGGATCACAGGGGTGGATCCTTTATGAATAGCTCAGCACCACTCCCTTGGTAATGAGTGAATTCTCTCTCAGAGCTGATGTAAGATCTTTAAAAGACTGTAGTGCTTCCCCACTCTCCCTCTTACTTCCTTTCTTGCCACGTGATACACTACTTCCCTTTCCCTTCTGCTGAATATAAGCTTCCTGAGGCCTCACTAGAAGGAGATGCTTGCACCAGGATTCCTATATACTCTACAGAACCATGAGGAAAATAAACACATTGTCTCTATAAATTACCCAGCCCCATACTAACACAGTGAACTTATTTAGAAATAGGGTCTTTAAAGATGTAATCAAGTTAAGAAAGGGTCATACCCAATTAGAGTAGGACCTCATCCAACATGACTGGTGTCCTAATAAGAAAAATATAACAGGGGAGGGGATGGCTAATTAGAAGCAGCTGTAGTCTGCCGCTTTCACAAAACAGTGAGTGTACACTGTACCTTTGACTGAGGTATCCAGATTCTCACACTGGGACTAAGTAGGCAGACGGCTTGACCCACAGAGACTGAGGAAAAACAGGGTGGGGTGATGGCTTACCTGGGAGCATCAGGAAGCCATGGAGTCCCCACACACAGCCAAGGGTGGTGGTGAGTCTTTGTGCCACCCTGCCCAGGAAGCCACGCCTTCCCTATGGATCTTTGCAACCTGTGTATCAGGATATCCTCTCCTGAGCCCAGGTCACCAGGGCCTTGGTCCAAAGCATAGAGCTTTGTGGAGTCTTGGTGGAGCAGCCGCTTGTTCACTCGGGCATGGAGGAAAATCCAGGAGTTTTGCATTCTCCAGTCCTGGGAATTCCGGCAAGGAAGAGGTCCCAGGCATTCCCCTAAAAAGGGGGCTCAATACAGGGAGGCATCTTCCTGTTGGACTCCACTCCCATGGGGCCTCACAAGACCCACTGGCTTAGAATTCTACCCAGCAAGCAGTGGCAGGCTGGTGACAGCGCCTGAGAGGGACTGAGTTCCAGGAAGGAGGGGCAGTTACCATATCGGCAGCTGGAGTCAGCCACTCTAGCCTGTAGGCACCTGGGACCAAAAGGAATTCCCCACAACCTACCACAGCTGCTATGCCTGATTGTGGCCAGCCTGTTTCTTTAAGTGGGAACTTGATCCATCCCTCCTCACTGGGTGGGGCCTCCCTATGGGAATTTCAGCAACTCCAGCCAGGGTTATATGAACAGAGCTATGATCTCTCCCTGGAATAGAGTCCCTGCGGGGAGCGGCAGCTGCTGTTTCTGTGGTTCAGCTGACTTAGTCTTGCTAGGCGGCTGTTTCTGGAGAGGCTGGACAGCCAGTGCAGGGCACCTCCTCTGCCAAGGGGCAGCCAGACTGCTTCTTTAAGCGAGTCCTTGATTCTATTCTTCCTGACTCTATAAGACCTCCTAAAAGGGGTCTCCAGACACCTCTTACAGGAGCATTCCAGCTGGCACCAGGTTGATGCCCCCTTGGGATAGAGCTCCCAGAGGAAGGAGCAGGCTTCCATCTTCGTTGTTTCACAGCCTTCACTGGTGATTCACACCTTCCTAGACCAAGGTGACTAGGGTCTGAAGTGACCAACAGCAAACTACAGAAGCCCTACGGAAGAGTGACCTGTTAAAAAAACATAATAATAAATAATTATAAAAAAACAGAAAGCAGCAACAACATCAACTGAAAAGACCCCACAAAAACCCCATTCAAAGGTCAGCAACCCCAAAGATCAAAGATAGCTAAGCCTACAAAGATGAGAAAGAATCAATGCAAAAATAGTGAAAACTCAAAAAGCCGGAGTGCCTCTTCTCCTCCAAATGACCACAACATCTTTCCAGCAAGGGCACAAAACTGGGCTGAGGCTGAGATGGATAAATCGACAGAAGTAGTCTTCCGAAGGTGGGTAATAATGAAATTCACTGAACTAAAGGAGCATGTTCTAATCCAATGCAAAGAAGCTAAGAATCATGATAAAACATTACAGGAGCTGATAACCAGAATAGCCAGTTAAGAGAGAAACATAACTGACCTGATAGAGCTGAAAAATACAACACGAGAACTTCACAATGCAATTACAAGTATCAATATAGCCAAATAGAACAAGCAGAGGAAAGAATCTCAGAGCCTGAAGACTATCTTTCTGAAGTAAGACAGGCAGACAAGAATAGAGAAAAAAGAATGAAGAGGAATGAACAAAATCTCTGAGAAATATGGGATTATGTAAAAAGACTGAACATATAACTGATTGGAGTACCTGAAAAACACAGGGGGAATGAAACCAAGTTGGAAAACATACTTCAGGATATCATCCAGGAGAACTACCCCAACTTAGCAACACAGGCCAACATTCAAATTCAGGAAATAAAAAGAACCCCAGTAAGATACTCCATGAGAAGACCAACCCCAAGACATATAATCATCAGATTCTCCAAGGTTGAAATGAAAGAAAAAATGTAAGGGCAGCCAGAGAAAAAGGCCAGGTCTCCTACAAAGGTAAGTCCATCAGACTAACAGCAGACCTCTCAGTGGAAACTCTATAAGCCAGAAGAGATTAGGTATTCAACATTCTTCAGAAAAAGAAATCCCAACCCAGAATTTCATATCTGGCCAAACTAAGCTTCATAAGCAAAGGAAAAATGAGATCCTTTTCAGATAAACAAATGCCAAGGGAATATGTCACCACCAGGCCTGCCTTGTAAGAACTCCTGAAAGAACCACAAAATATGGAAAGTAAAAACACTTACCAGCCACTGCAAAAGCACACTAAAGTACACAGACCAATGACACTATGAAGTAATCACATAAACAAGTCTGAAAATTAACCAGCTAGCACAATGATGGCAGGATCAAATTCTTACATAATAATAACCTTAAATGTAAATGGGCTAAATGCCCTGATTAAAAGACACAGAATGGCAAACTGGATAAAGAGTCAAGCCCCATTAGAATGCTGTCTTCAGAAGACCCATCTCACATCAAAAGACACACATAGGCTCAAAATAAAGGAATGGAGGAAAATTTACCAAGCAAATGGAAAACAGAAAAAAGTAGGGGTCATAATCCTAGTTTCCCATAAAACAGACTTTAAACCGACAAAGATCAAAAAAGACAAAGAAGGGCATTACATAATGGTAAAGGGTTCAAATCAACAAGAAGAGCTAACTATCCTAGATAAATATGCACCCAATACAAGGAGCACCTAGATTCATAAAGCAAGTTCTTAGACACCTACAAAGAGACTTAGACTCCTACATGTAACAGTGGAATTCTTTAACGGCCCACTGACAATATTAGACAGATCATTGAGAGAGAAAATTAACAAAGATATTCAGTACCTGAACTCAGCTCTGGATCAAACAGACCTGAAAGATATCTACAGAACTCTCCACCCAGGATATACATTCTTCTCATTGCCACATGGCACTTACTCCAAAACTGATCACATAATTAGAAGTAAAACACTCCTCAGCAAATGCAAAAGAACTGAAATCATAACAATCTCTCAGACTACAATGCAATAAATTAGAACTCAAGATTAACAAACTCACTCAAAACCACACAACTACATGGAAAATGGACAACTTGCTCCTGAATGACTCCTTGTTAAATAATGAAATTAAGGCAGAAATCAAGAAGTTCTTTGAAACTGATGAGAACAAAGAGACAATATACCTGACTCCCTGGGATGCAGCTAAATCAGTGTTAAGACGGAAATTTATAGCGCTAAATGCCCACATTAAAAAGCTAGAAATATCTCAATTCGACATCCTAACATCACAACAAAAATAACTAGAGAACCAAGAGCAAACAAGCCCCAAAGCTAGCAGAAGACAAGAAAAAAAAAAAACAAGATCACAGAGGAGCTGAAGGAGGTAGAGACCAAAACATCAAAATTTTTTAAATTTTGTCTTCAAAAAATCAACAAATCTAGCAGCTGTCTTTTTTGAAAAATGAAATAAAATAGATTGCTAGCTAGACTAATAAATCAGAAAAAAAGAGAAGAACCAAATAGACACAATCAGAAATGATAAGGGGGATATCACCAATGACCCCACAGAAATACAAATGACCATTAGAGAATACTATAAATGCTTCTATGTACATAAACGAGAAAATCTAGAAGAAACTGATAAATTCCTGGACACATACACCCTCCCAAGACTGAACCAGGAATAAATTAAATCCCTGAATAGAACAATAACAAGTTCTGAAATTGAGGCAGTAATAAATAGCCTACCAACCAAAAAAAGCCCAGGACCCGACAGATTTACAGCTGAATTCTACCAGAGATACAAAGAGCTGGAACCATTTTTACTCAAACTATTCCAAACAATTAAAAAGGAGGGACTCTTCCCTAACTCATTTTATGAAGCCAGCATCATTTTGATACCAAAACTTAGCAGAGATACAACAACAAAAATGAAAACTTCAGGCCAATATTCCAGATGAACATTGATGCAAAAATTCTCAATAAAATACTGGCAAACTGAATTCAGCAGCACATCAAAAAGCTTATCCACCAGGATCAAGTAGTCTTCAGCCCTGGGATGCAAAACCGGTTCAACATATACACATCAACAAATGTAATTCACCACATACATAGAACTAAAGACAAAAGCCACATGATTATCTCAATAGATGCAGAAAAGGCCTTCAATAAAATTCAACATCCCTTCCTGATAAAAACTACAATAAACTAGGTATTGAAGAAACAATTAACTATAAACTAGGTATTGAAGAAACAATTTAAAAAAAAAAAAACGGCCGGGCGTGGTGGCTCAATCCTGTAATCCCAGCACTTTGGGAGGCCAAGGAGGGTGGATTGCCTGAGGTTAGGAGTTTGAGACCAGCCTGGCCAACATGGCGAAACACCATCTCTACTAAAAATACAAACAAAATTAGCAGGGCGTGGTGGCGTGCATCTGTAATCCCAGCTACTCTGGAGGCTGAGGCAGAAAAATCGCTTGAACCCAGGAAGTGGAGGTTGCATTGCACTCCAGACTGGGCAACAAGAGCGAGACTCCGTCTCAAAAAACAAAACAAGCAAACAAACAAAACAAACAAACAAAAACAAAAAAACACCCACAGCCAATATCATACTGAATGGGCAAAATCTGGAAGCATTCCCCATAAGACAAGGATGCCCTCTCTTACCACTCCTATTCAACACAGTATTGGAAGTTTGGGCCAAGGCAGGTAGACAAAAGAAAGAAATAAAGGTATTCAAATAGGATAAGAGGAAGCTGAATTGTCTTTGTTTGCAGATGACATGATCCTATATCTAGAAAACCGCACCATCTCAGACCAAAAGCTTCTTAAGTTGATAAGCAACTTCAGCAAAGTCTCAGTATACAAAATCAATGTGCAAAATCACAAGCATTTCTATATACCAACAACAGACAAGCAGAGAGCCAAATCATGAATGAACTCTCATTCACAATTGCTGCAAGGAGAATAAAATAGCTAGGAATACAGCTAGCAAAGTAAGTGAAGGACCTCTTCAAGGAGAACTACAAGTCACTTCTCAAGGAAATCATAGAGGACAAAAACAAATGAAGAAACATTCCATGCTCATGGATAGGAAGAATCAGTATCGTGTAAATGGCCATACTGCCCAAAATAATTTACAGATTTATTGCTATTCCCATTAAGCTACCATTGACATTCTTCACAGAATTAGAAGAAGCTATTTTAAAATTCACATAGAACGAAAAAAGAGCCCAAATAGCCAAGACAATCCTAGGCAAAAAGAACCAAGCTGGAGGCATCATGCTTTCAACTTCAAGCTATTCTACAAGGCTGCAGTAATCAAAACAGCATGGTACTGGTACAAAAACAGACACATAGACCAATGAACAGGATAGAGAACTCAGAAATAAGACCACACACCTACAATCATCTGATCTTCAACAAACCTGATAAAAAACAAGCAATGGAGAAAGGATTCTCTATTTAATAAATGGTGCTCGGAAAACTGGCTAGCCATATGCAGAAAATTGAAATTGGACTCCTTCCTTTCAGCTTATACAGCTGGATTAATGACTTAAATGTAAAACCTAAAACTATAAAAACCCTAGAAGAAAATATAGGCAATATCATTCAGGACATATTCATGGGCGAAGATTTCGTGATGAAAACTCCAGAAGAAATAGCAACGAAAGCAAAAATTGGCAAATGAGATCTAATTCAACTAAAGAGCTTCTACACAGCAAAAGAAACTATCATCAAAGTAAACACACAATCTACAGAAGGGGAAAATTTTTTTGCAATCTATCCATCTGACAAAGGTTGAATATCCAGTGTCTACAAGGAACTTAAACAAATTTACAAGAACAAAACAAACAACCCCAATAAAAAGTGGGCAAATGACATGAACAGACACTTCTCAAAGAAGACATTCATGTTGCCAACAAACATATGAAAAAAAGCTCAACATCACTGATCATTAGAGAAATGCAAATCAAAACCATAATGAGGTATCATCTCACACCAGTCAGAATGGCAATTATTAAAAAGTCAAGAAACAACAGATGGTGGCGAGGATGTGGAGAAAAAGGAACATTTTTATACTGTTGGTGGGAATGTAAATTATTTCAACCACTGTGGAAGACTGTGTGATGATTTCTCACAGACCTAGAGGCAGAAATACCATTTGACCCAGCAATGCCATTACTGAGTATATACCCAAAGGAATATAAATCATTCCATTATAAAGATACATGCACATGTGTGTTCATTGCAGCATTGCTACAATAGCAAGGACATGGAATCAATACAAATGCCCATCAGTGGTAGACTGGATAGAGAAAATGTGGTACATATACACCACGGAATACTATGCAGACATAAAAGGAACAAAATCATGCCCTTCGCAGGCACATGGATGAAGTTGGAGGCCATTATCCACAGCAGACTAATGCAGGAACAGAAAACGAAATACCACATGTTACCTTATAAGTGGTAGCTGAATGATGAGAACACATGGACACATGGGGGGAACAACTTACACTGGGGCCTGTCAGTGGGGGTGGGTTGAGGGAGAGCACCAGGAAGAATAGTTAAGGGATGTGGGCTTAATACCTGGGTGATGGGTTAATCTCTGCAGCGAACCACCATGACACACGTTTACCTATGTAAGAAACCTGCACATCCTGCACATATACCCCAGAACTTAAAAGCTGAAGAAAAATTTAAAGAAAGAAAAAGCAAAACAGAGACATAAACACAGAAACACACAGGAAGATTGTCATTCAACAATGGGGACAGAGATTAGAAGGATGTGTCTTAGAGTCAAGGAACACCAAAGATTGTCAGCAACACCAGAAGCTAAGAGAAAGACAAGGAACAGATTTTGTCTTAGAGTCTTGTGAGAGAGCGTAGCACTGATGGCATCTTGATTCTGGACACCTGGCCTCCAGATTGGGAGGTAATAATTTCTGTTGTTTTAAGCCACTCAGTTTTTGGTTATTTGTTATGGAAGCTCTAGGAAACTAACACAGACTTTTAAGTAATTCCACTGCTTAAAAGTCCAATGGATGCACTCTTTTGTTATAGTCACAAATCGAACTATGAAATTTTATAGTTAAGAATAAAAACTGAATAGCTATAAAACCTGGTAAAATTAGATTGATTTACTAAAACAGTTTATCATGTGCAAGACACTATTCTGAGTCCTTTACAAAACTTAATAAACTTAATTCATTTTTTAATCCTCATAATGTAGACATGAGGTAGGTACTATTGTTTTTACAGTTTTACATACAGAGAGACTAACACACATTGGCATTAAGTAACTAGCTCAAGTTCACATAGTCAATGGGAAAGCTGGGATTTGAAGTTAGGTGTTCTGCTTCCAGAAATAGTGACTTAAACCAATCCACTACACTGTCAGTGAAATGAAGAGAATTTTAGCAGAATGTGGTTATTTGTTTGTTAAAAAAAAAAAAGGTTATATGACTTAACATAGGTGCACTGTTATTTTAAGCCCAGCATTAAGATAGTTCTAATCAGGTAAAAGAATGCAAAATATGCTTAACTGTGTAATGTAGTGTTCAGGCCAATAAAATAAGGAAAAACCAACACAGATGATGAAAAAGGTTTAAAAAACCTTTGTTTGCCCAATAGTGACCATATTTAATTTTCTTACTTGTAAAAATAAATCTCTTTCCATTGGTTTTTGGATCAGATAACTTTGTGTGGTTTATTATAAATTATTTGTTCTATTTCACTTCATCATTTTGAAATTATCTGTGTGTGTTCAACGCACTGTTCTAGACACTGAGATTTAAAGAATTATACTCTACCACCTGTCCCTCATCAAATACATCAAATGAGGAGTGAGGAGTATATACATAGGCACACACACACAATTATGCACACATAAACATGCACACTATATATTTACACACATACAGCATATATTTTAACTATATATATATCAATTTGTAACATATATACATACCCTTATCTCATATATACACATACACACACACACAGACACACACACACACATATATATATATATAGTGCCATAAACTGAATACAAACTTCAATGGGTACTCAGAAGCTTGACAGATCATGACTGACTGTTCTTATTACAAAGTGTTTTGAATTTGAGGATTGTACAAATGAGTTTAAGCCAAGGCTCTGCTAACATGGTGACTTCTCAGTATTTTAAGTAATATTGCAAATAACTCATGCCTTGTGGAAAATTAAACAGGATACCATAAAATAGTAGAAGGTTAGCATCTAGCACAACATCTGGAACATAGTAGGCATTCATTAAATTTTAAAGCTAGCTTAATTAGGGAAGACATAATAAAAGCAATGATATTTGATTTTAGATGGAATCATTAGGAAAGATTTGGATAAATGAAGTTGTGGAATCCAGTAAAAGTAAGAGTAAATATTCCAAAGCAAGAAAACATGGAAATTTCTTGTTTAAGAAACATGAAGAAGTTTAATCCAACCAAGGATTGAACAAGGTAACAAATAAGTGAAGACTGACATCATAAATTAAGACTAAAGTCAGTCTGGAATGCTAGGCCAGTAATCAGAAAGGAAATTTAAGTCACTGAAATTTTCAGGGAACTTTCTTGGTATACAAATATATGTACATTTAAAACATGCATTTATAAATAATTTTATATAAGAAATCTATATTTTATGCAAACAATGTAATTTGTTTTATTTAGAATTTACTTCTTTCACATCAAATATAGAAACATAATTGTCATTTGAGTTTTTGATTTTCAATGCAAAACAACAAAATGGACATTTTTGGGAAAGAATATTGAAATACATTCAAGTTGGGAAACATAGACAAAAGATCTTCCAATTATTTATTCTTCGAGAGCAGTGATTCTCCAACTTGGCTACACGTTTGAATTACCTGGGGAGTCTTAAAAATAATGTGCCTAGGTTCTATCATCAAATATTTATAAACAAATGCATATTAAGAGGCAAGTGTGTTTTTTCTACCGTTTTTGTTTTTATCCTCTCCCTCACCTCTCTCCTCCACTCACATAAATCCCTGCCCCTCCATTTAATCTTGTCATATCTAACATTTAGTCATCCAAATTTTTCTTCGTGATCAGAAAATCATAGAAACATTCATATATATTTACACACACAGTGATTTTTGTTGCAATATACATTTTTGTGAAATACTGCATCCCAGTGTATACACTTTTTTGCATGCTTTTTTCTCACTTAGCAATAACTCATGAAGATTGCTCTCAACTAAGTCAACTGCTATAGCGCCATAACATTCTTAATTTTTAACAATTTTTTAAATTATAGATATGTAATAGTTGTACATATGTATGTGGTATATATGATATTTTGATACAGACATATAATGTGTAATAAGGGCAATCATGTGTAACCAGGATAATTGGGGTATCCATTACCTAAAGTGTTTATAATTTCCTTGTGTTAGAAATGTTCCAATCCCACTGTTTTAGTTATTTTGAAATAAATAAATCATTATTAGCTACAGTTGACCTATTGTGCTATCTAACAGTAGATCTTAATCCTTATATCTAACTGCATTTTTATATCCACTAACCATCATGGAAATAGAGAGTAGAATGATGGTTACTACTGGCTGGGAAAGGTACTAGGGAGAGGAGGATAAAGAGGGCATGACTTTTTTGTAAGGCTTGCATTACTGTCATAGTGTGTTCATAGGCCAATTATTTTCAGCTGTTCCCATACTACCGATGGATATTTACTGTATCCAAGTGGAGAACTAAGAATAATGCTACAACAAACATCCTTGTACTTACATATTTATCAACATGTGCTTTTTAAGCTATCTGTGAAATAGGATTTCAGAAACAGGTTTATAGATATGATGGTTATTTTTAACTATAATAGATGTTGCTAGATGCTTCCAAAGATCACAACATTTTACTTTTTCATCCAGTCAGTTAAAAGAAAACCTTTCTCTTAGCTTCATACCACCAACAGGTGTTATAGCTATGCATCTGTGAAGGGCCTCGCAGGAAGAAGTTGCCACTATCAAATTTGAGGTGAGTAATTTGAGAAAAATGTAATAAAGGGACATTTCCAGAGATGTTGGCAGGAGGAATGGGAACCCACAAGAGATCATCACCAAAGCTGGTTAGAACAAGGTGGTCTTACCACCTCTAGGGGTAAAGAAGCAAGGGGAGATCAGAGAAGGTCCTGTGACAAGAACCTAACGTTTTGTGGAGGGAGCTGGAAAACAATTACCCAATCCCACTTTCCACCTCCCTACAACCTGCTGCTGCTGCCTCTTACTGGAGAAACCCACTTGGAAGTCAGAGAATGGTGGACTCAGAGAAGCTACCAGCACAGATAAGGCTGCCAGTGCACAGGGCATGCTGGAGAAGGGTATAGACAGGATCTGGAGGGCAAACAGGAGACATTCCACACAAGCTTCTTCAAGTCATCTTAGAATAGTTGATTTGTCAAATTAATTAGTCATTTGCTGACTGCTAGAGAATTCGAGCATCCTTGGCTTTTCATAGTTGCCCTTCCACCAATTGCCTTCTCACCTTATTTGCACATTTTTTACTGGGTATCTGAATTTGTTTCTTTCCATTTTGCAATAACTATTTGTATGTTTTTGTTATTTTGTTTTTCTAAATCTCTTGTTTCTTGGTTGATTTAGATTACATATTCCATTGCCATACCCAAGATTATTTTTAAAATCTTATGGAATTCAAATATATGTAATTTTGCTTAAAAGCATCCAGATTGCTACTTTGGAGAAAGAAGGTGTCTTTCACCCACAGATGGTACCTTTTATGTCATATATTTTCTATTTTTTTTTTTTTAACAATTAAGACTTTACTTCATCCAGAATTTATTTTTATATGTGATATAACCAGGTGTGCTCTTTTATTATTCCAGAAGGCTAGCCAGCTGCATCAGCATCATTTAATGGCTTAAAACATTTTAATGTTAATAAATTGAACCATCATTTTTACATATATTAATTTTCCATCCTTACATGTTCTTTATTCTTTCCTGTACTCAGTTTGTCTACTCAAAGACCAAGACCAGAAAGATTCTAATTGCACTGGTTTTATACTGTGATCTTTCATTTAAAATGGAATACACGCACCACTTTGTTTCCTGAATTTTCTTGGATATTTCAAAGCATTTATTATTATGAAATGAAAGTTAATTTTTCCAGTGAAAAAATACATTGAGATTCTTATTAGAATCCCAATTACATTATTACATTATTTCATATCTTTATTTTGGAGTATTAATATTTTTTTTAAAAAAAACCTTTCATTAAAGAACATACGATGCCTTTACCTTTGTTCAGACAATATTTTGTATTCATCCATCCAATTTAGTAGCTTCATAAAACTGATTTTGTCTTGTTAAATCCCTTCTTACACTTTTCCAGTTTTTTGTTTGTTTTTCGTTTTGTTTTGCTTTTTGCTATTGGGAATAGACATTTTCTTTCTAGAGTTTGTTTGAGACAGGGTCTTACTCTGTCACTCAAGCTGGAGCACAGCGGCATAAACATGGCTCGCTGCAGCCTCTACCTCCTGGCCTCAATCGATCCTTTCACCATAATTACCTGAGTAGGTGGGACCACAGGTGTGCACTAGCACACTCAGCTAATTTTTTAACTTTTTGTAGAGACACAGTATTGCTATGTTTTCTAGCCTGGTCTCAAATTCCTGGGCTCAAGCAATTCTCCCACCTCAACTTCTCAAATAATTTTTTAAAATTTTTTTGCGGAGATCAGGTCTCACTCCGTTGCTGAGGCTGGTCCAAACTCCTGGTTTCAAGCAATGCTCCTGTCTTGGCCTCCCAAAGTGCAGGGATTACAGGCGTAAGCCACCATGCCTGGCCAACATTTTCATTCCATTTCTATTTCTAGAAATTTATTGTTAGAGTTGAATAAAGTGTATCCAATTCCTTGCCAAACTTACCAATTTTGTAATTATAAGAGCTTCCTTCTAGACTCTTGAGTTTTCTGGTATATAAACATACTATCAGTACAGAGATAATCTGAGCACCACTTTTTCAACTTTTCTTAGTGATATTTCACAGATGTGAATGTATAGAGAATAACATAATGAACATATTCCCCTAGCCCAGCTTAATTAAAAAAGTACTGAAAATGTGACTGTATTACCACATGTGGGCCTCACTGATCAATTCCACTCCCTCCCCACACAGAACTGCTATCCTGCATTGAACACTTACCATTCCCATGAATATATACATTGCTAAAAAGTACATTGAATTGTTTTCCACATCATAAATAATATCACATTGTACTTATCTTTCTGCAATAATTTTTCATTCAAAATTAGGTTTTCTGAGATTTATCCTTTTTCATTCAACATTAGGTTTTGGAGATTTATTCATGATAATACATTTAGCCCTCATTTTTTCTACTGGTTGATGTATAATATTCCACTGAAGGAAGACGTTATTGTATATTTGTCCATATCTCAGTGTTTCAGAGTGATTTTTGTTTCTATTGTAACATCTGATGATATATGACTTTTTATGCATGTAAGTCAGGATATGTCTGTAAATGTGGAACTCCTTACTTAAGTCTATTTTTACCTTCAACTTGAAAAGATATTGGCAGCACTTTGGGAGGTCAGGGTGGGTGGATCACCTGAGTTCAGGAGTTCAAGACCAGCCTGACCAGCATGATGAAACCCCATCTCTACTAAAAATAGAAAAATTAGCCGGTTGTGCTGGGGCACACCTGTAGTCCCAGCTACTTGGGAGGCTGAGGCAGGAGAATCACTTGAACCGGGAGGCAGAGGTTGCTGTGAGCCAAGATTGCACCATTGCATTCCAGCCTGGGCAACAGAGTGAGACTGCGCCTCAAAAAATAAATACATAAATAAATAAATAAATGAAAAGATATTGGCAAAGTGCTATTCAAAGTATTTTGAGCCATGTTACCATTTTACACTTCCATCAGCATTTCCCATTTCTCCTCTTTCTAGCCAACATCTGTCACAAACATTTTATTTTAATCTTTGCCAATGTGATGTGTGTAAAAACAACGTCTCATGTAGTTTTGATTTTCATTTACCCATCTTCTTGTGAGGATATTTTTCATATATTTATCGGATATTAAGGTTTCATTTTCTATGAATTATCTCATTATGTCTTTTATCCATTTATCTAAAGCATTATTAGTCTTCTCTTGTTTATTTGTAGCAACTCTTTATATATTCTTGAAAACTACCTTTGGTCTGTATGCATTGCAATGTATGCGTTGCAAAGCACTCACCCAATTTGTCAGGACTTTTTTTTTTTCCCCAGCAAGAGTAGGGGAACTAGTTTCTCTCAAAAAGTTTAAAAATTTTATGAGTTGAAGAAATTTGTATGTTCTTAGTGCCAGAACAGTTCCTGGAATAAGGCAGGTATTCAATAAATATTTGTTAGAAAAAATAATTAACAATATCTTTGAGTTCCCAAAGTCTACTGTAGCTCTTCTTTTTAAAAGTTGCAGTTTTTTAATTGAGTATACCAATGAACACTGCATTGACTATAAATTTTGAAACTCCATCATGCACTACAGTTTAGAAGGAAAAGCAATTTATATCATTTTAGTTACAGACTAGCACAGCATCAAGTGAAAATTAGCATTGAAAAAGTATTAGAGCAGTGGCTGCTCAAAAAGTCCCGTGACTTGGAACATCTAAAATCCGTATTTAAAGCATCAAAAGAATCCTAGAATCAAGGCCTATCTCAGAAATTTGTTTGGTAGTTGGCCATATAACTACAAAGAAAGAATCATTATTACTAAGAAAGAACTTGGTATTAGTGGTTATTTGCTCAGGTTTCTTCAAGCACTTCATCACATAAGTCAGAAGAAAATGGAAATTTTGAACCTCAATTTAGTGAATTTCCTGATATACTTTTCCTCTCCATCCAGAATAAATGCTATTTCTCTCTCTCTTGTGAAATATACCTGCATTTACTCAATGTTAAAAACATTTCACAAATTCATAACTACTTTCCGACATCCCCAAGACATATTTTAATGGCATTTTAAAGAGGTTATTATCTAAAGTCAGCACATAGTGTGATAATAGGGATTGGTAAAGTTTACTGTTAAAAAGCCTTACATAACTCATAGAATATAAGGCAGTATAATGCCCCATAGATTACTTTATTAGATTCTTAGCTCTTCATAAATTAAAGTTTCCTCTTGGTACTCAAAAATTTTGTTATGTAATATTTGATACATACAAGCGAATGCATGCAACACAAATATGTTACAGACAGTTTAATATTGAAACAGAACCCTATAAACCCATCACTGAAGAAACAGTACATTATGAAAACACTGTTGTCTTTCATATAGTGACGTCCATCCATTAGCTTTTCCCTTATTCTATTTCTCTTCCTATCCCCAGGACTAAACACTATGTGAATATTTTTGTTTAGGATTTTATTAAAAAGGAGTTTAAGGTGTTTATCAAATATTTATTAAACCCTAAACACTATATTGTTTAGTTTTGCTTTTAGTTCAAAGCTTTATAAAACTGCATCACATACTATGTAACCTTTGGACTTTTATTCCAGTACTATGTTAATAAAATCAATACTTTTCATAGGAAGCTGTAATTCCTTCACACTGGAAAATTTCCATTGTTTGATATGGAGTTTTTTTTATGTTTTTTTATTTATTTATTTTTTTACTATTATTATACTTTAAGTTTTAGGGTACATGTGCACAATGTGCAGGTTAGTTACATATGTATACGTGTGCCATGCTGGTGTGCTGCACCCATTAACTCGTCATTTAGCATTAGGTATATCTCCTAATGCTATCCCTCCCCCCTCCCCACACCCCACAACAGTCCCCAGAGTGTGATGTTCCCCTTCCTGTTTCCATGTGTTCTCATTGTTCAATTCCCACCTATGAGTGAGAACATGCAGTGTTTGGTTTTTTGTTCTTGGGATAGTTTACTGAGAATGATGATTTCCAATTTAATCCATGTCCCTACAAAGGACATGAACTCATCATGTTTTATGGCTGCATAGTATTCCATGGTGTATATGTGCCACACTTTCTTAATCCAGTCTATCATTGTTGGACATTTGTGTTGGCTCCAAGTCTTTGCTATTGTGAATAGTGCCACAATAAACATACGTGTGCATGTGTCTTTATAGCAGCATGATTTATAGTCCTTTGGGTATATACCCAGTAATGGGATGGCTGGGTCAAATGGTATTTCTAGTTCTAGATCCCTGAGGAATTGCCACACCTACTTCCACAATGGTTGAACTAGTTTACAGTCCCACCAACAGTGTAAAAGTGTTCCTATTTCTCCACATCCTCTCCAGCACCTGTTTCCTGACTTTTTAATGATCGCCATTCTAACTGGTGTGAGATGGTATCTCATTGTGGTTTTGATTTGCATCTCTCTGATGGTCAGTGATGGTGAGCATTTTTTCATGTGTTTTTTGGCTGCATAAATGTCTTCTTTTGAGTAGTGTCTGTTCATGTCCTTCAAAATTGCTTCAAAGAGAATAAAATACCTAGGAATCCAACTTACAAGGGATGTGAAGGACCTCTTCAAGGAGAACTACAAACCACTGCTCAATGAAATAAAAGAGGATACAAACAGATGGAAGAACATTCCATGCTCATGGGTAGGAAGAATCAATATCGTGAAAATGGCCATACTGCCCAAGGTAATTCATAGATTCAATGCCATCCCCATCAAGCTACCAATGACTTTCTTCACAGAATTGGAAAAAACTACTTTCAAGTACATATGGAACCAAAAAAGAGCCCGCATCACCAAGTCAATCCTGAGCCAAAAGAACAAAGCTGGAGGCATCACTCTACCTGACTTCAAACTATACTACAAGGCTACAGTAGCCAAAACAGCATGGTACTGGTACCAAAACAGAGATATAGATCAATGCAACAGAACAGAGCCCTCAGAAATAATGCCGCATGTCTACAACTATCTGATCTTTGACAAACCTGAGAAAAACAAGCAATGGGGAAAGGATTCCCTATTAAATAAATGGTGCTGGGAAAACTGGCTAGCAATATGCAGAAAGCTGAAACTCGATCCCTTCCTTACACCTTATACAAAAATTAATTCAAGATGGATTAAAGACTTAAACGTTAGACCTAAAACCATGAAAACCCTAGAAGAAAACCTAGTCATTACCATTCAGGACATAGGCATGGGCAAGGACTTCATGTCTAAAACACCAAAAGCAATGGCAACAAAAGCCAAAATTGACAAATGGGATCTAATTAAACTAAAGAGCTTCTGCACAGCAAAAGAAACTACCATCAGAGTGAACAGGCAACCTGCAGAATGGGAGAAAATTTTCGCAACCTACTCATCTGACAAAGGGCTAATATCCAGAATCTACAATGAACTCAAACAAATTCACAAGAAAAAAACAAACAACCCCATTAAAAAGTGGGCAAAGGATATGAACAGACACTTCTCAAAAGAAGACATTTATGCAGCCAAAAAACACATGAAAAAATGCTCACCATCACTGGCTATCAGAGAAATGCAATTCAAAACCACAATGAGATACCATCTCACACCAGTTAGAATGGTGATCATTAAAAAGTCAGGAAACAACAGGTGCTGGAGAGGATGTGGAGAAATAGGAACACTTTTACACTGTTGGTGGGACTGTAAAGTAGTTCAACCATTGTGGAAGTCAGTGTAGCGATTCCTCAGGGATCTAGAACTAGAAATACCATTTGACCCAGCCATCCCATTACTGGGTATATACCCAAAGGACTATAAATTATGCTACTACAAAGACACATGCACACGTATGTTTATTGCGGCACTATTTGCAATAGCAAAGACTTGGAGCCAACCCAAATGTCCAACAATGATAGACTGGATTAAGAAAATGTGGCACATATACACCATGGAATACTATGCAGCCATAAAACATGATGAGTTCATGTCCTTTGTAGGGACATGGATGAAATTGGAAATCATCATTCTCAGTAAACTATCTCAAGGACAAAAAACCAAACACTGCATGTTCTCACTCATAGGTGGGAATTGAACAATGAGAACACATGGACACAGGAAGGGGAACATCACACTCTGGGCACTGTTGTGGGGTGTGGGGAGGGGGGAGGGATAGCATTAGGAGATATACCTAATGCTAAATGACGAGTTAATGGGTGCAGCACACCAGCATGGCACATGTATACATATGTAACTAACCTGCACACTGTGCACATGTACCCTAAAACTTAAAGTATAATAATAATAAAATAAAATAAAATAAAATAAAAATAACAATAGAAAAAAAAGAAGTTAAAAAGTTTTTGAGTAGTTTGTTCTACATCAATAACCAATATACAATGTATTTAAATTTTAATACACTGCCAAATTCTGTTTGACATTACCTCTTTATTTTATATCCATTTTCAAAAATTATTAACACATATATTTGTTTCTTTTTTATACTCATCTGGTTTTTATATTGTGGTTACATTGGAATCATAAAATGCATTAAAGCATATTCTATTTTCTACTTTCTGGAAGAGATTGATCACACTGAGTGGTATCTTCCTTTAAACATAAGTGACATGTAAAATCATCTGAGCCTTACTGAACTACTGATTATTTTATATTTATATTATTGCATTTTTTCCCAGTTATTTGTGTTAAATTGTGTTTTTCTGTTTTTATATTTGTTGTCATAACATTGTTGTGATTATTATTTTTTATCCTTTGTTATTGCTTCTTTGTAATATTGTCTATTATTCTGTCTCCCTGTGTGACTTTCCCTCAATTATCAGGGTTTTATCAAACTTTAAGTTAGGTTTTCCAAAAAAGCAAAATTTCTGTTTATTGTCCCACTTACAGTATATTTTTTCTATTTTGTCAATCACCCTCTCCTTTTTATTTTTTCATTCTTTCTACTCTTCTTGTGATTTTTCTGTTTTCTTATAAGTAAAATTCTTAATTTGGAGGCATCTCATTACTTTTCAGCCTTTCTAATATATATGTTCAAGATTATAGATTTCCAAATACCATTTTTACAATGCTCCACAGCTTTTGATATGTTTTCTTTTTATCATTCAAATATAAATAATATTTTCATTTCTATTATGCTTTCTTCTTTGATCCAATAATTATTTAAAATTTAGAATATTTTGTTTTCTCTGTATGGAAAGATCAAGTAACTCTTAAAAATCTGCTCTTTAAATAATAAACAAAATCCAGCAATGAGCCTTAATCAGTTTTAGCTAATATCACAAAGGCTGAGTTAAACCGTTTACTTTCAGAAAACTGAAGATTGTCTGAGGGTTCATTGATCTAGGTTTAATCAGGTAAATAATTTTGATCTGCTCCATGTCTCTAATCTTATTTCTGGACCAGAGACCAGCCCAAGAACATTCTCCTCATGACAATGGCAGAGAAATAACAGTGAAAATCTCATCAAACAAGCACTTTTAAGTGTCTACTTATGGCATATTGGCTTATATCCCATTGGACAAAATATTCATATCGTTGAGTCTCAAATCCAAGTAGGAGGAGTGTATTCACCTACTGAAGTAGGGGAGAGTAAAATGCTTTGTGTACAACACATGTAATGTAGAATTTATCACCTTAATCATTTTTAAGTGTACAGTTTCAGTAGCATTAAGTACATTCACATGTGCAGCTATCACCATCGTCTCTTTCCAGAACTTTTTCATCAGCACAAACAGAAACTCTGCACTCATTAATCAATAACTCTGCATCTCCTCCTTTTCTCAGTGCTTGGCAATCACCATTCTGTTTTCTGTCTCTATAAATTTGACTACTCTAGGAAACTCACATAAGTGGAATCATACAGTATTGGACATTTTGTGACTGGTTTCTTTCACTTAGCATTATACTTTCAAGGTTAATTCATGATGCACCATGCATCAGGGTTCAGTTCCTTTACACAGCTGAATATTCCATTGCACATATATGGCACATTTTGTTTATCCAGTCATTAATCGATGGACACTTGGTTTGCTTCTGCATTTTACCTGTTACAAACAATACTGCTTTAAACATGAGTGTGCAAATATCTGTTTGAGTTTCAGCTTTCAACTTTTGGGGGTACACACCCCAAAGTATAATTGCTGGATTATATAGTAATTTTATTCCTAGTTTTTTAAGGAACTGCCATACTGTTTTCCACAGGGGTTGCACCATTTTACATTTTCACTAACAGTGCACAAAAGTTCCAATTTTTCCTTCTTATGGAGACTTGGTTTTTCTATTTTTATAGTAGTCACTCTAATAAGTGGTATCTCACTGTGGTGAAAGTTAGTATTTTTAGTCAGTCATTTAATCTATGAAATAATCTATCTGGCTTTAATGGGTTTAATCATCTTTCTAATATCTTCTTTGGTGATCAGCCTATTTTAAAATGTCTGTATATGCCAATTTAGATAAGTTATATTTTGACAGAAAACATTTTCTCTAATATTTTGATTATATTGTCACAGAGTTGCACAAAGTCTTCTTTTATGATTCTCCAGATCTCTTCTTCTTTGCCATTATATATCCTTAAGCACTCACTGTCTTGTACTTTTACATCTTTTTTACAATCTGACTCACAAAGTATTTGCATCTGTATTTTTACATACACACCTTTTGGATAAGCCTTTCAACTATTTTTATTTTCAAGTTCATTAATTTCAGTTTTATTTTATTATTTTCATCCTTTTAAAAAGTCTTATTTGCTCTTCTTTGCTCCCAAGTTTGTGTTATATATACCTGTTTTGGTTTTATTTATCTCTTTTTTAAAAAAATATGATGACATTTAAACTATAAATGTTCTACTGAGTTTTTCCAGGGCTGGCCTATGGTATAATGTGTTCTTTATTTCATTGCTTTCTAGATGGTTTATGATTTCCAATTTTAAAACTTCCTTTCCAAGAGACTATGATTCTCAATATCTAAGTAGTTTCAATGTTTGCGATCATTTTTTAATTATTTAATTGTATTGGATCATGATTAGATTATGTGATCTGTAATTTCTCTATTATTTTCACTTGTTAAGTTTTATTTTGGCACCAATTCTACAAATGTTTTTTGAACCTTAAGAGTATTTTCCATTTAAACTTATAGGTACCTATTTAAAATCATGATTATTGACTGTAGTACTTGATTTCTCCACCTCACTCCTTAATTTTGTCTGCAAGGCCTTTCTACTTGTGAGATAGCTACATCAATTGGTGTCATTATAACAAAACTTTCATAGATTTATCTGTTTTTAGATTTATTTGGTTCCACTGTTTTTTGTTTGGAGTACGCAGACATGTGCAGCTATATCTTCTTCCTAAACTTGCCTTTTTATCAATTGATTTTCAATGTTTTTAACATTAAGTTTCTTCTAATCAGTCTGATACTGATGTTTCCTCTTTTGCTTTAGTTTGTTTGTATTTATCTGGTATCCCTTTATTCACCCCTTTATGGTCAGCCTTTCCCTATCGCTGTGTTTTAAATGAATATCTCATAAAGTGAACAAAGTTGGATTTTCTTTTTGTAACGTACTGTTACAGTCCCTAATTTTCAAAAGGAAAATCTTATCTGTTTACATTTAGCTTAATTACTAAAACAAATTCTTTTAGTCTCTCCATCTTTTATTATTTAATATTTGTTTTACAGTGATTTTTAAGTTATTTTTTGCTGTTAAGAAAAAGGAACTATTCGTTGCATTTTCCCCTGGTTAATCCAGAAGTTTCACTCTAATTTTCCATTCTCAATATGGGTGGTTTCTTGTTCCCTGATCTCCTGCATTATAGAAACATGTTATTCAATATTTCCCTTATGAGAATATATATTCCTCTAATTAAAAGAGTCTATTTGTCTTTACTTCCTTGATACAAGTAATAGGAAATCTTTACAGTACTTACAATTATCTCTTTATCTCTTCCCTTTTTACTACTAGATGAAATCCTGGGAAGATTTTTACTCCCATTTTTATACGTATTTCCAAATCTTAGAAACTTGACTAGTTAAGTAGTTTCAGATTTTGTTTATTAAATTCTCCACGCAAAATCTCCCTCTATTTTACATCCCTATTTAGCAGTTATTTTAGACATTTCCAAATAGTCATCTTTAAGCATTGACCTAAAGATAGTACATCAAGGTTCACTCTGCAGTTCACCTGCTAGAATTGATTTAGTGTTTTATTTAGAAATTTCTGTTTATTCTTCTACCTCATAGCATACACATTAATGATAAATTTTCTAGGTATTATTGCATATTCTGACCAGTTAATGGTAACATTGGTTTTGACAGTCTTTTTCGTAGTCCGTTGTCTTCTAGCTACCTACAATGCAGATAAAAAGTCCCATGATAATTTATTCATTTTCCTTCGTAAGTAAATTTCTACTCCCACTGGCCATTAAGATAGAACTAAGCTACTTGTTCCCTACTTAAACACCTAGTGAAGCTTGTTTTCATATTATATCAGAGACAGAGAAAATTCAACCCACATTTTCAGTACCCCCTTAGCCACTTGAAAACAAGATAAACAAGGTAGACACTCACAGAGCCGAAGTTAACATTCTCCTCCAGCCCTCCAGAGTGTTCACAGATTTTTAGAGAGATAAGCTCATCACAAAGATGTGCATATTCCCAGATTTTGTTCCATAGTTTCTGATGCTAATCACCAAACACTTGCCTGACTTATGGAGGCAAAAGCCCCATGGTCTTTATCTCCTCGGGTACCCTACAGATCCCAACGCTTCACTTTTATCTAGCTGCCAACAGGACCGAGAAGTTATTTAACCTCATTCCTCAGTCCCAATGGGCTAAATTATGCTGTGTTAAAAATCATCTTCAAAATATCAGGGGCTTAAATGCATCTATCTTTCTCAGAATACATCTCTATAGCAGGTTGGCTGGGAGTTCTGATTTCCCTCACTCTGGAACTTAAGATGAGTGTGAACCATGTCTTGATTTTTGAGCTACACAGAGCCTCACACAAGCAATGAAATGTTCTGATCTGGAATTTGCATGGAGCTCTTCTGTTCATGACTCTGCCAGAACTAGTCACAGGATTTAACCCAAACACAAAAGGGCAGGAATCATGGGCCAGTATTCAGAGAGACAGAGATTTTTAGTTAACAAAACTAGAGACATTTTTCAGCTCAAGAGACATACATAACTTAGGAGTAGAGAGGAAAGTAGTCTCCTTCTGTCCTCCATATTTCCAGAATTTCTCTCTTAGGATATTAGCTCTTGGTCCTGGAAAGAGGGCCATTGGAAGTTTTATCAAGGCATGAGGGAGGGAATTCTAGAGCATGTATTCTAGACTGATGGCACATAGATGAGATGGAAGCAAGTAGCCTACTAAAAATAGGAAGGAAACTTAAAAGCTTAGCCTAACCCTAGGTGCACATTGCAGTCACCTGAAGTCTTTTCTATTTCTTTTTTTCTTTTTATTTATTTTTTGAGACAGGGTCTCACTTTGTCCCCCAGGCTGGAATGTAGTGGCGTGATCTCAGGTCACTGCAGCCTCGACCTCCCGGGTTCAAGTGATCCTCCTGCCTCAGCTCCCCAAGTAGCTGTTACTATACAGGTGTATGCCATCTCGCCTAGCTAATTTTTGTATTTTTAGTAGAGATGGGGTTTTGCCCTGGCCAACCTTGATCTCCTGAGCTCATGCAATCTAACAGCCTCGGCCTTCCAAAGTACTCTAAGATTATAGGCGTGAGCTGTTGCACATGGCCCCAGTTGAAAGCTTTTGAAGAAAATACCTATGCCTGGACCCCATCTACCATTATTTAATTTATTTGGTATAGGATGAGGGTCAGGCATAGTTGCCTAAAACCAAGGAAAGTATTTTAGGCAATTTTACCATAGAGAACATCTGAGCATCTTATTTTAGTAATCAATAGAGAATTATATGAGCATGCTACATAATTGAAACAACAAATCCTGTAAGAGGCAATATGATCTCAGAAGAGTAGGATACATTCATCAATGTCTTTGTCAAGATGAATTTTATTATGTATATTTAAGATATACGATGGTATATTTAGTGTATACATATATACATATACTATACTATATATACTATATGTAAATGTAGTAAGTATATATTAAATATACCTAATATTATATACTATGTATAATATACTTAGTATGATGTACTACATATACTTAGTATAGACTAAGTATATTAATATACTAAATATATACTAAATACTAAGTATTTAGTATGTTTATATAAAATACAGTATATAGTGTGTGTGTATATATATATATATATACACACACACTATACACACACACTAAATATACCACTGTATATCTTAAATATACATATATATACATGGTTACAATAGTGTAATAAATCAACAAGAACAAGTAGAAAGATCAAATGTAAGTAACCACTGTCTTAAAATATATGAGATACCCTAATCACTCTTACTGGAAAATAAGACCATAATTCCCTACCCTCAGATAATCTCCTATAGGTTATGAATAAAATAAAATATATATCAAGCTTCAAGTACAGAATTGCTCTTATCCTCCTAAAATTTTTCAACCAAGTTATTTGATTAGGAACTGATTTGCCAGTGTTTTTCTAACTTATCAAATAAAATATCATGATGTTTATTTTTTTCTTGATAAACTTAACTAAGGACATGTAATACCTTTAATTCAAGTGAAGATTTGATCATCAATTTTAAAGCATAAAGATTTAATGAAATTATTAATATGAACTGTGCTTCTAAAACACACTGCATTTTATTCCATTTCTATGTGATGCTTGTCCCAAAATATGTGACATAAGACCCAAACAGGTCCTAGACTTTAGCTTGTACCTTTTGAGAAACTCAAATTTACAGATTTATATAAGCAGCTCAATATATCTTTCAAAATTACTTTTGTATTTTATACCCACATAAATTAAGAACCCAGATATAAAATTACTTTCCTAAAATATTTATTCTAATTGAACTTTATGTTTCTTATTTTACACAATTAAAAAAGACTTGAAGTTTTATTCCTCAAGGAAATCTTAATAAATATTTTAATAAAATTGTGTTATTTTTATTAAACAATAGCTCTAGGTCAATTTTTTGAAGACTAATAATTTTTCTTTATTTAAGAACAAGTGTTAAAATTTATATATATATATATATATATATATATATATATATATATATATATATATATGGCCTAATGCACTTCTTGAAAATTCAAATGTGTGATTTGTTGATTTTTTTCCCCTAGTGTTCCATTAAACAAATCATTGAAGAGATTTTTATACTCCAATAAGCAGTTACTGTAATCTTAAAAGTTAAATCGTGCTCAGCAGATACACTTCCCGAGTAAACATGTTTTTAAAATGAAAAATTTTAGCCAACTATTAACCATTCTCTGTATGCTGTCATTTAAACAGTATTTGAAAATTCAATGATTCCCTAGTTCTCTTTAGAAAATTATTCCTGTCACTCATGCTGAAAAAACTTACTAGTGTGCTGCTTAAAGCAAGAGTAATGCCAAAACAAATTCAGTGAATCAATTTTTCTCAAAAAAGTATAATGACCAATACGGTTTGGCTCTGTGTCCCCACCCAAATCTCATCTTGAATTGTACTCCAATAATTCCCACATGTTGAGAGAGGGACCCACAGGGAGATAATTGAATCAGGAGGGTGGTTTCCCCCAAATGTTCTCATGGTAGTGAATAAGTCTCACAAGACCTGATAGTTTTATAAGAAGGAGTTTTCCTGCACAAGCTTTCTCTTGGCCTGCTGCCATCCATGTAAGACATAACTTGCTCCTCCTTGCCTTTTGCCATGATTGTAAGGCCTCCCCAGCCATGTGGAACTGTAAGTCCTTAAACCTCTTTTTTCTCTATCACTTACCCAGTCTTGGATATGTCTTTATCAACAGTGTGAAAACTGACTAATATAATGACATTTGAAGCCAAATTTATTAATATTAGTATTGTGATCTTTGTCCTGCAGTAAATGTAAAATGCTCAAATAATTAACAATTATATTTTCTTATTAAAATCAGTATCTGGGCCTGGTACAGTGGCTCACACCTATCATCCCAGCAATTTGGGAGGCCAAGGCGGGCAGATCACCAGGTCAGGATTCGAGACCAGCCTGGCCAACATGGTGAAACCCCATGTCTACTAAAAATGCAAAAATTAGCCGGGCGTGATGGGTCGTGTCTGTAATCCCAGCTACTCCAGAGGCTGAGGCAGGAGAATCGCTTGAAACCAGGAGGCGGTGGTTGCAGTGAGCCAGGATTGCACCACTCCACTCCAGCCTGGCGATAGAGTGAGACTCAGTCTTTAAAAAAAAAATATATATATATATATATATTATATATATATTTATGATATATCATAATCATATATGATATATATATCATATATATCATAAATATATATCATATATATCATAAATATATATCATATATATGATATATATATATCAGTATCTGAGTTATTTATAGTAAAGTAAAAAGAAACTAATTTTTAAAAAATCCACTGTAGGTTGGGGGCAGTGGCTCATGCCTTTAATCCCAGCACTTTGGGAGAGGTGGAGGGTTGCTTGAGACCCGGAGTTTGAGACCAGCCTGTGAAACACAGCCGTACCTTGTCTCTACTTAAAAAAAAAAAAAAAAAAAAAAATCCGGTCGTGGTAGCTCACACCTGTAGTCCGACCTCCCACACCTCCCACACGCGTGGAAGCACACGCGGAGGATGCTGGGGAAGAACTTCGACCGTGTGACCCCCTCCCAGGTAAAAGCCACCCTCACTCAGGCGAGAGCCCGGCTGGGGCGGTGGGAGCACATCACAGTCCCACTCTCGCTCTCAGGCCTGTGCTGGGTGGAGCTTCAGCCTGCCCACTGTGGGCAGCATGCCCCTCAGCCCCGCTTCCTCAGGGACCCCCATTTCCTTTCAGGGCCCCCCAAGCCTGACGAACAAAAAGAAGTCAGAAGTAGCTAAATCAGAACTGTAAGCTGGAAGCCTAATGATTTCCCATCGAGACTCTCACAAAATTGTCCTTGATAAAAGGAATGAGCAGGAGCATTGCCATCGCAGAGGGGATTCTTGAGTAAAACTTTCTTGGGATTTTTTCTGCTAAAGCTTTGGCTAACCACAAAACATTCTCATAATAAGCAGATGTTACTATTCTTCCACCCTCCAGAAAGTCAACAAGCAAAACGCCTCTAGCATTCCACAACTGTTGCCATGAGTTTTGCTCTTGACTGGTTTGCTTTTGCTTTGATTGGACCACTTCTACCTCTTAGTATCTTTTGCTTTGATAGTGTTTTGTCTTCATAATTGTTCTAGTAAAGCCGTGTTTCATCTTCTGTTACAATTCTTCCAAAATATGCTTTAGAATCTTGATCCCACTTGTTTAAACTTTCCATTGAGAGCTCTGCCTTCGTCTGCAGCTGATCTGGCCACAATAGTTTTGGCACCCATTAAGTAGAAATTTTGCTCAATTTTAAATTTTTAGTTAGAATTGTGTAAGCTGAACCAATTGTGATATCTATGGTGTTGACTATTGTTTGTGCTGTTAATCGTGGGTCCTCTTCAGTTAGATCAGGAACAAGATTAATTTTTTTCTCACAAATTGAAGTGGATGATCTGCCATTCTGAGCTTCATCTTCAATATCATTTATCTCTTCTTAAAATGAGTTATTTATTTGTAAACTGCCAATTAATTTAGGGCATTGTCCCCATAACATTTTGTAAAACATCAATGGCTTCACCACTCTTCCCCTCAACCTTCACCATAAATTTGATTTTTCTTTTTACTCCAATTTCAGCAGAATTCATGTTGCTCTGATAAGGGTCCTTTACAAATAGATGTCTTCACCTTCTTAATGTCTCAAACTGGATTCTGCTCATTCTGTAACAAGTTAGTACAAGTTAATTTTGGTGCAAAACGTTTTGAAATCCATGCATAGTGTTTTCATATTATGCATTTTCCGTGAACTTTTTGAAGATCCCTCATAAAAATATTTCTATTAGTTTATTTGGATAACAATTTTCAACTGTAGCCTGATACTTTGTAGAAGTGCAAGGTTCTTGATTTTAAGCAGAAAAAAAGAAAAAGATTGAATTATGCTTTACCAATTTGAACTTCTTATAGTTTTTAATGAAAAGATTATTCCAAAAATACGGTCTTTCATGCCTGAGTAAAACAAAACAATTTTCTTAATAGTTAAGTATAGAAATCATTGAAGAATTAGAATTAGTTTTTGGCAATGTTTTTGTAATTTTCCCTCCTACCAATGTGATGTCACAGATTGAAGTGGAGAACAACTTAAGATGAAAAACGTATCTTCAGAAAAAAAATTGAGATTTTTAATTAATACTAAGATAATATACAAAATAATAATATCTTTATTTGAACTGCCGATAGGGGCTTTTCTATGTTCTTTACATGCAGTATCTCATTTAATTAATATAAAATATTGACTACATTGATTATAACATTGCTTACCCATTTCGATATACAGTATCTATTGTTTATTATTATGATTAATTATATTTAGAGATTAGGAATCTGAATCTGACACTCAAAGAGAAAGTACTCATTTGGGATCACTTTTGGGTGAGTTATTCACATGGAACTTTAAATTCAGCACATTGCTTCAAGATCCCATGTGATGGACACCTTTGTCTCAGTATGCCATACCTCTTCCAAGTAAAAGGGCAAAATTTTTTGATTTTTTTAATTTATTTTCTTTATTGAGGTAAATTTTGCATAAAATAAAATTCACTTCAAAGTGTATGATTCAGTTGCATTTAGTACATTTTAAATATCGCACAAACATCACTAGGATCTAATTTTACATCATTTTTATCACACCAAAAAAACCCCACATATTCACTAAGCAGTTACTTCTCTCTTCGACTCAGCCCCTGGGTCCTACTAACATGTTTTCAGTATCTATGGATTTGCTTATTACGGACATTTCATGTAAGGGGGATCATACAACATTTGGACTTTTGTGTCTGGCTTCTTTTACTTCGCATAATGTTTGCAATATTCCTCTTTATAGATGAATAATATTTCATTGTATGAATTTACCACATTTATCTCTTTATTAATTAATGAGCACTTAGGTTGTTTCTACTTTTTGGCTACTGTAAATGGTACCGCTATGAACATTCATATACACGTTTTTGATTAACAATATGTTTATAATTTTCTTGGATGTAAAGTTAGGAGTGGAATTTCTGGGTCATATGATAATTAAATGTTTCCCTTTTAGAGGAATGGCCAAACTGTTTTTCACAGAAGCTGCACCATTTTACATTCTCACCAACAATGATTTATCCACACATTTGACAACATTTATTTTCTGTTTTTTAATTGTTATGATAGTCATTCAAGTGGAAGTGCTATTTCATTGTGGTTTGGACTTTCATTTCCCTGATGACTAACGATATTGACCATCTTTTCATATGTTTATTGGCCATATGTACAACCTTTTTGGTGGAATATCTGTTCCATTTTTTGCCAATGTTCTAATTGGGTTGTTTGACTTTTTGTTGTGCATTGTAATACTTCTTTATATATTCTAGATACTAGACCACTGGCTCTGAAAATCCTCCAGCTTTTATAGTTTCCTTGTCATGTAGCCTGCTAAAGAGTACATGATTCCACTGGAGTGGCATTACTTCAATTACAGCTTCTTCATCAGTTATAGTTTGAGAGCATTGTACAGTTGATCATCATGCTTAGATTTGGCAATAAATCCCAATGGTTGTTTTAATGCATTGTATCAGTTTAGTAGAAAAGAATTGGGCCAAGAAGAATTTTGCATGTATTCTTCAGTCGTATTAAATCATTTGACACCATGTTTAAGGCAGACATTGTGTATGAGATGAAACTAACTATTCTAGCATTCTGATAGTTTGGGGAGTAAACCATTTAAAATAAAATTCTGTTTATTGAGTATGTACTGCATACAAGATACTGTACTGGATACATTAGGAAATACAAAGATGAAGCCCCAATATTTACAATCTATAGTTAGATTAAGACTTGATCTTAATGGATTAAAAAACATATATGAAGTAAAATGCCATAAAAGAGATACGAACGCTGCTATTAGAGTAAAAAATATATCTATTCTAGCTAGGTTGGGAAATTGCAGAAGTGATAAGAGGTAGATACTTCTATAGAATAAAAAAGTACTGAAAAAAATAAATTACAGGAAGAGGGTAAAATAAACAGGAGCACAGAACCTATGAAGTTAAAATACATTTGAGAAACAGCTAATGCCCTAAGTCAGGTTGCGTGGAATATGAATTATACTTTGAGAAATGACAGTTGATTCAGTAAGAAAGCTGAATATTATTCTCTCCTAAAGTGACCCACTCTTTCCTACACTGTGTCAGTTTTAATCTGACACTTTCATAAGGTCCAGACCAAACACCCCCAATTTCCTAAAACCATCCTTAATCTTTCCAACTTAAAATAAATAGCTGTTCCTCTAAAATCCAACAGCACTTTATTTGATCTTCCCTCACAGCATTTTCCAATCATGAGGGTGGAATGTGTTATGTTGACATTTTCTTATGGACAGGAAAGCCAAGAATGCATTGCACATAGGAGATGCTTAAAAAATGTAGTAAATTTATAAATCAAATTCATGGAAATAGAACAGAAATAAATATTTTTGCAAGGCCATAGATTCCCAACTAAGAAATTTTAACATTATCCAGGAAGTAAATGAGGTGTCTTTGAAGGTATTTTAAAGAGTAGTTACATTTTAATAGTCATATTATTCTTTACAAATGGGATTATATCAAGCTAAAAAGCTTCTGCACAGTAAAGGAAACATCAACAGAGTGAAGAGACAACCTAGAGAATGGGAGAAAATATGCAAACTACCTATCTGACAAAGGATTTAGAACCAGAATATATGACAAACTCAAATCAATAGCAAAAGAAAACTCCAAATGATCTCATTTGAATATGACAAAATAACCTGAATAGACATTTCTAGAAATAGGAAATACAAATAGCCAATAGGCGAAAAAGTGCTCAACATCACTAACTGTCGGAAAAAAATGCAAATAAAAACCACAAGATACTATCTCACTCCAGTTAAAATGGCTATCATAAAAGAAATTTAAATACTGGTAAGCATGTGTGGAAAAGGAAACTCCCATACACTGTTAGTCAGAATAAAAATTAGTATAGTTATTATAGAGGGTTCTCAAGAAACTAAAACTAGAAATACAGTATCATCCAATAATCCCACTGCTGGGTATAAATCTCAAAGAAAGAAAATCAGTATGTGGAAGAGACACCTGCACTCCCATGTTCACAATAGCCAAGATATGAAATCAGCTTAAATGTCCACCAATGGATGAGTAGATGAAGAAAATGTAGTATATATACACAATGGAATATTATTCAGCCATAAAAATAATAAAATCCTATTACTTGCAGCAATATAGATGAACCAGGAGGACATTATGTTAAGTGAAAGAAGCCAGACACAGAATGTCAAATATTGCATGTTCTCATTTATATGTGGGATCTTAAAACATTGATCTTATGACGGTAGATGGTAGAATGGTTATTGCCAGAGGCTAGAAAGGATAAAGAAGATGGGAGATGAATAAAGGTTGGTTAATGGGTACAAAATTATTGTTGGATAAAAGAAACACATTCTAGTGTTCAATAGCACAGTGGGATGATTATAGTTAGCAATAATGTATTGTATATTTCAAAATAACTAGAAGAGAAGATTTGGAATGTTCAAAATACACACATAAAAGTGATAAATGTGTGAAATGATGGATATTCCAATTACCCTGATTTGATCAATCCAAACTTTTTGCATACATCAATATAGCTGTGTCCCAGAGATTCTGGTATATTGTACCTTTGTTTTATTAATTTTAAAGAATTTCTGGATTTGTGCCTTAATTTTATTGTTTACCCCAAAGTTATTCATGAGCAGTTTGTTTAATTTCCATGTAGTTGTGTAGTTTTGAGAGATCTTCTTAGTACTGATTTCTATTTTTTATTTCACATTTATCCAAGAGTATGGTTGGTATGATTTATGGCAGAACATGTCGTCAAAACAATCATATTATGTATTTACTTAATTTCAAAGTAAATATTTTATTAGTTAATTTACTCACATGGTTAAGAACACGACATTAACAATAACATATTGTTAGTGTAATATATTAATATATTGTATATTGCTTGAAAATCAAAGCCCAGTAAAACACAACTGAAACTGCCTGAAGTTAAAAAAAAAAGCATTTTTAACACAAAAAAGCTAATAATTTAAATAAAAGAGAATTTTTGACAAGGTATTTGGGAAATAATGGCCAATTTTCAGGAAAATTATTGCTTCAAATGAAATTAGAAAAATTAAGCTATGATAAATTTTGCCAGATAATTCAAAATTTTTCTCAAGGGAAAAATTATGGGGTACAAGTAAATCTAAAGAAAAAGAAATTATAAAATAGTTCACTGAAGTGTAATACCTACTGTAATGATTCGAATCAAAATACATCCAACAATTTTCAGACCAAAAATTTTAAAGGGAAAGCTCATTTTTCTATTGCACTAGTAGACTAATCTAAAGACTATTCTAGGTGCTATTTTTTATTATTCCATGTATTCTAAACATTTGGCAATATCTTATTTACCAGGAATTTCAATTCCTCATTCCTTTTTTTTTTCTTTGAGATGGAGTCTCGCTCTGTTGCCCAGGCTGGAGTGCAGTGGCTCAGTCTCGGCTCACTGCAAGCTCTGCCTCCCGGGTTCACGCCATTCACCTGCCTCGGCCTCCCCAGTAGCTGGGAGTACAGGTGCCCGCCACTGCGCCCTGCTATTTTTTTTTTTTTTTTTTGAGACAGAGTCTCGCTCTGTCACCCAGGCTGGAGTGCAGTGGCACAATCTTGGCTCACTGAAAGCTCCGACTCCCGGTTTCACACCATTCTCTTGCCTCAGCCTCCCAAGTAGCTGGGACTACAGGCACCCGCCACCACGCCCAGCTAATTTTTTTATATTTTTAGTAGAGACGGGGTTTCACCATGTTAGCCAGGATGGTCTCGATCTCCTGACCTCATGATCCGCCCGTCTCAGCCTCCCAAAGTGCTGGGATTACAGGTATGAGCCACCATGCCCGGCCTCAATTCCTCATTTCTAAAGCACAGATAACTCCACCTTAAACTCGTGGGTTCATGTGTTTTCTGATTATTTCATTTAAGACCAGTCCCTCTTTATAACTACGATGGCAAAATTTGCTTCTCAGAAGGAAGGTAAAAGTGTTATGTCTGTGAGTCATGTACTACACAACACCGGCCCAGGATAAGGGTTCTGGTTCTTTACCTCTGCTGCAATTCTCTTTTACCTGGTATTAAATAATTAAATATGACTCTATAATAAAGTTAATTTCAAATCTCAAACAGACTCTTGAAACTATTCTCACAATGTGTAGCATCATTTATTCAGTGTAATTAAACAAACCCACTTTGCACTAAGTGATTCTAAGCATCTTGCTGTGGGAAATACAAAAATACACAAATGATGTTTTTTCTATCCTTAACTACAGTTTTGAACTCGAAGGAAAAACACCCTCTGCAGAAATCCCCATAATGAAATGAGGACTGTGGTAAGTACTACAATAAAGGTACTTATAAATTTGTAATGAATTTTTCTCAGGTCAAATCAACCTGAAGAGTGTATCAGTATCACAGTATCAGTAATAAACTATTCTCTTCTGACGGTATTCTAACAATCTAGTACCTGAACCACCAATTACCCACAAACAGCCCTAATGTCATATTTCTTGTTCATTTTTCTGTCTTATTAAGTAGACTCTAGTCTGCCTCAGCGTGGGAGTCATGTACATCTAGTTATTATATTCCTATACCAAATACTATACTTTGTTCACAAATGTTTGTTGAATAAATGACTTCATGCATAAAACAAGGGTCCTACTTCTAAGTCGCCTGTGTATGTATGCTCCCCACATATGTGGCACCCATCTTTTTCACCCTGTCCACTCTAGCTGTGCAGTGATGTCTCCTATTTAATTGCTGGTGCTGTTGACCTGGAACAGCAGCCTTGTTGTTGTTAATACCTTCAACTTACAGGCCACAGCTTGATGTTTTACATTTTCTCCTACTTTATTTTTACTTCCTATGTATTCTTACGCTATTATGCCTGATCAGTGTTCCAGGAATTACTCCAATTAAAAAATGGGTTCCTTCACTACTATCTAGAGTCTATCTGTTGTCTACATCAGGGGTCCCCAACCCCCAGTACTGGTCTGTGGCCTGTTAGCAACTGGGCTGCAGAGCAGGAGGTGAGCAGCAGGTGGAGCACATGAAGCTTCATCTGTATTTACAGCTGCTCCCCATGGCTCACATTACCACCTAAGCTTTGCCTCCCATCAGATCAGCAGTGGCATTAGATTCTCATAAATGTGAACCCTATTGTGAACTGCACATGTGAGGGGTCTAGGCTGTACACTCCTTATGAGAATCCAATGCCTGATGATCTGTCACTGTCTCCCATCACCCCTAGATGGAACTGTGTAGCTGCAGGTAATGAAGTTCAGAGCGCCCACTGATTCTATATTATGCTGAGTTGTGTAATTATTATATGTTACAATGTAATAATAGAAATAAAGAGCACAATAAATGTAATGTGCTTCAATCATCCCCAAACCATGCCCCTGCCCTCGTCCATGGAAAAACTGTCTTCCAAGAAACTGATCCCTGGCACCAAAAATGTTGGAGGCTGTTGTTCCATGTTATCGACAGCAAGGCAAAGATTTTGAAGTGTCATTGACTTTAATGAACCCATCAATGCAACCCCTTCCCTGTGGAACTCAGACATGGGTCTAAATGGGTTGGGAGAAAGCAAAACCTTCAGTGACACATTTGGTATTATAGTCAGAATCCCCATTTCCCTCCAACATAAATTTATTTTCTTAGGATCAAGTTTGTATACCTTGATTATCTCTGCACTTTAAGTAAATCACTTTCTAAGAGACTCCACGGCCTTATTATAATAAATCCCCTGTAGAATAAATCCACCTGGACTTCCAGATATAACTAAATTTTGAGGTAAAATGTTGAGGGACATATAACAAAGTAATAACATTGAAATTTTTAATTCAATTATATTCTGAGTTGCTACAGATTAACTCAGAGAAGAGATTGTCGTAAATAAATAACTGGTTTGTTATTTTAGTTATTTAACATGATAATGGAAAGAACAAATCTTGAAGTCCAAAGACAGGAATTATTTGTTGAAGATTCAAGTAACCTTGGTTTGAAATCTGGCTAAGTCACTTCTGATTTCTATATATGTTAAATACAAGTTTGGAGAAAGTACAACCTCTGAGCTTTAGTTTTCTCATTCATAAAGATTGAATATTCACAAGTTTCTTTTGAAGATTAAATGAAGTGATCAAGTGAAATTGAAAGCAACTTGCAAATTGAATAACACAGTACAAATATTAGTTGTTGATTTCCTCTTTAACTTCACACACTCTCCTATTTTCCTCTCTTCCTATCTTCAAAGCCCTTGATGCCAGAGAGAAATTCAGCATGCTACATAAAACTTTAAAACACAAATTTTTACATAATAAAAATCACACAATCTAAGTTTTCAATACAACTCATGATGAACCATAGTCTTAATTCCCTCTTAATATCAAATTTTTGAAAATCATCCCACAATTATGATTTTTTAATCCATATTTCAGTGAGGCTCTAAATTCTTCAATCTGTCATGACAGGAAAAATGAACAATTAGAATATTGTAATATGCTCTAGAATAATATTTTTTAAATTTATTCAACCATTTCCCATGTTCCAAAATATATTTTACATTTAGTCCAGTATGTATATACATATGCACACAGAAACAACCACACACAAATATACACACACATACACACACACACACACACACACACACACACACACACAAAGTTCTCAGGAAGCAGTACTTAATCTTACTAGAGGTGATGCATTACAATATGTTCTCATCTATTATATTCTATTCAATTATTTTAAATTTGGTGCTATCTGTTAAATTGATTTGACAGCCTACTGCTGGTTGTGACTCAAAGTTTGAAAAATAATGCTCTAGTTCAATTGTTAGGGTTTCTTTCTGTTAAGGATCTTGTTGAAAATAACAGAAACCCACTGTACTTTCTAAAGTAACAGAGTCTACTGTTACCTAGAGCTGCCATAACAAAATACCACAGACTGGGTGACTTGAACTACATACATTTATCTTCTCACAGTTGTACAGGCTGGCAGTCTGAGATCGAGGTGCTGTAAGAGTAGGTTTCTGGTGACATCTCCCTCCCTGGCTTATCTACAGCCACCTTCTCTCTGTCTTTGCACACCCTTTCTTCTGTGCACATGCAGAATGAAAGAGGGAAATCGCTGATGTCTCTTCCTTTCCTTATAAGGACACCAGTCCTATTGGATTAACTTTCTGACCTCATTTAACCTTATTATCTAATTATAAGTGCCATCTCCAAGTACTGTCACATTGGGGATTAGGACTTAAACCTATGAACTTGGGGGAATTGGAGATACAATCAGTCCGTAATATCTGCTCTTGCTAATTCAAGTAGAAAATAAGTTTATGAGTAGAACACCAGACATCTCACAGAATCAACAAAGAACAGAAATTAAGATAGTCTTCTGGGTAGCAGAAAGGAAAGCCAAGATCTTAACCATGGTAATTGTCTGGTTGAGGTACAACTGCCTGTGCTGCCACCTCTGGTCATTCCCTGATGACGCCACCAGAAGTGAACGTCCTTTCATATCTAGAATTCCTGTTGCAGAGCTCTTAACTCCACAGAGGCAGCTTCGAGTAATTTGTCTCTTCAATGTGTATGTCCTTCTCCAGATGCAAAGTCTGGGTGAAAAGCATGTAACTCTCTAATAAGAGATCATGTGTACAGCAAGGAAATTTGAAGGCGAGCTGCCAAAAACATAACAAATATACAGTACAATGTTATTTTTAATCTCTGATCATGTAGTATCATTTATAACTCACAGGTTTCAATGAAATCTTATGGGACAGTAATTTATATCTGTATCGTCTTCTACCAATAGTAGTACAATGAGAACAAGATGAGAAAAGGGACAAGGATGGAGACTTTCTGAATCATCACTTAATTCCTGATATCCAGTGGGATAGGATCTTCTTGAATGCAAAGGCAATAGAAGGGACACCCATTAGTCAAATGGAGATCGGGGTCCTGTGGCAGATCCCCTGCCTCTCGAAACTTCTTGAACCTTCTCTGCCCTATCCCTCACCCCCACCCAGAGCTGACTTATATGTGGCATATAAATGTTTCCTTTGGCATCTGGTTAAATTTGGTGAAAGGGGAGCTTGGCGGAAGATCAGTGGGAGGGAAAAGAATGAAGTCCACATATTTATTCCTCATCTCCCTTCCTGCAAGGCTGCCTTGAGCTGGCTCATTCCCTCCACTGAAGGTCACTGAATCTCTCAAGGCAGCTGACTCTTCAGAAATCTTTCCCTCCACGTTCTAGTAATTGCCCCTCACCTTCTCCCTTCAATATTCCAGGAGGTTACAGTTCTGCTCCTACACTATCCACACCTATGTCTTGGTAAATAGCCTGTATTAGTCACAGTTCTATGGAGGGACAAAACTAATAGGATAGATGTATATATGAAATGGAGTTTATTAAGGATAATTGACTCACACAATCACAGGGTAAAGTCTCACGATAGATCATCTGCAAGGTGAGGAGCAAGGAAGCCAGTGGTGGATCAGTCCGAGTCCCAAAACCTCAAAAATAGGGAAGCTGATGGTGCAGCCTTTAGTCTGTGGCCAAAGGCCTGAGAGCCCCTGGCAAACCACTGGTGTAAGTCTCTCCAAGAGTCCAAAAGCTGAAGAAAGTGGAGTCTGATGTTTGAGGGCAGGAAACATCCAGCATGGGAGAAAGAGAAAGACTGAGAAAGACCCAGCAAGTCTGCTCTTCCATTTTCTCCTGCCTGGTTTATCCTAGCCACACTGGCAGCTGATTAGATGGTGCTCACCCAGATTGAGGGTGGGTCTGCCTCTTCCAGTCCACTGACTCAAATGTTAATCTCCTTTGGCAGCATCCTCACAGACACGTCCAGGAACAATACTTTGCATCCTTCGATCCAATCAAGTTGACACTCAATATTAACCATCACATAGCCTGAATATCTTTTTGGTCTATCCTGTTTCAAGTATGCCACCCACTTCTTCTTGGGATTTTGGCAAATACAAGCCACATTCTGACTTTGTCAAAATTATATACCCTCGGTTAAGTAAAAAATTGTTTGACCTCAGTTGTTTATAAAATATGTAAAATAAGAGTAATTGTGCTACTTAAGAATATGATTACAGTAAATCTGAAAATGCTAAAAGCATTATTAAAATTATCATTAGAAATATTAAATTTCAAATTTTAACTGTAAGAATCAAATGTGGTAAAATGTAATAAAGCATAAAAATCAATCACTTGAGGAATAAAACTGATACAATAAGATTTTCTCACTCTATTTAAAGAAAAAAGACTCAGTTAACCGCTATTTTTAATAATCCTTTTAATTCCAATAGAAACAATGACATCTTAGACATGTTCTAATGTTATCACCACACTATATCAAATTTAGCAGCTTAATTTGGTTAAGCACAATTAATTTTCTGGCAAAATGAATTCCTTAATAAAGGAAACATGTTGTCTCTCTCAGTGCACCAAAGAGAAAGATAACATCTCTGAAACAATAAGCAATATTTAGGGGGTTTTTTTTCCCCCAGTGCTGAACCTGAGAAAACAAAATGAAAAGATTTATACTTGAAAGTGGAATTTTAGTTTTGTTGACTCTGATTCCTCCTCAGAAATACCCCAAGAGACGGTAATACCTGGTAGCCATGGCAATGCATTGTGGAGAGAGGAACCCCAAATCCTCAAAAAGGGCCTGACTGCGGGATGCTAGATGGCTGAAGCATCAGCTTAAATTGAGGAAAACTCCTAGAGGCTCCAGAAAAATACGTGAGTAGCATTCTACTTTCCATGAGCAAATATAGAAAGAGCCCATGACACATATGTTGTTACTCTTAATGTTATCCGCACATCTGTAATCCTGATACGTCTTAGGGAAACTTGTTCTCCCTAAAAATGTGAGACTATTCTAAATGCATCAAGGCACTTCCTACTTTCTACTAGTCTCTCTCTCTCTCCACACACTGCATACACTACCTGCAGGTGTATCATTTAGGGTAACACTAGTATCTGCTTCACTAATCCACATCCCAAACTTTTAATAGCTGAAATTTGATAGAAGTCTATTTTTACTCATCTTCAACAGCCACATGTGTGAGTGTGTTTGCAGGCAGTAAGCATGGGGGGAGTGTTCATTCAGGGATAAACCTTCTTCACCATCAACCCATTCTTTCTAAAGTCACCATGGTTGTCTCCATCTGCTCAATGGAAAGGGAACAAGCATGATGATCTATAATGAGAGGCTTTTAAGGGCTACAACAAGAACATATTTTTTACAAACATCCTATTATAGTTCAGTCATATGTTTATACCTAAGTACGAATTAATTCTAGCTAGCCATGTTGTCAGAAACTGTTTTTAGTTAACACTTGGCAGATGATGCCATAACAAATTTATTGTTTTGTTTTTACTACTTATCATAATTTTGGCAAACTTTCTGTTTTTTCTTCTACTTTTATTTTAGGTTCCATGGGTACATGGGTAGGTTTGTTACATGGATAAGTTGCCTGTCACTGAGGTTTGGCATATGAATGATCTCATCACCCAGGTAGTGAGCATAGTACCTGATAGGTAGCCTTCCAACCCGTGACCCTACTCCACTCTCCCTGCTCAGGTCATCCCTAGTGTCTATTGCTCCCATGTTTGTGTCTATGCACTCAATGTTCAGCTCCCACTTGTAAGAAAGAACATGCTAGTAGTTGGTTTTCTTTTCCTGCATTAGTTCGCTTAGGGTAATGGCCTCCAGCTACATCCCTTTTGCTACAAAGGACATGATTTCATTCCTTTTTATGGCTACACAGCATTCCATAGTGTATAGATACCACATTTTCTTTATCCAGTCCACTGTTGTTGGGCACCTAGGTTGATTCCATGTCTTTGATATTGTGAATAGTGCTGCAATGAACATATGAGTACATGTGTCTTTTTGGCAAAACAATTTATATTCCTTTGGGTATAAACTTGGTAGTGGGATTGCTGGGTTGAATGGTAGTTCTGTTTTATGTTTTTTTGAGAAATCTATACATTGCCTTCCACAGTGACTGGAATAATTTACATTCCCAACAGTGTATAAATGGTTCCTTTTCTCTGAAGCCTTGCCAGCATCTGTTGTGTTTTGACTTTTTAATAATAGCCATTCTGACTGGTGTGATATAGTATCTCATTGTGGTTGTGATTTGCATTTATCTAGTGATTAGTGATAATAAGCATTTTTTCATATACTTGTTGGGTGCATGTATGTGTTCTTTTCAGAAGTGTCTATTCATGTCCTTTGCCCATTTTTTAATGAGGTTGCTTGATTTTTGTTTTTTAAATTGCTTAAGTTCCTTATAGATTCTGGATATTATGCCTTTGTCAGATGCATAGATTGTGAACATTTTCTCCCATTCTGTAGGCTGTCTGTTTACTCTCTTGATAGTTTCTTTTGCCATGCAGAAGCTCTTTAGTTTAATTAGGTCCCACTTGTCAATTTTTGGTTTTGTTACAATTGCTTTTGGAGATTTTATCATAAATTCTTTGCCAAAGCTGATGTCCAGAATGGTATTAGGTTGGTGCAAAAGTAATTGTGGTTTTTGCAATATTTTTAATGGCAAAAACCACAATTTCATTTGCACCAACGTAATATTTCCTAGGTTTCTTCTAGATTTTTGTTTTAGGTCTTACATTTAAGTATTTATATTGAGTAAATTTTTGTATATGGTGAAAGGAAGGAGTTCAGTTTAAATCTTCTGCATATGACTAGCCAGCTATTCTGGAACCATTTATTGAATAGGGAGTCCTCTCCCCATTGTTTATGATTGTCAACTTTGTCAAAAATGAGATGGCTGTAGGTGTTTGGCTTTATGTCTGGGTTCTCTATCCTACTGCATTGATCTACGTGTCTGTTCTTGTATCAATACCAGGTTGTTGTGGTTACTGTAGCCTTTTAGTATGAAGTCAGGTAGTGTGATGTTTCTGGGTTTGTTCTTTTTGCTTAGGATTGCTTTGGCCACTCTGGCTGCTTTGGTTTCATGTGAAAGGGAATTATGGAATAGTTTTTTTTCTGATTCTTTGAAAAATGACATTGCTAGTTTGATAGAAATAGCACTGAATTTGTAAGTTGCTTTGCTAAATGGAAATTTGGTCATTTTAGCAACATTGACTCTTCCTATCTCTGAACGTGGAATGTTTTTCCATTTGTTTGTGTTGTCTCTGCTTTCTTTCAGCTGTGTTTTGTAATTCTAATTGTAGAGATCTTTCACCTCCTTGGTAAGCCGTATTTCTAAGTATTTTACTCATTTTGTGGCTACTGTGAATGGGATTGTGTTCTTGCTTAGGCTCTCACCTTGAATGTTGTTGGTGTACAGAAATGCTGCTGATTTTTCTACATTTATTTTGTATTCTGAAACTTTGCTGAAGCTGTTTATCAGTTCTAGGAGACTTTTGGCAAAGCATATGGGGTTTCTAGATATAGAATCACGTCATCTGCCAAGAGAGATAGTTTGCCTTTCTTTCTTCCTAGTTGGATGCCTTTTATTCCTTTCTCATGCCTGACTCCTCTGGATAGGACTTTGAATACTGTGTTGAACAGGAGGGCTGAGAGAGAGTATCCTTGTCTTGTTCCAGTTTTCAAGCGAAATGCTTCCAGCTTTTGCCTGTTCCATGGATGTTGCCTGTGGATTTGTTATATGCAAGCTTTCTTTGAAGTAATCAAACTCAGTAGATTCACAATATCCTATTATATGTATATACATTCATGTATTATTTCCTCAATCAGGAGTTGACTAAGCTCAGGATTTATAAATCACACTGCCATGAACAGTTTTGGGAGTCTTCATCATACAATTGCTTTTGGAGACTTCATCATAAATTCTTCGCCAAAGCTGATGTCCAGAATGGTATTAGGCTGGTGCAAAAGTAATTGTGGTTTTAATTAATGTATAATTAATTACTATTTATCAAGTAATTTTCCCAGAAGAAATGTATAAAAAAGAAAAACACTGAGAACATGTTAAAATCTCCTAATTCTTGATAACCTTGCACATTGCTTTTCAGAAAGATTGGACCAATTCATATCTCCTTGGAAAGAATGTGAGAGGGCTCAGCTCACTAATCCCTTGTTGGTTTAACAGTGTCTCATTCATATTTCCCAAATTGACTGCCAAAACAATCAGCAAAAATACTGCTTGAAATTATATTTCATTGTTTATTAACATGGTTAAGTATGTCTTCAGAAATGTTTTCTATTTGCAGTCTCTTTTGTATATTTCTTTTTTTAGCTCTGTTAGTTTAAATAAGACATATACATAGCTGGCATGTCTGTTTCAAAATTTTAACAAAATTTTTGGCCTTTCACTTGTGTGAATTTTTATGTGGTTAGAAAAAAAAGGCATATAAACATAAGTTCAATGGATGAAAGTATAAAGAAAATAATCTTGGCAATACTATCCTATCTCAAAATAATATAAAGATTCATCTTTTAGAGACTTTATCCCTTTTCTTTCTTCTTCCCCTTTTGTTTTACTTAATCCATCTTGAATTGATCTTGAAATAGAGTGTGAACAAAGATCAAAAGAGCAAAATTAAACACTTTCCTCACAGCCAGTTTCCTCAGCACATTTTATTGAATTATTAGTTCTTTCTCCATTGATTTATTACGCTTAATTTTATCATAGGTTAAGCTTATTTGAATAATGTATATAATTGAGGGTACACTTTTATCAGCATCATCACTTTATCATCTTCATTTAAAACTTCACAAGAATAGACACCTTAATGCAGATATTGCCACTTAATTTTAAGAGCCATATACTCTGTTTCAAAACTTTATATACAAGCGATCGTCATAACCGATAGGAGGTGAAAATGAAGTGGCAGGACTAAGTCAGACACTCATCACAGCAAAAGAAATAGAAAATGTGCCCTGCTTTTTCTAAAAGAACATTTTTTATTCTAAATGACGTTTAATATATGCAAACAGGGTTTAGCTAAAGAGCCAATGTAATACAAGAAATAAATTTCCTGATATATATGAGGATTAGTTGAATTTCCAAACCCTTCTTAACACTTCACTGGAAACTAATCCATTCTGTAGACTTAAGGAAAGGTTAAAACTCTTCTATCAAAACTGTGCTGTACAAAAATAATCAGAATGTAATTGAGGCACTGACAGCATCTCAAAGCACTGTCTATTACTCTATACTCTTTATATGTCTATCAAGGTGTTTTGGGAGCCCTCAGCTAAACTGGGATTCCAGTACCAGAGCTGCCAGCAACCTACTCTAATGGGAGAGGAAGGGGAGCTGGACATGGGTGTTTACAGAGTATCTCTCACAGGATCTTTCTTTTACCTATTTGTCCTACCCGTTACCAGGATCTCTCACACAGGAAACTTGTTTATACTGGCAGACACCTTTGTGGCTCTTTTCTGACCCATATTCACTTTTCACCTGTCTGAACATCACTCTGGTGCAAGGAGGCTGATCTTGTGTTCTCCAGGAGCTCTGGGGAAAACCCAACATGGGGAAGCCCCTGGTTCTTCGGAAGGAGGGTGCAAATTCAATACACCACCACAATGGAAAACAAGTTCAGAGACTTTTATTTATAGATGCTAGGCAAGGAGGTTGTTATGAGTTAGGAGGGCAGTTCTCCTGCCCTGAGTCACAGGAGGCAGGAATGAAGAATCAGGCAGAGAAACGGAAGAGTATTTAGCAGCTAGGAGGACATATAGGGAAGAGGATGTGGGTCACCCTAAGGATGCAGACAAATTCCTTTGTGGTCCGTTTAAAGGACAGCAGTACAGTGGGAAGCCCAATCTGCTGGGCGGGGTAAATGCCTCTAAGTTCTAGTCTCAGCCACGAGCTTGAGCCATTTGAGTGTGGTGTAGAATTGGATACTGTGTAAAGGCCAACTGAGCCCTGCTTCTGGTATGAGAAAGCTAACTCTGAATTCAAAATGGATGCTGAGACAACATAAAATTATTATAATTCACTATATAAGGAAAAACCTAAACTTTGAATCTAACCAATACTAAAACAATTCAGGATATATGAATACACAGAAAATACTCATTAGTGGCTTTAAATATAAGAGAAAATTTTATTCTGTTTAGAAGTATAAATGACAACTTTTAAACCTCACCCTACATATAAATTGGCATAACCTGTCAGGAGAACTCTTTGTCACTATCAAAGCCCACACACATGAACAATGATCCAGTAATTCCACTTCTAGGTAATACCCAACACAAATGTGCACCAAAAGGTAAAAACAAAAATGTTGGTAGAAGCACTATTCACAACAGCTAAAACCCAGACAAACAAATCATGGTATATTCATTGAGATACTACAGAGCAGTGAAAGTGAACTAAATATTCTAAACAAACACAATATTAACAAATCTCATCAACAATGTTGAGCAAAATCAGCAAGAATGTATACTATGTTATTCTACATATATAAGTTAAAAGTAGCCAAAGCTAATCTATGGTGTTAGAAGTCCAACGTGGTAGGTACCTTACGTGAGATCGCTAATATAGGAAAGCAGGAACAGAGGGGAAGGGACAAACGTCACAGAATGACTCTACTAAGAAAAAGGATGTACATGCTCACTGTTTTATTTTGGTGCCTAGCATCCCCTATTGTAAGCTGGTCAGCATTCCTCCTCCCCAGGCACATATAGATGTCAGGACGAATGGCACATGGGCACCAATGCTTAGGCTATAAAGCTTATTATTCATATAGCAAACAGCAAAATGATTCCTCAAGAAAAACCCGTATTTCTTTCAGAGTAAAACAAGAGAGGAGGGGAGTGGTGGCTTGGATTTTTGTTGTGGCTGAGAGTTGAGCCTAGATAGAGGTACCCACCCAGGTGGAGCTTGGCTGATTTGAAATTGCCACCACTGCCAAGGGATGGAGGGTGCTGGGCTTTCTAATCAGGTTGCCCAGATATCAGGTAAAGGGTAAAAAGGAGAGTGGGGACATGAAAGTTGTCAGAGGTCAAACATTCAAAACGGAGTCTCTTTACTACAATTATAGTTAGACATTTATGTTAAAGTATGTCTTATGAAATTATATTTAAAAATTTAAAAAACAAAAAAGCATTACAGCAAAAGGAGAAAAATCTTTTATTCTTTTGTGCAAAATACAGCCTCTCTATTCTATATCCAAATGATGCCCTCTTCAGTTATGGGTAAATCTCAAGAACCTTACAAAATAAACTGGGTGTGTATCTCACATGTTTATACCAGGCCATTAGAAATTATGATAACTTTAAAACCCTAGAAGAAAACCTAGGCAATACCATTCAGGACATAGGCATGGGCAAGGACTTCATGTCTAAATCACCAAAAGCAATGGCAACAACAGCCAAAATTGACAAATGGGATCTAATTAAACTAAAGAGCTTCTGCACAGCAAAAGAAACTACCATCAGAGTGAACAGGCAACCTACAAAATGGGAGAAAATTTTTGCGATCTACTCATCTGACAAAGGGCTAATATCCAGAATCTACAAAGAACTCAAACATATTTACAAGAAAAAAAAAACAACCCCATCAACAAGTGGGCAAGAGATATGAACAGACACTTCTCAAAAGAAGACATTTATGCAGCCAACAGACACATGAAAAAATGCTTATCATCACTGGCCATCAGAGAAATGCAAATCAAAACCACAATGAGATACCATCTCACACCAGTTAGAATGGCGATCATTAAAAAGTTAGGAAACAACAGATGCTGGAGAAGATGTGCAGAAATAGGAACACTTTCACACTGTTGGTGGGACTGTAAACTAGTTCAACCATTGTGGAAGTAGGTGTGGCGATTCCTCAGGGATCTAGAACTAGAAATACCATTTGACCCAGCCATCCCATTACTGGGTATATACCCAAAGGACTATAAATCATGCTACTATAAAGACACATGCACACGTATGTTTATTGCGGCACTATTCACAATAGCAAAGACTTGGAACCAACCCAAATGTCCAACAACGATAGACTGGATTAAGAAAATGTGGCACATATACACCATGGAATACTATGCAGCCATAAAAAATGGTGAGTTCATGTCCTTTGTAGGGATATGGATGAAGCTGGAAACCATCATTCTCAGCAAACTATCACAAGGACAAAAAACCAAACACCGCATGTTCTCACTCATAGATGGGAATTTAACAATGAGAACACCTGGACACAGGAAGGGGAATGTCACACACCTGGGCCTGTCGTGGGGTGGGGGGAAGGGGAGGGATAGCATTAGGAGATATACCTAACGTAAATGACGAGTTAATGGGTGCAGCACACCAATATGGCACATGTATACATATGTAACAAACCTGCACAGTTGTAAACATGTACCCTAGAACTTAAAATATAATAAAAAAAGAAATTATGGTAACTTTTATGTGTGTTCAGTCCTAACAGCTAGTTTTGAAGTTGTACAGTTATATTCCTTCCTTCATTAGCTATGCAGTAGGCATAAATATTTTAGATAAATGAAAGATCTTATATTACCTGTTTTATTCACACGTGGCCTATAATTTATGGCTCAAACAAGATTGCAATATTTGATCAAGAGAGAGGACAAGAGGTTTCAGCAAAAGGCAATGTTTCTCAAAATTAAATTACCAACCTGTCTTTCCTCAAATCTTCCCTAAAGTAGAATTTCTCCTGCTAAAGTAGAAAAACTATTGAAGCATTTTTGTTGTCTCAAAAAATCTTAAAATAATCCATTTCCTCTAAATGTGACAAAGAATACTTGTACTTCCCCACCTCCCCCCCCCAACCTTTATTTCAAAATCATATTTTAGAGAATGATTGTCTGGATATTCCTGTGACTTCCATTCCTTATCTCTGTGTAAAGAACTTTTAGGAATTTAGAAAGAAAAGTCCTCAGATCCAGTACTGCACAAACTCCAAGATAAAGTTTATAAATGTAGATTATGTGTTCTTTCTGCTCTGCTTATATTTTCTATCTGGTGCTGCCAAATATTGCATGAAACATACTTATGATAAAAAAATTATCATTGTTTGTCTGAAATTAACTGGGCATCCAATACATTTTTGTTTTGTAAATCTGGCAACCCTATTTCTTTTTTTTTTTTTTTTTGAGACAGTCTCTCGCTCTGTCACCCAGGCTGCAGTGCAGTGGGGCGATCTCTGCTCACTGCAACCTCCATCTCCCGGGTTGAAGTGATTCTCCTGCCTCAGCCTCCTGAGTAGCTGGGGCTACAGGCACCCGTCACCATGCCTGGCTAATATTTTGTATTTTTAGTAGAGACGGGGTTTCACTGTGTTAGCCAGGATGGTCTCGATCTCCTGACCTCGTGATCTGCCCGCTTCAGCCTCCCAAAGTGCTGGGATTACAGGCATGAGCCACCGCGCCCGGCCTGGCAACCCTGTTTCTATACAAGGAAGTTCTCATCTACCTGTGGATTCATCTTTCTGCTGCACGCTGATCACTGTCAGTCTCTCTCAAGTCACATCTTCCCACCTAAGACCCAACCGTCGTTTTCCACCTGCCTACTAGATTTTTCACTCGGCTGTTAGAGAGTCATCTCAAGTTCAGCGTATCTGAAGCTAAAACTTTCATCACTCCACTTCTAACAAAGTAAAATTATTTTCCCCGCCCCCACCACACTGTAACACACCAGATCCCACATTCATTCATCTCACCAGTATTTGTCGAGTATCTATTGTTGAGTGAACAAAACAGACAAATATCCTGTCCCCATGATGCTTTGCCCTTTTTTCAAGATCCTCTATAACCCGAACCCATCCTGGGTGTCCACACAGATTCCACGTGGATCTCCGTAATTTCTATTCGTTGCCTCAAAACATGCCGTCCTTACTCTGGCCTCTCCTATTTTTTCCTTTTTATCTCAACAACTCCCACTCTTCTCAGTGAATACTCCTTATGCTCAACTCGGACTAAAATCAAAAGAGAAAATTTATTTGTTTATAAAACTAAATCATCTAGAAATAGCATTAATCTTTCTGAAGGGGTAGATCTCAATGAATCGGAGACTATTGTCAAGGCGTATAATTCTCCTTGTCTTTCCCATCACTTCTTCAAGGTGTGGTCTTTCTGCCTGCACTTCATCATTCTCATCACTCAAGACACTGCAGTTGGTTTCCACGCCCATCACATTCTTCTTGCCCAAGTCCCCAGTGGCATTCTGCAAGTGCAGCACAATTGACACTTTGCAGACTTCATCCATGGACTTTCTCCAGCACATTTGACCTCATCATCAGCTCTCACATCTGATACTTCATAATGCCTTTGTTCCTGATTCTCTTCCTGCCTCCCTAGACTCTTCACACATTCTTCTACCCATTCGCCACATCTAGAAAAACTTAAGTGTTGATTTTTCACAGGGTTTCACCTTTGACCCAAAGCCCTTCCCACTTTCCATGGACAATCTTGTCTAAACACGTGCCTTCACCAGCTACCTATATATTTTAAATTTAAACTTGATCTCTCTTCTGTACCCCAATATTATAGTCTAGCTTTTTCACCTGAACTTTAATTCATCAAAACCAAGCTTATTACCATCCGATTTCTGTGCCATATTTGCCCTTTTTTCATTAGTAATTGTTGACACCTTCACCCACTCAGTTATCTAAAACAGAAATCTCAGAATTATTCAAGAGTCTTTCTTATGTTTCATTTGCCTCATTCGAGCCTATCCATTCTAGCTTCTGAATGTCTCTGGAATGACAAAATACCCTTCACTTCCACCCCTACCTCTGGCCACTCTAATTGAAACCTATAGGATTTGGGGACTCGAGTATTCCACTATACTTCTGAGCAGTTGCAAAGCTCAGGGACTTACATTATTCAAAGTGTTGTCTGCTCCACAGCTAGAGTGACCGTTCTAAAAACATCTTGCTTAGATTCTTCAGTGTCTTACCAATGAGATAAAGTTCCGACTCTTTAGTATGGTACATGAAGCTCTTCAGAGACTACTGGCTTTCTACTTCCAAGACTTATTATTTATTCTTTTTTATACAGAATTATTACCACATTCCTGTGCCCCTGCACACTGGTAAAGTTTCATACATCTTTCAATACTCTTCTAAACCATCACCTCTTCATTGAATCACTTCCTGACCTTGTCTGTCAACTTCAGGTAGAAGTAGAGATGCCTTTCTTTGTGGTCTTCCTGCACTTAGTTGATATGTCTCTGTCACAAGTTACTTTGAATTGTGCTTATTTCATCTTTCCCATTGCACATTCCCTCCATGGGCACACGTACTCTTTATATCCCCAGGACAAGTCATAAACTCTGGCAAATGAATAGTAGTTACAGTGAACTACTGACCATTCACTCATTCAACAACTACTTAATGACCTCATATGTTCCAGGCACTCTTACAAGTGGTGAAAATAAAAAAGTTAAAAATGTAGACAAATATTAGCTCTGATGGAGTTAATATTCTAACGAATCCTCAGAAATAACATACTTTAATAGTCATACAGTGAATTATTAGGAAATCCAGAATGTACAGTTATTTAGTGAATATCTATCAATTGATTGGATTTTCCTAACATTTACACCTAAGTGATATCTTGTTTCTCGTTAAAATAAAATTTTTAAATATAAAATTTAGTAATATTTTGTATAAAAATATAAATGTTTAATATATATTTTAAATACCAATATTTTAATATTTGAAATACTTTTAAACTGCCATTTTACTTTTATTGAAATGCTATCTTTTATAAAAATTAAATGAAATCAAGAAAAGATTGCATAAGTACTTTTCTTTTTCTATGAGCTATTATTTTGATCTAGTACATGGTTGGCCAATTCTGAATTTTTAACTGTATTATGAAATATACTATGCCTGTTCAGTTATGGGACACTGTTTTCTGAAAGCATCAAAGACAAACTAGAAAGCTTCCAGAAGTTAGTGACTAGAATGCAAAAAATGTTCTCATTCTTGTCAAATGGGAAATGGTGGAGAAATAGGAACGATTTGCCTACAAAAATTGATAATAAGAGTAATATTAATGATATTAAAGCTAGCACCTATAGAATTTTACTACATGTCACATATTGTTTAGTGCTCTTGACTTATATTAACATATATTAACTTACGTTAACCGATTTAATGTTCTACCTTTGCAGAGGTCACGTCATTTGCAAGTGGCAGAGTAAAGATTCTGGCAGAGTTCTCTTTTTAAAACATTTTTAATTTCTGTGGGTGCATAGATGTATATATTTCGGGAGTTCTCTTAGTCCGACACTAATCCATTTCCCTATATTAGGTTGCAATAGACCAGCAGCAGATATAATAACTGTTTTCTGTTTCATGGAAAATGATTAGAAGTCATTTAAAATCAAATCCTGACATAAAAATGTTAAGTTGCTGTTGAGATAATGAGCTGGGCACAATATGATCCAATGTGTGCATACTGTCATTCTGTGATGGGTGCCATGAATGGGCCTGTGTTCCCCCATCCCCACAAATTCCTATGTTGACTCCCTAATCCTAATGTGACTATATTTGAAGATATCATTTTTTAGGAGGTAATTAAGACTACATGAGGCCATAAGGGTGGGTTCCTAATCTCATAGGATTGGCGGCTTCAGAAGAAAAGGTAGATAGAAAAATATCCCTTCCTCTCCCTCTCTCTTGTTCACTCTCTGTCCACAAATAAGCATCAAGGAAAGGTCACATTAAATTTTTGTTTTTTAGTCTGTGGTAATGTGTTATGGCAGCCTATGCTGACACATGAGTTATGAAAATATTTAACACATCTCCAATTCCTTTAAATGGGGTGCAAGGGGAAAATACAAATCATTGGAAGATGATACAAACACTAAGAAAATCTAAATATTAAAACATTTAGAAATATGGTATTAATTGCCTTTTCTGGTAGAAGAAAATGGGAAATGATAAAAATAAATGTATTCAAAGCCAAGTAGCATGAATAAATTTGGACTATATTATAGCAAAATGCCACATTTTTTTCAAATTAACTTTTGGTTTATAATAGGGAAAGGGTGTAAAAATCATCTGCGCAAGGTTAGCATGACACACCTCTTTAGAGAAACATGCTGTAGGTTGTTAATCCACATAGAGTTGAAGCCAAACCAAGCGAGATCTTATTCAAATCGACTTCTCTATTTACCTCAAGTTAGATAGTTTTTTGGCAGCCTACAAAGAGGAAGACTAAGTACAGTTGACCCTTGAACAACTTGAAGGTCAGGGGCGCCAACCCTTGTGCAGTCAAAAATTTGCATACAACTTTTAACTCCCCCCAAACTTAATGAATTACAAATAGCCTATTATTGACTGACAGCCTCACTGATAACATACAGTCAACTAACCCATATTTTGTATATGTATTATACACAGTATTCTTACAATAAAGTAAAAAGAAAATGGTATTATGAAAAAAGGAAGAAAAATACATTTGCAGTACTGTACTGTATTTATTGATATAGTTTTTGATATAGTTCATGTCATTTGTCTATAAGATGGATTTTCTGAAATAGTGGGCAGCTGCAGCTGTGGGTTTCAATCTATGGTAGATATGAAGCAGTTCACCTTTTTCTTGTAATGTCATGACTTTTCTCTGCTTCTTGGGAATACTTCTGCATCACTAGTGGCACTTCACAGAGGTACATGGTGTAATTCAAGGTTTGTAGTATTGCACAAAACACAGAGAAAAATATAAAGAACCTCAAGAGATCACTTTTTACTGTGATATGCAATTTATTGGAAAGATGAACTGCTCACCAGAGATGATTGGCCTCACAGGGCATTTTAAGTGAATACTCCCAACGCTTGAGCTCACATACATAATAGCAACAGGAGATGACTCCAGCAAAATTTTGCAGAAGTGCACTATATACTACAGTTAATTTTATGCAGTTATGACTTATTGCTGCATCTTCACATTTGTTTACACTTCTCTCAACTGCAAATGGTGCCATGTACAATCTGTAAGTGTGTGTATAATTTGATAAATTTTAACTTTTTATAATAACTGTATATTTTATGGTAGGGAATGATAAAAATAAACTAGTATCTACACATATTATATGCATTTATAGCTAACTTTTTCTTAATTTTTTAAATATTTCCAGGTTATGTGGTTTGTGAGTTTTTTCAAATGATCCCAAATCTCCAAAAAAAAAAAAAAAAACCCTCCAATATATGTATTGACAAAAATTTGCTTGTAAGTGGATCCACACAGTTCAAACCCATGTTGTTCAAGGTCAACTGTAAATGGAACTAGAAGAATTCCAGTATTTAAATGCGAAGTCATATGAGCATACTCTGAGCTCATTTGTTCAAATAAATTGATAAAAAGACCTAATTAAGCTGTATCTTATTGAACTAGTTTTCTCCCTTGTTTTACTTCAGTAGTTCTTAAAATGTCACTACTATCAGGAAATTTAATGGAGAAAGCAGCAATTAATTTATCTTGGCTTTATTCATGCCCATACTTTAGGATCTCTAAACATACCACAGTTGGTACCACAAAAAAATATATTTACACTTAAACTTGTACATAAAATATGCTAATCTTCACAAAGCTGGGCGGAAAATCAAATGGCCATCTTTGTCTCCCAAAGAGAAGAATAAGATCATTTCTATTTTCTCATGGCAGCATTTATCTGTTTAGCATTCAAGAGTCTGGGTTCTAATCAATCAGTCTCCCTCCCTCACTAGACTTAAAAAAAAAAAAAAAAGAGAACTCTTACATTCTTATCTTTGTTATTCCCATGGGTTAAGGCAGTGTCAGACACAAAATAGGCGTACAAATATTGGAAAATGAAAAAACAAAACAAGACTAATGACTTAAAATGTTGTTAAGAGATTAAAATAATGGGCTAAATTTAATAGGGTGAACTTGAGTAATAATGTAAACCTGCAAAAATGTGTTGAAGTGCAGTGTGCAGAAGACATGGATGAGCAGCAGTGCATCCTATGGTTTTCTGTCTACATGAATAACCATAGTGATGTTCTTGCCAGATTTGCTAAAGCAATATTCAGTGAATATTTATAGAATTAGGATGGGGTGTACGCATGAAGTAGGGCCAAATTAGAGTGTTTAAGATAATTGTGGAATTTTAATCCATCTCAAATGAGGAATGGGTAAAGAATACAGGAGATTTATCCTGGAAGGAGGAAAAAAGCTAATAGTAAATGTAACTATTTTGAAGTACCATGATGTGGCAATGGGGATATTTGGTCTGTGAAGCCATAAGAAATAGAACTAGAACCAACAGTTAAAAATTGCATCAAGATTTTGGCTTGATAAAGAAAAGTACTTTCTAATAGCCAAAGTTGTCTTGAAAACGTCCTGTAACTGAAAGCTCACTGTTTATTGGTTAACCATGCAATTACCAATGAAACTAAATAAAACCTGAATTCAATTTTTAAATTAATTAATTCAATTTTTAAATTCAATTTTTAAAATTTTCTAGAAAACAAATTCCAAAGAATGGTATGAGATGCGGAATCACTAAGTGCTTTTGTATGTATTGGATACATACAAAATGTTCAACGGGAAATTTTCAAATAAAAATAAAATTATGATTTTCATGCAAATATAAAATGAACACATTTTAAAGATTTTATTAATTCATTATTATGAAGAAGCCAAGCATATGTTAATAACAAATACAAAGGGGAATCCAAAGAACAGATAAATGTATAGATTAGGAACACTGAAGTGAATTTGTAAATTGACTCAAAACTGTTCTTCCATGAAAGGAAGAAAATTAAATTGAGCCTCTGACAGAATCTATTTGTCAGTTTATAGTTGAGAATTATTTGCATTATTATTATTTATCAACTACTTACAGAGTGATAAAATTGTAAAAGGCAATGAAAGTTCATATCCTCCATAGAACTAGAATCTGACAGCACAGAAAGTTATGCTCTAAATAGTGCAGTTTTCTGTTGAAGACACACAGTAATCTTTTTTCTTATTTTAAATGTCCTTGCACTTGTAAGTCCTAAAATTTATGGTATATGGTCAAAAGTGAGGAAACATTGACTTTTTTTATTTACCTATTGCACTGATCCATGAAATAAAATTCTAATTAATACCCTGTATTGGTACTTGAAGATGACAACCTCTTAAGACTATGGCCTTTTCATTTTTAAAAATTCATGAAATTGAAATGGTCATATTTGGATTTGATTTCCTTATAATTTCAAATATTTCCATAGAGCTAATTCTAAAAAGTTTGATGTGTATTGCAAATCTTTATTTCTTTCCTGGGTCTTTTTGTCTAAAAGATTCTTCTCTTACTATTTTTATTTTCTCCCATAATAAATATTTCATTGGGTAGCCCTAATTATAATAATTCATTATTTTTTAAAAAAACCATTTCAACAACTAAAGAGAAAACAACAAACTTGAATCATTAAACAGGTAAAATTTTCTAAATAAAAAGACTGCTTTCATAGTGTTAAAATGTAGTTCTTCTTTCATTAATTCATCAGGTCATAAGCAGAGTGATAGGTCTAGTAAGATGAAACAATTACTGAGATAAAAATGTTAAAAATATATGAAACCTAAGACTTTGAGGCCTAAGCATTCAGGTTGACTACCTACATTGATGCAGTTCAGTACATAATTGAGAAACTATCCACTTGCGCTCCAGTTGTAGACAGATGTAAAAGTACATTGGCTTAACCATGGAAAAAAAGTCTAGAGACGAAATACCACAAAAAACGTCACATCAATTGCAAGTTCTGGTTTGGAAATGCCTCTGGTTTGTTATGGATTTAAGGCAGACCTGATGAAGACAGGTGACAACACACTGCTTGCTTCTTCAAGATACTGTACTTACCTTAGGAAAAGTAATCACTTGTTGAGTGCTTTGCAGCTGAAAATAGATTGTCACATACACTATTTTTGAGCCTCACAATGACTAAGTTAGGTATTATTCATCTTCTCAATTGACTGATGGGGAAACTAAGGATCAGATAAATGCTGTCTTGTCCAATGTCATTGAATTTTTAATGATGGAACCATGAATAGCATAATTTCTGAAGCCATTTTTGTCATAGTCAAAACAAGTTTATTGAAAACAACAGAAAGAGAATCATTAGAGGATGCCCTTAAAATGATCTTAACTAATTATATCTACACAGATATATGAATTGGTGAGGAAATCTAAGATAACAGATAATACTGATATCAAGTCCTATTACTATAACTAGATGTTTTCCCCCCCCCAAAAAAAAGATAAAAAGCTAGGTTATATGTGTTTAAGTATGTCATTCTATTAAGTGGTTAATAATTCAAGTGTATCTTATGAGGAAACATTTTAATTGGCTTATTTATTCATATTTATAGTGTATATGGGGGATAGGATAAACTTTAATCTTAGTCCCTCTCCAAAAAATAAGATCAAAGAGCAGAAAATGAATAGTTGAGGTTTTTTTTTTTCCAGCTATATATTTTCATTTCTCTTGTGGAGCAGTGTTTATATCAGACAGTTAAGCAAGTAACTTTTCTAGCTATCGCTGTGGTGGTTTAAAAGTAGATTTATTTTCAATTTGCAGTAAATTCTTAGACTCTGCTTTTGCAGCTAATTCATTTTTGCCATCCTCATAGCACATTGAGCATACGAATTCCTTTGAGAAATAAATATCTATGAGACTCTTAAGACAAATATTATTAGGCTATAAGTTTGCTTACTTAAAACCAATATCTGAAAAATAAGCCCTGGAGAACTTCCTTTATTTCATTTTTTCTGACCAAAGGGCAGCCCAGTACACTGACCAAAATAAGATAAGTGCATACTCATCAGTAACTGAAACTGTTCTTTAAAACTTACTTGGTAACAGAAAAATATGTCTTTTAATTTTAACAGAGATACTCCTTTTTCAGTGCTTTCACAGCTAGTCATTTCCGATTTCCATCCCAATTTATCCTCTGTCAACAAATAACTGAAGAATTATAAAATCATGGATCAGGTCACCGAGTTATTCACTAAAGTCATATTGCATATTGAGACATAATCAAGGATTTTTACCTCAAACCACTGATCAAAAGACTTAAGCCTCTCACTTTGATCAAGGGAACATTATTCTTCTGGTGACAGACAATTATTCCAGAGTTGATACAAATTCACAAATTCTGACACATTTTTAATGCATCAAATTATACATCTTAAAGAAAATCCAATAGCATAGAAATATATCCAAGTAACCCAAACTAGGTTGAATGTTTCTTGTTTCTCTAGAACTTCGACCAAATGCTGGTGAGAAAAGCAATGGTCAATTATTGCACTTTCTACAGGAAGCTTCAAACACTGGGAGCCACACAACCCTTCCAGAGCTTACTAATAGGCCACTTATTTCCCTCCATCTGGCTATCATTTGCCATCGCCAAGCTATGTGCAAATCAGACCACAAGAGAGGAAGAGAAATTGAATCAATGGAATGAGAATTATTTGAGCTGTCTTCAGTTAGGCAAAGAAGTTAGCTGTAAATGAGAACAGACTTGTTTATCAGAAGGTTGTCCAAAAATAGGGAGATGGGGCAACATCAAAAGATGACTTGATCTGCCAACCAAGCAATGCAATGTAAGAGGGCTGCTTCGGAGTATATTGAATGCCCACAGGCTACCCAGTCAACTGCAGGCCTGAGCACCCAGCATCATTCCTGATGAGAAATTGATGGGACCATGATACCAGCAGCAGGTGTCAACATAGGCCTCAGGCCAGATGAGGGTCCAAAGAGGGCTATTTGTGCCGCAGTAATACAGCATGACAACTGAATAAGTGCAGAGGATGTAGAGTCAGGACTAGACAGATGAGTAGGTATAACCCTGAGAAATAAAGGAAACCCTTGAGTAGGGCTGAATGTTTAAATGTTGTTTTCACTTATGCAAAACTTATCAATGTTATGAATGATAAATAGATATGTGAGTTTATGATAGAAAACTATAATTGGGTTATAGAAATATAGATAAAATATGAAGATCTGAACTTTAGCTTAAAATTCACATTTCATTAGCACTTTTATATTGAATATGTAAATGCTTATTCATTGAACAACAACAACAAAAAATCCAAAACTAGAAATGTTGGCTCTGTGACTATAGCAGATTTGCAGTAGATACTGTAAACCTGTCATTAGTAATGAAACACATTTAAATGAAATATCACATTAATAAAGCTGCAGTTTACATTTTCAAGTTCTGTCAAATACCTGACACCTTACAAATGTGCAAATAAAAATCAAGGTACCCTAATAAACTATTTTACATTGACTCCAAACTTATTTTACTATAGTTTATACTGCCAGTAAACAGTAATAAATTTAGAAGTTTCTAGAGAGCTAGCAATGGCCATGCCTTATTGGGATTAAATATTGATTTGCTTATAAGTCCTGACATAATCTTTTCATATTGACTTCCACACCTTTGAAGTTTAATATAAAATGCAACAGCAACTTATCAGCATCACTGACTCATTTAGCCTCTCTACATTCTCCATTAGAATATTACTTGTCTGTTTTGGTCTCTATTACATTCCCAGCACCTAAAATATTCCTGGGCTTACTAAACATATGTTGAATGAAAGAGTGACTATTTGACTATTAACCTATAGTCCAGTGACAAAGGCAGAAGAGATACTGTTATGGGCTCAATTGTAAACCCCCAGAATTCATATGTTGAAGTCCTAAAAAATGTGATTGCATTTGAAGACGGAGCTGTTAAATAGGTAAGTAAGTCAAAATGATATTATCAGAGTGACCCCTAATGCAATATGACTGGTGTCCTTACAAGAAAAGAAAATAAGGACACAGACAGACATACAGGGAGGACCATGTGAAGATAAAGGGAGAAGACAAGCCATCCACAAGTCCAGGAGGGCATCCTCACAAGAAACTAACCCTGCTGACACCTCGATCTTGGACTTCTAGAACTGAGAGAAAAAAAATTTCTATTGTTTAAGTGACCCAGTCTGCAATACTTTGTTATGATAGCCCTAGAGAACTAATATACAAACTTAATGAATTTTCTGGTTGATAGAATTTAAAAAAAAACACGCAAAGAATTTCAGGAAAAATCGTAAATTTTTTTTACAAATGTTAGATTTCATCATGGAGCAATAATCAAGCTATGATTATGAAATATTATGTAGTCCCTCTAACGTTGAATTAAAAGGTTTTACCCCTCTTACTGTATTAAAATGAGGTTTGTGAAACTATGCCAAACATTGTAATCCTGATATAATCCATCATCAATGATCATAAAAGCAGAATATTACCTATATTAAATGTTACTGCCTAATCCAGGAGCAGGCATTATATTTAAAATTACTAGAAGCCAAACAGAAGCAAAGGCTATGATATGGAAAATATCAGATCAGAATTGTAAGCATACTTGACTAGTTGGACTTTTAAGCAGCAGTCGAATGTACTGTGACTAAATTTAATTTTTATAGAAAATTTGGTCTCCCCTATTATGCATAAATAAATAATTTTATGGAATTTTGGAGGAATGGAAGGCTAAGACAATTGAGCTACAATAAAAATGTGACTTGGGAATATTTATGCTTTTTGGATTAAAAAAATCTTTGGGTGATTTTATATCCAATGAGTGTGCAGAGGTTAAATAATAATGTTTACATAATCACTCAATATACTGTTCATTTAAAGAGGCAACAAAACTCGTTTAATGTTAATAAATCTTGTGTAAGGAAATTTCCCCAAGACAAAAGCTATGGCTAGCTGCAAAACCAGCTACAGAGTAATATGTTTTCAAAGTTCTAAAACTTTAAAGCCAAATGAGAGTCATGTCCTAGAGTAACAGAATTCACATTGAATGACATTGTTGACTGGGGAAGTGTGAGGAGCAACTGAAGCCAAAGGATATTATTTAATTGCCAGAGAACTAACATCTGTTATTAATCTTGTTAAAGAGACTTATGTCTAGTGTTAGAGTCATCTTGGTAAAACTATATCCCACTAATTGCACTAGACAGAAAATCCATAAATAGAACTATGTACTTGCTTTGGAAGATTGTGGCTTGTCACATTTGCAAACAACAATTAAATTGAGGCACTAATCTAAAAGTTCGTATGCCTTTTGTTTAATACCAAAAGGGGCTGTTAGTAAGCCAAAGGAAAGAAAGTTAAATAATAAAAACAGGCTCTTTTTCTCTCACATAATTTTTAAGAAAAGAACAGTCTCTCTATTAACTAAAGAATCCAAATGCCCTACACCTATTAAATATAATTGTATATGATGTTGAAAGCTAAAACAATGCAATAAATTTTTGCATCCATAATTCCACACAGTTGACTGTCATTAACTTTTCAAAAATACTTAGTTTATTCTCAGTTCATTAGTTAATTATCACATCAACAGGCAAAATGATGGTGCATATAATTATGAAATGTCAACGCATCAAGGCAGTGGATGCAATATGTGTACAATATGAAATGGACATGCTATGCTAGTCAATATATAAGAATGGGGCCAGGCTCAGTGGCTCATGCCTGTAATCCCAGCACTTTGGGAGGACCACTTGAGACCCAGAGTTCAAGACCAGCCGGAGCAACAGAATGAGATCTGATTACTACAAAAAAAAAATTAATTATCTGGGAATGGTGACATGTGCCTGTAAGCCTACCTACTGAGGAGGCTGAGGAGAGAGGATCACCTGAACGCAGGAGTTGGAGGTTGCAATGAGTCCTGATTACACCACTATAGTACAGCATGAGCAACAGAGACAAAGAAGGGAAGAAAGAGGAGGGGAGGGGAGGGGAGGAAGGGAAAATGAAAATCTGGTAGAAAACTTTGGTTATTTGAGATCGCCTTTGAGTTTTCAAGCTGGGATGCAACTTTGAAGTGTTTTTTAAATCAAAGCATATATGATGCCGCATACTCTAGCAATATTGTGTTTTGAATCTCAGGAACTTTGGAGCATAGATCACCACGATATTGGCCTTCTGTATGCTAACCTGGGAAACTTCTTGGATGCCTAATTAAAGTCTCCAAAATAAGCTGCAACTATGTGTTCATGTATCAGGATATCCTTGATGCAGACATTATGGCAAATGAATATGTCATCGTCTGCTTCCATTACCTGCGTGCTCGCTCCCTCAATTTATGCAATCTATAGGCAAAATCACCAATCTATTGGCTCTCAAGTCTATAGGTCAGACTTCACCTCTTGATAGACATATAATTAACTGGCTTTTAGCCTTCTCTGTCTCTGCAAAAAACTTATAATGTCCAGAACTGAATCAGTAATCTTTTCTTACATTGTTAGCACTGTAGAGTGATGGCACATCTAATCATATAGCAGGCCAAGATAGAAAATGAACTTATTCCTGACTCCTTCCTCTATTTACTCTTAAAATCCAATAAATCACCATGTTGCAAATTTCATTTTATTACTACTTACATGAAAAAATATCTTTTCATCTACAGTCCTATTACCAATGTTCAATATCAAGTTCTTGTTGCTTATCTAGCATCTAACATTATTTTAAATTTTATCTATCCTTTTAGAATAAAGTCAAACATCTTCAGAAAAGTCTTCTATAAGATTTATGCCAAACTAATTCCCCTCTCCTCCCACTTTCTGACTCTTACTTTATATTCTAATAATCCTTATGTGACTCATATCCACTACATCCCATGCTGTTTCTTACTTCCATACCACTGACCATTGCTAAAGTTTTTCCCTGGGTCTGAAATCCCCATCTTTCTTTTCTTCCATATTACTTATTCTTACTTAAGGTTTAAGATTTGGTGCAGGTATTATCTCCTAGGGAAGCCCTCTGTGATCCCTCCTGAGCTGGGTTACATATTCACACATGGTACTCTCTTAATATCTCTGTTAAGTATCTTTCTCTGAATTTCCACATTACTTTATTGGGGCCTACTTGTTTATACTAGTATACAAACAGCTTGAAAGAAAAACTGTTAACTTATTTACTTGTTTCTCTTAAGGGTACTAGCATGATGCCTAGTATAGCATAGACACTTAGTAAATAGTGAGTAAATGAATAAATGAATGAGTGGGTAGATGGCTTACGGAGAGACAGATAATTGCAATAGATACGCTATTATTTTCTCCCTTTGATTCCCTATAAAAGATGTAATTTTTTTCTCTAAATTTTAAAGATCTTTGCCAAAGATCATTTGGGCTTTCCTATACCTAAGTAAAATTATCTGAAAATAGTGTGTTATGTTTTAAATTTAAAACAGATGAAAATTATTAGGATAAATAATAACCCAAATATGTTCTAGTAAACAGGACAAAATAATCATTCTAATTAATTTCAGAGTCTCATGTTCTCTAAACATATACAATCTCTTAATTTAATAAATGAAGATACTATTAAGGAACTATTTACCTATTTTCAAAGGAGGAAAATACTTAACTATATTTGATTTTTAATTTTAATTTCTGTGTTAGTCCTTTTTGAAGATGGTAAACAATGAAAAAAAATTATTAAAAATTCACTAAAGAAATATGTATAAAAGAAATCTAAACCTCTCAAATGATTTTTTGTATGTTTGTAGCTTTGTACTTCTGATGCTATAGTTTGAAACTCTGCTAAAATGTTGAGACACTGTGTACCTGGAAATTCTCCTCAGAAGTGCAATCATTATTACTTTTCCAGTCAGATCTGTTTCAAAGACATACATGCACTAAGTAGAAAGACTCCTGCAGATGGAGAGAAGAAGCTGTTAAAAATGCTTGTAAGATGACTATCCTAAGTGTGGGTAGAGGGAAAATCTACTCTGCATCTAAAAGATTTCAAGCAGGTTTGCGGCATATTTTCTCAGAATCCAATCTGCCCACATCTTAGGCCTTAGTTTACATTTCCAAATCATTATTGGCCACATTTTCCATCTTTGCAAACAAATGATATACCAATAGAAGACACTTTAATTGAGTCTGCATGGAAAACATTGTATCTATGATAAATTTTTGCAATGTACATTTTAAGCGAAAGGACATATTGTCCTAACACTTTAACAGATATTTGGAAGGAGTTATAAAATGTACTAATCTAAAATTGTCACAAAACTATATTGCTTCTTGGGGTGAAAGAAGACATAGAACATTTCATTATCAAATTTTTGATTTTTAAAGATCCCCATTTTGATTAGGATTAGTACATGATTTAACAACTATTCTGGAATAGACTGCTATTTTAGGCCTTATTTCATCTCTGAGTTGGCAATTAAAACATTCACATTATCTGTGGCCACACTTTGGCTCGCTCTTACGAACAGAATCCAAGAGTGCAAAAGGTCAAAAGGAATTGTAGTAGTAATCCACTTTGAAGGTATACAGACGTTTTTTAAAAATAATACGGAACCAAGGTCCCTAAGAAAAAGAAACTGCAGGTAGGAACACGGGTGTGACCTAGCCACCTGCACTGTAACATGCTGAGATTAACTTTCCCTGCGGTTCTTGTCTCAGGTTATCATTTTGACAGCTAAGTAGACTTCCACGGTGAAGCCATTTCTTATTTAAAATCATAGCCCAAAACGAGACAAAACTCCCTTTCTTGCCTTTTGAACAAGTTGCGTAATGACCAAAAGAGGGCCCAGCAGAGACTGTGTACTAAGCTCCAATCATGGAACCTGCCCCCAACAACCATCCCCTTTAGGTGAGGCTATCCAGGCCACCACCATTCCTGCTCATGGAAACCTATGTTGAATCACTTTGCCCTTGTGGCCATCACAGCTGACAGGATGTGGAGATGATACCTAACATGAGAAGGGCTACTCCATGTGCTGGCTTGTGGCCTGTGATGTGCTGTGGCATTCAATACTCTCTCAGATATTTGAACTGAAACACAGAATAAACCTAAAGGTTAGCAGTGGGTGCTGAACATGCAGTTTCTGTAAGGTAGTGTTGAGGTCATGAGGAATCCAGGGAAGGCTGAAGTTAGTTTCTACGGAAGGTAGAGGTGCAGGATGAGGAGCCTAGACAGAAAAAAACAAAGATGAAAATGGAGAATAGAGAGAAAAAAAAGCCATGGCATCACATGGAACAGATTGAAGAGGCTGTGCTTGGTCCCTAGAACAGAAGTTCAACCCTTAATAGAGCCTCACAATTAAACCCTTGCACTTGAAGTAATTTGAGTAGACTTCATTCTTCCTTGCTACTAAATAGCTTGCTTGAAAAAAATATATGGGAGGCAGTAAGGACCCAATGTTCTGCAGTCTCCAGGTGCCTCACACACACGAACTCAGATGTGGTCATCTCTGACATCTCATACCTTGCGACAAACCAAAATGCTATCACCATTTTTTCTTCATCCAGGCAGACACCTGGCTTAAGGGATTATGGGCAATACCACCTTCTCTCTCCAGTGAAGGATACACAGTCAGACACATACCGAGCTCAAGCAAGAGAAGAAACATCACACATCCTTAACTTCCCTTTTGATATTTTAAAAAACAAATTGAACAGGTTCTTGCCAAACACAAATGCAACTTGAATACAAATAATTTATAAAAGAAAGTGCAAGATGTGTTTGTTAGATGTTGCAGGACATCTGATGGAGTCTCAAATCCATGAAATGGCAAAACTCACTATTTACAGGATATGACTTCACGCTTCTCTTTCCTATTATAAAAGATCAATTAAAGTGCAAAAAATGTGCATAATCTCTCATTTTTCAAGTCATAGGAAAATCCAAGAGCCTTGTGTGTGCTATTGTACAAAACCATCAACTATATTTCACCAGATGTACTCAAAAACAGTTGAAACAGCACAGGCATGGTCAGAGGCAGGCTATACAAGAAAATCCAAATTTATAAAATCAGGAATGGAGAAATACTAGGTTTTATTATAAATTTGTTATAGTTTTATCTATGTAGAGATTTACCTATAATGTCTAAGCACAGATTATTAACATAAATGTTGTAGTAGATAATGGCAGAAGACTCAATTAAAAACAAATGAAAATTTTGAAGTTTAGATTTATGAGAAAGCTTTGAGAATGTATTCACTGCACATAGAAACTTATGACTTTAAGTATATATTAGTTTTTTTGAATATTTACTGGAGGAAACTTAATAAAACAAGGCACCCTACCATAATGTCTTTCCCTACCAAGGCAAGACAAGATTTTAAATATCCTACTCTTCTTTTCCCACACCCCATATTTAAGGAAAATTCATCAAAGAGCAAGAACTAGGTTTTCTCAAAAGTGACTAATTGGTACAAAGACCACATCAGGTTCCTTACAAAGGAGGACTCATCTCCAGATTTTGATTACAAGACTCCATTTATATATAAGCAAATGAGCCCACTGGGTGGCTAATTGTAACCTACATGTTATTTAGTATAAAGTGATTAAACAGTGCCACTCTGAGCTAGCTGTGCTGAGAATAGAAGCTTAATGGTATGTGAAGTATCACTGAGTGTTCGCACATAAAGAGGAATTGTTTCAGTGCTTACATGGATAAGAAATTGGATTTCATAACCAAAAATATTTTTTAAAACTGCTCCCATAATCTAAGTGTGCCAAAAAACGTGAATCCTGAAAAGAATATGCAATTCCCAGGTAAACTCCAGATAACTATTTAGTAGCATAAACATAGTTTTAGAAAAATATAAATAAATATAGCTACTTCTTGTATAATATTTACTCTGTGCAAGGCACAAGTCAAAGTGCTTCATACATATTAGCTCATTTAATTCTTACAGTAACCCTTTGATGCGATGATGATGATTATCCTAACGTTGTGGAGATGAAATTGAGACAATCAGTTACATTTTTTTATACATACACACAGTTATTTTGACAGACCTAACTAGCAGTATGTTATTTTATTTTTAAGTGTGATCAGGATTACTGAGAATGTGCTAATCTAGTGGAAATTATATGTCTATATTTGTATGTCCGATTTTGATCAGTAATGGTACTGTGAACAAAACAGACACACACAAAAATCAGTGACCACACTGATTTCAGAAAACAAGAACCAAGAGTTTATACAGAAAGGCTGATCTCTCCAAGGTACTGCTGATTGAAAGTTTATTTTCCTCAAAGTTTTTCCACCTTGCTCCTTTATTTAAGAGGTTTTCATTTGTGATATTCAGAGATAGTTGGACCTTGCTTGAGAATTTGGAGGATTAGATTACTGTTGCAGATTGATTTCATATACGAGTAAGACAGATCTCTGAACTAATATGAGTGCAATATAATTAAAGGGAGTGAAATATAGCTGGAATCACAGAAACAGTACTGTAATTCTAACTATCACATTCATTTGGAGTATGAACTGGGACAACTAACATAATTTCTTTGTTACTTAAAAATTTATTTTTAAAATAATAAAATTAGTCTAGAAAATCTTTAAACTCCTATCTAAATTAAAATTGTGTGAGTATAAATAAGTGGACATCAATAACATAGTTTTCATTTAACAAAATAAGAATGATCTTAGCAAAATCTTAGATAATATAGATCAATTATCTAAAGACAGAAACTACCAAAACTCACTCAAGAAAAAAATAAACTGAATCGTATGATGCATACATATTAAATACATTAAATTTATATTTAACTGCTTTCCAACAACAACAAAAACTCCAGACCCAGAAGTTTTTGCTGGTGAATTCTGCCAACATTTATGAAGAAATAATGTCAAACCTACAATGCAAGGACCAGTTTTTATTTATTATTATTATTATTATTGAGACAGAGTTTTACTCTTGTTGCCCAGCTGGACTGCAATGGTGCGATCTTAGCTCACTGCAACATCTGGCTCCCAGGTTCAAGCGATTCTCCTGCCTCATCCTCCCAAGTAGCTGGAATTACAGGCATGCACCACCACGCCTAGCTAATTTTTTTTTTTTTTCAGTAGAGATGAGGTTTCCCCCTGTTGCTCAGGCTGGTATTGAACTCCTGACCTCAAGTGATCCACCTGCCTTGGCCTCTCAAAGTGCTGGGATTACAGGTGTGAGCCACTGCACCCTGCCCAAGGACCAATTCTAAATGCAGTTAACACCAAAAAAGTAAATATATAAATGCAAGTCTAACAGAATGTGGGTAGAATCTCTATGATGTAAACTATAAAAGACTGATGAAAGATGCATGAAATTACAACCAAAAACTGAATCTTACTGTAGGTAAACTTCAAAATAAATTTTTAAAATATGATAAAGAAATATAGAAATTAGAAATTATAATTCATCCATCCAACAATCAATCAAGGTTGGAAAACTCTATTTTTCTCCTGTCTTTTCTTAATTTTGTAAAACACTGTGGATTACTGAAAACATCCTAAGAATAGTAACTGGTCCTTGACTTGGAAAAAGTCATACGCCTTTCAGGAGGACAGATATACAAGCAACAAATGACAAAAGAGTAATCATTATGGCACAGTCATGCAATAAAGTGCTGAGGAGAAGAGTTCAGGCAACATTTATTGTACTCTGCTGGGGTAGGGTAGTTGTGTGAGAGAACACTAAATGCTAAAGGCAAGAAAGGATTTGTCATTTGAGATGACATTATTCCAGGGTAAGGGAGGCAGGAGGGAATTACATAAACACTCTTCGTTCCTTATTTCCACTATTCTTGTACTCAAGATCCTGGGAGAAATGTTCAACAGTAGCATACTTATTCTTCCCCCAGGCTGCTTCCAGACAATAACTGTGCAGCAGGGATACCAAATCAGGTCTATTACAGGGAGACGCGGGACCCATCTGAAAGCCAGCTTTAGTTTGAGTGCTCCCCAGCAGTCATGCCAACCTTCCTTAGACTTTATAGGAGGTCTAGGACGCTTCCCTCCACCCTTTCTTCCCTCTCTCCACTCAGGGGCAAGTTCATTTCATGATTTGACAAGTTTTTTTTTTCTTTTAGCTTGTCCTGGCTCCTCATTTTCTTCTTCACCGTTATTTTATTAGTTAAATCTTACATGCTTAATCCCATTTTGGTATCCTCTTCTGAAAAGACACGCACTAACACAGTGAGCCACTACGCCCTGCCCAAGGACCAGTTCTAAATGCAATAACACCAAAAGAGTAATATATAAGTACAAGTCTAACAGAATGTGGGTAGAATCTGTATGAAGTAAACTATAAAAGACTAGTGAAAGATGCATGAAATTACAACAACAAACTGAACCTTATTATACAACTCCATATTATACAACCACAAACTGAAAAGATATACACTCCTTTGCCTATTTTGTTTCTCACATTTGCCTCAAAAATACATGTGTTCCTCATTATTCTGTTTATAGTGCCGTTTCCTCCCATCCTAGTAGAAGCCGACCGTTTCCCCTACAGCATGTATCTACTGCAACGAAAATATGTCTTCCTACTAGATCATTCCTTTTCTTTTCTTTAGAGATGAGGTCTGTCTCCGTTACCTGGGCTGGAGCGCAATGGTGTGATCATAGCTCACTGCAGCCTCGAACCCCTGTGCTCAAGCAATCCTCCCACTCCAGTCTCCTGAGTAGCTGGGACTACAGGCACATGCCACCATGCTCAGCTGGTTTTAATTTTTTTTTTTTTTCAGACATGGGGTCTCACTATGTTGCTCAGGCTGGTCTCAAACTCCTGGCATCAAGTGATCCTCCAACCTCACCCTCCCAAAGTGGTGGAATTATGAGGGTGAGATACCATGTTCAGCCCCATACTAGATCATTCTTTTGACCTCTACATCTAGTTTTGCTAAATAGATATGTTCATTTAGAGATGGCAAAAACACTGCAAATTCAAAATTTCAAAAACTAAATGTGCTTTATCTCTTAATAAATTTCTCTTTCAATATTCTTTGACTGCATATAACAATCAGGATTCAATACAGAAAACAGATATGTTCTCAGCATATCAAGTAGAAGGGGACTTTATACAGGAAATAAAGGTGCTTATAAATTTGGGGATGGTTGTAGACCTTCAACGATTTTATTTCATTCCAATTTTATAGCACCTGGGCTGTGATCTGCAGATCAGAAAGCTGCCATTGGTACTGCTATCCCTGATACATAAAGAGGGTAACCAGATACATAAAAGTGGAGTTGCCTAATGCCAAAGCCTACGTCTGCCAGAACCTGTTAGCCAGCTACCATGGCTGCAAGAAGATGACTTCTGCCTCACTTATTAACAAGTCTATGAAGACTGTATCTAACTGGGAAAAATTAATTCACCTACAAAACTCAGGCTGCAAAGGACCCTAGGCAATATAGATTTTAGCTTTCTAAACTCCAAACTGAAACAGATCCAAATGGAGATTAAGAGAGCCAGCCTGTGTACCTGCTAACTTAATGGCACCAACATAACCAATTCGCCCAAGCCAAAAAGTAGAGGGCGTTGAAGAGTCCTTTCTCTTCCTCATTCAGTTGATGGATAAATAGTCTTGTTCTTACCTAAGCTGTTACTGGCTTACCTCAAGCCTTCACAAACTCTTATTTGGGCTTCTGAAATGGTATCTTGGTAGTGTCAAAGAGTATATTAACTCTTCACTTTTACCCTTCATAATTCCATGCAGTGCTTTTCCTAAAGTGTAAATGTTATATTCCTCCTTCAGTCTCAAGGCTGTTTATCCGAAAGGCAATGTAGGACGCATTCAAGGTTTGGAAGGAATGTCCTGGGCCCCTGGCACTCTGGCATGATGTGCAAAGCCTTAGATAACCTGTTGCTTGCTGACATCTCCACTCATTTCCTATGTCTCTTCTTTGTGTACTCCACCCATTCCAAAATATTTGCTATGCCCCAAATTTGAAATATCATATTATACAACCAGAATTTGTGGAAATTATTCCCTCTGCCTTGAATTCTAGCCCTCTTTACCTCTTTTACACAGTTAAATTCTCCAATATTTATCTAAATAAAATCCCCCCCCCCCAGTAATAAGTTAAGACTCAGTTGAGCAGAGATTTCTTGAACTGATGGCTGTTATATCACTGATCACGAATGTAGGAATTATTAGCTTACAACTAATTAGGCCTAGACTCCCTTGCAGCCTGAGTTCTGCATTAAGACTCCGCATTTTGATGGTATCTACACTGCAGTTCCTCCATGACAGAGCACATATATCTTGTTTGCCTCCATATTGGGAACATAGTAGGTGCTCAGTAAAATACTGGTTGATAGAAAGAGTGAAAGAAAAAAGGAAAATTAAGCTGACTAGAGAGGAGTTTAAGACAGCCATAGCAAAACTGCACAATGAATCTTGCTATAAGCTAAATAGGAAGGAAATGCTGAAATGCTAAATTTTCTAAAATTTTAAGATAAAATCATATTTCATAGTGTCAAGTTTATAAACAAATTAGTAATATTTCATTAGGATTAAAGATATTTTAATAAAATTATGTGATCTTAGTGTTGTTTAATGTAAAATATTTAGAAACAAAGGAGTTATATAATTAATTCCTTAGAGAACCATAGTTATTTTATATTAAAAATAATAAATATGGGCTTCAACAAAAGTATTTTATCATATTTTATATAATTTTTCTCTAAAATATATGTTAAACATCATAATGAGAAAAATTGTGTTTATCTTATAATGGGGTATAAAATGTTCATATGTTAAGTATCAGTACCTAATGATATACATTTTAATGGGACATTCTATATACGGACAGCAATTATGCAAACTAGGAGACATGTAAGCATCAGCCTATAGACATAGGAGCTACATTTTAATAAATTAGGATTATATTTCATAAGGTAATTATTACCCATTTTTAAGTGAGCAGAATTTTTATAGTCAGAATAATTTGGTCAATGTTTCCCAAATTGTGATTCAGTGAATATAAATTCCAAATTATAGTTACATTTAGTTCTGCTGTAACATAATATATATGTTCCTTAAAAATCAGTGTGCTATGAAAAATCATGCAAAAAATAAAAATAAAAACAACAGAGCTTACGGAAAAAATGGCACTAGGCACATAAAACTCAAAAACTTTATCAGTGATACATTTTAAAAAAAGAACCCAATAAAACCAGGCCCATTGTCTTATAGTTAAAACAGGAGCATGCCTAATAGTTAAAAATACATAAACCTGCAATACATACAGCACTTAAAAAATCTGCAGTTAGCTTGTGGAAGTCAGTTTCAGAAGGGTTGTAGCTTATGAGTTATAAAGTGATAGAAGGATGATTATGTAAATTCTCACAAGAAATTCTAACACCACTTGTGGATGGCTGTGCCTCCTGACACTCAGTGAGCTGTATTGTTTGAGGTGTGTGTGTTTTGCATGCTCCCGTGTCTTGGTTCAACCAGATGCACTTTTCCCCATTCAACTACCGTCTCTCTTAGACAAAACTGGGCAAAAATACACAATTTATCCTATGCTCAAAATGTTCCCTGATATATGAATTAAGTTTGGAACAAATTTACATTTCAAAACAAGCATTATAACAGAAATGAGTGTAATAGGTACTTGAAAATAAAAGTGGAAGAAGGAGGGTTCTATGTTCCAACAAGTTCAAGAAATATGGGGGTTAAGCAATGTTTATTTTTGTATTAGGCAATTTCTGAAACTTTGTTTGCTGATGTAAACTCTGAAACTTCAAGAGGGCAATGAGTTTGCAATATTTTAAAAATTATTTGACATTAGAGCATTCCCTTTCATTAATATTTTGTGGTGGAAAAACTCTTAACAACTAAAAACAGTGTTCCATGTATCATAGTTTGGTAAACATTTTTCTATATTAATGTTTCACATTTATTGTTATAAAATATAAAACAAGATTTTTCTCTCAGAACAGAAATAAATTATGCTCTAATTCAATTTTGTGAGGATTACAAAAGAAATCTGAAATAAATTTTCAAAAATACTATCAATGTGTCTAATATTACTGGTTGTATTTCTTCTGGCTCGTAGAGAAATATGAACCATGGCGGACAAATAAAATACCATATTCGAGATCAACTTTTCAGCACAATTAACCTTACAATAAAGATCTTATAAATCTACACCCAGTGATTAAATTTTTGATGTTGAGGGTATGTAATTTTCTGGGACTTCAGTGTGATCCTTTTGTTCATAAATAAAACATTTTTATGGGAAAAAAATTTTAAGGGAGTAATTAATTTTGTTCTTTATTACTAATTTCACCTATTATTTCTAAATTAACATTTTTATTTTATTCAAGTTTTTAACCAGTTCTTTTATTCTGTTTTTATATGCAATGTTTATATAGGATTTAGAATAAGTATGAAATAACTATTTGATCATTTATTAGATAGTCTGTTAAGGAAGAAAATTGCCATAGATGAATCTAATATAATTTAATCTTTTTTCAGATAAAAGGCAATAGATGGAAGATGAGAGTGGAAATGAGAGCATCAGGATGATTGAAAATTCTCTCATCGGTTAAAACAACTAGAGCACTTGCAAAGCTTGTCAGGATTAACACTTTCAGAACTCTGAAAATTGACCAATACTTCAAATAACCCAAGGTAAATTTATTCAGGAAAATGGCTAAATTGAAGTAAGAAGAGTGAAACTTGCAGCATTTTAACTAGACATATTTTCCCATTCCAAACTCACCAGCTCTGCAGTAGCTTTGACAACTAACATCCTATAAAAATGTTTAAAAGCATCAGTCTAGCAGGAAATGGAGGGTGCAAAATGGGGTTGGATCTTCTTCAAAGCTCCATTCCCGTTACCAGAGATGCCATCATTATTTTGACCTATCTGTTGGTTTCCTGACAAACTCTACTTGCAGGGGTTTCTTATTTGACCTAACTCAGAACTCACCCACGGAGAACAGTCTTTTCCTCAGGGACATTTGTTGGAAACAATCAGAACAACTGCTTAACATCATGGCTGCCTAAGGCAATGGATAGAAGTTGGCGAAAAAAAATCAGCTATTCAAAAAGCCTAAAAGAAAAAGCTCAAGAAAATGAGATGTCCATAGGAATTTATTAAAACTCTAATATATTCCTGAGAATCTAGAAAGCCGTACAAACATGCAGGACTGTGCTTATGATCAGAAACAACAACAACAACAACAAAAACTAAGAAGGTCTTGACTTCTCACCTCTGGCTGACCTTTGTGGCTGTGTGTAAGCAGAAGGTAAGGCCAAGGCAGAGTTGCCCAGTGCCTGGCTAAGTGTCAAAGGCATGCCCATCATGGACACAGAGTCTCTCAGCAATGACTAGGGGAGATGTTAGTTCCTGACATCTAAGGAAATCTCTGTCCACTTATCAGCTGACCAATAAGCTATCAGAGCAGAGACCTCATTGATCATACAAGACAAAGAATACAGACATTCTAGAATTATTTAAGAAAAATTACTGAACAACAACAATAACAAACAACAACAACAACAAACCCTGGGTAAGAGAGAAAATCTGATTTTCAGGGTTGCTGGATTGTGTTATTCAAAATTCCCCGTTTCTAACAAAAATGAATAAATAAAATGCAGGCAAATAAATAAGAAAATATAGCCCATACACATTAGGAAAAGGAAGTCAGCAGAAATTATTCCTGGGGAAGTCTAGATGTTGCACTTAATATATAAAGCCTTTAAATCAGTTCAAACATGTTCAAAGGATTAGCGAAAACTATACGTAAAAATTAAAGGAAATTATGAGAACAATTTCTCATCAAACAGAAGATATCAAAATATAAGTGTAAACTTTAATAACCATGGGTTAGGCAATCCTTTTTTAAATATGATCCCAAAAGCTCAGGCAACCAAAAAAATTTGATAAATTTAACATCATCGTAATTAAAAGGTTTGTGGTTTCAAGAACACTATCAATAATTGAAATGGCAAAAGTACCCAGAATATGTAAAGAGCCACTACAACTCAATAATTTAAAAAAATCCAATTAAAAATGAGCAAAGGATTTGAATAGGCATTTCTCCAAAGATTATTACACAAGTAACTGGTAAGGATGTAAAATCATCTTCAGTATCATTAGGCATTAGGGAAATGAAAATCAAAAGTATAATGAGAGTTCACTTCATATCCTTATGATGGCTAAAATAAAAAAGATGGACAATAGCAAGTGCTAGCAAGAATGTGAAGAGATTTGAACCCTCATACATTGCTAACTGGAAATGTCAAATGGTGCAGCCACTTCAGAAAACAGTTTGGCAGTTCCTCAAAACAAGAAACAGAGTTATCATATGATTCAGCAATTCCATTCCTGGTTGTGTATCCAAAAGAATTGAAATCATCTGTCACATAAGAATTTGTCCATAAATATTCCTAGCAGCATAATTCGTGATAGCCAAAACTGGAAATAACCCAAATGTTCCTCAACTGATGAATACATTTAAAAATATAATGTATACAGCCAGGTGCAGTGGTTCATGCCTGTAATCCCAGCACTTTGGGAGGCCGAGGCGGGCGGATCATGAGGTCAGGAGATCGAGACCACGGTGAAACCCCGTCTCTACTAAAAATACAAAAAATTAGCAAGGTGCGGTGGCGGGCACCTGTAGTCCCAGCTACTTGGGAGGCTGAGGCAGGAGAATGGCGTGAACCCAGGAGGCGGAGCTTGCAGTGAGCTGAGATTGCACCACTGCACTCCAGCCTGGGTGACAGAGCGAGACTCCGTCTCAAAAAAAAAAAAAAAAAAAATATATATATATATAAATGTATACATACAATGGAATATTACTCAGCCATAAAAACAAATCAAAACTGGGCACAGTGGCTCATGCCTGTAATCTCAGCACTTGGAGAAACCGAGATGGGAATATCGTTTGAGCCCAAGAGTTTGAGACCAGCCTGGACAACATAATGAGATTCAATCTCTACAAAATTATTTTTTAAAAGCTAGCTGGGTGTGGAGGTACATTTAGTTCCAGCTACTCAGGAGGCTGAAGTAGGAGGATCACTTGAACCTAGTGAGCCATGATCATGCCACTGCACTCCAGCCTGGGTGACAGAGCAAGATCCTGTTTTAATTTTTTAAAAATCAAATTCTGATTCACATTATAGTGTAAGCAAACCTTGAAAATATTATGCTACATGAAAACAGTGAGCCACAAAAGGCCACATATTGCATTATTTCAATCATATAAAATGTCTAAAATAGGCACATTGATAGAGACAGAAAGTAGATTAGCAGTTCCTAGAGGATAAGGAAAGGGTAAAATGGGGAGCAACTGCTAATGGGATAATGAAAATGTTTTAGAAATAGAAAGTGATGATTATGGCACAACTCTGTGAATATATTCCCCCAAAAATCCATTTAATTACTAAAGAGGTGATTTTTTTTGGTATGTGAATTATATGTCAATTTTTAAAAAGAGAAAAAATAAGGCAAGAGGAAGGTAAGATTATTTCCAGCTCATGATGTTCAGGAAAGCCCATTCCAGCATTTTACAATATACAGATGATTAGGCATTCAGAAATACAGGGGAAGGGAGTTGGAGGTGTGAGTTCTGCTCTGTGCAATCATTCAAGAGACAGGCTCCTTTCATGATATGGTCCTGCCACCTGTAACATGAGATTTCAAAGACAGGAGAGAAAACTTGTGTAAAATTATGAAAGAGCTAATGCGATGAGCCCCACTGTCAACATGCCATTAGCTAGAATTTAGTCATAAGGTCCTACCCAATTCCAAAGGTGGATGGAAGACGTTAATTTATCTCAATGCTCAGGAACAATACTTAGTATTGTCTCTGTCACAAAAGGAAAGAGGATACATTCCCAACCTAAGTAACTGAGATTCAGAATTAACCCTGAAATAAGCAGCTACAAACTATAGAGCACTAAAACCAAAAATAATCATAGAAGAAAAGAATATACAAAATTTTGTATAATCTGTTGTTCAGTTAATTTGGAAAGTAACTTTGCTGCCATCTTTCAAACCACCTTAAGCAAAATATTCAGAAACTTCAATAACTAACTAGTATCACCAGTCTTGGCTTGATAAGTAAAGTTACTAGGTATTTGTCGGTTCAACTTACGATACGTTAAACTCTGGAGGTTTAAAAAAAAGTTGCTTAAAAAAAAAAAACAGAATGCAGCTTATTATTTTCCTGAGTTCAGTGTAAGCATAGTTACATTAATGCCGTATGAGTTTAAAATATTGTAAATAAAAAGCACCTTTTTTCAGCTATAACACAAACTCCTCAATAGAGAAATATGGGATATTAGTGCATTAAAATCAACCCCTTTTGAACCCATTCATAATTTATAGCTACCTACATAGTTCTTCCAGCCATACCATGTCTATCTGTATCATTAAATATCCTCTCTGTTTTTCAGGTATTTTAACTGAACCACTACTGGCTGGGTTCTTAATAAAAACAAAAAATTAAGAAGGTAAATAAATTCAGTATCCTAGCCAAAAAGCAGAGTATCTGTTTCAGGAACATAAGACAGTATACTTTCCATTTCATTTTACACACACACATGATGTCTTTTACATAAGAATGAACCTGGCTGCCTGAAGATAGCTTGTTTTGATATCACAGAATGGCCTCTAGGGATCAAGTTGTTTCCCTTGAAAACTTAAAAAGGGAAATTCAGTCTCTTATCCGGCTTGCTTCTCGACTTCAGACTTCAGGAGCTTCTGCATCTGAATCTGTGTCACCCTGCAATTTGTGTCTCTGAAACATAATCCTGTCTCACAGACTCCCATTGCATTGGGATTGGTCAGAAGGAAGCAGAGGAGGAGCCACCGTGAACATGTTTTTTTTCTCTCCACACATCATAAAAATCAGCAGCTGGCGCCTACAGCCCCTAACACTCAAAGCAACGCTCAGGCTGGAAACAGAAGCTTCCGAGAGGCAGCCGATGTGAGCATGTGCGCACAGATTCGTCTCCCAATGGCATGGCAGCTTCAAGGAAAATTATTTTGAACAGACTTGAATGCATAAGATTAAAGTTAAAGCAGAAGTGAGAACAAGAAAGCAAAGAGCAGACTCTTTCAACTGAGAATGAATATTTTGAAGCCCAAGATTTTAAAGTGATGATGATTAGAGTCGTACCTAAAAGAGACTAAAAACTCCATGTCAAGCTCTGGACTTGTGACATTTACTCACAGCAGGCATGGCAATTTTAGCCTCACAACTTTCAGACAGATAAAGACTTGGAGGAAATAACTGAGACGACTCCCTGACCCAGGAGGTTAAATCAATTCAGGGGGACACTGGAATTCTCCTGCCAGCATGGTGAACTCCACCCACCGTGGGATGCACACTTCTCTGCACCTCTGGAACCGCAGCAGTTACAGACTGCACAGCAATGCCAGTGAGTCCCTTGGAAAAGGCTACTCTGATGGAGGGTGCTACGAGCAACTTTTTGTCTCTCCTGAGGTGTTTGTGACTCTGGGTGTCATCAGCTTGTTGGAGAATATCTTAGTGATTGTGGCAATAGCCAAGAACAAGAATCTGCATTCACCCATGTACTTTTTCATCTGCAGCTTGGCTGTGGCTGATATGCTGGTGAGCGTTTCAAATGGATCAGAAACCATTGTCATCACCCTATTAAACAGTACAGATACGGATGCACAGAGTTTCACAGTGAATATTGATAATGTCATTGACTCGGTGATCTGTAGCTCCTTGCTTGCATCCATTTGCAGCCTGCTTTCAATTGCAGTGGACAGGTACTTTACTATCTTCTATGCTCTCCAGTACCATAACATTATGACAGTTAAGCGGGTTGGGATCATCATAAGTTGTATCTGGGCAGCTTGCACGGTTTCAGGCATTTTGTTCATCATTTACTCAGATAGTAGTGCTGTCATCATCTGCCTCATCACCATGTTCTTCACCATGCTGGCTCTCATGGCTTCTCTCTATGTCCACATGTTCCTGATGGCCAGGCTTCACATTAAGAGGATTGCTGTCCTCCCCGGCACTGGTGCCATCCGCCAAGGTGCCAATATGAAGGGAGCGATTACCTTGACCATCCTGATTGGCGTCTTTGTTGTCTGCTGGGCCCCATTCTTCCTCCACTTAATATTCTACATCTCTTGTCCTCAGAATCCATATTGTGTGTGCTTCATGTCTCACTTTAACTTGTATCTCATACTGATCATGTGTAATTCAATCATCGATCCTCTGATTTATGCACTCCGGAGTCAAGAACTGAGGAAAACCTTCAAAGAGATCATCTGTTGCTATCCCCTGGGAGGCCTTTGTGACTTGTCTAGCAGATATTAAATGGGGACAGAGCACGCAATATAGGAACATGCATAAGAGACTTTTTCACTCTTACCCTACCTGAATATTGTACTTCTGCAACAGCTTTCTCTTCCGTGTAGGGTACTGGTTGAGAATATCCATTGTGTAAATTTAAGCCTATGATTTTTAATGAGAAAAAATGCCCAGTCTCTGTATTATTTCCAATGTCATGCTACTTTTTTGGCCATAAAATATGAATCTATGTTATAGGTTGTAGGCACTGTGGATTTACAAAAAGAAAAGTCCTTATTAAAAGCTTAACAATGTCTCCTTCGTGTTATTCATAAGCATTGGACACTTTGCGTGCTTTCGTAACATAGAAATCAGAGCCTCATTAAACATATTCTAATAAATGCTTTATTATATTATATTATCCACCATTGAAATGTAGAGAGTTCATTCTAGCAGTTAAGGGAAAATATTTAAAGAATAGATGTATAATCATTTTTAAAAATATCATCACTGAAATTTCAAGTAATTTAATTAAAGGTTTGTTCATCCTCCCTGTGCAGAAGTAGAAATGAAGCTCCTCTAGAGAGAAAAACAGGTGCTGAAAAAAGAGAGATGCTGAGTTAGAAAACTATGTGTACTTCTCAGACACAGAAAGATTCATCTCCCTTAGCAAACAGCCTGATATTTCACACAGGCAATTCGGTTTGGGGTGGGTGGGAAAAGGCAGCTATAGGGATGAAAGTGTCCTGGAAAACCTAAGTTGCCATGTCAAGCTAAATTTCCTGTTACCAAATTATCCCTAAACAATATTAATAAAACAGAGAATGGGGATTTATGCCCCCTTTAAACAAGGATTCAGGGTCTGCTGAAGTGTCCAGAAAAGGTAATATTGTACTGAGAGATTTAGCTTCCTGTTTCTAGAGAAGTACAGGACTGACATCGAATTCTTTCTCATTTCACATGAAAATGACTTGCTGTTTACTTATTGCTGATTTTTTGAACTGGAGTACAAATGTTGATTATCAAGGATTTTAAACTTCAAAACCAAATTCATAGCAGAAGTGTTTTCTGGCAATATTTGTAAATAACTAAAATAAAGGTATCTGTGATGCTGGTACATTTTAAGCAGGAAGGGAGGCACCTACCAAACCCCAGAGGATGTCATGCAATAAACTAGCCTTCCACAGCCACTTCTTGAAGAGTAAAATGTTTTGCTCCAAAATAATCCTACAGATTTGGCCACTGAGCAATAAAATTTGTACTGTACTTTCTAATCTGTGTGTAATTTAAAATAAAGCAAAAGAATATATTAGGTTGAGGATTACCAGTAAACTATCTTAGGATTTACAGGGTCTTCAAATGCTCATGGGCAGAAGTCATATGCAAAGGTACTCCTTAACTCAAATCTAAATGTTTTACACTGATTATAAGACCCAAGAAACACTTTCAACATTCATCTGAAAACACTACCTTAAAGGATAATAGTGAAGTTAAAGTTTACACATAAGAAGTGGTACTAAAGCTGAAATTTTAATTCCACTGCAATTCCTCTATTTTGAAGCAAAAGTGAATGTGAGGATTTAAATATACACTAATCTAACAATCATAGTCTATAGCAGTAGAGGGACACAGTTATGTTTTTTTCATTGCTACGTTTCCTGTCCATTCTTTCATTTCATGAATCTGAAAAATCCCAGGGACTAGAGATATGAAAAAGAGAGCTATGAGCACACCCCATCTTCTGTGGTGGCTGCCCTTCCCAGTTTATCCTATTTCTCCTCCAAGTGCCATCTCAGATCCTGGCTCCTCCTTCTTCAGGTTCATACCTTCTCCTGGAGTGGTTTACAGTGTTAGGGTGTGTATAATTCATGAACGAGCCATATAACAGCACCCTCCCCTATATGCCATGGTACCATATTGGACTTCAGCTCCTTTAAGTGCAGAGACTGTCTCTTACTCAGTTTTTCTATTCTCCAAGTCTTCCTCTATTCAAGTTGCTTCCTTTTGTTCAAGTAAAAACAAGATTCCCTCAGAGGCCAGGCCTTACCCAAGCCACCTCTAAGCTCCATTCCACATCCAGTGAGATTTGGAGCCCCACCAGCTCTAGCTGGATTGTTATTGTATCAATTGGGGAAGTGTTATGGTTTAAAACTGTAGGCTTAAGCAAGTATATTTAGGATGAATACAGGAGGGAGCAGAGAGTGAGAGTGGGGCTGGAGATTTGGAGGAAACAAGCTTGAAGTACACGAAATGAAGATACTGTAGTGACCATGGCTGCTAGAGCAGATGCAGAGAAAGTGGTTATTCCAAGTAGGTAATTTTAAATATATTAGGAGCAAAGAACTGAAATTCACAGAATTGTATGAGAACATTCCCCTCAAGGAAAGGGGATTCTATTTCCGCTCCATTCACCTTACATCTAATAACAACATGTCATCACGACTTCAGACCTTATCCAACCATAATATTCAGATTCCTGTTTGGAATCCCCAGTTCCATATTGCAGTCTCACTTTCCTTGCTGTTTTATTTTTGTGCATTCTGTCTCTTCTGTTAGGATGTGAGCCCCTTAAAGAAAAGCCTTATGCTCATATTTTTATTGCCACAGGGAATAGCATATTTCATATTTAACATATTAGAGAGACTAAAAAAATCTAGAGAGAGAGAAAATATTCTTGACTTCTGAAAGTGGTTTCCCATTTAGTCTCACCTTGACCATTCTTGATGCTGCATCTATTTCAGTGGTGGCAATGATGACAGATCGGGGCAGAACTTTCTTATGTAGCAGCTGCCTAGCCATCATTGTCTCGCCCTACCTAGAGTGTCTTCAGGGAAGGACAATAGAAGCCATGGTGGTCACTGGGGAAGCAAGTGGGTCAGGCATTGGTTGCACACAGAAATGTTATAAAGGCAACCTCTAGCCATCCTTCTGAAAATCCATGATCAATAAATAGAGAGATGTGGAATCACAGCATGAATGAAGTAATAAGGGAATGTCTGTCCCATCAGATTATCTTGGTTTTACTACCGACAGTAGAATTAGTCATTGTTTAAGCCATATCAAGATTGATTTGTCCAGTTATGGTCTTAGGAGTTAGAGCTATCTGTAGCTAAGGACATTGGCTTATCTAAAACTTAGCACAAATGAGAATTATTCTTCCACATGCAGTGTCCATTAGGGAGAAATACATATGAATTATGCTAAATGGAAAGCATGGTACCATCCTGTGTCTGAGACATTCCATCCCCAACCCAGTGAAGTACCTCCAAGGAAACTGAGCTGTAGCACATGGCTTAGCCTACAGGCCCCAAACTGCCCCTCCCTCTCTCCTACTAAATCCACAAATTGACATCTTGTCACCTTTCAACCAACAAAAGACTACCTGAACATCATGGTTAAGAAGAAAAGAGAACGAAATGCAAGAGAGAGAGGGAGAGAGAGAGAAAGAGAAGAATGCTTACCAGGTTATGGATTGGCTTTCCACTTCAACTGATGAAAAACATAAACAAACAAATAAATAATGCCATAAAACATGTACCCACGAGCAGGGGCTTTAAACACATATCCCAACCCTGCTGGTGGCCCAGGAATTTCTATATGAGGCGGCTTAGGGTACAGTGTGGTTCAGAGGAGTTACAATGGACTGTCTTGAAGGTTTCTGTGCAGCAGTTGCCTTCTTTCAGGTTGCATAGGTTCTTGAAATGTGTTAGGAGGGATATTTGAAGATTTTACCTTGGTGAGATTAATAAACTTGGGCACCATGGGTGTCCTACAATCTGACTTCATCAGACAAGTGCTTCTTTATGGTGAGGAAAAGGGAGTGGAAGGAGACCGGAACATGGTAAAGAGTATTGTCTTCTCTTCCATCTTTCAAAAAGTTATTCCATTAATCAAATGTTATTCCTACAGCTTTTTTTTAAACTTGTAGGCTATTTTTTCCTTTACTATTTCTCTTGCTAATCTAGAAACCAATAGTGTTAAAGATGATATGTTTTCAATGAATGCTTCTTACCTGACTTCTTGTTTTATATTTCTTTCATGTTTTTTTCACTCAATTTTTCTTAAATTTCTTTGTATTGTTGTGATACACTAATGCAAAGAGAAAGAAAAATAGGAAAAAATCCAAATGTTCATATTAGTTTGGTTCAATGGACCGATGCTTTAAAGTGCATAAAAATGTGAACATATTGCATTTGCATTTGGCCTAAGCTGTTTTGCTTTACAGAATCCTACTGGAAAGAAAGCACTTTTAGTGGAAATAAGAAAGGAGTAGAACTCTACAGTTACTGCAAGGACACTGCAGCATAGTGATCAAGGCCCCAGAAATGCACTTGTATCACATATCCATATTATGGCTTAACCAAAGGAATAAAGGAAACTAGATAGTCTACATTAGTCAACTTGAAGTACAAACAGATGTTCCCTTGGAATATTCTTAAGGAATGGAAATAAATGTTGCCTGCAAAAAAGAATTTAATTATAGCATTGGAGTGGCCTTTGACAAATGGCTGCTATAAATTTTATGGTACCAAATTCACGTTATTAAAAGCTAAATTAATTTTCACAATTGTAGAGGAGGTAGTAAAGTAGGTGATTTTATATCCTTTTATGTTGAAACATAAATTGACAAAATTGCATTAGAGGACATTATGCAATGTGTATCACAAACCCTAAAGTCACCCATTCCTTATTATTTCATTGTGATTAGTTTTAGAAGTATGATTGTTAGGTTAGGAAGCCACCACTAATGGAAGGCTCACATCACCTCCTAAGTGTAACTGTCTGAGGATCATTGATGTGAGATCTGGTGTACCTACCCTCAAAAATTCCAGTTTATTAGTGATAAAACTTTACATCATTATTCTGTTGTGAAAATAATGGTAGATGAGAATAAACTTTCTGATAAAACCTAATATCAGACACCTTTTGTTCTACTGTGTTTGATATTTAATTTTTTGAAGAAAGCATGTTTATTTGAGGTTCACAGCAAGATTAACCAGAAAGTACAGAGATTTCTCATGTACCCCCTTCCCCACACATGAAAAACCTCTCATTATCAACATTCACCACCAGAGTGGTACAATTGTTATAATAGATTAACCTACCTTGACACATCATAATCACCCAAGTCTATAGTTTACATTAGGGTTCACTCTTGGTGTTGTACTTTCTATGGGTTTGGACCAATATATAATGATCTGTATCCAACATGATAGTATCATACAGAGTAGTTTCTAACAACCCTAAAAATACTCTATTCTCTGCCTATTTATCTCTTCCTCTCCCCAACAGCTGATAACCATTGGTCTTTTTACTATCTCTAGTTTTGGCTTTCCCAGACTGTCATGCACTTGGGATCATATAGTTGACAGTCTCTTCAGATTGGCTTCTCTCACTTTTTGAATTTAAATATGGATCTAAGTTTTCTGTATGTCTTTTTATGGCTTAATAGCTCATTTCCTTTTAGTATTGGATAAAATTCCACTATAGGTATATACCACAGTTTATCCACTCCCCTGCTGAAGAACATCTTAGTTGCTTCCATATTTTGGCAATTAAATAAAGCTGTGTGGACCTAAGTTTTCAACTCCTTTGGCTAAATACCAAAGAACAGTAATGAACTTTTTTTTTTTTTTTTTTTTGAGACGGAGTCTCGCTCTGTCGCCCAGGCTGGAGTGCAGTGGCGGGATCTCGGCTCACTGCAAGCTCCGCCTCCCGGGTTCACGCCATTCTCCTGCCTCAGCCTCCCAAGTAGCTGGGACTACAGGCGCCCGCCACTATGCCCGGCTAATTTTTTGTATTTTTAGTAGAGACGGGGTTTCACCGGTTTAGCCGGGAAGTAATGAACTTTTAAAAACTCCAGTATGGCAATCACATGAAAAAAAGCTCAACATCACTGATCATCAGAGAAATGCAAATCAAAACCACAATGAGATATCATCTCACACCAATCAGAATGGCTATCATTAAAAAGTCATAAACTAACAGATGCTGGCGAGATTGTGGAGAAAAGGGAATACATACACTGTTGGTGGGAGTGTAAATTAGTTTAGCCCTTGTGGAATAATGTGTGGTGTAATTCCTCTAAAACCTAAAGATAGAAATACTATTTGACCCAGCAATCCCATTACTCGGTATATACCCAAAGGAATATAAATCATTCTGTTATAAAGATACATGCATGCCTATGTTCATTGCAGCACTCTTCACAATAGCAAAGACATGAAATCAACCTAAATGCCCATCAACAGTAGTAGACTGGATTAAGAAAACATGGTACATAGACACCATGGAATACTATGCAGCCATAAAAAGGAATGAGATCGTGCCCTTTGCAGGGACATGGATGGAGCTGGAGGCCATTATCCTTAGCAAACTAACTCAGGAACATAAAAATCAAAAGGCGTGTGTTCTCGTAAGTGTGAGCTAAATGATGAGAACGCATGAACACATGGTGGGAAACAACACACACTGGGGCCTTTCAGAGGGTGGAAGGTGGCAGAAGGGAGAGGATCAGGAAAAATAACGGGTACCAGGCTTAATACCTGGGTGATGAAATAATCTGTACAACACCCACCCCATGACACAAGTTTACCTATGTAACAAACCTGCACATGTATTCCTGAAGTTAAAAGTTTAAAAAATAATAATATTTAAAAATACAACTAAACAAAAAAACTCTGGTATGAATATGATGATGTTCGTGGCTATCCTTTAATCTTTAAAGGATGGTTAGTTAATATTTGAATGATACTGGTCAGAAGCATACACTTCAGACATAGCTGGTAAGTGTCATCACATACTTCTATTAAAATTTTCACAGATGGCCAGGAGTGGTGGCTCACGCCTGTAATCCCAGCACTTTGGGAGGCTGAGGCGGGCAGATCACCTGATGTCAGGAGTTTGCAAACAGCCTGGCCAACGTGGTAAAACCCCGTCTCTACTGAAAATACACAAATTAGCAGGGCGTGGTGGCAGGTGCCTGTAATCCCAGCTACTGAGGAGGCTTAGGCAGGAGAATTGCTTGAACCCGGGAGGCGGAGGTTGAAGGGAGCCAAGATCGGGCCACTGCACTCCAGGCCAGGTGACAGAGTGAGACTCCATCTCAAAAAAAAAAAAAAAAAAAATCACAGAGGTTCAATGAATATGTGCAGAATATAATAGAAATAATTTTTTCATTGGTGAAATGGGTGTTTTTCAAAACTTGTTGACTTAAAAATTGCATAGCAATTGCCACAACTTGCACGAAGAAGGTACAAAATTTCCCCCACTTAGCAGCTTGCTTAGCACTTAGACTGTATGTCCGAAGCTCCATATATAGTTCCATGTATCCCCCACCCACCTCAAGGTCTCTGTTGCCCATCTTAAATATTTTGATATTACTAAAAACAATTTTTGAAGCAGTATTGACATGGGTTTTATGTTACAAGGAACATACAAAACAAAATACTTAGCATGATACAAATTATCTAGAGGAAAGTACCATCGTCTTACTTATGTACCTCCTGCATATTACCTTTCATAAGTCATGAGCAATTGGTAGTCATTATTCCTGAGTGATAATATTGAGGGGCATGTTGATTTTCTTTATTGAGTGTGTTTCTATTATGTACATTTACTACAATAAGCACATTTTAATGTCTTAATATTTTTTAAAAGAATAAACATTACAACAGAAAGATGGGTGGTGGAAATGCAATTGCCAAATTACTGATTTGTGGAGAAGTTATGTTTGAATAAGATCAGATCTTGGTGACTATATCACCTTTCCACCCTTTTAAGTAGACTCAGAGGGCCTGCCTGATGGCACATGTGTAGTCAGTGGCAGCAGTAAAGCCCGAGACCCCGTTTCTGGCTCCCCATCTAGGTTTCCCTTGTATCAAATTTCAAGAACCTTGTTCTGTAGGTAAATATGGCTTTCCCAGTCGCAGAGACCTAGGACTGAATTCTGGTTATACTCCTTTTAAGCTGTGAGATTTTGTGGAAGTTAATTTTCTCGTAATTAAATCATAATAATAAAATACTTGCCTAATGGGAATCTTTAAAGGATAAAGGCAATTAAATAAGATCAAGAGTGTTATATTCCACAAAACTGTTCCCAATATATATAGGCACTCAAAAATGGTAATTATTATTGTTTTAAAAAATATAAAATAAATGAATAAATGCAGACTTACTAGTTTTCTATCTTTTTCAGCCATTCTATCAATCAACATAGCTAGGCCTTAAGCTTAATTTTTATCTTAAGTCATATTTTAAAATTTCCTTGGGTTTGATTACATTTTTATGTAAATATATTTGAACATAATACATGGGCATATCTGTACTCCAAAGGATAATTTGTTATCACCAAAAATGTTAATTGTTCTAAAATTTGCAGTGTCACATTTAATATTGGAAAAGGCTAATTTGAAGATAATGTGCCAAATATGAAATAACCAATTAGCTCATTTATTCAGAAATGGATTGATACTTACTACACTTTATCCCATGAATTCAAATGTTAACATAAAAAATCATTATCTAAGTTGAGATTGCTGATATAAAATGTAAACCCTTGAAAAGGAACCATAAATAATAAATTTATGATTACATCTTTATGTTCAGCTATTATATCAGCCCATCACATACACACTAAAGCTGCGTGCATGAGAGTAGAAAGAACATAAGATTGAACTAAATGAGTATTGAATTCAAATCCCAGATCTACTATTTACCAACTGTTGAACCTTGGCCAAGTTACTTGAATTTCTTAAGCACGTAAAGTCTAATCTATGAAATGAAGATAATATCTGTTATCTATCATATGGTTAATGATAAATATTAAATAATGTAAAATTAGATAATTGATTTTAAAAACCTAGTACGGCATTTGTCACTGTAGGCAGCTATATTACAAAAACAATCAAATTATACCCAGAAGATTATCAGAGCTTAGATCCTAGAAGAGTTTAAATGGTGATAGAGACTTGGATATCCTCACTTCTCTAACATGGAGAGCAATCCATTCAAATCTGTTTTTGATACTTCATTTCTGACAAGTGGAGCAAGTAAAAACAAACTCCTGTTTTTCTTATTTTAAATATAAAGATAATTTGAACATTTCAAAAATATTCAGGCAAAGTAGTGGGTGGAGGTGTGCAGAAAGACTGTTTCAATGGCTTCAGTAATGTTGGAATTCTTATGTTAAATCATGGGTTTAACGTATAATATTGTGCTTCACGGCTTGGAGACATATGACATATTCTTTTGTATGTATTTAGTATTACATGAAACTTAAATGGATATGTTTATTTTGTAATATTTGTGGTGAGCAGGAACATACAAAGCTACATTTGCTTATAAGAAATAAAGGATCCCTAGCACACCTGCCACTTGGAGAAAAAAAAAAAAGAGCTTTGATCTGTGATAGAATGGTTGATTTGTCCTTGGGTTAATAAAATTAATAATCACAGTTTACAATTATTAACAGTGCTTTCCCTGACAAGAGACACCTGGAGACCCCACAAATATAAAGCCAAATGGAAAATTTTTAGCATCTCAATCAGTAAACGATTCAATACGTTTTTGTATAGGATTCATCTGCAAATCAATAATCACGGTTTAACTTCTAAGATTTTAAACAGCGTGGGAAATTTCGCTGTTAAATGTGAGTCATCACTAAATAAAATTTAAAAGTAAATATATAGCAATAACTTTGATCACTATTCCTCCTGAAGGGGGAGAAAAACACTATGCTACATTTTTTTTTGCAGTAAGTTTAATTCCTCAATTTAAATCTGTTTCATTTGTATTACCGAGGTTTTAAAATGGCCCTGTTGAAAACAACACGTTCATATCCTATATACGTTTCACAATATTTGGAGATTTTACTAAAATGACACATAGTATTTATATTTTTATTGAATTTTTTCATTTATGAAGAAAGCTGGAAAGCTTTGGGTATTTCTTTTTTGTAATTTTGTGTACATAGGATCATTGATATGATGTTAAATATTGTGCTCTGGATATCATTGTTATCTATTAGTTATAAAACTATTTACTATCAACGTTAGAAGAAAAATCTTTACCTTTTCACCTTTGGCTTACCTCTAACTTTCCTTTCTAAGATACCATGTCACATCTCTACCTTTTCTGCATCAATGTCTTACTTTCACCTTAAACTCAATGTGTCTAAAACTGAAGTGTTCCTTGACACAAAATTTGACCCCTGCTTTTTACTTTGTTTTCATCATCCCATAATTCTCCTTGAAACAGAAACTTAAACTCCAGTCACTGCACTTTCACTCCAACATTAAATTAGAGAGATTCTGAATGAAGATCAGGTGCATAGAGTCTGACACAAATATCTGTGATTTTTTGGATTTACAATGGAGAAGGAAAGGAAGAAAATTGGTTCCTACAAATTCATAAATCATCTTGGGAAAAAATAGACAAGGACATGGACAGGACATGATTGATATGGTTTGGTAGTTTTTTTTTTTTTGAGAATCCTGCTTAAAAATCAGGTACAGAGAAGTCTGGAATATACATATAAATTTTGTAGTTGAGTATGTACAAAGATAGTAGGAGATAAGTACAGTTAGAGAATCCTTATTGTAAAAATCCTATATCCAAAATGCTCCAAAAACCTTTTGAGCACCAATATGATGGCACAAATGGAAAATTCTACACCTGATCTTATGTTACATGCTGCAGCCAAAATGCAGACATATAGTATTATTCACAACAGCAAAGACATGGAATCAACCTAGATGCCCATCAACAGTGGATTATATACAGAAATCGTGGTACATATACACCATGGAATCCTATGCAGCCATTAAAAAAGAATGTAATCATGTCCTTTGCAGCAACATGGATGCAGCAGAGGCCATAGTCCTAAGCGAATTAATGCAGGAACAGAAAACCAAATACATGTGTTCTCACTTATAAGTGGGAGCTAAACATTGGGTACATATGGACAAAATGATGAGAACAATAGTCACTGGGGACTACCAGAGGAAGGGAGAGGGGGAAGAAGGCAAGGGCTGAAAAACTACCTATTGGCACTAAGCTTACCACCTGGGTGACAGGATCATTCATACCCCAAACCTCAGCATTACTGCACCATGCTAGCTGCAGTAAACAGAGGTGAGTTGTGGATGTGGAAGGCTTTTTATTAAAAAGTTTAGCATGAAGGAGGCTATATATGCTGACATCAATGCTTGGAACACAGTGACTAAAGACACAGTATGCTTGCCTGGCACAAACTTTGGCCCGTGACTATGTTCAGTGATCATGATGAACAAGATGATGACTATGAAGAATTGAGTATGTCAAGTGAGAAAAATGATGTCTATCCTCCTTACATGTGCAAAAAATATACCATCAGAGTTTGTCAGCAACCTGGAAGTGGACATTAAAGAAGTTTTTAACATCAATAATGGGGTTTCTATTGTTCATTCATTGACTGATGGTCAGCTAGGGTAAGGTAGCCTAGCTCTGAAGCAAGGTGATTGTGACAATAGTGATGATGATGATGTTTACAATGCAGAAAAAGTGTCTATAGACAACACGGTGAAAATAAATGATGGGCTTATTGAAGGGCTAGAACAGCACACATTCATAACAGAACAAAAAAATGATGTCACTTAATAAAATCAAAGAGACTTGTAAGACAAAAAGAAAAAGAAAAAAAGAAAGGTTAATGAGCCAGATGAGTCTGGAGGAAACACTTTTAAAAGTTATCCAGGGCCGGGCACGGTGGCTCACGCCTGTAATCCCAGCACTTTGTGAGGCCGAGGTGGGCGGATCACAAGGTCAAGAGATCGAGACCATGCTGGCCAACTTGGTGAAACCCTGTCTCTACTAAAAATACAATACAAAAATGGTACAGTTCTCTGGGGCACTTACCATGAGCAGAGCTTGCAGGACTGGAAGTTGCTCTGGGTGAGTCAATGAGTGGTAAGTGAGTGTCAAGGCCTAGGACATTACTGTATACAACTATAGACTTTATAAAACTTGTGCAATTAGGATACACTAAATTTATGTAAAATGTTTTCTGTCTTCAATAATAAAATTAACCTTAGCTTGCTATAACTTTTTACTTTATAAGCCTTTTATATTTTTATCTTTGTGAATCTTTTGTAATGACACAGCTTAATACACAAATACATTGTCCAATTATACAAAAATATTTTCTTTACATTCTTATTTTATATGCATTTTACTATTTTTTTTTTTTTTACTTTTCAAACATTTTGTTTCAAAACTAAGACACAAACATAGGCCTTAGTTTTTTTAACCAAAACTAAGACATTGACCTAGACCTACAGAGGGTCAGGATCATCAATATGACTGTCTTCCATCTTCACATCTTATTCAACTCTTTGAGACAATAACACACATGGAGCGGCATCTCCTATGGTAACAATGCCTTCTTCTAGATACCTTCTGAAGCACCTGCCTGAGGCTGTTTTACAGTTAACTTTTTTTTTAATAAGTAGAAGGAGTGCACGCTAAAGGATTAAAATAGAGTAAATACATAAATAATTGTTGATTACCATTATCATTTACTATGTACTGTACATAATTGCATGTGCTATATTTTATATGACTGGTAATACAGTGGGTTTGCTTACACCCACATTACCACAAATAGTATGGAATGCATTGCATTCTATGACTCATACAATGGCTATGCTAAAGACTTCTAAATTTATGTCTTCAATTTATATAGCTTTCTTCAATAGCAGACCTACTTACTCAACTATTTTCTGAACATCTCTATTTGGCTTTCTAAAAGAAATCCCAGACTTACAAGTCTATTTTGAATGCCTAGATTTTCTATCTAAAACTTCTCTCTTACTCCAAGGAACATCAAGGAGGTCTATATGGCTGTATCAAACATGCCAAGCAGCCCTACCTTAGGGACATTGCATTGCCTCTTACATCTATTTGGAAAGCTATACCCTAGATATGCACATAGCTAACTATTTCATCTCCTTCAAGTTTTTGCTCAGATGTCTCCTCTTTGAAACCTACCTTGAGAATTCTTTTTAAAAAGGCAAACTCAGTGCACCAGCCCAACATTCCATATTCCCCTGATCTTTTCAAAATTTTTTTTCACAATGCCTTCTAGCAAATCACATAGTTTACCAAATTATAATATTTTTTGTCTGTTTCCACTTAGACCTAAAACTATGTGAAGACAGGAAACTTTTAATTCGTTCATTGAAGAATTATAAATACCTAGATTAGAACTTTTCTATAATAAAAGCTGGATAGATATTGGATGAATGAATAAAGAAAGGAAAATGTAAAAATAGGAGGAAAAAAGCTAAAGTTAGATGCTTTGTTAATAGCAGTGTTTAAAGGGCTAGTGAACAAAGAACAGGCCAAGAAGTGATGACTATAGAAGTAATGGTAAAACTAGAAAGAGTGACAATATGATTCAAGCCCAAGGAGGAGTGAGTTTTAAGGAATTAGATGTCAATCATTTCAGCAAAGAAAAAACAGGCGTTCAGAAAATTTTATAACTAGAAATTTAATGTATTTATTGGAGAATAGAATTACAAAGAAGACTGAGATTTTGATGAAATGACTTTTTAGAAATATGAAACATGAGAGGAAGAGCCAATTTTCAGTAAAATGTTGAAGCCAACATCAGATTGATTGAGGCTCATCTGGGAACATAGAAGTAGAATGGGAGATGGAGTAGAGAAACAGAATACAGATTCTTCGGCTAACAAGCTGCACTGAATAGAATGAAGCACATAGTAATAAGAGATAATTTCTTCAAAATGGGTAAGTTTTAAGGAAGATTATATACAGAGACAAAGAACCAATACAGACTAAGAGGTTGAAAATACTGAATATTTATTGAAAACTCAATAGTACAGCTAAATCATTTTCCCATAATTTTCCATAAATGTTACCTTTCTGACTGAGTTAATGTTGTCCTAATTATGCCAACAAGTAGTTCTGTGAAGAGCTCTTCTTAGGAACTGTACCCTTCCAAAACACCAGGAGATGAAATTGAAATGCAAACATCTCCCTCACCCCAGATAACAGATGACTAGCTAGCTCGGCTAAGGACAGTGGCAGTAAAGTCTAGGCACACTCACCCTTTTCTGTCCAGAGCAAGAATCTGCAGGCAGTGGTTTTGTTTCTTTCTTCTTTTCTTTTTTTTTTTTTTTTTTTTTTTTTGAGACAGCCTTGCTCTGTCACCCAGGCTGGCGTGCAGTGGTATGATCTCAGCTCACTGCAGCCTCTGCTTCCCAGGATCCAGCAATTCTCCTGCCTCAGCCTCTGGAGTAGCTGGGATTACAGGCGCCCACCATCATACCTGGCTAATTTTTGTATTTTTAGTAGAGATGAGGTTTCACCGTGTTGGCCAGGCTGGTCTTGAACTCCTGACCTCAGGTGATCCATCTGCTTCGGCCTCCCAAAGTGCTGGGATTACAGACTTGAGCCACTGTGTCCTACCTGGTGCAGTATCTATTATTCACGGATGCATGGATGGAGTGAGCCTTACTTCTCTCTAAGCAGGAGCCATCCACTCATAGATGGTCTGCCTACATATCAAGCAAGAAAGCTGGAGCCCCAGCTGCCAGGGATAGACTTCAGAACCCCACAGAAGCATGCTGAGACCACCTACAGCTGTTACTGAGCACAGAAAAAAGGCAAGAAGGATCTTCTCAGGCATCAGTGATAGCCAGTGTGATTGCAGAAAATGAATGGGAAAAAGCAAGGAGTATGACACCACATGCACACACACATATGCACACACACAAAGAGTTATGGCCAAGTGTGACAGAGGGCTGTACTTGAACAAGATTCTGGCTGAACTGATCTTTTATTTAAATTCTTCTCCAGGATGGGAGCAGAGGGGTCAACTATCCACACATATCCCTGATACACACTGATTGAACTTAGCTTTTCTTCCTTTATCAACATACTGACCACTTCCACTGAAGTCATAGAGAATGCTTATTTTTGCTTGATACATTCATTGTGACACTTAGGTAATTTTGTCCTGCATTATGTTGTTACATTTTTGTTTAAATATTTTGTTACATAATGTCTTAGAAACTTTTGAAAACAGAGCCTTGCTTTCATGTGATTGTTTTGGATAAAAGGAAGATGATCAGATTCAAAGACAAAAGTAGAGTTAAAGACTGAATGTCAAATAGGCCTTCATCAAGGAGAATGGCAGAAGCCTGAGATGGAGAGGACCTGGGCCTTGATGACATCACCGCATCACAGAACTAACCAGGCCTGGGGCCTGGACAACAAAATGCCTCCATTTTCTCATTTATAAAATGGAAAAAATTACATGCTTACCTTACAGGTTATTAACAAGATTACAAGAGTCAATATACGTGAAGTGCTTAGAATAATGCCTGGGATATAATACAAGGAGGGAGAAATGGGGAAAGAAATGGAGGGAGGAAGGAAGGGAAGAAATAAAAGGGGGAATGAAGGGAAAGGGAAAGGAAAGGAAGAAAAAGGAAGGAAGAAAGTGCTTTGAGAGAAAGTAATATGCAGTTTCCAATAAGAGTATTATAAGAGAAGCCCTAACTTACCAAAGGAATTTCAGGCTGATAAATCTCAGGGAGTAGAAAGAAAAAGTTATATGAGAGGTACAGATAAAATAATGAGAGGAGGTGCTATAAAAAGATGCTGCAACCATGCACAGTGGCTCACACCTATAATCCCAAGTACTTGGGAGACTGAAGTAGGAGAATCACTTGAGGCCAGGAGTTTGAGACCAACTTGGGCAACATAGTGAAGCCCCATCTCTAAACATGTTTTTAAAAGATTAGCTGGGCATGGTGGCACATGCCTGTAGTCCTAACTGCTCAGGAGGCTGACGTGGGAGGATCACTTGAGCTCAAGAGTTCAAGACTGCAGTGAGCTGTGATCACACCACTGCACTCCAGCCTGGGCAAAAGAGCAAGACCTCATCTTTTTTGGGCAGGGGGGGGAGAAAAAAAGGATAGTCGAACGTGATAAATAAGGGAATTGAGATTCTATACAGAAACATTGATATTAACGCTACACAGACAAATATGTTTGAAGTGAGTTTTGAGAGTACTGACTCACTACATCTGTGTGGGTCTCCTTTTATTCAATGAGATTCTAAGAAGTCAAGCAAGAACAGAGTTTATATTTTATACTAATTTTTATAATCCTTCTTAACAGTTTAACCATATTACAGTTTCTTTAAAAAATTCTTAGTTATAATTTTAAAAAACACAAAAATTATGTACTCTGGTGGAAACCATATCCAATGTTTGTATAGTGTTTTTTCTGATGTAGCTATCACAAATAATAAATGAGCTATAAAATACTATTTTTATATTTTTTCAACATTTGGTATCAACACATTTGAACTCACATTTTTAAACTACACATTCTGTTTTGATTATTAAGACAAAGGACAGAGTAATACTTATTCCTAAGGAGTAATTCATTCATTTTTAGTTTTATTCCACTTATTGATAAGCCATTTATAAATGAGAAAACAAATTCACATGATGCAATTGATCTAGAATTTTTAAGGACTTTTCAGTTTTAATTACTGATGCTTTATGACAGATTATTTACTTTCTTTTTATCAAGGGTATAATATTAGATTTTTTTTCCTCAAAGCAAGTAGTGGCCGATCTGGAAATGTAGGCTTCAGGAAGTCAAAGAAAAGATGAATTTTGTAACCATGACAAATTTCACTTTCAATCAAGCCTACATATGGCAACCAAAATGTTCTGCCATTTGAATGAGCATTTACTAAAAATCCATTGTGTTCTATGATTTAGCAAAAATCTTCTGAAAGGGAGAAAACATTATCAGTGTTAACCACTAAAATTTTTTTAATAGTGTCTTAATCATGCCTTAACAGCATAGCAATAAAAGAGAAGGAGGCAAATGAAGGAGGAAAATTTTAAGATGTAGGATATGGTCTTCAAATTGGAACTGGAAAATCTGTTACGTGTGGTCATCAAATGAATACAGTCTGTGGTGATAACTTTTTCTATGAAAATCCTGAGTACTAAATTTTAAGCTCCTTAACGTCTCAAATTTTCTCTTTCCTGGTAAGGACTTCCAAGGGCCATACACATTTACACAAAATGGCAAAAAATATATATATATATATATATGTGTGTATATATATATATATATGTGTATATATATATACGTATATATATGGCTTAAGATGAACTTGAAAAAACGTAATGAGATGAATGTGAAAAGAATTTCATACTCAAAAAGTTCTGACTTAGATAAATCAGCCAAAAGCTAGTTCCCAAGGGGAATAAAAATTAATGAGCTAAAACTTTATGGAAGTGCTTGAAATCCCTAGTTCCTATAAAGCAACATTTAGCTTAATGTTTAAAATCAACAGGGCACTTTTAAGAGTGCCCTGACCCAAATCACCTTATGGATCAGGACTTAAAATTCACTTCCCCTTCTTTAAATCATTTTTCTATTTGATTTTGACTATTTCTGCTTTTTATATTACTTGATACATTTACCTTAGTTTGCATGTACAAGAATTGTGGGGTCTTATTAGTTTTTCAAACGTGTTCCTTTAGAAAAGAACATGATGCCCTTAGCTCCCTTGAGGAAGCTATCATAATACCAACCATACTGAAATCCAAGCTAGATAAAAGTCCATGGTTGTTCACTCCAGCTTTGGTTATACTGAACAACCCAGAAGCAACCAGGGACACCATTGTATTTAGAAATCTAGAATCCTTCTGTAGACTCGGGGATAGGCCTCCGTGTTACAGACTTGAGCTAATCTAGCGCTGCGAAGATCCACCAAGATACTATTATGTCGTGTATGTGGAGGGCTGATCCTACCAATAAAAGCTTCTGGAGACTTTTCAGAATCGACTTCTCCACCCCCAGCAACTACCAGATATATGAAGTCAGCTGAGAGTAAGTCTGTATGCTGAATCTTATACTTTTGACCTTCCCAGGAACATCTAGAATTCAAGGCTGTTGGTTGCTGCTCCAGGGCTATTTTGTGTTTATCTATTCATGTAGGCACTCTGGTTATTGACTACTCAATCAGCTGATAGAAACAATGGTTCAAACTTGCCTACTTCCTGAAAGATTTTGGTATGGTAACACCAGGAAAAATTTCCCTACTAGAAAAAAAAAAAGTGAGTCATCTTAAACAGATACTTCAAGTTCAAAATCTGTTTTTGCAATATTTTATATTTTGAGATTAACTTTTTGAAATATAAAATTTGCTATTTAGTCAATAAAAATCTCTCTTAGAAGCAAGATAAGACAGCATTAATATTTGTTTTCAATGTTTCCATGCTGAATGTCCTCAGACATTGAATTAGTGTAATATTTGATTCCATTGCTAGTCAAGTAACAGTTTTCAAATGTGAGATATTGGTACTTCCAAATCAAAAAAAAATGGCAAAAATGAAGGAAATGAAGTAAAGTCATTATAGGAAAAGACCAAGAGGAGCAGAGGCATCATCATCATCGGCATTGAGAGTGTGGTTTATCATGTTTGGTGTCACCTGTACCAAGAGATACAAGAAAATTGCCTGCATGAAGCTTGCAGTCTAACTTGGTAGACAGCTTGTTGCCTTTTAAAAATTTTTAATAATTTGTTTTTCTGTTTCTATCTAAAAGTTCCAAAGGAGTGACAGTCACAACTTTTACACCCCAGAAAATGATAGACAAGAGTGGATTAGGTTGCTTGAGGGGTTGAAGGAAAGGGTAACCTAGACTGGCAGAGGGAACAGAGTAGAAGAACAGTGGATGTGACAATCTGCACGTCAGATTCAGAGAATAATGAACTGGCTTTGCCTAAATGCAGAATCTAACTGAGGAAGAGTAATAGTTTGAAGAGGTAAGATCTAAACTGCAGAGGATCTTAATCTTCAGGGACTCTTGCTTCTCTATTGCAGAATTTTCTTATCATTTTCCAAATATACACAATAGCAGTAAAATTGTGTTAATACTTTTGAAAGTGTCAAACATCTACTGAGCACTTCTTTTGACTTAAGAGTGTTAAGCACTTCTAAGGAGTTAGCTGCTATAATGCTGGCAACATCCTTTAGATAAGTATTATGGTCTCCTAAAATTTTACAAAGTGAATGTTGGGATATCGAGGATGAGTAACTTGCCCGGACGCACATAGCTAGGAATAAGTACACGTGATGGTTAATTTCAAGTGTCAATTTAACTGGATTAAGGACTAGCTAGAGAAATGGTAAAGCATTATTTTGGGTGTGCCTGAGACGGTGTTTCCAGAGCAGGTTGGCATCTGGGTCCACATGGACTGAGGTGAAGATTTGCTCTCCATGTGGATGAGCATCAAACAATTGGCTGGGGATCTGCACAGAACAAAAAGGCAGAGGAAAAGGTTTCCTCTCCTCCTGGAGATAGGACACACTCTTCTTCTGATCTTGGACATTAGGACCCCAGGCTCCCTGGCTTAGGGACTCCAGGACTTACATACCAGTGGCCTTCCTGGGTTCCCAGGCCTTTAACCTCAGACTGAAAATTACATCATTGACTTCCCTGGTTCCGAGGCATTTGGACCTGGACTGAGCTACACTGGCATTTCAGGATCTCCAGCTTGCAGATGGTCTGTTGAGGGACTTAGCTTCCATGCTGACTAATACAGTAGTTAAAACCCATCAATATGGAACTTCCTAAAATACCTCACCTCAACGACACATGATTCTAGAAATCCACAATTATTTCCACTCTCAAATTTAACATTTGTGAGTTTTTAGTGTGGCCTTCAAAGAACAAAGAAGGAAAAAATAAATAGCAGAATTGGTGCTATATTTCTTTCTGAAGGGCAACATAAACTAACCTCACACCAACACTGCTGCCCTTTAGGAAAAAACAGAGATAATTACGTCTTTTCCTAGAGCACCAAGGCATCTCTCTTTTTTTTAAGGCATCATAAATATATTAATTAATTCTGTCTGGTCTGCAGTGAAGCATTTTTCATAAGTAACCCACCATCCCATCTGTGCGACATTTAAATTATAATTAAGTATGAAACATTCAATGGCCATTTCTGGCATTAAAGTAAAATTGTTCCACAAGTGTATTTGAGTATGTAGTTTAGAAAAGAAATATATAGAAATATTAATAATTCAGAATGCTTGCTTTAGTTCAGCTGAACAAAGTGATGCCAGAAATGACTCATTAGGCAGAGGATACATTGTCAGCAGGAAAAAAGGAGGTGATGAGTCGGTTTGGTGTAAGTGGATGGTGTAACAATGTTTTGGCATTTATAGGGTATGCTTTAAACCCCCATGGCTGGTGGGTTTAAATGATTTTTGCAGTGTTCAAGCTGTCTAACTTTTATTAAGCTGTGATTCCAGTGTGATATTTCCCTCTCTGCCCCCCTCGATGCTCTTTTTGAATTGCTAACAGGTGCGGAGAGCTACAGCCTGCAGTGCTTTTGTGGTTGTTCTTTTTTGTACAAATTTAATCATCAAATGTTTTTTTTATCTTCTTCCTTCTGTAATGCTTAAGAAACACACCATTAAGCTTGTACATGATTAGATTTCAATTCCAAAATATGCACAAAGCAAACTAGGCACATTATCACAATGCCCTTAGAAAAGGGGATGACAATCTTACTCCTACTTTTTTCCTGGACTCCAAAACTCAAACCCAGGCACCTGAGTTGATGCTCGATTTTCCCACAATGTAATGCAACCTTAACTTGTTTCAGTATTGGCCATTTCACATCTTCTGAACAGATAACCTACTGGGTATCAAGATATTAATATGAATTGTCATTGCCTTGAACTTCTCTTTACTCCTCTTTTAGGGTCTACTATCCTGTTGTGTCTGGCTCCCTACTTCTGTAGTTCTCCTTCATTCACTTAGGAAGCCCATACACTGGTCCAGCTTTATCCCAGGACTAAAGACAAGCCTAGGCTTAGGCAACAGGACCTCAGGCAGTGGTTCTGAAAGATGCCATCAAATTACCCATGTTAATTATCCACTCTCTCTTTGCGTCTCAGCATTAAGCACTGGTGACTGGGTTTCTGGCTTGCTCCCTGATCTTTTTATCTGCTGTATGCCCCAGCCTTCCAGGATTTAGGGTGACTGTAAGCCAGCTATCTGCTGTCTGATGTTACTGCCTGCTGCCTGCTAACAATCCATTGTTAGCAATCCAACAAATGTCTGTCCAGAGAGACATTTCCTGCCTGTCTCTGAAAAACTGCCTGACAATGTGAGCATCTCTGTTCTCATCCTTGCCAGGGATGAAGATTAGAAAGGCTTTTACCTTAAATGCTTTCTATTGTTCACCTGCCGTGCAACACTGTCCACACACTGAGCCTCAGTGAGATATTTTTGCCTTATTATTTAGATGGTTTTTTACCTGCTGAATCACACTTCTTTCTGCCCCTCAGGCTGTTGACCCCAGCAGCAGCCGCAGCCTTCTGGATGATAGAATTCTAGGTGCTGGCTTCTACCATTTTGCACTATGTCATTGCAGTTATAGAATTACAACTATCTGGCATAGTTTGTCCTGCCCTCAGCTTTCACTCTTCTGAATTCTTGGAATATCATCCAGAGTGGACCACTTTACATTCTCACCTCCTACATGGTGATGCTTTGGGGTTATGTTCACCTATCCCACAAGAGGTAATACATTTATATGGCCTTGTATGGTAGTTTCATGGGGAACAGACCAAAGTGGGGTTGAACCCAGGTTAGCACCTCTGTTGCACCTCCTTGGAGTTCTATGTAGGGATGAGCAGTGAAGTAAAGAGGGGTGGGGAATTGGCAGGAGAAAGAGCCCCAAAGAAAAAAATGTCCAAGTGGAGAACTTGGGAATGGACACAAGACACCCCCGCCTCCCTACATATACTGCCAGAAAGTTACTTTGAAAACGAGGAAGCTGTGGCTCATTCATGTTTTTCCATGTGGCTCCCTGATTAGCAAGTATGGGGTAAGTAAAATACTGATTACAGGTTGTTATAGGCTAAATCATGTCTCACTGAAATTCATATGTTGAAGCCCTATCCCCCAGTACTTCCAAATATAACTTTGTTTGGAGATAGGGTCTTTAAAATAAGTAATCAAAATAAAATGAGGTAATTAAGGTGGGTCCTAATCCAATATGTCTGATGTCCTCATAAAAAGAAATTATGATATGGACACACATGGAGGGAAGACCATTGATGTAAGTAAGAGAAGATGGCCATCTACCAGCAAAGGAGGGAGGTCTCAGAAGAAACAACCTTGATGACACATTCTTCTTGCACTCCTAGGCTCTAACACTGTGAGAAGATAAATCTCTGTTAATAGAGTGTTACAGCACTTGTCATGGCAACCCTAGCAAAACAAAATACAAGTCAACCTAAAAAAGAATCATCTCGTGATAGTTTGCTGAGAATTAAGGTTTCCAGTTTCATCCATGTCCCTACAAAGGACACAAACTCATCATTTTTATGGCTGCATAGTATTCCATGGTGTATATGTGCCACATTTTCTTAATCCAGTCTATCATTGTTGGACATTTGGGTTGGTTCCAAGTCTTTGCTATTGTGCACAGTGCCGCAATAAACATACATGTGCATGTGTCTTTATAGCAGCATGATTTATAATCCTTTGGGTGTATACCCAGTAATGGGATGGTTGGGTCAAATGGTATTTCTAGTTCCAGATCCCTGAGGAATCGCCACACTGACTTCCACAATGGTTGAACTAGTTTGCAGTCCCACCAGCAGTGTAAAAGTGTTCCTATTTCTCCACATCCTCTCCAGCACCTGTTGTTTCCTGACTTTTTAGTGATCGCCATTCTAACTGGTGTGAGATGGTATCTCATTGTGGTTTTGATTTGCATTTCTCTGATGGCCAGTGATGATGAGCATTTTTTCATGTGTTTTTTGGCTGCATAAATGTCTTCTTTTGAGAAGCGTCATTCTCAGCAAACTATCTCAAGGACAAAAAATCAAACACTGCATGTTCTCACTCATAGGTGGGAATTGAACAGTGAGAACACATGGACACAGGAAGGGGAACATCACACACTGGGACCTGTTCTGGGGTGGGTGGAGGGGGGAGGGATAGCATTAGGAGATATACCTAATGCTAAATGACGAGTTAATGGGTGCAGCACACCAACATGGCACTTGTATACATACGTAACAAACCTGCATGTTGTGCACATGTACCCTAAAACTTAAAGTATAAAAAAAAAAAAAAAAGAATCATCTCACATTCAGGACAGGACAAAAGTGTTTTTGTATTCCCTCTAAGGTGATGTGAAACTCCCCATCTTGCGTTTAGGAAAAGGTTACAAAAGCAATTGGCAGAAATAATAGAAAATGACCTCAAGTAAGCCAGGCATGGTGGCTCACATCCCAGCTACTTGGGAGGCTGAGGTGGGAGATCACTTGAGCTCAGGAGTTTGAGGCCACAGTAATATATTATCTCATCACTGCACTTCAGCAACCTGGATGACAGAACAAGACCTGGTCTTAAAAAAACAAAACAAAAAAAAAAGAATGACCTCAAGTAACAGATGACTAATCTCAAGTCAACCTTGAGGTTCTGAAATTCAATGAATAAGTTTATCTTTAAATTTACTTCGCTACCGCATTTCATTGAATGAATTCAATAGTTAACTCTAGCTGAGTCATATATTTTCCGTGTGATACTGAGCAAGTCTTCTAAAGTCTCCCAGTAGAGTTTAAAATGTAAACTGTAATGCGTCAATCAGATGGTGTCATTCCCTTTCTTAAAACTCTAAATGATGGTTCATCCCTCTTAGAATAAAATCCAGATCCTCCCATTCCCCTATCAGATTCTCCATGATTAGGCCCAGCTCATGCTATGCCTCATTTCCTGGGATCCAGGAGCTCCATCCCCACCTTCTTTCTGCCATTTACCTAACACAAGATCCTCCTCTCCCCTCAGGCCTTTTCACATGCTCTTTCCTCTTATGGTGATAATCTTGCCCAGACATCCATGAGTTTCATTGCTCATTGCATTCAAAGTATCCAAAGCATCATTTTTTTCTAAAAGATTGTCCCATCCAGTCACTCATTGCCTTCCCATGCTTAATTGTCTCTATCATTTCTCACCCTGATATCGAAGACTCATTTATTATGAGTATAATATCAAAAATGTTTAATTTATTTTAATACCTTTTGAGGTACAAGTGGTTCTTGGTTACATGGATGAATTGTACATTGGTGAAGTCAGATTTAGTGCTCCCATCACCTAAGTAGTATGCACTTTTTTATCCCTCAATCCCCCTTCTGCATCTCCAAGGTTGATTATACCACTCTGCATGCCTTTGCGTACACATAGCTTAGCTCCCACTTATAAGTGAGAACATATGGTATTTGGTTTTCTATTCATGAGTTTCTTCACTTAGAATAATGCTCTTCAGCTCTACCCAAGTTACTGCAAAAAACATTATTTCATTCTTTTTTATGGCTGAGTACTATTCCATAGTGTGTATATGCCACATTTTCTTTACCCACTTATTGGTCCATGGGCACTTAGGTTGGTTCCATATCTTTGCAATTGTGAATTGTGCTGCAATAAATAACATGTACAGGTGTCTTTTGGATACAATGAACTCTTTTCCTTTGGGTAGATACCCAGTCGTAGGATTGCTGGATCAAATGGTAGATCTACTTTTAGTTATTTAAGAAATCCCCATACTGCTTTCCATAGAGTTTGTACTAATTTATATTCCTACCAGGTGTGTATAAGCACTTCATTTGTCTATTGTTTTTTTGACTTTTCAATAATGGCCATTTTTTGCAGGGGTAAAGTGGTATCTCACTGAGGTTGTAATTTGCATTTCCCTGATACTTAGTAATGTTGAGCATTTTTTCATATTTTTTGGCCATATGTATAACTTGAGAAATGTCTATTTATGTTTTTTGCCCATTTTTTGATGAGATTTGTGTTTTACTTGCAGATTTGTTTGAGTTCTTTGTAGATCCCGGATATGAGTCCTTTGTTGAATGCGTAGTTTGCAAATATTTTCTCCCAATCTGTGTATTGTCTGTTTATTCTAATGATTTATATATTTACTTATTTATTGCTGTACAGAAGCTTTTTAGTTTAATTAGGTTCCAGTTATTTGTTCTGAGTGTGTGTTGCCTGTCTTTCCCACCAGGTGCTGGCTCAGGGTGAGCTAGGGCCAGGTTCTAGCCACTGCTGCATCCCCATAAGTCAAATGGCACCTGGCACAGGCATTCAGCTCACATTTGCTAAAGAAATAGTAACTGCAGACATTAAATATTCTTTATAGAGAAGAGTATTATTTGAGGTTATTTGTGCTTAGAATTATGTGTGCAAAATTTTTCATAAGAAAAAATGATGTTTTTAGCTACTATATTATAGAAGCAGCAGATAGGTAAAGAAAATTCATGAGAGGCAGGCATGGCATAGATTATATACTGCCACTACTACAAGGACAACCTTGCCAGCCAAAACCAGTGAGTTTTCCTCGCCCTCAGTCAGACAAATGTGGATTAAAGAGACAGTGAGCTTAAAGGGAGATAAACATTACTTAGTGATGGCTTGGAATCAAAATAAGTGAAATATGATGCTGTCCAACCCTGGCATTTTCAACATTTGAGCTGAAAACAGGATTAAAGTTGAGAGGATTAATTTTTCAAAAATGAGTTTTGCCAATAGAGGTAAATATTTTGCTTGAAGAACAGCAAATTCTAGAAGAAGGTGACTTACCCATTTTACTTTAAAAAAATGCTCATTAAAAAATAAAAACAAATGATTTTTAAATTACCCCTATCACTGAGTCCCTCTACTGGCATAAACAATTAGGAACTGTCTATAGGGCTCAAATACCAAGTCAAATCAAGCCAACAAGAATATTAAATGCCAAATGCATACCCCTCTCACAAACCTGCATGTTTGTGACAAAAATAGGACTATTTTTGTCTCTGAATTTTAAGTCAAAAAAATGTGTATCTGCATAATGCTGAAGCACTACAATGTGAATATTATATCTTAATTTCAGGATGTATAACTGATAAACTGGCAGTCCCCTTAGAAGATTACATACCCTCCTCCTCCTCCTCTTGGCAAGTTCTCCTCTATTTTATACCCTTAGTTTTTTGTCTCCTAAACCCTTTGGACTGTTTCAATGTTTCTCTTCTTTTTCTTTTTTCCTCACAATGTAGAATAAGTAATAATAGCCATATTACCAGATGAATAGGGAAGATGTTTTCTAGGTTTTTAACTGTAAATGAGACAGTCCCACACATTCTTATTTACCATAGCTATAAAGGAAAAGAAATAAATGTTCTTCAGTTTAAACATAAGGAATTCTGGCCGGGCATGGTGGCTCATGCCTGTAATCTTAGCACTTTGGGAGGCGAAGGCAGGCGGATCACGAGGTCAGGAGTTCAAGACCAGCCTGGCCAACATAGTGGAAACCCGATCTCTATTAAAAATAAAAAAAATTAGCCAGGCATGGTGGTGCATGCCTGTAGTCCCAGCTACTCGGGAGGCTGAGGCAGGAGAATCACTTGAACCTGGGAGGTAGAGGTTGCAGGGAGCTGAGATCACGCCACTGCACTCCAGCTTGGGCAACAGAATAAGACTTCGTCTCAAAACAAAAACAAAAACAAAGAATTCTGCCAGCTACCGTGAACAAATGATCAAAGCAGATCTTTCAAATTTATATACATTTTTCATTTTTAGCACATTTGCTTTCATAAGAAGTATTGATATGCAAATTTTCTACTGGATGAGTTTGCAAAAGGCAGTCCTGAGATTCAATGCCTAAATGTGATTAAAGCCACATTTAAAATGGAAATCTCCAACAGTGAGATCCTATGGGGAAAAAAATAGTAGCCAAAGGATTTTACCTGAAAATCAGAGTTGTGCTCTTTAAGCCCCATAGAAGTGAAAACGGTAGGAAGACATTTTCTTTTATATAGGGAGTTTGAAAGCTGTGTAAATCAAAGCCATACTAAAATGTATGAATAGAGTTAGAGAACTAAAGATAGAGAAAAATGAAATAGATGGGTAAATAATGGAATGTTATATTTTTAAAACAAGCTTGGCATTACTAGACACATAAAATAGTGACAACAGACATGCTCCCTACCTAAAGAAAATGTCAGTTTCTTTTATGAATTGTAAATTTAAGTAAAAGCAACTATTGGCATTGACAATATTGTTTCAATAACCCGCTCTAACAGAAAGATGCATTTAGTAATAAAAATGAAATCCTACTAAAGAAGAATATTGAGTTGAAGGAATAATCTGCTTTAGGAAATTTGTGACCGATTGCATTTATGTTTCCAACAAGACAGCTTTTAGAAAATAGGGAAACTTGTTATATTTACCAGAGATTCATTTATGCCTTCAACAAATATCTCTTGTGCCTTTAATATGTGAAAGAAGAGATCAATTCACAAACACTTACTATTGATATTTAATTTACGTTTGTTTGGAGTTTTTTCTAAATTGTAGCAACAAACTTTTTTCAGGTATTTAGTAGTGGCATCAACTCCATGAAACCAGTGCTCTCAAACCAGAACCATGCATGGGAGGGAAAAACTTTTCTCTATCCTCTCAGGTTCTATGGCTGGTCCTAAGAATGAAACTGATATAAGACAAATTAACAGGAGAAAAGCATACAATTTTTAATGTATACACAAGAGTCTTTAGAAGGAAAAGGAAGACCCAAAGAAACTATTAGACCCCAAAACTTATACAGGCAGACCTCAGAGATATTGCAGGTTTGGTTCCAGACCATGGCAATAAAGTAAATATTGCAATAAAGCCAGTCACATACATATTTGGTTTCTCGCTGTATATAAAAGTCTTGTTTGAACTCTGCAGTCTATTAAAGTGTGCAATAGCATTGTTTAAAAATTGTTCATACCTAATTAAAAATATTGTATTGCTAAAAAATGTTAACAACGATCCAAGCCTTCAAAGGGTTGTAATCTTTTTGCTGGTGGAGGGTCTTGCCTCGATATTGATGGCTGCTGACTGATCAGGGTGGTGGTTGCTGAAGGTTGAGGTGGCAGTGGCAATTTCTTTAAAATAAGACATTAGTGAAGTTCACTGCGTTGACTAACTTTTCCTTTCACAAAAATTTCTCTGTAGCATTCCACGCCATTGGTACCATTTTACCCACAGTAGAACTTCTTTCAAAATTGAAATCAGTCCTCTCAAACCCTGCCGCTGCTTCATCAACTAAGTTTACGTAATATTCAAAATCTTTTGTCATTTCAACAATGTTCACAGCATCTTCACCAGGAGTAGTTTCCGTCTCAAGAAACCACTTTCTTTGTTTATTCATAAAAAGTAGCTCCTCATCCAATCAAGTTCTATCGTGAGATTGCAGCGATCTCACAATAATGCATCACATTTAAGCTCCACTTCTAATTCTAGTTCTCTAGCTATTTCTACCACATCTGCATTATATTCTGTACTAAAATCTTGAACTCCTCACAGTCATCCATCAGAGCTGGAATAAACTTCTTCCAAGCTTTTGTTAATTTTTAATATTTTGATTTCCTCCCACGAATGACAAATGTTTTTAATGGCATCTAGAATGGCGAATCCTTTCCATAAGGTTTTCAACTTACTTTGCCCAGATCTATCAGAGGAATCACTAGCTATGGCAGCTTTAGCCTTATAAAACGTATTTCTTAAATAGTAAAAATTAAAAGTCAGAATTACTCCCTGATCTGTGGATGTTGAATTAGAAAGCATGAAAACAACGCTGATATCTTTGTACATCTCCATCAAACCTCTTGGGCGACTAGACGCCTAGTCAATGAACAGTAATATTTTGAAAGCAATATTTTTTCTGAGTAGTGGGTCTCAATAGTGGGTTTAAAATATTTAGTAAACCATGCAATAGACAGATGTGCTGTAATCCAGGCTTTGTTCTTCCATTTACAGAGCACAAGCAGAGTAGATTTACCATCATTCTTAAGGGACCTAGAATTTTTGGAATTGTAAACAAGCATTGGCTTCAACTTAGTGCCACCAGATGATTTAGCCCTAATAAGAAAGCCATTCTGTCACTCGAAGCCAGGCATTGACTTCTCTAGCTACGGAAGTCCCAAATGGCATCTTCTTTCAATAGAAGGCTGTTTCAATTACATTGAAAATCTATTGTTTACTATAGCCACTTTCATCAATGACCTTAGCTAGAGCTTCTGGATAACTCGCTACAGTTAATTTTTACATCAGCACTTGCTACTTCACCTTACACTTTTATATTATGAAGATGGCTTATTTTCTTAAACTTTATGAGCTAAGCTCTGCTACTTTCATGCTTTTCTTTTGTAGCTTCATTACATCCGTCAGCGTTCACAGAATTGAAGAGAGTTAGGAACTTTCTCTGGATTGGGCTTTGTCTTAAGGGAATGTTGTGGCTGGTTTAAGCTTCTAACCAGACTGCTAAAACTTTATATCAGCACTAAGGCTATTTCACTTCTTATCATTCATGTGTTCACTGGAGTAGCACTTTTTTTTTTTTTTTTAAGAAATTTTTATTTGCTTTCACAACTTGGCTAGCTGGCTCAAGAGACCTAGCTTTCAGCCTATCTCAGCTTTCATCATGCCTTCCTCATTAGTATTAATCATTTCTAGCTTTTGATTTAAAGCAAGAGATGTGCGACTCCTCCTTTCAGTTGAACACTTAGAAAGCCATTGTAGGATTGTTCATTGACCTAATTTCAATATTATTCTGTCTCAGGGAACAGGGAAGCCTGAGGAAAGGGAGAGAGGCTGGGGAGCAGCCAATCTGTGGAGCAATCAGAACACACACAACATTTATTGATAATGTTTCTTGTCTTATATGAGCCCAATTTGTGGGCCCTAAAAGAATTACATTGGTAACATCAAAGAGCATTGATCACACATATCAACAACCAACATAATAATAATGGAAGGTTAAAATATTTCAATAATTACCAAAAGGTGACACAGGGACATTAAATGAACGCATGCTATTGGAAAATGGTGCCATAGACTTGCTTGACACAGGGTTGCTGAAAATCTGCAATTTGTAAACAAAACACAGGATCTATGAAGTGCAGTAACAAAGCACAATAACACAAAGTTTGCCTTTATACCTTTTTAACACAAAGAAGCATAAATTGTGCAAATGTGACAGAACACATGGGCTTGGGTTAGGGGCAGTACAGTGACTAGAAAATATAGGGGTAAAACTAATGAAAGATAAGTGTTATTTTAGTAGGTTTGTTTGTACAAGTCCATTTCAACATGAATCCTGGTCTCCTGAGATAAAAATGTTATTTTCTTTCTGGTACAGGGAGGGCACCTTTCTGATTAAGAATGTTATGACCTGCTTTTAGATAGATAGGCAATGTAAGAGATCCTTAACTGCACCTGCTGCTTTACAAGACCCTTCAGCTCAAAATAACCAGTATGCCAGAGAGGCATATTGTGTGGGGACATGTTTTGAACCCTTTCACAAGTTTATTGTTCTTGTTTATGACTTTACAACTTGTCTATTCTAAGAAACCTGGAGTTGTGGTATTCTAATTAAGAATATTATATTCTTAATTAGTAACTTACAAAGACTGGTTAATTCTACCTTTGTAGTGTGATTTGTGAGTCACCATTATTTGCTATCCTTTTTGTCAGGAGTTTCATTCATGCTCAGAACAGGGTAGTGATATCAACTGGGGTACACTTGTATATTTAAAGTGTAAAATGAGTACTGAGAATATTTTCTAAGTAGAATTAATGGTCAAAATTACAGGGAGAATTGAGAAGAAAAAAGGGTGACCAGAAGAGCAGTTTTGTCACAACCAACAAGGATAATTGTTTCATTTCAGATACAGTATAAGACTTCCAATAGGAAATAGTAATTAGAAGACACTAAAGGTGCTTATAACCTTCAAATTCCAAGATTCTATAAATCGTCAAAAATTAACGAGTTTTATTTTATCTTAGATCATTCAACCAAAAGTTTGTAGTTCAACCTATAGTCCTGAATTTACCATTCGTTTGCCTGAATTATTTTACTGACCTTGAATGGGATAAACTACAGATTTTAAGGAATACAGTGCAGTATATGGTGATAAAAATTAATGGTTGGAAAGCCATGAGAAATAAAAGCCAACTTTCTCAATAAGCTCTGTCTTGACACAGATGGAGGTTTTAATGAGCTATGTTTCATTTTTGGTCATTTTTCTCTGTTTGTATAGTTTGGGGATTTTTTCATGCTTCTTTTTTGTCTTTCCATTAAAAATCTGAATAAGAATAACTCAGATTCAAGACACCGATTTCATCTGAAAGGAAGAATGAAAAAGAGAATTATCTTGGCAAAGTAGAAAAGTTTTCAGGCACACAGCAAAAGCCATTACTTTACTGCATTTTTCAAATAGAAAGACTGACACATTGTTGGATTAGAAATCGTAAATTAGCCTGTTTCTTTCCATATCTGTAGAGGACTCAAGTGTCATTTTTAAGAATATTTTTGTGACACTCATTTAGGAGGGAGAGAAAATTGTCAGCCCAAATCTACCATTGCTCATAATACGGGCTCATCTCAACACAATGGGCATTTCTTCACTGTGTACATCTCTCTGGCTCTCCTTCCCTTACACTTTATTAATCTCCCAATTTCTTTGAATAATATGATTTCCTTACTCTTTTTTGCCCTCTCCATCATTTCTTTTTAATGTGTCTAATAACTAAGAGCTACTTATTATCAGTGAGGACTGAAAATATTTTTATTCTCTGAAAAAACTTGACTCAAGGAAGTTCCTCAAGTCTAGTTTGCAGAAAACAGATAATATGAAGGGTGCCCAAGAGAAAAGCACTTCTCCAAGCTTTAGAACAAAGCTCTCAGAGAAAAGGCCACTGCTGGAACCCTCTTTTCCTAAAATTTCTTATTGCTTGGCCCTTCTCACCTAATATGTCTCAGCTCAAATATCATGTTCCCAAAGAGACCGTCCTGAACACTAAAGAAGATGAGTTGCAAAATAAGAGGGACCAAGCCTGAGATTGGAACTGGAGAGAGGATTTCCAAGAGCAATTATTTGAGAGAGAATAAGCACATTTAAAAATGAAAAACAGCTGGGGAGGCCTTAGTGACTGGGGCTGCAATCACTAGCACCAGGCTGCTAGGCACCTGAGCTCGCCTGCAGGGATCAGCCACCCACTAGCCACTGCAGAGCCTTCTCACCTACTTCTATCTACAAAGAACATGATGTGTGAGGTGATGCAGATCAGGTGTCAGGTGAAGCAGAAGGTCCCCCAGGAGGAAGTAGGAGTCAATATAATATAGCATATGAATAGAATGAAAAGAAAGAAACATGTGATCTCAATTTACACAGAAAAAGCATTTGACAAAATCCAACCATTTTTATGACAAAATCACTTGAAAAACTAGAAATAGAAGACAAATTCCTGAACTGGATAAAAGGCATCTATAAAATGAACAGCTAACGTTACACTTAATGGTGAAAGACTGAAAGCTTTTTCCCTAAGATCAGGAATAAAGAAAGATGCTGGTTCTCATCACTTTTATTTAACATTGCACTTCAAAGTTATACCTAAAGCAAACTTAGTAGAAGAATTAAAGGGCAGCTAAACTGGAAAGGAAGAAGTAAAACTATTTCTACTCACAGACAACATGATCTTACATAGGAAAATATGCCCTCAAAATGCTTAAAACATTTGAGTTAATAAATTTAGCAAAGTTTTGGGATATAAAATCAACATGCAAAAATCAGTTATATTTATGTACACTTGCAGTTAACAATCTCAAAATGAAATTCAGAAAACAATTCCAGTTACAGTAGCATCCAAAAGAATGAAACTCTTAAGAAAAAAATTGGAACAAGGAGGTGCAAATTTGTGCACTGAAAACTACAAAACATTGTTGAAAGAAATAAAAGAGAACTTTAAGTAAAAAAAAAAAAAAATCCTATGTTCATGGATTAGAAGAATCAATATTGTTAAGATGACAATATTCCCCAGATGAATTTCTAGATTTAGTGCAATCACTGTTAAAATTCCAACTACCTTTTTAGCATAAATGGAGAAGTATATTCTAAAATTCATATGAGGCCAGGTGTGGTGGCTCATACCTGTAATCCCAGCACTTTGGGAGGCCAAGGCGGAAAGATCACTTGAGGCCAAAAGTTAAAGACCAGGCTGGGCATCATAGTGAGACTCCATCTCTACAAAAATATTTGAGAAAATAGCCAGGCGTGGTGGCATGCCCCTGTAGTCCTAGCTTCTTGGAAGGCTGAGGTGGGAGGATCTCTTGAGCCCAGTAATTCAAAGCTACAGTGAGCTATGATTATGCCGCTGCACTCCCACCTGGGTGACAGAGCAAGACCCTGCCTCTAAAATAATAATAAAATTTATATGGAATTGCTAAAGCCCCAAATAGCCAAAACAGTCTTGAAAATAAGAATAAAGTTAGAGGAATCACACTTCTCAATATCAAATTTTACTACAGAGTTACAGTAATCAAAACAGCATGATACTGACATAAGCATAGACATGCAGTATAGATCAATGTAATAAAACTGAGTCCAGAAACAAACCTACACTTCTGTGGTAAACTGATTTTCAACAAGGATGGCAAGATTATTTAATGAGGATAGAATAGTATCATTTATAACAAATGGTACTAGATCATATCCATATGCAAAAGAATGAAGATAGCCACCTCACACAATAAAATTTAGTCAAAATGGAACAATGACCTCGATGTAAGAGACAAAACTATAAAACTCTTAGAAGAAAGCACAGGACTAAATCTTAATAACTTTATATCTGGCATTTTGGGAGGAATATTATTGTCCTAAGTTTTTATTTTTTTTCCATAAATTACTGGGGTACAGATGACATATATTGTATAAGTAAGTTCTTTAGTGGTGATTAGTGAGATTTTGGTGCACCCATCACCTGAGCAGTATACACTGCACCATATTTGTAGCCTTTTATCCCTCGCCCCCTCCCATTCTTCCCCCCAAGTCCCCAAAGTCCATTGTATCATTCTTATGCCTTTGCGTCCTCACAGCTTAGCTCCATCTCTACAAAAATATGATATCAGTGAGAACATATGATGTTTGGTTTTCCATTTCTGAGTTACATCACTCAGGAGAATTATAGTCTCCAATCTCATCCAGGTCACTGCAAATGCTGTTTATTCCTTTTTATGGCTGCATTGTATTCCATCATATATATATATATATATATATACACACACACACACACACACACACACACACACACACACACATACATACACACACACCACAGTTTCTTTATCCACTCGTTGATTGATGGGCATTTGGGTTGGTTCCACGATTTTGCAATTGTGAATTGTGCTGCTATAAACATGCATGTGCAGGTATCTTTTTTGGATAATGACTTCTTTTCCTCTGGGTAGATACCCGATAGTGGGATTGCTGGATCGAATGGTAGTTCTACTTTTAGTTCTTTAAGGAATCTCCACAGTTTTCCATAGTGGCTGTACTAGTTTATGTTCCCACCAGCAGTGTAGAAGTGTTCCCTGTTCACCGCATCCACGCCAAAATCTACTGTTTTTTGATGTTTTGATCATGGCTATTCTTGCAGGAGTAAGGCGGTATCACATTGTGGTTTTGATTTGCATTTCCCTGATCATTAGTGATGTTCAGCATTTTTTCATATGTTTGTTGGACATTTGTGTATGTATATCTTTTTTGAGAATTGTCTGTTTATGTCCTTCGTCCACTTTTTGATGGGATTGTTTTTTTCTTACTGATTTGCATTTGTTGTAGATTCTTGATATTAGTCCTTTGTCAGTTGTATAGATTGTGAAGATTTTCTCCCACTCTGTGCTGTCTGTTTACTCTGCTGACTGTTCCTTTTGTCATGCTAAAGCTCTTTAGTTTAATTAGGCCCCATCTATTTATCTTTGCTTTTATTGCATTTGCTTTGGGGTTCTTGGTCATGAAATCCTTGCCTAAGCCAACGTCTAGAAGAGTTTTTCCAATGTTATCTTCTATAATTTTTATAGCTTCAGGTCATAGGTTTAAGTCCTTAATCCATCTTGAGTTGATTTCTGTATAAGGTGAGAGATGAGGATCCAGTTTCATTCTCCTACATGTGGCTAGCCAATTATCCCAGCACCATTTGTTGAAAAGGGTGTCCTTTCCCCACTTTGTTTTTGTTTGCTTTGTCAAAGATCAGTTGGCTGTAAGTATCCAGGTTAGCCTTACAGGTAGTGTGAAATCAGGTAGTGTGATGCCCCCAGATTTGTTCTTTTTGCTTAGTCTTGCTTTGGCCATGCGGGCTCTTTTTTGGCTCCCTATGAATTTTAGTATTTTCTAATTCTGTGAAGAATGATGGTGGTATTCAGATGCGGATTGTGTTGAATTTGTAGATTGCTTTTGGCAGTATGATCATTTTCACAATATTGATTCTACCCATCCATGAGCATGGGATGTGTTTCCATTTGTGTCATCTATAATTTCTTTCAGCAGCGTTTTGTATTTTTCTTGCAGAGGTCTTTTGACTCCTTTGTTAGGTATATTCCTAAGTATTTTATTTTTATTTTTTGCAGCTATTGTAAAAGGGGTTGAGTTCTTGATTTGATTCTCTCCTTGGTTGCTGTTGGTGTATAGAAGAGCTACTGATTTGTGTATATTAATCTTGTATCTGGAAATTTGCTGAATTCTTTTATCAGTTCTGGGAGCTTTCTAGAGGAGTCCTTAGGGTTTTCAAGGTAAACGATCATATCCTCAGCAAACAGTGACAGTTTGACTTCCTCTTTACCGATTTGGATGCCTTTTCTTTCTTTCTCATCTGATTGCTCTGGCTAGGACCCAGTGCTACGTTGAAGAGGAGTGGTGAGAGTGGCTATCCTTATCTTGTTCCTGTTCTCAGAGGGAATGCTTTCAACTTTTCCCCATTCAGTATTATGTTGGCTGCGGGTTTGTCATAGATGGCTTTTATTACATTAAGGCATGTCCCTTGCATGCCGATTTTGCTGAGGGTTTTAATCATAAAGGATGCTGGATTTTGTTGAATGCTTTTTCTGCATCTATTGAGATGATTATTTCATTTTTAATTCTGTTTATGAGGTGTATCACATTTATTAACTTGTGTATGTTAAACCATCCCTGCATCCCTGGTATGAAACCCATTTGATCATGGTGGATTATCTTTTTGATATGCTGTTGGATTCTGTTAATTAGTATTTTGTTAAGGATTTTAGCATCTTTGTTCATCAAGGATATCAGTCTGTAGTTTTCTTTTTTGATTGTGTCCTTTCCTGGTTTTGGTATTAGAGTGATGCTGGCTTCATAGAATGAATTAGGGAGGGTGTCTTCTTTCTCTATTTTGTGGAATAGCATCAAAAGGATTGGTACCAATTCTTCTTTGCATGTCTGGTAGAATTCTACTGTGAATCCATCTGCTCCTGGGCTTTTTTTTTGTTGGCAATTTTTTAATTACCATTTCAATCTCACTGCTTGTTATTGGTCTGTATAGAGTATCTAATTCTCCCTGATTTAAGCTAGGAGGGTTTTATTTTTTCCAGAAATTTATCCATCTCTTCTAGAGTTTCTAGTTTATGTGTTAAAGATGATCATGGTAGTCTTGAACGATCTTTTGTATTTCAATGGTGTCAGTTGTAATATCTCCTGTTTCATTTCTCAGTGAGGTTATCTGGATTTTCTCTCTTCTTTTCTTGGCTAATCTTGTTAATGGTCTATCAATTTTATTTATCTTTTTGAAGAACCAGCTTTTTGTTTCATTTATCTCGTGTATTTTTTATGTGTTTCAATTTCATTTAGTTCTGCTCTGATCTTGGTTATTTCTTCTGCTGGGTTTGGGTTTGGTTTGTTCTTGTTTCTCTAGTTCCTTAAGGTGTGACCTTAGGTTGTCTGTTTGTGCTCTTTCAGACTTTTTGATGTAGGCTTTTAGGGCTATGAACTTTCCTCTTAGCACTGCCTTTGCTATACCCCAGAGATACTGAAAGGTGAGTCATTATTGTCATTCAGGTCAAAGAATTTTTTAATTTCCATCTTGATTCCCTTTTTGACCTAATGCTCATTCAAGAGCAGCTTATTTAATTTCCATGTGTTTGCATGGTTTTGAAGGTTTCTTTTGGAGTTGATTTCCAGTTTTATTCCCCTGTGGTCCGAGAGAGTGATATAATTTCAATTTTCTTAAATTTGTTGAGGCTTGCTTTGTGGCATATCATGTGGTCTGTCTTGGAGAAAGTTTCATGTGCTGTTGAATAGAATGTGTATTCTGTGGTTGCTGGATGAAATGTTCTGTATAAATCTGTTAAGTCCATTTGTTCCCAGGTATAGTTTAAATGCATTGTTTCTTTGTTGATTTTTTGTCTTTATGACCTGTCTAGTGCTGTTAGTGGAGTATTGAAGTTTCCCACTATTATTTTGTTGCTATCTTATTTCTTAAGTCTATTAGTAGTTGTCTTATAAATTTGGGAACTTCAGTGTTAGGTGCACATATGTTTAGGATTGTGCTATTGGCCTGTTGGGCAAGGCCTTTTACCATTATATACTTTCCCTCTTTGTCTCTTTTAACTGCTGTTGCTTTAAAGTTTATTTTGTCTGATATAAGAATAGGCACCCCTGCTCACTTTTGGTGTCCATTTGTATGAAATGCCTTTCTCCCCCCCCTTTAAGTTTATGTGAGTCCTTGTGTGTTAGGTGAGTCTCCTGAAGGCAGCTGATAGTTGGTTGGTGAGTTTGTATCCATTCTGCAGTTCTGTACCTTTTAAGTGAAGCATTTAGGCCATTTACATTCCATGTTAGTATTGAAATGTGAGGTATCGTTGCTTTCATCATGCTCTTTGTTGCCTGTGTGCTTTGGGTTTTGTTTTTTGTTTTTGCTTTTAACTTGTATTTTTGTTTTACAGGTCCTATGTGATTTATGCTTTAAAGAGGTTCTGTTTTGATGTGTTCCCAGGATTTGTTTCAAGATTTAGAGCTCCTTTTAGCCATTCTTGTAGTGGTGGTTTGGTAATGGTGAATTCTCTCAGCATTTGTTTGTCCGAAAATGACTGTATCTTTCCTTCATATATGATGCTTAGTTTCGCTGGATACAAAATTGTTAGTGATAATTCTTTTGTTTGAGGAGGCTGAAGATTGGTCCCCAATCCCTTCTAGCTTGTAGGATTTCTGCTGAGAAATCTGCTGTTAATCTGATAGATTCTCCTTTATAGGTTACCTGGTGCTTCTGTCTCATAGCTCTTAAGATTGTTTCCTTCGTCTTAACTTTGGAACACCTGATGACAATGTGCCTAGGTGAAGATCTTTTTGTGATGAATTTCCCAGATGTTCTTTGTGCTGCTTGTATTTGCATGTCTATGTCTCTTGCAAGGCTGGGGAAGTTTTCCTTATTTCCCCAAATATGTTTTCCAGGCTTTTAGAATTCTCTTCTTCCTCAGGTACACCGATTATTCTTAGGTTTGGTCATTTAACAGAATCCCAGACTTCTTGGAGGCTTTGTTCATATTTTCTTTTTTTTTTTAATTTGTCTTTGTTGGATTGGGTTACTTCGAAGACCCTGTCTTTGAGCTCTGAATTTCTTTCTTCTACTGTTCAATTCTATTGCTGAGACTTTCCAGAGCATTTCACATTTCTAAAAGTGTGTCCAAAGTTTCCTGAATTTATTGTTTTTTCTTTGAGGTGTCTATTTCCATAAATACTTCTCCCTTCACTTCTTGTATCATTTTTTGGATTTCCTTGGGCTTCGCATTTCTCTGGTCCCTCCCTGGTTAGCTTAATAACTAACCCTCTGAATTATTTTTCAGGTAAATCAGGGATTTATTCTTGGTTTGGATCCATTGCTGGTGAACCTGTGTGATTTGGGGAGGGTGTTACAGAACATTGTTTTATTCACATTACCAGGGTTGGTTTTCTGGTTCCTTCTCATTTGGGTAGGTTCTGTTAGAGGGAAGGTCTAGGGCTGAAGGCTGTTGTTCAGTTTCTTTTGTCCCAGAGGGTGTTCCTTTGATGTAGTACTCTCCCCATTTCCTATGGATGTGGCTTCCCGTGAGCCAAGCTGCCGTGATGGTTGTCTCTCTTCTGGGTCTAGCCACCCAGCAAGTTTACCTGATTCCAGGCTGGTACTGGGGGTTGTCTGCACAGAGTCCCGTGATGTGAACCGTCTATGGGTCTCTCAGCCATTGATACCAGTGCCTGGACGTGGCAGGGGGGTGAAGTGGACTCCATGAGGAGTCTTGTGTTTTAGCTTTGGTGGTTTAATGCTCTGTTTTTGTGCTGGTTGGCCTCCTGCCAGGAGGTGGCACTTTCCAGGAAGCATCAGCTGCACAGTGTGGAGAGGGACCAGCGGTGGGTGGGGCCCTAGAACTCTCAAGATTATATGGCCTTTTTCTTCCTCTACCAGGGTGAATACTGAAGGACCATTAGGTGGGGGCGGGGCTAGGCATGTCTGAGCTCAGATTCTCCTTGGGTGGGTCGTACTGCAGCTGCTGTGGAGGATGGGGATGAGATTCCCAGGTCACTGGAGTTGTGTACCAAGGAGGGTTATGGTTGCCTCTGCTGAGACATGCAGGTCATCAGGGAATTGGGGGAAAGCCAGCAGTCATAGGCCTTACCCAGCTCCCACGCAAACAGAAGGGCCGGTCTCATTCCCACTGTGCCCGCAGTAGCCCTGAGTCTCTTTCTAGGCAGTGGGCAAGATGGGCTTGAAAACTTGCCTGAGGCTATCTGCCTTCCAGCTCTGAGAGAAAAGAGCTTTATTTCTTCCCTGACTTGTGAAGTCTGCATGCCTGATCTGCGCCCTCCCCTGAGTTCTGGCCAGGAGGCTTCTCATCCCATTCAAATTGTTACAAAGTTCAGCCAGAGAATTCCATCTCCCTGTGGAGTTTTACCCACTGCTCCTCTGGCCATCCTCCTGATGGATCCCTGTGGTGCTAGGCAGGAATGGACTGCTTGGGGATGCAGGGAGCTCCCAAGGCCTTTCTGCTGCTTCCTCTACCCCTGTATTTCACTCAGCTCTCTAACTTGACTCAGCTCCAGGTAAAGTCAGAAATTTCTCCCACAAACAGAACTTCAGCTTCTCCAGTGAGAGTGTGTCACATTGATTCTTACATATGGCACCAAAACCACAAGCAACAGAAGGAAAAATAGATAAATTTGACTTTATCAAAAGTAAAAGCTTTTGTGCATAAAGGACACTATCAACTATGAAAAGACAGGCTATAAGATGCGGGAAAATATTTTTAAATCATATATCCCATAAGTGATAAGCATCTAGTATCTAAAATATATAAAGAACTCATAACTCAATAAGACAAATAATACAATTGAAAATGGACAAAGGAGTTACATAGACATTTCTCCAGAGAAGATAGACAAATTGCCAACAAGCATATGAAAAGGTGCTCAACATCATCAATCATTAGAAAAAAATCAAAACAACAAGGAGATACCACTTCATACCCACTAGGATGGCTACAATCAATAAAAGGAAAAAAATAACACAAGTATTCATAAGGATATGGAGAATTTGGAAATCTCATATATTGCTTGTGGGAATGTAAAATGAACAACTGCTGTTGAAAACAATTTGGTGTTTCCTCAATAAGTTAAAGATAGAATTGTCAATAACCCAGCAATCTGACTTCTAGATATAGGCCCATGGGAACTGCAAACAGGAATCTGAACAAAAACTTACATGACATCATTATTCACAATAGCCTCAAAGTAGAAACAATTAAAATGTCTTTCAATTGATGAATACATAAATGAAAAGTGTATGTGTGTGTGGGTATGTGCGTATATTCCATTATTTCATACTAATAATCCATTTTACATGTATCTTTATAGTTTAGCCATCAAAAGGACGGAAGTGCTGATATAAGCTGCAACATGAATGAACCTTGAAGACATTAAGTGAAAGAAGCCAGACACAAAAGACCACATCCTTACTGTATGATTCCATTTATACAAAATATCCATGAAAGATAAATCCATAGAGATAGAAAGTTGATCCGTAGTTGCCATGGACTGAGGTATGCATGGTGACTGCTAATGGGTATGGGATTTCTTTTGGGGGCAATTGAAAATGTTCTGAAATTTGGTAGCCTTGATTGTGCAGAACACTGTGAATGTACAAAAAGCCACTGAATTGTAAAGGTTATGACATGTCATTTTTACCATAATAAAAAAATAGAACGATGTCATTGTTTGACAACTTTTTTTTCATTCAAATTATAATACCTATATAATTATGTTTAAAATTGTTAAAAAGTTGGAAAATGTTCTCTAGTGGTCTTTCTTTCCTGTTGTATGCACAGTGCCTGGAACACTAACTTCACCTAGAAGATGCTCCATAAATATTCCCTTTTCCTGGAAATTTTTTTTCATCGACTTCCTGCCCCAATTATCTATAGTTTCTCCTGTGATTCCGGTTAGCTTTTAGGATTTTTTTCAAAGGCTTCTTTCCTTCTGCCAGTGTTTGAATTTCTTTTGTACTTGAGAACTCTGCCTTGGGTCCTCATGTCTACAACATTTCACTAGGTGTGATTTCCTTCACTATTTTGACTTTACTTTCACCCTTATGGAATTGGCTGACATATTACCCTAGAGTCAAATTCCAGAATTCTATTCCCACATATAACTAACTACTACTACACAGACACTCCCTTATTTACTAAAAGCATCTTATACATATCTAAAACTGAATTTATTTGCTTCCTACTCAGGTGAACTCCTTCAACAACTATGTTTCTCACCGTATTTATTTGTTATGTATTTGCTGACCATCTACTACCTGCCATGAACTCTACAAGTTTCCGAATACACATTGGTAAATGGAACAAGCACTAGCTCTCTTTACGGTGCTTACCTCCTAGAGAGAGAGAGAGAGAGAGAGAGACAAACAAAAATCAAGCTCTAAAAATAAGAATATAAATTTTAGATTCTAATCAGTGCTATACAAGTTTCAGCAATAGAAAATCACAGCAGAAGTGAAGGAAGCACTGGTGGAGAAAGGATTTTAAGCAGCAGCCTTTCTGAAGAGGTGGAACTTACTGTGAGATCTGAGTGATGACAAGGAGCCAGCCATATGACAAGTAGGGAAATGTGCAGATAAGAAGAAACAGCAGGTTCTCAGGCACAGAGGTTGAAACAGCTTGGCATGTCCTAGAATTTAAAAGGAAACCACTGTGTAATGAATGCTGGAGAGTGTGGCATAAGATAATTTTGATGGCAGTGTTGGGGCTGGATCATAAGCTATGCCAAAAGATTTTGTATTTTATTTAAAGTGCAATAAGAAGCTACTGGAGTGTTTAAGCATGGCATTTATGTTTTTAAAAGATTTTTCTAGCTGGATGGGAAAAACAGATTGCTGCGGAGCAGAAGTGTAAGTGTAGATAAGTAGTAAAAGGTTATTGCTGTTATCAAGACAAAACACAAGGAGAGAAGATGGTAGAAATGGAGAGTAGAGGACTGATTTGAGGTATTTTTTTAGGAAGAAATAAGAGCCCTTGTTCATGGACTAGATGGGAAGAATCAGAAAGAAGAAATAAGTGATAATTTTCAAGTTGCTGGCTTGAGCAATACAGAAGATAATGGAGACATATATGGAAGGGCAGCTGAAAAATCAAATTTATATTTTGAAGCAGGCAAATTTGAGATGCTCGGAGAACACGCAGCATAAAAAACAAGTCACATGTACAAATCCAGAACTAAAAAGACACTGTAGTTTGTCAAATGATGGCCCCAGAAAGAGATATATTCACATCATAGCCTCTGAAACCTATAAATTTGAAAGCATTTGAAACAAGTGTCTTTGCATATGTAATTAAGTTAACAATCTCCAGATGAGATCATTCTGACTTATCTGGGTGGACTGTAAATTCAACAACAAATATGTTCCAAAGAGAAAAAGGAGAAGATCATGTGAAAATGGAGGCAGAGATTGGAGCCATGCAGCCACGAGCTAAGGAATGCCTGGAGCCACCAGAAACCAGAGAGGCAAGAAAGGAATCTCCCTTAGAGCCTGCAGAGGGAGGATTGCTCTGCCAAAGTCTTGATTTAGGACTCTGACCTTCAGACTGTGAGAGAATCCATTTCTGATGTCTTAAGCCATCAAGTTTATGATCATTTGTTTTGGCAGCCCTAGGAAACTAACACAGGGACACTTGGGCTGGAAGTACAAATTTGGAAGTCACCATCACATAGGTAACATTTAAAATCCAATGAAAAGAAGTATTCTTGGGAGAGAGTGTAGAAAGCAAAGAGAATGAGGCCTAACAATTACAGGTCTGATATAAGAGGCTACAACTGCAATAGAAACTGAGAAGAAGCAAGAAGTATGAGAGGCAGGTGGTAGTCAGAGAAGACAAAAGGGGACAGTTTCGAGGGAGGAATTGTTAGCAAGGCCCAATGTTACGAAGAGGCCAAAAACAATGGGATTATCAAAGACCACATAATATAAAAATATAAAAGTTGTTTGTGACCTTAACCAGGACAGTTTTCTGTGGAATCACTGAGTAGGGCCCAAACTATGGTGGGTGGGGAAGTGAGATTATACATATGAACAATTCTGTTGAAAAATTATGCTATGAAAAATGACACTAAAAAAGCAGCCATCAATGCATGCTGATGTGAGGTTAAGATGTGTGTTTGTAGATATTTCTTTTGTTTGAGCATGGGAAATTTTACAGTGTTTTTGCATGCTGGTGAGAATAATTGGTTATGGCATGTCATATTGATACAAGAAAAAAAGGGGAGAATTGGGGAAACAAAAGGCCTTGAGGGCAGATGAGTTGCAGAACACATATCAAGAGACTGGCCTTTGAAAGGAAGAAGGTCACATCCTCAGTTGTATTAGGAGATTTTAAAAAGTAAAGATAAATGCAAATATGAGTAATCTCAAAGATGTGTAGGAAAACAAAAAACATTTTGTGTGTGGGCCTATTATTTTTTCATTAGTGCTTGAGTTAAGACCGTAAGTTTTGGGTATGGCAGTACAAAAGACAAAAAAGGAGGTAGGTTAAGGAGAGATTATAATGTCTGCAACTCTTGGCTTAGAAAATGAGAAAATTTAGTTTATAAGCAGCAGAATGTTGGATTATATGGCAGTGCTGATATCAGAAACTTGATATTAAACCAGTGAGCCCCACTGCATGTATTTTTTTTCTCACTGTGTTCAGCTACATGAGTGCAGGCATAAAGAATCTATATGACTGAGTTCATCTAGGATTGGGGTTTTGCAAGGCAAGTATGACCATCAGGGGATAGGGAGAGGGGAGTTGATTGAGGGGAAGTGAATTTTCAGGGGAAAGATTACAATTATAGATCAACATACTGAGCAGTACACAGAAAAAGTGAAAAGATAAAGGAGACTGTAGTGGAAAAAAAGGATATGGAATCAATAAATTGTAGGTCAACATGACGTTGAGTAACTACTGGAGCATGAGCTGTAAGAGTCGGAACTCAGTGTTGGACAGGAAAGGAGTGTGCATTTGTGATTTTGGTTTTTTTTTTAATTTGTAAAATACCCATAAGAATTGGTGGCTCATATAATACAGAAGAAAAACACATTGGAGTTGTGGTTAAGAAACTGGAAGAACAAAGGTAGAATAGGCATCATTGTAGATGTTGACAGGAAATGGGTTGGAGGAGGAGACAGGGAACTAGTGTCCAAAGTCCTCAATGGATGAATAAATGTCCAGTCATAGAATGGCAATGATGAAAAGGTGGACTTGAGGATATGTCTGGATAACATGACCTCTCAATGTGTGAGAGAAGATTTCTTAATTAGGGTTGAACAACATTGGCCTGGACATGATGATGAAGGATGACAAGAGACTTGACGGAAGAAGAATAGCCATTCAGTGCCCTAGCCCCCCAAAATGAAATTCATAAGAAAAATAATAATAATTCACTTGATTTCTGAAAGGGAAGCAGTGACTTCAGAGAACAGCCAAATTTAGTTAAGGTGAAAAGATCAAGCAATTTAAGATATGGGAAATTACCTGTTCACAGAATATAATTTCTAGAGCCACAGCACAAGGATTTGAAATGACAAGGACTGAAGAATAGGGTTACATTAGGATATGTATAAATGTGGAGATACTAATAGTCGACCATGGAATCTTACACTTCTGCTGATGACTGAGGTAAACAAGCAGGACCCAATGTATGGCATTACTGTCTACCAACACTTCCTAACCACAAACCTGCAGTTAATCTTAAAATTCTCCCTCTTTTTATCAGGCCAATCTGATTGGTCACCGAGTCTTATCTGTTTTTTTGGAAGCTACCCCCTCATTTCCACCTCTGCTACCTCTTTTTTAGTTTAAGCATCTAAACTAAATGTTTTACATCTTTTCTTTGTTTTCTATCGATAGCTTCCTAACTTACATTTCTGTCACGAGACTCAAACCCACATCTTTAAAAGCATCGTTTGTTTCTGACAAGTTGGATTTTTGTTAAAAGTAAATCTCCTTGGTCTAAAGTTACTAAATGAACCACCTTTATCTTCAGAGACACTATGAACTTGTACAAGTACACATAGTCCTTTATTATCTAGCCCTCCCTCCCTCCAAAGCTATAGCTCTCTCTCCTCTCTCGCACACACACAAAAAGCTTCTCTGGCATACCGAACTTTTTATGTTATAAAGAAGGTCTCTTTTCTTACTGGGTTTATTGTCTTTGTCAGCCATATTATTCCCTTCTATCTTCATCCAGTTGATCCCCACAACTCCATTAACACACTGTTCAGATATATACTCAGGGGCCTGAACCTCACCCACAGCACAGATGTCCCCCTCTGGACCAGATGTCCTCCTCTATCCTCCAGTAGCATTTTGCCTCCATCATAGAAGCTATTTCACTGAGCTATAACTGCTTAGGGCAAAAATACATTTTAAAAAGGACGTGTTTCCCATGCTGTAGAATAAATATAATCTTTTTGGGAGTTGAGTCCTTTTATTCCTATTGAATTAATGAATCTATTTATTTTTGCTTCAAGATTTATTTACAGTTATTTGACACTGTTGGAAGTGGGATTGTTTTTAATTTGACTTCTGGATTGTTCATTGCTAGTGTACAGAAACAGAACTGATATTTGTATGTTGATTTTATACCCTGTAATTTTACTGAATTTATTAGTAGTTCTAACAGTTTCGGTGGATGCTTTACAGTTTTTTACATATAAGATTATGTCATCTGCATGATGACATAATCTTTTTTACTTCTTTTATCAATTTAAAATTTTACTTCTTTTATCAATTTAGATGGCATTTACTTATTTATTTTTCCCTATTTGCTCTGACTAAGACTTCTGATACTACATTGAATTCAAGTGGTGAAAATGAGCATCGTTGGCTTGTTCCTGATCTTAGAGAATAAGCTTCCAGGTTTTCATCATAGAGTATGATGACAGCTATGGGCTTTTCATGTAAGACCTTTAAGAAGTTGAAGCAACTTCCTTCCATTCTTAGTATGTTAAGTCTTTTCATTATAAAAGGGTGTCAAATTTTGTCAAATGATTTTTCTGCATTTGAGACAATAACATGATTTTATCCCTCACTCTGTTAATGTGGTTTATCACATTGACTGATTTTCACATGAATTATCTTTGCATTCAAAGTATAAATACCACTTAGTCATGGCGTATGAGCCTTTTAATATGCTGCTCAATTTGGTTTGCTGGTATCTTGTTAAGGATATTTGCATACTTAGAACTTAACAAAGGAAATGAAAGACTTGTACACTAAAAGCCACAACACATTGCTGAAAGAAATTAAAGGCACAGATAAATAGAAAAACACCTATGCTCACCACTGGAAGATTTAATATTGTCAAAATGACCATATTACCCAGAGAAATCTACAGATTCAGTGTAATCCTTACTAAAATTCCAGTGGAATTTTTTATAGAAACATTTTAAAAATCCTAAAATTTATATGGAAATAGAAAGGACTTCAACTAGCTAAAGCAGCCTTTAAAAAGAAGTACAAAGGTAGAGGCATCACACTGCCTGATTTCAAAATATATTACAAAGCTATAGTAATCAAAATAGTATGGTACCAGCATAACAACAGACTTATAGGTCAATGGAATAGAACAAACATCCCAGAAATTAACCTACCCATATACAGTGAGCTGATCTTCCACAAGTGTGTCAAGAATGCACGTGGGAAAGGATAGTCTCTTCGGTAAGAAGTATTGGGAAAATTGATATCCACATGGAAAAGAATGAAATTGCACCCTTATGTCATACACAAATTCAAATCAAAATTGATTAAAGACTTAAATGTATGACCTAAAACTATCGTTAAAATTATTAGAAGAAAATATAGTGGAAAAGCTTTATGGCATAGATCTTCACAATGATTTTTTTGTATATGACACCAAAAGCTTAGGTGGCAAAAGCAAAAATAGACAAGTGAAATTATATCAAACTAAAAATCTACACAGTAAAAGAAACAATCACAAGTGAAAAGGCAATCTCTGAAACAGAAAATATTTACTAGTCACATATCCAATAAGAAGTTAAACTACATAGTGTATAAAGAACTCCTATACCTCAGCAAAAAAATAATAAGAATCCATTTTTAAAATAGGCAAAAGACTTTCATAGACACTTCTCCAAAGAAATACAAATGGCTAATGGGTATGCTAAAAGATGTTTAGCATCACTAATTATGAGAAAAATGCAAATCAAAACCACAATAAGATATCACCTCACACCTGTTAGGAAGGCCATTGTCCAATCAAATGAATAATGAGTGTTGGAAAAAATGCGGAGAAATTAGAACCCTGTGCACGGTTGTTAGAAATGTAAAATAATGCAGCACTATGGAAAAAAATCTGAAATTTCTCAAAATAATTTAAACTAGAACTACCATATGATCCAGCAATCCCACTTCTGGGTATTTATCCAAAAGAATTAAAATTGGAATCTGGAAAAGGTATTTGTACTTGTATGTTCAATGCAGCATTATTTACAGCACCTAAGATGTGAGGGCTGGTAAATGTCCATCAGTGGATGAATGAATAATGAAAATGTGGTATATAGAGCCAATGGAATATAATTCAGCCTTTAAAATGAAGAATGAAGAAAATCCTGTCATATGTAGCAACATAAACGAAATTTGAGGACATTATGCTAAGTGAAGCAAATCACATGCTACATGACTCTACTTATATAAGATATCTAAAGTAGCAAACTCATGGAAGCAGAAAGTAGAATGATGATTTCCAAGGCTTTGGAGGAGGGTGGAGAATGGTAAGTTGCTGTTCAATATGTGTAAAGTTTCAGTTATGCAAAATAAAAAAGTACTAGAGATCAGCTGTACAAGATTGGACTTACAGTTAACAATATTGAACTACTAACTAAAAACTTTAAGAAGGTAGATCTCATGTTATATTTTTTGGCACAATTTTTAAAAAGATTTCTCCATAGCAAAAATGTAAAGTAAAACTCAAAGAAAGCTAGATTAGACAAAAGAAGATCCCAGGGAGAAAGTTTATGTTTGGCCACTTAAAAGTTGCATAACTCAAGTATCATGGGAACCAGAAATTCTTTGCCAGTTACATTGTCAATAAAGTGAATCACTTATGTGAAAATCTAATCCTGGGCAAAACCATGTGTGAGAAACTGGAACAAATATATCTTTGTTGTCAATGAATTACATGAGGTCACTATCATTTAATGAACTTCTTTCATGGAGACTCTGCTGTGTAATCTCACATGCCACTGGTCACAAAGTAGATAAGCTGAAAGATGAGATGGATCAAAGCAAACTCTGTCACCTAGGAAGGGGAAAATATTTAGAGTTCATGATATACTAAGATATCTTTGAGAACTTTGCTATACACAAAACAGAGCTCAAAGCCAAAGTCCTATTGTAAATTTGAACTTAGCATTTATATAATCATGGAAGTAACACTGCTTCATCCTACATTGGTGCAGCAGGTCTTAGAGATGTCAATAACGTGGTATGGAATAATTGTGTAAAATGAATCTCTCCATATCTTGCCTATGGATATCAAAACTCTTATGTCAGGAACAAAAAGTATTTTCTTCATACACTTCTTTGTTCTACAGGGAATTTCTGAACATATATAAGAAAATATAAAGTAATTGTGCTTATAAATACAAATGATTATCAATACTTATGAATTACTTAACCATGAGCCAAGCACTAGCAAGTGCTTTGCTTGAATGACTCCTGTAACACTACCAACAACATTAGCATGTATGACTTTTTATTATCCGTACTTTACCATTATAGAAAAATTAAATAAAGTTACAGGAACACAGAAAATAAAATCTCTCAGTAATATCCCAGAGTCGGGAGAAAGTATGTGAGTTCCTGGTGGTAAGCTAACTTTTTTTGTATACTTACTCTACAATTCTCATGTTGCCTTTCATAAAGAGAATGGTCAATAACTTTAGCAATGCTTCCAGAGTAAATTCATCAGCAGGTTTTGTAAAGCTCATTCTTCTAAGATTCTTTAATATATGCTTAGGAGTGAAATATAAAATCCCAGCTAAGTGAAGGTAGTTCTATGAGGTGATGGAAGAAACTCCATGAGTCACAAATTCCCCTCCACTAAAGCCATTGGAAGCAAAAACATCCAAACCAAATTGGTGAATCCAATGACCCTACTGCCATTCTCAGTTGTTTGGACCCTCTGGAATATCGGCAACTTTTTGACATCCCCCTTTTCTTTAACATAAAATCATCTGAAACCTTAGCTTCTGTGTTTGCCATTCTAGCCTCTTAAAAATATGTGTTCTCTAGGGTGCCGGACATTGTGTTTTCTCTCTTCCTATTCCACACACTCTCCTTGAGTGTCTCAACCAAGGTCATCTTGTCCCTTACCAACTACAAACCATAGTAACATCAGATTCTATACTCCTATACTGCTAATCTCTATCTCTCTCTATCTCTGTCTCACACAAACACACACAAATGCACGCACATACATACACCAATATTCATATACATCATATATGTTACATATGTATCTCTATGCCTCCTCGCCTCTCTCTCATTGCCATTCTTTCTTTGATTCTTACTTTCAACAAATATTTGGTGAATCCTATGTACCAGTCATTGTTCTAGCTGCTGGGGAATACAGCAGTTAACAAGATGAGTGGAACCTTCTCAAACAATAAAACACGGAGGGAATTCATCACCAGCAAATCTTCACTGCAAGAAATGTTAAAGGATTTTATTTAGGAAGAAGAAAATGATAGAGTTAAGAAACATGGATCTACATGGAGAAAAAACTATCGGAGAAGAAATAACTGTGGACAAAATAAAATATTTTTCTTATTTTAATTGGTATAAAAGATAGCTGCTTGTTTAAAATCATAATAAGCACTACTAGAGCACTTCTGCTGGCGGTTTCCTGCCAGAGCACATTTGCCATTACCTCGACACCTGCACTCTGGAGCATGTTCACCCTTGGCACTCCTGCTGGAGTGCTTCCCACTCCAGGCACCCCCACCACTCACAATGGAGTGCTTTTGCTGACAGCCCCTTGCCATAGCATGCTCACCTGCAACCCTGCTCCCACCCTTCCAGAGCACATTCCCTTGCAGCAACCCCACTGCCCCAGCTGCAGTGCTTCCTGCCGGCAGTGCCCCCACACCACACACCAGAGCACTTTTGCTGACAGCCTCCCATCATAGTGCACCCTCCCATAACCCTCTGGAGCATATTCACCCGTGGCACCTCCACCACTCCCACCAGGATATTTCCCATGCATGTCACCCCCACCACCCCGATGATGGGCTGATGTCAGTCATCTAGGAGCACTTCAGCCCCTCCTACTCAGCCAGAGCTTGATGTCAAGGAATGAGAAGACACAGCCATGGACCCAGTTCCAGCCAGCCAGAATTAGAGCATGCAGCCCAGAAGTATACAACTGATCCATGGCCTCTAAAAGCATCCAGAATCAGAACCATTCAACCATACACAACTTGCACTGTAGTCAAATCCTCAAGGGCAATAAAGAGCATGAAAACAAAAGGCCCCTTCCAAAGGACAGCAACTCCAAAGGATAAAGAAACATCAGTTCTCACATATGAGAAAGAGCCAGCACAAAAACTCTGGCAACTCTAAAAGCCAGAGTAGTGTCTTCTTACCTCCAAATGATCACACCAGCCCCCAAGCAATGATTTTTTAACCAGATTGAAATGGCTAAAATGTCAGACATAGAATTCAGAATCTGGATGGCAAGGAAGATTATCAGGACAAAGAGAAGGCTGAAACCCAATACAAGGAAAACAGTAAAATAATCCAAGAGTTGAAAGATGACATAATCATTTAAAAAAAGCAACTTCTGGAAATGAAAAATTCACCATAGAAACTTCAAAATACAATTGGAGCATGAACAATAGAAAAGACCAAGCTGAGGAAAGAATCTCAGAGCTTGAAGAACACTCCTTCAAAGCAACACAGGCAGACAAAAAATTAATTAACAAATGAACAAAACCTCTAATATATAGGATTATATAAAGAGAGCAAACCTATGACTCATTGGCATTCCTGAAAGAAAAGGAGAAAAAGCAAGCAACTTGAAAAACATATTTGAAAGTTTGTTTCACAGAAATTTTTGCAATCTCACTAGAGAGGTTGACATGAAAATTCAAGAAATACAAAGAACCCCTGTAAGATGTTATCTACTCAAGATGACAATCCCCAAGACACATAGTCATCAGATTCTCCAAGGTCAATGTGAAAGAAAAAGCTTAAAGGCAGCTAGAGAGAAGGGGTAGGTCATTTACAAAGGGAACTTCATCAGCCTAACAGTAGACCCTTCAGCAGAAACCTTACAAGCCAGAAGAGACTGAGGTCCTATTTTCAATGTCCTTAAGAAAATAAATTCTAACCAAGAATTTCATATCCTGCCAAACTAAGTTTCATAAACAAAGGAGAAATGAAATCCTTTTCAGACACACAAATGCTAAGGGAATTTATTACCAATAGACCTGCCTTACAAGAGGTGACAAAGGGAGTGCTAAACATGGAAATGAAAGAAGATAACTACCATTACAAAAACATTTAAGTACACAGCTCATTGACATTACAAAGCAAGTACACAGCCCATTGACATTACAAAGCAACTATAGAATAGTCTACATAACAACCAGCTAACACCACAATGGCAAGATCAAATCTTCACATGTTAATACTGACACTGAATGTACATTGACTAAATGCCTAACTTAAAAGGCATGGAGTAGCAAGTTGGATAAAGACACAACACAGTTATCTGCTGTCTTCAAGAGACTTATCTAACAAGTAATGCCACCCGTATGCTCAAAGTAAAAGGATGGAGAAGGATCTCTCAGGCAATGGAAGACAAAAATGAGTGACTATTCTTATACCACGGAATTAGAAGCAGCTATTCTAAAATTCATATGGAACCAAAAAGAGACCAAATCACCAATGCAATCCTAAGCAACAAAAACAAAGCTAGAGGCATTACATTGCCCTACTTCAAACAATACTACAAGGCTACAGTAAGCAAAACAACATTGGGCTGGTACAAAAGCAGATATAAAGACTAATGGAACAGGGTAGAGAACCCAGAAATAGAACCATACACCTACAACCACCTGACTCTCAACAAAGTCATCAATAACAAACAATGGGGAAAAGACTCCATATTCAATAAATGGTGCTGGAATAATTGGCTAGCTATTTACAGAAGATTGAAATCAGACCACTTTTTTTGCACCATATATAAAAATCAACTCAAGATGGATTAAAGACTTAAATGTAAAACCAAAAACAATAAAAAGTTTAGAAGAAAACCTAAGAAATACCATTCTGTATATTCGCCTTGGCAAGGAATTTATGACAAAGTCTCCAAAGGCAATTGCAACAAAATAAAAAATTGGCAAGTATGTCCTAAGTAAACTCACGAGCTTCTGCACAAAAAAAGAAACTATAAGCAGAGTAAACAGACAACCTATGGATTGAGAGGAAGTATTCATAAACTATGCATCCAACAAAGGTCTAATATCCAGAATCTATGAGGAACTTAAATCAACAAACAAATAACAAATAATTCCATTTAAAAATGCCCAAAGGATATGAACAGATACTTCTCAAAAGAATACATACATGTAGACAATAAATATATGAAAAAAATGCTCATCATCACTAACCATTAGAGAAATGCAAATCAAAACCATAATGAGATACCATCTCACACCAGTCAGAGTGACCATTACTAAAAAATCAAAAAAGAACAAATGCTGGTGAGGTTGCAGAGAAAAGGGAATTTATACATGCTGCTGGGAATATAAAATAGTTCAACAACTATGGAAAAATCATGTACCCCAAACCCCAAATTAGAAAATAAGAGTAGAAAAATAAATTAATTCAATAATAATACTAAATAATAACCATGTATTGGTTTACTGGTGATTGTATCATATGGATAAGGGAAATAAATGATAGCAATGTTATAAGGGAGGGAAGTATTGAGAATTCTCTAAGTTACCTGCATTACACATGAAATAAATTGGTGTAATTTGAAGGCAAATGTGAGTAATTAAACATCTATCTTACCACTCCAGTTTATAACCTTAGGGAAACTATTTAAAAATAAGCATAATTAATGTGCAAATAAGGAGATAAATGGAATCATAATATTCAACTAAATTCAGAGAATGTAGAAGAAGCCTCTGGCATTAAAAAGTTACAAACATGTTTGATATTAATTCAAATATATCAATAACCACTCTAAATACAATGATCCAAAGACATGAATTAGAAGACAAAGACTACCAGAAGGAATTAAAAAATACCCAATTATATGGGTCTTTAAATATAAAGACTTGAGAATAAAAAGATTCAGATATGTTAAAAGTTAGGGATGAGGAAAGCTACACCGTGCTAACACGAATTTAAAAAAACAGCTGTAGTAGCTATGTTAATTTCAGAGAAAACAAACCATATTATAAGAAAAATTATTCAGAAGAAAAAGGAGGCACTACTTAATGACAAAGAGGTAAATTATTCAAGAAGACATAACAATATTAAATGTGTATACACCTAACAACAGAGAGCCAAAATATGCGGGAGAAAAAATTTGCAAAATACTTCTCTGATAAAGGACTTGTATCCAAATCACAAAAAAATCTCAGCACTCAACCATAAGAAACCAATTAGAGACCTCATCAAATAAGAGGTAGATGAGAAAAAGCATATGTGGAGATTATCAACATCATTTGCCATTGAGGAACTGCAAATTAAAACAAAATGAGATTCTACTCTATATCTATTAGATTGGCTAAAATTTAAAAACCTGACAATACCAACTGTTGTCAAGGATGCAAAGCAACAGGAACTCCCATTTATTGCTGGTGGGAATACAAAATGGTATAGCCACATTACAAAATAGCTTGGCAGTTTCTTACAAAGCTATAACCATACTGTCCCTCAATCATATTGGCTCTGGTTGAGAGATACCTGTGTTATGAAGCCCCTCTTCTCAGCTCCAGGGCTATTCCCTGGTTCTTTCACAAATTACACTCTCATTGGAACCTATAAATGGGCTCATTCCTGAAACAGGATGTGTGATTGGGCACCTATGTAATTATGCTCATGCTGGCTCTTCTAGGCCTCACCCCCAGCTATTCTTCCATTTCCAAGCCACTTTGGATAACATATTGAATATGAAGCTGCATGAAATGTGCCTAAGAGGCTATACCCAGACATTACCAACACAAAGATTCTCACATTTCTCTCATCCAATCTAGATACTTATTTCCTCTTCCCTAGAAATGTTGATTCTTGAGTAGGAATTAGGATATCCCTACATGACTTAGTGCCTCCTGTTTGCTCTAGCTATCTTCCAAGCTCTTCCTTTGAGAACAGAAAGGACTTTCCTTTTCCTGGGTAGCAGAATTTTCCTTTATATCATGTCTTTATTTAATTTACTCAGTAATTTTCTCTATACTTAATCCTTTAGGCTTTGTGTTGACATATGAAAACCAGTTTAGGGAAGTCTGAGAATACACTTTTTTCTCCCTCATGAAATACAGGCTATCAGTGGGATTGTCCCACTGTAGACTTGTAAAACTCTGCTTTTTAACTCTAACTAAACAATTATTTTCTTGTTCTAGGCAGTTGGTGCTGTTCCTTTCCTAGGTCAATAAATTTGGATTGAATGGCTGAAGGGCTGAAAGTCATAGACAAAATTCTCTGTCCATGAAGGACCCTCTTCTCCTATGAGGACAATTTCTTGACAATTACTGGTCTAGTAAATCTGCTAAATCTACAAGAGCAAATGGACTACAATTCCTTCATCCACTCTTGCTTACATAGAACTCTCCTCAACTCTTTTTATAATATTTCTGCTGCAAGTAATTTAAGGTTATATTTTCTGAACAGCTTCTCACATTCAGGTATTTTGTGTAAGGGGTAGTTTGTTTGTTCAAATGTGTTTATTATCAGATTGGTATTTACCCAACCAAACAAGGCTGGGATAGGAACAAGATGTTTAACTGAAGCAAAAATGTGATTCTGTACATGTCCAACCTATATATTTGTAGGACCACCCATGGTTTAGAAAGTTCCTATACCTGCAATTTTCCTGTACCAAATGTAATACAGGCTTCCCTCCTCAGAAAGCAAGAAGGAATCCTCAAACCATCATTTCACTTCCTCCATTAACAACAATAACCGTGATCATCAAAAGGGATAATGGTTGAACACCTCTTATGTATTAACCTCTAAAATGAGTGCTGTCTATGAAACATCACATTCAACTTTCTCAGCCACCCTGTGGGATGCTGGTGGTATCCTTTGTTGCATACATAAAAAATGTGAGGCTTTGACAAGTTGAATGGCATGGCCAGGCCATTCAGAATTGACCTATATCTGAACCCAGGTCCATCTTCAGATCTCTTTCTTTTAATAATGCAGTTATAACATCTCTTATATCCTATAAATATAAGAATATTTGAAAAACTTTACAAAAAGGAAAAAAATTACCCATTTATTGCAGATATAATATACTATTCTTCAAATATATGCTATGATGGATCTATTTTACCACTTACATGTTTTTGACACTCCCATATTTTTTGTTTCATCTTTCCCAATCTACAGAATACTACTAGACTGAGAGAAAATTCTGAAAGCAGAGCCAAGTATTTGGGTATATGTGTGTGTGTGTGTGTGTGTAGTACAGCAAAAAAAATATCTATTTTTCTGTCATTTGAAATTAATATACAGACACAGCTTGGAGAGATAAACTTACCTTGATTTACAGCTATTTTAAATTTCTTGTAAGTTGCTTGAAAAATTATAAATTGCCAGCACGACTTTATTATTCATTTTATTTTCACATCAGCCCAGTTAATTAAAAATTCTTTAAGTGTCAAACTGAGGTGCTCAGTTAGCATGTGAAACAGCCCTAGACTTTTATATTTTTACTTTTCTTTAGAACTATCAATAATTTGTCATGTCTTAAATATAAAAAAGTAAAAATTAACTGATTAAAGTTAATTAAGGTAAAATTAACTTTTCACTTTTCTCAAATATTTATTGGAAAGAGATAAATTGTTAATCCTTTGTCTGATTCTTGGAAATAGATAAATCTTGGAAATATACAGGCATGAGTCCGATTCCATGGAATGAAAGGGATGTATAAGAGAGCTAGAAGTTTAAACAAAAATAGAAAAAGAAAGGAAAGAAGGAAGGGAGAAAGGGAGAGAGGGAAGGAGAATTTAAACCTTTGAGTAGGAAAAGAAACAATTGAACAGTTATATTACATTAAAAACTATGTTACAAAATAACTAATTAGCCTTTGTATTTTCCGTAAGGAGACCAATATTCCAAACTGGAAAGGAAGGCACAAACCATTAGCAGAAAAGTGTACTTTAAAAGAAATATAAAGTAGATATCAATTAGAAGACTTTATGATCACTAATAGAGGATGAATATTATTCCTAATAGAAATGTAAACTGGAACCATCTTTATAGAAGCAATTTGAAAATATGCACATTCTTAAAAGTATTCTTATTACTGCATTGCTTCTATGATGAAAGATCAAAAGAGCCCAAATGCTTAAATAATAGAATGTGGATTATATAACAGAACACACATCATAGCATATTATGAATTATTGATTTTAAAATATTTAAGAATGCATATTTAATATTTACAGCTACATCAAACTAAAATGCTTTCATACAACAAAGGAAACAAACAACAAAATGAAAAAGAAGCTTACACATTAGGAGAAAATATTGGCAAACCACATATCTGATAAGGGGTTAATATCCAAATTATATAACAAACAATAGCAAACAAAGTAAACAAAAAAATCCACAAGTAACCCAGTTTAAAAATTGGCATCTGAATAAACATTTTTCCAAAGAAGACACATAAATTGCCAATAGGTATATTAAAGGGTGCTCAACATCACTAATCATGAGGGAAATGTAATCAAAACAACAATGAAATATCATCTCTCACCTTTTAGGATGGCTTTTATCAAGAGGCCAAGAAATAACAAGTGTTTGTATGAATAGAGAGATAGGAAACACATGTACACTCTTGGTGGGAATGTAGATTGGTGTGACCACTGTGGAAAACAGTGTGGGTGTCCCCAAAGAAATTAAAAATAGAATTACCATATGATCCAGTGCTCCCATGTTCATTGCAGCATTTCTCACAATAGCCAACATACAAAAACAACTGATGAGTTTGTTGACAGATGAATGAAGAAACTATAATGGAATATTATTCAGCCTTTTAAAATTATATGTCTAAATAACAAGTTCTTTCAAAAAGAGTTATTAAAAATCTAAGATTTTTTTAAAGCATTGTAATACAGTGGCATTCTTAACAGCACAAGAAAAATTATATTTAATAATTGATGGTTCTAGACTCAATAGAATAGCAGAATCTCATTTTTTCTTTAAAAATAAATTGTGTAGGTATATTTTTATAAAAGTATGACAAATACAAACACAAAACAAGGTTAAAAATTATCATCTTTTTTTGATATATTTCTACATTTTTCTATGAAAAGGATGTACAGTTGACCTTTGAACAACAAGGGGGTTAGGAAGTACCTACCCTCTTGCAGTTCAAAATCTGTGTATAACTTTTAACTCCCCCAAAACTAAACTATTAATAGTCTACTGATGACTGGAAGCCTTACCGATAATATCAGTAGCCAGTTAACACATATTTTGTAGGTTATACATATTATATACTGTATTCTTACAATAAAGCAAGCTAGAAAAAGAAAATGTTACTAATAAAATCAAACAGGTGAGAAAATGTATTTACTATTCATTAAGTGGAAGTGGATCATCATGAAGGTTTCTATCCTCATTGCCTTCACATTGAGTAGGATGAGTGGGAGGGGAAAGAGGGGGACTTGGTCTTGCTATCTCTGCAGTAGAAGAGGTAGAGGAGGTGAAAAGGAGGCAGGAGAAGCAGGAACACTTGGTGTAACTCTTTTCTTTTTTTTAAATGTGTGTGTAAGTGAACCTGAGCAGTTCAAACCCACATTATTCAAGGGCCAATTTGTATGTTTTTTAATCAAACTAAAAGATAATGTTTTTTCATAAGGTAGAAACTAGACATTATTTCAAGTAATACTAATTACTTCATGTCTTCATAGCCAAACAAATTACTTTCTAGGTGTAAAAAAAATAGTGCTGTGATCCCCAATCTATTTTCAAGATAAGAAAACCTATTTTGACATAGGTTTTGGAAAAGGTTTGAAATGGAAGACAAGTACAAAGACTACAGAACGAGATAACACTAGAGGTAGGGCTAAATTGGCCAGGAGAGTACAAGAGTCATCTTCAGGAACCTTTGAGGAAATAGGAATATATGGAATTAAAATGCTGTTTGAAATATTATTTATAATAATTTTTTCACTTTTTTCTTCTTTCTCTTCTTTCACTTCTCTTTCTCTTTTCTACCTTCACATAAACATAAAAGTAATATGTAAAATGTCAATATGCATGTCAACTTTCACATATAAATCTTTTCACTATTTTAATTGCTAAGGTATAATATTTCACCTATATTTTGCATTAAATTAGGCTTGTTGCCTTGCAAACTAAACTTTTTTAAAAAATGCATTTCACATGCCAAATAGTCCCCTAATGAGCTCTTAGATAGCATTCAATTTATAAAATTGTTTTCTAAAGAAAGATAATCCTGCTCACTGTTAACTTGCCAAAAGTTCCCTTGTTGAGCAACAAAAAGACTCAGAGCATTTTCACCAACTACTTCCTCTAAGCAAATATCTTTCATGCTATTCCAATGTTAGCTTAATAGAAGCTGTGTTGTTAATATAAACTATCATGACTGATATATACTTTAAATAAGTGAACCATCAAAATATTGCTGATAACTTGTACTAGGTCTTGTGTTAATTTTATAAGTAAGTATGATGTGTTTTATAGAGTTTTAATTCAATCTACTTTTAAGTATTTCACTGTGTGAGATTTCTGAAGATTACTTATATAAGGGCAGATAATGAACTATGGAGTAAACAGTTGAAAACATCACATAAATTCTTTTGTAGTCATGGTGATGAAGTCACCTTTGACCTGATTTTCAACACTAATGTCAGAAAAATAAAGAAAAGAAATAGTGTTTCATTGAACAATAGTAGCCTTTAAAAAAGTGTTTTCGAATGTCTTCTGGTTTATACCTCAAGTGAAACTGAAAAGATTTTGAGAGTCCCCCAAAAAATTCTTACAGTGGTGAAATATATACTTGTCAGTCTCCTTATACACAATAACTTCTTAGCTAAAATAGTAATTTTTCATCAGGATTTATAGTGGAGAACATTCTTAAACAAGAGATTTCCCTTGTTTTTGCCAAGAACATGTGCCAGTTCATCCAAATTATTAATAAACTTAATACAATTCACCTGAAAATGGTTCTGCATGGGCTCTATTTTTCTATTCTAAAATATTTTAAAGGGCCCCTTCTGGCAGTAATTTAATAATTTTTTTCTGGGAAAGCCAGAAAATTTGAACCATACCAAAATTTGTACTCAGTTCTCTGAAGGCAGGTGTGGCACATCATTATATCATCTCTTAAAGAGGTAGCTGAGCTCATTTTTAGACTCAAAAATAGAGAATTTTTTTCCTAAAGAACATGTTACATTTGCTTTTTTAAATGTACAGGTATATTTAAAGGCAAAGTTTCAAGGTTCTCAGGTGGTGATAGTTTTGACAGTGTACTACAGTAGATCTGACATTGGTTTACATTACAAGTGTGTCTACTAGAAAAATAAATAGCCCTTGGCATAAATTATCAATGTATTTATCCAAGGTAATCAATGAATAAGTTTTCAAGTAAAATGGAGCTAAACTGAGTGAAGTTTCAATGACCTCTAAAAGTATTCTCCAAAGAAGGAAAATAGGAGAAAAAATATGTGTCAATAAGTGTTATTCAACATTTAGAGTCAAAGGACACTTTTGAGATTACTTTGTTGAAAACATTGGAGCTCTCCATTCCAGAGTAATCATGCAGAAAAATGCACACAATACTTTCAATTGGATATGTATTTCAAAGAGGAAAGCAAAACAATATCACCAAACTAATGCTTCCCTCAACCTTTTGTTTTCATTTTTTAAAAGCCACTTCCTTAAGAAAAGGAAAGAATAAAATCCAATAATAAAACTTTAATTATTCTCAAAGGTCAGACTCTAAATGAAGATTGCTATGCTTTGGCTTGAATAAAAAGCTTAAAATTGTCAAGTTAACTTTAACATGGCCACATATGTGACCTGTTTCCCACAAACGATTGATTCCAACTTGTTTTGTTGACATGACACATAAAAAAAATCCAATATGATTTAGGAGCACTTGAGCTGAAAACATATCACATCAATTCTTTGTAGTCATGGCAATGAAGTCATCTTTGACCTGATCTTCATCACTAATGTCAGAAAAATAAAGAAAAGAAATAGCATTTGATTGAACAATAGTAGCCTTTAAAAGATGTGTTTTTAAATGTCTTCAGGTTTATACCTGAAGTGAAACTGAAAAGGCTTTGATGGTCTCCCCAAAAAATTCTTACATTGGTGAAACATACTTGTCAATCTCCTTATAAGCAATGACACCTTAGCTAAAATAACTAGTAATTTTTCATCAGGATTTATAACGGAGAACATTCTTAAACAAGAGACTTTCTTTTTTTGCCAAGAACATGTGCCAGTTCATCCAAATTATGAATAAACTTAATGCAATCCACCTGAAAATGGTTCTGCATGGGCTCTATTTTTCTCTTTTAGAAGTATTTTTAAAGGGCCCCTTCTGGCAGTAATTTAATAGAAATTTTTTTTCTGGGAAGCCAAAAAATTTATACCGCAAAAATGAACACGTTTTCTATTTCGTTCCCATTTCTTCATAAAATTCTCAAATGTAAGCAACTCAAATCCTGTTTCTGACAAAGCACACCTTTCTTGACATTTAAGGACTAAGAGCAGTCAGTGTAACAGCAATTCATGCCAGAGCAGGAGAAAAAAAGTCATGAGACTGGGGAGCCTTTTCCTTTATAAAGTAGGAAGCCCAAATGTGTTCTCAATCAATTAGGTTACCTCTATTAGAGCATGACATTTTCTTTCAGAGGAAACTTTGCTTGAAAAAGAAATATTTTCACCATTACATAGTTGCCTATGTGCTTGTATTAGTTATCAATTGCTGTGGAACAAATTCCTCAAAATTAGCAACTTAAAACCACAAATATTTATTATCTCAGTTTCTGTTGATCAGAAACTTGGGAGCAATTTGGCTGGGTGGTTCTGGCTCAGAGTCTAATGAAGCTGCAGTTGACATGTGGCCAAAGCTTCAGAAATCTGAAGACTGGCTAGATCTGGGGGATCCACTTTCGAGAGAATTCAGTCACTGCTCAAAGTAAGCCTCAATTTCTTGTTGGATGTTGTCAAGAGGCCTTGCTTTCTCATCATATGAGACTCTCCATAAAACTGCACATGACATAACAACTGGCTTCTCCAAAAGCAAGTGACAGGGAACAGAAAGATCAAGAAGAAGCCCCAGTGCCTTTTATGACCCAGTCTCAGAATTTGCACACTACCACTTCTACTTATCAGAAGCAATTCCAGTGACACTCAAGAGGAGAGAAATTAAGTTCCACTTCTCAAAATGAAGAGTTGATGACTTTACGGACACATTTTAAAACATCACAGGCTTGGAGTTTCCTAAAGGACCACTAGATTATGAAATTTTTGAGAGTGACATTGTATAAGCAACTCATAAAAGCCAGAAGTCAACTGGTTTAACTCAATGAAAGATAATTATTGTGTCACTTGCTGAAGAGAAATTAAGTAGCTTAATTCTTCCAAGGCTGTCTTAAAATTATTATAAGCAATATCTAAAAGAAATTCTACAGTGAGTAGAATCATTTGATATAGACATTGCTCTAGTTTTCTTCTTCTGTTCCATGGTCCAACTTTTTTTTTTATTATGCTTTAAGTTCTAGGGTACATATGCTCAACCAGAAGGTTTGTTACATAGGTATACATGTGCCATGGTGGTTTGCTGCACCCATCAACTCATCATTTACATTAGGTATTTCTCCTAATGCTATCCCTCCCCCAGACCCCCAGACCACCACCCCACAACAGGCCCCGGTGTGTGATGTTCCCCGCCCTGTGTCCATGTGTTCTCGTTGTTCAAATCCCACCTATGAGTGAGAACATGCAGTGTTTGGTTTTCTGTTCTTCTGATAGTTTGCTTAGAATGATGGTTGCCAGCTTCATCCATGTCCCTGCAAAGGACATGAACTCATCCAATATTTTTATGTGAAGTTGCAGCTATCACAGAATTTCCTTTCACTGTTATATAGTGCAAGATTTCCAACCCAGTATCAACCATGCAAATTGTTACAAAAAAAGTTTGCATTAAAGAGTGTCTGGACTGCCTGCTTAAGAAACACTCAAACTCGAGATATGGAAGTATGGCCTAGTGTTGGGTCTTCTCAATTTTTCAGAACCAAGTAAATGGCCAAAAATATCTGAGATGAAAGCAGAAATGGCTTGTTTTAAGAGGTATGAATCAGAGCCCTGGCCTCTATGATCAGTTGAAGAACTGAAGAAAATCGACATCACAGGACATCTAAGAAACCCAGAAGGGAGTCCCAGACATCCCCCAGCCTCCATAACTTCTGCGGACTACTTCATTAAGCCTTATGTCTAAATTCTAAATAATTCTTCTATCTCTTTTATAAAAATTTTACTATCAATTATATCCCACAGTGAGCCCTGTTGTTACCTATATCTTTGCCTACTTTAGTTCATAGTGCTGTATTCTGTCTTAACTAAGCATGCAATAACCTGTACTGAATTTCTAATGCTAGTATTGAATTATCCACTGTAATGGAAGCAAAAATTGATATAGATAATTGAGAAGGAGAGGAAATTGTTTCTGTTTCACTTTGATAGACAATTTTTGCAGAAAATTTACCTTCCCAACTCTGTTTTCAGGTTTAGAATTGGTTTGCATGCCCTGAAACACAAATTTTGATATAAAGAAAAGCACTAAGAAAAATCTGTCTTGGAAAATATTTAAATCTTGCTGATTTAACACTTGTCATTAATATTTCATGCATGACAACTACACAAATTCAACTCTATTATTAATAGTTTTGTTGTTTAGTAAAAGAAACAAATTTGTTTCATTTCAGAATATCAGCTTAGTAACTGGCCTTTCATTCACTCATCTACTCATATAGGTTACACGAAATACAAAAAGGTACAGACTTAGATGAATGCATGGAAAAACCATCAAAATATTTTTAATCCCTAATTTAACATTGAATATGTTTTCTTCTAAATTAAGTCCCCTCCTAGGCACAGTAAAACTCATTTCACTTCCTTGAGGAAGAGTGGTACTGTGATTGGTAACTTGGATAAAACCCAAGAAGGAATGTGTGGCTTGCTTCTGAGTGTGAGGCTGAACCCTGATGTAATGACAGGTTAATGGGTAGAAATAAAAAGTGAAGTGATTCAGGTGGTATTGGCACCAAAAAGGTTTTCCTATCCGATGAAACTAGTAATTACAAGAGGCATTGCCTGAAGTATTTTATGTCTGGGATAAATTCTTCTTACTACAATCAGTACTGTGCAGTTTTATAAAAATTTTCTATTTCTAGATATCTGAACCCTTTCCCAGGAATGCATGAAAATGTTGCCATAAATTTGTTGGTTTTTTATTGGGGAATAATTAGAATGTTTGGATGACTCTAAACCAAGACAAATAACTGAGCTAGAATGTAAAGACATTTTTAGCAATCATTAGGAAGAAAAATGTTGAGAAAATAGATCCCCAAATCCATGTATTCAACCTATTATTTATTGAGTACACACTGTGTGTCAAGCCTGTGCTGTATACTGAGCACACAATATGGAATAAGACAAAAATTATTAAGTTGCTTATGAAACTTATAGAATGCAAATAAGTCCAACAATCAAAAAGCAAATAAGATAAGGCACAATGGTACAATGTTCCAGGGCAAAAGAGTGTGTAGTAAGCATGGAAGTACACGGCCTAGATACCCTTTCAGTGAGAGTGTGCTCACTAGCTGTGGGGACTGCGGTCAGAAGATAGCTGTCCACACTTTAGCAGCTGAGGGCTGCTTCAATCAAGGTCATGCCCATCCTGTGGCAGCCTACATCCATTGAGGGGATAAGGTTGGATGATTTTAGCCCAAAGTGGACAGCTCTGATGAGCAATAGTCATTTCACAGCACCCTGCTAGGTTGGCTGCAGCTTTCTCATCCCCCACATGGTAGTTTGATTCCTTCCTTTACGCAACCCTGGTTCCTTTCCTTTCACTGGGATAGATCCATGATAAATAATTTGGAAGCCGATCTCCATCCCAATATCTGATTCCAGAGAAGCTAACCTACAACCAAGTGAAGACGAGAAACATTCAACACAGTAGCAGGGGAGCAATCAGGCAAAGTTTACCAAAACAAGTAGCATTTTTTTTTTGGAATATAAAAGAATAAGAATTTTAATTATATCTGAAAGTAATTACAATGAAATGTAAATAAAATTTTAATTTTTCATTTGGAATAATTCTGGTTAATTTGTAGTATCTGTGCACTAAAATAGATATTCCATTTACATAGAGCAGTGCTTAACCAGTCTAATTATTTGAGAGTTATCAGCACTTGAAGCCATTCCTAAACTAGCAATATAAATTTAATACATTACACAAAACATTTCAAGAGGAAATTTGCTATTTCTTGAACATTGCTTAGAATACTAACCGAATGATCTTAATTTTAAACATGCTGTCAATCATTTTTTTAATCTATTTTTATTTATTATACTTTAAGTTTTAGGATACATGTGCACAACGTGCAGGTTAGTTACTTATGTATACATGTGCCATGTTGGTGTGCTGCACCCATTAACTCGTCATTTAACATTAGGTATATCTCCTAATGCTATCCCTCCCCCCTCCCCCCACCCCACAACAGGCCCCAGTGTGTGATGTTCCCCTTCCTGTGTCCATGTGTTCTCATTGTTCAATTCCCACCTGTGAGTAAGAACATGCGGTGTTTGGTTTTTTGTCCTTGTGATAGTTTGCTGAGAATGATGGTTTCCAGCTTCATCCATGTCCCTACAAAGGACATGAACTCATCATTTTTTATGGCTGCATAGTATTCCATGGTGTATATGTGCCACATTTTCTTAATCCAGTCTATCATTATTGGACATTTGGGTTGGTTCCAAGTCTATTGTGAACAGTGCTGCAATAAACATACATGTGCATGTGTCTTTATAGCAGCATGATTTATAATCCTTTGGGTATCTACGCAGTAATGGGATGGCTGGGTCAAATGGTATTTCTAGTTCTAGATCCCTGAGGAATCGCCACACTGACTTCCACAATGATTGAACTAGTTTACAGTCCCACCAGCAGTGTAAAAGTGTTCCTATTTCTCCACATCCTCTCCAGCACCTGTTGTTTCCTGACTTTTTAATGATTGCCATTCTAACTGGTGTGAGATGGTATCTCATTGTGGTTTTGATTTGCATTTCTCTGATGGCCAGTGATGATAAGCATTTTTTCATGTGTCTGTTGGCTGGATACATGCCTTCTTTTGAGAAGTGTCTGTTCACATCCTTCACCCACTTTTTGATGGGTTTTTTTTTTCTTGTAAATTTGTTTGAGTTCATTGTAGATTCTGGATATCAGCCCTTTGTCAGATGAGTAGATGGCAAAATTTTTCTCCCATTCTTTGGTTGCCTATTCACTCTGATGGTAGTTTCTTTTGCTGTGCAGAAGCTCTTTAGTTTAATTAGATCCCATTTGTCAATTTTGGCTTTTGTTGCCATTGCTTTTGGTGTTTTAGACATGAAGTCCTTGCCCATGCCTATGTCCTTAATGGTATTGCCTAGGTTTTCTTCTAGGGTTTTTATGGTTTTAGGTCTAAGATTTAAGTCTTTAATCCACCTTGAATTAATTTTTGTATAAGGTGTAAGGAAGGGATCCAGTTTCAGCTTTCTACATATGGCTAGCCAGTTTTCCCAGCACCATTTATTAAATAGTGAATCCTTTCCCCATTGCTTGTTTTTCTCAGGTTTGTCAAAGATCAGATGGTTGTAGATATGCAGCATTATTTCTGAGGGCTCTGTTCTGTTCCATTGGTCTATATCTCTGTTTTGGTACCAGTACCATGCTGTTTTGGTTACTGTAGCCTTGTAGTATAGTTTGGAGTCAGGTAGCGTGATGCCTCCAGCTTTGTTCTTTTGGCTTAGGATTGACTTGGTGATGCGGGCTCTTTTTTGGTTCCATATGAACTTTAAAGTAGTTTTTTTCCAATTCTGTGAAGAAAGTCATTGGTAGCTTGATGGGGATGGCATTGAATCTATAAATTACCTTGGGCAGTATGGCCATTTTCACAATATTGATTCTTCCTACCCATGAACATGGAATCTTCTTCCATTTCTTTGTATCCTCTTTCATTTCATTGAGCAGTGGTTTATAGTTCTCCTTAAAGAAGTCCTTCACATCCCTTGTAATTTGGATTCCTACATATTTTACTCTCTTTGAAGCAGTTGTGAATGGGAGTTCATTCATGAATTGGCTGTTTGTCTGTTATTGGTGTATAAGAATGCTTGTGATTTTTACACATTGATTTTGTATCCTGAGACTTTGCTGAAGTTGCTTATCAGCTTAAGGAGATTTTGGGATGAGACAATGGGGTTTTCTAGATACATAAGCATGTCATCTGCAAACAGGGACAATTTGACTTCCTCTTTTCCTAATTGAATACCCTTTATTTCCTTCTTCTGCCCGATTGCCCTGGCCAGAACTTCCAACACTATGTTGAATAGGAGTGGTGAGAGAGGGCATCCCTGTCTTGTGCCAGTTTTCAAAGGGAATGCTTCCGGTTTTTGCCCATTCAGTATGATATTGGCTGTGGGTTTGTCATAGATAGCTCTTATTATTTTGAGATACGTCACATCAATACCTAATTTATTGAGAGTTTTTAGCATGAAGGGTTGCTGAATTTTGTCGAAGGGCTTGTCTACATCTATTGAGATAATCATGTGGTTTTTGTCGTTGGTTCTGTTGATATGCTGGATTACATTTATTGACTTGCATATGTTGAACCAGCCTTGCATCCCAGGGATGAAGCCCACTTGATCATGGTGGATAAGCTTTTTCATGTGCTGCTGGATTCGGTTTGCCTGTATTTTACTGAGGATTTTTGCATCGATGTTCATCAGGGATATTGATCTAAAATTCTCTTTTTTTGTTGTGTCTCTGCCAAGCTTTGGTATCAGGATGATGCCTCATAAAATGAGTTAGGGAGGATTCCCTCTTTTTTCTATTGATTGAAATAGTTTCAGGAGGAATGGTACCAGCTCCTCCTTTTACCTCTGGTAGAATTTGGCTGTGAATCCATCTGGCCCTGGACTTTTTTTGGTTGGTAAGCTATTAATTATTGCCTCAATTTCAGAGCCTATTATTGGCCTATTCAGAGATTCAGCTAAGATCTAAATATAGATGGAAGTTAACCAAATCATTTTGCAAGGTAAAGTAGGACAGAGGAAAAGAAGGCAATGAGTGTTTGTTTCAGAAGCAAAGATTCAAAATTCTAGTAAAACGAAAAGTACAGAAATTTTTTAAAAAATGTTTTGCACAGGGGAAAAAACAAGACATAAGAGTTAGGAGTCAAACCTAAAAGCACCTCACAAGCCTTTCTGAGATCATAATTTATGATGAGAAACCACAGGAGGATTTAAGCAGGGGAGTGATCATTCAGCTTACAGTAGAGAGACCCATTTGGAGGGACAATGTTAGAAGCAGGGCTCCCACATATACAATTAATGCCATCTGGATAAAAGATTATAATGAAATAAACTAGATTCAGGTCAGATGGATAGAAATGAATGAACACAAGCAATATTGGGGTGATAGAATAGGACCCTCTGATTTATTAGATATGAGATAGCAAGAGGGAAGGAGAAATTAAAAATGCTAATTTGTTTTCCCTTTGAAAGAACTGGATAGATGTTGGCACCATTCACTGAGATAAGATACATGAGAAAAGGAGACAGTTTAGTGGGAATGATTTCAGCTTTGAACATGAGATTGATATAGAAATCTGTTGTTCAAAAGGGAACCATCAACACTATCAGCATTATATTAGCATACCATTATTCAATCATTATCATATCAGCATATCATCAAATAAGTGCTCACTACAACCTTGGGGTTGAAGAACCTCCAGGGAGGAATATTCCAGTGAGAAAAGAGGAAGGGCTGGGACAAAATGATAAGTAATATCAACAATGAAGAAATACAGCCTGCTTAGGAGAGAGGCCAAGTAAGAAAAGTAATGACGTGATCTGCAGAATTTAGTAGCACCATATTAACACGGAATGGGTAAGGGCAGAAGCCAGATTACGAGGAGCTCAGGAGTGAGGCCTTGGAGGCACCCAGTGTAGAAACTTCTCAGAAAGCACAATGCAAAAAAAGAAAGCAAAGGGGAGAAGACAACAGAGAATCAGAGGGAACTGTGAGAACTACTGATGTTGTTGATGATAATGATACCTTATTGTTGCTGGGTTTGGTGCTGTTGCTAATTTTATTTTAATGGGAGGCATAAGTTTAAGTTTAACCACTTGCAAGAAGAAATCAGTAATACAGGAGACTGGAAGTATAAGAAGGGGAGTAATCAAAATTTCCTGAGCAGGCAGGCAGAACATGGGATCCAGAGGGGAGGTAAAGGAATTATCCCTGAAGTAGAGAAAAACATGTCTTGTGAATCGTAATGTGAGAGAAAAAGAAAAGAATGAATGGTGAGAGTTAAGTTCTTATATCTAGGTGGAAAATTACAGAACTTACTTTTTTTGGACTCTATAATCTGCATAAAATAAGAAAGTACATCAGCTGCTGAGAGTGAGCCTGACTAATAGGCAAGGAAATCTGACAATAGAGAAGATTGTGTTGAAAGGAGTTTTGGAGATTACTGAGAAGAGCTGATAAAAGGAATATAGTAGGGTTGCTGTGCAATCGATAACAAACTTTCTGCCTCCACTATTCGCTTTCTTCTGCTCGATTATAATAAATAGCAGGGAGTTTTTATCTGCCACGGCAATAATCGTCAGCTTCTTCCTATGGGCATTTGTTCTCCTCTAACTCTGTGGTTGTTGTATAAATAAACATGGAACAATAACCCAGGGAAAATCTGCCTCACGCATTCCAAAAGAAAAGTTGAATTCAAGAAACTGGTTTAAAATGATGCTAAAGAACAGAACAGGAGTCATATAATCATAGATGTAGGATTGTAACCAGGCTGGTCACTCTACCCAATTATCCTTCTGTTGCTATCCCAGAGAGACAGTCATCAATATAAAGCCCCTCTTGAAATGAACCCAAGAGAGTGAATTTCTGAAGTATGAAAATATCCTATTAGGGGAGATTTCAAATGGAAGATATTCCATGGTAAGAAATCTCAGGAGAGCTCCTTTATGAAGTTTCAAGCTGTATTTAGGAAGACGTCACCAGTTCTAGCTAACACTATAATTTGAAACTTTTTTCTTTTTTATTTTTTAATTAAATTTAAGTTCGGGGTACATGTGCAGGATGTGCAGGTTTGTTACATAGGTAAACGTGTGCCATGGTAGTTGGCTGCACCTATCAACACATCCCCTAGGTATTAAGCCATGCATGCATTAGCTGTTTATCATGATGCTCTTCCTTCCCCTGCCCTCCCCTGAGAGTCCCCGGTGTGTGCTTTTTCCCTCCCTGTGTCCATGTGTTCTCGTTGTTCAGCTCCCACTTGTAAGTGAGAAGATGCGCTATTTGGTTTTCTGTTCCTGTGTTAGTTTGCTGAGGATAATGGCTTCCAGCTCCATCCGTGTGAAACCTCTTAATCACAGCTTTCATTGAATTGATGCTAGGTACAAGTAGAATTATTATATAAATAAATGAATTGTGAAATATTAGTACCTATGTTTTATGAATTACCATTACAGAGAAAATCAAAATTTGTAAAATAAACATGTAAGACGATTGTTATTCATACTCTAAAATGATTTTTACAGATTTCTTACAGGAAGTAAACATATGCTTTTAAGCAACAATGTGGACATACTTGGTCAAATAAAATCTCTTGAGGGAATTTTCATCCTCAATCATTCATCTTCTACCTTTCTCACTCCTGTTGCCATCTGGCTCTGGCTCTTTCTACATAAAAAGATTTCCATTATCACCCATATTAAAAGAAAATATAAAACAATTGTATTTCTATATAAATGGTTAGGGTTCTATATTGCCTTTTATTTATGTACAAGTTACTTTAAAATATTTATTTTGTCAGCCACCAATTTCCTATTGCCCACTGAATTTCCTCTCTATATATCATTATTGGCCTCCAAACTGTCAAATTTAATAGATAAATAATCCATCCTTCCCTGAATATGATAGTTTGTTGCCTATCCAACAGCCTTTCCCTCCCATCCCCAAGACTTTTTCAGGAATCAGGGGACCATATGCTTCACAACAGCCTCAGCCTGTCTAGGAAATTCAATTCCCCTTGGAAGTGAATACTTTAGGCTTGGGCCCACAATGCAACTCTTGCCAATGGGGGTGTATGTTCATTTTCTGTAGTTACTGTAACACAGGGGTCCCCAACCCCCAGGCCACAGATCCGTATTGAGCATTATCACCTGTACCATCACTGCCACAGGTACCAAGCATTACCACCTGAGCTCCCTCTCCTGTCAGATCAGCCGCGGCATTAGATTCTCATTGGAGCACAAACCCTATTGTGAACTGTGCATGAGAGGAATCTAGGTTACGCACTCCTTCTGAGAATCTAATGCGTGATGATATGTCACTGTGTCCTGGCACCCCCAGATGGGACTGTCTAGTTGCAAGAAAAATGAGCTCAGGGATCCCACTGATTCTACATTATGGTGAATTGTATAATCATTTCATTAGATATTACAATGTAATAATGATAGAAATAAAGTGCACCATAAATGTAATGCACTTGAATCATCCCAATACCATCCCCCTCTTCCCTCTGTCCTGGTCCATGGAAAAATTGTCTTCCATGAAACCCGTCCCTGGTGTCAAAAAGCTGGGGACTGATGCTGTAACACATTATCACAAACTGCCTTAAAACAACACAACATCATCTTACAGTTTGGGAGGTCAGAAGTCCAAAATGGGTCTCACTGGGCTAAAATGTAGATGCCAGCAAGGTTGCATTCCTGCTGGAGATTCTGGGAGAGAATCCATTTGCTTGCTATTTTTAACCTTCTAGAGGCTGCCTGCATTCTTTGTCTCATGCCTGCCCCATCCTTCTATCTTCACAACAAGCAATATAGGACCACATCATTTTCACATTGCAAAAACTCTGGTTCTCCCTTTTCTGCCTTCCTCTTAAGGTCATTTGTGATACACTTGGTCCACCTGGATAATCCAGGATAAACTCTGAATCTAAGGTCAGTTGATTAGCAATCTTAATCTTAGCCGCAACCTTAATTCAGCTTTGCACACAACATAATTCATTTACAGGTTCCAAGAATTAGGATGTGGATACGTCAGTGGGGGGCATTACTCTGCCTACCAGAAAGTGTAAGAGAAAGTCTGCTGGGCAGGGAAAGATAATACTCCTCCTTCTGTCTCTGGAAGTTTCAAGGTTTGTATGTGCTATGTGGAATTATGGCAAGCATTGTAGGATTACAAGATGAGCCAGCCTAAGTGGGAAGACTTTTATTGTAGGAACAATTATGATTTTATCATCACTTTGTACAGTCCCACTAAGTAAACCAAACCCAGAGCAATTTTCATTCTACTTGTCACATGAGATAAAATTCGATTTTTGTGTATTCATTTGAATTGTGTTTTCTCTTTCCCACAGCAAAAAATTCTGATACTTTACCTTCCTACACTTTTCTGAGCATTTGAATTTCACTTAACCATTTTGAAAAATTCATCATGCTTTTGCAGTATTACTGTAGCCTGCTTTTCTCCTACCTCTCAAGCCATTCCTGCCCAGATTCATTCAAAGGATTTTCTCTGCTTACACTCTCACTGATGGTTTTCACACCTGGCCCTGTCTTCACCTTTTCCCATCTCTCTATTCTTCCTGAGTAAATTCATTTTCTTCCAAGGCTTTAACTCTCCTTTACATGCTGATTCATATTTTTTACCTCTATTTAGAAACTCCTTTTATTGCTAAATCTATGCTTCTTCTATGGTTTGAATGTCTCCTTCACCATATTTTGAAACTTAATCCCCAATGTGGCATTATTGAGAGGTAAGGGCCTCTAAAATGTGGTTGGATCATGAGGGTTCTGCTCCCGTGAATACATTAACCCATTCATGAATTAATGTATTAATGAGCTAATGCATTAATGGATTATCAAAGAGGGGAACTGACAGGTTTATAAAAAGAGGGAGAGAGACCTGAGCTACCATGCTCAGGCCTCTCTCCATAGGATACCCTTTACTGACTCAGGACCCTGCAGAGTCCTCACCAGCAAAAAAGCTCTAATCAGATGCAGCTACTTGATCTGGGACTTCCCAGCTTTCGTAACTGTAAGAAATAACTTTTCTTTACTTATAAGTTACCCAGTTTCAGGTATTCTGTTGTAAGCAACAGAAAATGAACTAGGACCACCTGCTTCCAAGTAATTATTGCAGATTTCTTATTGAATATCCCCTGGCTCTCCCCTCCTCAACTTACTTTGTTCCTGAACTTTCTAATATATCTTCCACATCAGTGAAAGACTCCAAAACCTATTTTGGTCAGCCAAGTCAAACACATGAATAAGCTTCCATTTCTCCTTCTCACTCAGACACTTTCCCTATTGAATTAGCCACTAAATTTATGGCCTTGACCTTCTTAAAATCCCTTTATCTTCCCACCTCCTCATATCTATAGTTATGACTTTGCTTCCTCATTTCTCACCCTACAAAAGCCATCTCAGCTTCTTTCCCTATATTCAAACTCTGCAACTCTTTAACCACAATCCATTATCTCCATGCTCATCCAAGGAACCCCCTATAATTAAAATAAGATCATCTCTCTCCCCTGCTTAAATCTTTCTGTGGATTTTGATAACTTTTAGGCTAATAATAAACATTCAACAAATGATACAACTGTGATGTAGTACACATTTGTTATATTACCTTATCTCATGTATCTTTTCAACTATCCTGTGAGTTAAGCAATATTATTGTGTCTATTTAACAGATTAAAAACTGCAATTTAGAGAGTGGATACAGCTTCCAAACATCACACAGCTGGTGAGGTTTGAGTTGGGTTTTAAGCCCGATCATTCTCACTCTAAAATCCATGCCTTCAATCAGTCACATTTCTTAGGTGAGTTCAAACTGCCCAGCCAATGCCTAACTATCCAAAAGGATCCCTCGCCAATTGTCTCCAACTCCCAATTGCTCCATCTCTCCAGCCATATAAGCCACTCACGATTTCTCTAAAATGCCATGGGTCCTTGCTGCTCTCTACCACATACTGCTTCTATCTACCAAGAAGGTCCTTTGCACTTTTTGTTTTCATTTTCTAATTGGTAGAGCAAACTTGGCCATGCAAATTCTCCTCCTTGCAGTCTTCCACAATTTCCCAACAGCTGATTTACAAGTTTCTCTCTTCTGTGCTACTGTGGCATTTATATCCACTTAAAATAATAACAGCTACCATTTCTTACCTGCTTTTCCATGGAAGACACATGTCAAAGTGCTTTACATACATAAAGTTTTTAATTCCATAGAAAACTATTATGATAGCTTAGTTTACAAATGGAAAGTAATCAGAGAGTTTATGATGATACAGGCATTTTGTTCTATAGTCTCTGTTCTACTTTCTTTTTCCTTTAGGGTATCTTGAGAGCAGGGACCATGGTCTACATGATTTGAATAACTGAGACCTACATATAAGCAAGGTTGTTTCCTAAAGATAAGGTAATGGACCACCCATTAAACTAAGAGATCTGTGACAGTACAGACATATATAAATATAGTAAATGTCTTGATATTTTACTGTTTGGAAAACACAGAGCATATTAGTTTGATATAAGTTGTTGTTCATTTCTGTTTCCTCACCACTTTCCTGTGAGCTACTTAGTGGCATAAAAACCATTCCATATTCACCCTGGATTCCATGTACCTAGCACAGGCACTCAACAAATGAACTAGAAAGTTAAACTAATCACCAGATATTAATGTTAGCTTTGCCTCTCCATTTTATTATGTGCCACATACATATTCAAGACAGGAAGAAATCTGTATTAAATCTCTAATACTACATCCAGCTCAGTAGGAACTGGAATTATTACTTACGTTTATTGTACTTCATCGTCATCTACCACAATTCATCTGGTTTTTTAGAAGCTATACAGGTGAACTGAATGAGGGTATGACATAAACACTCTTTAATTGTCCCAAGGCAAATAAAACAATATTAGCAGCTTGGCCACAGTTTCAAAAATCAAGTTAAGAATTCCACTTTATATTTTTCTCATAATGCTATTTTTGTTTTGCAGCACTTAGCTAATCTTTTTCTTATACTGGCATGATATTATTATACTGTTTGTGAATCTATATCATACTTTGCCAATAAATTACAAATCTATTTTATTATGAACAATGCACATATGTAAATGCTTTGAAACTTATCTCTGAGATATTCTAAATGTATATTTAAAAAATCGATGGTCTCTTTAAGTAGAATCTCTAAAAGGCATCCAAGCTAGACATATTCTGAGTATTTCAAAGACAGAGAATGTTACTTAAGTGTTTAGGTATTGCGTACCAGGCAACTGTGAAGAATCCCTGAGGTGGCAGAATCGGGAAGCAGAATAGCACTGAAGAGAACAAAACACTCCACGGAGAGAGGCACAGGTTACTGATTTACAGTTAGCCACACTTTCAATTTACTCCAAATGAGACAACATGAGTAACAAAGACAGAGAAGGACTTTGTTCCAGGTGAGAATTAACACTGGTGAGAACATCTGATAGCTAATGTGATTAGAACAGAAGTCTCTCATTTAGAAAGCTTAGAAGCTTTGACACTGAGGAAGCTTCGTCAGTGCAGCCCTGAAGGGAAGAGGCTGCACAGGAGCCTATGTAATGAGTATTCAGGAAAGAATAATGGCTACAACCTCTAAGGTCTGCAAGCCAGCCTGAAAAATATCAGTCAATTACAGTTGACACAGCAACAGTGGAGGAAAGAAGCTAGATTGGCTCCTGATGGCTTTTTCTCTAGTCCTTACTTCTGGGGAAAGAGTCCTTTCTTTTCCTTCTTGTCTCTCCTCTTTTTTTCATGATTTATTCTTCTCTGCCTATCTCACATTTTGCCTTCTCTCCCTTTTTTATAACTCACCGTCTTTTCCCATTCTTCATCCTCTTATCTAAATTTCATAAGATACGACTTTAAAGACATAAAAAAGTTTATAAAATAGGTAAATTATAAATGAATTTCTAGTAAAATATTTATAAATTACCAAAATTGCATTCATTTAATAGTGTTTACTTTTAATCCAAAAAGGTGAAATTAGTATGTATTTTTTTGCCACTCTAGAAATGCCTAGAGCAATTTGAAAGTAAAAAGAAAAAATCATTGCCTACTTCAATTTAGACATGGAAGCTCAGTTTTCAACAGATTTGTCTTAGAAAATTGATTTTTCTTTTTGCAGACCTTCAAAGAAAATTGTCCTGAACTACCCAGTGTTTTAGCCTATGTTATACTACAAATATTATCATTAATCAACACTAATTTGTTTATTTCTTTGCTTTGTGTTTTCAACTGATAGGCCCTGTTTCTAGTTTGGATTTTCTTCTTCAATGCAGCAAGCTAAATCTTGAGTTGTTATCAGTAAATATTACTTAAAATATGCTAACTTGAGCTTTTAGAAAGGGAGGTAGTTCACAATTTATACATGGTTATTGATTAGATTTGAAGAACTACCCAAAAAATATATAAAATATATTTAATAGTTGGTTTACAATTTTGCATGCAATGGGTAAGGTTTAAAACCTAATTATCATTCTCTAATGGCTATTATGATAAAGACCAAAATAAAAGTGTTGATGAGGATGTGGAGAAAAGGGAACCCTTGTGTACTGTTGGTGGGAATGTAAATTAGTACAGCCATTAGGGAAAACAGTATGAATACTTTTCAAAAAACTAAAAATATAACTACCATAGGATCCAACAATTCTGCTATTACTGGATGCATAGCCAAAAAAAAAAAAAATGAAATTCGTATGTCAAAAAGATATCTGCACTCCCGCTGTTCATGGCAGTATTACTCAAGACACTCAAAATATGGCATCAACTAAGCGTCCATCAACCGACGAATGCATAAGAAAAATGTAACATATATATACACAATGACATACTATTTATGCTTTAAAAACCCAGGAAATTCTGTCATCTGTGACAACATGAATGCCCCTGGAGGACATTATGTTTAATAAAAGAAGCCAGACACAGAAGACAAAAATCACATCTTCTCGCTTATGCGTAGAATCTAAAAATGTTGGCGGGCACAGTGGCTCACACCTGTAATCCCAGTACTTTGGGAGGCCGAGGCGGGCAGATGACGAGGTCAGGAGATCGAGACCATCCTAGCTAACACAGTGAAACCCCGTCTCCACTAAAAATCCAAAAAAATTAGCCGGGCGTGGTGGCGGACGCCTGTAGCTCCAACTACTCGGAAGGTTGAGGCAGAATGGCGTGGACCCGGGAGGCGGAGCTTGCAGTGAGCCAAGATGGCGCCGCTGCACTACAGCCTGGGCGACGGAGCAAAACTCCGTCTCAAAAAAAAAAAAAAAAAAAAAAAACAACTAAAAAAATTGAGCTTATAAAAACAGAGTAGAAGGGCTGTTACCAGGGGCAGCAGGATTGGGAGATGATGGTCAAGTATACAAAATTTCAGTTAGACAGGAGGAATAAGTTCAAGAGATCTACTGCACAACGTGGTGACTATAGTTACTAACAATGTATTATATACTTGAAAGTTGCTGAAAGTATATTTTAAAATTCTCACCTCAAATGTGTGAGTTAAAATAGAACTATTGTTCTTTTCATATTTGTGTTTCATTAGTGAACTTGTCTATTTATAATATTTATTGAACAATTTAATAGAAATGTGCAGGAGTTACCTGGTTATTTAAAACAAATGAAAAATAAAGAATAGACAAACCACCACTGATTAGGAGATAAACAACAACCACAATTAGGTAAGGAGATAGTATGAGAAGAAAGAGAATGGTTATAATGTTATATGATATAATGATTTCTTTTAGCCAAAAATAGCCATCTACTAAACACCAGTATCTAAATATCAATTATTAAATACATTTCGTATTAAATATGTACTGTGAGGAAAAAAGCAGACCTTATTTGAAGCAATCTATACATCATAGTATCTAATATAATGAAGTTCTTGGATACATGTATTACAATACTGATTTTTTTCTTTGTTTTATTACATACTGGTAGAATTTCAATTATTCACAACACCTCCTGAAATTCTTATTAAATTAGCAACCCAGGCAGTTGATAATAAATGGCATCTAACCAGCAGCACCCTAGTGCAGCAGCCCCCCAAATTAAAAATCTAAGATTCATGAAAACTCAAAAAAAGACAAAACTCACAACCAGCAGCAACCAAGACAGACAGCAAACTTTGTACTATAAATGGGTTGAAAAAAGCATACCTAGGCTTCAAATTGTGAAAATAAGATCACATTTTTCAAAACAATGGAAAGACATGATTCTTCAACCAAAGCCTAGCCCCTGGCTAAAATTTTATGTTCCATACCAACTAGAAAATTGACAATCATTTCCTCTACTCACAGGCATTGATGAAATAATTACATTACTTATAAGGAAAAGGATGTAATTGACAGATAATATTGATTAAGTTATTACTGTTTCAGATACTGTTCTAAGTACTCTGTATGAATTAATTCATTTACTCCTCACAGTCGTAGCCATTTGTTGTAGGTTCTATTATACTACACAAAGTCAACAGAAGTTAGACAGTATATAACCACGTTTAAGAAGTAAAATCTCTATGTTAAAACAGCTCTCAGAAAACAGGATTGTGAGCAATAGAAAACAAACATTTTATTTTTATCAGTAAATTTAAAATGCTAGATAAAAATAAACAGTGAAAGAATCTTCAATGCTGAGAGCTGTGATTTTACCTGGACTTCAACTGTTTAAAGTATTTAAGAATCATATGGTGGTAGGAGGAAATCACTACGTTACTTATAAGGAAGAGGATGTAACTGACAGATAATACTGATTAAGTTATTACTGTTTCAGATACTGTTCTAAGTACTCTGTCTGAATTAATTCATTTACTCTTCACAGTAGCCGCCATTTGATGTAGGCGCTATTATAATACACAAACTCAATAAGAGACCTAGGATTCAAATCCCTGGGGCCCGATTCCAAAACCCTGCTTTTAACAATTACATTAGATATAAGAGTACTTTAGTGCAGCTGGTGCATTTGGCAGGAATTAGAAAGGGATTCATGCATATCAACCTGTGCTCCAGCGTTATATCTAAGATCCAGCCTCAACCATGATACAAATTAACAGAGAATCAGGAACAGTCACCCAGCTTTTCTTCTCAATTATGTAATCTAGAACAAAGGAAAAGAAACAGCTTCTGAGAGAATTCAAGAATAAGTGTATGTTAACAATGATCTACTAAAGAATATAGAAGAAAATATTCAGGACATCATTTGATATTCTCAATAGTGTTGGGGAAAAAAATGACCCAACAGAATTGAAGCAGAATGCCATAACTAGACACCAAGCTAAAGTGAAAAATCATAGGAAGAGATATAAAAACTTAACAGAGTAAATAAATACCACAATTAAAAGGAGACAATAAAGGCAATCATTCAGGTTTTGAAAATAAAATCAGTGATGTGGTAAACATCAGCTTAAGTTGTCAGAATTCAAATGAGGACATAAATGAAAATGCAGAGAAAAAGGGTGATCGATATGAAGGTCATAGGGTAGTATCTGATGCAGTTTAATGGGTGAGTAAATAAGTAGAATATATAAGCAAAGTACTAAAGATTGTGTTAGGAAAAAAATGACTTGAGGTAAAGAAGCAGCTATGGTTGCTGACTGAAAAAGGTTACCACCTTCTGAAAAAAATCAAAAGAATAGATTCACAGTTAAAAACATCCAAAAAATATATTTTGAGTTAATGAAGAAAAATTATCAAATTTTCTATTCCTAAATAACAAATAACTAAAAAATTATACACACACACACACGCACACGTCAAAAAGGGGAAAAATCAACAGTGTATTCATAGGGTTTAGTCAGGAATTTAGAGCCACTAGACATGTTATGTGAATACAGTGATTATGGGAGGAATACACATTACAAAAATATGGGGGAACCAGAAGATTTAAAAAAAAAAAAAAAAAAAAAGTAACTCACCAGCTGGCCAAATTGGCAACAGAAAAGTGAGAGCTTGCTGGGAAAACCAGGAAGCCACCAAGGTAGAATGACATGGAAAGGTCTATGAAATGGTCAGCTCCATGCCTTTGTACGACTACCACCTCTGAGGGTCAAGTCAGGTGCCGGCTGGAGAGACTGTACCACTGGTCTGCAAGGCCAGCATCTGGGTACACAGGCCGCACGTTAGCAGAGGGGAGGAATGGCTTCCGCTTCCCATATCCCTTCTACATCTCACCCAAATTCCTCTCTTGGCCAACTCTGAGCCAAAACACAGAAGGTAATTCTTAGCACTGTGGTTCCCAGACTTAGTCAAGTTGACAAACACAGCCATCATCAACAATGAGTATGCGATAACCAGTATGGTAGACTGTACAGCCTGGAAACCAGAGAATACAGAAGACTCTATGGCAGAACTGAGAGGCAGGTGGAGCTTTCAGCTCCTCACCCGGGCTCCAGACTTCGTATCTTCTTCTAAGGAGATGGCAATCCTGAAAACACCCAGTCCTACACCCAAAGCCGGAGGGAGGCAAATTGAGTACTTTGTTCATCTTTTATTCCTTCAGCCCAAGGAAGGATATAAACAATGATGTGGGAAGGAGGTGAGGTTGTTGGAAAGTGATCAGTGGAAAGGCTTTTTCTGAAGGAAGCAGCAGTTTCAGCAATATGTGCCATATAAGGGGCACGTCTATCATTGAAATGCAACACACTCATTCCTAAGAAGTACGAATTCTGGTACCCAAAATTTAAGAAAAATATCAGAAGAGACTATGGCTCCTAGATGGCCTAACATAGGTGGAAGTCTTTGCTTCTAAACTCTCTAACTCTCCACACCATTCCTTCAGGCCACGAAAATATATAATATTGCAGCCCTCAAGTAACAGCTCAGAGGAGAAAAAGAAATCACTTTAGATACAGTTGGAAAAGAACGATTAATTCACTTACTCTACTTCATGGCAAGAGAATGTCTGTGCAGAGCTCCCAAAACATGAACAAAATGAAAACAAGTGGCATTGCACATATGGAAACACATCAAAATGATAACTAAAATCCAGAAGTGTTTTAAAAAGCCAATTCGAAGGAAATTAAAATATATACAAGACTGATTTTAAAAAGCAAAAAGCAAAAACAACATTTGGAGACATGATTTTAAGACAGACAATTGAACAAATAAAAAAGAATAATTTGAGGACATAAGAAAATTTCCCTGAAATAAAGAAAAATCTGTATTTGCAGAAAAGAGGAAATAAATTTTTAATTTAAAATTAAAATTAAATAAAAATTTAATACAAATGCTCAATAAAAATATGTATTCTAGTCACTGTCAAACTTTAAAGATAAACAAAACATGTCTTCTAGACACAAATATCAAATCCATAAGAGGAAACAATCTCCCTTCTTGGAGAAATCATTTCTCCAAACATTATAACTGTCAGAAGGCAATTGAACAATGTCTACAACTTTAGAGTAGGGATGGGGAGACACAGAAAGAATGACCCAACAGTTTACGGCGAGTCAAGATATAATTTAAGAAATGTGACAACTTGAAAAAGCGAAGAATAAATGGTAACTCTGATCCTCTTTGAGGAGGGGGGTGAAGGTAGGATAAACTTGTGCTAATCAACAAAGAATTTGATATTGGAAAAGCTGTGGCAAAAGAACTGATAGTGAGTACTGAGTCTGTTTAAATAGCACACACTAAACAACATGGGAATGGTGGTTAAAGAACAGCAAACTCATATAATGATACAATGCAAAATATTGATAGAAATATTGAAAAGGGAAGTGAGGAAAAAAAGAAATAGAAAAGTGGGTAAATATTAGTGCCCTACTTTATACAGCAAGAAAAATCAAAACTGTCTAAAAATGAGACATGAAAAATAATGTTTCTACCTCTTAAGTTTCTCATAATATTTTTTCTTAGTTTTACAAGGATCTTTTAAGAAATAATATGTCTTGTGATTAAGAAATACTTATTAAATTACATAATTCCTTCAGGTTTTACTTCTTTTTGTGTGAAATGTAGGTAAAAATAAACACTACCTTTTATTTAGGAATGGTGTTTTCAGTATAAAACCATATTTATAAAAGCATTTTTATCTACCCATCTATTTCTATGTTTATTTCTCTGCACAAATGTCCAAAGAAAGATGGATTGATTAATTGACAGGTAGATACACAGATGATGTAAACAAGAGCAATGTTTCTTTCTGGGTAATAAACTTTAAGGGAATATGTTTTAAGCTTTTTTATTTGTGTATTCCTGTACATACAGCCATGCATTCTGTAATGTGTGACAGCCAAATAAAAGGTTCTGAAATGCAAGGAATGAGATGAGATCTAGAAATCCTCATTATATAATCTTTGGGGCCAGGCGCGGTGATTCACGCCTGTAATCCCAGCACTTTGGGAGGCCAAGGCGGGCGGATCACGAGGTCAGGAGATCGAGACCATCCTGACTAACACGGTGAAACCCCGTCTCTACCAAAAAATACAAAAAATTAGCCAGGCATGGTGGTGGGCGCCTGTAGTCCCAGCTACTCAGGAGGCTGAAGCAGGAGAATGGCGTGAACCCAGGAGGCGGATCTTGCAGTGAGCAGAGATGGCGCCACTGCACCCCAGCCTGGGCGACAGAGCAAGACTCCGTCTCAAAAAAAAAATAATAATAATCATCATCATCATCGTTGGAGTTTTACTACTCGGCTAAGAATGAAGCAAACAAAAGGGAGTGTGTTTAAGCAATGGTTGCCAAATGGTTCACAAAATTCAATGGAAATGCCAAACCTCAAAAAAGATCTGAAAGGAGAATACGATTGAAATGTGACTGTCCTTATTTTTATAGGCTATAAAGCAGACATGAACTTGCAAGCATGCATTTATAAAAGTCAAGAATTCGGTGGCATAGATATGAGAGAAAGTAGAAATGAAGAAAAATGCAAATAAGACACTTAACCATAAATATATATACCTGTAGATATAAGGAAAATAACTCAGTGATTCATCTTAATCTTATAATTAGAGAAAATAAAGTTTTGAAAAACTTAAAAATTTTGATTTATCACTAATAGAATTTACTGATATAAAAGTGCAAATTGGGAGTCTGGATTATCCAAGCAATAAAATCATACTAAAGGCTTTTTTTTCCAAGTGATTCCTCATTTTTTAATCGTGCCATTATTATTAAATCATGCTGTGCTGTCATGGGTGATACATAGGGGTGTTATGATCTGACAGAGTATATTTAACTAACTGCTGATATCCACAGCAGCCTGATTCATAAGATATACAAAACTAAAAATACATAATGGATATTTCGATGGCATTTAAAATTTTAATATTCTCAAAAAGTTCATGCTATAAACATCACTTTTAATTAGGATAGATTTCAGATATACACTTAGAAATGGACATTTGGAAAAAATGGCACAGCAAACCGAAGCACGTAGCTGTGACGGGTCTCTAAAACTGAGATATTGCATCAATGCCTTACACTTCATTTGCTACAAATGCTGTTATAAAAAATTCTTTTGATAAGTAATTTTGCAAAAACCCTCTCTGTAGTACAAAATAGAAATACTAAAAAAGTACATTATGAATAAAAGTTCTTGCCATTTTTAAATAAAGTAGCATATATTTTAACTTGAAATTTTTGAAGAAAACAGAAAATAAAAGATATTTATTACCTGAAATATATACTAATTTATATAATTATTTTCCATTTCAGATAAACTCAGATATTTTTAGTGGATACAAAAGGATGGCCTTTCCATATACTTTAGTTGATATTGATGAAATGTGTAATGATTTAGTTGAATAAGCATGATCATGGAATAACTTATAATGTAACCTTATTTTCATCTAGCAAAGTACCTTAAAATTGATTTTATTTGTGCAGACTTTCCTGCTACTTGGATGAAATTCAGGGCAAGGTCTATGACTTTTCTCATTATTGTTAAGTAATAAAAAGTGATACTTTTACTTCTATTCTCAAAAGAGTGCAGTTTAATAATTTATATGGCCTCTTCAATAATTAAAATATTCAAAATTAATTTAAATTATAGAATCTCTCTGGCCACTAGTGGTATGTGTAGATGATTTGGGTGAGCTTTTTTCTTTCACCTTGCACTTTTACTGTCTTCTTCTCCCTCTGCTATTGCATTTTCTACTACGTGTAGGATCAGAGGAGGCAAGATACAGACAAGAAGCCAAAAAATTTGTACTTACAAACATGGCTATGAAATGAAATAAGCTCACCCAGGTCTTGGTTAGTGTTTAAAGAAGTCTCATAAAATACTATTTTAGGGTTTGTTTTCTCCATTTATAGTTTCCTATAGCTTTTTTACTCTGGTTTCTTCAGTGCAGGCAAATACACCTTTCTAGCTGGTGACCTTTGCCTCTTTTCTCATTCCCTGAGAAACCAGTACCTTCTTTCTCTCAAAGGATTTTGTAATCATTCCAGGCATATTAATGTAATATGATTTAATATTACCCTACGCTTTTCCTCCTGTTTATCTTGTTCCAGGGAAACACACATGCATTCTTTGCCATGACAAATCTTAACAGTCTTAAGATGTAAGTCATAGCCACCACTTCTGACTTCCATATAAGTGCTACTAGGCAGCCAGACCTTCAGATTTCTTATACACTTATGAGACATAAGGAAAATCCTAACATACATATAATTGGAGTCTTAGGGAAGACGAAAGAGAAAATAGAGAAGGAGCAATATTAAAAGATATAGAAGAATTTTCCTAAGTTGGCAAAGCTATCATCCCAGCGTTAAAAAGTACTATTTAAATATAAAAGAGTAATACTAATTAACAAGAATATAGGAGTTTTTAATTCTATTTCACCATTTTTATATATTTGTTACCTTTATTGTTAAAAGGAGATTAAGCAAAACTTCTCCTTTAATCTTCTGGCATAGTAAAATGTGAATCTATTAACAGACAAGCTTCTAGAAAGAGCAGCCTATACTTGCTGTCCCATTTTTCAGCTTCCTTCTCATCCTTTAAACCATTTGAGAAGCATGGCCATCATCAGTAAAACCTCTGCATTGACAGTATATTTCAGCCCTTATCTTCCTCAACTTTTCTACAATACTTGTCACCCTTTATCACATTCTTTTTATTGATTTTTTTCCTTACTCAGATCCTATACCACTACTATTTCCTGGTTCTTCTTCAGTTTTTTTAGTCTCTGTTACAGGCAGGTCTTCTACACCCTCCTTAAATAAGAATGGACCATCTTATTCACACCTGTAGTGTCTACAAATAGCACTAGTGAGAAATGAAACGAAGGAATGGAACCCAGGAAATCAATTCAATCATTTAAGGCCAAAACTGATGTCTTGATCTCTCCACATAAACTTACTTCTCATCTTTTATATTGTACCGTAGTGAGCATATCAAATTTCCATAAAATAATTCAAAAACTTGAAATCACAGATTCCTCTTTTGTGAATAGCCTCCAGCTTTGAACTCTTTACAATGTTTCTGGGATTCTGAGATATATAGATTTGCTCAAATATTTAATAGAAAATTACAGGCTATGCATCAAAATAGCAAAAAATGATCAAAATTGCAATAATCTGCAAGCATTAGACTATGAGAAGTAGACATTATTTTGGATACATACTTATAGGGATATTTGCAGAACTCTTTATTGGCATATTACTACATAAAAATATAGAATTTTACATATTGTATAATCATTGTATATAAACACTAAACTGTTCTAATATTTTTGCATATATATATTTACATACATATGTTCATTTTATGTATCACTAGAGAGTTCAAAGAATTTAACTACTTATACTTTTAGTAATTTTTGTTTAATTAGCCACTTTATAACCTTTCTTTTTCACTTTTACATTTTTATACTTCTGCAACTTGAATTTCTTCATCGTAGCCATTTCTTATCTAATTAAAACATTGCTAAAAAAGAAAATACACAAACACGTATATAACACAGAACTTAGTCATGATAAAATTTTTTTCTATCTAAACACTAATGTTAGATTGGAATGGATGACTGAGAAAAACTGGAAGTAAACAATGGAAGTTAATCCGTTAGCTTTATTCATAAAATATTCATAACCTAGCAATCTCCAACCAGTGCCTAAAGAAATAAGGTGAATCCATTTAAAGAACAATGTTAGAGCATATTTCAGTGTACATTGATCATCATTTGCATAATGCAAATGATTGCATTATGGGTAAAAATCCTCAGATTCTGTACCTGAGATACATGTACAGTAAAAGATACATATTCTAAAAGAATAATCAACAAACACTGTGGTCTTGGAAGTTTCCCAGACAGGATGGTGGCCGAAAAGGGCCTGTGAGGAAAATATATTCAGATGGCTATTATGATCCTTCTGACTACCATTTCAGTTTTCTCCCTGTGTAGATAAAATTTATAAATAGAGAAAAATATATTTGAAGGTTTCTAATACAGTGATTTTGAAAAACATGTACTTTTCTAATATAGGAGAATCATTAGAGATATGATGTTATCTCAGTTTTCTTTTACAGTCTTAAAAAACATGATAGTGAACTGTCTGACTTACAGTCTAAATAAATACAATGAAAAAATTGACTGGCAACAGGTTATTTTTCTGAAAAACTGACATGTTACATGAACTTTACAAAATATAGCTGTTTTTCCTTTGAGTCCTCAAGGGATAGAGACATCAACTTCTTAGGCCTGTGCCCTTGAAGTAGACTTTAAGAACTGGGCATTCTGTTATTAGTATTCAGTTTCTAAAGTCATATTCTAATAGAAGTCTACTTATTCTAAAAAATACATGGAAGTCTCAATTTATTGATTCTAGCTTCTTCTGATTAACAAGGTATTATCATTGATATGAATGTCCTTCATCAGATGATCTGATGTGTACAAGATATAAATATATCCTGAAAATGGTGATAAAAGTAATCAGTCTTACTCACCACAAAGAAATCAAAATGATAATGACTCCAGAGTTAGCTGCTATAGAAATCTTTGACTACGTGTTATCTTGAAAAGAGAACTAGCACTACACAAAGAATGACATTAATTACGCCCTCTATTATAGTATCTAAATTCAAAATGACAACTTTATTTTTGCCAATAATGACAAATGTATGAGGCTTTTATTTGGTTTGTGAAGGTAGGTTCATTTATTTATGGAAACGTTAAGGTAAAAAATCTTAGGTAAGGTAATGCAAGGAACATCATAGCTAATATTGTCTGGCTCTGGAAACCTGCATCTGCAAATACAATCAATCAAGTCAGCCTTCAAAGTGGCAAGCTTTATGCACTTTGCAGAATATTCATTCCTTTAATCATTCAAACATGATTTTTCTTAAAACTAGCAAAACAGATTGCAAGGCATAATTTTGTTTTAGGAAATACCTAATAAAATGAAATCCTTATGGAAATAAACCATGACTGTTAGAAATCATTTTTAGTCTTCAATGTATAACAAGTATATGATCTTATTACAATATAAAAACAGTGAGGTTTTTACACTTGCTGTAATAACTGGACGTGTGTTTGCATTTTTATTGGCTGATTGCATGCTGGTTGTGGGAAGAAAGATTTTTCTAAAACTTTAAAGTCAAATGGTACTGCATTTATAATTTATATGTAAGCATGCTTTGTAAAAACCCAATCATGGTAGTTTATTTAGATGCTACCCCTCCAAGGTATTTCATAGAACAAGCTGAAGCAGCACTATAATTACTTTCAAAAGCAATCAGATAGGTTCCCAAGAGCAATTTTTATTGATTAAAATTATGATTTGTTGCTCTTAAAACTCCCTCGTGCTGCCCTTTTATTTTAATTTTTATTTATTGTCTTAATGCTGTCCATCAAAAAGCTCCCAATATACCCAGTATCGATTGTTTGCTCTTCTGGGCACATGCTTCCCACTCCCTCGACAGACTTTGGATTTCACCAGAATGAAGAGTCACTTTTTGTTATTTAAACCAATGGTTTCCTGCATTGTTTTCTCTAAGAGGCTTCTGTTGATATAAGTATTGATAAAAGGATTGCATGTATTTTTGTAAATAATTTTGTAAAATAATAACATTATTTCCATTTTGAACTCACAGGCAACTCTCTTGAATCAGAAGTATTCAGCAGAGAAGTGAAAAACTAAAAACTAAAATAATGATTAGAGGGGTGAATAAAAACTCAAAACGTTAGTATGTTTAGTATGCCAGCTAGGTACCCACGGCCTTTCATTTAAGATCATGCTGAACATAAACAGTTTATTTACATACATCAATCATTCGAATTGCCTTCCCGCTTGATAGGGTAGTGACCACTTTTCCCCACCTTAACTCCAATTGATAACACAAAACAATCAAAACATATTTTCAGTGGATTATGCTGAGGATTCAAATTTAGTAAACAGACACATTTTCTCAAATTAGAAACTCAGACAGAAAGAAAGTAATCCCAGATTGAAAGTTAGGAATGCAAAAACAAATGCAGAGAAGAAAAAGAGAAGCACATGGGTAAGTCTAGAATAACGCTAACTGTTTCAAGCTATCATAATAATTATTGAGAGTATTTGAAATGTGTGTAACATTATAAAATAACAATGGCACATAGGAGAAAATAAATAGAACTCACAGGTTGTTGGGTCTTTTCATTGTCTATCAAGACAAAAGTACCAATTAACTTAGACCATGATTATTAAAGAAAACAAAATAAGAGCTTTAGAATAAAAGAATAGTTTTAAAAATTATATTTTAAAGTAACGGGGAAAAGTGAAATTTTTAAAAAATATTCAATAAACCCAAAAATGTCCAGAAAAGAGAAAATGGTACACGGTACAAGAGTAACAAATAGAAAATATTAAAATGGTAGATTGAAACCCACATATGGCATTACATTGAATATGAATGGACTTAAGTGTTGCAGTTGAAAGATAAAAATATTTTTCCACACACACATACACACATGCTGTTTACAAGAGACACATCTAAAATAAAGTGAAACAGAAGAAATGAATGTAAACAGCTAGAAAAAGACACTTCATGAGAATACCAAATAAAATGCCTGAAGGAATAATGATGAAGCTTAGTAAACAGACAAATGTGGCTTTAAACAAACAGTACTATTGGAGATAAACACTTAAAAATGATATAGGTTCAATTAACCGGGAAAATATATAAATTCTAATTTTTATGCACCTAAAAATGACTTTAAAGTGACCGGGCACGGTGGCTCACGCCTGTAATCCCAGCACTTTGGGAGGCCGAGGTGGGTGGATCACCTGAGGTCGGTGGATCACCTGAGGTCAGGAGTTCAAGACCAGCCTGCTCAACATGGCGAACACTGTCTCTACTAAAAATACAAAAATTAGCCGGGTGTGGTGGTGGGCGCCTGTAATCCCAGCTACTCTGGAGGCTGAGGCGGGAGAATTGCTTGAACTCAGGAGGCGGTGAGTTCAAGCACCCCCGTGCCGAGCCGAGATCGCATCACTATACTCCAGCCTGGGGGACAAGAGTGAAACTCTGTCTCAAAAAAAAAAAAAAAATAAAGACTTTAAAGTACATAAAGCAAAATTACAGAAATTTTAATGAGCAGTAAATAAAGAAATAATATGAGATTTTAATGTATACTTATCACTGAGAAAACACAAAATACTGTAAAGATGTAGAAAATATGAATAACTAACAAGCTTGACCTGATAATCAGGTATGGACTACTTACTGTACTTAACAGCTGCAGAAAACCCAATGTTTCAGGTGCAGATAAAACATTTAGAACAAAGTGACTATATGCTGGGTCGTAGAGCAAGATCCAACAAAGAAAGACCAACAACACTGGTTGGAATTAAGTCCCAAAACTATAATAAACAAAGGAGAATGATAATGCGAAATCCTATGTATTTGGAAATAAAAAACATAATAGGCCAGGCACAGTGACTCACACCTGTAATTCCAGCACTTTGGGAGGCTGAGGCAGGCGGATCACCTGAGGTCAGGAGTTCGAGATCAGCCTGGCCAAAATGGAGAATCCTCGCCTCTACTAACAATACAAAAATTAGTTGAATGTGGTGGCACATGCGTGTTATCCCAGATACTTGGGAGGCTGAGGCAGGAGAATTGCTTGAATCCAGGAGGCAGAGGTTGCAGTGAGCTGAGGTCACGCCACTGCACTCCAGCCTGGGCGACAGAGCAAGACTCTGTCTCAAAACAAACAAACAAACGCAAACTAAAACAAACAAACAAAAAACATAATAAATAAGAGTAAAAGAAAGCATAATATAAGTGAGAAAAAGATATTTTCAACAGAATAATAATTAAAATACTACAAGTAAAACCTTGTGAGATAAAGAAGAAGCCGGGTTTAGAGAGAGATTTATTCCCTCAAAGGCATATATTTTAGAAAAAAATGTCTTTTTCATTTTGAAAAAATTTTAAGAATATGACTAAAACCTATAATCAGAAAAAAATAAAAGGAAAGTAAACCCAAATAAAGAAGAGTAAATTAAATCATAAAGCACATAAATTATATAATTAAAGTGGAGAAAAATAGGCAAAATCTTGAGCTGCCGTTTCATAACACAGTCTACCTGATTCTTGAATGTAATAAAAAGTGCTCATCCTCTTAAAGAACAAAAAAGTATATTAAAAGCACAGTGAAATATCTAAACACATCCACTGAAATTTCTTTATAAAACAAACCTGACGATATCAAGCGTCATCAGTTGACAGATGGAACAAGAGTTTTCATACACTAAAGGTGGGTGTGTAATGTTTATATCACTTTGCAAAATAGTCTGTCATTATGTTTTAGAGTTGAAAATATCCAGAATTCTATGACCCAAAGTTTCATTCCTAGGTATGCGCTTCACACAAGCACACAGAGGAGATGTGTTTAAGATTAAGCAAAGCAATATTATTCTTAGAAATAAAAAATGACCAATCTAAATGCCAATCAACAGTAGCATAAATAAGCATATTAATAAATATTTATCCCATTTCATTCTAAACAGCCAATATAATGTTCAAACTACAGTTACATGCAACAGTATGGAAGAATCCCACAAGCATAATCTTAACCTCAAAATGATAAATTAAAAAGAATATATAATTGGTAGAATCGAGGTCATATGCCTGCACGCTCCCTTCAAGGACATCTGGAAATTGCATGTTTTCTACTCTTATTAGTACAGGAATGCAAACTTGAAAGAAACTAGAGAGGATCACAAATGAGACTGTTAATGTGTGATTCTACATATGTAAGATTAAAAAAATGAGTGAAACAAATTAAGAACAAAAAAGTGATTAGGCCAGGTGCATTTTGGGAGGCTGACATGAGAAGATTGCTTCACCCTAGTAATTCAAGACCAGCCTGGGCAATATAGCGAGACCCTGCCTTTACAAAAAATAAAAAAAATAGCTGGGTGTACTGTCATGTGCCTTTACTCCCAGCTACTTAGAAGGCTGAGGCAGGAGGACGGCTTGAGCCCAGAGTTTTGAGGCTGCAGTGAGCTATGATCATGCCACTGCACTTGAGCTTGGGTGCCAGAGTGAAGCCTTGTCTCAAAAAAAATAGTGATTAATATAAAGGACAAAAATTTACTAAACTGCTACTCTATCATCTTGGAAAAATTATGGATAAAGAAATGTTTCTATAATTCCATAATTGTACTAATCCAATTGGTTTAAAGTAAGAAACGTTTCAATCAATTCAAACCAAAAGTATGAACACTCAAAAGCTAATTCCATGTCATTAATCTGCCAGGAATCATTGATGAATCAGATTCATGAGAGAAATTAAATCTGAACCAGATGGAACCCCACTGAGTATTAATTACCAGAGAGCCAAAATACCACCATTGGTTCTAACAGGAATGTTTGCAGACTGGCAACAAATTCTACATGCCACTGTGTAAAACTCTAAAAATTACATGGTTACAAGGTAATACTGGTTGGCCCAAATCTAGCACTTTTCAGGAAATATAACAATGGCAATTTCCTAAATCATCTTTAAGGCTTTTTCTTTCCAGCAACAATGCACAATTCAAAACTGCTTAGCAAAGAAATCCCCCATCTCCTCCGTGACTACTTTAGCACATTTTTATTTTCCACTTTCTTCTGTATTCACTATAATCTGCCTTCAAATAATTTAATTTTTAATAAATACATACTGAGCACTTACTAAGTGTCAGACACTATACTAGGCATCAGTAACAAAGTAGTAAATAAGAGAGGCCCCTCACATTCTTCCAACTTACGTTCCAGGAGAGTGAGAGACAACAAAAAACATTACAAGCAAACAAGGTAATTTAGGATGGTGATAACTGATAACAAGAATTTAAATAGCAACAATCATATTCTCCTCTGATCTAGGAACATAAAAACTTGCAGTGGAATTATGTATATTATATTTCTGGGGAAAAAATTAAAACCTCCAAGCATTGATAAGGTCTTCAAGCAATCAGTTAACTCCCTTACAAATGTGGTTTTGGTACCTAAGTTGTTCAAACCTCTGCAAATATCATTTCCATTTTCTTCTCCACTTTGAAGAACAATTTGTTATAAAATTACCTCCCGATTTTGGATGGTCAGTGAACTTTACTATACTGTTTTCTGCCAATTACTATGCCCCTGCAGTCACCCTGTTAGTAGTCTAGCCTATTCCTGGCTCTTAATAATTACCCCCAAGTATAACTGTGAGGTTGCAATTCATTTGTCTTAACTAATGAGTGAGTTGGTGATTAATTTTTGACCCTTTCCCCATTTTGCAAGCCACTCAGGTCCACTAACAAGCATAGAATCTATTGCAGTTACAATACAATGAAATCACCCTTTTCCTGCAAAATATTTCTCTGTCCCAAAATCTCAATAGCATAGTTATAATTTAATTTCAGTAACTCAGTTCAACAAAAACCAACCTAAATGTTTGAGAGATAAGGCATTCTTATTTGACGTTTTCCAAATAACTTAGCATCTAGTCAGAAAACGTTTTCCAATCTAAATCTGTCTTCCAAAAGTGACGTACTGTCATGAAGGCACACTGTAGGATGCTGCTGTAGAAATGTCAAGTGTTGGAAATTAATGTGAATGTGACTAAGAAGACATTGGCTTTGATCCCAATTCCTATTAGCATTTTTTATTGGTTACCTCTTCTCTGGAACTGAGCACAAGAGTAACTGAGGCTTTATTGTACAAATGGAAAGAAAGTATGCCATAGAACATGATTGGCAGAGTACCAAAAAGGGGGATATGACTACATTGTTTGCCTTATGCGATTAGCTGAATTTTTCTCTTTTGATTCATAGACTTACATTTTTATATGTATTTAAATGGGTATATACACACACACATATATCTGTATATACCTATGTAGTGAGATATATATATATATATGTGTGTGTTTGTGAGTGTGTGTGTGAATATATACATATACACAGAGAGACAAGAGATAAGGAAATTCAGGAACAAAGGGGTAAATTACTTTTCCAAACCACTGCTAACAAATAGCAGTGTTTTGACTTTCCTGTTCTTTCTACCTCTTCAAAAGTTAAGGACAGTTAGCTCTTACTGAAATCAAAGACATAGCTTTTAAGAAATAGTAACATTAATTGTGTCCATATTTATTCAATAAACTTGTATATCATTCTTATTTGCATTATTTACTTGATACATAGTGAATATTCTACCCTTTCTTCAATAAGTACAACATAATCAAAGAGTTCAGAAGTGGACATATTTTTATTTCTTAGCAGTTTTAATATACATTTGATTGCAAGTTTATAATTCACACACTTTCATACACACTATATGATTCATAATACCATAGTAAGGTAGGCAGGATACTATTATGACTTTTATTTTACAGATTATGAAGCTAAATGTTACAGGGGTTAATCTCCTAAGGTTATCAAGTTATTCGTTTTCAGAACCAAGACATAAAACCAGTCCTTCTGACTTCACAATCAGTGCTCATTTTAATCAATATCTTCTTCCTTTGAATTTTAGTATGAAACTATTTTCCATGAGACTGCACATGGAAATATTTATAAAACATTTAAATGCTTCAGAAACATATAGTATAAAATGTAAACCTTGAAAGATTATTTAAGAAGATTTTCTACACAATTTATTGCAGGTATAAGAAACTAAATTTTGTTGAACTACTTATAAATCGTGTCAGTTTACTGGAACAGAATGTCTACTGGGGAGAAAAAAGGCATTCCATAACATTAAACATTTATTCTTTCAAAGTATTTGACTTACCAATTAACTATTCTTGTAAATAAAAAGTTGAGTGAGACTTTATGGTTGTAATGCAAAGGAAAGTTAATTATTTTTCCATCTATAAAACTTTGGTCAGAGACATAAAGTCAATGATACTCAGTCCAAAGCTGTCAAATTATTTAAATCCTATTGACAAGATGCAACAGCTGGGTGCAGTATCTGCCACAACTTTGAAGAGAAGGAATATATGTGGATTCATGGTCCAGTGGAATCCATCTCAGGCTAACTTTGAGTATGCCCATACTCTTCAACCAGATTCAGAATTTCTATTGGCTTTGTCTCAGTGTTAATCATGATAAATTTAATTTTGTTAACGTCACCTGCTTCGATATTATCAGAAATAAACTACCCTTTATGAATTCTAACTTCTATCTCTTGTATCCATTCTTGCTTACAATTTCAACTTTGATTCTGGGCAGCCACATCTACCGGATCCCATGGTTATTTTTTAAATCACAGAACAACCAGTGATTTTCGGTTTTTTCATCTATGACTTTTCAGTCACCTGAGTATTAGAGTTTGTTATATTTTACTTCTATTGTCTATTGTATCTTATATGCAAAAACAACAACAAAAAAAAACCTCCTGGGATTTTTATAAGGCATTCTAAGTCATGCAAGTAACACTAATTTATTCATGAAAATCACAATACTTATAAGTCCACCTTTGATTTCTTGATTTGAAGTACAGATTTTGGAGCCAGAATGCTGGTGTTCAAATCTCATTTCTGTCATTTACTAACTGTATTACCTTGTAAGTTTTCTCATGTGTAAACTGGCAAAAAATAATACCTAGAAAAGAATGCTTCTGTAAGCATTAAGAAAATAAGCTAACGCTTGTAAAGTGCTTAGAGAAGGTGTAAGTCCTACAAACTGTTTATCAAGGAACATATTCTCTGTAAAACAGGGACTGATAGAAGTCAACGATCCTTCCAGATTTATCTCAGTCACATTGGTAGTGTGTCAAACAGCTTGATTGAAAAAAAACGAATTGAAATAATTCTCAGAAAATAAAAATAGGCTTCATGAGAGATCACATGATATTATTCTCCTGAACTCCATATCTTAGAAAGCAGCTATCAAAGATGGATCATAACTTGGATTCTCTTTGTAAGCAAAATAGTACTAATGAGATATTTAAAAATTACTCAGAATAAAGTTTATGTGTGTTATTAAGTGAATAAGAATGGGCATTACATAGATAAAATTTTATGAATATTTAAATTTGCTTTAAAAAACTTTCACTGAAGAATCAATTTTTTTCAAAGGCTCTTTGAATATTTTTAATGTAGTATTTTAATTTTATAAACTTAAAATTTCCAAACTTGAAAACTTTTTACAAGTAAATTTAATTTTACAGACCTATAATTTTATTAAATTATCTAATTCTTTAATATATAAATTGAATTATATACTCAAGGTAGCAGCACATAAATCTAGAATTTACAACTGTCTGTAATGTGATAAGCTCAGCTACATGTGCCTAACACACGGTGGGTGTAAGCAAATTGAGACAAATGGAAATAAAAGAGAATATAGAGGTCGGGCATGGTGACTCACACTTGTAATCTCAGCACTTTGAGAGGCCGAGACGGGCGGGTCACCTGAGGTCAGGAGTTCAAGACCAGCCTGGCCAACATGGTGAAACCCCGTCTCCACTAAAATTACAAAAATTAGCCAGGTTTGTGACTGTAGTCCCAGCTACTAGGGACTACAGATGACTGTAGTCCCAGCTACTAGTGGGGCTGACGCAGGAGAATCACTTGAACCACGGAGACAGAGGTTGCAGTGAGCTGAGATCGTGCCACTGCACTCCAGCCTGGGTGACAGAGTGAGGTTCCATCTCAAAATTAAAAAAAAAAAAAAAAAAGGTGGAGGGGGGAAGGGGGAAGAGGGAAGAGAGAGAGAGAGAATAAGAGAATATAGATATATTAAATGAAATTTTCAGGTTTTGACAGTATTCACAAACTAAGAAAGCAATTTAATTTCCTTTCTTGCCTAGAAAGAACACACTATTTGGTTATCACTGTCTCTCCTTAAATGTCTTGAAAATTCTGCTCCATTTTTGCTTTGATTTGAATGCTTGTTCTCAGAAGTCTGATGCCAGAGTAATGCCCTTCTCCTTGTAAATTATTTTGTCTTTTAGTCTGGCAACCTGATGAAATTTTATTTTTAAAATTTTTTTTATTATTATTATTGTTATACTTTAAGTTTTAGGGTACATGTGCAGAATGTGCAGGTTAGTTACGTATGTATACATGTGCCATGCTGGTGTGCTGCACCCATTAACTCGTCATTTAGCATTAAGTATATCTCCTAATGCTATCCCTCCCCCCTCCCCCTACCCCACAACAGTCCCCAGAGTGTGATGTTCCCCTTCCTGTGTCCATGTGTTCTCATTGTTCAATTCCCACCTATGAGTGAGAACATGCAGTGTTTGGTTTTTTGTCCTTGTGATAGTTTACTGAGAATGATGATTTCCAATTTCATCCATGTCCCTACAAAGGACGTGAACTCATCCTTTTTTATGGCTGCATAGTATTCCATGGTGTATATGTGCCACATTTTCTTAATCCAGTCTATCATTGTTGGACATTTGGGTTGGTTCCAAGTCTTTGCTATTGTGAATAGTGCCGCAATAAACATACGTGTGCATGTGTCTTTATAGCAGCATGATTTATAATCCTCTGGGTATATACCCAGTAATGGGATGGCTGGGTCAAATGGTATTTCTAGTTCTAGATCCCTGAGGAATCACCACACTGACTTCCACAATGGTTGAACTAGTTTACAGTCCCACCAACAGTGTGAAAGTGTTTCTATTTCTCCACATCCTCTCCAGCACCTGTTGTTTCCTGACTTTTTAATGATCGCCATTCTAACTGGTGTGAGATGGTATCTTGTTGTGGTTTTGATTTGCATTTCTCTGATGGCCTGTGATGATGAGCATTTTTTCATGGGTCTTTTGGCTGCATAAATGTCTTCTTTTGAGAAGTGTCTCTTCATATCCTTCACCCACTTTTTGATGGGGTTGTTTTTTTCTTGTAAATTTGTTTGAGTTCATTGTAGATTCTGGATATTAGCCCTTTGTCAGATGAGTAGGTTGCGAAAATTTTCTCCCATTTTGTAGGTTGCCTGTTCACTCTGATGGTAGTTTCTTTTGCTGTGCAGAAGCTCTTTAGTTTAATTAGATCCCATTTGTCAATTTTGGCTTTTGTTGCCATTGCTTTTGGTGTTTTAGACATGAAGTCCTTGCCCATGCCTATGTCCTGAATGGTAATGCCTAGGTTTTCTTCTAGGGTTTTTATGGTTTTAGGTCTAACATTTAAGTCTTTAATCCATCTTGAATTAATTTTTGTATAAGGTGTAAGGAAGGGATCCAACTTCAGCTTTCTACACATGGCTAGCCAGTTTTCCCAGCACCATTTATTAAATAGGGAATCCTCTCCCCATTGCTTGTTTTTTTAAAATTTTCATAATTCTACTAGAATGTATCTTCTGGTTGACTGTCCTGGATCAATTTTCCCAGGTCATCGGTGGGCCTAATCCAAAAGCATTCTGGTTGTCTTTTAGGTCCAGGAACTTTTCTTGGATTATAATTTTAAATATTAGTTCTATTTTATTGCTTTTGTTTTTTTTTTTCCTTTAGGGATTCTATTATACATCTATTGGATGTTATTTGCCTTCTTACTTGATCCACTTTCTCTGACACTTTTTTACCTTGTTCGTTGTATTATGTTCATCCTCTTGATTGTTTTCCTCCTCTTGTTTAATGTCTCTTATTTTACTACTATAATTTTTTTAAATTTTTTAATATTTTAATTATTTAATTTTCAAATTTAACTTTAGAGACAGGTTCTATGTCATTCAGGCTGATCTTGAACTCCTGGGCTCAAACTATCTTCCCATCTCACCCCCCAGGCAAGTAGCTGGGACTACAGGCATGCACCATGCCCAGTCTTTCAATGTCCCTTATTAATTATTACTTGAATATATTCTACAGTGAGCACTTTGTATGTTTTGTTTTACCTTTATTTCCAATAGTCTTTTTCTTCTATTTCTTTCCTTTGTTCAATTTGCATTTTTGTTAGAGTTTTAGTTTTTGAATTACTGATTTAAAATGTTTCTTATCGCCAAATGTTTATATGAAGATAGTTAATTCAGTTTGTAGTGTTTTGTTACCATCTAATTCTGTTTCATAGTTGTTTTAGGAGAATTTTCATCGGTTGAAATATTTGGATTAACACTGTTAGGTTACTTGTGACAGCAGTTTTGAATTAAATTGAGTTTTTTCTCTATTTTTAGGCATCTTAGGATAATATTTCAAGTTTAGAAGACTATTTGTTCAGTGTAATAAGGTTTCGTTTCTTTAATGGATGGTGGTGGTTGTGGTTGTGGTTATAGGAGGGGAAAGATAAGATCCTTAATGATTCCTTCATTTGTTTATTTCTCTTCATAGCCCTCTCCTTCTTTACTTTTCTGATTATCCCCAAGAAACAAATGCTTTCTGAGGCTCTAACTTCCAGTCCTGCTTATTTCCCTGTAGCCAGTGTTGTCAACTACAGAGCCCTAGAAATGTGGTAAGTATTTCAGCATTTTTATTATCAAACTTTCTCTTTCTGAGTGTATCCGTTTATGTTTCCACTGAGACTTTTCGATCTTATGTCTCCCTTCCCTGTTCTCCACATTTACAAGCCTGCAGGAGCAGCAGAAGCTGTATTAAAACTTGGGGCTTATTTCTCTGCTGACAGGTAATTTTAAGTTTGTATTACCCTACGCCTTCAAGCAATGCTGAAGATGTTGGTCAAATGTAGTCATATTCATGCTCCTTTTTTATTTTCTTTTTCAAGAGTGTAGGATGCTTGGGAAGATTTGAAATAAAGCATCTCCCATTATACTCCAGATCCGTAAGTCCCAAAATATAATTTAAAAGATAAAGAAATTGTTTAATATTAATGTCAAGTATTTTTCAAAAAATAGGTTCTATTTCTTCTAGATTTTCCAAATGTCTCCCAATGTCTTCTCTTCAATCTGGAATCTCCTGCTGTAGTCTGGATGCTAATTATGTCTTGACTATGTCAGTGGAACAGTCCCCTAATGAGTCTTATTGCAACCAGTTCTCCCAACCTACAGATGCTCTTCCACATAGCCACCAAGGTTACATTCTAAAGCATGAATTAAGACATGCTACTGTCCAGCTTAAAAGCTTCCAATGGCTTATAGTCATGAAAAAAATGAAATCAATCATATGGCTTTGGCAGGAGAGAAGAGCTCTTTTTCAGTGATTATTTATTGATTTTGAGACAGAGTTTTCTCTGTTGCCCAGGCTGGAGTGCAGTGGCATAATCATGACTCACTGCACCCTTGATTTCCAAGGCTCAAGCAATCTTCTTGCCTCTGCCTCCAAAGTAGCTGAAACTACAGGTGCATGCCACCACGTCCTTGTAGAGATGGAGTCTTGCTATGCTGACCAGGCTGGTTTCAAACTCCCGGCCTCAAGCCATCCTCCCACCTAGGCTTCCAAAGTGCTGGGATTATAGGCATGAGACACCATGCTTGGCCTTTTTCACTTAATTGTCACTTTGCAATATAGTTTGTCAAGTCTACCTCAAAAATGTCATCTTTTAGGCTGACATAGGTTAGAAATATAAAATTACAATGCCCTCACCATTTTATTCCCTCTGACAATATGATGGCATAATAATATCACACTTTGAGAAAGTGGAAAGAACATTTTTTAAAAATAGAGGGTAATTTAGCTTACCACTATGATCCTCTTTGATCTCTGGTAATTTAGCCATAATGAATAGATCTTATTCTTCTCATAAAACCATATTGGTTGAATATGGTGATATGGTTTGGCTCTGTGTCCCCACCCAAATCTCATCTCAAATTGTAATCCCCATGTGTCAAGGGAGGGACCTGGTGGGAGGTAATTGGATTATGGGGGTGGTTTCCCCCATGCTGTTCTCATGATAGTGAGTTCTCAGGAGATCTCGTGGTTTTTAAGTGTGGGACTTCCCCTTTGCTTGCACTCTCTCCTGCTGCCTTCCACCATGATTGTAAGCTTCCTGAGGCCCCCCACCAGCCATACTCAACTGTGAGTCAATTAAACCTCCATTCTTTATAAATTACCCAGTAGCAGGTAGTATCTTTATAGCAGTGTGAAAATGGACTAGTACAACTCTACTAAGTTCAGAGTTTTCACTGTACAGGTCCTTCAAAACCAAGCATATCCAGTCCTCGGAATAGCAAAGAACTGTGTAGCTGGCTCCATCCTTCTTTTGTCACTCTGAACCAGAGGATGCCACTGCTATAGGACCCATATTTGTCTTTTGATCCTCATATGAATTAGATCCTAATGTTTTAACTGCCAAAGATTTAATAAGTGATGGATTAGACTCATTCTTGATTATAAACTGCCCATCCCTCCAAAGAAGTACACGAACTCTATATCTCAAATCATTGAAGTCTCTAAACATTTCTGCATTTAATAAGGATTATAGAATGTCTGTATATTTATGATAGATGTATAAATACTATTGAGACTTTCCCTCGCAACAATGCCACAAATAATTTCTGGACCTGTCGTGTGTAAATATCTCTGCTAACACTAATAATTCAATAAAAATTATGAAGCATGGAATACTATGCAGCCACTAAAAAGAACAAAATAATGTCCTTTGCAGCAACACGGATGCAGCTAGAGGCCATTATCCTGGGTGAATTAATGCAGGAATAGGAAATCAAATACTGCATGTTCTTATCTGTAAGTGAGGACTTCGCAGTGGATACACATGGACATAAAGGTGGGAACAACAGAAACTGGGTGCTGTTAGAGGAGGGAGAGAGGGAAGGAGGGAAGGGCTGAAAAACTAACATATTGGATACTAAAATCACTACAATGGTGATAGGATCATTCATGCCCCAAAACTCAGCATCATATAATATACCCATGTAACAAACCTGCACATGTACCCTGTGAATCTAAAATAAAAACGGAAAATACTTTTTAAAAAATAAAAAGGTAACAAACTGGAAAAAAATAATAAAAATAAAAATTATGAAGCCAAAAACTATTCAGTTAGCTTTTTTAAAAAAAGTTTTTAAATTCTCCAAGCTACTCTCAATCTCACAATTTAAAATTTGAAGAACTGTGAATAAGTAAATATTCTCTTAAAAACAGTCATGAAACATATTTCTCTAATCAAAATGAAGGTATGTTTTATTTCCATTGCTTAAAAAATTATTAAAAACTAAAAGCAGGAAAATGTACCTATCTTTAATAAGCTTAAATGAGTTGTTTCTCAATAGAAACAAAGTTATTTTTTAATACATTTGTCAAACCAGTTTTGATATATTGTCAGTTTCCATTCGCACTGCTGTTTGAATATTTTTCAGAATCACTGTTAATTTTCTGAGCTTAATACTTGTTTAGCAACTATCCCAGATAAAACTCTTTATGCTGTAGAGCAGTCATTCTTCATCTGAAAATTCATGGATTGAAAGTGTATGCTAATTTACAAATGTGTGCCGGTTCTTGTGTCCCAGTGTAGTTTCGACACGAGAGAGAAACAAAGTCTGGAGACTTTAGTCAACTTTCAAAGACCAACAAAGGTTAAAAAGACCAGATGGAAATATTGGTATTTTGAAATTTTATCTTTGGTTTCTAGAACTGTGTCTTCAATGATGCCTTTACACTGTAAAAATAATTTGGATATGCTCCAATTTGAAGTCAAGTATAAAATGTTTAAAATGTAATTCCATATAAATTATTTTATGATAATGAGTAATAGCTAATGTAAGCTAATTTATTATATTTCCTGACTATGCTAGAGTGAGGATAAAATGGTTTGCTATTTTCTAAAAATGCAAATCCACTAAAAAATCAAGTTTTTATTATTTTAGTCCGTTTATAGTATAATGATAAATTCATACATATCAACGGTACAGTGTAATATTATTTTACTACCTTATATTGTATGTTAATAACCACATATAGCTTATAATTTTTGCTAAAATTCTACTAGTAGTATCAATGACATTTTTCATTAATATACCAAGTCAACCAATAATTAGATTGAAGTGCTGTGCTTTTTTCAGAGTTAGAGATGGTTAATACAGAATCTTCACTAATTGGAAATCATTTTAAATAGATTAAATAGTTTCCTTTAGTAATCCACTGAACCCCAGGCATTTGCACTTTTTTTTTTTTTTTTTTTTTTTTTTTTTGAGACAGAGTTTTGCTCTTGTCGCCCAGGCTGAGGTGCAGTAGCATGATCTCGGCGTACTGCAACCTCCACCTTCTGGGTTCAAGCGATTCTCCTGCCTTAGCCTCCCGAGTAGCTGGGATTACAGGCACCCACCACCATGATCAGCTACATTTTTGCATTTTTAGTAGAGATCGGATTTCACCATGTTGGCCAGGCTTGTCGCGAACCCCTGATCTCAGGTGATCCACCCATCTCAGCCTCCCAAAGTGCTGGGATTACAGGCATGAGCCACTGTGCCTGGCCTGCACTACATTTTTTTTTTTTTAGTGCATTACCTTCCACTGATTGAGAAGATGTGACAGAAAAATAATTTAGTTCCAAATCACATCATTACAAAAAATATAATAAACATTGGCTTATAAAAATCGCAGACAAAACCACAACAAGAGAAATGGCAAAGATAATGAGATACCTGAACTTCAAATAACTATTCCATTTCAGAGTCATTCTTGACTACAACTTATCTTAATTTTACTTTATTATTGTAAGATAGTGGTATTAGGTAATGTTCAAATTATTTTGGAGACCTGAAAATTGATTCCAAGTGTTACTGCCAGGTTAGTGCTGCAGAAAACAAACTATTTATGTTATCTTCAGGTTCTGCTTTAAAAACATTACCTGATACGATGCAATTTGAAACTTCTGAAGACTGGTACATGGTGAAAAGGAATAATTAGGGGAGTGCTGGAATGGTTATATTGAGCCAAAGGAATGCATTTCAAATAGATGAGACACGGGGAGGCCGGGTGGAAAAGCAACAGGCTCTGAAATAAGTACAGTGTTTAGGACCACTTAGTCCAATGAGAGCAAGTGTTCATAGATGGCAACAAGGTGACATTAGCAACAGTGGCAGGCTAAATGCCACGGTGGTCAGCCGAATAAGGTACAAGCAGTCTGGCGTTATTGAGAGTACAGCAGCAAACAGACAAGAATCTTTGTGCCATTCAGAAAACTTAAAACAGGGTGTTTTCTTTCACACTTGCTCTGTGATTGCACCATTCACTTGAGTTGTTCACATTTTCCGTTTCTTTGCTTATAAATATTAATAGGAATATAAATGCCAACTTGGTTCAGATTTATTGTAGGGAAAAAAACACAAATGTGATTGTAAAAGCATTTTGGAAACAGAAAGGCCATCAGCATTCTTTAATGGATTTTCTAAGTATATTAACAAGCAAAGTCTTTCTTCAATTATTTTCACTAGCTATATATCAGCCAATATTTATAGTATGTCTAAGAGGTCTTATGTTATACTTGGTGTAGTCTAAGGCATGGAAGTAGGGCAAAGATAAAAATATCCCTCTCTGTAAGGCTTGACATGCATGGCAAAGTCTCTTGCATAGATTAGTGACTTAATAAGAATTTGTCCAATTTTTTTAACTTTTAGTAAATAAGGATTAAGGGGCATTTATAGGGCATTCTTATTAAGCAATGAGAGCAAAGTCATGTATTTCAAACCAAAAGCAAGCAAGCACTTTATTGATTTTTACAATATAGAAGGTCCTGCAAAATGAAAGAAACACTCAAAAAGTGTTTTTCCAACTCTCCAATGTATCAGACTCTAACTAAAACAAAGTACAACCTTCAAAAGCAGTTTCACTTCTGGAAAAACAGACAGAAAAATTAAACTTGATTTTTAAGTAAAAGGAATTGCAAAATCTATCTAAAATGAACTTATCGGAAATTTAACTCCACTTTCAAGGAGAAAAATATTTCTTGGAAGAAATATTTCAGTAACAGAATCCAACTTTGTATGATTAAACAAATAAAAGTAAATAGAATTTCATTTCAGAGTTGAATATACTTTAATATTCAAGAGCCATGATGCTACACTTTTTAACTCAACTTGCTAAATTACTGATTAGCAAGAAATGACCACAATATGTGAGGATTAAAGCCCGTAAGATAGTGTTCATATTTATTACCAGAGTACTGAGTACATTCTGTCACACTGAACAATTTAACTCTAAACTAGTTAAAGGGCAACTATAAAATACAAGTTTCTGAACTGTTCACAGTCCTATTATGGCGTGGGACGTGTTGTTCTGCACCAAGGTTGAGAAAACGCATTGTGCCCAGAGTGCTGTCAAAGAGTCAGTTACATAATAAACTATTAAGTGACTAAGATATCATCTTGTTCCAAATGGAAGCTGACAACATTTCTATGGGGACTGACATGCTGGTGATGAATGAGGTCGAGGCCAGATTAGTGGTGAAAGCAGGAAGAAGATTGTTTGACCAGAACATTATCAGAGCTATGGTGAGAAAAGAAAGCAACCAAGAAAAGCTGGATGTGGGATTCAATTATCTAGGATGATTCAGATAGCTCCAAGTCAGCTATTGATGAGGCACTCTATCAGCTTCTTTAAGTGGAAGCTAGATTTTGCCAGGACTCAGTGCCTGTGCCAAGCAGCCATTCTGTCTCTTCCGAATAGACTGGGAGTTTATGCGGAGTGTAATCTTCCATAGGGGCTGTGTGTGTTCTTCTGAAACTTTGACATCTTTGGCCATCAGGAACCTGCAGCCCCAAGGAATGTGAACAAGCTTTGAAAGCCCTAGAAGCCGGGGCGGTGGCTCATGCCTGTAATCCCAGCATTTTGGGAAGCCGAGGCGAGTGGATCACCTGAGGTCAGGAGTTGGAAACCAGCCTGGCCAACATGGTGAAACCCCATCTCTACTAAAAATACAAAAGTTAGCCAGGAGTGGTGGTGGGCGCCTGTAATCCCAGCTGCTCAGGAGGCTGAGGCAGGAGAACTGGTTGAACCCTGGAGGTGGAGGTTGCTGTGAGCCAAGATCGTGCCATTGCACTCCAGACTGGGTGACAGAGTGGGACTCCACTCCATCTCAAAAAAAAAAAAAAAAAAAAAGAAAGAAAAAAGAAAGAAAAAGAAAAGAAAGAAAGAAAGAAAAGAGAAAAAGAAAGCCCTTGAAAGCCAGATCTCTCCTCTGTTTTGTTCGGATATCTCCATCTGCCATCATGTTCAGGTTTCAGTCCTTCCACAAACTGAGGAAATTTTCTCTCACAGGTGAGAAGGCAAGAGGAGAACTCTTACTCATTTTTCAACAACATTCTTTCCTATGGAGGGTTTTCTGTGCCACTTGGGTAGACTTTTGAAATTCATAATCCCTTACTGCCAGACCACCCAGATCTCAAATTTAGTGGATTATTTGAAACTTGAGACCTGTTGATTCTTGTCTTTGGACTTAAGACCCCCATTACCTGTTTTAAATAACACTAGATTTTTAACCTTGCTTTAAAGAGAGAGAGTACAGGCTGATGGTTGAGAGTGTAGACCCTGGACTTAGACGACCTGGATTCAAATCCCAAATTTATCATTTGCTAGGTTTGCCAACTTTGGGCAACTTACTTATCTCTGATTTCATTTCTACTTCTGTTAGTAGAAATAAGGGGTACCCACCTTAGAAGGCTTATAGTTGCAAAGCACTTAACAGTGCCAGGCACACCCAGTAAATATGAGGTAGAATTACTCTTCAGGAAAAGGCATCTTGCCTCCTACACCTATAATGTCTTTCAGACATCACTTACAGATCCTGTTTTCTCCCCCATCCCTATCATTCCTGCCATGTTGCTTCTGATGCCTACAGGTGACATTAAACCTATTATGGCCTACTCTTAGTGGGACAATCAATAAGGGAATATATTTCCTATCATTCTAAAGTTTTATATAGGCAAATAGTCTTTTGGTTTCTCAGCAATGGCAAAAGAAGTGTCAGGGATAAGTTGCACAACATGTATTTAATATAAGAAAATATTAATAGTTGAAGCCACATTTCACAACCCTGAGGCTGGCACTTTGTCTAAATTATTCTGCTCTACAGAAGCTTTATTAGTATGTGTTATTTATGAGTAGACACTGTGTGTGGCTATTATATTTCCAGATAGGAATGAGGAACACAGCATCCCTATGTCTTACTGAGTATTTGTACAGATGAGCAAAACAATTCTGGTAAGAAATCAGAGAAAACAGTAAAGCTTGAAAGTTTCATAAAGAAATTAATTTCTTTCTGTAGTAAATGTCAGTGTCTCTGATCTCAATAATAAATCTTCAATTTCTGTTCTACTATTTCATTTATGACAGAACACATGAAAATATTAGCTACATTTAAATGACAGAGTGGTGTATTTTCTCCATTCTGAGGATCAACTCAGGAACCCTTTTTTAAATCCGTGGAATGTATTCACTTGACATCCTCAATAAGTGGCAATATTTTTATCTTTTTTGATGTTATTCCCCTTTACATTTGTATTCTTCCCAATTATAGAACAGAGAAATAAATACTTCTCAATTATCTTGAACGTTGACCCTTCCTAGATATCTGTTATTGGCTGAATTAGGTGCCCCTAGAATTCATATGTTCAAGACTTAACTTTCAGTGCCTCAGAACACGACTGTACTTGAAATTAGGGCCTTTAAAGAGGTAATTAAGCTAAAACAAGATCTTCCGGAGAGGCCCAAATCCAGTCTGACTAGTGTCTGGTGTCCTTATGGAGAGACACCAGGGGGTATGTGCAGAGAGAAGCCCGTGAGGAGGCAGCAAGAGGGCGGCCATCTTGCAAGCCAGGGAGAAAGATTTCCGAGTTGACGCACCCTGCGTCAACCCAGGTTGATCTCAGACTTACCATCTTCAATAACGTGAGAAAATAAATTTCTGTTATTTACGCCACCTAGTCTGTGGAATTTTGTTACGGCAGCCTGGAACACTAATGCAGAAAATTGCTACCTCTTCTACCAGGTCTAATTGGTCAGCCAAGTTCCATTTCTGTTCATACCAGAATTGCTCAACATGGACAAGTTACCTAGGCAACACCTTCAAATCTAAAAAGTCTCATAGCAAGATACAAATGGCTATGTATCCCCAGTCAAGTAGGTTTTCCGGAGTCTACCTCCCACAGCCAACAGATCTTAAAGAACCAGGTGAAAACCCTGATTTATTTAACTTTCTGACTGCTTGGTAGCAGTCTAAAATTATCACATAATCTAAGCGGATTGTGATTATTTCCCCCCTGCTCTTTAGCACCACTCTTCCCAGTTCTGTTTTTACCTATCCATCAAATTTTCAAACAGGCATTTGAGAAGTCTGCAGTGGACCAACCGCCTTTATTCCCTGAACTGTTTAAAGAAACCAGTGGTACATGTATTCCTTTCCTGGGCAGTTGTAACAGTTAGATGAACTGGTTAGCTTAAAGCAACAGAAATGTATTCTCTCACAGTTTTGGAGGCCAGAAGTCTGAAAATCCAGGTGCCAGCAAAGTCATGCTCCCTCTGAAAGACCTAAGGGAAAATCAATTCCATGCCTCTCTTCTAACGTCCATTATTGCTGGTAATCATTGGCATTCCTTGGCTTAGAAACACCACTCTAAATTCTGCCTCCATCATCACATGGCACTATCATGTCTTTGTGTCTCTTTTCTTCTTCTTATGGGGACACCAGTCATACTAGAGTAAGGGTACTCCCTACTCTAGTATAATCTCATCTTAACTCATTATATTTGTAACAACCCTATTTCCAAATAAGTTCACATTCTGAGGTTCTGAGAAGGACATGAATCTTGGAAGATCACTATTCAACTCAGGACAGCATCTGAAAAAGCAGCTGTTTCACGTCAAATATTGACAGATGAGTGACAAGATTTGAGATACATTTTCTTTGCAGAATTTGAACAATTGTGGGTCTTACTTCTGTAACTCTAGGTTGGAAAAAGACCACAAAAAACTAAACAACAAAGACTGGAAAGAATTCAAGGCAGCACTCATAGTAAAGAAAACAAACAAACAAACAAAAAAGAACTTGTTCGGAAAATTGTAGAATGCTTTCTGTAGTTTCCTTTTAAAAAAATCCTTTACAAAATAAAATTATGAAAGTTAGCCCTAGCTTATCTGTTTAGACTAATAATAATGGTCAGTCCTGGGTCATAATTTCCCTCTAAGTCTTACGTAAGTAATTGGCACAGCAAATCTCCACTGACCTGTAGGTGACTTTTCTTCTACAAGCATTAGAGCCCTGGAGCAATTCATTCAAATTTTTGGGACCCTAGGACTCTCCCTGTTAATCCATCCTTTTTGAAATGAATTAAACTCAGTGGATACTGGGATTATTTTTTCTTTAAACATGTTTAAACTGGTTTGAAATGGTGAGTCTCAATCCTTACCAAAAACATTTATCTTGGTCGATGATCATGTTTGAATGTCTTCTAGTTTAAAAAGTACCTTCCCTTGAACCGATATCCACCTTAATCAGAGGTCAGGGTTCATAAAACTTATTTAAGCATGCCCTTAGGAAATTTTTCAGTGGCCCGTTAAAATAGTATGAATCTACCTGTAAACTACTCACCACAATTTTTCTCGTAACACATATCATAGCTGTCTCCAGTTTCTGTTGCCAAATGACCTTTCCCAGTTCAAGCCACTGTTTGCTCCTTGGATTTTCATTGCTTGGTTTCCTTCTTGCTTAGCTCCAAGCTCCCTTCTGTTATATTAATCCTTTTCTATCCTCTCTCTAATCCATTTCTTTGGACAATCTCTATGTTAGCACTTAATCTCTTTTGTAGATATTAACTTAGAACTGAACTAATCCATCAATATGCACTCCTTAGCAGCGACCGGGTACCACAACATTCTGTCTTGCCACACAGTGAAACATAGGCTACCTTGCTATGTCTACCCCCTCATTCCTACCACTCTTCAACTCTGAAATCAGGCATCTATTCCAACTGGTCAACAGAAACTACTCTCCCACTCTGTGTCACTTGGTTCTGTTGAAAATGGTCTTCATTAGCCTCACCACTTGGTTTGTTTGTTCTCCCAAGTTTTTAATTTGCTCCTTTCCTAGCTACTCCCTCCTTCTCATGCTCTTAAATAATGGTTCAAGGTATCCATTAGTTCAACATACATTTACTGAGCACCTATCGCATCATGTATTTTGCTGGATACTGTTGACAAAGCAGAGAAAAAGATAAACACTATCCCTTTTTTGTGGAAATTAGACTCTCCAAGATCTTAAATATTTCCTAAGTGAATTTCCATGGCTTTAGTTACTTCCTGTGAATTGATAACTCCTAGATTAATATATCACCTTGTAGCATGCACTATTGAGAGCTAGACCCACATCTTACCTTCTCGGAAGATCTTACAGTTTAATGGTCTCAAAATTAACATATTTTAAATATCTATGCCAATAATCCCTCTAGTTAATGGCATCATAAACAAAGATAACTGTCCTCTAAACTCTATGCTCATGGACGTTTCCACATATCGATGGCTGTCAGTTCAACATTCTAAATAACACTCCAAATGCCTCTTCCTTTGAATTCCTACTGCAAGTGTTTACTTTCACGCCCTCATAATCTGCATTTTTGAAGATGCTTTCTAACTGGTCTCCCATCTCTAGATTCAGTGCCTCCTGATGACTCCATATTACCATCAGAATAAAGTCCAAACTGTAAGAAGGATCTTAAAATATGAAACCAACATACTTCACCTATTAAAAAGGGAAAACACTCAGGTAAACTAAAATATAAACAAATCACCACCATATAGAATGTAGAAAGACTAAACTACAACCTATGAGAAAATTTTGTGACACAAAAATGGGCAAAAGATTAGTATTCAAAAAACACAAAGAACTTCTATATATACACAGGAAAAAAGTGACCCCATAAAAAATGATAAAAAAGAATTGATTAAAAATTTCAGAGAAGACCACCAATGACCAATAATCATATGAAAAGGTGTTCAATCTCATTTATAATCAGAGAAACACAAAACAGAGAGATTTCATTTCACACTCATACCATATTAGCAAAAAATTATGGCTACTTAATAACAAGTGTCATTTGCATAAGAAACAACATAAATCCTCACCACTGCTGATGGGAGTATAAATTGTTTTAACCACTTAGGAAAATGTTCTCTAGCAAAATTGAACAACTGCATAACCTACCTCCAACCAGCTAAGTCATGGTTAGCTGGAGCTGCTTTCAGCTTCTCCTGGAGATAAAAGGAGGATTAGAGCATGGCCATCCATCCCAATGGGCAGAATATGTATCTTTAGTTTCTTTGGGGGAGTCAGAACCCTCCTTACTCAAAAATATTTCTCAAAGGAACATTAGAAGGTTATTATATACTCCATAATTAGGTATATACCCTAAACTCTTACACATAAATAAGGAGAGATTGCACAGAAGCATTGCTCATAAAAACCAAAACAACCATTGTGCCCATCAACTGTGAGATTATAAAACTAAGGAAATTATGAAAGTTATAAATTATCTTTACAAGAGAATTCTGCTCCTTATAATATATCCATACAAAGAAATTTTAAAAACATACTATTTATCAATTAAAGCAAGTCATACATAAGTCAGGCACAGAAAGACAAATAACTCGGGATCTCACTTATGTATGGACACTTGAATAGTTGAACTCATCAAAGTAGAGAGTAGAATGATGGTTACCAGAGGCTTGCGGATGGACAAAGGAAAGGTATGGGGAGCTGTTAATCAAAGGATACAAAGTTTCAAACAGAAAAAATAGGTTTTGATATCTATTGCACAGCAGGGTGACTATAGTCAATAATAATGTATAATTAAAAGTAACTAAAAGAGCAAATTTCAAATTTCTCACCATAAAAAATGATAGGTAACTGAGGTGATATGTTAATCAGCTTGATTTCATCATTCTACGTTGTATACAAACTGTACCTCATAGATGTTTACAATTACAATTTGTCAATCAAAAATAATATTAATAATAAATAATAAAGCAAGTTACACAAGACTACACATAAAATTATTCCATTCATAGAAGTTCAAAAACACACAAAAGCAACATTGTAGTTTAGGGATACACACTTGAAAGATAGAAATTATAGAGGAAAGCAAGGAAATTATTAACACATTCTAATTAATGCTGGAAGAAGGCGGGGGAGATGTAATCAGGAAAAGCATATTGGCGATTTCTAGGGTGTGGCAATGTTCAGTCCATAATGATTTAAACTAGGGTGTCCAATCTTTTGGCCTCCCTGGGCCACATGGAAGTAAAGGAATTGTCTTGGGCCACACATAAATTTCACTAATGATAGCTGATGAGCTAAAAAAAAAAAAAAATTGCAAAAAATTTCACAACGTTTTAACAAGGTTTACGCATTTGTGTTGGGCAACATGCAGACCGTGGGCCACAGGTTGGACAAGCTTGATTTAAACTTTATGCATATGATTCCATTTAATTTTATATAATTGCTGTATTTTTATTGGAAAAAAATAGATTACCAGCCTCTGTTCTGTACATTTCCTGTCACCCTGAGATCCACAGCTATGACCTGCCTCCCAATAGCATGACACACACACACACAGACACACACACACACCCTCTCACCCATAATTTAATTACATTATATGATTTGTCATTGTCCCAAAATCAATGCATTTGCTTTCGATCTACTCAGATTTGCTATTTGTTATTCCATTTTCTTAAGATGTCCGATCCTCTCCATTTGATCACTGTTGGGAAGAGTTGGTTTAAATGCATTATCTCTGTAAAACTTTTTCCAGTCCCTGCAGACAGAATGAATCATTTCCTCTTTTGACTTCCTGTGGTACTCTGTTTAGTTCTCTTCTTACTGCTTTCCTTAAATCATGTTCAAGTTATTTATCTGACTTGCTCCTTTGTCCCTGTCCTCACACCATGAATACGGAGGTATCAACTCTTGTTTATCTCTTTTAATTCCTACTTCTGCTCTAGCATGTAATAAGCGTTTAGAAAATTATTTAAGCTGAAGAAGACAAGTGAAGATTAATGCAAAATTTGAAGTATATTATCAAGTTATTTGTTGCATTTAACACAAAAATCATCATTATTTACAGAGAAAAACTTATAAAATCCAGAAACAGTATAGTTAGGATAAGAAAAAGTATACAACAATCATATAATGGCAAAAACCAGAGTTCTCTGACAAAAATAATGAGGGAGGTTAAAGATACATGATCATAATCTTAGAAGACAGATAACTTGAAAAGGTCAGAGATTTGGTACATCCAAGTAGACAATTATATAACTCTTTAAATGATGGCTCAAGATATACTCTTAAAGATAACAAACTCTATAACATTTTTTATAGACTGGACCTTGAATTTTTGAGTGTTAGAGATAGCTCCTGCAAAAAAAAAATCATAAGATAATGTGTTCCTGACTAACACAGTAAGCAATGTTAAGATCTCATGTTTACAGAAGACCTGAATCCTCATCCACAATGGAAACCATCATTGGCCCAAAATGAAAAAGCAAGTGTTTGCAAATCTTAAGAAAAGGCATTCTAGTGGGTGTTCTATCCACCGTCAATGGCCCAGTTAGTGTCTAATTCATCACAAAAGGTCAATCAATTTCGTTCTGTAGAAAATTGAACAACTTTCTCTATAACACAACTTAAAAGTAGGAAACTGACTTTGTGGTTTGCTTCCCCATTGTGATAGTTCTCCAGCTCCTCATAAACTACAACATGATTTTTAAGTATTAAAAATTAAAAAGACTTTGTTTCAAGTGACGTAGCAACCTACGTTCAAAACCTAAAGATTTGCTATAGCAGAGGATGTTTGTTTTAATGCACATTTATTACAAAAACAATTAGAAACCAGAAATGTTTCAAATATTCTTGTAATCAAACATCTTTATTGTGGTAGAACATATTTGATGTATTTTGTTATAACTTCAACTTATATTTTAGATTCAGGGGGTAGATGTGCAAGACACTGAGATTTGGGGTGTGAATAATCTCATCACCCAAGTAGTGAGCATAGTACCCAATACATACTTTTTTAGCCCATGCCCTCCTCCTTCCCTCCACTGTCTAGTAGTCCCTGGTGTCTATTGTTTCCATTTTAATGTCCATTATCCTATGTTTAGCTCCTACTTATTGGTGAGAACAATGCAGTACTTGCTTTTCTGTTCCTGCATTAATTCATTTGGGATAATGACCTCCAGTTGTATCCATGTGACTTCAAAGGACATTAATTCATTCTTTTTATGACTGCATAGTATTCAACAGTGTACCACATTTTCTTTATTCAGTCCAACATTGACTGGCACCTAGGTTGATTCCATATCTTTGCTATTGTGAATAGAGCTGCAATGACCATACAAGTGCACGTCTTCTTTGTAATCATTTATTTTCCTTTAGGTATACACCCAGTAGTTGAATTGCTTGGTCAAATGGTAGTCCTCTTTCAAGCTCTTTGTGAAATCTCTAAACTGCTTTCCACAGTGGCTGAACTAATTTGCATTCTCACCAAGAGTGGATAAACCTTCACTTTTCTCCACAGCTTCACCAACATGTTATTTTTTGACTTTTTAGTAATAGCCATTTTAATTGGTGTGAGATAGTATCTCGTGATTTTAATTTGCATTTCTCAGATGATTAGTGATGATGGGCATTTTTTCATGTTTCTTGGCCACTGCATGTCTTCTTCTGAGAAGTGTTTATTCATGTCTTTTGCCCACCTTTCAATGGGGTTGTTTTTGCTAGTTGATTTGACTTTCTTATAGATTCTAAATATCAAACCTTTGTTGGATGCATAGTTTGCTAATATTATCTCCCATTCTGTAGGTTGCCCGTTTGCACTGTTAATAGTTTCTCTGACTGTGCAGAAGCTCTTTAATCAGGTCCCATTTGCCAATTTTGGGTTTTGTGGCAATTGCTTTTGAGAACTTAGTCATAAATTCTTTGCCTAAGGCTTAATGAACAAGATATTTTCTAGGTTTTAAGTTTTTATAGTTTGACATCTTACATTTAAATCTTTAATCCACCTTAATTTTTATATATGGTGAAAGGTAGGGGTTCAGTTTCATCCTTCTGCATGTGGCTAGCCAGTTATCCCAGCACCATTTATTGAATAGGGAGTCCTTTGCTCATTGCTTATTTTTGTTGACTTTGTCGAAGATCAGATAGTCATAAGTATGCAGCTTTATTTTTGGGCTCTGTATTCTTTTGCATTGGTCTATGTGTCTGTTTTTGCACCAGTATCATCCTGATTTGGTTATTGTAGCCTTATAATATAGTTTGAAGTCAGGTAATGTGATGCCTCCAGCTTTGTCCTTTTTGCTTAGGATATCTTCGGCATTAAGGCTCTTTTATGGTTCCATGTGATTTTTAGAATAGTTTTTTCTAATTCTGTGAAAAATGGCATTGGTAATTTGATAGGGATAGCATTGAATCTGTAGATTGCTTTGGGCACTATGGCCATTTTAACTACATTGATTCTTCCAGTCCATGAGCATGAAATGTTTTTCCATTTGTTTGTGTCATCTAAAAACACATTCAGCAGTGTTTTGTAGTTCCTCATGTAAAGATATATTTCACCTCCTTGGTTAGAGATTGTGTTGCTACATACTTTATATTAATATTTTTGTGGCTATTGTAAATAGGATTACATTCTTGATTTGGCTCTCAGCTTGAATTCTACTAGTGTATAGAAATTCTACTCATTTTTGCATATTGATTTTGTATCCTGAAACTTTACTAAAGTTGCTTATTAGTTCTAGGAGCCTTTTGGTGGAGTCTCTTGGGATTTCCAGGTATGAAGTCATATTGTCAACAAAGATATAATTTGACTTCTTCTTTTCCTATTTGGATGCCTTTTCTTTCTTTCATTTGCTTAACTGCTCTTAAGACTTCCAGTACTGTGTTGAATGAGAATGATGAGTGGGCATCCTTATCTTCCTGTTCTTAAGGAGAATGCTTCCAGCTTTTGTTCATTCAGCATGATGCTGGCTGTGGGTTTGTCATAGATGGCTCTCATTATATCGAGATATGTTCCTTTGATGCATACTTTGTTGAGGGTGTTTATCATGAAGGATGTTGGATTTTATCAAAAGCTTTTTCTGCATCTACTGAGATGATCATATGGGTTTTGTTTTTAATTGTTTTTAATGGCAACATTTTAAAGCACTCTCTTTTCATTGGAAAAAGTACTAATTTGCTATGTATGTTTAAAAGCAATGGTTTTGATGAATTCATATCATTTTAAACAAACATAATCTACCAATTATAAAATATAAAACAGATAAATTCCTTTTATTCCACTTATTTTGCCAACATACTCCTCCTTAGAATGGGCAGTATATTTCAGTATACTGAATAGTAATAAAAAGAGAAAACATAAATAAGGGTATATTATTCTCAGCTGACTTCCTCAATGCATTTTTCCAGTTGTATCCTTTTTGTGGTATAAATTTGCAATGAATCAAAATCAGGCAAAGGCTCTTGTTCATAATATAAACTGTACATTTGAGGAGACATATAGTATCAATAAAAGTCTCATAAAATGAGGTTTTGCTATTCTTTGATATTTTGGTCAGTGCACATTTGAAAAACATCTATACTGGCTAGTATTTTATATCCTTTCAGTGGAAGTTAATAGTAGCCAAAGGGAACTAGCTTTCTTTTATTTTTAAAGAAAGACAGGAAAACATGTATACCAAAGCTCATGGACCACGTCTATGCAGCAGATACGGGACTAAATTTAAAATGTTTTCAACACCTCATTGACAGGGCTGTCAAGGAATTTACCTAGGGAGGTTTTCTTTTTTTTTTTTTAATTTTACATTCTGAGACTCAGTCAGCAATTCAGTTTGATCCACTGAATTTTAGCTACAGGATTAATTTCTAACATTCTCACAAAAATGCCCAAAACAGCTGTGGCCATGAGCAATTGTTGTAACTACCCATATAATCAAATTCTCCCAAGGATACACTAGGATGACTCTTCAAGATCAGATATATAAAACATCCTGCCTTGGTTTTACACAGTCATGTATTGACACTCCATCCAAATGGGAGATTGGCTTCTACACAGATCATTTAGCTCAATAATGTTAAAAACTGATCCATGGCGACAAACAGTACCCCAACCCCAATGTGCCACAGACACATTAAAAGGACAATCTACAGGCTGAGGAGAACAGATGACAAACTCTTACCTAGTATTAGGTAACATCCAATACAGTTTTGGGGAACTTACAGTTGATTGATAAATAGTGAATATATGTCATATAATTGAACTTAGGATAAAAATATTGGAAAACATGAAATATGCTGAAAATTGTCATGGCATGTCTTCATTCTAATTGGTATGTTACGTGTTAGATTTGCTTTATAAAAAATTTGTCCTGACTTATTCTTGGGCTAATGGTTGAAGTGTAGAGAAGTCCACAAATCTGGTTGTTTTCATCAAACATTGCTATTTTCTCCTCTGGTAAAAAAGAAATGTAACCTAAATGCAAAATCATGTCTATTATAACTGAGTCAACCCCATTGGTATATAGAATATTCCAGAGATATTTTTTATCGGCTTGGATGTAAAGTGCTAATAGGATTTTATAAGATCTGATGATAAAATAAAAATTATTCTCATTATGAAAATGTCACCTTGTGGTATAAGAAATGTGGAGCATTGTTTTCTTTTCTACTTCTGGTACATGGTGGATCTATATCACAGGTTAGGGAAAAAAGTTTTATTGGACTTATTTGAGCAATTTGGTGTAATTTTGCTGGAAATGTCCACAAATCTCAAATATTCAAATGTATTTTCATGTTAGTTAGAAGTCTTGGTTGGTTGGCTGATTTCCACTTTCCCTATTCCTCTACGTATAAGTAAAATCTCTGCACATTATATATATATAACAAACATGAGACGACACTGAAAGGTGGAAAGAAGATCGCCAACCAGCTAGGCATTTGGGTCCCAAGCAACGACACAGTGGCAGGTTTCCTGTGTTTTCATTTGGTTTCATACTTCCCATATTTAGAGCTGGGAAAGTCAGCGACCCTGAAACATCACTGGGCAAAGACAGAAAAAAAAAAAAAAAGCCTCAATATATGCCTTTCTCACACCAACATCAGGAAAGGGAAAGCCTAACAAGAAAGAAAATGTTTAGATAATAATTGCTTTACTCCAGCCGAATGTCCAAGAAAAAGTTGCAACCCTATCCCCACCTCATACAAGCAAGATTTCCACCCCACCCAGTGGTAGTGAGGTAACCTCATCCTTTCTAATACCCAGTAGTGAAAAAGGAGGCCTGGTAAAGAATTAAGACTTTCACCATTGCCCATTGCCAATGAGATTAGTCCCTCTCAATCTCTGTCCATTCCCACCCTAAGGCATTCCTGCCCCAACCAGCCAGGGTGTTATCAGCTGAGGCCTAGTGAGGAGCCTGTTCAGTAGTAATGAAGAGACCCTCCTCCCATCCCACCTCCTAGCTCCTCATGCCAATGGAGGCTAAGTGAGGACTCTAGACCTCCCCACAAACTGTCAGTAACAAGTTCATAACCAATCCCTTCCCCTGCTGGAGCCGTGTCCAAGGAAGCCAAGTAAAATGGAATATTTAAGATTCAAAGGTTCATGCCACAATACCCCAAATTTCAAAATTTTAATTTTAAAATTACTTATATTAAGACATGGGAAAATCACACCTAATATGAACAAAAGGTAATAAATAGATGTCAACACTGAGATGACAGAGATGTTAGAATTATCTGACAACAATTTTAAGGCAATCATCCATCATGAACATGCTTTAAAGGAGAAATACAAACATACTTGGAACACGTGAAAAAAAATAATCTCAGTGAAGATATAAAGAAGAACCAAATGCAACATTTGGATAACTGAAAAATCCAATAACTCAAATTTTAAAACTCATTGAACAGACTTGACAGTAGAATGGAGAGGAGAGAAGAAATACTTAGTCAGTTTGCAGGACAATAGAAACTATCCAATCTGAACACCAGTGAGAAAAGGAACAGCAAAACAAATGAAAAAGGCTCAGGGACCTGTGAGACTTGAAGAAAATTTCTAACATTTATTTTACCAGAATTGCAGAACCAGAGAAGCAAGAGAGTGAGACTGGGAAAAAAAATTCAAAGAAATAATGTCTAAAAACTTCCCAAGTTAGAATTCTACAAACTTTTTTTCTCTTATATGGCAAATAACCATTTGACTAGATTAAATTTTATTTCTTTCTACTGGAGTTAATTTTAGCTTGTCTCAGCCAGAATATTTTTGTGATGTTTTTACTCATGCCTAACAATAATTCAAGGTGAGTTGTACTTATGAATAAATGAAAATAAGAAAACATAAGTCTATTAAGTGTCAATAATGTTCTGTTTTTTGAGACAGAGTCACGCTGTCACCCAGGGTGAAGTGTAGTGGCGCAATTTTGGCTCACTGCAACCTCCACCTCCTGAGCTCAAGTGATTGTCATGCCTCAGCCTCCCGAGTAGCTGGGATTACAGATGTGCATCACCACACCTAGCTAATATTTTTTATTTTTATTTTTAGTAGAGACGGGGTTTCACCATGTTGACCAGGCTGGTCTCAAACTCATGACCTCAAGTGATCCGCCCCCCTCAGCCTCCCAGAGTGCTAGGATTACAGGTATAAGCCACCATGGCCAGCCTCAATAATATATTAATAGAAGTTTAAGTGGATTTGGAGGCACGAAAAAAAAAAAAAAACAGAAAATAAAAAGAGCAATGACCTGGAAATAGTACAACGTGATACGTATCTAAGAAAAACACGAGTTGAAAATTTAGAATTGTAATAAAACAAGTATTATACTGTTACTTCTATAATATCAAATACAATTTTTACATATTTTTCACTCTTTTGGTCATCTGGTTGGACGTTATAGTAACTCGGTGAAAGAGCTTGTTAAGAGGAAATATAATAACCACAAAGAATAACAATAAAATACTCAATAAAAAGCATTCATTGATCTTTTGATATTTACCAGGTACTGTTATAAGCACCTTACCTGTATTAGTTCATTGAGTCTTTACAACAACCTATGACATACTATTATTATCCCATTTTATTGATGAGTAAAATGAGGCAGAGGGCAGTTAAGAAACTCACCCATGATCACAAAGCTAGTAAATGGCAGATCAAGTAAGTAACCCAGGAATTCTGACTTTAATAAGTTATATGGCATCTTGAAAGAATCAAAGAACATGGGACATTACCTTAGTCTACTTTGCACTGCTGTAACAGAATACCACAGATCGAGTGATTTAAAAAGAAATTTATTTCTTGCAGTTCTGGAGGCTAGAAGTCCAACATCAAGGTGCCAGCATCTGTCAAGAGACTTCTAGATGCATCATCCCATGGCAGGAGGTGGAAGGGTGAGAGAGAGAGAGAGAGAGAGAGAGAGAGAGAGAGAGAGTGTGTGTGTGTGTGTGTGTGTGAGAGAGAGAGAGAGAGAGAGAGAGAGAGAAAGAGAGGGAAGGCTCAATTCAGTTTTATAACAAGCCCATTCTTGCTCTAACAAACTCCTGCAATAATGACCTTAATCCATGTATGAGGACAGATCCTTTATGACCTAACCAACTCTTTAAATTCTTTTTTTTAATTATTTTTAATTTTTTTTAGAGTTGTCCTCTTTTTTAATATACTTTTTTATTAAAGTTCTAGGGTACATGTGCACCACATGCTGGTTTGTTACATATGTATACATGTGCCATGTTGGTGTGCTGCACCCATTAACTCGTCATTTACATTAGGTGTATCTCCTAATGCTATCCCTCCCCACTCCCCCCACCCCACAACAGGCCCCGGTGTGTGATGTTAAAATTCTCACATCTTAACATTAGTATTGGGGATTAAGTTTCCAAAACAAGCTTTAAGAGATACATTCAAACCATGGAAAATATTGAAGACCATTTAAAAAAAAAAACAACTCTTTTCACTACTAAAGACACACACACACACAAATTTTTTAATATATTAGCTTAAAGAGTAAGTAAAATATTAAGTTAGCGTGTGTTTAAAACCACTTGAGAAATACATTAGCAGACCTGATAACCTAGAAATATCACCTATAAAATTATAAAGTATCAAGGAGGTAAATAAAGGTTTTCTTATTTTTCCTCTTAGAACCTTACTTATGAGTGTTGACACATTACTATCTATCACTTCAGGCCAAATGAGCCAGGACTATAGATTATTGGAAAGAGAATAACCCAAAATGTAGCAGCTCCCAGAATAACTGATGAGGGAAATTGATAGAGGAGCTATTTTTATAAAAAGCATTATTAATAATTATAGGGTTCATCTTACATGACAGTTGCATCATTCTGTTACATGAAGAAAAATTATATGCAAATTAACTACACAAGTTTTAGTATTCAAGAGTACTGCATGTTGAAAAGATAGACTGCTACCTATATTCATTATGCTAAGATATCATTGACACGATATGACAGAATGACGACGATTGTTAAGACAATGGTCTTATCCAACCCCAGGAGAGCTCAGAACTTTGGTATGTTGATAATCCTCCATGTAAAATTTATTTTTCCCCTTTAGTTCATACTAAAATTTGTATGATTAATAGAAGTTTAATGTGTCACTTCTTTCACATGTATCTTTCCTTTATTAGGACCCATTTTGGAAAAAAAAAAATCATCAAAATGACCATGATGCCAAGACACCAACCAATAAGTAAAATAAGAACTGGAAGATATCCCCAGGAGCTCTCAAATCTCAATGTCAAAGAGTTCTTGATTTTCTGGGTACAGTCGACATTATCTGTACAGATACACTGAGCTAGAGGAATATTTTCCAAAAGTCGTGAGGCAAGAATAAGGATAAATGCTCAGAAAAAAAAGAACTCTAATAAAATGTACTTAATTATAAGAGATGATACTGAATAGCTTTTTAGCCCCATCTCATGATTTGGTTATTGACATATCTTGTGATTACACAGATCATTGTTTTCCTCATAAACAATCTGAAAAATAAAATAATGATGATAATGTCAACTTATCACCAATAAACAATAACGGCAAGTCGTCTGTTTGTTCCACAAAAATTTATTGAGCACTTTTCTATGTGCTAAGTAGTTCATTGCCAGAGGAATAAAGATAAGTGATTTTTCAAAAAGAAAAAGAAGCAAGAAACTTTTTATAGTTTCTTTAAACTATTAAAGTTTAAAGATAATCTCTGTGCAGAAAAATATAGGGCTGGGCATGATGGCTCACATCTGTAATCCCAACACTTTGGGAGACTGAGAGGGGTGGATTGCTTGAGCTCAGGAGTTTGAGACCAGCCTGGGCAACACGGTGAAACCCCATCTCTACAAAAAAAAAAAAAATTAAAAAGTAGCTAGGCATGGTGGCGTGCACCTGTAGTCCCAGCTGCTCAGAAGGCTGGGGTAGAAGGATGGCTTGAGCCAGGGAGGATGAGGTTGCTGTGAGCCACAATCATGCCACTGCACTCTAGCCTGGGTGACAGAGCCAGACACTATCACAAAAGAGTGTGAGTGTGCGCACGTGCACGCGTGCACGCGTGTGTGTCTGTGTGTATACAAGTGCCATGGGAATGCAAATAAAAGAGTATCACTTTCTGCTGAGTTGAAAATTCAGAGAAAATTATAATGAAAATACAACATTTGGTAAGTATCTTATGGAAGTCTGCTAATTAGACAAATTATGGAGGAGAAGAGTTTTTCTGACAAATTGTATAAGGAAGGGCATATAGGTGTTCACATCCTTGCAGTATTTTTAGAGTCACAAATGATAATCCAGTGTGACCAAAGTATAGGGAGTATCAAAGCTAGAGGAAAAGGTCAGAGATAAGAATAGCAATATAGGTTATAGGCAATGATGCAAAGAAAGGGCCACTATGCTCTGCTGAGCAATTTAAGCTTGACTCTTTCTGCAGTTGTTGGAAATGTCACTTATGACAGTATAAAGAGACTTAAAACTAAAGCCTATGGGTCAAATCTGGCCCACCACCTGCTCTTCTACAACCTGTGAGTTAAGAATGGTTCATGTACTTTTAAAGGGGGTTAAAAATGGAAACAAGAATATTTTATGTCACATGAAACACACAAAATTCAAATTTCAATGTCCATAAAGTTTTACTGAAGCACAGGCATGTCCATTTGTTTATATATTGTGTATGCTGCTTTAGAAGTTACAATGGCACATTTAAGTAGTTATAACAGAGACTATATGGCCACAGAGCCTAAGTTATTTGCCATCTGTCCCTTTATAAAAGATATGAGTCAGAGAAGAGACTGAAACCATGGAGACCTATATAATAAAACTATTGCAATGGTTCAGGTTGTTAGCGTCTATTCCAGAACAAGTGGCATGGTGGATACAGAGGAAACACATATTTGAGAGACTTCTAAGTAGCACAATCAACAAAACTTCTAGACAGATTGGCCAAAAGAGATGAGGGAAATAAATGAATCAATGGGAGGAAGCAATTTATTTCCTGTGATTTCTAAGAAAAGCCAATTTCTTATTTGTTCTCAAGGGATCGCTCTTGAGTACTTTCAGTGATGCAGCTGCTGTTAGTCACATTTTTTATGCATAGTCTTGAAGCAGTCTTAAACACTGGCAAAATCATCCAAAGCTTCAAACAGGCTAATTATTCTGGATACTAATGTTTTTTCTTCCTGGTGTATACTGGTGGGGATAGAGATGGCAACAGGTTTCTGAGAGATATGTCAACTGATTTTTGTTTGTTTTACTAATGAGCCAGAAGAAGGAAGAAGGAATACTGGAGCTTGGGCTTTGAGAACCCAGGGCACTCCCATAGGGGAAAGAAGAGTGGGCCTTGGAGACACAAAGGCCATGAATGGTGGACACGCAGAGATTGTGGTGGATGCCATGTCTGGCATGGGCTGGTCTCTAGAAGCATACGATCTACACACAATTTTCAATGTTCTTCCTTTGCAAAGTGTTACATCACCAAGATCTGCTAATTCTCCACAGCCTTTTCTTCAATTTCGGTGGCCCTGGTCTGTTGTTTAGGTAAAACCTACAGAGGAATGTGGAGTAGGCAGAGCAGAGGAGAAAAAGCAACAACAGAGACAAAAGCCCTCCCCCAGGACCCTCAGTAGTCACAGGGAAGAGGATAGGCTCCTTCTGTCCTGTGGAGTGAGGCTTTTGCTACTACATTTCTACATTAAAGAAATGGATGACCTGAGAGGGCTGAAAACTTGGGGATACTTCAGTTCTCACAAATAAATATGATGCATGGGCCAGGCACGGTGTTTTGTGCCTGTAATCCCAGCACTGTGGGAGGCCTGGATGAGATGATCGCTTGAGCCCAGGAGTTCAAGACCAGCCTGGGCAACATAGCAAGACCTTGTCTCTACAGAAAACAATAAAATAAAATACAAAATAAACGTGGTATAATCTCTGCTCTCAACGAACTGACAGTTTGGGGCCTTGATGAACAGGTAGGATTCAAAGTTATTCTAGGCAGGTGAGAAAGTTTGAGCAAAGCCAAGAAAGTGGAAAATCCCAGAGCCTTTAGGGTTTGTTTTTTGTTTTTATCCTTTTAACTGGGAGAAGAAAAGAGCTCTCTCTGTTCCAAAAAACTTACTTAAAATGTACTTTTGGAACGCAACCCATTTATAAGCAAGGGCCTTCCTGCATAGATTAAAAGAACAAAATGTACTAAGCCTTCACAGATGCATGGCCAGAAAGAGATATTTCCAGTTGAAAAATGAAAACACGAACAAATGATTATTTTCAGTTCCTCATTTGCAGTCAGCAATGAGGTGGCATATTTTAATTCCATAAAGCTATTTTAATTACATAAAAATCCATCATTATCAAGCACCATTTAGAGTCTTAATCTAGAAGTGTGTTTTCAAATGCTTAAACACAAAGATCGTGTTTAATGGAATCATATGATTGCAGTAAATCTTCCCTTTCTATTACTCTGCAGATTTTCAAAGACTCTTCTAATATTAATATTTGCCTAAAGGTAATATAAACACAGTAACTATGATAATAACATATATCTTGTATTTGTACCAGCATCACTTTTAACAATTTTTAAAATTTGCATAGATACAGCTCTTATAATATTCAATGATCTTTCCCATTGTACTGTCTCCAAATGCTCTTAAGAAAAGTTGAGGAGATACCTCCATTTTTTAAAAGAGGAAACTAGCTGCAGAGATTAAGAGATTGGCCCAGAACCACAAAACCGCTTATTGGTTTCACCTCCCAACTCCTAATCTACAGCTGTTGCTAATGATACCTCCCTTGCAGCTATAAGGATCCCCAGGTGTACAGAGTCTCAAAAAGATCATCCCTAAAAACAAATCAGATAACTTGGATTATGAATTAATTGAATTAACTGCACATTTTAGGAAATCAAAACTGCCTTTGATAGTGTTCATCTGTTGATTCCAGCAATACAATAATTATGACAAGCAGAGATTAGGGGACAGACACAATCATAATCTGGAAGAATTAATCTGTTGATATCTAGCAAATATTTATATTTCAAATTATGTAAAGTGTTTTAGTTACACATAGAATAAACCATACATTTTAAAGCACTGCCATTAGCCAAAGCAATAATGTTAGTCACAATTTTTCAGTTCTATTGTATCAAAGGTGAAATCAATATCTCCTGAGGCTGACTATAAAGAAAGAAAAAATATAGATTTGAATTGATTTAACAAAGAAAATGAATATAATTATGATGGTCTGATAAACCCAAAATTAGGAAGCAACTTATCAGATAAATATTCTCATCGGCATGTCTGTCTCATGCTCTAAGCAACATAACCTATACCAATTGGGGCCACTGTTCCACAGAAAGGAAGTACTGCCACTTTTTTTTCTTTCTTTTCTTCCTTGAGGAAATGATGTTAACTATATGGAGCAAGTGAATATGAAAGATGAAAAAACAATTTCTGACACCACATGTAACAATGCAGAAGATGGTGTGTATTTAGTCTTTCTTTTTTCTTTTTTTTGAGACGGAGTCTCACTTTGTCGCCCAGGCTGGAGTGCAGTGGCGCAATCTCGGCTCACCGCAAGCTCCGCCTCCCAGGTTCATGCCATTCTCCTGCCTCAGCCTCTCCAGTAGCTGGGACTACAGGCGCCCGCCACCACGCCCGGCTAATTTTTTTTGTATTTTTAGTAGAGACGGGGTTTCACCGTGTTAGCCAGGATGGTCTCGATCTTCTGACCTCTTGATCCGCCCGCCTCGGCCTCCCAAAGTGCTGGGATTACAGGCGTGAGGCACCGCGCCCGGCCTTTAGTCATTTTTTAATTGAGAATATTCTCTACTAGTAAGTGATGCTCTTGAGAAACAGAATGAACTTTAACCAATTTAACTTTTCCTGAAGGTAAGACTGCGGGACAGGCATACATGAGTGCAAGTCTCCATCACAGGGGATGAGATACAAAGTAAAACACAGTAGACTTCCCTATTCACAGACCACTCACCTCTCACAGGCAAGGACCAAGCTTGTCCACCTCATGCTGCCATTGCCTGACCTAAGAGATTGGCATTTAGTAGGGACGCAGCAAGTAAGTTTGAATGCATGAATAAAGTGTTATGGCAAACTGGATTTCCTGACTAGCTAAGACAATATGAACCCTAGGTTGCCAAATTTCAAGGAATTCATATACTTGAAACTGCATTTAGCCCCACAGCATTTCTGATCACTTGGTCACTTAAAATATTCCTTCGGAACTTCAGAGTCATTCAGTGCCTCAGGGCTTTTTCTTAATTTTTTTTTATTTCAAGTTCTGGGATACATGTGCAGGACGTGCAGGTTTGTTACAAAGGTAAATGTGTGCCACGGTGGTTTGCTGCACCTATCAACCCATCATCTAGGTATTAAGCCCCCATGCTTTAGCTATTTGTCCTGATGCTCTCCCTCCCCCAGGCCCCACGGAGAGGCCCCAGGGTATGTTATTCCCCTCCCTGTGTCCATGTGTTCTCACTGTTCAGCTCCCACTTATAAGTGAGAACATGTGGTGTTTGGTTTTCCATTCCTGTGTTAGTTTGCTGAGGATAGGGCTTCCAGCCCCATTCACGTCCCTGCAAAGGACATGATCTTTTTTCCTTTTTATGGCTGCATAGTATTTCATGGTGTATATGTACCACATTGTCTTTATCCAGTCTATCAAAGATGGGCATTTGGGTTGATTCCTTGTCTTTGCTCTTGTGAATAAGCAATGCAATGAGCATACGCATGCATGTATCTTTATAATAGAATGATTTATTTTTTATTTATTTATTTTTTGAGACGGATTCTTGCTCTGTCTCCCAGGCTAGAGTGCAGTGGGGCGATCTTGGCTCACTGCAAGCTCCGCCTCCTGGGTTCACGCCATTCTCCTGCCTCAGCCTCCGGACTAGCTGGGACTACAGGCACCCACCACCATGCCCGGCTAAGTTTTTTGTATTTTTAGTAGAGTCGGGGTTTCACTGTGTTAGCCAGGATTGTCTGGATCTCCTGACCTCGTGATCCGCCCAGCTTGGCCTCCCAAAGTGCTGGGATTACAGGCATGAGCCACCGTGCCTGGTCAATAGAATGATTTATATTCCTTTGGGTATATACCCAGTAATGGAATTGCTGGGCCAAATGGTATTTCTGGTTTTAGGTCCTTGAGGAATCACCACACTGTCTTCCACAATGGTTGAACTAATTTACATTCCCACCAACAGTGTAAAAGCATTCTTATTTCTACACAGCCTCACCAGTATCTGTTGTTTGACTTTTTAATAATCATCATTCTGACTGGTGTCAGATGGCATCACACTGCGGTTTTGATACGCATTTCTCTAATGATGGTGATGTTGAGTTTTTCATATGTTTATTGGCCGCTTAAATGTCTTCTTTTGAGAAGTGCTGATGTCCTTTCAGAGCTGTTTTTAAGGACAATATTATACAGCATAGGGGTAAAAAGAATGTTTCGGCTATTTACAAATTAATAAATTATTAGGCTAAATTATGTTATCTACAAGTTATAGGTTATCTATAAGTCAATTTATAGTTGAATAAATTGGATAGAGCATCATTCCTTAACACAGTGTTATTTAGATTTCATATCTAAGTTTACTCTCTTCTTAGTAACTTGACTCTCTCCATTTTCTTAAAAACACACCCAAGTGGTTTATTCACTTAACTGATGTGTTTTTATGAACTTACTTTACGTGCTGGAAGTACAGTGGTGAAGACAACAGACAAAACCCCTGCCTTCACTGAGTTTACATTCCATTTTAGAAAGAAGACAAACAATAAATACATAAATAATCAAAATATATACTTTGCCAGAGAGTGACATAAGCTATGAAGAAAATAAAGTGAGGTAGGGAGGTAGGGTGTATACAAGGAAAGGGAGTGCAATTCTAATTAAGGGAGACAAGTTTTCGCTGAGCTGCTATCTGAGCACAGACCCTGAGGAGGTGAGGCAGATGACCATGCAACCATCTGGGGGAAAAATGTTTCAGGAACATGGATCAGAGAGTGCAGAGGCCTGACAAGTGTTTAAGAAAAACAAGGAGACAGTAAGGCCAGACAGAGAGAGTGAGGAGAGTGGTCTTGGGAACAGGCCTGGGAGTTGAAACCACAGAGGTAACGGTTGCATCATCTGTGCAGTCTGATACACTATTGTGTAAACGTTAGATTTTTACCCAGGTATGTAGCCATTGGAGAGTGAGGAAGAGTAAAGCAACTTGATCCAAGTTAGGTTAAAAGAATTGCTCAGGCTACTGTGTTAAGAACAGAGACTGGGGGCCAGACGGGAAGCAGGGAGAAGAGTTAGGGGCACTGCAATAATCCAGGCAAGAGATGATTGACCAATTATGAGACTAAGGAGTCAAAGATAGAGAGATCAAAATATCAGTGTGATTGTTAGTTAAAAACTCAGTTGGAGACAGAGAGAAGAACAGTGAGTTTCCTGTTCTGAATGATAGGATGGCTCTTATTATTTTGAAGTATGTTCCTTCCATGCCCAGTTTTTTGAGAGTTTTTAACATGAAAGGATGTTGAATTTTACTGAAAGCCTTTTCTGCATCTGTTGAGATAATAACGTGGGTTTTTTTTTTAGTTCTATTTATGTGATGAATCACATTTATTGATCTGTGTATGTTGAATCAACCTCCATCCAGGGGATAAAACCTACTTGATATTTACCTATCCACAGGTCTAAGCTAAGCTCGCAGCATAGGCAGGAGCAGTCATCCAGCAAACAGTAAAGAGAAGGTAGAAAAGGTCTCAACCAGATTCCTTTTCTCGATTGTATAATTTACTCCTTTCCCTCTGGAGAGGAGCAAGTGAGGGGTAGAGAAAAGTTAGAAAGGTACTACAATAGTGACCCTTTGAGCTGGAATCAGAGGAGAGGAATATATCCCTCCCTACCTCATCTTGCTTTTTGTTCACTTAATGCACGAGGTTTAACTATTAAGCCCATGATAAAGCAAGGATATTAGACATCGCATTGGACAAGAAGGTCAGCAGACTATCAGGGAAGTCTAGTCTCTACTTTTATGAGGCTACTCTCCGAACACCAAACTCCTGCTCCACTGTGGATCCACCTGAGGCTACTGGTGATCAGGATAGATTTCACCCCCACAATGCTCTGACATGTATATTAACTAATAAAGTCAGGATGATCTTTTCTAAGTCTGGACATTCCATCTCTGTTCTATTTCTTATCACAAATTATTTCCAGTCCCATTGGCCAATACTCATCAGAATTTCTGCAATGAAATTAAATGATAATATGAAGATACCTCATATTGTAAAAGTACAATGAACCCAAGATACCTCAGATTTGGCTATGACTCCTACCCCAGCAAATTCCCAGGGAAAAGTAAAATCTGAAGATTAAATCTGTCTAAAAATTAAAATCCAAAGATTTCTAAATCGAAGAGATGTAAAGTATGAAGGAAAATTATCATACTTTTCTACCAACCAGAAAAAGCCCAGGAACAGATGGCTTTACAGCCAAACTCCACCAGATGAGTTGATATTAAGAAGAGATGATACCATTCCTACTGAAGCTGTTCTAAAAAATTGAGGAGGAAAGACTGTTCCCTAACTCATTCTATGAAGCCAGTATCACAACAAAAATAGAAAACTTCAGGCCAGTAGCTTTGATAAACTTAGATGCAAAAATCCTCAACAAAAACTAGCAAACCAAATTCAGTAGCACATCAAAAAGCTAATCCATCACAATCAAGTAGGCTTTCTCTCTGGGATGGAAGTTTGGCTCAACATACGCAAATCAATAAATGTGAGTCATCACATAAAAAGAACTAAAGAAAAAAAACACATGATTATCTCAACACATGCAGAAAAGGCTTTTTGATAAAATTCAATGTCCCTTCATGTTAAAAACCCTCAAAAAACTAGATATTGTAGGAACATACTTCAAAATAATAAAAGCCACCTATGACATACCTACAGCTAACGTCACACTGAATGGGCAAAAGTTGGAGGCATTCCCCTTGAAAACTAACACAAGACAAAGATGTCATCTCTCCCCATTCCTATTCAACATAGTCTAGGCCAGGGCAATCAGGCAAGAGAAAGAAATAAAAGCCATCCAAATAGGAAGAAAGGAAGGCAAACTATCCCTGTTTAGAGACAATATAATTCTATACCTAGGAAACACCCCCAGTGTCTGCCCAAAAGCTCCTAGATAATGATAAACAACTTCAGTAAAGTTTCAGAATGCAAAAATCAGTGTACAAAAATCAATAGCATTCCTATGTATCAATAATGTCCAAGCTGAGAGCAAAATCAAGAATGCAGTCTCATTCACAATAACCTCAAAAAGAATAAAACACCTAGGAATACAGTTAACCATAGAAGTAAAAAATCTGTATAAAATTACAAAACACTGCTCAAAGTAATCATACATGACACAAATGGAAAAACACTCCATGCTCATGGATAAGAAGAATGATTATCATTAAAATGGCCATATTGCCCAAAGCAGATTCAATGCTAATCCTATCAAACCACCAATGACATTCGTCACGAATTAGAAAAAGCTACTTTAAAATTCACGTGGAACCAAAAGAGGGACCAAATGGCAAAGGGAAACCTAAGCAAAAAGAACAAGGCTGACAGCATCACGTTACCTGGATTCAAACTGTACTACAAGCCTACAGTAACCAAAACAGCATGGTATCCATACAAAAACAAACACATAGATCAATGGAACAGTACTGAGGGCCCAGAAATAATGCCACACAACTAAAGCCAACTAATCTACATCAAAATCAACAAAAACAAGCAATGGGGAAAGGACTTCCTATTTTATTGGGGAACCTGCCCCAATATTCACGTAGGTTCTTTTCTATTTTTCCTAAGTGTCAGCCAGCTTGAGAAATAAGGGGACAGAGTACAAAAGAGAATAATTTTAAAGCCGGGGGAGACATCAGATGTCAGTAGGTTCCATGATGCCCCCACAAGCCGCAAAAAACAACAAGTTTTTATTAGGGAGTTTCAAAAGGGGAGGGAGTGTGTGAATAGGTGTGGGTCACAGATATCACAAGGCAAGTGGAGGCAGGGCGAGATCACAGGACCACAGACCAAGGCAAAATTAAAATTGCTAATGAAGTTTCGGCACCATTGTCATTGATAACATCTTATCAGGAGACAGGGTTTTGAGGTCAACCGGTCTGACCAAAATTTATTAGGCGGGAATTTCCTCTTCCTAATAAGCCCAGGAGCGCTATAGGAGACTAGAGTCTATTTCACCTCTGCAGTCTCGACCATAAGAGACAGGCGCACTTGGGGGGGCTGTTTATAAGCCTATACCTCCAGGCACATATTCTCTTTCTCATGTCACCTGGACTCAAACTGTACTACAAGCCTACAGTAACCACAACAGCATGGTATTGGTACAAAAACAGACACATAGATCAATGGAACAGTACTGAGGGCCCAGAAATAATGCCCCACAACTAAAGCCATCTAATCTACATCAAAATCAACAAAAACAAGCAATGGGGAAAGGACTCCCTATTCAATAAACGGTACTGGGATAACTGGCTAGCCATATGCAGAAGACTGAAACTAGACCCATTCCTTACACCATAAACAAAAATAAACTCAAGATGGATTAAAGATTAAATGTATAAACCTATAAAAATCCTGGAAGATAACCTAGGAAATACCATTCTGGACATAGGATCTGGTAAAGATTTCATAATTAAGACACCAAATCAATTGCAACAAAAACAAATTTGACAAATGGGACCTAATTAAACTAAAGAGCTTTTGTGCAGCAAAAGAAATTATCAACAGGGTAAACAGACAACCTACAGAATAGGAGAAAATATTTGCAAATTCTGCATTTGACACAGATCTAATATCCAGAGTCTATAGAGAACTTAAATAAACTTACTAGTAAAAGACAGACAACCCCAGTAAAAAGTTGGCAAATGACATCAACACTTTTCAAAAGAAGACATACATGTGGCCAACAAGCATATGAAAAAATGCTCAACATCGTTAATCATTAGAGAAGTGCAAATCGAAACCACAATGAGGACCCTGTGAAAACCATCTCACACCTGTCAGAATGGCTATTTTTAAAACATCAAAAAATAACATATGCTGTTGAAGTTGTGGAGAAAAGGGAACACTTATACACTGCTGGTGGGAATGTAAATCAGTTTAGCCATCGTGGAAAGCAATTTGGTAATTTCTCAAATAACTCAAAGCAGAATTACCATTTGACCCAGCAATCCCATTATTGGGTATATACCCAAAGGAATATAAATTGTTCTACCATAAAGACACATGCACGCATATGTTCACTGTAGTACTGTTCACAATAGCAAAGACATGAAATCAACCTAAATGCCCATAAATGTTAGACTTGATAAAGAAAATGTAGTATATATACACCATGGAATGCTATGTAGCCTTAAAAAAAGAATGAGATCATGTCCTTTGCAGCAACATGGATGGAGTTGGAGGCCATTATCCAAAGTGAGCTAACACAGGAACAGAAAACCAAATACTGCATGTTCTCATTTACAAGTGGGAGCTAAACACTGAGTACATAGGATCACAAAGAAGGAAAAACAGACACTGGAACCTACTTGATGGCATAGGGTAGGAGGAGAGTGAGGATCAAAAAACTACCTATCAGATATTACATTTATTACCTGGGTGGTGAAATAATCTGTAAACCAAACCCCCATGAAACACAATTTAACTGTGTAACAAACCTGTACATGTACCCCTGAACCTAAAATAAAAGTTAAAAAGGAAAAAAACTTGCTTTTTTGAGTTAAAAGTCCAAAAAATGAACATCTTCCTCGATTTCCTATCTTGTGCAATCTCAGCAGAAGGGACTTTTACAGCTCATGCATACTGGGAGTTCTTTGAGCAGCTATAGCCTGAACCGTCTCTCAAGGAAATGGGTTTCTTTAGGTCTCAGTGTTATTAGTTCAGTATTAAGTATGTCTTACAAACTTCACTTTTAAGAAGTTCAGATTGTCAATAGTCTACTCAAGTATCACATCTTGGCACTATCTCCCCTTAAAATCCCAGGCAAATTTATGGTCCCTAACTCTGTACTTAATATTTCCAAAAGCCACAGCAAACATTCAATAGTGTCAGAAGGAAGGGAAAGGCACGGAGAAAACCTTCCTGGTTTTCTTCTTTCTGGGCTGTCGTTTAATTTATGTTAATTGTTAAGGGTTCATGACAAAAGCAAAAATGGACAAATATGACATCAAACTAAAAAGCTCTGTACAATAAAGGGAACCATCAACAGAATGAATGGGCAACCTAAAGGATAAAAGGGAATATTTTCCAACCATTTATCTAATAAGAAATTAATATCAAAGATTAATAAGGAACTTCTACAACTCAATAGCAAAAAATCAAATAATCTGATTTAAAAACGGGCAAAAGACTTGAGCAGACATTTCTCCAAAGAAGACATACAATGGCCAACAGGTATATAGAAAGCTCAACATAGCTAATCATTAGGGAAATACAAATCTAAACCACAGTGATATATTTCACAATGAAATATCACCTGTCAGCATGACTATTTTCAAAAAATAAACAGATAATCGGTGCTGGTGAGGATGTGGAGAAATTTGCACACTGTTGGTGAGAACATAAAATGGTGTAGCCACTGTGGAAAACTATGGAGTTTCCTTTAAAATCTGAAAGATGGAACTACCACATGATCCAACAATCCCACTTTTAGGTACATATTCGAAACAATTGAAATAAAGATCTCAAAGACAAATCGGCATGCCCACGTTCACTGCAGCATTACTCAGTATAACCAAGATGTGGAAACAAACTAAATGTCCATTGCAGATAAGTAGATACAGAAAATTGGGCATATAAATACAATGGAATATTATTCAGCCTTAAAAAGAAGAGAATTCTGACATATGACATAAATAAACAGTGGAGTACATTATGCTAAGTGAAATAAGCCAATCACAGAAGGACAAATATTGCATGATTCTACTTACATAAAGTATCTGTAATACTCAAGCTCATAGAAACAAAGACTGGAATGATGGTTGCCGAAGACTGGTGGGAAGGGGAAATGAGGAGTTGTAGTTCGATGGAGTAGTTTGTTATGCAAGATGAATATAAGATCTACTGTACAATACAGTGCCTGTAGTTAACAATACTGTATTGTGCACTTTAAAATTTTGTTAAGAGGGTAGATCTCATGTTAAGTGTTCTTACCACACACACAAAAAATCATGCAACAAACAAATAAAACACACAGCAGGGGATAGGGAAATTTTACAGGTAATTGATGTTTATTACCTTGATTGTGATGATTGTTTCACAGGGGTATAGATATACCCAAACTCATTAAATTCTATACATTAGATTCGCAGAGTTTTTATATATCAATTATATCTCAATAAATATGTTTTTAAAAATTGTCAAGGATCGATGACCTGCATACTTAAACTCTTATAAAGTAGTAGGAGGGAATGAGACAGTGAATTCAGGGGTAGGGAGGTATGTTTATTTGATATAGAGAATGAAAGTTTCTGAGGCCTTCCGTCTTCTCTAAAAAGGAGAGAGGAAGGCAAGACTGCTAAGAATAAGGAGTAGGATGGAGAATGGGATTTGGAATGTTCAAGAGAGTAAAGAAAATTTGAAATAGCTATTTTGAAAATCGGAGAATACATTGTACAGCGATTTAATTGGACTGTCAAGCAGTACGAAAAGACCATTGGAAGTCAATGAAACATAAACATAGACAGAAACTAATGTTCTCTTTTATGTGAATTTCTCCGGGAGCACTCAGAAAATGACAACTAAGCTCAGTCATGAAAAAAAAAAAAATGAAGAGCTAAATTCATCCAAATTACAGTTGGTCCAGTGAGCTGCAGAGAAAATAGAAGGACCAGGCATTTTTAGGGTATTTTCAGGAGTAATGTTGCAATTGCAGGTCATGGTTTCTAATTTAGGTTAGGAGAGAAATGGAGAAAGCAGGTAGCAGCAGAAATGGGAGAAATTACGCAGATCAATGGTTTGATGGCTTAAAGAGGTTGGAGGATGAGTGTAGTGGGGTTATTCCAGCAAGTTGGAGGGAGAGAGGCTATGGTCAGAGTTAGATTATTGAATCAGTGATTTTGGAAATGGAGCAATTACTGAGAATAGCAAGATCCAAAGGTGTGAATATGGGAATGGATGGTTGAAGTAAAGGATAAAAGGATTAGGGCAGGGGCAAGAGATCCAAGAAAAAATGGTGTTGGCTGAATGGTCATGTGATTGCTAACCATCACAACCACCAGGATGACAGAGCACTGGGTGGAGAGGAAGGCAGTAACATCACAGGGTAACAACAGTGAGGATGGGAAAAGGTGGTACAGCAAATGTCAAGAACCTCAACAACAAAACAAAAGGAGAAAAAAGAAACATTTTTTTTGTCTTGAGTGAGTAAAAACCTAGAATTGCAGTGAAAAGAAAGAAAGATACTTGTCTACCTCCTGGTCTCAGTGAATGTGGAACATCAAAAAAACAACAGCTACCACTTCAGATTCAGGAGAACCTGTGTCCTCAAGGTAAAAAAAAAAGTTTTACTTACAGCAAAGAAATAGAGGAAATTTATCTTCCCTTTCTGTTTTCTTCTTTTATTCCTTTTACAAATACACAAATATCTCTCATGTGCCAAAACTTGTTCTAAGTTTGAGAAATACAGTGGGAGAAACAAGGTTCTCACACTTAGGGAGTTTACATTTCCATGGTGGGAGAAAGAAAGTAAATATAAGAATGCATATTATGTAATATAATAATCATTAATAATAATTTCTGTGAAAAAAAGAGCAAAGGAGAGTGGTGAGGTTGGAAAAGCTATTTGGGATAAGATCTGTAGATATCATCATTGCAATGTAATATTTGAATAGAGATGGAAAGAATGCTAAAAGGAAAGGTGATCATGCAGCGGATGTTGCTAATGGAGGAGTGACGGACACAATGGAGGTATCTGGAGGTGGGAAAAGAATGAATAGGATGGATAGAGACCTGCATATGTAGCCAAAAATGCTGAAAAGCATTTTGGACACTCTAGTAGGTGAAGGTTTGATGGAAGTGCTAGAGGTCTAACAACTGGGAGTTGACTGAAAAAAGCTGGAATGAAAGGAATGTGACAGTAAATGTTTAGTAACTGGCTCTTTGGAGAGAGACAGGGGAAAGATAGGGGAAGCTCTGCTTCACAGTGTTTGCTAATTTCTATGCTATAATTACTCCCGCCATGACTGATTCCAGGTACGGATGGCTTAACAACCAGATTGCAAAATTTCTGAAAATTTGGCAGTCAATTCTTGCAAGCTGGATAAGCTGGCTCCAATACACCTTTGATTGAAAGGTACAGAATATTTAATTTTGACCTCCTTTATAAGAAGGGTCTTGTGGCCAAAGAATCTGTCTCAACTGGCTCTTGCAAAATGCTAGTCCCTTGATCTTGGACTTCCTAGCTTCCAGACCCTTGAGAAATAAATTTCTGTTCATTATAAATTTTTACCCAGTCTTGGGTATCCTGTTATAGCAGCACAAAATGAACTAAGACATAAACCATGTTAAGATTCAACTTTCTGTACATAAGAGAATAAAAATCAGAGTCAACAATTATACACATACAGAGACACACAGATATGATTATAACTCCCCATGTATAAGTAACTCCTACAAATGTATAACAAAAGGAGAAAAAAATAGTAGAGTAGGAAAAAGAAGCCATTCACAGAAGATAAATTGTAAATGGCGATTACATACATGAAAAGATGTTTTACTCATTACCAATTTGGGAAATGAAAATTTAACCACAAGGTGATCCAACTGTGCATACAATAGTCATACAAAATCAGATTGGAAAGCATGTAAAACAAAGGGAATTCTTATACATTGTTGGTCTGTTTAAATGGATACTATGATAGTGGTGAGCAGTTCAATGTCTCATAAAGATGTATTTCCCATGCCCCGGAAATTTCACTCATATGTGTGAATATAGACTAACAAAACACATACATATGCACAGAGATAAGCAAAGCATGTTTATGGCAGCAATTTTTGCAACTGAAAAAATAACCTGAAACTAACCTGATTGTCGATCAATTGAGTAATGGCAAATGTATAACAGCTGTAGAAAGAAGTGAACTAGAGATATGTGTGTAACATAGATGAATCCTACCAAACTGACACTAAGCAGGAAAAAGAGTAGGATAAAAGAGTGGACATTATATATAAAGTTTATAAACATGCAAATCTAGGCTACATATATTGCTTAAAATGTAAACTTACAAGGTAAAGTTACATTTAAAAAAGAATACATGGTATGATAATCTCCAAATTTCAGTAAATGGAAAGAGAGGGGGAATATGATGAAGGAAGAAAATACTGGGAGATTCAATAAGTTGGTAATATTGTATTTCTGAACTGTATGGTATGAACAAATATATTCATTGTATAATAGTTTAACCTTTTTTGCACGTTAAATAAGTCATAATATTTTAAAAGATTCTTAACCTCCTTTATAATTATAGAAATGTAAATATTACAGAAGTTTAATTACCTAGAAAACATACTTACTTGGAGGTTTCCATTCTCTAAAGCATTTCTTTCTCCAGCCTGAAGTAAATCAGCGTTTGCACATCACAAAGCTTTCGACACAGAATTCTAATTTGCAAAGGTTATTTTAGCACAAATGGAAAAATAATAATTCCGTTCATGAAGGTGTAATTCTTCAAATGTAATGGGCTTTGCTAGTCTGTGATGAGCATATAGCACGGATTCATACAACTTTTCAGGAAATATATAAATGTAATTTAATGTGATAATTATATATTCAATTGATTTGTTAAAACAAACTTTTTGTAGTGAAATTTTCACAGATCAGTGCCTGTATTGTATAGCCTAGGTGTTTGATTTGAAACTAAACAGATTTCATCGACCATATATATATTTAAAAGATGATTTTGATGAGAATTTTAAAGTAACCTATGCTAAACCAAAAGAAAAAAGTAGGTTTATTTATATGAGTAAATCATCTGTTTTCAAACATTTAGGATGGCAAATGGAAGGTAAACCAACATTGCTGTATACAGAACAGGTATGCAAAATAGGTCTTATTTTTTCCACACTGCAGATAAAAATAAACCAAAAAAGTAAGAATTAGAAAGCTCAGATAATTTGTATACTGTCAAAAAGCCATAAAGTAGCCAAATCAGTGTATGAGTTTGTTCTTTACTCCAAATTTCACACTGCTAAATCTAAATCTGGATTGCCGGAGTTAGCAAATGTATATACGGGAATCCCAGTTAGATTTTAATTTCAGGTAAACAATGAATAATTTTATAGTATAAGTACGATTATTTACTATAAATCTGAAATTAACGTTGAATGGATATCTTATATTTTTTGTGGCAAACCTAATTACTTAACAATATCATTCAAAAAGTAAGTACAGGGAGAGATAAAATTAAATAACAAATGAATCTTTTATTAGAAACTAGATAATTAGAATCTAAAAAGGGTAGATAACACATATTATAAATGTTCTCTTTTCCAAATGTTTCTTACAATTTATTGGTGTTTTCCCAAATATCTCTAAAGTCTTTGGCAGGAAAAAACAGAAATATAAATTAGGCTTCTGACATTTACATTACTGGCAGTAAAAGATAAATAGCTTCTTGACTTAGTAATACACCCAAACAATATTGCTGCTGTAATCTCAAATACCTTCAGCAACTTAACTATAACAGCTGGCTCTGCAATATCATGATAACAGCTGTGACTCCTTACCTAGAGAATGTTAATGTAAATTTCAGGTGAGTCATATTGGTGAAGCTGCTTGTGAAACTATGAACAGCCCCAGTATTTGTAATCATGAACAACAGCAGTTGCAGAAATCTTGACATCCACAATGATAATTTGAAAAGTCACATTGTAACCACTAATTTTGATATCTCTCACCTTCAGACATTTTCAGAGTGGGCAACAAGTCAATTCATCACGCTGGAATTTTATTAGATTATACCCAGCAATGAAATATGGTGATTGAAATAAATTCTTCTTAAATTCTGAACACCCATAATTCTATGAATTTATTTCTAAAATATAAGCTCGAAGACATTTAGCAACAAAAATACTAAATAAAAGAACAGTACCCGAAATGAGAAGGGAAGTAAAATTACTTATGTGAAAGCTTTTTAGTCTACTCATTAATTTTTATTACTAAGAGACACACCAAATACATGCCTAGAGATAATCTAATCAGTAGTTTGACAGATTCTGTCACGTCATTGTTAAAAAATAAATTTAAATGCCTCAAAAATATTAAAGGTTTATGTTTATATCTAACTTGAGTACAGATTCGATAGAACAAAATAAAGCACATCTATTTCATTTTAACCAACATTTACGTAGTACTTACCATGTATCAAGAGCTGTTCTTAACATTTTGTTAACACTAACTCATTTGTTATTCCTTCATAATACCATGGGGAAACAGTAGTCCAAAGAGATTCAGTAATTTTCCCACAATCGTATAAACTAGAGCAGGACCAGGATCAGAACCCAGGCAGGCTTGTTCCAGAAAAGGGCTTTTGACCCTAATGATAGACTGGCTCTTCCACATAAAAATATTATGGTATTAATTTACAATTGGACTCAAATTATTCCAAGCAACTATCAAGTGCCACCCACATGCTAGACACTTTACCCAAATTATCTCAATTTCTTGGCATGTCACTGGGAGTGGGGTTTTATCATCCCTAGGTCATTGGCAAAGCCCAGAGGGGTTGAGAGGCTTGAAGAAGATCATAAAAGTGACTGCCAGACCTTAGGTTTCAAGCAAGGACTCTATGGCTTCAAAACCCAAGTCTTCAAATATTTATATGTTAATTAGCTTGATTTAGCCACTGTGCAAAGTGTGCACATATATTATATATATGGTAAAACATCATGATGTACATGATAAATACATACAATTTTTTTCAATTACTTTTTAAACCCATATCCTTTCTGTTCCTCAAAACAGCTTCCTTATGGTGACTTGGAGTAGACACCAGGGGTTTTAGCTTCTCAAAGATCTTTTCTCCTAGGATATATTTTCATGGAAAAAATAATAGACTCCTACAAGAAAACTCATACCTAAATGAGACAACTGAAACGCATATACATGCATGAGCCCATGCACGCAAACACCTACATTTGACACATAGGAATATCAATTGCTATGTAGGAATCTCAGACTCTTCAGCTGAGAGTCGTTTAAGAGGAGAACTGAAGCTAATTCATTCTTGTGTTCTTAGAGTTTAAGACAGCGTTTAGAATAAAATTTGTGCTCAGTAAATGCTAGATGAAGAAATGAATGAAGGCATCTCCACATTCCTTTAATTTAGGAATTTTTGCTAGAGATAAATTTCTGGAAATATATAAATACAATCTATTACATAGCTGTTCCCAGGACTAGAGAACCACTCATAACTTGGTTCCTAAAGACAGGTTCTGGTAAAAACTACAGCTTCTACCACCACTTTCTTCCAGCCCCCAAAGTCAAGTAGTGTATCTTTGAACCTATCAATTAATAAACAGATCTTTGAACAAAAACAAAGATATCGCCAGGAAAATCTGGTATGTATATTTCACTTACTATTACACTGTTCCAAATATCCTCTTATTACTGCCCTGAAGTTTACCAACTTCATCTTGTTGCAAATGAAAAAATAAATGCCTTTTCTAAAGGAACCAAAAAAAAATAGAAATATGAATGGCAAAGTAAAAATTCAAAATAATATTTTAATCTGAGTAGAACAAATTACTAACAACTACCTAGATGTTTTGGTTCATATCTTTGCCGACATGAATGTAGATATTTTAAGAATACATTTTTATTTGTAAAAATAAAACATATGCACATATATGCTTGTATTTATATATTTATATAAATCCAGATGCACCATATTGTATGATGCTGTGTGTGCATGTATACACACATGCACCTATAGTAAGGAAGCTCTCAGCTGAAAGATGGTTTTATAAGTTTGTTGGATTTTGGATTATACATTTATTTAAAATTAACTTGACACAGTTTTTGTCCTCAAAGGTCTTAACACATAATAAAAAAGACAAATATATATAAATATTATTGGGGGAAATACAGTGTGGGAAAGAAATGAAATTTATTAAAATGTACTAGACATGAAACAACACAGAAATTTGCTTTAAATTGGTTACTGGTCTTATAGTTCAATAGAACATTTTTAAACCTCATTGCAGTGTTGTGATCCATATAACAGCTGAGAGGCTGAAAACAAGAGAGGTCACACACAGGAGCTAAGAGCAATGATGCATTAAGCAAATGATCTCACCAAAACACTGCATTTGCAATGAAGAGCATAGAAAACAATCCTCATCTTTAAATAAAACAGAAAAACACACAATTGCTTTGTGGAAATAATTCTTAGGCCAGTTAAATATTCCAGTGGCCTTTCCCATCAAGTCTAATTTTACTGTTTGAAGACATCTCCCTTCCCCATCTCAAAAACAGAAAATTAATCAAAGAATTAAAATAATCAAAGTGATCTGTAGTCTTTCTACAATAAATAAATTATGAAGACACATTTGAAATCTCTATACCATCTTACTAAATACAGCACTGAGGATCTTCTATTTAAACAACAAAGTAGATTTGTGATATGCAATTAATAGAGTAGTTTTCAGCTCAAGTTCAGCTTCCCAAAAGCTGCATTATGTCACCAATTTGAAAGAAATGTGATGGAAATGACTGTGTGTGTTGCTTTGAGTGGATGTATGAGAATTCAAGACAAGCATATGTGATCTTTATAAAGAATCAAGGTATCTGTAAGCTGTATTTTGATGTAGATCATTAAATTTCTGCACCACGCCTCTAAATCAAACTTGCCTACTCACAGTAAGAAACCCCCCACAGCAAGAAACCAATTTATGCTGGTTTCATGACTGATTTTAAAGAATTCCCATTTGTATAAAGCATTTATTCCGTGTTGCAGCAAGCTATATCCAAAATCTCTTGTTCATTTGGATTTCTGCCACCACAATATGCAGCATTGTTAATATTATAACAGCTCATCATCAATATCAGAGCCAGAGTGTGTTAATCTGTTTTCACACATATGATGTTCTTTTGGAGGCTGCAGAAAAGTGAACAAACAAACTCTTCTGGGAATAATGAATCATGTAAAACAGTTAACATTGTAATCATCATTTGTGTGTGATGGACAAAAGCTATAGAATTACATTTAATCAATTGATAGGTTGGTATTGGCTTCGTAACTAAGTAACCACAAAACCATGGAAAGTTTCCGCTTCCTCTCAACCTTACTTTCTCTATCTGAAGAAAAGATTGATCTCCCATGGGACGCCTGTAATTTCTCTGTCTCTAACATTCTATAGCCCTCAGTGGACATAATAGATCATTGCATGGAAAAAAAACGAGCCAAGTATTGCGGAACTAAAATCATTAATTGTTTGGCTCAATGGGTCATCTAGATCCAGCAGACGTCAGTGCAATGTAGTACATCTGGCAGAGACAGAGTCCTTTTAAAAACCAGTGCATCTAATATATCACTCCTTTAAGCACTTAGTGTTGCTATTGTAATCCACAGAATTTGCAGCAAATTACATCACTTCACATAGAGACTTTTCACTCCCAAACACTAATACTCTACTATGAATTATCAGCCTCCGATGACACTATGATTCCTTCTATTATCTCTGCCTTAGTCTGCTGGCCTACTTTCAGGGCTCTGCTCCATGCTGTTCCTGATGCCCTGAAAGCTTTTTGCTTTCCACTTAGCTTAGTCAATTCCTTCTCCTTTTTCAGAACTCAGCTCCAGGGTCACTTTTGCAGAAAAATCTTTCTGGGAACACCTGTCTGTGTCCAGTACCCACAGTATGGGCATGAATAGTGGCATGAACTTTTCATGGTAACAGGTGTCACACGGCATTTTAAATTAATGCTGCTTCACTCATGAAGCTGTTAACACAAGGAAAGCAGAGATCAAGCTTGGTTTTAATATCACCCTGTACAATGGCTGACAAATAGTGAAACCCCAATGAATATTTTTAATGGAAGAATACTATTGTCTTTCATACTACTATTTTAACACACTATAACCAATTTTTAATTATAAGATTACCATTAATATTACTTTTAGCTCCTCCCCACAAGCCCTTCCTAGAGCTTAGAAATGAAATAAGCCAAAGCCTTAAAATTCCACCTTTAGGAACTAATACAGTTTGAATATTTGTCCCCTCCAAATGTCACGTTAAAACGTGATCCCCATTGTTGGAGGTGGGGTCTACTGGGAGGAGGTGTTTTTGTCATGGGGACAGATCCTTCGTGAATCACTTGGTTCCATTCCCTTAGTGATGCGTGAGTTCCCACTCTATTATTTCATGTGAGATCCGGTTGTTAAAAAGTCTGGCGCCTCCCACTCCACACTCTCTTTCTCACCATATGATACACATGCTCCCCCTTCACCTTCTGCCACGACTGTAAGTTCCCTGAGGTCCTCACCATGCTGGTACCATGCTTCTTGTGCAGCTTGTAGCACCATGAGACAAATCTCTTTTCTTTATAAATTTTCCAGCCTCAGGTATTCCGTCACAGCAACACAAAATGGCCTAACCCGTGAACTATATAAATCCATAGATCAACAAAATGACAATTTATATGGATGCACTTGATTTCCAATTACATAACTAAAAGTCTCAACCTCTGGAATGTCATTTTTGCCCTGCGTTCTTCTCATTTAGATAACAGAACAAATGCCACATTTGGGAGAGAGATGAAAATGGAACAAATATCACTGAGCATTGCCTGTTTATACAGGTGACCAATTTAAAGCTATATTGCTGACTAATGGGGGAGCAGCTTCAAGATGGCTGACTAGAGGTATCTGATACTTGCCCCCTCCACAAAGAAGAAGCAAAAGCATAGATCATCACATTTTGAATATATCAGTTCAGAGAGAACACTGGAATTCAACAGAGAAGTGACAGGAAATACCTAAAGCAAGAAAGGAGAGGGAAATAAGACAGCCTTCTCAGCTTGGATAAGCTGGGAACCCAGAGAGGTTCCCCAGTGCAAGGAAAGGGTAATGGAGAGACACCCGATCATCCACATGCCTATCATGGACTCTTGCAATTCTAGGCAAAGAGAGCCCCTCGAACTTCATGGGCTCTGAGACTAACATTGGAGGCTGACTGGAGACCACATGATGGCATTGCCCTAAAAAGAGAGCTCAGGCCAGGTCCCACATATCCCGCTAAGTTCTAAGCAGCTACAGCAAGGTACCATTTTGACAGCCCTGCCTCTACCAGATAGTATCCTGCACTGCGGCATAACAGGCCCTGAATCTCTTGCGACCCTGTAGCCCCATTGAAATCCCTCATCCGTAGACAACACTGCAGCTGGCTTCTCCTGTCAGGGCGAAAGTGCAAGCCACTGTCAATGACCTCATTGTCCCCAGCAGTGGAGCCACCATGCATTTTCATGTGACTTGAAGACAGATCCCAACACCTCTAACTGCCACCACTGTAGACTGCCACTGCCAAGGCTGATGCATGAGTGAAGAACAAGCTCCCTACCCACATGCATACAGTTGTTTCCACTGAAAACAACCCCACCTTCCCCAGTAGCAGGGCTGAAGTGAAACCACTATCACCCCATCCAAGCATTCCACCAGGGGCTTGAGGATCACTTCCCTCCCCTCCTACCACAGCCAGTGCCTGCATGCACTACAGGGGGCCTAAGGACAGGTCCTACCAGCCAGGAGCCACACCTCCTCCAGTGCCCAGACATGCCACGTGAGGACTAGGGGATTGCCCAGCTCAGTCCACCACCATTGTTATATGGGCATTCTTCCCAGGGGCCTGAGGTTGGACCCACCCAACCAGCTTTTAATACCAGAGCTGCCACCCACCTGCATATGCCACCTGCAGGTCTGGGGACTGGCCTACCCAGCCCATTCCAGCCACCACCAGCACCAGCACAGATGGCTTGGGAGCTAGAGAGTTGTCCCATCACTGCTATTGCCATCAACTACACCATGTCCAATGCCAAGTCAACCAAGGATTTGCTCACCTACCTGGCCCATCGCTGCCACTACTGACATCTAAACAAGCTGCCTGTAGGCCCAAGAATCAGTCCACCTGGACCCACCAACACCACTGGCAAGGTACACCACCTTGTTGCCCAAGGAATCATCTTCATCCTGCCACTGCCAACACTGGGCCCCAAGGACTGGCTCACTTTGTGCTCCCATCCTCAGCAAAATTTCACCATGGATTCCACCAACAACCACACCCTAAGCCACTGAGAAAACCACAGATGGCATTGATGCTGTTTGCAGTCAAAGAAATCACATGGAGACTATACTACTGCCTGCACCCAGAATCAAAGCCAAAGTAACCTAACCAGCCAGGACCATAGATACATTGTCAGGAAAAAGTCTTCCCCAATGAAAGCAAATTCAAAATATTGAATGATGCAACTGCTACACCAGATGCACAGATATCCATTTAAGAACACAGGAAACATTAAAAAACAAGGAAATATGACATCTCCAATGGGGTACAATAATTTTCCAGCAACAGATTGCAATGAAAAAGATATTCATGAAATCCAAGGAAAAAAAATCAAAATAATAATATTTTAAAAGCTCAGCAACAAACAAGAGAACGCAAAAAAAATCAGAAACACAATTCAGAATATGAATGAGAAATTTACCAAAAGGAAAGATACCATAAAAAAGAACTAAACAGAAATTCTGGAAGTAAAGAATGCATTAAATGAAATACAAAATACATTTATAAGCTTCAGCAATAAACTAGATCGTGCAAAAGAAAGAATTTCAAAACTTGAAGATAGGTCTTTTGAAATAACTCAGTGAGACAAAATTTTAAAAAATGAATAAACAAAGCCTACTGACATATAAAATACAATAAAGCAACAAAATATTCAAATTTTTGGTGTCCCAGAAGACAAGATGAAAACAGAAGGGATGGAAAATTTAATTCACAAAATGATACCTGAAAACTTCCAAATTTAGCAAGAGATTTAGAAATTTAGATATAAAAAGCTCAGAGATGCCCCCAAAAAATACAATTGAAAAAATGTCTTCTCCACAAGACCTTAGAGTCAAACTGTCGAAGTCAGTAACAGAATTCTAAAAGCAGTAAGGGAAAAGCTGTCACTTAGAGAAGAATCCCCATTAAACTAACAGGAGAATGCTCTTCAGAAACCTAAAAAGCCGGGAGAGAATGGTATGAATGATATACTCAGGTTGCCAAAAGAAAAAAAAAAACTGCTAGTCAAGGGATACTATAACCAGCAGTTATCTTTTATAAATGAAGGAGAAATAGTCTTTTCCAGACAAGCAAAAGCTGAAGGAATTCATCACCATTAAACTAAGCCAACCAAAAAATGCTTACAGGAATCTTATACCTTGAAACAAAATGACAATATCTACTATCATGAAAATGCAAGAAAATTTATAGCCCACTGGTAAAGCAAGCACACAAAGAAGAGAAAGTACTCAAATGTTTCTACTACAGATAACCACCAAAACAACAATGATAAACAATAAGAGAAAGAAAGGAATAAGGAACATATAAAACAACCAGAAATCAACTAATAAAATGGCTTATTAATGACAATGCCATAATAATAATGTTGAATATAAACTAAACTTACCACTTAAAAGACATAAAATGGATCAATGGATTAATAAATTATGACCCAATTGTATGCTGCATACAAGAAACTCATCTCACCTGAGTCACATATAAACTGAAACTTAAAGGATAGAAAAAGCAGAAACAGCTATGCTTAGACAAAACATATGCTGTCAAAAACAGTAAAAAAAAATGAAAAAAGTCATTATAAAATCATAAAGGAATTCAGCATATAATAATTCTAAACATACTTGCACCCAACACTGGAGCACCCAGATATATAAGCAATCATTAATAGATCTAAAGACAGAAATAGACTCCGATACAATAATGGCTGGGGACTTCAACATGTACTCAATATTAGACATATAATCTACACATAAAATTAACCAAAAAAATTGGATTTAAACTGCATTTTAGATCAAATGGACCTAACAAATATTTATAGAAGACTTAATCCAACAGCTATAGAATATGCATCTTCTTATCAGCACATGAAACACTCTCTATGATAGGCCATATGCTAGGACATAAAACCAACTCACAAAACATTTTTTAAAATTGAAATAATATCAACTATCTTTTCAGACCACAAAGGAAAAAAACTAGTAATTAATAACAAGTAGAACATTGAAAACTGTACAAATAGATTACAATATTTGGAAATGAAACAACATGCTCCAGAATTGGATCAAGAAAGAAAAGGAAACAATTTAAAAATTCTTGAAGCAAATGAAAATCAAAACACAACATACCAAAACCTATGGTGTACAGCAAATGTGGTGGTTAAAGGGAAGTCCATAGCAATAAATGCCTACACCAAAAAGTAGAGAGGTTCTCAATAAACAATCTAACCATAAACCTTAGGTAGCTAGAAAAGCAACAACAAACCAAACCCAAAATAGAAGCAAAGAACAGAAATAAAATAGACACTACGAATAAATACAAGGGATCAGTAAAACAAAAAGTTGCTCTCTTGAAAAGATAAACAAAACTGATAAACTGCCAGGTAGACTAACCAAGAAAAAAAGGGAGAAGATCTAAATAAACAAAATCAAAAATGGAAAAAAAAGATTAGAAGTGATACCACAGAAATTAAGAAGATTATCAGAGACTACTATGAACAGCTATATAGTATCAAACTGGAAATCCTAGATAAAATGGATAAATTCCTAGACACATACAATCTACCAAGATTGAATCAGGAAGAAATGGAAAGTGTGAACAAACCAATAATGAGTAATGAGATTGAATCAGTGAAAAAAAAAAAAAAAAGAAAAGAAAAAACGTCTCCCAAAGCGTGCTGGCATGAGCCTGTAGTCCCAGCTACTTGGGAGGCTGAGGCAGGAGAATTGCTTGAACCTGGGAGGTGGAGGTTGCAGTGGGCCAAGATTGTGCCACTGCACTCCAGCCTGGAAGACAGAGCAAGAATCTGTGTTTAAAAAAAAAAAGTCTCCCAACAAAGAAAACTCCAGGACCAGATGAATTCACTGATGAATTTTACCAAATTTTCAAAAACTAGCACCAATTCTCTTTAAACTATTTCAAAAAAGTTGAAAAGGAAGAAATTCTCCCTAACTCATTCTATAAGGACAGCATTGCCTTGAAACTAAAACCAGACAAGGACAAACAAAAAAAGAACACTGCAGGCTAATATTCCTGAGGAACATAGACACAAAATCCCTCAGCAAAATACTAGCAAACCAATTGCAATAGTACATCAAAAAGATAATACACCATTTTCAAGTTGGCTTTATAGCAGGTGTGCAACAATGGTTCAACATGTGCAAATCAATTAATGTGAGATACATCACAGCAACAGAATTTAGGAAAAAAACCATATAATGATCTCAATAGATACACAAAAAGCATTTGATAAAATTCAACATCCCTTCATGGAAAAAACTCACAACAAACTGGGCATAGAAGGAATGTACCTCAACATAATAAAGGCCATATATGACAAACCCACAGCTAACATCATAATAAATGGTAAAAAGCTGAAAGCCCTTTCTCTAAAATCTGGAACAAGACAAGAATGTCCACTTTCATTACTCCTATTCAACATAGTACTGGAAGTCCTAGCCAGTGGAGTGAGGCAAGAGAAGGAAATAAAAGACATTCAAATTGGAAAAGTCGTCAAATTCTCCGTTTCCAGATTACATGATCTTATATCTAGAAAAACCCAAAGACTCCACAAAAAAACTTGGATTTTATAAATGAATTCAGTAAAGTTTCAGGATACAAAATCGGCATACAAAAATTAGTAGCATTTCTACACACTAATAATGAACCAGCTGAGAAAAAAAACAAGCAATCTATTCCATTTATGATAGCTACCAAAAAAAAACAAACCCTAAGAATAAATTTAACCAAAGAGGAGAAAAACCTCTAAAAGAAAAACTACAAAACACTGATGAAATAAATTAAAGAGGACACAAAGAAATGTAAAGATAACCCATGTTCTTGGATTGGAAAAATGAATATAGTTAAAATGATTACACTACCGAAAGCAATCTGTAGACTCAATGCAATTCCTATCAAATTTCCAATGTGATTTTTGACAGAAATAGAAACAGAATTCTAAAATTTACATGGAACCAAAAAAGAGCCCAATAGCCAAAGCAATCCTGAGCAAAAAGAACAAAGCTGGAAGCATCACACTACCCAACTTCAAAATATAAGACTAAGTACCCCAAACAGCATGGTTTGGGTATAAAAAACACACACATAAACCAGTGGAACAGAATAGAGAACCTAGAAATAAATCCACATATTTACAGCCAACTGATTTTTAACAAAGGCATCAACACTATACATGGGGGAAAAGGAACCCCCTTCAATAAATAGTGCTGGGAAAATTCACAATCTGTATGCAAAAGAATGAAACTAGACCTCTTTCACTCATCATATACACAAATCAACACAAGATAGATTGAGGACTTAATTGAAAGACCTGAAACTAGAAAACCTCTAGAAGAAAACAGAGAAAAGATTTCAGAAAATTGTTCTAGGCAAAACATTTTTGGCTAAGACCACAAAAACACAGGCAGCAAAACCAAAAATAGACAAATGAGACTATACTAAACTAAAAAGCTTCTTCAAAGGAAACAATTAACAAAGTGGAGGGACAACCTATGGAATGAAAGAAAATATGTACAAACTAGTCATTCAACAAGGGACTTATATCCAGAATATATAAGGAACTCAAACAACTCAAAAGCAAAAGTATTCCATTAAAAAGTGGGCAAACAACACAAATGTACACTTCTGAAAAGAAGAAATACAAATGGCTAATAGGTATATGAAAAATGCTCAAAATCACTAACATTATGGAAATACAGATCAAAACCACTAATGTCATCTCACCCCAGTTAGAACGCTATTATTAAAAAGACAAAAAATAACAGATGGTAGCAAGGATGCAGAGAAAAGGGAACTCTTGTATAGTGCTAATAGGAATGTAAATTAGTACAGCCACTATGGAAAACAGTATGGCAATTTCTCAAAAAAAAAAAAAAAATAGAACTACCATATGATCCAATATCCCACTGCTGGGTATATCTCCAAAGAAAAAGAAATCAGTATATCAAATGGATACCTGCATTCCCATGTTTATTGCAGCACTGTTCACAACAGCAAAGATATGGAATCAACCTTAAGTGTTCATCAACAGAAGAACGGATGAAGAAAATTTCATATATATATACACAATGGAATACTACTAGTCAGGTATAAAGAAGAATAAAATCATTGCCATTTTCAGCAACATAAATGTAACTAGATGTCATTATGTAATGTAAAATAAGCCAGGTACAGAAGGACAAATAATGCATGTTCTCACTCATACGTCGAAGCTATAAAAAAAAAAATCGATCTCATGTAGGAGAGTAGAACAATAGAGACCAAAGACTGGGAAGGGTGTGTCAGTGGGTTAAGGGATGAAGAGAAACAGGTTAATGGGTACAAATGTACAGTTAGATAGAAGGAATAAGTTCTAATGGTCTACAGCAGAGTAGGGTGACTCTAGTTAATAATAATGTATTGTGTCTTTCAAAATAGCTAAAAGAGAGGACTTGCAATGTTCCCAGCATATAGACATGATAAATACTGGAGGTCATGGATACCCCAAATACCCTGAATTAATCATTACACATTCTATGCATGTAACAAAATATCTCATGTATTTCATAATATGTACAAATATTACATATCAATATTTAAAAAAATAAAATGATATTGCTTGCAGTTGAGTAAGTTTCAAAAGTCTACCTAAAAAGTAAAATGTTGGATTAAAGTGTGAAAGATCTTTTGTAAGGCAATTTTGACACAGGTGAAAAGAGAGAGTACTTTCTTTTCATATAAAATAAAGTGCTTTTGAGGGGAACATCACCCACCGGGGCCTGTTGTGGGGTCGGGGAGGGGGAGGGATAGCATTAGGAGATATACCTAATGTTAAATGACAAGTTAATGGGTGCAGCACACCAGCATGGCACATGTATACATATGTAACAAAACTGCACGTTGTGCACATGTACCCTAAAACTTAAAGTATAATAAAAGAAAATCAAGGTGGAAAAGGAAAATAAAATGCTTCTCATAAATTACTAAATCCAATCTATAATTTATTACTTATGTTTCACGTTTTATATCACTGCAGGCCAAATTTAAATGTCATACAGCTCTCCCCCAACCCATCCACTAGGTGTCTTAGTGATTTGGCTGGAATGAATTTATTGTTTGGAAATTCAGGGTAACAGTCTGCAATACAGTGAAAGAGGTGAATGTTAATGATACAAAATGTTTTCTACGTTCCTACTCCTTTTATCAGAAATAATAGCTTTCTTCTCCTTTCTCAAAAGTTCTTCTGCAGATTTTCTTCCCCAGAAGTTTAAGGTGGTAAAGATACTTCCGGGACTTTAACCTAGATTATAGAACATTTTTTCTCTATTTAAAAACATGTTGTTCTATGAAAATGAGGGAGTGCAATTACATAAATTGGATAATTTATTTTATCTCATCTTCCCTAGTGTCTTAAAATTTGGGTTTCAAGCACAACATTTATAATGTTAAATTTAAATTTTGAGGCTGCAAATTGCCTTAAGGTGCTTATTAAAATTCCATATAAAATTGGAATAAAGTAAATATAAAATCAAAATCATTTCTATACATCAAAGAGAAAAATATATAAACTCCTTATTTTAGGGAATAATGTCATTTTCTAAAATTAAAATTTCATTTTCTAAAAAGAGCTTTTCCATTCCTATAGAAAAGTATTCTATAATCCATATAGTTCAGATGAGGGTTGCTAATTATAGTAATCAACTTCTGTACCATAGAGCAGAATAGATGACTGAAGATGTGGCCATCATAGACCTCAAACCCTGCCGCAGGAATTGGTCCAAATATCATGATAAAATAAAAATTCTCAAATGCTTTTAAGGGCCAAGCCTTGTTCTAACATGTATTAATTCATTCAGACTCATCCTTAGTTATTTGTGAGGTCCCAGGCGAGAATAAAAATGGAGGCTACATTTTTTATGTCTAATTTTAATGTTATAAATAAACCCTATGCCTAACATGAAAGGACTTACCCATAACCAAATTAGGGACTAAACGTGCCCCCAGGGAACAGGAGTGCACAAACTCCTCTCTAATATCTCACTTCCCATTCAGGATTTTCAAACCACTCTAAAAGCCTCCCCAAACCTTCTCCCACCCTAGCAGAAGGGAAGGAGGAGGTGGTGCTATTATCTGGGGAACCTGGTCTGCTCAGCCACCTCGTTTGGGGCATCCAAGGCAAAGCAAGAGAAGCCTTCCTGGTTTCTCAAAGCAGAGGCTGTGCATAGCCCCTCCCCGGCACTTAGTGCTCTGCCCACTCCCCTGAGTGTTTGGGTCCTCTCCCCTAATTCTCACTTGCCCATTTGGTTATTGATGTTTCAAAGCCTTTCTGTAAGACTAAAAACAAAAATCCAGAGAGTTTCAAAGCTCGATATTTGCAAAGCTCTTGTATTATCTTGTTAGGATTCCCATGACTAAATACCTCAGACTAGGTGTGTTAATCTGTTTTCACACTGCTGTAAAGAAACTCAAGACTGGGTAATTTACAAAGGAAAGAGTTTTCATTGACTCACAGTTCCACATGGCTGGGGAGGCTTCAGGAAACTTACAATCATGGCAGAGGGCAAACCAGGTACATCTTACAAGGCAGCAAGAGAGACAGAGCATATGAGTGCAGGAAAAGCTACCATTTATTAAAATCATCAGATCTTGTAAGAACTCACTATCATGAGAACAGCATGGGGGGAGCCCACCCCCATGATTCAATCAACCCCCTCCCTCCCTCTACACATGGGGATTAGAGCTCAAAATGAGATTTGGGTAGGGACACAGAGCCAAACCATATCGTATGTAATTTAAACAACAGACATTTTTTCTTATAGTTCTGGAGGGCATAGGTCTGAGGTTGAGGTGTCAGTCAACAGTGTTGCTTTCTTTCTCAGGCCTCCCTTCTTGGCTTGTGATAACTGTTTTCCCTTTGTCCTAACACGATCTTTCCCTGATGCCTGCACATCCTTGGCATTTCTTCAGGGGTCCAGATTTCCTCTTCTTAAAAGGACACCAGTCAAATTGGATTAGGGCTCAACCTAACAGCTTTATTTTAATCTAATCACCTCTTTAAAGACCCTGTCTCCAGTTAAAGTTACATTCTGAAGTAGGAAGATTTAGGGTTTCATCATATGAATTTGAAGGAGACACAATGCAGCCCATCATAACCGTCTTCAGTGTAAGACCTGAACAGGAACCTCTTTTGCCCAGGTCTACAAATTTCCCTCATTTTAAAAGCTTATGATTAACACCATATTACAGATAAAGAAATTGAAGTGCAGAGTGGTTAAGTAACATTTCCAAGACCACAGAGGTAGGAAGCAGGTGCTCCAGCTCCAGAGCCTGTGCTTTTAGCCACAACCCTCTGAGTTCTCCATGAAGGAGGCACATATGACCAAAGCTAAGCCAGTCAGAGTCTCTTCGAGGAGTGTTTGAGTCTGAGCTGGGGAAAGAGTCCCATCCTCTCTGAATCACAGATGTAGCTCATGAGCTGCTCCTGGTCATTCCCACTACCACCTGGAAAAACTTGCCTAAAGGAAAAAAATGCTCATCTGAAGATAGGCAGTGTGGAGACATGCTTGCCCTGCTAGGTTGGTCCTGGTTGGCCTTGCCCCTTTGAGGTTTGACTAGTTCTCCCTTTGAATACAGGTACTAACAAGCACCCTTCTGATAAATCTTTGTTTGCTCATGCTTTGTTTGGTAAGAGTCAGTATCAGTATCTGTTGCTTAGAACCGAAATAATCTGGACTAACCCCAAGTAATTCAGAGAACTATATCCAATTCCATTTACTTTGCGATGATCTCTCCTTATTCTTTAGATTCAGCAGACAAAGTTAAAACACATCAATCTAAGAAGCCACCTTTTTAAAATCAGTTCTTTTCTCGCAAAAACTCTGCTTTGCCAGTCTCCATGTTAGAATGTTTATAAAAGAACAGGAAGCCTCTTCCAATGACCTGACCAGCATGGAACTATTTTAGAAACCAGCTCTGTTCTCTCTGTTCTCCATCCCTCAAATCTTCACTCTTACTATTCTTCTCCTTTATCACTGTAATGTGACATGCTGAGATTTTAATAAGGATTCATTAAGTTATAATATATCCTTTGACAAGAAAGAGTGAAAAGCATTCTACAAAATTCATCAGTACCGCAAATGCAAAAAGCAAACCACAGGTACTTTATTTTTTAAGATTCTCATTCTCTGTTAGGGTAGAAGACGTGATAACAGTAAAAAGCAATTAAGTAGTCAGGGTACAAATCTTAGTGAGAAATTATTCAAATTCTACAAAGTAATTCTAAATTAAAATGCCACCAACTGCGGCTATACATGATTAACTGGATTCAGTCAATTTAGGCAGAACTATCAACCTGGCTGGAGGGAGGACAGAGCCTTAATTAAAATATTTCAATGTGGCTGAAAATTCATTTTCATAGTCACACTGAATAAATGGTTGGCAATTTTAAAAAGCAAATAGATTGATTTCTGTTTATTTTAGCTTCTTATTAGAATATCCTTATTGTATGTTCACTGTATCTCCAATAGTATATTCTCCATTGCTATGGAATATAAATCAGTAGGAGATACTATTCTTGTACTCCAAAAGCAGGGAAAATTGTATGGGTAAAAGACAAGTGGAGAACAATATTTGCTGCTCCCAACAAAATAGGAAATCTTTTACCTTCCTGTGTATCTAGTGTAGCTATAAATACATATTAGATTCTAAGTTCATAATTGTTGGTTGATGAATAATCCTGTGTGAGAATATATGTTACAGACTAATGTTTTCTGAATTAATTTGACTGCAGTACATGGTAAAACTTTTTAGTATGCTGACACAAAATGAATCCACGAGCATAGACAAGAAAAAAACTTATTAACAAAACAAATATGTTAGCTTGTAAGACAATATTCTTAACATTGACAGGCATTATAAAATATAGGAATACATTATTTCAAAGGTTATACAGTCAGCAACCCTCTGAATCAATTCTCAACTTCAAGTCTTACATCACCCATTCATGCTTTGCATGCTGATCTCCCTAACCACTTGCTAGGATTTGGGCTAAACCATGACAGTTCTTAGGCAGTTGAATAATTGTTATGCCATAACAACTATCACAACAATGTGTTTGGATATTTCACATAAAAGTTTAAAATACATTTTAGAAGTAAACATCTCCCTAGTCATGGTTTCTTTTCACCAGGTTCCTATGCACACTTGTAGGAGCAGAATGGCAAGGAGCATGAGCTGCATGAAGACTCACTTTGTTCCAGGTTCTGCCACCTAATAGCTATATGGGTGTGGACAGGCGACCTGATACCTCTGGGCCAGGATAACCTCAGATGGTGATAATGATAGTTTTGTGATAATAATGGTAGCTAACTCACGGTAGTAGATGAAATAATCTGTTTAGTTGGGACAACACTTGGTACCTGGTAGGAGCTTAATAAATACAACACTTTTTCAGGATGGTGATGTCAACAGTAAGAAGCACGTAATTCAGAGAATGGAGCCCTACTGGTCAAATGGTGTGGGGACTTTGGGGACTGCAGCTGAGTCTTGAGGATGTATGAGCTCTACCCTGTGGTCTCAGTTTCTGCTGAAACTGTGCTTGGTATACCTGCCACGCTGTAAACATTTAACAAACGGGAACTAATGACAACAGAATTAAGACATGACCTGTATTGACCAAATCTGGAGTATTATAATATTGTCTCAGAACAGAAGATTGCCACATTTTTGAGATTTTAGACCGGTAGGCAGACTTCCTAGCAACAGCAGACCAATACTGTCTCTCAGTTCCTGGCAATGACAAAAAGATGAATGATCAAGTAAGTCCGAATTGCCTTATGTGGCGATTCTGTAGAGAAAATCCCAGATTTCTCTCCCTTCACATTATTTGAACCTGACCTTTCTGCAACAAATCTAAGATCAGCCTGTTTGGCCCTTGATCACCACAACTCTGGTGGCACCCAGTAAATCCTGGCATGACAGACAGGCAGACACAAAGCTACATTTTTCTGAAAACCATTTCTGTAAGTAGAATAATGTTACATTTTCTATCATTTTGTTGCTGTTGTTTATTGGAAACATTTGGAAAAGGTTTATGCTTACGTTTCTGATGAGGTCTGACCAACTTTTTACTTTTTTAAAGCTTCAAGTGCCCTTCTGAAACAGAGGCAGGAAGTGATTACCCAGGCCTCATAATCAGTCTGGAAGTTTCTAATAGGTAGGATGACCCCAGGAAGAAAGATTAATACCACAATTATTGGGCTAGAGAGGCTCCAAACTCCCATAATACACACCTTCTCTGTGGCATTCCCATGGACAATTAGGGATTCATCAATGAAAACCTACCTCAATTTAATCCACTCTAAGGTTCAAACAGCTAACAAAACCCATGTTATCACCAGGCCCATAGAGTGTCTTAGCAGATATCAAGGGAGGCGTAAGAGTTGTATGTATGTGTGGGCAATGGTGTTGGGGAATAAGCCCTTCTTCAGCAATTCTAAGCATAAGTGATATCTGCATAGGCTAGTCTTTGGGTTAGAGATGCTACAGGAAAAAAAGAAAGTACTCATAGGCACAGAAGTCCAATGAGTCTAATATTCAAATATTCTCTGTACAAAGACCATGTAGACAGGTCTTTTTCAGAATATGCTAGTCCACCAGAACTAGCTGTTCCAGACTGGAATTTTACCTACATCTTGGACTTTAATTCTTCACAATTCTATGCTGTCATCGTAACAACTGCTGCCCATGTTCTCTTTCAACACTTCCCTCTTTTATTAGCAACATGTGGCCAGCCAGCCTTACCTGATTTCAAATTAGTAAAGGATAATCCTGCTGCAACATAATTTTGTATCACTTTGACAACCAAATCGGGACAAATTAAGAATCTAATATTACAAAATATTATACTATGTGTCTTGGCAAACAGGCTTTTTTTTTTTTTTAATAGAGAGTCTTGTTCTCTCTACCAGGCTGGAGTACAGTGGTGCGATCCCAGCTCTCTGCAACCTCCAGCTCCTGGGTTCAGTGATTCTCCTGCCTCAGCCTCCCAAGTAGCTGGGATTATAGGCACATGCCACCATGGCCGGCTAATTTGTATGTTTAGTAGAGACAGGGTTTCACCATGTTGGCCAGGCTGGTCTTGAACTCCTGACCTCAGGTGATCTGCCCACTTCAGCCTCCCAAAGTGCTGGAATTACAGGCATGAGCCATTGCACCTGGCCAAATATGCATAATTTAAGGTCTCTGTTTACAAGAAAACTTAAAGTCAAATCAGAGGGGAAAAGTTATAAACATGGTACAAAACTAATCAGATACAAAACTAAATAGAGCTAATTCATCACATGACCAGAATAAAAATTCAAAAACACATAATTAGACCACAGTGACAGATACAAACAAAAAAGCTCTGAGATTTCATTCTTTCCAAAAGTCAGATGCTCAAATAGAAAGGGATGCCTCTTAGCAGGAATGCTTATAAAAATTCTTAAAATAGGAAAAGTAGACATATTTGGTGGATTAATGGATTTTGAACAATCATCAAATTCTGTCTCCTACAAAAAAAAAGTGTGTTTTTAGTCTACATTAATAGCAGTACAATGACCAAATCAAAGGACCTAACAGAATCACTTTATTCTGTACAAAAACCTTGGAATATTTTTGGTTATTATTTCCTGTCTATTTCACACATATTTATTTTATAAATACCGGCAAAGTAAACCACAGGATACTAAAAGAGAAACGGCAGTATACTGGCAACTTTTTGTTATCTTTGTCCCAACTAAAGAACTGGGAATATTTGGCCTTAAGAGGATTAGAAGTCATAATGGGAGCCATTACACCAAACTTACTGAAGAAATAAGAAGCTCGTGCTATAAGTGGAAACCCAGAAACTGGATATCCATCTTTATGGCATTCGTTGGGAGGATTTATGCTTTGAATAGGAGTTAGATTAGAGTTATCTTAGATGCCTTTAAACTTCAAGATTCTATCTGCCTTTGAATCTAATAAGTACAGAACTGGAGATAACCAAGGAGAGAGAATTAAACTAAATAGAGTGGTAGAACTCTACTAAATAGAAGAGCACAGAGTATCCAAGTATGAATCCAGCCAAGCAATCATTGCTGTATTAGTCTGTTCTCTCACTGCTATAAAGAACTACCTGAGACTGGGTAATTTATGAAGAAAAGTTTAATTGATTCACAGTTCTGCAGGCTGTACAGGAGGCATGGCTTGGGAGGCCTCAGGAAACTTACAATCATAGCAGAAGAACAAAGGGAAGCAAGTACCTTCACGTGGTGGCAGAAGAGAGAGGGCGAAGGGGGATGCACTACACACTTTTAAACAACCAGATTTCATGAGAACTTGTTCGCTATTGCGAGAACAGCAAAGGGGAAGTCTGCCCCCATGATTCAATCACCTCCCACCAGCTCCCTCACCTAATATGTGGTGATTACAATTTGACATGAGATTTCAATGGGAACACAGAGCCAAACCATATCACGATCTTTCCTTGTCCTCTGTGTTAATATAGAGCATTCGTCTGAGCAATGGTCAGTGTGTTCGATGTACTGTGCTTACTCAAGACAAGACTCCTGAGTTCACAAATATTTGTGTGTCTCTATTTAGAAAAAAAGGATAAATTAAAGATGCTATTTGCATACAGGCAGCCCAAATAGCTGTCTTTCCCCAGAAAGCTAATTTACTTACCATTACACGTACATATCAGAGCCTCCAAAGTGCCATGAGTGTGTTCATCCCAGGATGTGCCAAGATAATCCACTGGGCCATGGGGAAAAGTAATGCTTTAGTAGTAGACTTCTTGAAAATTAAGAATGTATTTAGGCCTTACTAACATTTACTATATGGATTGATATATATCATATAGTCAAATGTCAAGGAGGACACAGGAGAAATCTGAGGGAGGAGTGGAGTTCTACCAGAAGACTCACTGAAGTTGCAGTTTTTACTCCTTATTTGTCATCAAAATATTACAAAGTAGACTTCTGGAAAAAGTATTTATAGATTATATGAACTATCTTAACTCAACTCTAACAAAATGGACACACAGCTTAAAAACCTGCATACAAAGAAAGCAGAGGTTGTTGATAGTATTTATAATGTAAGGTACATGTGATCAACAAGAAAATATAAGAGCTGATATTTCTCCTACTGAAAAAATAAGCTATTTTTACCATCCCGGAACCCCAATTCAAAGGTAAAATTATAATCATCCAATGAGAAAAGGTGAGATCCTCAATCTCTGATAAGAAGAAGACTATCTATAGTATAAATTCGCCTCCAGCAGAACCAGTGATAAGCTTCACACTAAATGCATATTCAGCCTCCAAAAAAGTAGCCTATGGTTGTATGAGACTCAGTATGAGCAAGACATTTAAGAAGCCACCAGAACACCACTAATAAGATCTGAGTAGGAGAAAAATCATTTTTGTACCATAAATGAATAAGAAAAGTTAAATACCAGGGGTTTTGCCATTTTTACACTATACTTTTTAAAATGTCTCTATTTGTGTTTTTATAAAATCAGTATAACAGAGCTTGTATATAATTTATAAATTTATACATATACATATATGTATGTATACATGTTGAAGTTTCAAAATATTAGCTGATAAAGAATATATATCAAATATGTACATAATAAAATATATTAGTCTGTGTAAATGTGTGTGTTTAGTAATCATTTTATTTAGAAGTTTACAGTTTAGCTATAAATGCTCAGTCTTTACAGAGCTCTGAAATTCTCGTTAGCCACTTTAGCATCTAGAATTTTCCTCATTTATTTATATACAGTCATGTAACCTCTTGTGTTATTTACCTGGTTTTTCAGGTTACCACCTCCTCAAATCCTGTAAAAATACTGCCTGGTTATTTTATGAAACAGTAAATTTTTTTACCTACTTACTTTTCAAATAATGCCTTTTCCTTATAGTTAATTTTTAACAGTTAATATTTACAACTATTTTTTAAAGTAAACCAGACAATTTGTATTCTAAACTCTCAGTGATTACATTTTAATCAGCCAAGTCTCTCAAATCTGAGATTAATTTTATGCAGATGCAGTTACAATGGCTATTTCTATCAGAGGAATTCCTCTAGGCCAAAGCAACAATCGCATCTATATTCATTATTGTCCTAAATTAGATATATTAAAGATACATAAACCATGAAGACACATGGTTATGTTTCTATGTAATACTTCTCAACTGACTCAAATGGTTTGTGTTTATACATCTGATTAGAGAATCGAAAATATTTTTAAAAGCACCTGATACCAAGAGATGATAAACTATATTTTTATAGATCATGGTTTATTCATATTTCATGTTTAGACAGGTATAAATACGTCAAACTTGAAAATAGCAGCTACCGATGTCTTTGATAGCAGTAAAATAAAATTAACTTTTCCTTTTAATTCTTGCACAACTTAATGTATATTCAAAATAATTAGACAGCAAACGGAAGTCCTTCTCTATTGGTTTAGTTATATGTTTTTGTTTCCAGTATTGTATTTGCTTGATTTATTTCATATCTCATTCTCTACCTGTACTAGTTGCTTTTATTTTTTGAATAAAACTCTTGAAAAGTTTAAGTTTGGATTTAAAATATTAAGATAAATGGTAACAAATGAACTTTAATTAATATTGAAATGAATTAGGATTCACAGAACAACAGTGCTATGCATTGGGGAGATTTCAGCCCCTAAGCCACATAACACATTTCACTGTAAAATTTATTAGCAGAGTTTTCTAATCAGTTCAGCTCTAATATTCTACCTTAGTGAGCACATATCCAAACGCAGAAGCAGCTACTTCTCCCCTCGTATCATTATCAGTTTGCTTCTTTTCCCATCTTCCCCTCCTTCTCCTTAAGTATGTTTTATCTCAGTATTACAATAGCTCAAGAAAAACAGCCTGATTTTTAAAGAGTACTCAGTTTAATCAAACTCGGATGATATTGAAGACTTGCCCTTGAGATTGTCTAGTTCCCAGAAGAATCAAATTAAATAACATTTTTACAATAAGGAAATAAAATTTCTTGTATAATCAAGTATTTAGTCTGAATCTAAACACTCACCAAAGCTTTCTGAGGAACCTCCATGCTGCTTTCCACAGTGACTGTGCTAATTTGCATTCCCACCAATAGCATATGAGGGTTTCCCTTTCTCCTTGACTGCATTTTGACTCCAGCCCATCGCATGAGGTCAGGTGTGAAATTTTCTACTTGTGGTGTCATGTCAGTGTTCAAAACACTTTGGATTAAGGAACATTTCAGATTTTGGATTTTAAATTAGGGATGCTCAACCTGTACTTAGAGATAGGAGGATACAGAGAAAGGAGGTACAGTCAGCATCAAAGCAGCTTTAATCTCAACACAGGAGTGCATAAGGAAGATGAATATACAAGTAACTAAGCTTTATGGCAGAATTGGGAAAGTAGCAAGAGAGAGGCACTTCAGAAAGCTGCAGGGAGTTCAGTGTAAGAAATAAGAAAATATTGTTAGCTGGGGATCTGCATCTAAGAAAGATGTGAAGGATAAGTAGACTCTGGTCAAGAGAGAAGAGCCTTCAGGTAGAGAGAAAAGGGTATGTTTACTCAGAAGCAGAAAAGCACTAAGACCTGTCAGGGATGAGGGACATGATTTGTTAGCATCCACAGTACATAAGAAAATGTTGGGGCATCAAACATGAAACTTCATCAGTTACCACTGTGTTTGCCTACAAGTAAAAGAAAAACCTCATTATAGTGGCTTAAGCAAAGAGAGGTTGATTTGTTCTCATATGAAGAAGTCTGGAAGTAAGCAGTTGTCTGCTTAGGTTTAGTAACTCAAAGTTATCATGACCTTTCTCTGTGGTTTCCAGATAGCTGCTTGGGCTCTGTATTCACAGGAAGAAGAAGAAAAGGGAAGAGATTATATTATAAATTTCAACATGTATCTCGTTGGCAAGAGCTATGTCAAAGGGCACCCCTAATTGCAAGGGAGACCAGGAAATCAAGACTTCAGCTCTTACAGTCTTGACAGTAGACACAAACCAGAGAGAAGAAAGTTGAAGTTGAGTGTTGAAGGGGCAAAAAAAGTCAACTGCAAGAGCATAAAGGGTTGTGAGGAGGAAGATAGAACTTACCTGGGCATTAGAAGCAATGAGCGGAATTTTCACAAGAGAAATAGTATCTAATGGGCTAGCTAACAAAATAACAGGCTATATCTAGCATTAGTAAACAACAATCTTAGAAATATTCAAATGAAAGGTGAATGACTTCTCGTGAGAAGTTAACACACACACGCGCACACAAAAACCCTGGATTGAAAAGAAGATTGAACTAGAATGGAAGCAAAAACACCCAGCCCCTTTATTGCAGTCTGCGTAGCCCTTCTCATCATTTGGGCTTGACCTGCATCTATGGGGCACACTTGTTTGTGCCAGTGACTTCCAGGTCTCAGAGCTGTCCCAAGTCCTTCACATTCCCCATTCCAAGAGCTGTGACCTCTAGTTCAGTTTCTATCACTCCCTATGAATTCTTCAAGTTTCTACCATGTCACATGAAGTGTTGAAGCTCCCTGGATAAGGAAAATATCAAGTGTAGAGCAAGATTTTCTATCTCCACAGCTTCCCTGGTTCCAAACCAAGACAAACTTATTTCCTAGACAGCTTCTGTTATATGTCCCTCAGTTCCTACTTTCTTTATTAAACCCAAAGAATTGGTTCATATCTATTGCATGTTTGGAGTGCCCTGGAGTTAGAATATCCTGTTCCCTATTGCATTGTAATGATGACCCTGGCTTGATCTCCAGTTTCTACATTTAAAAAGCAAGAGTAATTGTAGTTTTGATTTATCCCCAGCCCTGTTTTCTTGCTGACTAAAGCCACTTGCGAAGAGTGTTGTCTATTGGTTGCGAAAACATAAAAAATGGGCTGAATGCAGGAAAAGTTTATGATGAACACTAAAAGCACTAGAGATAATCAATACTAAAGTTTGATGCATGTTCTTTCAGCTTTCGTCTAAATAAAAATACACAACAATAAATAAATTATGCAGGTGTGTTTGTGCAGAAAGGTTTCATTTAGAATCATACTGTGCATACTATTTATCCACCTGATTTATTGTCACTTAATGATATGTCACAAGAAGCTACTTTTTATGATTTTAAATATTCTTGAACCAGTAAAGCAGCATCTATAACACAGACACAGCCACAGAATTTTCTCTAGATAGAAAGCATATTAAATTACTGAAGTATGTTTTCTCTAGAAAAGTGGGCCTTTCTTTGCTTCTGGTGGCACAAGTGACCTTAGAGAGGGGACTGGCTAAAGTAGATTTAACAAAGGCAAAGTAGGCCATAAGCATCATCTTTTTTTATTTGGCCTGTTGCCTTGCACTGTTCTTCTGTGTCATTAACACCCACCATGCTACACAGCTTCTGAGGAGGCTCCACTTCCACTGGAATGACTGATGAATGTGGATTGGAAGAAACTTCAAGATTTCTAATTGTCTTACGGTAGGAGAGTAGATACTCTAAATACAGTCAACTTCAAGCCTTTTGGGGGTGATATTGGGACGGGAAGCTTACTTCGGCCACCTTATTTTGAATGAAATCAACACCATGGATATTGGGCGGGGGCAAGTTACCTCTTATTTCAGAAAAGGATTTCTGGGGAGAACCCACCATTATTTCTCTTCTCATCTTCCCACTCTTATCTCCTCTTTTCACATCAAAGATCCATCAAATCTCTGTGGCAAGCCTGGTAATAAGTTTTCTATGGTGGTTTTAAATTAATGGGCATTAGTCAGGCCCAGTGTCTCAGACCTGTAATCCCACCATTTTGGGAAACTAAGGTGGGAGAATCACTTGAGGGCAGGACTTTGAGACCAGCCTGGGCCACATAGCAAAATCCCATTTCTACAAAAAAATTTAAAGTTTGACTACAGGTATGTGCAGTGTCACGTGCCTGTAGTCACAGCTACTTGGGAGGACGAGGTAGAAGGATCACATGAGCCCAGGAGGTGGAGGTTGCAGTGAGCTGTGATCGTGCCATTGCACTACAGCTTGGATGAAACAGAGTGAGACCCTGTTTCAAAAAATAAAATAAAAATAAAAAATGAATGGGGGTTTCTGTAAGCCTACCTTTTTGCCAAATACTTCTAGGTTCTTAATGCCATCAAATGAACACATGTTTAGTAAGCATTTACTCAATGCCCTGTCCTCTGTTACCAGGAAAAAAAAAAGATATTATTAGCAACAGGGCAATGATAATTTAGTTCTGGGTCCAATACAAACATGGCAAAGACAATGAAATAAGACAATGTTAACTATATGATAAATTTAAACGAAACAATTGAGGCCATGCATATCATAAGAATTCAAAGAAGGAGATCGATGAGTATTAGGATAGTCAAGGGAAAGGCAGAACCCAAGCTGGAACTTGGGAAAATATTTCTGCTGGAGACAAGATGTTGTGCAAACTGTGGAAATTATGGAAAGATAAGTGGAGGCTCTTTCAATTGTCCTGTGCACACAGGAACACCATGTGTTACCTATCTGTTCAACAAACATTTATTGAGCAATTCTCTATCTCAAACCTTATGCTAGGCTTTAGAAATACACATGTGAGCAGGAGAGACAAAGGCCCTACTTCAATCATCCCGCATTCTGGAAAGCTCTCTTTTACCTGTGCTTGTAACTAACCATGCATCAGTGCAGCTCACCATGTATACTAAGATGTATGTTGTTTCTCCAGGACATTTGATCAATATTTTTATGTTTGATACATCATAATAGTTGCTGACCAAACAGTAGAAATTCTACAGAAGATGACTTTTGACAACTGAAAAATAAAATATACAAATGTAATTTTTAAATAAAAATGTTTTTCCTCTCATCATTCCCTTTGGTCAATATATAATTAACAAAACTCATTGTTTTTGCACCACTTACTTTTCAAAATCTATTTGTTATTATTTATTTTTCTCATGATGTTTTCTCCAGTTTCTTGTCACCACTAACTCATCTTTTCCTTCTCATATATCCTCTAACGCTAAGGTGATTGAACTTTAGAAACACTGGTAGATTTCATAAACATCTACAAATAAATGATTTAGCAAATAAAACATGAGACAACTCACCACCAATCAGCAATCAATATATGCTATGTTACATACACCAAACTAAAATGACAATTGATGGAATCATAGAAGCTCTTAGATATCATGTACATCAACCAAACACATGCTTTGGGTAAGTTATCTTCAGAATCCCTGTTAATCTTTCAGCTACTTCATAAGTATTTCAGATAAAGGGGTCCTCACTACCCCAGGATAACCTGGTCCACTTCCAAGTTTTTTTCTGTTCTTTTTTTAAAAATATATACAGCCTATATTTTTTCTCTATATAACTGTAAACCATTGGTTCCAGCTCAGTTTTCTAAAACAACCCCTAAGAATCTGTCGCCCTTCATTCCATGACTACCTTTCAGAGATCATCTTGTTCCATAATAAAATCTTGCTTTAGACCTTTCTCTTTTCAAAGTTGATCATACTTAGAGATTTCTTGTAAGACATGTTTCTAAATCTTTCCCCTAAAATCTACAAATGAAATAACATGGCTGCCCACATTTCTAAGAAAACTAATAAAATTAAATCATTATTGTTTGCACACTGTTATGTGCAAATGATGTCATTTTCTGTTGGTACCACAACTAAACACGCTTAGGGGAAATGATTTATTCCCCATAATATAAAGGTAATTAGAATTTACTTCCTACAAAAAAAAACAAAAACTGCTGCCCAACATCTGCCCATCCCACAAGGTATTCCCACCTTAGACACTGTCCCACCACTAGACACTCTCTTGGATTAAGCATTGAAGACTTTTTAAGTTGTATGTGTTATCTGTGAGAGCTTACACTTTGAGCAGTGATATCAGTCTCTATAAAGGCTTTGGGAAATTAAGAAACTAAATGACAGGCAAAGGGTAAAACTAGGAGTTCATGATGTTACCAAAAGCACAAAGTAGACATTAGGGTGATTTGGCAGGTCAATGTGAAGCTTGAGGTGAGCTGTCAGAATTTTGAACAGAAGGAAAGAAAAGAACACAGGCTAAGAATACTCCATAAAGGAGGAAAGAGACAGCCCTAAAAAGTCACAGTGAATCTTCTAACCCGGCTTGACAAATATGTGGCTTTACTTCAAGGGCCCAGAGAAAGGAGAGCTCTTAGTCCAGCTGTCCTAGTGACCACATTGCTGCAATACCTCCTAGCCACTTTTATATAAGTAATAGATTTACAACACAAGACCACCTTGTGAAGCCCATGGACAGCAATGCTCTGCCCAGAAATTGTCAGTAGGATATTTATCTACAGAGAAGCATAAATAGATGTACAAAACACATAGAGTTACAATGTCCATAAAAATAATAGCATTTGAAAACAGTTGAGAATAAAGGCAGTGGTGTCAGTCTCTGTGATGTGTTGGTGACCATTCATTGGCATAAGTAAGAGAAGAGGATTAAGCATTTCACTTTCTAATAGCTCTAGTACCCAACATCTAAAGAATTCTCGGGAGTGGTTGTCCAGCTCTGTCTACTGCTTAGTATATGTTGGCAAGAGGGAAGGAGGAGGGTTAGAATGAGAAATGCCAATTGATACCTCACAGGTCTGCCTGCTAGAGGTCAGGTCTTGAAGTCACAATGGAAAGGAGAGATGTTTCAGTGCCCAGAGCAAGGGCTGGAAAACAGGCATTCTTCTTGGGATTCAGTTCAACACGGAGTAGCTACTGAAGTTTAGTTCAGTGTCTACAGCCTGCTCAGCACCATGCTGAGGTAGACATAGTTTCCACTTTCATAGACAAAGTCTGATAAGAAAGACAGATATTACTGCAATGAGCTGTCATCTCACCCCAGTTAAAATGGCTTTTACCCAAAAGACAGGCAATAACAAATGCTGGTAAGGATGTGGAGAAAAGGGAACCGGCACACACTGCTGACTAAATTATTAGGTTGATGCAAATGTTACTGCAATTTTTGCCATGACTTTTAATGGCAAAAACCTCCTCCTTCCTTCTTGCCAATATATACTAAGCAGTGGATGGGGCTGGACAACCACTCCCCAGAATTCCTTAAATGTTGGGTACTAGAACTAACAGAAAATGCAACGCTTACTCCTCTTCTCTCACTTATGCCTCTGAATGCTCACCAACACATCGCAGAGGCTGACACATTACTTTTAATGGAAAAAACCACGATTACTTTTGTACCAACCAAATAGGACAATCGCTGTGGAGAAGTTTGGAGGTTTCCCAAAAAACTAAAAATAGATTACATGGTAATATGATCCAGCAATCTCACTGCTAGGTATATACCAAGAAAAAAGGAAATCAGTATATTGAAGAGATATCAGCACTTCCAAGGTTATTGCAGCACTGTTCACAATAGGCAAGATTTAGAAGCAACCTAAGTGTTCATCAACAGATGAATAAAGAAAATGTGGTAAACATAATATAAACAACGAAGTACTATTCAGCCGTAAAACGAGATCCTGTCATTTCCAACAATGTGGATGGAACTGGAGGTCATTATGTTAAGTGAAACAAGCCAGGCACAGAAAGACAAACTTTGCATGTTCTCACTTGTTTGTGGGAGCTAAAAATTAAAACAGTTGAACTCATGGAGATAGAATAACTACTAGAGGCTGGGAAGGGTAGTTGGTGACAGGAGGGGTAAGGAGGAATGGCTAATTGGTATAAAAATATAGTTAGATAAAAAAGATCTAGTATTTGATAGCACAACAGGGTGACTACAGTCAATAATTTATTGTAATTTAAAAATAAAGAGTTTTAAAAATTGTTTATAACACAAAGGATAATGCTTGAAGAGATGGATACCCCATTTACCCTGATGTGATTATGCATTGTTTGCCTGTATCAAAACATCTCATGTACCCATAAATATGTACACCTATGTACCCACAAAATAGATGTTTAAAAAGACTTTTAAAAATATTTGTAAACAAATAAAACTGTGATATGCAATGCACAAAAAAAGCCAAAAAGCCTGTGAGATTCACAAGTGGTACAGTGGAGAAAACAATTAATGGAGTCTGGAAGGCAGGGAGCACTTCATGTAAAAAGTAATGCCTCAGCAGGGATTTAATCATGAACAGTGTTTTCAGGAAGACAGGAGACAGATGGGCATTCTAGGAAGAGACAAGAACACATGCAATGGCAATAATGTGTGGTGAGAACTCACAAGAGGAAGTGATGGCTCGCACATTAGCATGGAAGGGAGAGGACAGGGCACTAGGGAGGGGCCAGACCAGGAAGACTCTGTGCAATGCATAAAAGAGCTTTGGCTTCACCTTGCAGGCAAAAGGGAGTCATATAAATATTGTGAACAGGAGCTTACACTTGGAAATTTGAAGTTCAGAAAAATTGTACCAGTCATAGTGTAGAATACAGATTTGAAAGAATAAGAATAGAAGAAATTGATTTAGTAGTTAATGAAATAGGGAAGAAGCAAGGAAGGGAAGCAGGGGCTAAGAACCAGAGAAGCCTTATCAGCCAGGGTGCAAAATTAGACGGTAGAAGCAAATGGGCAATGAGAGAGACCACAACAGACAAGAGGGTAGCAAGGAGCATGCAGGCACAAAGCTGATTTGAGGTTAAACTTATGTGGAGTAAGGACTTCTCCGTCACTTCTCTGATGTATAACTGGGTGACTGTTTACTTAGAGGTCATTTCTTAAAGGATAAAGTTCCCCTGGTCTTTAGTGACCATGGCTCTGACAGCCACCAGGCAGCATAGGAGGGCTCAGGGCTGCAGCAGAGGCAGCAACAATGGTAACACAGTTCCCTAAGGTCCTGGGACCTGTCAACCTTCCTTGGTGTTAAGCAATAGGAATGGGACAGGAGGCAGCAAGGTTCTCTTGTGCAGCAACACAGGGCCAGGGCAGCAGCTAACAGCTCACAACTTTGTGGTCTTTGTTAGTAATCTGGGAAGACTGGGTTAATGAGAATCTCAGACAACTTATTGGAAACCTCCTAAGTGAAAGACGGTTGAAAACCATCTGTGACTAGTTCTACAGCCTTGAAAAGGCAGAGAAATGGCTTTGTTAAATGAGGAGTTCGACAGTAGCACTATTCAGAGTTCATGGACGATGTGGAGGTTAGATTCCAGAACCTCAGCAGTACAAGGGTAATTTCTCTTGAGGAAGCCAGGCTGCTGAGGAAAGAGTGAATAGATGGTCTTTCATAGGGTACAATCAGAAGCAAAACCACCATAATCAACAGGAGGGAAGAAGGCACCCCTGGAGGAATGCTTCTCCCCTCTCCCAGGGTCTAATAGCACTATACTTATGGTACTTCCAGTGCCTTTAAGGTTTTTGTACATCTGAGCAAAGGAGAGTACAAATCTTAGATGTAAGAGGCTGGCACACCCCTGGAGAATGAGACTTTTCACATGGAAGTCAACTGGGGATGAGACATGTGCCTCAGTCCAGAGTCGTCCACAACGTGAGAAAGCCAGGGCCCCAGGACTCTCTTTGTCTTGGTCACCAAGTGAAAAGGTGCTGACCACATTCCTAACCCAGGGTCATAAAACAGTGTAGGAAGCTAGGCTAAAAAAGAAATCTAGGAAAGTTGTAAGCACCCTTCAAAATTCAAGTTGTAGGCAGCGTATGGAATGGAATAATTCTGCGTGTCCTGGGAATGATCTAGTGGGACTGAATGGAAATGGAACTTTGGTATATACCTCCATTATTAATGGTATATGCTAGATACTTTTATTCCTACATACTCTTGTTCCAAGCCCTCCACCTCCTTTTGTTCTTAGATTTTAGAAATGCCATTTTGTTTTCATGAAAAAGCATTTTTATTCCTTACTATCACTTTAATTTTTTAACTTCCATAGGTTATGGGGAACAGAGGTTTTTGATTATGTAAGTTCTTTAGTGGTGATTAGTGAGATTTTGGTGCACCCATCACTCAAGCAGTGTACACTACACCCTTTTTGTAGTCTTCTGTCCCTCACCCCCTTTCGACCCTTTCCGAGTCCCCAAAGTCCATGTGTCATTCTTATGCCTTTGCATCCTCACAGCTTAGCTCCCACTTACGAGTGAGAACATATGATGTCTGGTTTTCCATCCCTGATTACTTCACTTAGAATAATAGTCTCCAATGTCATCCAGGTCGCTGCAAATGCCATTAACTCATTCCTTTTTATGAGAATAGCCATTTTGGAAGCCCCACCCTGTTGTTCTTGATCTTAAAAGAGAGGAAAGAGTTCCCACTTGGAACACCTGCTAATGAGAAGCAGGTGATTCTCTTGGGGTAGAGGTGGTGTTAGATCAATGAACTAAAGGAAACCCAAAGGAAACCACTAGACTCACCTAGAAATTCTCTTTCTCATAACTAAACATTAGAGGTTCTAGGTTTGTGGTTTCACGTACTCGAAACAGCAAACTCAGTGTGTTAAGACAGCATTTATGAGGCCATTTACTAGCCCATTGAAGCTGTATAGGGATCAGTTGGGTGAGTGAGGGTGGGAGGCTTTAGGTGTCAGGATTATAACCATGGCCCTTGCCTGGTAGCACTCAGCCTGGCACCCAACACAGCACAGGCAAACTAGTCTGCTGATGACAATCCTAAGAATCACCTGGAGGGTCTGATTCAGTAGGTCTTCCCCAAATATCTATTTTTAGGAACTACCACAACTAATATTTATGATCTTTACTGCCAGGTATGAATGGGAAATTCAGTCTCATTCTAGGATTATAAATCAACAAATTAAACTTAAGTATGGAACATCTGAGTTAAGTACATAACACACTATAACTTCGCAATTTTTCACTTTACAAATGAATGGGCAGGACTGAAAAACCTGCAAGCTTTCAGTACACAGCAAAGTCAAACTGTTACATTTTGAACGTCAATACGGTGTGGAGTATCTATTAATCCTACCTGAGCCTTGTTTGCCATTTCTGTAACATAGGAATATGTATCCCTCCTACATACCTCATTGTGAGGATTAAATAAGTTATTTGAAGTTACTTGCGAGAGCCCAATACATAGCAAATGTTCACCAAAGGTTCATTCTCTACCTCCCTTTGCATCATTGAAAAATATATGAAGGTATACTTTTTAACATATGGTTTATTTTGTTTTTTCCTCTTTTTTGTCTGTATAAATGTAAGGAGTACAAGTGCATTAACATGCTCTGAATTAATAAGGAATGCAAAATAAGAGGCAGAAACATCAATATTCCAAGTCATGTAACCCAACATTCAGAAACAGTCCTCCTCAGCATAAGCCTCCTCTACACAGAGCTGTCACATTTGTTTTTTCATCACAATCCTCTTCTCATGCAGCTTTATGGCCATCAAAACATTTTATTTTGTCTTCTCTTGGGTCTATGGTTCAAGGATTTTATGCTTATCAGGTAAGCCTTATCGTGTCTATATGACAAGTATATTGAGTTATTTGCATTTATAATGCCCACTTCAGTCCTTAATTGGAAAAGAGGCATCTGGTTAATGTACTAAGAGATATTCTTTCTTGTTTTAACTTCAGTTCAGATTCCTATGGCAGGCCATGTTCAGGGAAAGAAGAAGCTGAAATTGAAGGAAGGCCATTAGAAGTGTTGAAAAGCCACAAAATCACCCCTGCACTTTTAAGGTGCAGATAAAAAAAACCTTTTAGCAGGATTCTATGTTGACACATTAATTATTAATATTAAAATGGTAATTAATTTAGTATTCATAAATTATGCTTCCCACACATCCCCACTCACGTCAAGGTTGCATGAGTTTCTAATTTCTTGCCTCCAGGATTTTGGAACACAGATTTTTTTTTAAGAGTTAAAGGAGTAAGTATAAAAAGTTACACTTTTTTGTGTAATTTTTAATACAAGACATCCAAAGTCTTAAACAGTCAGTTGATCCCATCAGGAACAAAATATGACATGAATTCCAGAAACAAAAATTTTTTTTTTTTTTGCACTTAAGCTTTTCAGTCTCTATGCAATGATTATCGGTTTGCCAAGGACAGTAACAGTCAAATACTAGAGGAAAGGAGATAGGAGAAATATCTTTTACTTCTTCTAAAGAGGTGAAAATAAGATTTTTTTATATTTCTCACTCATAAGATTTTTAAACTCTTAAAAATGCAATATCGTCTTTTCAAAGCAATGCCATCTTAAAAATTAGCCATGTACATTTGCACTCAAAGAAAAACATGCAGCAACATTGTCTTCTGACAAAATTCTACATAAAAAACCCTATGCAACTTTCTGCAAATATATTCCCTCTTTATTATTCAGGGACTCCAAACCACAAACATTCAGTGCAATATTTATTGTTTCTTATTTCTGTAGGAAACACAGGACCAATGATGTCTTCTGACAACTGTTTCCTGATGGTTGAGCAGCAGTCTCCCTTTGCTTTAAAGTACTCTTTTTAACTTGCTGATGGAAGGTATAATTGGAATTCAGTAAAACTTGAGGATCTAATGGAGTGTGGAGGATAAAGGATGGAGGAGAAATACTTAAGGTCTACCCTGTGCCACACAGGAAAAAAAGTTTACACAGAAGAAAACAAGCAAAAAACCTCAGATTTTATCAATGCACCCTTTAAAAAAGTGGTTTTAATTTCTGAAAGCAGCTCAAATGTGAATGAAAAGCTGTTCCTGAGTAACTGCAGTAAAGTCTTTTAAAATATGTACATACACATTTACATATATATGTGTATGTGTGTGTATACATGTATATATTTGCAACTTAGCTCATTTGGTTCTGCCCTAATTTACCTCGCCAGCATTTAGTCCCTTCTTTACTTTCAGTCCCCAATGTGCAAGCAGGATAGCATCAGCCCTGGGAGTCAGCATGGAGCAGATGTTTCTTATCACTCCTGTGAGGTCATCTGCTTGTCTGACAGGCAGGGTTTCCAGAGTTGCTGCAGGTCCTAGTTCTCTCAATCTCACAAAAGCTGTGAGCATCATAGCCACCTCACATTTTCTTTCATCAGACACCATAATTGCCATGTGTGGAGCTTGTAGGCTGCCTGGAGTATCTCTATGTGACTTACCAAATGTGTGCTTAAATACTGCCTCCGAATCTTTTCTTGGAATGGGCAGATCTTCTTAACTTGGAATCGTTCCAAATTACTTTTCATTTTCACTACCCTTTCTTCTAGGAATGGTGTATTAACAGGAAAGTAGGACCAGAAATGCCATAGAAGTTCTCCAACAGCTACATACAAGTGTTTCAATTCAGACTGAATATCACTTGGCACCATCTGGTTTATGGTTTGCTGTGTTCCTCCCTGCATAAGGTCCCCTGCAGGTGACAGTGCTATGATGGTACTACTGGCAGCACTACTCAAGAGAACCTCAATTAACTTGGGTATATAAGCTTCCATTTCTTGCCCAATACTTTGAAAAGAATAATGTCCTTATTGTTGCATACTGTAGTGACTAGACTGGAGTTAGACCATGATAATACCTACCTGACTTCTTGAGGTTTAGTGCAATCATTTTTATAGAATTATCTTTCCCCAAGTCTTCATATTCACTGGACTCTTGCGATTTCGCCCTTTTGACTACTGGCTGAAAGCAGTCTGCATCTCTGGAATTTCCATCCATGCTGCTGGGCTATTTTGCTCATTTTCTGCTTCTTGTTTCCTGAGTCCAGCTGCCAGGACCATGGCACTGTGATGGTTAAATCTCTTGATGGCAGCATTACTATTCTCTTCTATGGATTTAGAATTGGAAGCAGATGGCACAGAGGAAATGCCATAGCCCTCATCTAATGGCTTATTTCCCAAAGCTGTTAATTCTAGTAGTGGGTTTTTCACTCCTAATGAAACCATTGTTTTAAGGCCTTTTTCATCTATTTTGGCACATTCTGCAGAGAGATCCTTTGACCCTGTATTCAGCCAATCCCTGTGAAAATAATGGGACTGGAAAAAACGTGTCCAGAATCCCTTCTCTGTCATGTTGTGGGGAACACTTTCTGCATATTTCATTTTCACTGCTGGATAGGTCCTAAATATGAACTCAATGATATCAGAAGTTAAATTATATTTCAGACCGTTACAGCCATCGGTTTCGGGCCAGACATCAGCCAGATATGCAGCAGAAATGCCAACATCCTGCTTATGATTGGATGTGGAAGAATTTTCTGTTGCATTCCCATTTAAATGATTGGCCCAGAATTCCTCAGCACTCATCACTTGGCTCACAACAAGATCTTTATAAAGCTGAAACAAAACAGGATCTTCTTGCAGCATTCTGTTCTTCTCTTCCAGTTCTTTATTTGCTTTCCTCTTGAATTTGGGAAGCAGCTGCTGAAGGTCCTTTACTGCATCTTGCTCTTTCACTGCTGTGTTTTCACTGGGAAAACGGAAGTTAATTGTATCTCCTTCATGTAGGTCCAGCTGATGCTGAATTGTAGCTTTGCCTTCTGGACTAATTTTCTGACATTTAACATCTACATACATACGGCTGACTGTAAATCTATTTTTGCCTTCAGGTGCCCAAGCAATTCTTTCTGCCATGAGGTATAGAGCTCCATCCTGCTTCTTTTGACGCACTTTCTTTACAATCAGCAAAACTTCTTCAGAGGAGGTTGCCATGGTGGCTAGAAGGTGCAGGTGGAAGCTATAATTCTGGGCCAGTAACTAACTGGATTGGATACGGTTGAGTTTCGCTGCGCTTCTTAGAGTCGCTGCTGGAAAGAGGCTGAAATCCAGTGGCCACAGCAGTCGCCACCCCCTCTGTTACTGGGGGGGGTCTCACTTCCATCGCTGGCTGTGAGGAGTCTGAGGGCATGTGACTGGGAACACAGTTTTTTTGTGTGTTTTGTTTTGTTTTGTTTTAATATCTAGGTCTTGGGCCGGGCACAGTGGCTCATGCCTGTAATCCCAGCACTTTGGGAAGCCGAGGTGGGTGGATCACCTGAGGTTGGGAGATCAAGACCATCCTGGCTAACATGGTGAAACCCCGTCTCTACTAAAAATACAAAAAAAAATAGCTGGGCGTGGTGGCACATGCCTGTAATCCCAGCTACTCGGGAGGCTGAGGCAGGAGAATCACTTGAACCCAGGAGGCGAGGCTACGATGAGTTGAGATCAGCCATTGCACTCCGGCCTGGGCAACAAGAATAAAACTCCATCTCAAAAAAAAAAAAAAATATATATATATATATGTGTATATATATATATATATATATGTGTGTATGTGAATATATGTGTAAATATGTGTATATATATGTGTATATCTAGGTCTTTGGAAAGTTTTTTTTTTTTTTTTTTGAGACAGTCTTACTCTGCTGCCCAGGCTGAAGTGCGGTGGCACAATCTCGGCTCACTGCAAACTCCACCTCCTGGGTTCAAGCAATTCTCCTGCCTCAGCCTCCCGAGTAGCTGGGATTATAGGTGAATGCCACCACGCCCGCCTAATTTTTGTATTTTTAGTAGAGACAGGGTTTTGCCATGTTGGCCAGGCTGGTCTCTAACTCCTAACTTCAAGTGATCCACCTGCCTCAGCCTCCCAAAGTGCTGGGATTACAGGCATGAGCCACCATGCCCAGCTGGAAAGCCTTTTTAAAAGACTGTAAGTCATTTTATTGGAGAGAGGGTGGGTACCTCTGAAGCCTACAAGAAGTGAAGAGATGCTCCAGGGGCCCCAGAGAAATCCAAGTCTGAGGCTCTCAGGGGAGGAGGACTCTGACTGCAGGGAGCAATCTGGGCTTCTGCTCTGTCTCCACTCCCATCCCCTCCTGAGGCCCTCAGTGGTATGGGTCTATGGAGCACCTCGTAAGAATCAGTGCTGGGCAGCCAGATTCCTAGTCTCGCCAAAGATGAGAGCAGGCTTTACAACAAGAAGGGCCACAAAACCCAACTCAACAGGCAGAGAAATGCAGGTATCTCATCAGTGATCAGTAAGGCCCTGAGATGCTTCCCTGAAACTGTGGCCCTTCCTTAGCCCCAGGAGCTTAGGATGACTCTGAGAGAAGAAACTCCAAAAAAGGAACCTATTCAATGGGTGCAGGATCAGAATTGAGTTTATGTAAACTCAATTAACATGTGCTATAGTTTTTCAACTTAACTCTGCGATTTGTACCCATTGCTATTCTAGTATAATGACCCCCAAATAGCTCTTCTGTCATTTAATTTTGTAGAGATGAGTACAATTTTTAAAAATATATACTTTCAACTAAAATATTCTAAACACTGAAGCAAACCGGATCCAAAATTTTTTAAAAGTTTAAAAATATGCATATAAACTTGCCAAGAGAGAACCAAAGACTGTCTCGTACCTAGTACTCCTATTCCCTTTTTTCCCTCAAGGCATTAGTTTTATATTAATAACATTTAGCTTTGATGGATGGTTGCATTGTTTGAAATATTGGAGAGTTAAGTAATTTAAACACTGTTACTTGGTTCAGGACATAAATTCCGAAATGTTTCATCTCAGTTAAGGTCACCATGACTAATAAAATAATATACAATCTGCAGCTGCTTCATAGAGAGTGCCTAGAAAAAGAACGTATTGCCCAGAATTATTCACTGTAAAGAATGCATTGTAACTATCAAAGAAATTAATATTGAATTTATCCACCAGGATACAGAAATAATAAATGCTTACTAATTATATAATATGTAAAAGAGTTTCAAACTAATAAAGATTAGATTCACCACAATCACTTGTGAACATTCACAATAGGCCATTCCTAAATATCAGATTAATGGACTGCACATCTCTTAGAAGAAAAAGAAATGGATGGAGAAGAACAGCATCTGGGACCAGAGACTGGCTATATGATTTTTATATTATCATTTTCTATATACAAAGACATTCCGTATTACCAAATAGCTAGATAATAAAGGGAGAACAGAAATTGTTATATTATTTTACCACAGTAGAAAATGTTTTAAAGAAAAAGCAATGAAATGAATAGGATTTTTCTATGTCAGTAACTATTCTGTTTTCATAACTGTCTTAAGGATGCTGCTCAATTTCAGGTTTTCTTTACTTGTCTTTTATCCTGTTTTATTTCTTCACCACTTTTTAAAATGGGATGGTAGGCCCCTATTCTAATAGCCATGATGCTATGCAAAAGCACAGGCCATTTTGGCCTGGCTGTTCCTCCTGCCCTTAGTAATAGTTAAATAAGCAAATTACCTTTGCAGCTCCTAAGAGTCCTGCTGTTCCTCATTATTTCCCTTGCAAATTAGCCCCCGAGGAAGTCACTGATGTCTGGACTTAGGAAATTGTAGTGAAAAGCAACTCAGATTCTTAGAATTAAATCAGGAAGGATTTCCAGATGAAGTGTCATATAGGGTGACTGACTACAGTTGACAACAATGTATTGCACATTTCAAAATAATTATACAGGACTTGAAATGTTCCTAACACATAGAAATAATACATACTGAAGAGAATGGATACCATACATATCCTAACTTGATCATTATTCATTCTATGCATGTAACAAAATATCACAGATACTCCATAAATACATACAAATATTATGTACCAATTTAAAAAATTAACTCGTGTATGTGTTTTTGGGTTTATTAACTACTAGATTTTTGAGAGCTAAGGAAGACTAGGGTAGCAACAAGTAGATGAAGATGTATGTTTGCTCTTAGATTGGTTCATGCAAATTTACTTTTTTCCAATAATATTCTTACATGTAGGAATACAAACTATATGTTCATTCCAGCAAGAATAAATGCTATAAATATTAATATGAATTTAAACTGCTAAGTAATTGTGTATGTGTTCCTCGGTAGCAAGTTTACTTACACAGACAAATCTCAGGCAAAAAAAAAAAAAGGAATTATGATTCAGATCAATCATGTACAAACTAATACTGGTTTTTGACAGCCTATTAAGACATGCAATCATTCCCCGCCAGACAACACAAGGAAGAGGGCAAGGGAGAAGCAACATCAAATGAATGGTTTTATTGCAATAATTTCAACATCAGGCTGGAGAACCTACACAAGGATGATGGTAGACAGCTCCTGGAAGACAGGCACAGTTCCCGGTGTATGTGTGGCCTTACACCTTGCCAGTGCCAAGTATATAGTAGTCACTTACAATATGTCTGTTAGAGTGAATAAATCTAGAGACATTTGGGGAACGAAAAAATAAACAAGAACGTTCAACAAATTATTTCACATCGAGTTTAACATTAAGAATTCTCAAATCTTGGAAATGTAAAGATTGGAAAGTAGAGTTTGTTCCTGAGGAAAATGTGTCCTGGTAAGCTTTATGTGTCAACTTGACTACAGTGCCCAGTGATTCAATCCAACACTAATCTAAATGTTGCTGCAAAGGAATTTTGTAGATGTGGTTATCTACGCTCAGTTTACTTTAGGTAAAGATTATTCTCAGTAATAGGAGTAGGCCTCATTCAATCAGTTGGGAAAGCCTTAAAAGCAAGACTGAGGTACCCCTGGGGAGGAAGACATTTGGCTTTAAAACTGAAACATCAGCTCCTATCTGAATCTTCAGCCTACCAGCCTGTCCTACAAATTTTGGACTTCGCAGCCTCTGTAATCTCATAAGCCAATTTTTTGATCTCTAAAATAAGTAAGAACTAAATATACTAGTGATATAGGAGATATATCTTATTGGTTCTGTTTCTCTGGAGAAAGCTGAATGACAGTGTCAGTAGAAATTTTAGGGACAATATCTTTTGGGCAGTTCACATTTTTAAGTAAACACCATTTTGTAATGAGATGGTCTTTCCTTGGTCATCAGACTATCTACTAAATTAGTGGGAGTTTGAATGCCTTAAATATAAAGTTGACTATTGCAATTTGATTATAATGACATGGTTTGTGTCTAGGTGTCAAATCTATGTTTGAAAAATAAAAGCAGCTACATTACCATTTTAGAGGACATGTGAGTTCCTTATGTGTGAGCTTTCTAAGCCAATAAATGCCTGACCACTCTCAATTAAAGTCAGAAGTATAAGTCAGTTAACCAACAAACGAAGGCACTTCCGTTGTCAGCCCCACTATTGTTTCACATGCTAACAGCATGGAAATGACGTCTTCCTCCAGCAGGAACAGAAAGGACTCAGTAAGTATCCTTGGGGAATCATTGGCTGCTAAAACAACTAACTCACCAGCTTCTCTTCACAATCAGTACACTCTGCATTCTGCCTGGGTTAGTGAGAAATAAAACTTGCACTCCACATCACACATAGGTAGGGATTTTTCTTTTTCTCCTAAGACTTGGGAACTTTGGGAAGAAGGTGGGAAGCAAGAAGGACCACTGTTAACGTTTACTTGTATTTTATCCCATAGCCAAAAAGCTTATCTTTTTTTTCTACCTTTGATATTATCCTTACTCCAACTAGTTTGGGACATACTGATCTCTTAAGTCTTCTGTATGTAGACAGAGAAGATTTGGGAATACTGAACTCACCGCTAGAGTTAGGGCATGGGGAGAATAAGAGGGATTTTTTTTTAAGCTGACAAAGAATAACTCTAAATATAGGGAGACATACTGGATAACGTTTTGAGTTTTCAAAACAACTGACAAAAAAATCCTAATTTTTAAAAACACAAAAAAGGAGTGATTATGCATTGGTTTATGTCAAGTAAAAATAAAGAATAAGATGAACAGAGAGATGACTTTTTGATTTATCTAGAGTCACTGAAGGCAGGAATGGTGAGAAAAAATAGAGTAATTATCAAGAACTTCAGGAATTAAAAAGATACAAAAGAAATTATAACTACATGGCAAATAGAAGTTAAACAGTCTCTGTCAGATGAGTTAAAGGGAGACATGGAAGCAAGAAAATTGCCTCAAAAAGTGGGGAAGAATATCTAGAATACATACAGGTGAAGGAGAGAGCTTAGGGAAAACAGATGATTGAGATGAATTAGACAGATGATAGACAGAGATACAAGGGAGGGAGGGAGGGAAAGAAGGAGGGAGGGAGGAGAGGGGAGGGAAAATTTAAAATACACATCCTTCAGACCATAAAGAAAAAAAGGTACATTGCAGTAAGAGTAGTAAAAAAAAAAAAAAAGAGGGAGTTCATAATTTACAGTTTTTATCTTTTCAATTAAAAAAAAAAAAAAAAGATGAGGTAATCTTCCAGAAGTCAAGAGTCCGAACTGAGAGTTTGTGGTATAAATGGATGGTGTGTAATGGCTGCTTTAGGGATTTTTCCCTGAAATTGTTTAAAAAAAAAAAAAAAAAAAAAGAACTGCTCAAGCCAAGCTGCAGAATAAGTTGATTTATCAGACACTAATCTCGTCCCTCTCCAATTTTTCCCTGAAAGAACCTTAAAAATGATTACTCTTCCTAATCACATTTTTATGTCACTTCTCTATGCAGAAACAGACCATTTCATATTTAACATAAAAAATTCAGACTCCGGCCGGGCGTGGTGGCTCATGCCTGTAATCCCAGCACTTTGGGAGGCCGAGGAGGGTGGATCATGATGTCAGGAGATCGAGACCATCCTGGGTAACACGGTGAAATCCCGTCTCTACTAAAAATACAAAAAATTAGCTGGGCGTGGTGGCGGGCGCCTGTAATCCCAGCTACTCGGGAGGCTGAGGCAGGAGAATGGCATGAACCCGGTAGGCGGAGCTTGCAGTGAGCGAGATTGCGCCACTGCACTCCGGCCTGGGTGACAGAGCAAGACTGTCTCAAAAAAAAAAATTCAGACTCGCTCTGAGTGCAAATCCTTACCATAATCTATCCAAACCCCAACCTTCTATCCCAAAGCTTGTTCCCAAATTCTTTTTCCAAATAAGAATTTTTCAGTCTAGTCAGTGAGTTTTTCCTCAATTTCAACAAGATGTTCATTCTAATTGTCTGCCTTTAATCTCGTCTCTCCCAGCTGCAAAAAACAAAACAAAACAAAACAAAAAATCCTCTTCAAGCTTCTCATCTAAATCATGTAAATATTTTTAAACTACAATTATCCTTCAAGGGTCACATGAAACCATTACACTCCATAAAGACTTCTGCTGACATTCCAGCCTGCCTGAATTCCTAGTCATTCTCATGTCATCTCTCATATCTATATGGAGTAATACAGTATTTAACTATAAACAAAACCTTTTAATTCAATATTTTGTTGGCATCAAAACTTTGCCAGCAGATCAGCTGTTGGGAACATGAAGCACAATTTTCTATAGAAACAATGGTAGATTTGTGTCTGCCTCTCACAGACCCACTTAACCAATAAAGTGGAAAACATCTGGAATTCTCCCCGCTGGCAGTGGTGCTACACAAATGAATGCAAGCACGCCCTTTTAAAGAAAATAAGCAGGTTTTTGCTGTATTGTCAGGCCCAATGCAAACCTTAAAAAAAATTAATAGAACTAACTGTATGAGTTTCTTTTTAAAACTAAATGCTGCTGCTTAAGAAAAACACAGTTTAGTTACAGAAAAAAGTTGATAGAGATATTTGTGAAAATGCTGAAAGTTTCTTTCAGCTTTAAAGGTTGAGGCTAGTTCTTGTGATGTCTGATTTCAGCAGTAGTCACATTCCTTGCCCTTAGATGCCTTGACGTGGGAAGAGGGGTTACAGTTTTGACACGCAAATGAAACAAATGGGCACTGATATCTTTCATTAAATCAGAAAATTAGAAGTCACAAATGCAGCATGGCAGCCACACATTCTCCCTCTATTCTTGCTTGTCTGCTTCTCTCATGTTCTACCTGCTTCCCATCTGCCTGTGATTCTTTCTGAGAAACACCAAAACCAAGAGACAGCACATACATGCAGTTAGACATGAATGTTATTCAGTGTTGAAGAGGGGTTCTGACCTAAATTGATGTAAAACAGCTTATTTTAAATATAGAAAAATCGTATGTTTCAGTTTTTCCTAATTTAGCTATACCCTTTCTGCATAGGGTGCTTTAAAAAGAGATCCTCCTCACTGGTCTGGGAAACGAAGGATTAACCCCATTCTCATTCTCTGATCTTGGCCCAGAGCATAGCTAGCCAAGTGTCCTGGCATACTTTCCCCTGGCACGGATGTAACTCTGAAAATGCAATATTAATGACTCCTTCGAGACCTCTAGGGAAGTCTGAAGCTTTATTTCTAGCCAATTTTCTCAGAGGGTAAACAGGCTAGCTAAGACTAAATAGTCATTGGTTTTTTGTGGGGGGGACATACATTTTTTTTTTGGACATAAGCAGGATATTTTTTAAAATCACCCCTGGGATGTTCCCAGCCCCTGCATTTCTATTTCTCTCTCTACGCTCCTTAGAGGGGAACAGTGGTCTTGCCCCAGGCTGATGTGGCTCAGCTATCTTGGCCTTTTCAAGGGTGTTCTAGCTGCTGAGGTCCTGCACAGTGCTTCCTTGTTTTGAACCTATGTAAAAAAATGTTTAATTTCTCATTGTAGTATGTATTAGTCTGTTCTCATGCTGCTAATGAAGACATACCTGAGACTGGGTAACTTATAAAGGAAAAATGTTTAATTGACTCACAGTTCCACATGGCTGGGGAGGCCTCACAATCATGGCAGAAGGAGAAGGAACAACAAAGCCATGCCTCACGTAGCTGCAGGTCCAAGAGAGCTTGTAAAAGGGAAGCCCCATTTATATAACCATCAGATCTCGTGAGACTTATTCACTGCCACAAGAACAGTATGAAGGAAGCTGCCTCGTGATTCAATTATCTCCACCTGGCCCCACCCATCACACCTGGAGACTATTACAATTAAAGGTGAGATTTGAGTAAGGAAACAGCCAAACCATATCATAATGATTGCATACTGGGATTAGAGGTTAAGGAAAAACAAAACCTGATTTTTATTCAACATTTTTATTCAGAGGAGGATTGAGAACAGTAGGAAAAATATTCAGGCCATCATCTGAAAGGGGATGTTTGTACCAATAATTGCAACCACCCCAGTTTGTGACCAGGGCTCACCCCTTTTAGAAAGCCATGCTCCCTAACCCCTCTTCCCCACTTCCCACCGCAATCCCTCACCATCCTGTGGCTCCCATCTACGGGAGCAAAGCCAGCTCCCAGCTGTATCACCTCATCCAAAAGTAGTTATATCAGAACTGACTTACCCTTTTTTGTGTTTTGTTTTTTTTTTCGGTTTTCTTTGAGACAGAGTCTTGCTCTGTCACCCAGGCTGGAGTGCAGTGGTGCGATCTTGGCTCACTGCAAACTCCACCTCCCCGGTTCCAGCGATTCTCCTGCCTCAGCCTCCCAAGTAGCTGGGACTACAGGTGCCACCACACCCAGCTAAATTTTTTTGTATTTTTAGTAGAGATGAGGTTTTGCCACCTTGGCCAGTCTGGCTCAAACTCCTGATCTCAGGTGATCCACCTGCCTCAGCCTCCCAAAAGAACTGACTTATCTTTCATTGGTTCCTAAGACATGGCCAGAGAAGTGAAGTTCCAATTATCACTAGTTTAAATATTTTATCTTAGAGAGAAGAAGAATTAACTAACATTTAGAAATTAAAAGTCTTCTTGTAGCCAGGACCCGCTGGCTAGCATAATTTCATTTCTCATTTATTTTACATTTACAAACAAAGCATGCACCATACCTAATCCTAGACTTGCTATTGCTATCCAGGACAAAATTCTTCAGAAATTTCTTTATGCAGGCTTATATATGTTTTTGCTTTCCTTATCCCCTAATCCCAATGTGCAATCATTACAATGAGAAGTTTAAAAATGTTTCCATAGGCTCAAAATGAGGAAGCACCATTTGCAGGACCTCAGCAGCTAAGACACCATTGAAAAGGCCAAGGTAGCTGAGCCACCATCAGCCCGGGATGGGACAACTCTAAGGAGGGTAGAGAGATAAATAGAAATGTAGGGGCTGGGTAAATCCCAGAGGCTACTTTTTAAAATATCCTGCTCATGTCCAAAAAAGAAAAAAAGATTTTGAGGTTATTTCCCTAATGATTCTTTACGTTTAGCTAGCCTGTTTACCCTCTGAGAAAATGGGTTAAAAATAAAGCAGACAAGGGGAATGGCAATGTCTTCATAACAAATTAGTAATGAATCACTTATAATAACAAGAAAGAGAAAGGAGGTTAACATTCCTTGAACTTCTATTACGATATGCAAGATTCAGTGACAAGCACCAAACGTAGAGCATATCATGTCATCATCTGTACAACCCTATTAGGTAAAAAGTTATTCCATTTCACATAGGGGGAAATTGAGGCTCAAAGAAATAAAGTAACTTTAATCACCCATCTAGCATGCATTAGAGCCAAACTTTGCCAAGTGTGTGTAACATCAAAGTCCATGCTCTTTCTCCATTATGCTACTCCCTCATATAATAATATTCCTAATAATAATGAAATAACATAACATTTGCAACACTCATAGCAATTTATGTAGTGATTTAATATAAATGTCATTTAATTAACTTTCATGATTAACTCTCAAGGTAGGTATTATCATTATCAGAAAGTATCTGTACAGTGGAAACCGTATTTAGTATCTGTTTTTATGACCATTTCCTACTTGTTCATATATACGTGCTTTATTCCTTCAGCAAGAATATGAAATATAACTATTTGATTTGGGGAAGGGGGCAATGGACTGTAAATTACCCTCCTCACTTTTTAATCTCCTATAGGTGCCAAGCATTGCTTCTAACACCCAGTAGGGAAACACCATACCTTTTATGTTTGTTGCTTTATTAGAAAACTAAGTCCTTTGAAGTCCTGTTTTTTATTTGATTTTTTCTGATTGCACAAATATTTCATATACCATGAGCAATTAAATGCATTACTTAAGGGAAAAATGAAACCACCAAATTGTACTGTACCTGAGGTTAAATATTTTGACCATTGCATTTTAACATGAATTGCAGATCAACAATTATTTATTGGTGTAAAATGCCATCTTTTACATAAGTTTTCAGTATTTTATTTGTAATTTGGGCATACTTAGTGCTTCATACAAGTAAATTTAACTGTGATTCTTCAAGAAATTAATTTGCCTTGATGGGAATGCTGAATCTGTATCAGGGACAAAGCACAGCACAACATATCTCTATTTACTTTATATAATTTATTCTATCAATTAAATAATTGAAGCAAATATCATGCAGTTTACTTATTATTGATGTGTATTCTGATATTATGTACACTTTCTCTAACTAGAAGAAATGAGCCAATTTTTGTTTTGCTCTCTTTGTAACTAAACAAGGGACTTTATTCAGATTTCACCAGTTTTTCTATCAATATCGCTTGTCAGTTTTGTTAAGAATTGACATCTTAACAATATTGAGTCTTTCAATTCATGAACACAGCTTATCTCTCCATTTCTTTAGCCTTGTTTGATTTCCTTTATCAGCACATTGCAGTATGTCAACATATAGGTTACACATGTATTTTGCTGGATTCATTACTATTTTTGTGCTGTTGTTAAATGCATTTCTTAACATTTGAAATTCTACTTATTCATTGCTAGCATATAGAAATACAGTTGACATTCTTATATTAACCATGTATCGTGTGATCTTGCTAAGCTCATTTATTGATCCAGAGCTTTTATCGGACATGTTTTGGCTTTTCTGCAGTGTCTATCATATCAGAGCCATTTTTGTTTATCTTTTTCCAATTTGAATGCCTTTTATTTCTTTTTTGCCTGACTACATTAGCTATTATATTTTTTAAAGAATGCATTTGCAGTATTTTCAGAAAGAAAAATTATCCTAAACTCAGTTAATAGAGTTTTTGAGTACATGCTTTCATAAAGCCCTTTTTTGATTAATAAAATCATATTATTTTTCAGAAGCAGCACCTGAGTAAAGAGAAGACTTCTTAGTCTGGCTGTCAACAAACTGTGGGGTGTCACTGAAATCAATCTTATCTCTCAGAATCTCAAATTCAAACTCATAGATTGCTTTTTATTTAAAATGTCACAGAAGGCCTTTCAGGAAGGACCTTCACACTCTCCCATTTTACTGATGAAGAAACTAAACAATGGAAAAATAATGAGATATGCTTAAGATTACAAAATAGAGTGCCATTGCTGAGACAGTGGCATTACCATGACTTGAAAGTGGACCTTCCAATTGCTACTCCAAGGGCTCTATTTGTATATATCAGAAATGTGACAGACCACCTTTATGACTATTATTGCTCCATGTTCAGATAGAATCTTGTCCTTGGTTTTCCTGTTCCATTTTCTTTATTCTTCTAATCATCTGTTCACTAAATCGTGTGAGAACAGGAGTGAAGATTTGCCTCTTCGCTAGACTGTGAATGCCTTGAAGGTCGGGACCATGACCATATAGAAATCAGCTCTTTTCATCCCTAGCTCTTAAGTAAGAGATTCAGAATTTGGCAGGCTGTTTGCTAGTTAGATATTAATTGATGTATATTGAAATTTAATTATTGAAGAATGACAATCTGAAAAAACAGAAAGCGTAAAATTTCAGATAGTGCAGTGTGGTAAAAACGTCAGGATGTCAGTGACTGGGAGTTTATCCATGATTCATTACATAAATCCATGACCCTTAGCCTATCAAACCACCTCTTCAGGTCTCACAGTAATGTGACAGTGATAATGCCTCAATGATTTGAAAGCAAAGAGCAGGACCAGCTGATAACCTAAGATTCTATCCAGCCTTAGGAGGCATATTTCTGTGAAAACAGCACAGTCACACACATGACATTGTGTAAAACACATCAAGATATCAATATAGGTGTGTTCGCGTCCTTGTCCCCTCCCCACCTTCCAAAAGAAAGGAGTGTTTGTTTGAGAACTACCGGGCTTGGCATGTTTTGGTGAGACTATCTACAAAACCAATAGCCAGGAGAATTGAAAAAGATCCAGAAAGGCTTGACTTATTTACGCTGAAATAGGGAGACAGGCTCAGGAAAACAGATTGGAATCCTGAAAGAGGAGGGGAGGTGCGGAGTAATCAACACAATGTGGAATCACCCTGATGCAGCGTGGAGTCAGCCGAAAGAGCGGGCAAATGACCTTCTGGAGGCAGGTTCTGTGCTTTTTGAGTGAGAGAGAGAAAACAAGAAAAATTGCTAAGTTTTTAAAATGTGTTCTCTGAAAAGAATCTCCCATACTTGCACCACACAAAAGTCTTTAATATTTTTTCCATGTAGGACTAATGATTCTTTGAATGGTAATATCATGCTGAGACAGGTTCATAAAAAGAGTCAACTATATTCAAGTAACATTTGTTTTCAAAATTTAGTTAGTTTTACAAGATACATGATTTTCACAAAGCTACCTCAATCCCAGATGCTAAAATGATACTCCTCAATAATATTCCAACTTAAATGTCACCTTCCCCCTGAAGCTTTTCTTGTCATTTCCATCAGGATACAATCTCTCCTGCTTTAAACTTCTATAATGTTGTAGTCATTAAAGATGCTCACATATATTCTGGTTTTCCTGCTTCCAAGAACATGGTAGGTAGAACTTGCTTATGCCCTTAAAATCAGTAACCCACTTGACTTGTCTTAAACCAATAGCATGTGGAGAGAAGACTAGAAAAGCCAGTGGATTTTCATGTTTCCCCTATCCCTGCTGTTTCCTCTGGCACACAACAGTAACATTCCAGGTGGTGGAGTCTCCCTTAGGCTGGGTGCAAGTGTAAAGAGACACAGAGCAGAGCCTCCAGTGGCCCCAGAACAGGCACATAATATGCATGAAAAATAAACACATGCCATTACAGGCCATTATGACTTGGGGGCTGTTTGTTATCTTAGCACAAGCTAACCTTTCCTGACATATATAAAATCTATGTGAGTCTCTGATGCAACTCATCACTTTTGATTTCATGATAATACTTATTGACCATAATTTTTTAATCTCATAGTCAAAACTATAAGCCCTTTGAGGATAGAATAATTTTTTAATACATGTCTTCTTATTTCTTATCATCGTGAGTGTTATGATATGGGTAAGAATTAGTGAATGGGTAAATATATAGTAAATGAATTATTTATTTTAGCTATTATAGATATATGTTATTATTATTTCCACATTATACCAAAATTATGGTGAGTTAAAGCTCTACATACAGTATTTTCCTAAATTTCTTGAGCCTTTCTAATGCTCTATATTGAATGAACCTCTATGATCATAATTTATAAATAGTTTTTGAAGTCACCCACTGACATACTGAGATGATCTTACAGAGATAATTATGTTACTGTCCTAGGATAATAAAAAGCAATCATGAAAAATCTATTTTAAAGTAAATATTAATGAACTTAAGAAATGCTCACTAAAGAAGAAACCAATAAGAATCTCCAAAATATACCCAAAAAATGAGCTTTAAAAGAAAACATGAATAAAGTAAAGCTCATCAATATTTAAATGGCTTTAACATTGCAATTCAAACATCAGACTTACAAATTAACAAAGAGATTTTGACAAATAAAACTGGTAAATTAAACTTAATGATTATTTTATTATGAAAACAAAATTTTAGTGGTGAATGTCATGCATCAGCTAAATAAGTTTTCCTTTCCTTGATGAACAACAGCTCAGTAAAAATCAAATGTGTAGAAAAGCACAGAATAGCTTAAGGTGAAAAAGTACAATGTTTATTTGAACTTAGATTCTTTAGCAATCCTCATAAAGACAAAATTTTCTCAGATTAAAAGTGAAACCTAGAGAACTGACAAAAACAATACAGGAAACAAATTATTTATTATCCACATCTGAGCAATCCCAGAGTCACTCTTCACTTTTCTAAAACAGAAGTAAACAGATTAATATTGCCAGCCCCCGCCCTTTATCTCATTTATCAAGACACTGGCCAACCCCACAATCTGGGGCATCTACACAATTGGAGCTGGTGAAACCTCCCTAGCAGCAGCTCCTGCCCCTACTGGCATAATAAAGAGAAATTCTTGTAAGATACAGTGTGAAAAAATAGGGGAAAAAAGGTTACATCACCTAAAGGAAGAAATAAAAGAATTATCAGAAACTTATTTTTAGAAACTTTGCCAGCTAGAAGACAATGGAACAATATCCGAAAGAAATAGTTAACCAATAATTTTATATTGAGATAGAAAATAAATTTCTGAATTAAAGGTAAAATAAAGCACTTTCAGACAAGTAAGTTCTAAGAGTCTTTGTTACCAGTGTATTGTGTAAACAACAAACGTTAAATAAAGTTATTGAGGTACTCCAAACAAAGCCTGAACTTTAGTTAACAATAATGTGCCAGCGTTGGTTGCCTAGTTTAACAAATGTCCCCTGACAATATAAAGTTCTAACAACAGGTAAAAACTGGGTGAGGAACTCTCTGTAACTTTTCTGTAAATCCGAATGTTCTCCAAAATCAGAAGTATATTGAAAAAAATTTGCAACTCCTGCACTTTGAACGATACAATTATAGAAATAGAAATATAAGCCACAGAATGTGATAAAATATTTGCAAAACATACATATAATAAAGAAGTTATATCTAAATGTATAAAAACCCTCAGAAGTTATTAATAAGAAAACAACCCAAAAGAAATAGACAGAATATTTAAACAAAGAACAGATACAGATGACATATAAACACACAAAAAAAGGATGTTCAATATCATTAGTTATTGGGAAAGTACAAATTAAAACCACAATAAGATGGTACTACACACCTATTGGAATGGCTAAAACTCCTAAATCTGACTGACAGGCAAGAATATGGAACAAATAAAACTTTCACACATTGCTCACAGAGATGAAAAATGGTGAAGGAACTTGGAAAATATGTTGACAATTTTGTATAAAGTTAAACAAACTGTTGTCATACTAATCATAATGTTATCCCTACCATTTAGCCAAGACACATGAAAATATATGTCCGATCATAGACCTGTACACAAATGCTCACAGTATTTTTGTTTATAATAGCTAAAAACAGGAAACAAGTCAAATGTCAATGGGGAGCAGATATACCAGCTATGTAATGGAGTGCTACTCAGCAATAAAAATGAACAAGCAGCTGATACACACAACAGCATGGATGACTCTCAAAACCATTTATGCTAAGGGGAAAAAAGCTGGATGAAAAGCTACATACTATAGGATTTCACTTTTTTTTTAATGAGTAACGATTTTATTTTTTTAAATTTTTTAGTTTTGTTCTTTAAACTTTTATGTTCAGAGGCACGTGCAGTTTTGTTATATAGGTGAACTCATGTCACGGGGCTTGTGGTACAGATTATTAGTACTTAGGTACAAAGCCTAGTACCCAACAGTTGTTTTTTCTGATCCTCTCCCTCCTCCTACCTTCCACCCTCAAGTAGGCTCCAGTGTCTGTTGTTCCCCTCTTTGTGTCCCTGTGTGACATTCAGATAAAGGCAAAGCCACAGAGAGAGAAATCAGACCACTGGTTGCCGAGGGCTGGAGGTGAGGATAGGTTACCGTTTAAAAAGGGTGTAAAGGAACTTCCAGGGATGATAAAAAAATATTCTATGTCTGGATTATGGTGAATGTGTATGACTATATACGTTAGTCAAAATTCATGAAACTATACAACTAAAAAGGATAATTTCTTCTGTATATAAATCATACCACAATAAACCCGACTTTTAATTAAAAGACAAACAAACAGATGTCTTTGGAAGTGAAAGGTAAACTTTTCATAAGTGTTTATGCTTTAAAATAAAAATTCAAAGAATCATTTTGCTTGTTATACTTGGCTAAGGCTCTGCTGACACTTCTGCTGGATGTATACAATCACTTTCCTTTGCTTTTGAAATATTCCAGTAGAAAATATTAAGAGAAACTGGTATTCTGTGTAATTTGTCATGCCTTGAAGGAAAGTTTGTTTAGAACTGTCCATAAAATATCTGGGTTATACATCTCTGAGTGGTTTTTATCCTGAGTTGAAGAATATATCGAGTATAAAGAAAAATTTGTACAGCTGCCTTCAAGCAATGACAATATAAGGTAAATGTCACTGAAAGTGTGTTACTTTGAAGTGAGTTGTTTAAGAATTATCAGGAATTGTGTTGGGTTGAGATCTTTTTAAGTTCCAAACAAAAGACTAATATAATAAAGATAAAAATTGATAAATATATGAACATTTAAAGCTATTGGATGTCAAAATTATGAAAAGTAAAATTAAAAATCAAATTAAAAACTGGGAAAAATGTTAGCAAACCACAAAATGGACCAAGAGTTAATAAATTTAGGGCTCATAAATAACTACTGAAATAAAAAAACCCAGTACAAAAAAACCCTAGAGAGGTATAAATTGACAATTCACAAAAGAATAAATTGATTATTCAAAAGATAATGAAAACATTTCATCTGACTGGTAATAAAAGGAATAAAATTTGTGTTTATTGCATTGGCCAGAATTTTTAAATGAAAATTATCCATGTGGTGTAGTGAAATGGTATGCCAACATTTAATTTTTTCAAAGATTTTTAACGATGGTTGAAATGCAAATTAACACAAATATTCTGGAAAATACTTTGGCAATATGTATCAAAAACCTTTAAGCTGTTCATACTGTTTTCTTAGCAATCGTATCAGTATTGATACATGCAAATATTTAACACATGGGTATTCACTCAGTGTTATTTATAATTCTGAACTGGAAATAAACAATAGAGTTATTTAAATAAATTATATCATACAATGGGACTACTATGCAAATATTAAAATAATGTTCTAGAAAAAATACATTATGAGATATTTAATAAGAAATGTGTAGAGCATTTCAGTAAGTAACATACAAAAGTTTGATCCCATTCATTCATTTATTTTTAAATGGAGAACAGAAAATGTACAAGATAAGCCTGAAACGTTTTGTCATATCAAAAAGCCAAGAAGCATCTGCACGTTATGAAGGTCTTTATAGGACTCTGAAGTAATTCTACAAGAGACTCTTTCCCTGCAAAAGTTTAAAATTTGGGTATCTATAAGCATATCTACAATGGACTTAAAAATATCAAATATATTTACATCTATGTCCATAATATTCCAAAAGAAAAATGAAACTCATTGATTACCTTTGGACAATATTAGGAAACCAACTGATTATTTTCTGAGCTGGCACATAAGGGAAATTAAGAATTTATTCTCTTTTCTATATAGAATATAATTTGGGGTAATCAAAAGATTAATATACTTAAATATATAAAGTTAAAATGTATTTAAATATATAAATATATATTTATACATTTATATGTTATGTATATTTGTATTTATTTAAATATATAGAAGATATATATATTTAAATAAATTTTAAATATAGAATATATAAACACATAGAGAAGTATTTTTATAGAAGCACTATGGCTAACAAATGAAGAGTGATAGAATTAGGTTACCAAGCTAGGCACTGTGGCTCACGCCTGTAATCTCAACACTTTGGTAGGCCGAGGCAGGAGGATCACTTGAGCTCAGGAGTTTGAAATCAACCTATGCAACATAGCAAAACCCTGACTCTATAAAAAGTAAAAAAAAATTAGCCAGGCATGGTGGCACACGCCTGTAGGTCCAGCTACTTGGAAGGCTGAGATGAAAGTATCATTTGAGCCCAAGAGGTCAAGAAGGTAGTGAGCTGTTGAAAGGTGAAGCCGGCTGGGCATCTGGGTCAGGTGGGGACTTGGAGAACTTTTCTGTCTAGTTAAAGGATTGTAAATGCACCAATCAGCGCTCTGTGTCTAGCTAAAGGTTTGTAAACGCACCAATTGGGTGGGGACTTGGAGAATTTTCTGTCTAGCTAAAGGATTGTAAATGCACCAATCAGCACTCTGTGTTAGCTAAAGGTTTGTAAACACACCAATCAGCACTCTTTAAAAACGGACCAATCAGCACTTTGTAAAATGGACCAATCAGCACTCTGCAAAATGGACCAATCAGCAGGATGTGGGCAGGGCCAAGTGAGGGAATAAACGCTGGCCACCGCAGCCAGCAGCCGCAACCCTCTAGGTCCCCTTCCATGCTGTGGAAGCTTTGTTCTTTTGCCCTTTGCAATCAATCTTGCTGCTGCTTACTCTTTGGGGCCGCAGTACCTTTGTAAGCTGTAACACTCACCGCAAAGGTCTGCGGTTTCACTCCTGAAGCCAGTGAGACCACGAACCCACTGGGAGGAACGAACAACTCTGGACACACAGCCTTTAAGAGCTGTAACGCTCACTGCGAAGGTGTGCGGCTTCACTCCTGCAGTCATCAAGACCACGAACCCACCAGAAGGAAGAAACTCTGGACACATCTGAACATCTGAAGGAACAAACTCCGGACACACCATCTTTAAGAACTTTAACACTCACCGCAAGGGTCCACAGCGTCATTCTTGAAGTCAGTGAGACCAAGAACCCACTGGAAGGAACTAATTCTGGACACACTGTGATCACATCACTGTACTTCAGCCTGGGTGACACAGTGAGACCCTGTCTCTAATTAAAAACAAAAATTAGAATATTGCTCCTGTGCAATATCAAATGCTTAGTGGATCTAGGTGATGATTGTCAATGACTGCTAATAATACATGAAGAAACAACCACATATTATATACTACTAATCTATGGAAATAAGGGAGGGAGAAATACATTGAGAAACACTGCAGGAATGCTATCAGAAAAGTCCAGAATATAAGAAATTCTATATCAAATAACATTTTTCAACAAAAGAAACTGAGAGAAAAGAAAAAGAAATGAAAGCACAATTTGCAGGTTAAAAGGTAAGCTATGTCCACCAAATTGCATACTTCATTTAGATCCTAATTTGAACAAATAACTATAAAAATAAGAAAACATTTATGAAACGAATCAGGGAAATTTGACCACTGAATAGATATTTGATTTTATTAAATTATTATCTTTAATATTTTAGAAATACAGCAATGGTATTGTGATTGTGTTTTTTAAAATACACCAGTCTTATGGAAATATATACTTATCTATTTATGGATAAAATTATACAATGCCAGGAACTTGCTCCAAAACAGTGGAGAGAAGGGGCTTACATTTGAGTGGGGGAAAGATGAACTTATGTCAGAACTAATAATTTTTAAAGATGAGTAATGGGTACTTGAATGTATTATATCATTTTTAAAAAATGGTGTGTGTACTTGAAAGGTTTACTACGTTTTATTACAAATGACAGATTGTTTCTTTCCATTCAAAGTACAGCACTCCTTTATTGTGAAATTGTATTGCCACAGGGCCTATTTTGATCATATTTACGGTAGACGTTGCTATTCACCTCTCTCAATATTCGTGTTCTCTTCTTTCCTATTAATAAAATTTTCAACTTAGAATTCTCCTGCCTTCTCCTGCAACTAGGTGTAGCCATATGACAAAGCTTTTGCTAATAAGATGTGAGCAAAAGGAACCTGTGCAACTTCCAGGTTGTGTTAACCCTTCCCATCCCGCTTTCTGCAGGTTGGAATGTGGAGGTTGTAGCCAATAGCTCTAACTTGGGATGCAGGGGTGGCCTCTTTTCCTGACAAAACCACTGTTCATTATCTAATATATTCTGCTGGTGTTTGAAACAGCAACTCCATCAATTACTTCCCCTCTGTACTTTTGACAGGTTGGGCGTTTGGGGTTTTTTGTTTTGTTTTGTTTTGTTTTTTTTGTGTGAGAACTCTTACAATCTACTCTCTTAGCAATTTCCAAGCATACAATACATTGTTATTAACTATAGCCACAATAGTGGAACAATAGGTCTTTTGAATTCTTTCCCCTTAACTGAAATTTTGTATCCTTTGACCGACTGCCAACTCTACCATCCAATCCCCTGACAGTTTTTACATTGAAACTCCCAAGAGTGAGGAAGTTTATTTCTACAGCATGCACAAAGTCCTGCCTGTTTGTAGAGTGTGTCTCAGCAGCTTTTGCCTTCTTGGAAGAATAATGTGAATTCTCATTCACATATCAAGTAGAGGAGCAGAAGATGTATAGTGTTTGCTCTTTGTTTCTTTTCAAAATGTCTTCAAGAACAGCACAAGTAGGTTGTGACCTAGAGTACTGGTTTGATGCAACTTCATACATTTGATTCAATTTAGATCAACTTGATTTGATATTTTAGATAAGTTAGTCAATTAGGCTTCTAAAATAAATACATAAATTGTTACCAAGATCATAAGCAAAGCAAGACTGCCATGAATTTTTGATAGCATTAAGAGGAACATGTAGTTAGTGGTAAAAAGTAAACTCCAAAAGACTTTGAGGTTAAAAAAAAAATCCAGTGATCAAGTGGAAAATTGATCTTAGATAGAATAAACTCATTTGAGTATTAATGCGAAAGTAAAAAATATTAAAATAAATCCTGAAGCACTTTAAAAGAATAATAAAATAGAGACACTGTAGGCTCTGAAGCTCGACTGCCTGTATTCAAATTCCAGCACTGTTGCTTTTTCCTCTAGCTTGGGCAAGCGACTGAGTCTCTCTCTACCTTAGTTTTCCCGTCTAATTATTGGAGAAAACAAATATACCTCCCTGCTATAGCCTCAATGTTCGTGCACCAACCCCCCCCCAAAAAAAATTCACACGCTGAAATCCTAACCCCCAGCGTGATAGTATTGGTGGGGGATAGTGAGTGTTGGGAAGTGATAGGCTGTAACCAATTTGATTGGTTATAGTCACATGGCTACCTTATTTAATCTACTAGTGCCCTTATAAAAGTGACCCTAGAGAGCTTCCTTGCTCCCTCCAGTATGTAAGGACACAGCAAGAAGGTGCCATCTATGAACCAGAAAGCAGGCCCTCACCAGACACCTAATCTTCCTTGATCTTGGACTTCCAGCATTCGTAACTATGAAAAATAAATTTCTGTTGTTTATAAGCCACCCACCCAGTTTATGGTTTGTTATGGCAGCCCAAAAAGACAAAGATGCTGTCTTATAGAGTTGGGTTGACTGTTGTGTTAAAAGGCACACTGAGGCACAATCAATTTTAGTTTGTTTGAGCAAACAGCGACTCATGAATCAGGAAGCACTAAACCAAACTTGGTTTTGGACTCTGCAAAGGAACACAAGGGGAAGGCTTTTATTGGATGAACATGGATGTAAAGCAAAGAAAATATTTGATTGGTTATAGTCGCATAGTTGCCTTATTTAGTCTATCCTGCTGGAAAATTCCTACTTATATGAACTATTTGGTAACTTTTGATTGGTTATCCTTAAGTTTTATTTTTCTTTTACATAGGCATTTATGAGAAGTACCTTAAGTTTTGCTTACGTTTGCAAATTGAGCAAGGTTAAGGTCACTTCTGAGGCCTACCTAACTGGCTTTGTGGGCTCAGGAGTGTTCAGGACTGAGCTCCATTTTAATTTACTTTAACAATTATTATGTGTGGAGTTGTATTTGCCCAATATTCCTATGCCAAAGTCCTAATGCCCAGTATCTCAGAATTTACCTTATAGTAAATTTACCTTATAGTAGCATGCACATAACAAATGCTCAATAAAAGTTAACTATTACTATTGTTTAAAATTATCTTTCATTTTTGTTTTTATTTGCATGACTCTGCACAGTAGCAATAACTATAATAAATGGGAAAAACTAAACTATGATGCTAGAAAATTGGTGCATTTTACCAAGACTAAATGATTTCTCCACATTCAAAAGAGTGTCGTAGAATTATGTCAATTGGAATAAAACATTTTAAAATAATCATTTAGTTATAAAGTATGCCATTTTGCATATGTTTTTAAATGATGCTAAATTAAATTATATTCAGTTACAGGAAGATTAATATGTAAATCAACAAAAGAGCCTCAAGACAACTCTTTGGCTCTTATTTGTGGGAGTCAATTTATACCTTGAAGAAGTGCAATCTCTTGAATACTAATTTATATCAATTTATTATACTAATATCAGGCATTTTGTTATTTTGTCAGGTTTTTCTTAGAAAGTATAATTCTTTTGCTTTGTTTTTTATACATGTGAATAAAACTACAGAGTGTGTTAGGAGCCTTGTGAAGAATTTAAGTCATCCTTGACTTTCAGCATAATTTCTTTAGAGAAAAATGGCTCACGTTATTTTGCCACTTTTCTATTTCACAGGTTTTTGGCTACTGACCAATATTCTTAAAATTAAACATTTGGATTCAAGTAAAAGCATGACTCTTTTAGCAGTTATGTCACTTATAATGAAAATTTTCAAAAATGAGTATTAGTTTAGGGCAAAATAGAGTGTACTTAGGGGAAGGATGAAAACCTGGAAAAAGTGTTTGAACAAATATATAAGGCCAGGGCTACACAATGGCAATAAAAGTCCATCATTTAAAATAAAAGGTAGGGTTACCTAGCTAGCATCACAGAAAAAAGAGCATTTGTTAACTGAGTGCTTATTTTGGCTTTATATAGACAAAGCCCGAATCTCAAACTACAATCACACAAAAATTATTCAGAAACACAAATGTTTAAGAGCAAAAGGTGCCAAAATGTTAGACAACATTACAGGGATAGCATAATGACCTTTGTTCTTAATAACTAAGTAGCAAAAGTTATATCTGAAGTCAAATTAAATGTTTTGAGATTTAACAAATATTCAAGCATAACATTGCCATTCCTTCCCTTTTTTAGTGAGATCTATAAAAGCAGGTATGTAACAACCTACAAAAACATATATTAAATTTGTTTAAAGTTCAGAAGATTGTTACGTAATAGATGTCATTTGTGTAAAACATACTTATTTTATTGTACGTGCACTGAAATCTCCAGAAGAGTCCTCAAGAATCTGGGGAAGAGAACTGAATGAATGAGAGCTCGTGGCAGGAGGGAGAATGTCCTCTGAAGTAAGGCTTCTCACAACTCTTGTATTTGTACAATGTGCCCTATTACCTAACTGATATGGTTTGGCTGTGTCCCCACCCAAATCACATCTTGAATTATAGTTCCCATAATACCCACATGTCATAGGAGGGACCTGGTGGGAGGTAATTTAATCATGGGGGCAGTTACCCTTATGCTGTTCTCATGATAGTGAGTTCTCATGAGATCTGACCGTCTTATAAGGGGCTTTTCCCCCTTTGCTCAGCACTTCTCCTTGCTGCTGCCCTATGAAGAAGGACATGTTTGCTTCCCCTTCCCCCGTAATTGTAAGTTTTCTGAGGCCTCCCCAGCCCTACAGAACGGTGAGTAAATTAAACCTCTTTCCTTTATAAATTACTCAGTCTTGGGTATGTCTTTATTAGCAGCATGAGAATGGACTAATCCACTAATCAAAGAATGAATGAGGTAAAATAAATATTAGAATTATATTTAAGACAACATAGTCACTTCCGTAATTTAAACAACATGGGAAGTAGCATCATTCTTCCAGTAATGATCTGAAAATTCTATGGTAAAGTTAAATTTCAGGTGCCTTACATAGACCTAGGAAAATTCTTCTAAAAAATTATAATAAAATACACAGACCACCACCACCATCATCACCACTACCACCACCATGTAGCTTCTAAGAGCTTTTCAGGAAGTTCACAAGAAAATACAGTGGAAACTCTGACTATTTATAATTTAGCAAGAGGGGATTTTCACTAAGTGAAACATCATATCTGAGCCTCCTTGATTCAATTATATGAAGATTAAATTACTTTTTCATATACCACTACAGGTCAATGGATTCCATAATCTTTTCTCATTTCATTTAAATCTGGATTACCACAATGCCAAATAAGAAGAAATTGGATAGACGAGACTTATGGATAAATTTTACACAAACATCGGGTCATAGGTCACTTAAAGCTGCAACTCAAATTTCAGACTTTTAACTTGATCATTTTGAACTTATAAAATAGACTTTATTTTTTAAAACAGTCCTTTCATTTCTTCTTTTTTATTGCGATAAAATTCAGAAAACATAAAATCACTGTTGTAATCATCTTAAAGTTTATATAATTCAGTGGCACACAATACATTCACAGTGTTTTGTAACCATCACCACTATTTAGTTCCAGAACATTTTTATCACTCCAAAAGGAAACTTTATACCCATTAAGCAATCACTCACCATTCCCTCCAGCCTCACCCCCAGCCCCTGGCAATCAGTAATCTGTTTTATATCATTATGAATTTGTCTGTTCTGGATATTTCATATAAATAGAAACATACAATACATGGCTTTTTGTGTCTGGCTTTTTTCATTTAGTTTATTACTATCAAAGCTCATTCATGCTGTAACGTATATCAGTACTTCATTCTTTTATGGCTGAAGAATATTTCATTCTATGGATAGACCACATTTTGTTTACCCCTTAATCAGTTGATGAATATCTGTATTGTTTTCACCTTTTGACCATTATGAACATTATTGCTATGAACATTCATGTATGAGTTATTTTTTTTTTGAGCTCCTGTTTTCAATCTTTTAGGTATATTCCCAGAAGTGGAATTGCTGGGTTATATAGTAACTCTATGTTTAGCTTTTTGAGGAACCAACAAACTGTTTCCCACAATGGCTGCACATTTTACATTCCCGCTGGAAATGGTCAAGGGTTCTAGTCACTCCATGTCCTCACCAATGTTTATTTTCCGTTTTTGATCATAGCCATCTTTGTGGGTATGAAAAGGTATCTCATTGTGGTTTTGATTTGTATTTCCCTAATGACTAATGATGTTGAGTGTATTTTCATGGGTTTCTTGGCCATTTGTAAATATTCTCTGGGAAAATGTGTACTCAAATCCTTGGGCCATTATTGCATTCGATTTTCTCTTTGTTATTGAGTTCTAGGAACTCTTTATGTAGTCTGAATACTAGATCCTTATCAGCTAAACGACTTGCAAAGATTTGCTCCAATTCTTTTTTACTTTCTTGGTAGTGTCCTTTGATGTAAAAAGTTTCATACTCGAGTCCAATTTATCTATTTTTTTCTTTTGTTGCTTATGTTTTTGGTGTCATACCCAAGAAACCATTGCCAAATCCAAGGTTATGATGATTTATTCCTATATGTTTTCTTCTAAGAGTTTTACCTCCATTATTTAGATCTTTAAGCCATTCTCAGTTAATTTCTGTAAATGATATAAGCAAGGGTTCAAATTCATTACTTTACATGTAGATATCCAGCCCTTTGAAATTTGGACTAATAAAGGTAGCACATGTCAACTTGTACTACCTTTTTGTAAGTACTGCATTTTATGTGGTAAAGTATATTTTAGTGGTTAATTTGGAGTGTGATATACATTGAAATAATCAAGGAATATTATATATATATAATATTCACTCACAATTGAGCATCCAAATGTTTATTAGTAGTAGTAAGAAAAACTTACAAGCAAGTATGTGACTTATTTGCCACAATGAAAATCACATGGAATAGTCACAATGCAAGCGCACATAGTATTTAACCTAAAAGACAATACATTGCCATTTAATTTATTGGAATAATAACAAGTTTTAGCACTGCAATGGTTCTGTGTAAAATAAGTCACAGCGACTTTGGTTCTCAGCTGTGTCAAAAATTTTTCAACACAAAGAAAATTTTTAAAATTGAGATAACGTTTCTTTGGTGAATATATTCATTTTATTTCTTTTAGAGTTCATGTTATACTGGTGATTCTTTCGTCTGTCTCAGAGATGACAGCCTGCTATACACCTTGTTGACCAAAAGCAACATCAGGTAGAGAAGTTTAAGTCAAACCTTCACTAGTATTTAAAACTTTCTTTCCAGTTACAACAATGTGATCTAATCATACATGTTAGAACTAAAAGGGTTTAGAGAGATTCTAGTATTTTTTACTAGCAGAGAAAATGCTAGTGTCACTGCTTTCTAGTCATACATTTTCCTAGTTACATAACTAGTGAGTGGTTGTGAAAGCACTAGAAACAGATCACAACCAGGTGCATGTCTACTACTAATACAGTGCATTTTCAACGACAGTGATCAATAATCATGCTTTTAGTAGAATACCTATCCTAATATTCCGAAGTCCCTTTTTCCCTTAAAGAATAAATTAGGGACATGAAAAAAAAAATCAGTACTTCAATTATGCTAACATCTTTGAGATATTCCAGAGACTGCTCTAACTATAACAGGTATGTTAAAATCTTATTAATAATTCCTCTGTTCCATAAAAATCAGTTTCTTTAAACACTTAAGTTAAAGGGCTAAAGGGTTGCTTTATGAGCTGATAATGCTTACTATTGGACATGATCTCACAAGTAATTACTTCGCTTTATATAACACAGAAATGTGTATGGGAATTATATATTTGATAATTTACTATTGATAACTTATTAATAACGTTAGTATTGAATGTTGGTATAAGCAGGCATTCAGTGCATTTTAAAGGACTTGTGCCACTGAATGGAATCACACTTCAAAAGATAGTGAAAAGGTCCCCCACATCCTGGGTATCTTTTAGCCCTGAAGTTGTCCCACAGGCCACACTTATCCCTGTCCTCCCTCTTCACTATGGTTTAAATGTGTTCCCTCCAAAATTGTTGACACTTAATGGTCAGTGTGAGAGTATTAAGAAGGGGGGCCTTTATTTGAAGTGATTAGGCTGTGAGAACTCCTCTCTCATGAACAGGATGAAGGCCCTGATACACAGTGTTTGACTCTCTTGTCCTCTGACTTCTGCCACACACAAGGACACAGCGTTCATCCCACTAAGAAGAAGATGAAAAAGGGGATAGCATGCAGCCACAAGGAACAATCTCAAAAGCAGAGAGAAGCCCTCACCAGACAACCACACCTGCAGACACCTTGATCTTGAACTTCTCAGTGTCTAGAACTGTGAAAAATAAAACTGTGGTCTTTATAAATTACCTGGTCTAAGGTACAATCACATGTCACTTAACAATGTAGGGATGGCCGGGCGTGGTGGCTCATGCCTGTGATAGCCCAGCACTTTGGGAGGCCAAAGCGGGCAGATCACCTGAGGTCGGGAGTTCAAGACCAGCCTGGCCAACATGGCGAAACTCTATCTCTACTAAAGATATGAAAATACAGTTGGCCGGGCTGGTGGCACATGCCTGTAACCCCAGCTACTCAGGCTGAGGCAGGAGAATCACTTGAACATGGGAGGCGGAGGTTGCAGTGAGCCAAGATCGCACCACTGCACTCCAGCCTCGGCAACAGAGTGAGACTCTGTTTCAAAAAAAAAAAAAAAAAGACAGTGTGGGGATACATTCTGAGAAATGCGTTGTTAGGTGATTTCCTTGTTGTGTGAACATCACAGAGTGCACTTACACAAACCTAAATGCTGTAACCTACTACACACCTGGGCTCGATGGCAAAGCCTATTCCTCCTGGGCTACAAATCTGGACAGTATCTTACTATACTGAGTACCATAGGCAACTGTACCACAATGGTAAGTATTTGTGTATCTAAACACAGAAAAGATACAGTAAAACTGAGGTATGAGAGAGAAAAAAATAGTACACCTTTACAGGTGTACAGACACTTACCACGAATGGAGCTTGCAGGCCTGGAAGTTGCTCTGGGTGAGACAGTGAGTGAGTGGTGAGCGAAGCTGAAGGCCTAGGACATTACTGCACACTACTGTAGACTTTGTAAACACTGTAGGCTTTGTAAACATGCTACACTTAGGCTACACTGAATTTATTTTTATAAAAATAAAGTAATTGCACTACGACATTATGATGGCTATGACATCGCTAGGTGATAGGAATTTTTCAGTTCCATTATAATCTTATAGGACTACAGTCACATACGCAGTCTGTTGACCAAAACATTATGCATCTCATGATCGTATTTTATTACAGCAGAAGAAATGGACTAAGACACTCCTGCCGCAGGGATACCTACTATGTCAGCAGAGCCAGCAGCACCTTGTCTATGTCTGAGAGAGACTCCATTGTGGCCTCCTCACCAGTTCACTAGGTGTCTCCTCCAGGATCCTACAGACTAAATCCAATGATGGGTGAAGTTCCCACAGACAGCCTTAAGAGGGGAAGTACTGGCCAGCAGCAGACAGCCACAACCTCAGAGAGCCAGGTGGGACCAGATGTTTGCCTACTGGGTGCCGGATCTACTATCATGGTCCAGGGACCCTCAAGGGTAGGGGCCACACACAAGAGCCCCAGTGGCCTACCTGGTGGTTTGGCAGGTAGAAGAGTCCTAGACAGTGCCCAATGGGCCTCTTCAAGGACAGGCCAAATCCATGTTCAAGATATAGGCCAGCCCTCTAAGAAAAGAGGAAGAGGAAATCCAAAAAAAAAAAAAAGAGGCCAAAAATTCAAGACTTTGGAGGCACCAATTTGTCTGGCAATAACCAATCTGAAAGTAATACTGGAATGGGGTGCTAGGGATCTGCTGAGGTGCCAGGCATTACTTCTTCTGTTGCTGGACTAGAGAGGAGGTCTAGAATCCCTTCCCCCTTGGCCCTGGAGAAGGAACAAGGATGGCCATGTAAGTAGAGGACATTGGCTACCTACCAATCAGTAGGTGAGTTTTATACTTTAATATATGGTTAAATACCAGATCTGCCCTGGAACATTGTAAGTGTTCAACAAACATTAGTTATTATGATATATGCTATGATCATAATATGAACTTTATGATGATTTTTTTTTTGCAGTGTGTTGTTATTTTAAATAGGCAGGCTAAGCAACTACTGTCATCTCCTTTAACAAATGAAGAAATTGAGGCCAATGAGGTTAAATAACTCAAATTCACAGTTAAATACATCTGTGTCTTCTTTTTTTAAGACTAGGTCTCACTCTGTCACCCAAGATAGAGTGAATAGTGCCATCGTAGCTCACTACAGCCTTGAACCCCTGGGCCCAGGTGATTCTCCCACCTCATCACTCCCCTAACCCCAAGAACCTAGGACTGCAAGTGAATATTGACATACCCAGCTAATTTTTAATTTTTTCTTAGGGACAGAGTCTCACTGTTTCCCAGGCTGATCTTGAACTCCTGGCCTCAAATGATTCTCCCACTGTGGCCTACCAAAGTTCATGGATTACAGGTGTGAGCCACCATGCCCAGCCCATGTCTTTTCATGTATGTTTCAATGCACCTTTCCATCTACCCTCATGTAGATGAAGGATTAAAATGATGGGGAAGTACAGATGTGAAAGGGTGGATAGAGGGATACAGCTGAAAAAATAACAAGCTTGAAATATATGTATATCTAAACCAGATTCAAGAAGTAGAAAGCAACTAAAAATAGAGGAATACAATCAGATATGGCAAGGTTCAATGTGCAGGAGAAATTGAGAGAACCTATGGTTTCATGAAAGATATATCAAATTTTCTTAACCTTGTAAGTTATATATCCACAAGTCAAAAAAAATTCAACATTTTGTGAGAAATCCTAGTTTAAAGCCAATGACATAATGTGATTTCTATTGTTTCCTTTTACTTTCAAAAGTGTTCTAATTTGGGTAATAAATTATATGCTTACTCTTTATACTTAAATTGATGATATGTGGTCTCATGGAAGGTGGACCATTTTTTGAAAGCCCTTTATCATCAGACTGACTGTGGTTCTAAAATACTAACAATTCAGAGAATAAAATAGTCTGAAGATGGGTGGGAAAGACCACAAGTATAGACAGAGGGCTACTGGAGTTCACAGGAGAGAAAACCTTTGAGATGGTTGGGAAATGAATCTGTACATCCCTATAAGCAATAAAAGGACACCACTGACATGAATAGTTCAGTCCTTAAGCAGAACATCACCTCACTCTGAGGACAAAGGAGGTCACTGGCACTCTTGTCCTTTTCCTATTTTCTCTCCCTGTGAGAACATCAAAGGATTAGGAGCTGAGAAATTTTGCAAGCGATCTGAGATGATAATAAAAGGGTTAAAAAGAGGCTCTTTGTGATGAAAGAGGAGCCAAGAAGAAGGAGAAAACTTCTTTAGCACAATAAAAAAGAGTTATGTTTTATAAGAAGTAGAATCAATGTTATACAATAAAATCAATATACTATTTTCAGATGAACATAAGCTGCACTGTCTTTGGAATAAAATTAGTTGTTCTTGTACAGAACAATTGTCAATTTAGGGCTACACTGCATCCATTACTTTTTCCCACAGGCTTTTCATTTTTCTATATGAAGACTGAAGTATTTTTATCATGCAGAAGCGTAATAAAATTCTATATTCAAAGAGCCTTGAGCTACCATTATAAGGCTAAAGTGGTCTTAGAGCTCTTTCTACAAGATCCTTTCTCTTGGTACCTAGATCGACAGTAGCCACATGATCCAAGTTCAGCCAATTGATCACTGTTTCTTTCCTTAGGTGTGGACCCTACAACCACCCAATGGGTTTATCTTGCCTGTTGCCTAGACAGAGCCGATTTATCAAGACCAGAGAATTGCAGTAGAGAAAGGGTAATTCATACAAAGCTGGCTGTGTGGGAGACTGGAGTTTTATTATTACTGAAATCAGTCTTCCCGAGCATTTGGGGATCTGATTTTTTAAGGATAATTTGGTGGGTAGGGGGCCAGTGAGTTGGGAGGAAAGGGTAATTCATGCAAAGCTGGCTGTGTGGGAGACCGGAGTTTTATTATTACTGAAATCAGTCTTCCCGAGCATTTGGGGATCTGATTTTTTAAGGATAATTTGGTAGGTAGGGGGCCAGTGAGTTGGGAGTTCTGATTGGTCATGTCAGAGATGAAATCACAGGGAGTTGAAGCTGTCCTCTTGCAAAGTCATTTCCTGGGTAGGGGGGTGGCAGGGTGGGGCCAAAAGACCAAATGAGCCAGTTTATCAATTTAGGTGGTACCAACTGATCCTTCGAATGCAGGGTCTGCAAAATGTCTCAAGTGCTGGTATTAGGGTTTACAATAGTGACGTTATCCCCAGGAGCAATTTGAGGAAGTTTAGAATCTTACAGCCTCCAGCTGCATGACTCCTAAACCATAATTTCTAATCTTGTGGCTAATTTGTTAGTCCTGCAAAGGCAGTCTAGTCCCTAGGTAGGAAGGGGGTTTGTTTTGAGAAAGGGCTGTTACCATCACCGTTTCAAAGCTAAACCATAAAGTAAGTTCATCCCAGAGTTAGTTCAGCCTCCACCCAAAAATGAACAAGGACAGCATGAAGGTTAGAAGCAAGATGGAGTCAGTTAGGTCAGATCTCTTTCACTGTAATAATTGTCTCAGTTATAGTTTTTGCAAAGGCAGTTTCAACCCTCCGAGAGGTCACACAACAATGAGAGAAAATGTTTAGAGATCATTTATTCTGTGAAAGTAGGTGAGACAATCTAGAAGTTTCTTTCAAAAAGTGACTTAGAGTTGCCCAGTTTCTATCTCTTCCAAGCCTGATTGGTGTCACTTGCTTTAAACCAAAGTTGTGGGGTGGGGGGAGGGGGGAGGGATAGCTTTAGGAGATATACCTAATGCTAAATGACGAGTTAATGGGTGCAGCACACCAGCATGGCACATGTATACATATGTAACCAACCTGCACATTGTGCACATGTACCCTAAAACTTAAAGTATAATAATAATAAAATAAAATTAAAAAAAAGAAACTTAACATACTCAAGTTGATAAGCTGTGTTTGCCCTAATCAAAGGGAAAAGTTTCTGATGCCGTCCCTGGAGGAGGAAATTGAATGGAATTGGTACTATATTCTTCCACCTCATGATACAAGAGCCTTCTGATTTGACAACCAGTAGAAGCATGGTCCAAAGAAAGCCTACCACAACATTCGTTCTAAGCCAAAGATGATAGAGTTTGCAGGGCACAGGGAAAAAAAGATGGCCAGAATCTCCATCTCTTACGTAGATGAGTATTCCAGGAAATGGAATACTAAGGCAGAGTAGGAGAGAAAATTAGGAGTTGATGTTAGAAAGTGAGGGTACATCCACACAGAGCACTTCCAAAGGCCTGTATCTTGTGGGGGCACATTTTAATATGTACTTACCCTTCAAGTGCTTAAATCACCATGGAAATCTGCCTATATTTTCAGTTGGGGGTGACGTTCTAATGGTTCTTAGGAAGATCGGTGCCTACCTGCTTCCTGTTGAAATAGGGCTGCTGGGGTCCCACCCCCACCCCACCAATCATAAGGAGAAGAGGCCACAGATCTGCATGTGTGTAATTCACTGGCAGTAAGCCTCCAGAGCTCTTTTCTTTGGTGGCTCCCCTATCCCAGCAGTGTAGTATGGGCACCTTCTCTTTTGTGGGACAGAGAGAAAGACCATTGACTCACCCAAGTAAACATTTCTCTCCACTTTGGAATCATTTGTGGTAATTGTTAATTTGACTGTCTCATTTTGGAAACTTCTATTTCTCTTGGTGATTGTGGGATCCCTCAAAGCTAAGAGGGACTAGATTAGGGGTTAGGGTTCACAGCAAGTAGCCGGCAGATTTGAATGGACTCTATGTCGAGATTTCCCAGGAATAAGGACAAAAAAAAATCTGGAGATTTCCCTCTTGCCAAGAAAGCAGAAACTCAAGCAAGGACTTGAGACAGGTGACCTGGTTAATAATCAAGTGTCTCCCAACCACAGCACTTCCCTTGTGGTCCCAAGCACCCAAGCTTGGCACTCGAAGACAAGTGACAGAGTACAGGATACATCAAATACAGTATTTGCACATTATGGTTAAAAATGAATTCTCTTTTTTCTTTTTTTAAATTCGGTCTCTGTAGAGACTGTCAAAAATTGCCAATGCCCATTCTAATGCAAGTCATCACACCGTGGTATTGGGAAATGTTTTTAATTAGCAATAATCACACCTTGGAGGAACCTCAGTAGCTACAATAGTGCCACTGCACAAAGCTTAAACTAACTTATTGTTATTATTCTTCTAGTGCTAATTTATTAAAATACAGATATGGTATAAATAATTCAATTTCCTGCAATATGTCTTTTCTATTATTGCTTCTGGAACCATTTGATTCCTTCCATTTTCTTCTTATCACAAGCTAGTCTCTATTTATCTTGACCTATTTATTGTTACAAATAATGTTTTCCTAAAACAAATTAGGCCATCAGGCAGGTATTTTAAATGTTTTTTCTTTCCTTGTCATTTAGTAATTCTATTTGGCAAGAAAGATGTTCTATTGAACACTTAGAGAAATGTTCTTCTCTTGGGCTGCAGACTGTTTTATGAGCTTTGATCCGATTTTCTCAGTTGACTCATTCTTGAGCAGAATGCAATTTGGCCAAGCTTAGTATTAGAATATAGCATGAGTTCTCAAATTTCTCTCCTTGTGGACAAGTCAACCTCTCAGTTCACATGCTGGAGGATATGCTATAAGGTAGAATGCCTACCATATTCCCCCCCAAAAATAGAAGGCCTTAGAAAAATTTGGCTTCCTTTTAGGTGTACGACCCCATCTTTTCACTCAGAACAGGAAAAGACTCCATCAAAGTTTCATATGCTGAAAAAAATCTTTCATTTGTTTGTGTGTGTTAGAGACTCATGATTTATCAAGTTATACTTACTCTAAGCCTTGCATTAGAAGTTACTGTGAGAGGATTTTTCACTAATTCTCCTCTTCTGCCTCTCAGAGTTTGCCCAGGTACTACCAACACTGTTCATTTAGAGTAGGTGAAAATCCTTGATATCTAATTAGGAAATGATGAAGAATTCTCAACTCTGTGTACATATTGGAAACACCTAGGGATCTTTCAAAAATTATCAATGTCCTACTTCTATCACAAAGATAATGACATCAGTATTTTTTACAATTCTCCTCAAGTGATTCATAAAAAAATACCCAAGACTGAGAACCACTAACCACAGTTAACTTCCTAATTTTAGGTAGTTCAGAATAACACCCTTAATTTCCTCTCAGCTGCCATGGAGAAGAGAGACCTTGTAATAAAGTAGTTCTCAAAACTTGGTCCCCAAACCAGCAGCAACAAAATTATTTGAGAACTTGTTAGATGCCAATTCTCAGGTCCCACCCCACTGCATTAGAAACTCTGGAAGTAGGACCCAACAATTGTGTTTTAACAAGTCCTTCAGGTGATTCAGATGCACGCAAAGGTTTAGGAATCACTGCTGTAATACATTAATGATTTTTCTTACTTTTAAAGTGCCACAGCACAGAATGACAAACAGAACATCAAAGCTGTGCCACTTCAGACTCGGAACTGTAGAATAAAGAAATAGGCCAATGCTATTTCTTAATCCTGTTTCCTGTATTGTTGTCCATAAAAACTCCTATCTGAACCCCACATCTGCTCAATTCTTAATATAAATTTTTGGTGAAAAATTTCCCCTTCTTCAGATATTTTAATGGACAACATGGTAGAAAGTTAAGCCAAGGGGTTTGGGCCCTAAAACTCAAATATCCTCTTCCCCAGAGTTCTTTAAGTGATCTCTTTATTTTGCAAAATTGAATAGGAACAAATGACTGGATATGGAACAGTTCTTTTTCTAAAAGTTTGAAACTTAAACTGGCAGCTCAGACATGACTTGGCAGTTAGAAACTCAATAAAATACCATTAGGGCAGGCTGTGATTCAATCACTCCTGTGTTTGAAAAAGAAGAAGAAAAATAAGAAGAAAGCTGACAGAAAGCTTTTCTTTTAAATTCATGCTTGTTTTGTTTCTTTGATTATTTTTCTTCTCATCCTCCTCCAGGTTCCCTCCCTCAAGGGAATTACATAATGGCAGGGAGACCTATCCAGGGGCAGTAGGGTGTTGATGGCTGACAGGTGATCTCTTCAATTTCTTTGGTGATCACTCCAAAAAGTAGCTCTAAAAAATAACTTCTTGAAATATTTTTGAATCAATAAGAAGAGTCAGTGGAAAACTATAAAAGAATAATAACCACAATGTACATTTATAGACTATTGGTTTCCATTTTTTAGAAAAAAAAGACTGGGTACAATTTAAAGTTTCCAGTTTTATGTTGGCTTTTTTTACCCAATAATTTTATAGTAAGTGTCTAAATTGTCTCCCTTAAAATAATCACAACATACAAAATATCCGAGACAAACATGCAGCTGTTAAGAAAAAGTATTTTTTAAAAATTCACACAGCAATAAAGAAGAAAAGTAAGAACTATTTCATTTGATTATTTTAAAAAAATAGACTAAGATAAGATTCCTAAAAGGAAGCCAGTAAAAATCACTCAAGACAAATTCTATCTTACTTAAGATATACCTACCTACATTCTGCGTATTTGTTTCGTTCGGCCCTTCTCCAAAAAGAAACCTTTCTGTAATTCCAATTTGCACTATCAAAAGAGTAATCTGATGGATTGATGACAGGCCTCATCTCTTCCGTGTGAGACGATGATGATGTGGGTACAATAGAACACTGCTGTCCACCCTTAGGTCATGAAGCCATTTCTGGTCATCTTGGGAAGATATCCCTGGGCAAAGAACAGCCCGGGACTGCTTCTTTGAGCAAGGAACACTGCTAGGGAAATTTATACCAGAAAGGAAAGTCAGGAGGACAAGCAAGTACATTGACATAGCCTGTAGAATTTCTCACTGACCTCTGGCAGAGCCATGCCTAGAACTCAGGCCATCTTAACCAAGTAATTTTCCAAATTCTCACCCCAACATGTAATTTTATTCAACTGTAAGTTTAGCTAATATCACAGAGACAAGAAAGCAGCATAAACACAATTGCCTGTTTCTTAGTATCAGCATGGCTGAAGATGTGTTTCCTGAGAAGGTGGTATTCTATGAGATGCGAATAGGAATTGCTTGTAAAAAAAATTAATGCTAACAATGTATAAATATTTAAATACATGTAATTCATATTTACAATTATATGTGGGTGTATATGTAAATATATAATTATTAAATGTTTATTTTGTTATATGACAATCTGCCTCTTCAGGAAGTGGTATGACATGTAACTAAATTTTTGATAATTGCACAGCTCAAGACATTTGATCTGAGTATTGACTCATCAAAAACACTTACTAAGAATCCTTCATTTTGTCAGGCAGCAATATAGTTACCTTTGGTGAATGTGCTTTTTTTGCTCCAATTACAATATGTATTTCTAATATTGGATATTTTTCGATAACCTCATTGCAAGTGTGTATTATAGCTCAGCAGCTCCCACTGGTGTGCCCTTGGTTCATTATAATGTACAACAGTGTCCCCCGGTCGAATATCCTGGAGAAATGTTGTTGAAGGTGATACTTCTAGCTTGGAGGAAGAGGAATAAACAGAGCTAGTTGCACTCAATATAGAGAGGCACCATAACTAACCATAACTAATCAGATAAACAATGTAAAGAGAGCAACCATTATTAAATGGCTCTTTTGTTATTGACAATCTTCTTCAGGAAGTGGCATGACATGTAACTAAATTTTTGATAACTGCACAGGCTCAAGACATTTGATCTGAGTATTGACTCATAAAAGCACTTACTAAGAATCCTTCATTGTGTCAGGCAGCAATATAACTACCTTTGGTAAATGTTGTGCTTTTTTTGCTCCAATTACAAATATATATTTCTGATATTGTAGAGATAAAGAATGCTCCATGGCATTCCTGCATCTGCTGCATATCCAAGAAATAGGACTCAGCCATTCTTACAGCTTCATGGCCACTGCTGTTTGTCATTAGGAGAAGGCTGAAACACTCAGTGCTACTCCCCAAGAAATTTGCCTGCTACCTGCTTGCATTCTCCCTTTCCACCCGCTGTCCCCCGTCGCCACCACCACTCCACCTCTCAGCTAACTCTAGTCTCCTCTTCCTCCTCATTATAGAGGGAAGCATGCTCTTAATTCTCTGGGTTCTCAGCATGCTCTTAGTTCTCTGGGTACAATCACAACAGAGGAGAGCGAGTCAGTACTCAACACTGTGGCCGCCCTTCCCTTGGAGCCTTAAGCTGGCTTGGGTAAATAAATGGCTAAGCATAATGGTGCTTTAAGGGAAAACAAAACTGATGTGAAGCGTGATGCAGTCTAAATGTAAGTATTTTTCAAATAAGAAAATACAAGATCTTAAAAAGAAAGGGAGTACCTCAAGAAACTTGAAGATCGTAAAATTTCTATCAAAGAAGATAATATTAGAAAGCAAACCAAGTCAGTGTCACTGTGAAATGGGGTAACCCTTGCAAGACCTAAATCTAGGAGCACAGTTTGGAAACATTACATATTGCAGGTGGAAAGTCTTTTTTTTTTCTTTTGGGAAAAATTTAATTTACCTTTAAAATAGGCCTTAATTTTAACAAAACAATTCAAGTAACCTCCTTAGGTGAACAAATATAAAATAAATATTCACACATTCTTATGGGGGAATAAAGTCACCATTAACTGAAAAGCAGATGATTTAGAATGAAAATGTACTATTTTACTCTTTTAATTATTCTTCCTCATTACACTATGTGCTCTGTGTTGGCAAGAGTCATAGCAGTCTGTTTTACTCATCATGGTCTTCTCAGCCCACATAGCACAGGGTCCCACATACAGTAGGACCTCACACACTGTGGGATATATACACATATGAATAAAGACTATCGATGCTATGAGCATGACTTACAAAGTACTAGGGTAGTGCTTATCATGAGGAATTGTTAGCTCCAATTAGAGACATATCGTTATGAATGATTTTCATATATGTTAAAATATGACACAAATATTATAGTGATATTTAATGTAATATTGAAGAGACTAAAGTTTAGATCATTTATCTTTCATTGTTTTCTATTATCTCAAATTCAGAATAATTACTGATACATTTTTTCTGTACAGTAGCACCTATTGAAGGTCATTTCACTTGTAGTTGCCTCACAATAAGCCCTCTTATTTTCTTTTATTGGACTCAGAAAACTGTGTATGTGCTGGTTTCAAAGTCAAGGGGTACTTTCTAATTAGATTTTACATGCATATTTTTTGTCATATCAAGGGTCTAATAAACTAGGGCAGGCAACAACACAAGAAACATACCTGAGTAAAAGTAAATACCTTCTCTTATCATCTTACCATGATTTCTGAAAAGACATCTTTATGATAATCTGGATAACTTTATTTTTTCAATTTGATATCAGATGTTAAAATAAGCCATTTTCTTAAGCAAATTCCTTAGAGCCCTATTATGGTAGGACAGTGAACTGGATCCCAGCATGGTCATTTACTAAGCTGGGGCAAGTGTTTAACCACTAAGCCTCAGTTTCCTCATTTGTAAAATGCAGTTTTAAAAAACCTACCTTAAAGAGGTATTTTAAGATTAAATGATACGATGCATACAAGGTAGACAGATTGTGCTGGCATCTTTAATGGGCTCAATGAAGACTGGGTGTCCTTGACAATAATGGCCACCCCCCCGCCTTTTAGACCTCATGTACAGAGTACCAGATGTGGTTCTGAGCACATGACAAATATACTCATTGAATTCTCATGTTACCCCTTTCAAGCACTATTATTATTCCCAGCTTACATAAGAGGAAGCTGGGGTACAAAATGATTGAGTGACTTGCCAAGATTTACACAGCACGTAAATTGCAGAACTGGAATTTGGAGGCAGGCACTCAAGCACTACAATGCATGCTCTTTATAATTTCACTCTAGCCATTCATGTGACAGTTTTTAAAACCAGGTCACTCTACCATATACAGAAGAAGTATGCCTGTCCTATTAGATTAAATCAACATGCATGGTAAGTATTCTGAAGAAATTACGGCTGTTACTTGTGCAAGAAAGTTTTTTAAAAGGCACAATTTTCTGTGATTAGAAAAGGCCTCCACAGCTGCCTTTTCACTTGTGAATATCTATTTTTTAATTATTTGTATTGATACGTAATTGTGCATATTTATAGGGTACAGTGCGATGTTTCAATGCTTGTGTATGTTGTATGATGATTAAATCAGGGTAGTTATCATATCCATACTTTAAACACTGATCATTTATTTCTTTGTGGTGGTAACATTCAAAATCTCTTCTTGCTATCTTGATATATACACTGCATTGTTAATTTGCTATAGTCACCCTACTGTGTAATAAAACACTAGAACTTATTCTTCCTGTCTAACCGTAACTCTGTGTCTGTTGACCAACCTCTCCATGTCCTGTCCTTTCTCCCCTTCCCTTCTCAGTCTCTGGTAACCATTCTACTCTCTATTTCTATGAAATCAACTCTTTTAGATTCCACATATGAGTGAGATCATATGGAGATTGTTTTATTGTGCCTGGCTTATTTCACTTAACATAATAACTTCCTGGTTCATCCATGTTGCTGCAAATGACAGGCAGGATCTTATCCTGCTTTATGGCTGAATGGTATTCTATTACATATGTGTGTGTATACATATGCATATATGTATAAATACATATATGTAATAGACATGTATGTCTATTACGTATGTATTTCTAAAACAAGTATGTAATATACATATATGTATGTGTACATACACGTATATGTAATAGAATACTATTATTAAATGTGATTATATATATATACAACACTTTCTTTATCCATTCATCTGTTGATGGACATTTAGGTTGGTTTCATATCTTGGCTATTGTGAATAGTGCTGCAATAAACATAGGAGTGCAAGTATCTTGTCACCATGCTGATTTCAGTTTTTTTGTTTTTTTTTTTTTGAAATGGAGTCTTGCTCTGTTGCCCAGGCTTGAGTGCAGTGGCATGATTTCGGCTCACTACAACATCCACCTCCCGGGTTCAAGCAATTGTCCTGCCTTGGCCTCCTGAGTAACTGGGATTACAGGCATGTGCTACCATGTCTGGCTAATTTTTGTATTTTTAGTAGAGACAGGGTTTCACCATGTTGGCCAGGCTGGTCTCAAACTCCCAGCCCCAAGTGGTCCACCCGCCTCAGCCTCCCAAAATGCTGAGATTACAGGCATAAGCCACCGCACCTGACCAATGATTTCATTGTCGTTGGATATAAACCCAGTAATGGGGTTGCTGGATCATACAGTGGTTCTATTTTTAGTTTTTTGAGAAACTTCCACACTGTTTCCATAGTGGCTGTACTGATTTACATTCCTACCAACAGTGCATTAGAGTTCCCCCTTAGCCACAACATCACCAGTATTTGTTGTTTTTTGTCTTTTTGGTAATAACTATTCTAACGGGGGTGAAGTGATACCTCGTTGTGGTTTTGATTTGCATTTCTCTAATGATTCGTGATGTTGAGCATTTTTTCATATTGGCTATTTGTATGTCTTTGTCTTTTTTTTTTTTTTTTTTTTTTTTTGAGATGGAGTCTCACTCTGTCACCCAGGCTGGAGTGGAGTGGTGTAATCTCAGCTCACTGCAACCTTTGCCTGCCTCCCGGGTTCAAGTGATTCTCCTACCTCAGACTCCAGATTAGCTAGGATTACAGGTGTGCACCACCACGCCTGGCTAATTTTTGTAATTTTAGTAGAGACGGGGTTTCACCATATTGGTCAGGCTGGTCTCAAACTCCTGACCTCGTGATCCACCCGCCTCGGCCTCCCAAAGTGCTGGGATTACAGGCGTGAGCCACCACACCCAGCCTATTTGTATGTCTTTTTAAGGAAATGTTTATTCGGGTCATTTGCCCATTTTTAAATGGGATTATTTGTTTGTATTGGCACTGGGTTGTTTGAGTTCCTTAGATAGTCCTGATATTAACCCTTTGTCAACTGCATAGTTTACAAATACCCTCTCCCATTCTGTAGGTTGTCTCTTCACTCTATTGATTGTTTCCTTTGCTGTGCAGAAGCTTTTCAATGTGATGTGTCCCATTTGTCTATTTTTGCTTTTGTTGCCTATGCTTTTGAGCTTTTATTCAACATCCATTTATGTTTTATTCTGTCATGTTCAAAATACACATTTTCATGTAATTATTTAAATGCAGTGCATTTATAATCTTTCTTAAAACTGTATTTGCCATTTGTTTACACAGGATGTTTTCTGAATATCATTCCAACTATTTTCATTTAAGTATCTAGTTCAGCTCGATACTGAATTTGTCTGTGTAATTTTCTTGCTAGCCTAAAATGATTTAAACCACGGAGTTGGCTTCAGAGGGTAAAATGTGTAATCAGTGAATGCATTGGTCAAGAGAGAAAGAGGATTTCTGGAGACATGTTAATAAAGAAAATGGTTAAAAAGAAAAGAGAAGTGACACAACCTACATCCTGTGCCTCTGCCTCAATATCTTAAAGAAATAGAATTGGGATGGAGGTTAATTTATCCCTTTTTATGAAACATCATCAAGAACTGAGAGTATTAGTGATCCTCTTCTGGGTACTTACTCTGCCAATACCAAGTAATTATTATTCCATTCTGAATAGATTTTGTAATAGAAATTTTGAGGACTGGAGTCAGCCTACAATCATGTCAGATTGTCAGATAATTCCACTGAAGGGAAAAATAAGATAATGAGAATCCCAATTAAATGAAAAAAATGGGGCACCATTGAAATACAGAAACAGACATAGTCCCTAAAGTAATATACGTATTCAGATTGCTTACACTATTGACCATAAACACACACATTTAAAGAGAAAGACGTTTTCAATTAATAATTCATCACTTTTTAAATGGCGGCAATGTATCAGACATGTTATAAACTACAGCTACAAAGGACTAGACCATGTTTTTAAAGTTCTTGCCCCAAAAATGCAGAGACAGGCCTGTGAACAGAAACTTAGCATTTAACACTAAAGCAGGCAGAAAGGTTTCATACTTTTCCTCATAAATGAAGACAGTATGGCGATTCCTCAAGGATCTAGACCCAGAAATACCATTTGACCCAACAAGCCCATTACTGAGTATATACCCAAAGGATTATAAATCATTCTACTATAAAGACACATGCACACATGTTTATTGCAGCACCATTTACAATAGCAAAGATGTGGAACCAACCCAAATATCCAACAATGATAGACTGGATGAATAAAATGTGGCACATATACACCATGGAATACTATGCAGCCATAAAAAAGAATGAGTTCATGTCGTTTGCAGGGAGATTGATGAAGCTGGAAGCCATCGTTCTCAGCAAACTAACACAGGAACACAAACCCAAACACTGCATATTCTCACTTATAAGTGGGAGTTTAACAATGAGAACACATGGACACAGGGAGGGGAACATCATACACTGGGGCCTGTTGGAGAGTTGGGGGCAAGGGGAGGGAGAGCATTAGGACAAATACCTAACGCATGCGGGGCTTAAAACCTAAATGACGGGTTGATAGGTGCAGCAAACCACCACGGCACATGTATACCTATGTAACAAACCTGCACATTCTGCACATGTATCCCAGAACTTAAAGTAAAATAAAAAACCAAAAATTAAAAAAAAAAAAACACTTCAATAAAAAAAAGATGTCTGTGAACCAAAAAATGTTAAAGTCCACTGAAGATCTCATGTTGACATGTTATGAGTCTGGATTTTTATCCTGAAGGTTATGTGAAGCTATCTAAAGATTTTAAACAGGGAAATCTTTTATTCAGATGTGAGTTTCAAGTACAATCAGCCTGATTTGGGGTTACAGAAAGGAAAGCTGTGGGTCAGAAAGGAGGGATGCTGACAGCTGTTATGAGGGTCTGCAATGAATAATCAAGGTAAAACAAGAGAAGCGACTGAACTCAGGCAGTGTCAGTAGAAGTGGACAAAAGGAGACTGATTACAAAAATATCTAGGAGGCACAGTCAACAGGATTTTGGGGGAGGTTGGATTCAAGAGAAGAGAAAGAGGACTTGGACCACCGGGTATATCTGAGGGGCCATTCAGTGATACAGAAATGAAGGAAGTGAAGCAAGCCAGGGGAGGGGTCAGTGCAAAGAGGAAAAAAGTTTAATTCAGTCTGTAATATCTGAGTTCAAAATACCAACGAGACAGCCAATAAAAATGTTTATGCAGTAATAACTGGGTGTATGGAACTGGAGCGCAATAAAGAAATGCAAGCTGGAGATCCAGGCTTGGAAGTCATCAACTCATTTAGGCTATACTTGCTGCCAAAGGAGCACATAAGATTGCACAATGAAGAGGAGTAGCATGCAAAGAGATGTATGTCAGGAACCCAGTGAACCCCAGACATATAGGAGGAAAAAGCTGGAAGAAATAACAAAAGAAATCAGAAGAAAACCAACAGAAAATGTTGCCCCAAAACTCTCCTCAACTGGCTTTCAAGAAGAAGGTAGCTATTAGTAAACAATGACAAATCTTATAGCATTTTAGAAGACACAAAAACCTAAGTTTCTTCTCTAAGATTACTGAACATAGCAGAGAGAATGAGTTTCATATATGGTCTTGCTTTATCTATGGAAAGTGGGCCGAAAGTTTTTCTGGGACATGTCCTTTTCTCCTCCAGATGGTAGGCGGGGATTTGTGGCCTGGGTCTCCTTATGGGAAACACCAAGAAGAGGAAGGATAGCACCAGAGATAGTGGGGCAACTGCCCGAGAGCAAGGCAGCACTGGCTCACTATCCCACAGCTATGCCCGCCACCCTTCCTCCGTATAGGAAGGGCCAGATTCTAGAGACAGGCTAAAATGGCTGATAGTTGTTTTGCTTGCTTTTATTCAACTAGGAATAAAAAGAAACCAACATGAGGAGCACTCTTTGCTGAAATTTTCCACTGCATCGCTTTTAACCCTGCCCTTTCTCCTGACTTCAAAAGAGTGTTATGAGGACATGATCCTACAATCTTTTACAACTATCTTGAGTCCGTAGATATAGACATGACATCACTGACATATTGAGGATGACAGAGCTTACAGATGGAAGGAAATTGGGTCTTGTGTATTATTATTGAATGCCTAAAACAAACTGGAACACACTAACTTCTGGACTTTTTGTTACATGAAAAAAGAATCAAGCCATATCATTTAATTCTATTTCAGTCAGCTATTCTGTTACTTGCAGTGGAGCATTCTACCTGCTAACCCAACATACTCAAGGCCTAAGCAATGCTATTTAAACATAAATAGAGTAAACATACCTGCTCTGAACAGAAGCCACAGTGCTACTTCTGGAAAAAAAAATCAGACGGTGCAAAATGTCTAACAAACAGGGCAATTTCATATACTTTCCTATTATAATGCAAATGCCTATTTTGACAAAGGCAGTTGAAGCATACAGCCTGAAGTATCTATCATGGTCAAGTTTAAGATTAATGATTCCAGGAAAGATTTGAGCTGAAACACAACAAACTAATAAGCTCTGCACATATCTGTTGTTGAGCTTCCACAGAAAAAGAACAAAGCGTGTCAGAAGAACAGATTAGAATATACAAACAGACTCCTCCCTGTGCCTTAACTTCAGGTTTGAAGCCAGATTCTTTGGTTTTTAAATTTTAGATGTAGCGTCTTTCAACAATCAACAGTATAAATTTCTATAATAATGTTCTCAGAGATAGCAGCAAATCAGACCATTAGGCCAGAATTAAAATGAACATAGAGGCCAAGCACGGTGTCTCATGCCTGTAATCCCAGCATTTTGGAAGGCCAAGGCAGGAGGATCACTTGAGCCCAGGAGTTTGAGACCAGCCTTAGCAACATAGTGAGACCTTCATCTCCACAAAAAGGAAAAAAAATGAACATAGAAAGAAATCAAGTTAATGGACATTATCAGAGTCTGTGCCTCCATTTGGCAGGTAACATCCAGGAAAACAATGCATACAACAAACATTCTCTTTCAACTTTCCACACAATTAAACTCTTTTAGAGTAATAATAGAAGTCTGCAACTTCCAAGGATACTTAGGAAGATTGCTTTTCCTTCCTAAACATCTTCTTTATTCTTACAACCTACAAAATTAGCAAGGCACTATCTATGGGTACTTAAAAAATTGGTGAGTATTACTCATACTGACCTATGATCTCAGAGTCAGCAAACAAAGAAAAAGTTCTCATAAAAGCTGTTAGCCTGACCTTATTTGATGTTCAAGATCCGCACTTAATCCAAATATATTCTTGTGATGATTTCTTTGTCAACTAGGATGATGTCCTACTGATGATCAGTAAAACAGAATCCCCTAAGCATGCTCTAAGATCACATAAAGACTTCTCTTGCTTTCCTTTAGCCCCAACACAATCCAGCTCTCTGAGCCACTGGGCAAATATTGTCTGCCTAAAATCTACCCAGTGACTTTAACCAAATTATCAAGGCCTCTGAATGTCAGAGGCCAAATCTGTTGCATTGAAATCTTCCATTTGTTCAAGAATTATCTATTTCCATCTAGCTCATGAGACACACAAATTTCAACAACTATTGGGTTCTGAAACAATAATTAAGGTGAATGGGAGACTGTAATGTGCTTATAATGAACAGAAAGATGGGGTGCACAAATAGATCTCTCCACATGTAAATAGCAGCCATAATGCTTTTCTTCCAAACATCGTGTTATTAGTGTTGTGAGAGATATATTGCCTTTTCTGAAGTCACAGGTATTGTTACTCACCAGATAAGTTGTTTTTGAAAAGCAAGATTCCTCAATTGTGAGTGTGTTTCTGGATACTAAGACAAAAAATAGCCCTTTTGAAAAATTTGGCGGGTTCAAAATTATAAGCTTAATATAAAGCTCTTCCATTAGGAGTAAATCCACAGGCAGAGCTGAAAGCCAGTTCATATTATTTTTTAACAAAGCCTAACTATAGAGAATTAGTAGGATTATCGTTGTATCAAGGAAACCAGAAACATTATTTCAAACAAGGTCTCTGCAAATCAGCAGCTAGAAGAACAAAAGTTCAAAGCATCCTGGGATGCTGGGTGCCAGGAAATTCCTTAAAGTCCTCCACTGAAGTGGATATGTTCGTGACAACAATCCTTATTTTGATGGAAGTAGCTTTTCAAGATCCATTCTCCAAGGTCACTAGGTCAAGAAAAGTCTTTCCTTACATGGTTTTGAATGTTTGTTTAATCCTCCAATTCACCTATCTTGTAGCATTTTTTACTGGTATTTGATAGTACATTAGAATAACCAAAGTGCTGTTCATTTTTTATTAGGGCCGATTAACTGGAGATATTTTGTTTGTAATTTCCCTTTTTATTTTTTTTTATTTTTTATTTTTTTTACAAATAGCACTTTTTATTTGCCACTATTTGAAGTCTGAACTTTAAACAGATTCTTGGACTGGTGGTTCATATCCATCAGCTCATTCAACTTTAGCACCTGTCTCGTCCCCAGCAGCTTTTCCAGAACTACTGCCTTCACCATGAAGCTCCATGAGCTTTCCCAGTTCAAACTTGGGCTTCTTCAACATTTTTACTTTTCTAACGAAGACATCATAGAGAGGATAAATAGATTGGCAAGTCTTTTCTATGTCTTTTCCAATGCTGTCTGGAATCAATTTATTGACCACTTCTTTCACGTCATTTGTCTGCACCTCTCGAGTCATGATTTCCATCATCTTCTTCCGGATTTGGCGGACCTGTTGTTGCTGAGCATAAGAGGTCTTCCGTATCTGATTGCTGCGTTTTTTAGTAAAACCAACACAGAAAAGACGAAGCAAGTAACCATCGGTAGTCTTGACATCAACATGAGCTTCAATCATTGTCTGCCATTTTTTGACCATGGAACACATTTTGTCATGGGTAAGATCCATGCCATGGAAGTTAGGCAGTTTTTGCCCTGAACATCTTCAGTAATCAGCTGAATTTTCTAAATGCAACTTCATCATTCTGCAAATCAGCAAGACTCACTTCAAACACACGACCCTTGAGACCATCAGATGCAATTTTGGTTCCCTGGGTCCTGGTGATGAGCGTCTTTCCAATATTTCTTATATTGAACGTAGTAGGTGCTTTCGCGTCAAACCAATCTTTCTTAGAAAATGGATCAACCACTTTCTTCTTGGCTCCCTTTTTGCCGCCTTTCGTAAGGTGCTTGTTCTTGCCCACCACCATGGTGCTGGTCAGAGAGCCAAAAGGGCAGAAGTCTGTAATTTCCCTTTTTAATATGGGCAACCTGCCAGGAGCCTACAGTTGTCTCTATCCACAGGCAAAGCAGAGTTCTAACAGAATGACCTAAGGGTGCAATGCTAAAAGCCTTTATGTTTTCTACTTATGTGTGGCTAAAATTGTCACCTGTAGCAACTGTGTATCTTTATCTTCTGTAACTTGCAGTAAGGTAGTTTTTGTGGAACTTTTCTTTTAAAATACAAATATATCATCTTGCACTCTAGTTAATGTCTGGGCTCATTAGTAGTCACTAAAAACTATTTCATTTGATGAGCAAAGAAAGAATACTGAGAGTGAAGACAGATACACTTTGAGGAGAGCTAAAGGCAGAGGATGAGAAAAAACTTCACAGCATGAGAAGAGCCTGATGACAGCTGTTAGGGACTAAATGTGTCTTACCAAAATTCACATATTGAAACCCTAATCTTCAATGTGACTGTATTTGAAGACAGAGCTTTTAGGAAGGTAATTACAGTTAAATGAGGTCATAACAGTGGGGCCCTAATCCAATAGGACTAGTGTCCTTACAAGAAGAGGAAAGACATCAGAGCTCACCCATTCTCAGCCCCGACACCAGCCCTGAGTACGTGAGTTCAGGGGAAAGGCCATGTGCAGACACAGCAAGAAGGTGGCTATCAACAACACAGAAATGGAGACCTCACTAACCCTGCAGCACCTTGATCTCGGATGTATAGCCTCCCAAAATGTGGCCAAATAAATGTCTGTTGTTTAAGCCACCCAGTCTGTGTTATGTTATTATGGAAGCCCAAGCAGACAATGGAAAATCCTGAAAAAACAGAAAATATCCATCCCTACCTTCAGAGAAAAGGAAATGGAAAGACAGAGAGAAGCCAAAAAGTGAGGTGAACAATTTAGAAAAAAGAGGCCAAAATGTCTCAATGTTGCCCCTTAGCTTAGTGCCAGCCCAATATGAGTGACAGATGAATCAATAGTCCTATCCTTGAGTTAAAAGGTACACTAGGTAAATCATAGATATTTTGAACCTTCTATATTTTAGATTCATATGCTATTTCAAAATGAATTTAATAGTACTGATATAATAAAAAATTGCAAAGGTACTTTGTTTTTAATCCAAACATTTGGGCAAAATTCTGAAACTGTGGGCACCAAATTTTAAATGAAATTAATTATGAATGACACTTAGAACAATGTCACCCAATAAAGAGGTTCTGAAATATTATCTGTATTTTGCAGCACTGTGGATTCACAGCTCGTCAGAGCTGGAGGCAAACTATGAGATTAGCTTAACTCCCTCATTTCAAGCATTTATTTAACATTACTGAAAATCCTATTTTAAGAAAATTGTTATTATTAATTTAAGAGAGTTACTTAAGATCATTATTAAGATAACATTACAGTGCCTTTAGAAGGGTAGACTTTATTATTTTAAAATGATTGATGGAACTGCAGGTCATTATCTTCAGTGAAACAACTGAGAAACAAAGTCAAATACCTTATGTACTCATGTATAGGTGGAAGCTAATAATGTGTACACATGGATATGGGCTGAAATAGTCATTGGAGACTCAGAAGGTGGGACAGCGAAAGTGGGTTGAGGGATGGTAAATTACTTAATGGGTACAATACACACAATTTGTGTGATAGCTACACTAAACACCCAAACTTCACCATTACACAACATATCCATGTAACAAACCTGCACTTGTACCCGTTGAGTTTATATACATTTTAAAAATAATAATAAAATAAATCTAATCTATCAACTTCTCAAGTACAATCATTTTCCAGCTTAAAGTAAGTTTTAAAATCATTAAAGCATCAGTTGAGTGAATAATATAGACAAATACAGAGATAGGCATAGATACAGATGTTGATATTCCAGGTAAAAAACTCTGCAAGCTCATTTTAGCTGGCTTCCATGCCGAAACTGTGAAAAAACGTTTCTTTACTTCCTCAGCACCCCCTTGAGCATACATCTCAAGAAGCCTCTGAGAACACCATGAGGAACGGCCCCTGACTTCAAGTGGCTTTGCAAACCCACAGTACATGTGCTGCGGTTATGTGACAGTTTAAACCTGTTTTCTCTTAAAGCTGAACTGTATTTGAAAAAATATAATAGCTCATCCCTGAGAATTTTCTTTTCCAGGGAAATAAAAACAATTCTACTCCAGGACTGCTTTGTTTCGTTTTCATATCTGGTTTCAAATGAAGAAAAAGATTAGCAGCATTTATATTAAATACTGTTGAATCAATAGATTCCCGACTCCATTGACTAATATAAATCAACAGAATGGACTAAAGTAATTATAGCCTGAAAGGTTTGCAAATGCATACTTTTGAATTGATTTTTTGTTATTTACTCTCATGTTCCAAGGCAAGTTAAAGAAGCCTGTATGTGTCTATTCATTATCCATATTTGCAAATATGTCTAGGTGCTACAGGAATAATATTTGGAATCATATCAAAATTATTTGTCCTCTATCTAGCCAAGGTCACACATGGCTGAAAGGAGAATTAGGATCTTTTGAGCAAGAATACACATAAAATGAGTCAGTTACAGCTTTTGACTTACAACTTGGTACCTTGAGACACAAAGTCATGCTACAACCTTGAAAAGGAGACTTTGTGGAAAGGAAAAAGAGGGTTTATAAACAACAGAACTTCTTTTTATAGATCAAGAATCAAGATTAGTGAGTGAGCCAGAAGCCTTACTTCCCATTGGCTCTGTCTCAGGAGGCCCTGTCATGGGGCGCCAGCACAGGGGAGTCACTCATGGTAGCGTGGAAAGGGAGGTGTAGCATCTTTAGGCAGGGAAGGACCTTGAGACTGCACTCTCCAGTTCTTCACGGCCTGTGAACGGTGCAGAAGGGACTGTGAATTTCCCAAGTGTCCCTCGAACCATGTGAAACTCAGGAGAAAGGTGAAGGTGCTGGCTATGTTCTTGAGGGGTGTGCCGAAAACTGAGAAGAGTCTGCAACTTTACCCTACTTGCCAGCTAATAAGTTAGACTGCCACTGTTTCATAGATCCTGGAAGAAATCATCAGACCCCTGGGACAGAGATGAAGGTCAGGTTGATGAGTCAGAGTAACCACCATGGTCTGGCTATCAGTACCTCTCATGCTCCTTCTGCAAGCCCCAGTCCCACAGGGAAACAGAAAGAAGACTGAATGACGGCTGCACGCGGGTTAAGGAACCCAGCTCTTTCATACGGGCAGTAAACATCCCTGCTCTGTGCTCCAAAGAAGACAGTATCTCTACCTCCTGAGACTGTTGAGATCCTCGAAATGACAGTCCAAAACAAAGAGCTATCCATTCATTGCTCACAAAACATGCAGAAATGTCAGATAGCCATGGGAAATTGTCTCCCAACAGGGTAAAGTGAGCCACTAGCTGGGTAATGTAGTGAAGGAAAATCAGAAGAAATCACCTGGGAGTCCCAGCTGAGAACAGAGGAGGGAGCCTGGTTTAAAACCCTGGAGCGATCACCATGTATTGCCCATGCCCTGAGAACAGAGCACAAGACACAGCAGTGAGGTCAGAGGCCTCTATACAGAGACAGCAGGATAAGAGAGCTCCACTGGAGTTAAGCACTATTGCCATGAACGCCAGGGGGATATCTGGGATCTTCCAGCACCTGATCCCTTCTTAACAAGGAAGAGGGAAGAGAGAGGCCTGCAAGAGAGGGAAGAAACTTACCTGGCAGAGAATTAAGCCCTGAATTGTCTATTTACTCAAATAATACTGAATTAATCTGAAAGAAATTGTCTTAAGTGGAAAAAGAACTGGGTTATTGTTCTTTAATTGGCATGTTTAATTCCACTGCTGGACAGCCTCAGTCCAGCTTCAGTATAAATGGAGACTCCTGAACAAGATGAGATCAGTTATAGGTAGATAGTAACTATTTTTTGCCTGACTGTAGTGTGTAAATTTTGACTTATGTGTTAAGTTTGTACTTCATTATTTAGTATGCCACGATGACAGGATACATTTATCCCATCAGGAAGTTTTTAAAGGGTGTTTTTAATATACAAAAATATTACTTTATAGAGTATATTTATGAAATCCAAACATTGTCGATTAAAAAAAACAAGAACAAAAAGTAGGTCTTTGAAGAGTTTAGTTGAATTCACACGATTCCACAAATCAACTAAGGGAAGTTAGAAATTTTTTCAGCTACAACCATAACCTTTTGAAGTCAATGTCACAGAACACAAACATGTCCTTTCATAAAACCTGCCTTAAAGACACTGTCATGGCATAATCATAGCGTGGCAGACTATTAATCTGATCACATTTTCTAGTCTTCTCCACAAAGTCCAATTTCCCATTGTTTAATAGTCAGTGGCTCTTCTCTGACCTTTCTATAACATTTTCCATTTCCTTAGTTTAAGCCAGCACCTCAGACACTACTGTGAGAGGACAATTTTCAAGTATTATGTTGGGGTTTCTATATGCAGCCTTCATATTAATGTATACTGGTGTCAACTGGTATAATGTAAAGAATCCTGGCATAGAAATTCAAAGGCCTGGGACCAAATTCTGCTTCTGTTCACTTGCTGGCTTTGTGATTTTAAATAAGTGACAATATCCATGCCCCTCATCTTTCTCACCTTTAAAACTGAGAAGATAATGTATCACTAAAACCAATCAATTAGTTACAATTATTGAAATGTGCAGCATAATCCACATAAAATTAGTATCTTGTACAAATACACATTTCTACCCTAAATTCTCTGTGAAAGAAAATTAAACTGTTATTCAGGGCCAAAACTGACTAGAGGAATTGTACTTCCTATGTAAGCAACGTTATTTCTCTCTAGGATAAGTGGCTCTTTATTTAAGCAAAACTATTAACGGTAGTTTTAGATTTGAAAAGGAAATGTAAAAATGATAATCTGCAAGGGGAAAAACGAAATAAAGAGAAATAAATTTGTACAATACACTACATTAAGAGGAATTTGGAGGTTCTCCAACAGCTTAAGAGAGAGACACAGGGAATTCAAGGACCTGCAGAGAAAAGAAGGAGGGGCCCAGCAAGATGGCCAGGAGCCAGGGCTCTACACGGTGAGATGTTCAGGGAAAATGGCCAAGTGACTTTAGTAGGCAAGTTATGTTACTTATTTTATTTTATTTTTTGAGACAGTCTCATTCTGTTGCCCAGGCTGGAGTGCAGTGTGAGTGATCTGCCCGGATCAGCCTCCCAAAGTGCTGGGATTATAGGCATGAGCCACCATGCCCGGCCCTGTTTTTCATTTTATTTTATATTTTATTTTATTTATTTATTTATTTATTTATTTATTTATTTATTTATTTATTTTGAGATGGAGTCTCGCTCTGTTTCCCAGGCTGGAGTGCTGTAGTGTGATCTCAGCTCACTGCAACCTCCGCCTCCCAAGTTCAAGTGAATCCCCTGCCTCAGCCTCTCGAGTAGCTGGGATCAAAGAGGTGCGCCACCACGCCTGGCTAATTTTTGTATTTTTAGTAGAGAGAGGGTTTCACCATGTTGGCCAGGCTGGTCTCAAACTCCTGACCTCAGGTGATTCACCCACCTCAGCCTCCCAAAGTGCTGGGATTACAGGCACGAGCCACCACACCCAGCCCAGTTCTGTTATTCAATTTTAACTCACTTGTTGCATAATGCTGTGTAATACATCACCCACCTAAGCCCTAAATTTTATTAAAATCCATTACAGACTCTCAGCATGCGTGTGGTCATTTGGATGATGAAAGAATCTGGATGTCGGTCAACGGTGGACGGCACTAAGGGGAAAATACCTGCAATAGACAAGACCTCAGGCAAAGGGAAGACATGGCTGGAGGCAGTGAGGAAAAGTATCACTTCCAGAGCCCCCACGACTTTTGGAAGAGACTCAGGTTTCTGCTTTTTGTAGGGTGATAGTTAAATTGTTTTATTTAAATCAAAAAGGCAAAATGACTTGGAATAGCCTGACAGTTAACACCTGGTTTTCCTCACTATTACCACAAAACAGCATGGAAATACCTAAGAGAAGGTAGGAAAAAATAACATACAAACAGCCACATACTTTACAATCGTTTCTAAACCATAGCCTCCTCCCAGCTCATATATTTAAAAGTTGATTTTTATAAATGTCCAAATTTTAAGTAATTTGTATTAAATAATTTCACAAAATGACTCATTTCACCCAAATTTGGAAGTTGTTGACTTCAAGGCATTAGAACACTATCATACATTTTTTTATTTTTTCCATGGAAAATGCTGAAGCCTAGAAATATGTTGTAACTAATCAATTTCATTCTTTGTCTTTTTTTTTTTTTCATTTTATTTTGCAGAGTAATCACTTGCTGAGAGTCAGTAATAAAGGTCTGCTACCAGGGCACAAGATTCATTTAATGCCTATGGGAAGATGGGCAGCTGAGGAAGAGTTCCGATGACCATGTTTGATGAGTTTTGGGGTTATTTTTCTTCTGACTGTTGCCATAGTAACTAAGGAAGATGAAGTGAAGAAATCACCGATGCTTTCTTGCAAAGCATTTCTTTTTTTTTGGAGATGGAGTCTCGCTCTGTCGCCCAGGCTGGAGTGCAGTGGCATGATCTCAGCTCACTGCAAGCTCCGCCAAATCTGTAGTCCTACCATTGGTATGGCTGACAGATGCAAGATGATGAGGAGGGAAAAGAGAGACCCAAGAGATAACTCCAAGAAGAGGAAGAAGTATCTGACCTAGCGAAGGAGATTTACCAACAGTTGAGAGAACCTCAGAAAAAGTGGTCACAACTGGCATAGCTCGTAGAGGTTTTAGCCTTAGTGAGAAATAATTTGTGACTTCTAATGTAAATAAAATATGAAATATAAAATATAAAGGACAGTACAAAACTATTAATCACACTTGTTCTTACATGTGTTTACGAAAATTTTTCTTAGAAAAAAGGAAGAATTAATACTCTTTAAAACATTATAAAAGCTACTAATAGGGCTGTCCACATACTTTTGTTCATATGACTTCAACTTACTGAAGTTTCCTGGTTCTAGAGCAAAAACCAAGGAGGAATTATCTTTTGTTTTGGTTTGTTTGTGGCTTTTCAATTGCAGTAAGAACACAACATGAGATTTACCCTCTTAACAAAATTTTAGGTGTAAAGTACAGTAATGCTAACTTATAGGCACAATGTTTTGCAATAGATTTCTGGAACTTGGTCATTTTGTATAACTGAAACTTTATACCTGTTGAATAGCAGCTTCCCATTTTCCCCTTCCCCCAGCTCCTGGAAACCACTATTCTACTTCCTGGTTCTATGTGTTTGACTATTTTATGTACCTCACATAAGTGGTATTTGTGCAGTATTTGCCCTTCGATCACTGGGTTATTTCACTTAGCATAATGTCCTCCAGGTTCATCTATGTTGTCACATATGTCAGGATATCCTGCTTTATTAAGGCTGAAAAATATTCCATATTTATAAATACCACTATATATACCAATATATACCACATTTTCTTTATCCATTCATTCACTGATGGATATTTAGATTGTTTCTGCATCTTGGCTATTGTTAATAATGCTGTAATGAACATGGGATATAAATATTGTTTGAGATCCTACTTTTGATTCTTTTAGATAAATGCCCAGAAGTAGGTAATTCTATTTCTAATTTTTTAAGGAACCTCCATATCGCTTTCCATAGAGGCTGCACCATTTTTCATTCCTACTGTGTACAAACGTTCCAATTCCTCCACTTTCTCATCTACACTTGCTAAATAGCTTTTGTGTGCTTATCCTATTTTATTTTTCTTCATGCAAATCTTGTGTATCTGGTGTTGAACTTCATGTGCTTATTCATTTATCGTATTTCTTCCCCCAGAATATAAACTCCATAACAACAGGAACTTTGTCTTTTTTGTTCACTGCTATGTCCTCATCATCTAGACAAGTGCCTGGTATGTAGTGTGTGCTTAACAAAATTTGGTGAATAACTGCTTGAAATTTGTATTAGAAAAAAAAATTGCAATTTAATGTTTAAAATACATTTTGAAAATGAGATGAACCCACCTACCAAATATCCTCCAATTTTATCATATTATTTTTATATATCTTAATCTTTAAATTGTTTAGCTAAAAGGATAGCCAAGGTAATTGTTACCAACAGTTTATCTAATACAAAATGAACACAGACACAAGTTTAAGGATTATGTTAAAATTAAATTCCTTGGCCGGGCGTGGTGGCTCACGCCTGTAATCTCAGCACTTTGGGAGGCTGAGGCAGGCAGATCACAAGGTCAAGAGTTCGAGACCAGCCTGGCCAATATGGTGAAACCCCGTCTCTACTAAAAATACAAAAATTAGCCAGGAGTGGTGGTGGATGCCTGTAGTCCCAGCTACTCGGGAGGCTGAGGCAGCAGAATTGCTTGAACCTGGGAGGCGGAGGTTGTAGTGAGCCAAGACCGGGCCACTGCACTCCAGCCTGGGAGACAGAGTGAGACTCTGTCTCAAAAAAAAAAAAAAGATTAAATTCCTTGACTGAGCGTGATGGCTCACACCTGTAATTCCAGCACGTTGAGAGACCAAAGTGGGAGGATATCTTGAGTTCAGGAGTTTGAGACCAGCCCCGGCAACATAGTGAGACCCCTGTCTCTACAAAAAATACAAAAATTAGCTGAGTGTGGTGGCACATGCTTGTAGTCTCAGCTACTTGGGAGGCTGAGGTGGCAGGATCATTTGAACTTGGGAGGTCAAGGCTGCAGTGAGCCGTAGTCACGCCAAGGCACTTCAGCCTGGGCAACAAAGCAGATATTGTCTCAAAAAAAATTAATTCTTTAATGTGTCTCTCATTTTTCTCAGGAAAACAGTTTCAACTTAAAGAAAACTACTGACAACTCATATGAGTTGCCCATTATATGCTCAGAAGTTGGCTACTATTAAAAAACATCTATTTCCATAGGAAAGCACCCTTGAAGGTAAAACTAAATGTAGCCTGTCTTACTGGGGTATTTTCATTCATGGAGTTTGCCAAAGAGAATATCCCATATTCAACACTACAAAGGCTAAATATCACACTTTAAAAATAATTATCAATCCATTTTAGTTTCCTTTGAATTAATTCCTGTATCCTGGTTTAAAAAGTGACATCAGGAGGGAATAGTTTGAATTGGTAGCCGTCCAAGATATTTTCTGTTGTCTCAAAGAGTATATTCTTTTTTTTTTTTTTTTTTTTTTTTGAGATGGAGTCTCACTCTGTCCCCCAGGCTGGAGTACAGTGGTGCAATCTCGGCTCACTGCAAGCTCTGCTTCCCGGGTTCACACCATTCTCCTGCCTCAGCCTCCCAAGTAGCTGGGACTACAGGTGCCCACCACCATGCCTGGCTAATTTTGTTTGTATTTTTAGTAGAGACGGGGTTTCACTGTGTTAGCCAGGATGGTCTCGATCTCCTGACCTTGTGATCTGCCCCCCTCGGCCTCCCAAAGTGCTGGGATTACAGGCGTGAGCCACTGCGCCTGGCCCTTCAAAGAGTATATTCTAATATTACTTCTACAATGTCTGACAAATCAGTTCTTCTTAACCTTTTTTGGTATTGAGGATATCTTGAGACTATAATGAAGGCAATGCAGCCTATTCTAATAATTTTCCTAAAAGAAGCACAAATATGCACAGACCAAACACTTTCCATACAGTTTTGGGGGTGTTTGGATGACTCTTAGCCCCAGCACCATAGTCCAGGGACACGTTGTCAAGAACCTGTCATTAATAAAGCAAAGTAATGATGATATTTTAGTCTTTGAGATCTACCAGATAACTTATTTTACAAACTTACTTTTCCAAGGAAGCAGGAAATTAAACTGTTCAAAGATTGATTCATAGAAATGTAGCATTTTGGCTCTCTTGAATTAGGCTTTGAAAAAAAAAAAGCAAAAACTTGAGAACTAGAGGAAGAGCTCCATTATGGCATTATTTTATTTTGTATTCAAAAACTTAGCTAGGAATCACCAGCTGAAGCTTGAGCTAATTTCTTGTCTTATAAGGGTAAATGGAGCTTTTAGCTCAAGAGAAATAAATGGGACATTCTGCCCTTCGGTAAATGAGAAGGACAGGCAAACCCTCCATCAATATATCTGGTAAGTAGTAGACTGGGTTTATGAATACAGTGCATATTCATACAAATACTTGATTAGCAGAGTGAAAACAGGGTACATTTTGATCCTGAGATAGTAGAAAAGCCAGTTGAGGTTGGGTGTACTATGTTCTAGCTGTGTTTTTCTCTCAAGTAACAGTTTTTAAATTGAGCAAGCCATTATCAAAGTGACCATAGACTTAATCTCTGGGAAGCAATGTGACTGACAGCATTCTCCCACCAGACCTTGGAGAGGCGATTCACAGCCCTGTAGGGTCTTGCCTTCTCTGGGATATTTTCTTTCCCTCTGGGCTTTTTCTACATAGTAGGAAAAGGAAAATGGCTGTAACGGCAATAGCTACACACTGACAGTTTCGTTAGAGGACATGTGTCCCGACTTATGAACAAGAAAAGGTTTTTTCCTCTGATGAGCTTCCCACTGGTGCTAGTTGATTGATGGTAGAGTTCTCACAGCATAGCATCAATGATTTCACCACCTTTGCACCTGTACCAGCTTTGGGCTTCTCTTTCTCCTGTGTGCACTGCCCAGGATGTAATGAGAAGAGTCTGGTGCCAATGGGGAGCAGGACATCTCTTCTTCCCCAAACAGAGCCATGAGAAGAAAGCTGTGTACACCCAGTCAAGCCCTCTTCCTCCAACCTCGTAGATCTAATGGGTAGCGCTAATGGTTTCCTAACAAACATTTTATAACTTAAAGATCAAAATCTTCACTGAAAACATTTATCATGAATACATTGATCATAACATTCAGGAAAAGGATATATTAGACCATCAACCCAAAAATGCTAAGAAAGTCCATTGTAGAGATTATGAAACTTGAGTTATTTTATATTTCTTCATTTTCATTTTGTTAAGGTTTTAGCTTATGGATTACTATACAGCATTTTTATATTCTATTCTAACTTATCCCAATATATATAATAGTCTATGAGATTTAGATGACTATGAATTGTTTCTAATAAAGATTTTTATTTTTCCTGTTTTTCTTTTTTTCTGAAGTTTTTTTCAGAAGAGACCTATTATTATTAAGAACCATTACACGTGTCAGTAATAGTCAAAACCTCAAATAAGCATGGTCATACTTATTTAACATTTTTTCTCTCATACTGCCATGCCTATTTAACTACAGAATTCCATGTAATGGGATTTTAACTTTGCAAGTTCTATTTACTTCCTAGTTGCTGAGCATGGGAGACCTAACTTAAGGACGCAACAAATTCTTTCCATCTAAGTATCCAAAGAAATTTCTCAGAAAAAATCCACACACTCACTGCCTATGTCTAAATCCTTCATTGACCTGAAAATCTTGAAGGACTCAGAATGCTATGGTCATTGTTCTAAGAACTGTAGAGATCAGGGCTGTAAAAGCAATGCAGTTAGTTTCTCCTCAAGAAGATCTGGCAAATGTTTAACAAATACTGTTTTTATTAGCACTTCCAAACTAAGAATATACTTTTTGAGAAATGGATGTTGATATATGATGTAGCATTTGTATTACTACTAATAAACACTCAACTGATCATGCACAGTCAGTCAATTCTGGCCTAAATTGCATACTTTGAATTTATTTATGCAACAAACAATTATTTAGTGTATATCATGGCTTAAGCAGTGTATTGGTTTGGAGGGGGTACTCAAAAGTATATCAAACATGCAACCCTCAAAGAAACATATCAGCAGAAGTCATGCATACAAAAAGTGTCACTAGAGTCAGGTAGAGATGGAAGTAGAATAAGAATCACATCTGGTTGTGGGATAATATGAACAGAGTCCCAAAGATAGCCTTCTTCTGAGGGCTCTGAGTGGGTAGATTTACTTTGAATGTCCTGCTGGAGATAAGGCCAGTTTACACTCAAATGCTCTTTTGGAGGTTTTTATCCTCATCCATCTGACTTTCAGAACCTACTCTCCATCATCTACCTGCAAACTACTCTCCTTAATTAAACAATTAGACAAGTAAAGAGTTTATATTTTTGGTTGTTGTTGTTCTACACTCTTTATTGGCCAGAAGTTCTGTGGCTCCATATGCTAGCTGCCCTTCTTTTATTCTCTCCACTTAATCAAATCAGGAAAAAAATAAAACTTCTTGCTTTATTTTTAAATGCTGAAACACAAAGGAGAGCTGTTTGCTAACCATTCTACGCCATCTTGAAAGTGCTGCTTGCACAATTTCTACTGATGTCAACTTTTTCGAACATTTTTCTCTTATATTTTCACTTTATCATGTAAGTAATCATAAGCATATAAATTTGCTAATTGTTATTTATTATATTAATATAGAGACTGTAGTAAAATTTTCCCCCCACAAGATGAAAAAATCATAATAATATTTTAATATATTTATTTCAGGAGACTTTTTCCTGTGCAAATAGAGGCTTTTTTAAAACCGTATATAGGCTGTTTCTGTTTTAACCACTGGAAACATAGCATATATCTCTTGTTAGTGTTTTTTATGTCAATACACATTTATTTATTTAATGATTATTTATTAAGTACCTTCACTATCCTATATGTGAGTGTGTGTGCGTGTGTGTATATATATATGTGTGTGTGTGTTCTTTTTTTTCTTTCTTTCATTTTTTTTTTTAAATAGGATCTTGCCCTATCATCTAGATGGGAGTGCAGTGGCATGATCACAGCTCACTGAAGGCTAGGACTCCTGGGCTCAAAAAATGCCCCCACCTCAGCCTCCTGAATAACTAGGACTACAGATTTGTGCCACCACGCTCAGCTAATTTTTATTTTGGGTAGAGATGAGGTCTTGCGATCTTGCCGAAGCTGGTCTCAAACTCCTGGCCTCCAGTGATCCACCCACTTTGGCCTCCCAAAGTGCTGAGATTACAGGCGTAAGCCACCATGCTCAGCCTACCTTCACTACTATGAACACGGAGAATACCATAACAAACAAATGTCTAACCTCAAAGAGGTCATATTCTGACCAAACTGGACAGATACAAATAAAAACAAACAAACAAGTAAACTAATGAGTAAGAATAATTTCGAAACCAGTAGGTGCTATAAGGTAATAGAACAGGTAGATGAGAGAAGATGGCAAGAGGGATGGGAGTGTGGGTGCCCACCTTAGGCAGGTGGTCATGGAACATGGGTTGGAACAAGTAATATTTGAAGGAAGATAAAAGTGGCAAGAAGGAGCCATTCATGTGAGGATTCAGGGAGAGCATTCCCCACCCCCAAGGAAAAAAATGGGACAGCAAGGATGAAAAGCTGAGGGAGGTGTCAAATAAGAAAAAAAATAGCTGCTGATATAGCTGGGAATGGTGAACTAGAAAGTACAAGATTCCAGAGAGGGGGCAGCACCTAGCAGTTTGAGAAACCATGGTCATGAGAGTGGATTCTTACCTAATTGCAGTGGGAGTTCTCAGAGAACTTCATCTCCGGACTCTCAGACTCCTCTCTTCTCTGTTGCCTCTCCCAGCACAGTTTTCCCTTGTAATTTTATGAACCTGTATTCAAGTTGTGCTCTCCTATCTTAATTTTTCTCTTTATATCCTGGGCTCTACTTTGCAAACTGAGTTTAATGACGTTCTGTAGACCCAACTTTTTTTTTTTTTTAAAGACAGAGTCTCGCTCTGTCACCCCAGGCTGGAGTGCAGTGGCACAATCTCGGCTCACTGCAACCTCCACCTCCAGGTTCAAGCGATTCTCCTGCCTCAGCTTCCCCAGTAGCTGGGATTACAGGTGCGCATCACCACACCCAGTTAATTTCTGTATTTTTAGTAGAGACAGGGTTTCACCATGTTGGCCAGCCTGGTCTCGAACTTTTGACCTCAAGTAATCTGCCCGACTCTGCCTCCCAAAGTGCTGGGATTGCACCAGCACTTTGAGCAGTTTGAGAAACCATGGTCATGAGAGTGGATTCTTACCTAATTGCAGTGGGAGTTCTCAGAGAACTTCATCTCCAGACTATCAGACTCCTCTCTTCTCTGGTGCCTCTCCCAGGCACAGTTTTCCCTTTTACTTTTATGAACCTGTATTCAAGTTCATAAGAGAGCCACCGCGCCCAGCCAAGACCCAACATTCTAATTTTCAACATTCCCCAAATTGCTAATTTATTCCCTCCTTTGTTCAACTATGAGCTCTGATACGTAACATATGCATGCACTAAAATAAAAATTTAATAACATTTGTGAAAAATAAACTGAACAAAACACTTAAAATATCTGTTCTTTGGAGTACCATAGTTAATTTTATAAACTTGCTTCATTGTTTATTCAGATCACTGACCCCTCAACAACTTGGTGGAACATTAAATTAACACATTATTGTTCCACCTCCTGGTTGTGCCTCTTTTTCTCCAATGTCAATGCTACAGTGTATGAGGGACCAAATCCACTTTGCATAAGCAGTTAAACTCACAGCCTAACAGGATTTGGAATACCTAATAACTGTGTCTGGGGATTATGTTTTTCTTAAATCTCAGACTTTTGGTTAAGGATTTAGACATATGGTCCCATACAAAGCAATCTGGTACACGAGAACTGTTTTGTCTATCATGAGTCTCAGAAGGGTTATATCACTGGTTTGGATGATACAGGAAAGAAAAGTAAAATTTTAGTTATGCTTCTGAAGCATTAATTCAAGACCCTGCACATCTGCCCACAGTTGACCTTCCTAACTTGTTCTGTAGTGAAGGGTAAGGCACTTTTCTATACTAATTTGTCTGGGCCCATGAGTATCCTTGTATTATGAATGGTTTCCATGAGAATTGAGGGCTTTCTAAAGATAGTCACATGCTGAAAAAAACAACAACTTAGGGCCCTGTGCTATGATGAAGAAGAGATACTTCCCCTTGGATACTGTAAAATAATTTTTAGGAAACCAAAATCTACTCAAATGTTTCAGTAGAAAGTGACTAAAAGTAATTGGATCAAGGTGCATGGTTTTTGTTTTTGTTTTTGTTTTTGTTTTTGTGTTAGGAGGGAACTGGAGTAATTGTTTTTTTTTTTTTTTTTTTATACTTTCAGTTCTAGGGTACATGTGCACAACATGCAGCTTTGTTACATATGTATACATGTGCCATGTTGGTGTGCTGTACCCATTAACTCATCATTTATATTAGGTATTTCTCCTAATGCTATCCCTCCCCGCTCCCACCACCCCATGACAGGCCCTGGTGTGTGAAGTTCCCCACCCTGTGTCCAAGTGTTCTCATTGTTCAATTCCCACCTATAAGTGAGAACATGCGGTGTTTGGTTTTCTGTCCTTGCGATAGTTTGCTCAGAATGATGGTTTCCAGCTTCATCTATGTCCCTACAAAGGACATGAACTCATCCTTTTTTATGGCTGCATAGTATTCCATGATGTATATGTGCCACATTTTCTTAATCCAGTCTATCATTGATGGACATTTGAGTTGGTTCCAACTCTTTGCTATTGTGAATAGTGCAGCAACAAACATACGTGTGCATGTGTCTTTATAGTAGAATGATTTATAATCCTTTGGGTATATATACCCAATAATGGGATGGCTGGGTCAAATGGTATTTCTAGTTCTAGATCCTTGAGGAATCACCACACTGTCAAGCCAAGCACAGAAAGTCAAATATCACATTCTCACTCACATGTGGGAGCTAAAAAAAAAAGTGAATCTCATGAAGATAGAGAGTAGATCAGTGATTACCAGAGCCTGGAAGGGTACTAGGGAGGTGGGATGAGAGGCTGATTAATGGGTACAAATATACTTTTTGATAGAAGAAATAAGAGCTAGTATTAGACAGACAACTAGGGTGACTATAGTTTACAACACTCTATCGTATATTTCAAAATAGCTAGAAAAGAAGCATTCAAATTGTCCTAGCATAAACAAAAGACAACTGTTTAAGGTGACAGATAGCCCAAGTACACTGATTTGATCTTTACAAATTATCCAAAGTTATTAAGTTATCACATGTACTCCCAAACTATGAACATCTAGTATGTATCAATAAAAAAGATGGGGATAATGAGGATTAAATGAGACAACGCATTTAATGGACCTAGCACAGAGCCTGCCACACACTAATTTCTTACTAGATGTGATTATGACTACTATCAAAAATAAAAATAAATACAGCATTTTAGAAAGAAGATTGTAAATCCATAAGAAGCAATCTTACCCAAGCAACCAAAACCATGATCAAATGATCAAAAAGTAAGTTAATGTGGGTAATCATTAAAACGATAAATATTTACCTTCAACATTTTATTTCAGCTTAGAACATTTAAATGTACATTTATTTGCTGATCTTTTAACTTAGAAAAACCTAGGCCTTTTCCTGGATATGAATCCTCGGGTTCTGCTTCATCTTTATACTTATGATGCATTTGCTTAAGGTTGTTTTAAAAAAATAAATGGAGTAAAAGACCAGCCTGGGCAATACGGTAAAACCCCATCTCTATTAAAATACAAAAAATTAGCCAGGTGTGGCAGCATGCACCTGTAATCCAGCTACTCGGGAGGCTGAGAGAGGAGAATCACTTGAACCCGGGAGGTGGAGGTTGCAGTGAGCTGAGATCGCGCCTTTGCACCCCAGCTTGGGTGACAGAGCGAGACTCCATCTTTAAATAAATAAATAAATAAATAAATAAATAAATAAATAAATGGAGCTAGAATCCAAGACTATATCTGAAGTTATATGATTACATATTCCTCTCAGTCTTTTATAGAGACCTCCCCAAAGTTAATTTGAAAGCAGTTTTCTAGCAATTCTTTTTCGTTACATCTTTTGAAAGAATCAACTTAGTTTTCCCAGAAAAAAATAACCTTCTTGTTTTTGATATTTAACATTAGCAAGTTTATACAATCTTAATTAAATGACATAATTTTCATATTAACTACAGCTGGCACTAACAGGTTTTGGAACAAACAGAACCTGACTGTCAGCAAGCATACAAGTCAAGTGAGAAAAGCAGAGGTTTGCAGGCCTATTAAAGGGGTGCCCAGAAGTTGAATGTATTAAATTATCACATGTATCCTAAAACGAGGTACATCTACTACACATCAATTTTTTAAAAAGATGGGGTGAATGAGGATTAAATGAGACAATGCATGTAATGGAGCTAGCACATTCTGGACAGGTGATGGGGAGTGTCAATTAATCTAAAGAATTCCTTCAGAGGTGTTTGCTGAAGAGAGTATCTATGCCATTAATATCAAAGAATAAAAATGTAGCATTTACATCCCCAAAAGGATTTTTGGAGTGTCTCTGAACTATTAGTGAAGCAAATAGAGAAAAAAGCAAATAGAGAAAAGAACATTCTCTGTCAGCAACCAATGCTACTGCCTGTCAACAAATATTTGGGGTCTATCTCCTAAGTCAAGAGTGAAATGGCAATAGTCATTCATTCATTCATTCACTTATTTTTTCAAAAAATGTTTGAGTATTATGTACCCAACATTGTGCAGAGCTGGAATTCTAAAAATGAACAAGATAAGCTCCTTCCCTCAAGAAATTCACAAATGACAGGAGAGATAGTCAACTAAATAGTTAACAGTGCATGGGAACCATGATTAAAATGCAGTCCCTGAAAAATAGGATTCAAGGAGCATGACTGACAACTAAAAACACCTCAGAGAACAGTACGTTTCCAGTGTTCTCTCCAACACTACAGTAATATACAAGATTTATGGACATTTCAAAGACTTCCATCTTAATGGAGATTGAGAATTATCATCGAGAAACTGAAGAGAAAATAAGATACGTCTCAGAGACTGATGATGAGAAGTAAAGGAAGGCAGGGAGTCAAAAGAGGATATTTCTGGCAATTTAAAAAACTGTAATGTTATAGTCTATAAAGCATATAATTAGAGAGTTTTGTAAGAAAAATCAAACAAATTGTTAGTACATTTTTCAAAAAAATTATATTATGCTATTTATTTTACCTCAAGTGTGTGAATATTATTAATAACAGGATTTAACTTTTATTTTTAATCTTTTAACACTCTGGTACCTAAAATAAGGCCTAACCTAAAATTAGTGTAAAAATAAAGTTTGAGAAATCAGTGAATAAATAAATAAATAAATAAATGGAGTATTAGGGTAGAGAGTAAGATCTTGTAAGGTCTGATGCATTTCTTTTCATCCAACTTTCATCCAACTTTGAGTCTTAAATATAGGAGTTCACTGACCCAAGCAGTGATGAGCATGTTTAAATATCTTAAGATACCTGTGAATATAGCGTATTTTGGGAAAGACAAAATATTTGGTGTAACTATTGTATAGGGTATACATAGAATTGGTTTTATCGTCAAATGGTAAACAAAAGACATGCTGCGGTGATATGGCAGAGTCTTACAATTCAGGCTACCATACTTACAGGCAATGAGAATTAGTGAAAATTTTCAAATAGAGGAGATGCAGATGGGATCTCAGAAAAGATAAATCTGGCAGTAGTTTGGAGAATGAATTGGAATGAAAAGAGCCTGGAACAAAGATATAAGTTAAATATTAGCCATATAATTAACTTGAGGGAAATTTGGTAAATTTTAAGTTCATATGACTCTGATCTCTTTTTTATTAAAGGTAGGAGGGAGGGAGAGAGAGAGAGAAACCAGGTTACTCACAGTCTTTTCACTTTAGAGAATGGATGCGTAACTCTAAGACAAGAAAATCAAGAAAAGAAATGATGAGCTAATTTTTAACATGAAGATCTTAGGTTGTCTGCAGTCATCCATGCATATATATGTATCACAGAGTAGTTGATTCATTCATTTATTCAACAAATATTTATTGAACATATACTATGTTATCCTCACAATGCAGAGAACTGGGGACTCAAGACAGAAATGATAGATGTTTCTGCTTCAATGAATTCATGTCTGATGTAGAGATAAAAAAGTAATAACATAAGATGAATAAGTCCAGGGTACATTAGGGTCACAGAAAGTGTAGCCTTTAAGTGTGTGGAGGAGTCTTGAGTACAATAACCTGACTTGAAAGATAAGCTTATGTTTCCTGGATGGGGAGGTGGGTAAGAGAGCTTCTTGGAGGAAGGCTGAAACATGAGATGTTCTGCTCAGCTGGTGATGGGACAGAGAATAGGAAGAAGCAGATGCTGAAGTGAAAAGGGCCAGATCATGAGGCCCCTTTGCAATGCAAGGAAACTTTACATTTTATCCAGTGACAGCAAGCAGTGGAAGAAATGTGAATAGGAAAATGCTATATGAATTAAATCTGCGCATTGAAAGGAATACTTTGTTGGCAAATCAAAGACTTGATTGCTAGCAAGTCAACAAAGGGGTTGTTGCACTTTCTCTCAATATAGATATAGAAGATATAGATATTGATATTGATATCGATATAGATATAAAGATAACCTGCCCTGGTATAGTGACAGTGACAGGGGAAGGGAAAGATGAGGACTGGAGGAATTCAGAGGTAGGTAACCTGGCCTAGAGATGATTGGATGAATGGAAGTATTAATAAAAGAGAGTGAATAATTCAGTATGACCTTTGTTTTCAGGTTTCGGCAGCTGGGCAGATACTGGTGCCATTTCACCAAAAAAAGGAAGATCTCTACGATAAAGTACTTAATAGACTTCTCTTGTCAAAAGTAAGACAGAAATACAAAATGTACATAAACACAGTATTCTCTGAAGGATGCTGAATTAATATTGTTCAAATTCATTACTGAGATTAAAGCAAAAAAAGAATCAGTTCATGATGAATCAGAATTTGAATAGCAAAATGAAACATTATTTTATTACTGACAAGGCTGTATTGGAACAACTGTCCTGAAAATAAAATGCCAACAGTTAACTTTCACTTACAGACTTACCCATTGTTTTATTCCAGCTCTGTCTGCTAGCTTTTCTCCATGAAATTTCTCCGTCCATTAGCAGTTTTTGTGGAATTTGCTTCACTGTCATGATGCTACATATATCAACTTGCCTCTGTGCTGCAAATGATCCATATTCTTGGCCAGAAGAGCTGTCTAAAATATGTACATATGACAAAGATATTCGGGACAGAAAATTTCTTAACGTGGTGGGATGATGAAAAATTGGCATTAACATGCACAGAACACATAAACTTTGCATTTGAAAGAGAGACAACAGCATAAGATAATTTCACATGAAATCCAATTGTAAGATTTTGGTTTTTCAACAACTTATAGAATAAAATGACTAGAAAATAGTAGAATTTAAAATGATTTTTATGACCATTTCTAAATTATCTTTGATGAGTCCCAAGATAATTTTCCACAAAATACTTACTAGTTCTGACCCACATTTATTTCTCCTTTACATGTTTTCATTCATTCAATAACTGCTACGTATAACACACATGATGAATACTTTTTCAAAGAAATAAAGGGAAAAAGAAAAAGAAAAAAAGAAAGGAAAACAAAGGAATGAGAGTGAAAGAAAGAGGAGGGGTTGGGGAGAGAGAGAAAGAATACTCTAAATCTTTAGTAAAATTTTGGTCATACCTAATTACTATCTCTTTTTTAAAATCACTGATAATGAATCACTTCTCAAGAGAAAGTATGGTTGGACATAGTGGCTCACATCTATGATCCTAGCACTTTGGGAGGCTAAGGTGGGAGGATTGCTTAAGGTCAGGAGTTCAAAACCAGGCAGGGGCAACAAAGCGAGATCCAGGCTCTAAAAGAAAAAAAAAATTGCTGAGTGTGGTGGTGTGCACCTGTAGTCCCAGCTACTTGGGAGGCTGAGGAGGGAGACTTATTTGAGCTCAAGGCTGCAGTGAGCTGTGATTGTACCACTAAACTCTAGCCTGGGTAACAGAGTGAGATCCTGTCTTTAAAAACAAAGAAAGAAATTATGGCTTTACAGAAAAATTCCACTGAATGATCTTCAAATGATTTACATTCTGTTAAATGTTGGAGGTCCAGTTCTCTCTATTGCTTCGTTTCCCATCAATGTTGTTAAATTTTAGGAGAAATGAAAGTACTTTTAACTTTTTTAAAATGAAACATTGAAAAACTACCTTTGGAACTGATAATTTTCTTAATAAGTAAACATTTAGAGTTTTTATATTTTAGGGAAATTTCTTTAAAGCTCAATACAAAAGCAAACTAAATGAATCTTATGTCAAGTTATAATATACACTAAATTTTATTTTTTTTAATTTCAGGAATAGAACAAATTCTCTTATAATTTTGCTAAATAACATGCACTATAAAATAATTGTCACTAATAATTACTTGTTATTAAACATTTCATCAACACCATCATTAGCACTGTCATTAACAAGTCCCTCTATTCTAACTCATTATAGGAGTCAGTCTCTCTCTCTGTTCTTCTCTTCCTCCCTACCTCCATTTCTCATTTTTCTAATGCATATTTATTTACCTGATTTGCCATTTAATCAAAGGCTACCCTATTTTGCCATTACTTAATATTATTGAATACTATAATTCTATTACATTAGTTCTAAATGTAAACAGACCTATTTTCAAAGCTGTGAATTCAATATATTTAAATAGCAAAAAATGGCTATTATCAAATGGAGATATGTATATACACATATAGTTTATAGTAACGCTTTACTGTACATATACATTCATAAATAATGTACTTTGAAACTATCCTGCGTTTATCCTAGACTCAATGGGATTATGACAAATAATAAACAATCTAATTTTTAAGGGTTTCATATTAAGCAATTCAGAATGTTGGCAAATATTGCAAAATCATGACAGCTGATATGGTTTGGATCTGTGTCCCTGCTCAAACCTCAGGTCAAATAGTAATCCCCATTGTTGGAGGTGGAGCCTGTTGGGAGGTGACTGGATCATAAGGATGGAGTTCTCACGAATAGTTTAGCACCATCTTTTTGGTGCTGTTCTCGTGACAGACTTCTTATGACATCTGGCTGTTTAAAAGTGTCTGCAACCTGTCTCCCTCTCTCTCTTCCTCCCGCTCCAGCCATAGAAGAGGTTGCCTGCTTCACCTTTGCCTTCCACCATGACTGAAAGTTTCCTGAGGCCTCCCCAGAAGCTGAGCAGATGCCAGCATCATGCTTCCTGTACAGGCTGTGAAACCGTGAGCCATTTAAGCCTCTTTTCTTTGTAAATTGCCCAGTCTCAAGCATTTATTTACAGCAGTGTGAGAACAGCCTAACACAACAACGTTTAGTGTTATGCTATTATTTTCTCTATGTAGTATTACAGACAATTTCTATACAAATGCCTTCACAAAAGAGTAATACATAAACCAAATAAATAAAATCTACAGTTTTTCTTAATTCTAAATTATAACCTCTGCAATAAATACAACTGTTTCATAAGAATTTCTGCCATTCAAAATAGATTGAAAATGGCATATTATAAAAAGAATATAGACAAATACCCTTTCTACCTTTCAATTTTGTAGCTTTAAATTGATACCTGAACTTCATGGCTATCTGTGTTTATTCATTCATCTATTCATTCATTTGTCATTTTCAGACAGTTTGGTTCCATCTGCCACCTGGTTATCAGACTTCTAGGAAGAAGAATCATATTACCATATAATAAAAAGAAAACGGGCTTTGTAGTGGGAATATTTAAATTGGCATTCCAGCTCAATCATAACCCTGTAGGCAGAATCCTGCACTCTCACACTGGGACTTTATCTACCCCTTAGGGAGCATTTGGAAAAAAATATACAAGTGGTTTTGATTAAGCTTAGATGTTAGTGCCTAGGAATAAGAGCTTCTAACTGTGATATTCTCAAAATTAAGACTTGTTCTGCCTAAAATGTTAATCATCATCCTTACGAATTTAAGAAATAAAGCCTGGCAGGGTGTCTCATGCCTCATCCCAGCACTTTGGGAGGCCAAGGCGGGCGGATCACTTGAGTTCAGGAGTTCAAGACCCACCTGGCCAATGTGGTGAAACCCTGTCTCTACTAAAATTAAAAAAAAAAAAAAAGCTGGGCATGGTGGCACACACCTGTAATTCAGCTACTTGGGAGGCTGAGGCAGGAGAATTGTTTGAACCTGGGAAGTGGAGGTTGCAGTGATCCAAGATTGCACCACTGCACTCCAGCATGGGCAACAGAGCAAGACTCTGTCTCCAAAAAGACACTTTAAGAAAAAGAAATTAAGAAATAAGCTACTCATTAAATATTGATTAAATATTGCTTTTAGCATCGCAGATATGCAATTACTCCACCAAAGTTCACCCTCACCTGGGTATGTAAGTTTCTTTGTAATTATGCTATATAATTTATGTGTATGCCCATGTTAAGAAACTATTCATTTTCTTCTGTGCTTCAAGTACTCAGATAAGCCTTTTTCAAGCAAAAATAATGTTGTAGGATCACACAAAGTCAAATATTAAGCAACCTCAAAGAAGTGATGAAACTTTAACTGACCCTGATCGAATTAATCCTGGTTCATAAAATACTTACTACACTAAAAGAGAGATCTGAGATAATCTGTTTCAAAGAAGTTGTTTGAAAGTCAAATGGAGTACTTACTTGACCAAAAGTTGCTGGCCCATCTCTTTGATATAACCAATTTTTAAAATTACAAAGCCTGATTTCAACCACTGGGACAGAAGAGAAGAAATAAGGACAAGGCTCCTGCATCCACATAAGTCCAAAGTCAGGAAAAGACATGAGGACACATCAAGTTTGACCCTTGAACATTTGAACAGAAAGTACTGGACAAGCCAATAACCAGGAAAATATTTCAAGTTCTGGCCAGAGAGTCTAACCCTGGTTTTTACTTCCCCTCCATCTAACATTGGCCTGTAAACATCTGTCCCCTACCTCCTGAGTGTTCAATTCCGTTGAAGTACTTTCAAATATCCTCCAAGTTACACCCAAAAACTATGAATCTGAATGTTCCCAAATGTTTCTTTCCAGCTGCACCAGAGTCATGCTGAGTTCCACCTAGGCAGGTCCCAGTGGTCTGCAGTACTCTTGATTTCTTCAATCTGATAGTAGGCATCTCCAGACCCAGGAATGACTCAGCTTCACTTTTAATTTGAGATTTTATACTCTGCATCACTCCTAAATCATTTAAGAAAGCTGAAATAGCCTTTCCGTTTTCCAAACTCCCCAGACCAAATATAGTGCTGATTATACCCAACAGGTATTAAATAGGGGGGTGATTGCAGTTACAAAGTTGTAATGGTGTCTTTTTTTCTTTTGTAACGGAATGTGTAAATCAAAGTATATACATTGTGTGGTGTTCCTGTTTCTGGAGTTTCATGAGGATTTACACATGGCATTCAGTGTTCTGTATAGATCTGCCTACCTTTGCGAATTCATCTGTTAACCCCTCTTCCTTTGAGAGAGCACCGGCGATGGTGGTTAACTCCTTGTGTTTTCTCTCTCTCCTACTGGTTATTCTTGAATTAAGCACAGACTTGTCAGCTCAGTTGCTTTATCATGAATAATGTGCGTGACCTTGCAGTTCTTCCACAGTTCAGCAAACAAGTGCTAGCTTCAATGACCAAAAATTAAGGAAGGAAAACACAGTTTTTAAAATGATCCATCTTTTAACAGCCTAAACCGATGTGTCTATGGTGCGGCATCTTGCTGTTGTACTTCTGAAATCAGACCTGTGTGAACGATCATTTCTGACTTAACCGTGAGATGCTCACGAGTACCTTTCCTGTTGTTTTGTTAGAATTGAAATCAAGACTATTTCTTTGGAATATATACAACAGTGTTTTTCCACTGTATTTCATTTGCAAAAGTTGAGAACTGCTTTCTCTACCTTTTGCAAAATAATTGATATATTCCATATTGGATTCTCAAAGACTTTAATATGGTGAATCTATTCAACCTAGAAATTGTATTCATCCTTTCATGACTGTGGCCTGAGTTCCCCAGCCCCTCTCCTACTTTTTTTAGATGAGATTTAGCACACTCTCAGTTATTTAAACATGCAACATTTCTTGAGTATGTATATTGAGGCCATCTGAGCTCATAGCTGATTCAGTAACCAGTTTCATGCTGTGTCATTCACTACTTAATACTGCCATGGTGAAAATGTGGAGGAAAAATATATCCTTCTGTGTCTGGGAAGCATATACACTTGTACATTTTTTAATACTCTGATTCTGTAACATTTCTGAGTTTTGTTTTGTTTTACAGAAAAAAAAAGTGATAAAGCAATCAGAAGACCAAGAGGTTTACTATTGATGCTTAGGGTCATCTGACCTTGGCTGGCCAATAGACCTACACGGCCAAATTAATTTAAGAGAGTAACAATTTTTCAAAAGCCAATTTTTTTTCTGTATTTTCTGTATGAAACTGCCAATGTCATGAATAGAAAGGGAGAACCATAAAGGAGAAAGAACGTGATGTTCTGTTATGTTCGTGTGAACCTAAAGAAACAATGTGGAGGCAGGCGCGATCAGCCGAACTCTAGGGACTTGATGGTGTTGCTTGGAAGGCATCCATAGCTGCATTTTGCATTCTTAGTATGTAATCATATTGCCAAAGACAAACTATTTCATCATTTATTGTAAATAACACTTTTCCCCAGACCTACCATAAAGTTTCTGTGATGTATTGTCTTCCAGTTGCAATACAAATTACTGAGTTGCATCAATTGAAGAAAAAAAAAATAGGGGGGTGATTGTTCTCCTATTCTAAATGTAAAAATGAAAGAAATACATACCTTCAGGCAGTATGTACAATACTTTCTGAGTTGGAAAACTTTATTAGAAAAGAAGAAAATAACCATAACTGCCTGTCTGTGGAATGATTATTTAGCTGAAAAATTCAATTTGTACAAGAGAATTGAAAAGTGCTTTGTGGAAGAAAAAATTGATTAGATGCACACTTGAAATCATTTGCATAACACTCTATTCTCATACTTTAAGCTTTAATAGTTTCTGAGTAAGAACTCTTGTCTTTCAAGGTCTGTACTTCCAGGCTGCAGGGTCTGTAGGTAATGACTTCAAGGCCTCGGCAATTAGAATATGGCATCCCTGAAGGAGAAAAAGTGGAAAACTAATAATTTGTGCCCCCTACAAGATGATCCTCAAGAAGCCTAGAGACTGAAAGCTTGGGGATTTAAATTTTCCCTGTAAGAACTAGGAGAGTAAGTATTTCAAAAGGCAGAGGTGGAGGTCCTTCTGCAAAGATAAGTGCTTAAGAGTTTAATCTTGAGTTTAAAATGGAGCAAAACCAGAAAGTACTGTCTTCCACAGGCTTGGGGACAGGGAGAGTTAAGAGCTGCAGCCCAAGTTCCAAACAATGACTTTTAGAGAAGGCCCTGACTCTGAAAAACAAACCACAATGGGCAGATTCAAATATATCCTGGAAGCATCCCAAAATCTGTAGCATCATGGTGGGAGCTGGAAATCTATTCTGTAGGGCTGCGATTGTTTGGTTAGAAGGATATTGTTTCTTTGATGGGGAGTCCTTCCTTCTTTGATATAATTCATGTGATGAGAAAAAGAGAGAAAAATACCTGGAGACATCTGGAGGTTAATAAGCCTCGTCTCAGTAACTACCAAGGGCAGAATCAAGTAACCATACCACACACACACACACACACACACACACACACACAGTAACACAAGAAAGAGGTGAGATGAAAAGGTTCTTGAGGATTGAATGAGCAGTCGGCAATTCCAAGAAGTAAGTATGGGGCATGGAGTGAAAGGAAGGAAGCTTCACCACCTAAAAAGCAGACAAAAATAGATCATCTTCCCTGAAGAAAGATGAGAAGAGTCTATTTAAACTCCAAAAAATGTCTTTCCCCATACCTTGAAGGAAAGATGTGACAACAATTTCTTTTTACCATTCTGACCAGTATGACTTGACTTGTATTTGCTCAGGCTGGTGGAAATTGAGGAACATCTACTAAAATCAGGAAAGACTAGACATTGAAAGGAGAAGATAAGAAAGGAAGGGACTACTAGATTTGACTCAGCATCCTCACAGTCTGCCCAGGAAACCTCTAAGTCACCTCCTGCCTGACCACCCTCCTCATCTCACTCTACTTCTTTGCAAACTCTACCCTGTTTTACTATAGGGGCTTTGCCTTCCTCCTGTAGTTCCTGCTTAAAACCTAGATTTTCTTTAAGATACTTGGCACACAAAAAAGGAGGGGATTTTTTTTCTCCTCAAGATGAGGAAATGAAACAAATATTGCAACAAAAGAAACCCAAGAGAATTCCAAAGTATCAAAAAGAAAATCACATTTGAACTCATCTATTCCTGGCTCCAGAGTTTAATTTCTCTGCTCTATTCTTGGTACAGAGAGTGTGACCTCTCCAAGCTTAATTTCTTTGTCCACTTTTATAAAAACACAAAAACACATCGATATTTATATTAAAATATAAAAATAATCTTAAAAATTGCAGAGGTATGGTTAGAACTCAGGGAAATATTAGTAAAAGCAACTAGCTCAGTGCTCATTAAATATTAGAATTTTTTTCTCTCTACTCCCAGATAAGTCTGCCTGTTAAAATATAGGACACCCAGTAAAATCTGAATTTCAGAAAAACAACAAATAATTTCTTAGCATGGGTAGGTCCCAAATGTTGCATGCATTTTTATTTTCTAAATCTGGCAATCCTACACTCCAGAAAACAGAAATAAACAACATAGACAGTGTGGGGTGATAGAAACAAAACTAACCCAATATTTAAATTCCAGCTCCATCTGGTCCACACTCTGTATTGCTTGTTTAAAGTATAATATTTCACCTCAATTTTGAAAGTTCCCAACACAAAGAAATGATAAATGTGTGAGGTGATGGATATACTAATTAGTTTGATTTGATAACTACACATTATATGTGTTGAAATATCACTATAAACCCCACAAATATGTACAATTATGTGTCAATTAATTTTTTAATTTTTAAAAAAAGTTCTTTGCCTCAGTGAAGCTGTGTAATCCATGGGCTGAAATGATGATCATTAAGGTCTCTTTCAAAACCAAAATTATATAAACCTATGGCAACCATTGAATATTAATAGACCCTCTCCTCTTCTAGAATTATGAAAATGTTTAAATGTCTAATATTAAAGGAAATTCCACAAAACCCTCTGTTGCAACAGGATACTCTACCAATGATACGAGACTATCACTGTGGAGACTAGGATATGTGTTAGGACTTTTGAAAGCAAAGCCATAGGAGAAAAATAAGTTGCTCTTCCGTTAATTTTTGTGATCAGAGAATTTTGAAGAAGTTGTTTTCATTTTGGCATATATGTAAGTTTGAGCTTTACTACTTAGTAATTTTTTTTTTTTTTTGAGACAGAGTCTTGCTCTGTCGCTCAGGCTGGAGTACAATGGCATGATCTCAGCTCACCACAACCTCCACCTCCTGGGTTCAAGTGATTCTCCTGCCTCAGCCTCCCGAGTAGCTGGGACTACAGGCATGCGCCATGATGCCCAGCTAATTTTTGTATTTTTTAGTAGAGACAGGGTTTCACCGTGTTGGCCATGCTGGACTCGAACTCCTGACCTCATGATCTGCCCGCCTCGGCCTCCCAAAGTGTTGGGATTACAGGCTTGAGCCACCACTCCCTTCCCTACTTAGTAATTTTTTAATTGATATTACATATAGGGACACAATGATTCTTTCAGCTTTTCTAAAGGTTTTAATCTAGTCCTGTATGCCATGGGGCTAGCCAAGGGGTGGGAGCTGGTAAAGAACTGCCTGGAGCAAAACAAGTGGTGATGTGTCCAGGAGAGCATGAAAGAAACGATGTGATGGTCTAGAGAATGGCCTGAAAAAGTCCTCATGAAAAAGAGCTAAAACAGGATTTATGTTGTATTTCAAAATCGCTGGGTAAGGAAAGAACGTGCTTCAAAGTAAAGGGCATGACGTATATCTAAATATGATGAATCAGCTTCCTAACTAAGGGAGAGAACCGTGTCTTTGCCTTTGCACCACAATGGTTAAAATCATGGTAAAGCAAAAGTTATTTAATGAGACAATAGCCCATGATCACTATTTTATAATCATTTCAAAGCAAAACATAATTTCCACTGATAGCATGTTATCAACTACAAAGTTCATGCAAACATCGCCAGCTGGGAATATAAAGATGAATAAGCCTTTGTCCCCAGTGGTTATTCATCAAGTGGATAAGACACACCTATAAACATGTGATAGCATTAGAGGGAGATGGGGGATGGGGTGTGAGAGCAACAATAGCATTAGAGGGAGATGGGAGATAGGGGTGTGAGAGCAACAGGAATGGAGGATTTCCTGACACCTGAATAGTCAGAGAGACCATCACAGGGAAGGTGACACATGAGAAGAGGCTTCACAGAAGAAAAGGAAGAAACTACCAGGTAGGCACGCATTCTAAAAGAAAGGAACAAATGTCAAAATCATGAAAGCCTGAAATAGAAGGAGAGTTTCAGACAACAGTTGGTGCAATGACTCATTCTATTAAAAGTAATGGCAAAAACTGCAATGACTTTTTCACCAACCTTAAATGTACGAGAGAAGCTCCAGCGAAAAAATAGAGGCAGAGAGGAAAGATGAATAGAATAAATCATGAGGGACTTTGTGCATAAAGTCTATATGTTCAGATTTTATCCTGTGGGAAATAAAGGGCTATTGACAGCTTTAACTTGGGGGTAACTCTTGAAAAACACTGGGTGGATATGTAGAGTACTTAGAAAAAGAAATGCTACAAACAATATACTGAGATTATTCTTGCCTTCCATGTGAAAATAAAATGGGAGAATAAGATGGAAGGCAGATGCATCTCTATTTCAGAATGATTCTTCCCAAAGAATAGCAGCTCCTTTGGTGAGAACAAAACAACTGAGTTTTTTTTCTCTATTTTCATATATTTTTATGTGTTCATTATTAAAAATCAAATGGTGCAGATATATACATAGAAAGTTAAAGTCTTATTCATGTCCCCACATAGATATTGATTTATTTTTTGTTTGTTAGGTAGTTTGTGTTTTTTATTATAAACATTATAGGAAGAAACATTTTCATGTGTATACATACTCTAATAAGTCTTACTCTTCTTATTCATACAAAGTTATGTTACTGGATCAAAATGTTTATGTGCTACAAATTTGAATGACTAATGCAAAATTGCCTTCCAAAAAGGATGCAATGATTTAGATATCACCAACATTCTAGGAGAGCATCTGGTCCTCCATATCTTTGCCAACACTGAGTAATACTTTTTCTTTTATTCACAAAAACAAATTCTTGCTCTCTTATAATTGACACTGTTCACTCATACTAGAATCTCATTCGAGAAACACCTATTGAATGACTATGACACTTACATTACACCACTAAGAATTTTTAGTGTATACAAAGACAAGTAAACTATGGCTGTCACTCCGGAAAACTCAGGCTGAAGACCCAATATGGACAATCATATATCTTTAATATAACATGAAATTCAGTAAATAATCTAACGGTGTAAACAACTAATCAATCAAAGGATGAAACAATTCCTTCTTGCTGGGGTGCTCAGGGAAGATTCCGTGGAAGAGGTATTCTTTTATCTTTGTCTTAAATGCTGGCCAATATTTAAATAAACTGAATGCCCAGAACTCTTCTCAGTCTATTGAACAGCATAAACTACAAGTGCTGCACAGACAAGCACAGGGCATGTATGAGCAGCAGCAAGGAGCCTCCTGGGACTGGGAAGCCTTGTCTGATTCTGGGCTTTCTGTTGACAAGAAAACACCAGGAAATCAACGTGAGGTCTGATTCCCCCTCTGTGTGCCCAGAATTTAGTCTGTGAAGTCTCTAGTCTTTCACTCACCTTGAATTACATCATGCATTTCTTTTTTGTCACCAACATTTATCGGCTCTTTAAAACTAGCACCGTTCTTGTAAGAGCCATAAAGAACAATTTTTCATTTTGTACAACAAATGACATAATTTGTATCTGTGTGGAAACAGTGGAAAGAGTAACTTATGGATTAGATGCAGAGAAATAAAGCCATGCTTATGGCTTTATTCTAGGTATATTCAATACCTTGCTCAATTTTTATTTAATATATTCTATGTGTATATTGATTCCAATATGAGAGTGTATTGATATGCTAGGTACTATGTCAACTTATGATTGTCTTTCTCCAGCTCTTGCTTACTTTCCTTACATACTGGTTGAGTTAAAAAGACTTCCTTCTCTACAAGAGTGATTAGTCTTACTTAAAGTATTACCGAAGCCAAATAATTCTTTTCCAAGAAAGCTGATGTGAAGATGTTATATATTACTATGTTTATCTATGCTATTATCACCATCATATTGATTCTATTCTGCAAAACCCACTTTTTCTAAGTGAATAGCTTCCTCTTTTGACCTATCCCCTACTTAGTGCTTCAAGTTAGGCTTACCAACTGAAACTGAATCCTAAACAAAGTATTAGCTCTGGGAGAAATTATGTCTCTTCTAATATACTTGGACAATTATTTCCCATTAGTTTAATAAATGATTTTCTCTGGTAAGAAAATAATGTAGCTTGAGAAATAATGGATCAGAGCTAGGCTGACTTTATTTAATTTGCCATGCAGAAGCACTAAACCATTGCCTCTAAATCAAACTATCAAGAAAGTTAAGCTTCAGTCTGTAGTAATAGCTTCATAAATTAATTCTGGTACTTCCAAGAAATGCAGGTAAATATAGTTGCTTCAATTATCTTTCCTAAATTATACAAAGGTATGTTTTTCCATGGTTCACCTGCACATGGCTTTCACATCAATACTCCAGCAAATAAACACCCAAGGACCCAGTGACTGGGTGAAAAGTAGCATCCTTGTCCTCTCCAATCTTATTCTTCTTATCTCTCAACCTTGCAATCTCCTCCTTGTCTTAGTAGTATCTTTCTTCTCTAGTTACTGATTAAAACATCCCCCAGATAAGAAGAATGAAACAAGTAATACAGTCATAAGGAACCCGAAGGAATCCAGTAGTACAACAAGGAGACCACCCGTTCAGCATAGCACCTCTGGACCACGGCAGTTCTTCCCACATTCCCAAATCGCACCACCATCAGGGCAGGACCTTTGCTTCCTACAGGCAACTCATTTCCAAGATAAAGGAAGAGGAAGAGGTAGACGATGGCATGCTCACTTTCTGCTGTTAAACTTATCAGCTAAATAAAGACCAGGCAGAGAGACGTCAGGAGGGATTTGATATCCCTTCACTTGGAAATAAACATCAGGAGTGGAGAAACAAATGCTCAACACTCCCCAACACTTTTTGGAGTATTTATATCTTTTTTCTTTCTTTCTTTCTTTTTTATTGTAAATTTAGGGGGAGCAAGTGTAGCTTTTTCACGTGGACATATTGCATAGTGGTGAAGCCATCATCCAAATAGTCAACATTGTACCCATTAAGTAATTTCTCATCCCTCACCCCCTTCTCACTGTCCCACCCCTCCCAGCCTCCAGTGTCTATTATTCCACACTCTATGTCCACGTGTTACATTATTTAGCTCCCACTTATACATGAGAGCATGCAGAATTTGACTTTTTCTGTTTCTGAGTTATTTCACTTAAATAATGACCTCTAGTTCCACCCAGGTTGCCGCAAAAGACATGACTTCATTCTTTTTTATGGCCAAATAGTATTCCATAGTGTGGAATATATATATATATCTCCAACTTTCATATATATATATATCTCCAACTTTCATATATATATATATATATGCACATAGGACATTTTCTTTATCTAGTCATCCATTAATGGACACTTAGGATAATTCCATATCTTTGCTATTGTGAATTATGCTGTGATAAACATATGAGTACAGGTATCTTTTTGGTATAATAATTTCTTTTTCTCTGGGTAGATCTCCAGTAATGAGATTACTGGATTGAGTAGTAGTTGTATTTTTAGTTGAGAAGTCTCCATATGGTTTTCCATTGAGGTTGTGCTACTTTCCATTCCCACCAACCATTCCCGGTGTATAAGCCTTCCCTTTTCTCTGCATCCTCACCAACATCTCTTTTTTGTCTTTTTAATAATAGCCATTCTGACTGGTATGAGATCGTATCTCATTGTAGTTTTAAATTTAATTTCTCTGATTATTGGTCATATAGACCATTTTTCATACGCTTCTTAGTCATTTTGTATGTCTTCCTTTGAAAAATGTCTATTCACGTCCTTTACCCACTTTTCAATGGGGTTATTTGTTTGTTTTTTGTTGTTTGTTGTTGAAATGTTTGAGTTCCTTCTAGAGTCTGGATATTAGTCCTTTACTAGATGCACAGTTTGCAAATATTTTCTCCCATTCTTCAAGATGTCTGTTAACTCTATTGACAATTTATTTTGCTGTGCTAAAGCTTTATAGTTTAATTACGTCCTACTTGTCCAGTTTTGCTGCATTTGCTTTTAAGGTCTTAGTCATGAATTCTTTGCCAAGGCCAATGTCCAGAAGAGCTTTTCCTAAGTAGCAGTTTTATACACCAATAACAATCAAGCTGAGAACTGAATCAAGAAGTTAATTCCATCTACGATAGCTACAAAAAAAAAAAAATCTTGTAATATATTTAGCCAAGGATGTGAAAGATCTCTACAAGGAAAACTGCAAATTGCTGAAGAAAGTAACTGCAGATGACACAAACAAATGGGATAACATCCTATGCTCATGGATTGGAAGAATCAATATTGTTAAAATGACCATACTGCCCAAAGTACTCTACAGACACAATGCAATTCTTATCAAAATACCAATGTCATTTTTCACAGAAATAGAATTCATATGGAACCAAAACAGACCCTGTGTCACCAAAGCAATCGCAAGCAAAAAGAACAAAGCTGGCAAACCTGGAGGGATCACATTACCTGGCTTCAAACTATATGACAAGGCAATAGTAACCCAAACAGCACGTTACTGGTATGAAAATGAAACATGCCGGATGCGGTGGCTCACCCCTGTAATCCCAGCACTTTAGGAGGCCAAGGCAAGTGGATCACCTGAGGTCAGGAATTCGAGACCAGCCTGGCCAGCGTGGTGAAACCCCCATCTCTACAAAAAATTAACTGGGTGTGGTGGCACATGCCTGTAATCCCAACTACTCAGGAGGTTGAGGTAGGAAAATCGCTTGAACCCAGGAGGTGGAGGTTGCAGTGAGCCGAGATCGCACCATTGCACTCCAACCTGGGCAACAAGAGCGAAACTCCGTCAAAAAAAAAAAAAAAAAAAAAAAAAGAACACATCGATCACTGGAACAGAATAGAGAACCCAGAAATAAACCACATACCTACAGCTTACTGATCTTAGACAAAGTCAACAAAAATATACACAACGAAAGGATACCTATTCAATAAACAGCTGGGAAAATTGAATTGGCACATGCAAAAGAAAATAACAGGACCCCTATCTCTCACTATACATAAGAATAACTCAAGATGGATTAAGGACTTAAATGTAAGACCTGAAACTTTAAAAATACTGTAGTATTTATTTCTTTATCACTTTCTTCATCTTCCTTGCCAAGCACAAGTACTTTTATATCTGGTCTGCCTAGTCCTGTTACCTACCCAATCTAGATTTGATCAAATTCAGTTACTGTAACTGCACCATAGGGAAGATCACTTTATTGAGTCATAATTTATTTATTAAATGGCCATCTAGTACCTAATAATAATAATATTAATACCTATACCTATCATTTATTTAGTATATACTCTACGTTATGGCTATTCCACCTGCCTTACATAAATTACCTCATTTAATCCTGAAAATTACAATTTACATTGAAGAAACTTGTCTGATTCCAAAACCTATAATCTCATGTTCGTTAGAATTATTTTGTTGCAAGCAAGAGAAGGTGATTTTGAATAGCTTAAGTAGAAGAGGAATTGTCATAAGGATTTGGAGCAGTTCACAGCAGTGGAGGGAACACAGAAGAACCAGAAATAACAACAGGTGAAGAACTGCTGAAATAAATAATCAGAAGTGATTGCCCAATAGGCAGTGTCACCTTCTGGGGTGATGAAAAAGTTTTGAAACTAGAGATAGGTGGTGGTTACACAACATTGTGAATGCACTAAATACTACTGAATTATTCACTTTACAATAGTTAGTTGCATATTATGTAAATTTTACCTCAATGAAGTTGAAAAAGAACTAGTATACTGTCTCTATAGGGTGTTGTCTCTGTGACCAATCACCTCCAACAAATTTCAGGGGTTTTAAAATCTCTGAAATTCAGGGAGAGAGTGTACAGCTGACCTAGCACACACCATACCTTGGGCACCAGGAATAACAGCCCTAATAGATGATATTTAACAGGGACAATAGTATTTCCCATAGAGAAACATTGGGATGCTGTTTTAGAAAAAGAAAAATAGAAATTGAGTGACAAATATATAGGTATATATTTTCTCTAACAGCTCTTAATCACTATGATATATTTCCTCCTTACTAAGCCAGGAATTGTGCTAGGCCCTAGAAGCCATAAATAAGCAAAATGCAGTCATTATTCTCACTGATAGCAACAGGTTTTGAAGTAAAATGAACACTTTAAGGACAAAGAAATTGGGTAATGTTGGAGGTGAGTAACTGATAGATCTGAAATTAAAGGTAAGAGAAGGTACTAATTTCCTTGTTACTAGTAAATAAACTGTTTTAAGCATTTTATTTGGAAAGCTGCTTTTTCCTAGAAAACTCAGGAGTAAAATTCTACCACTTCCTTGAGTGGAAGGAAATGGAATGAAGAAAGAGCAGAGAGGATAGCATCTTAAAGTCAGGAAACTAAGATTTTGAAAGCAGTCTAGGAGAGACCATGTACTTGAAAACAAGTGAAGTGTTATCATCTTAGCATAAAACTGACCTACAAGAGAGATGTCAAGGGATTACATAACTACAGGAAAATGTCAAAGGATTATACTGCTGGCTCCTGAAGAAACAAGGCACTGGTTTGACTCAGCCTCAGTTAATCTCAGGATTAACTCAGAGCCAGTGTTCACATAATGTAGGAGGTAGAAAAAAATAAGCTTCCATAAGTCTGGATGGAAATACAGCCATAATTGGCCATAGGACACATGAGCAGACTGGAGAAGATAATTAAGCCCAGGACAGGATAACCTGGGGCCCATGGGTTAGGTCCTTTAGATGTGTTGGGCATGAGCCTTCCACATCCAGAGGATACAGGACAAGAGCGACCACTAAGGCCCCAATTTGATGCAGCCCACCTGAAACACAACAGAGCAACAGAGAGTCCCAGCAGGAGCCCATACCTCCATGTTTGATCTTAAAGAAACAAGAATGCTACTATACCCGCCCTGGTAACAAGGACAGTCTAAATGTTCCTTGGCCTACTTTGGCCTCAGTGACCCCAATTCTAAGGTGAGGAAAGCTTGGAAAGCCTAAATGGGTCCAACAAATGTTATTGCTTTTTTGTACCCACGTGCTGAATAAATTGAAAAACAAAATTAAATAGTGACAGGTGGGAGGTCAAAATATTATCTTTATTATCTATAAAGCTTAAGTCAGAGGGCCTAGCTGGTGTGAGAATGAAACGAGCAAGGACTAGACAGACTTCCCTATTCAGGGGTCAAGTCTGGCAGGCCTCCCTGTTGCAGCAGAAGAGCTTGTTCCTGGGGACAGCTGTGGAACATCTGTTCTCTCTGAGCAGCTAGATCCCCAAAGTAAGAAAAGCGTGACTGAGTGAGCTACCTGTATTAGGAGAAATTTTACCTTGCCTAATGGTAGTCTCCAAGTACAATACCACACAAACTATCTAAAAAGTTACAGAACAACAAGTCTTATGTATCATGTTAAGATGCTCAACTCATGCAATGTATTAAATCAATTTTAAAACATATAGAAACAAGCAGAGGAACAAGATGGGATAAGATATGGTGGATATGGAAGGACCACACTACTGAGTCCAGGATTATGCAACGTTCATATGTCCTATTTCTCTCCACATCAGCCTTTCCTGCTGATGCTGTGATTACAAAGACCAGGGTTGAGACTGAACAACAGGTCCCAACAGGTAGATAGTGCCTGGAGCCAACACGTGCTTGTGGTATTGGAGAAATGAGGACGCAAGTATGCTTGGCCACAGCTGTAGCTATCTACAACCTACCGAGCAGCCAGGCCTTATTTCTGAATTTCCGCATCAGCATACAGTTGGGGCCAGACTTTGTGTCACCAATAAATGGTTGATTTAGGAATGATTTGGTTGTCACTGTAGACGTAACATGTTCTGTGCTTTGCTAATATTTAATATTTACTTGGTTCTTCCATTTCTATCTACAGGCGGCACTCTCATTTGTTCCATTCTTCATCTATGTTCGACCCACATCTTTCACTTATTTTGTCTTAGACAGGTTATACAAGCTTCCAACTTCACAATTTGTAACAAATGGAGACTATCAGTTTCATCCATCCCATTACTTTTCTGGGTTTTGTTTTTGGTGCAAAATTAAATATTCTCAAATATAACATTAAATACATGATATACAACTCTAATTATTCTTTCCCAAATTTGCTAATAAAATAAATGATCCTGGAATGAGTGAAGAGAATCCAGGAGTTATATTAATTGAGTTTCCTAGACACAGAAGCAAACTTTAAGATGTCAGAGGAAGTATTACCCTGTAAAAATAAGGTTAGGCTGTGATCTTTAGATTCTCTCAGATAATTATGTTCTATATACAGATGAGATATTCTCCAGTTTTTACAATGTGATGAAAATATATATCACATAAATCTGTAAATGAAGCACTATGAAAGAACCTACTGTTTATTCAGGTTTGCTCAATTTGCAAAGGAATGAAAAAGGATAAAACAAAGTGATTCTAGAAACCATAGACTCTATTTCTGTTTACCGAAGGAAGTGGTAGGTGTATTCTCCATAAGTGAGACATTATTCCGGAATTATGTAAATTATTCACCAAACATTGCAAAGCACTCTGACTTCTCAGAAATATTTTAATTCTATGGCAAAAAAATTAAATTGTCTTTTCAACTGACTCATACTCTAAATTTAATTGTAGGTTTATTTGCTAGGAGAGATTCTAAGAAATGTATGATACTATTTGGTATGTGGCCACCTTTTTGCCATATTACTTTGAAAGTTTAATAAAACCAATGCTTCAATAAGTATGTAATGGTAAAATATTAAAATTATTTGTACTCCTAAATATTTGCTTATCATTTAATTGTATATGAATATAATTAAACAGTTATTTAACTACTATAATTACGGCAACAACACAAAACATACTCCTTGATATTATACAATGAATACCTAGACTTTACAGATATAAACTTCCCATTTTCTTTTCACTTTGCCAGATGATGGAAGAAAATGGTAGCTTTTTAGAAAACAACAAATGGAATCAGAGTCTGGACAAAACTAAGCAACTTCATGTTTGTTTTAGTTCAGATTTCAGATAATTTTCTTTTTTTTTTTTTTCCTAAACTCCCCAGCTGGTTCTGCTCTGTAATGCCCTTGCTTCCAACTTTGGCCTTTCTTCCCCTTTCTTTTCTAAACATCCTGCCTTATGTCCCATTCTATGGGTGTCCTAGAGAGTGACTGGTTATAGAATGAGATAAACTTGTTCAGTTCTGATGTTGAACGTTAATTCATGCCAAGTTGCTGAATCTGGTGACAATTTTATATTTCTCATCTCTTACTCCTAAAGTGTTATTTTGGCATTAACCCATAGTGGGATAAATCAAAGGAATGAATAACATGAAGAATAAAAATATGCTAGGATAGAAAACAGTGATTTTTTTGTGGGGTTTTGTTCGTTTGTTTTTACAGGTAAAATGGCTTTTGATGGTACTCAAGTCAGAAACAGAAGCAGATACCTTGTTTTGCCTGTGAATGAGGATGCTCACTCAAGGGCACGACCTGGACATCAGCTGAGCAGCACTGACTCTGCAGTTGGCTGGGCTTTGGTCTATTCCCTAGAACCCAATTCTAATCAGGCCAAGTTTTGTGGATTGTTTTTGGATGTTTTTGTTAACCTTTCCCTCTTTATTGTCCTCAGATGGCTTCCTCAACCTGGGGAAGTCATCAAAAGCCAAGATCAGACAGAGGAGCCCAGATTCATGTACTTACCTACAAACAACTTAGAACAATCCATTCTCTGTTTCCTTCGTTTTATGACAAGAATAATGATGCTGGCCGGGCGCAGTGGCTCACGCCTGTAATCCCAGAACTTTGGGAGGCTGAGGCGGGCAGATCACCTGAGGTCCGGAGTTTGAGACCAGCCTGACCAACATGGAGAAACCCCGTCTCTACTAAAAATACAAAATTAGCCAGACGTGGTGGTGCATGTCTGTAATCCCAGCTACTCGGGAGGCTGACGCAGGAGAATCGCTTGAACCCAGGAGGTGGAGGTTGCAGTGACCCAAAATCACACCACTGCACTCCAGCCTGGGCAACAAGAGCAAAACTCCATCTCAAAAAAACAAACAAACAAAAAGAATAATGATGCTTTTCATACTTCACACTGGTGTTGTGACAAGAAAATAATGTAAAAATATTTGCAAAAATGCCAAAATCCCATATGCCCATATGCAAGAAATTACTAATTTTATCTTAAATTATAGCTTGCTACTAAAACTGCTACTAACAAGCAAAATACATGGAAAAATTTTGAGCTTAAACTAAGCTTTTAAAAAATTAAAATGGGGGAGAAGAAATGGTAAAGTATAGGTCAAAGAATACAAAATAACATATGTAGGATGAACAAGTTTAGAGCTCTAATGTACGACATGAGGACTAAAGTTAATACAATCGTGTTGTATTAGGAACTTTTATTAAATAAGTAGATTTTAGCTGTTCTTGTGACACACAGAAAAGTAACTATGTGAAATTATATATATGTTAACTCGTCACTATAGCAACCATTTTACTAAAGAAATGTACCCCATCACATCATGTTGTCAACACAAATATATACAAATATACACAATATACACAATAAAATTGATTTTCAAAAAATATATACACAATAAAATTTATTTTTAAAAAAATAAAAGTGAACAAATGGAGAAGAAAATTAAATGACTCTCGCTTTTGTAGCACCATAGTGGAAAGCAGTTAGCCCCTCTACTGGATCTGTGCTGATCTGAGATAATATGATTATTCTGGCCTGGCTTTTTCACAGCTCAAGCATTTGACAAACTGAAAATCTGTTGTATTTTTCCTTTAGGAAATGTTTATTCTAATACTCAAAGTCTCTGAAATTCTCATGTGTCTACTCAATAGATTTACTTTATGATATCCAACTTTCTTTAACAATTCTGTTTGTATATTCCACATATTGCTATTTGCCCCAATGACATGTATATTTATGTCTAGCATTACATGTTAAACAGATACCTAGGATGATAGCCGCCTTCTGGATAAGTTCTGAAAATAACATTCAATCATTTGTTCATTGCCATATCTCAGTAACTTGTAAAAAATCACCATGATGTTAACTAATAGTAACATGAATGGTTAAGAGGTTAGTGTACTTATTTATCCATGTATAAACTTCCTTCTAATGAAGTAAACATAATAATCCTAAAAGGGTAAATAATGCATCTTTGTCCTGGAATATCTGTCACTAAAATATGGTGGAAACACCAGAAACAAAACAAACAAAAAAAAACTTTCTATTTAAGACTTTGCATTTCTCCAACACATTATTTTTAAAGCCTTTTGTAAGTGTTCTACATGGCTCCCAATATGAATTAGAGTAGAGCAGGAAAACATTCCAATTTAACTGTAGCAAAGAAACAGAGAGGAACTAATATATAAAGTATTTGAGAGCCTAAAGATAGATGATAGACGAAGTTACGACATCAGAACAAAAAGTGCTTGAGTTTCATTTTTATAAACCAAAGCTTTCTAAGCTAGTGTCATAATAGGAAAGGAACAAATTCTTTATTATTTCCAACCATTATAAGCTCTGCTTCTCTAATTGTTTACTTGCCTGTCTAACCTGCAACCTGCAGACTGCCCTTGGACATGTCCACAGATTTGTGACCTCATATGTTCTCTCTCTTAAAAAACTCTCCGACATTGCTTTTTCCAAATTACTTTCACTACTTACCATTGTTCTGTGAGAATATAATTAGGTCCGATGTGTTATAGCATTTAGTGTAAGATTTGTTTGAAGTGATTGTGATCTAATCTTGCTAAAGATAGTTGAGAACTCCTAATTTCTTAATTTCTCCGATGGTTTTATGTGAGAACGAGGGTTTGTTTTGTGGCAGGCTTGGCCCAATAAGGAATTATTGGGTCAGGACAAGCAGACCCACTGGGCCTAGACAAAAGGGCCAAGAAAGTCTAAAGAACAGGAAACATGAGGAAGCCCAGCAGTCAGGCAGTTGCCGTTCCAGATGGTTAATGCTAAATCGCAGACAGAGTCTTGGGGAAAGGCAGAAGGAAGCTTGGAATGATGGAGAGATAATGGCAGAAGGGCACAGAGACCCAGCCTCAGATTTTGAGGTCCTACATCTCCTGAATAGGGTGCAAAGCCCAAAAATAAGATTCCAATTCAGAAAGAAATGGGTCGCTGGGAAGGAAATAAAGGCATGGACCATCTCATGAGAGTCAAGTCAGGCACAAGCAATGAAAAATGATGGCTGCATCCTAAGATCAAACCCAGAATTTAGGTATCCAACCAAAACAATGAAAATAGAAAAGCCAAGAGCAGAGTCTTCATGTTAACAATGCCTATCAGAGTTCCTTGCATACAATTGTTTAATAAATTGAATTTTCTCTGCCAGTTTCCTTCCTGAGGCCAAGACAAAAAAATCAATGACTCAAATTATTGAGACAAGAAACTATATCCATTCTAGCACCAGGCCATCTCTCACTCCTCTGAGCTATTATAGATTAATTCAAATTCAAATTAATTCAAATCAATAGTATATCCATGGAGTCTGGGAGGAGCCACAGATCTCCACAAGACAGTACTCCAGGTAGTCACCACCAACAGATTGGTATCAGCCCCAGGTGAAAGCTAATGCACACATAGCAACTCCTTCCGTGCAACATGCTCCCAGATAATTGTAGACCAAAGCTCGAAGGCTTTATTATTCTTGCCCCTTACTGATGAGTGATGTCATACTGGTTATGAGCCTGGTTCTAAATATGAGTGCACTTTGCTTATTAATTAGTGTCACCTAATTCTGGACTAACACTTCTAGGAAAATGTCTATAGTGTTCTTTACCTTGACTATCAGCACTATGCTCACAATCATCTCCCTGTTTTCAATTGGGTAGGTATATTATGAGTAGAACTGTTTCCCCCAAAAAACATATACTGAAGCCCTACCCCCCACCCATATCTCAGAATATGGCCTTATTTGGAAATAGCATCTTTACAGAGATAATCAAAACAAGATCATTAGGGTGATCCCTAATTCAATATGACCAGACTCCTCCCAAAAAGAGGAAATGGGGTTTGGGTTTTTTTTTTATTTTTATTTTTTTTAACTTTTATTTTAGCTTCAGGGGTACACAGGCATGTTTGTTTTGTAGGTAAATTGCCTGTTGTGGGAGTTCGGTGTACAGATTACTTAATCAACCAGGTAATAAGCAAAGTACCTGATAGGTAGTTTTTCAATCCTCACTCTCCTCCCACCTTCCACCCTCAAGTAGGCCCCAGTGCTTATTGTTCTCTTCTTAGTGTCCATATGAACTTGATGTTTAGCTCTCACTTATAAGTGAGAACATCCAGTATTTGGTTTCCTGTTCCTTTACTTAGGATAATGGCCTCCAGCTCCATTCATGTTGCTGTAAAGGACATGATCATATTCTTTTTTGTATCATGTGTTCTTTATATAGTCTAACACTGATGAGCATTTAGGTTGATTCCATATCTTTGCTATTGTGAATAGTGTGACACTTGTGTACTCATGTTCATGTGTCTTTTTGATAGAACAATTTGTATTACTTTGAGTATATACCTAATACTGAGATTGTTGGGTTGAATGGTAATTCTGTTTTAGGTTCTTTAAGAAATTGCCACACTGCTTTCCACAATAGCTGAACTAATTTACATACCCACCAGCAGTGTATAAGCATTCCTTTTTCTCTGCAACCTTGCCAGCATCGTTTTTTTTTTTTTTTTTAATTTTAGTAGTAGCCATTCTGACTGGTGTAAGATGGTATCTCATTGTGATTTTAATTTGCATTTCTCTAATAATTAGTGATGTTGGCCCTTTTTTCATATGCTTGTTGGTCACTTGTATATCTTCTTTTGAAAAGTGTCCATTCATGTCCTTTGTCCATTTTTTAATGGGGCTATTTTTTTTTGTTGCTTGTAAATTTGTTTAAGTTCCTTATAGATTCTGGATATTTGACCTTCATCGGATGTATAGTTTGCAAATATTTTCCCCTACTCTGTAGTTTTCTGTTTACTCTGTTCATAGTTTATTTTGCTGTGCAGAAGCTCTTTAGTTTAATTAGGTCCCACTTGTCAATTTTTGTTTTTGTTGCAATTGTTTTTGGTGTCTTTGTCATGAAATCGTTGCCTGGTCTTATGTCCAGAATGGTATTTCCTAGATTACCTTTCAGGGTTTTTATAGTTTTAGGTTTTAAGTCTTGACTCCATCTTGAGTTAATTTTTGTGTATGGTGTAAGAAAGGGGTTCAGTTTCAATCTTTTGCAGATGGCTAGCCAGTTATCTCAACACCATTTTTTGAATAGGGAGTCCTTTCCCCATTGCTTGTTTTTGTCAACTTTGTCAAAGATCAGATGGTTGTAGGTATGTGGCCTTACTTCTGGGCTTTTCATTCCGTTGCACTGGTCTAGTGTCTGTTTTGGTACCAGCCTCATGCTGTTTCGGTTACTGTAGCCTTGTAATATAGTTTGAAGTCTGGTAATATGATGCCTCCAGCTTTGTTCTTAAAAAGAGGAAATTTGCACACAGATATACACACAGGGAGGACGCCAGGTGAAGATGAAGTCAGAGTATAAAGGTAATACATCTAAAAGCTTAGGAATGCCAAATACAGCCAGAAAACCAAAGAAGCTAAGGAAGGAACAGGGAACAGATGCTTCTTTATAGCCCTCAGAAGGAACCAACCCTGCCAATACCTTGATGTTGGATTTTCAGCCTCTAGAACTGTGAAACAATAAATTTTTCTATGGTTCTAAGCCACACAACTTGTGGACTTCACTACCAAATCCCTAGTAGTGAAGTATGATAGAAGTAGTGAAGTATGATAAAAGACCAAGATTGGTAAGTAGCCCTGGCTGTAACTAACATTGAATCATACTTTCTGCTCCAAAGTACAGATATTTCATTTTATTTCATTTTTGACAGTGTTGCCTAAGTATAAGGCATCCACAGATATGGATTCTTACTTAAAACTATTCCTGTATGACAATGACAGTTTCAAAGTTCACAACATGTTGTTTCTGTAGATACTACTCTAGAAGATGTCCAAGTCCTGACACAGGTTAAACACATCAGAACTTAAGTAGTATCTCATCAACTGGCTCATGGTCTTGCATTGAACAGGTAGCAGCATCACCTGAAGGGCTTGTTAAACCAAATCACTGGGTCCTCACTCCAGAGTTTCTGATTCTGTAGGTCTGGGCCCCTGAAGTTTGCATTTCTTACAAGTTCCAGGTGACAACAAGGCTGCTTGGTCCTGGGACAACTTTAAGAACCCCAGCCCTCTGAATTGTTGCAATTACTCATAAACAACCTTTTTTTCTGGATAAGATGTCTGTATTCTCATTACCTAATGAATGCAGAGGAGGAGGTCTACGGACAGCAACTTTTCTTCTAATTCTTCTATATCCACTATGTAAACGGCCATCCCTAATTCATTCATTAAAAGAGAGAGAAACCTAAACTCCAACACAACTAATAGTCCTCTGGGCCACCATTAGCCTCTTCCAGAGTAGAAAGAGCTATGTCAGTGAATATGAAAAACTATTTTTGTGTGTATTAGAATATTTTTGTGAGTATTAGAAGTACCCTCTCTGCATAAGCATTTTGATGAGAGGTGAGCCTTGGCTAGTGCCATGTGCAATGCTCAGCGCTGGTCACTATGCATGGCAGCTCTAGGCTAGTGAGTCAAGGGTGGGCCAAGAGAGCCATGTTAGAAACCACATGTTTGTACAGTCCTGAGTGAGAATTATAAGAATGAGAGAATGTGACATCCAAAATGAGTATAAGAGCAAGGGTCAGAATCTGAACAGATTATATCCAGCTGGTTGAGGCCCACTTGATCTAGGACCAAGTCAGAGTCCTTGACCAAGTGGGCCTCACCAGCTGGACATAATCACACCCTGCCCCAGTATTTAAGGATTTTGGAGTCAGACTGGCCTGAATAGGAATCCAGTTGTGTGATTTTGAGTAACTAAGCTCTCTAAAATTCAATTTTCTCATCTTTAAAATGTGGACAATATTATCTTTATTAAAAGGATATCATGAGTTAAAGTCTATAATGTATATTTTAGGTTAGACTTTTTTACACCCCCTCCCTATCACTGCTTCCACAAACGACTTCCCATCACCCACCCCATCCACTTCCTCAGGCACAACCCATAACCCCAGCGAGGATAGCAGCTGACAATATGTCAAAACTCACTAGTTGTGTTGGAGTTTAGGTTTGTCTACGTTTTAATGATTATCAGTAATCACCACCAGAGAAGTCCATTGGAAAGTAACACTTCCAAATAGTATATCCCTTCCCACAAGAAGAACCCACTGCCTAACCACCCGATGGATACCATGAAAGTTCATACCTTGGCCAGGACAGGAAGTTATTGTGGTCTGTAGCTATCATTGGAATTTCAAAGTGGCAACTGCAGATGAATATATAAACCCTAACATACCTTGAGTAAAATTAAAAAAAAAAAAAAGGTAAGCCCAGCATAGTAGTGCACACTTGTAGTCCCAGCTGCTGCAGAAGTGGGAAGGTTGAGAGGATTGCATGAGGTCAGGAGTTCAAGGCCAGTCTGTGCAAAAGAATGAGACCACCTCTATTAAATAAAAAGTGATACTTAAGATGAAACATTTAAATAGGAGCATTCTGGATAATTCAGAAGACCCGATTTTTTAAAAAAAATTCTTGCTTTCAATAGGCATTTTTTCTTGCATCCTTTACCATTACTAAAAGCAGCAGCAGCTGTTAAAGTAAATAGGGACTTAAAATCAGGCTGTGCGGAGTTGGAGCATAGAACAGGGAGGCAATGCTTCTAATGATTATTCTTTTTTATTTTTCCAAATAACTTTGAAAACACACGATAACCTACATTTTACAGCAAATGAAGATACTGGACCGGGGGAAAATAACTTGCCCCAGGATATAAATCAGAAAGGTTGGAAGTGGAGGTTAAAAGAGGTCTATACCAACACTCCAGGCGCTGCACTGCACCCATCAAAGAACATTGGCAGGGTGAAGAGCCAGGACTCATCCAAAGAGCAGTGAGAGCCTCATTGATCCAAATGATGCAGCAAGGAAAACTGTGAGAAATAAGCCAGGGGTAAGGATTCAAAGCAAAAACACATCTCCGAGAAGGCTAAAGAGGTTTACGGAAAGGCTTACCCTCCTGGAATGAACGAGCACCACATGGTACTGGGCATTTCACTATTTCCACAGGGCCTTAAAATACTGACACAAACCTCTTTACTCTGAGAGGACATTGCTGCACATTGCTAAACACGTTTCTCTAAAAGGTAAGTCCTCTGAGAACAGGGCTTATGTCCCCCTTTGTATTCTTAGACCAACTATGGGCAAACTGAACCACTCTTGTCCTCCTCCAAGAAGATGTTACTCACTGATGGGCATTTGGGTTGCTTCCAAGTCTTTGCTATTGTGAATAGTGCTGCAATAAACATACATGTGCATGTGTCTTTATGGTAGAATGATCTATAATCCTTTCGGTATATACCCAGTAATGGGATTGCTGGGTCAAATGATATTTCTGGTTCTAGATCCTTGAGGAATCCACCACACTGTCTTCCACAATGGTTTAACTTATTTACACTCCCACCAACAGTATAAAAACGTTCCTGTTTCTCCACATCCTCTCCAGCATCTGTTGTTTCCTGACTTTTTCTAACTGGCATGAGATGGTATCTAATCGTGGTTTTGATTTGCATTTCTCTAATGACCAGTGATGATGAGGTTTTTTCATGTTTGTTGGCCACATAAATGTCTTCTTTTGAGAAGTGTCTGTCCATATCCTTTGCCCACTTTTTGATGGGGTTTTTTCTTGTAAATTTGTTTAAGTTATTTGTAGATTCTGGATATTAGCCCTTTGTCAGACGGATAGATGGCAAAAATTTTCTCCCATTCTGTAGGTTGCCTGTTCACTCTGATGATGGTTTCTTTTGCTGTGCAGAAGCTCTTTAGTTTAATTAGATCTCATGTGTCAATTTTGGCTTTTGTTGCCATTGCTTTTGGTGTTTTAGTCATGAAGTCCTTGCCCATGCCTGTGTCCTGAATGGTATGGCCTAGGTTTTCTTCCAGGGTTTTTATGGTTTTAGGTCTTACGTTAAGTCTTTAATCCATCTTGAGTCTTTAATCCTTTCCCTATTGCTTGTTTTTGTCAGGTTTGTCAAAGATCAGATGGTTGCAGATGTGTGGCATTATTTCTGAGGCCTCTGTTCTGTTCCATTGGTCTATATATCTGTTTTGGTACCAGTATACTGCTGTTGTGATTACTGTAACCTTGTAGTATAGTTTGAAGTCAGGTAGCATGATGCCTCCAGCTTTGTTCTTTTGGCTTAGGATTGTCTTGGCTATGTGGGTCTTTTTTGGTTCCATATGAAATTTAAGGTAGTTTTTTCTAATTCTCTGAAGAAAGTCAGTAGTAGCTTGATGCAGATAGCATTGAATCTATAAATTACTTTGGGTAGTATGGCCATTTTCACGATATTGATTCTTCCTATCCATGAGCATGAAACGTTCTTCCATTTGTTTCTGTCCTTTCTTATTTCCTTGAGCAGTGGTTTGTAGTTCCCCTTGAAGAGGTCCTTCACATCCCTTGTAAGTTGTATTCCTAGATATTTTATTCTTTTGTAGCAATTGTGAATGGGAGTTTACTCATGATTTGGCTATTATTGGTGTATAGGAATGCTTGTGATTTTTGCACATTGATTTTATATCCTGAGACTTTGCTGAACTTGCTTATCAGCTTAAGGAGATTTGGGGCAGAGATGATGGGGTTTTCTAAATATACAATTATACATGGCTCTAAGTGACCCATTGATGATGTCGTGGTGTCCATCTGGTGACACAGTTAAGCTGGTGTGGATAGTAACAGACAGTTTCAAGGACATTGTTATGCTTTTGTTATTAATGTGTGACTTTGATGATGGTATTACTTTTAAAGGCAAGAATTTGAAGTATTGAATAGAAATTGTGTAGACATACAACATCCCGGCCTAATTCTGAGAACACTGTTCATCTAAAAGAGCCAGCCATTCTGGATAAAGAGTCATTTATTATGGCTGCTGAATAAATGGGTTATTTTGGAATATTAACATTATTCTCTAGTGCCCAGCATAGTATCTTATTACATCCACTTTATCCTAGGCATGTCGCAATCACTTCTGCCTCTCTACTGGTTCTCTAATGCAAACTGCCCAACGTCCCTCTACTGCTCACTTTGGTATAATGGAGAGCATTCAGCATTTCAACACAGGAGACCGAGATCTGGGTTCTACTTCTGTCACTTACTAACTCAGGCAAATTGCTGAACTTCTTTGCAAAGTAATATTTAAAATAACCATGACTGTCTTTACTTATCATAAAGTATTAGTGAGGATCAAACAAGATAATGTGCATAAAAGAGTAAAGCTCAATGTAAATGATTTATTAGCTACATTCAAGGTTTTTCTTAACTTCTGAAATCTCAACAGAACTTTACTGAATTATGTAGGTCCATATTTATCTCACACATATCTCATCCTATGTGAAAAAAATCTATCAATCTTCATTACTTTGTCTTTCAGCCACCAACTTTCTTATATTTTCTTCTGATCCTTTCTCGTGTGTGTGCAATGTCATAGCCTACCAATGAAAATGGTATGTGTACTTCCTTTGTAACTACAACAATCCTAAACAAAGAATAGATATTCAAATACTCGTGGAATAGAAAAAAATAAATATGTATGTATATATAATTCTACATTTGGACTTATAGTGAAGCAGAGATATAAAAAAAGTCAGAAAAAGAAAAAATAGCATAAACACAGGATCAAATATAACACCATTTTTCATGGCTGGTTTTAATGGGCCAGCTGCTCTTTGTTGAAGTAACAGAAATGTGGCAGAAAGATGAACAAATAGGCAAAAAACTGCTGTCATTTTCTTTCACAACAACTTTGAAAACATTAACTCAGGAATATCATAAGTGATACGATGATATGATTTTTGTCACATATATTGACTGGAAGAAAGCAAATGAAATACAACATGTTTTTAATGAAGCAATTTTGCAATTAAAATGGGGACATTTATGACAAAGGGAGCCCTTTATCACACCGCCTCAGGGTCACATAAGAATTTCCTATAGACTTGAATTGATTCTTTCCAGTGCTTTCAGCAGCTAGAATTGTTAAAAAAAAAAAAAAGGATTTCTCTTTTGTGGCCCTGAGCCTCAGCATTAGTGGAATAATGCATCCTGTATTATAGAACTGCCGTATTCCCTCTTTAAAATCACTTATGCCATTGCTTGGAGAAATGGGACTGCCTGGAGCAGCTGATGACAGGAACATCACCTGTCCTGGCTGTACCTTCTCAGATTTCTAGAAAATTAGCCATTACCATTTTTGTTGTTGTTACTTTAGAGCAATCAACCTTCTGAGAGGACAGCTGTAATGAGCTCACAACCTAAAATATTCAACATTTTAATACTCCACTAGCATTTGTAACAGCCAGACCTCAAGAAGCATTGTACTACTGGGAGACAGAGATCGAAGAGGAATAATAATATTGAATACTGAGAAAAAAAATCAGTACTGTACCAAGAGAAATGAGTGAAACTGTGGAGAAATGATATTTCAACAAATTCAGCAGTACATTTTCTACCCAGACAGAAAAAGTTTATATATATAAAAAATCAACTAAAGAACTCTGAATAATCAATATCCAATCACTACCTGATTTTTCTTCAGTTTCTTTTGCCTTGTGTTATTTTTTTAATAATTTTTCATCCTATTGTGTGAAAATCCTGGTACACGTCAAGGTTAAAATATAGACCATAGTACTTGGCATTATCGGAATTGGCAATACTCTTTTTATTTCCTCCTATTTATAAACTCCTTAACAATAGGTTTTTGCTATTTCTTACTTTCTGTAATTTCTAGGTCACTAGGTCCTGATTTTTCACCTCAAATAACAAAATAATAATGTAATTAAATACACATTCACTTTATTATTCTCTATCAAAAAATATAAATATAACATGCTTACTTTTAAAAGGTCATTTATTTATTTATTCAAATATATTTAGCAAACAGCTACTATATATCAAGCACTGTGTGTGTAGGTCCTGGGAATACAGCAATAAATAAAACACAAAGTCCTTGGCCACAGGAAGCATAGGCTCTAGGGAGGTAGAAAGACAGTAAACAAATGTTGGGGGTTGGTTATGAACAAATTAATCAGGGCAAGGAGATAGCTGAGAGTGAGGGCAATGATTTGTTAAATAGGATGTTTAGGATATTCTGTGATGTGACATTTGAGGAAAGATCTGGCTGAAAAGAGGTAGGGTGCATGTCAATATTGGGGGAAAGATATCCCTCCAAGAGGAAGAGGAAGGAGGAGGAAGAAGGAATGGCAAAACGAAATGCCTAGACACAGGAAAATGCATGTTCCAGGCATTGCAGAAAGGCTGACATAGTTGGAACGTGGTGAGCAAAAGAGCATAGTGGAAAGTGAGTTTTAAGGATGGTGCCTCGTACTAGGGGTAGAAGTTGTGGGAGGGGCACAGTGGTCTGACTTGGATGCATCAGGAAAGATGAGTCTACAGGGTTGTGACAAATTCAGTATGGGATGCGGGAGGATGTAAAGAATCAAAGATGAAACTCCAAAGTTTCTGTCCTAAGCAGGTGGGTGAATGACGGGAACATTTAGTTCATTTCTCTAATTCTAACTTTGCAGTCTGCCTGCAAGCAGTAGAATAGGAAAACCTATCCAATAGACTAGAAAATACTTTGAACTATAAAATTGAGGAGGATAAAAACTCTTTCTAATTCTCCACTCTTACTTCAAACATGTCATCTACATGATTTGAATTTCATTACTTTTCTTTATTACTTTTCCCAAAGCCTGCAATCTATCATCAAGAGATTAATCTGGGTCAACTGGTTTTGCTGCTGCATTTATTTCAAATGCAAACCCACTTTTAAGATGTGGCAGGCTATTAATCATACATATTCTTCGTGAATTGCTTTAACTGTGTTGTCTTTCTCCTAACATCAAGCTATAAGATGGTGTTGAAGGGGATGGTAATCCCTAGATGGTAGACTAAGAGAAATATTTGGGGACAGATGGTACTTAAAGTAACACGCAGTTTGAAATGGCAAAATGAAATGTAGGCTTTGGAAAGCTAGAGAGCAGCACGAGTTAAGAAAGGCACAGGGATATGAGGGAACACACATGCAGTCAAGATGCTCACCATTTTTACCAGGGCCATGTTCTGCTTTCTACCAAGAAGAAAATATCTGCTCCATAGCAACAAACATTAACATTTGTTTTACAAATATTTTTATATTAATTAATAAAAGCCCTTTGATTCTTCATTGTACATGCCTCAGTGAAAAGACTTTAACAATGTTGTTATAGAGTCAGCAGACACTGAAAATTCAACGAGGTGTGATAAAAGGAACACAAGAGATCAAAGTGACAATATTTCCCAAATCAATACAGCCATAAAAAAGAATAAAATCCTATCATTTGCAACATCATGAGTGGAACTGGAGGACACTATGTTAAGTGAAATAAGCCAGGCACAGAAAGAGAAGTATTGCATGTTTCACTCATATATGGGAGATATATATATATATATATATATATGTCATGAAGTTAGAGAGTAGAATGATGGTTACCAGAGTCTGGGAAGGGTTGTGAAGAGTGAGCGATAAAGAGGATAAGATTAATAGGTACAAAAATATGGTTAGGTAGGAGAAATAAGATCTAATGTTCAGAGGCATAATAGAGCAATTGTAGTTAGCAATAATTTATTGTATGTTTCAAAATAACTAAAAGAGTGAAAATAGAATGTTCCTAACACAAAAAAATGATAAATGAGGTATGGATATGCTAATAACCTTAATTTGATCATTACACATTGCATGCTTGTATCAAAATATCACATGTACCCCATAAATACATACAACTATGTATCCTTAATAATTAAAAAATAAAATGTTTTAAGTATGCAAAGTCTGATAGGTTTGTAATTAAGAGAACGATAAGAGAGAAAATTTGAACTAATAACTGCCCATGAAAAGCCAAGCCCTCTTAATTGCCCTGCATAAGCCTTATCACACAGTAACAACTCATTACTCACTTCCCCAAAAAGAGAAGGTCCAGTTTTATTCAGCAAATCAGATACTTCATGAGTATCAACCCACAGTCACCATCAAAACACATTTCTAGTTCTATTATTAAACTGAACTTTTCCTTTTATTGAGTCTCTTCTCAGCCCTAATAATAAATACTGACTTATGGCTTTAGCTAAGAGTATATTCTAGCACTAAAAAAGCAATTGGTTTCTTCCAACAAATCTATTCAATATGAGCACCTCAACATAAAGAAGATTTTATGTACCTTGGGGCCAAAACAAAGCTGAAAAGACCAACGACCCTTAAAATCATAGGATTTAACTTGAACTTGTTCAGTGACTAGAAGTATACCAATTCTGAAGACAGAGAGAGATGCTGTCTAGTTAGTTTCTTTTTTAACTTCCTGCATCCAGTTCCCACCTACCTCCCTTACATCATCCATGTCCCCACCCATTCCTCTATGCATACACACATACACACCCTGTTGATCTCTAGGAATTCAGATTCTGCAAGCTTCCTTCTATCCTGTTTCCACTTCCTAAATCAATGTCTTATTGGAGCACTGTTCTATTGAAAATATAATACATTAACTCTTACACTATGCTGTTGAGGGGATAAAGATTGGGCATGATAAGAAAAGTTAATTCATGTTGTGGTGATTTTAAAATAGGTCTGCAAATTCCTTTGACAGTCTTGTTCTCAAAAGACAGAGTCAAATTCCCTCTTCTTGAGTGTAAGCTAGAATTAGTGACCCACATCTAATAAAAAGAATATCACAGAAGTAATGGTATATAACCTTCAAAGTAAGGTCACAGATGACATTGTGGCTTTCACCTCATTCTCTTCAATCATTCACATAATATTAATATTATGTTAATATATTTCCTTCCTGCAAATCATTTAACTCATTCCTAGGAATATTCTAATGATCTCCCTCATTAGAGAGTATTAACTTACTGTAGAAGCTTATTGTGATTTGAACAATATCAGAAACCAGATTACAATACCATAACTTTAGTTTTTCTTAAATTTTGCTTTTATATCCATTGCATTTTTGTAGTTTTCATGAAAAATTACAATAATATATTATTTTCATGAGAAAGTTCTACTTCATTGCAAATTTCACACTTTTAAACATTGACCTCTATTTGCATGTTTCAAGATATAATTAATGTATTGTCATTGTATCCTTGTAAATTTTTCATAAGGTTGACATTTTTCAAACAAGCAGCTATGAGCACAGTCAATTTTTTCTCACATTATTTAACAATTTATTTTTACTTCTTAGGAACAAAGAGGTAAACAAGTTGACCTTTATGCTTTAAATAAATTCTTTGTTCCACAAGAAGTTTCTAATATCTCAGATGTCAATTTCACCTTCCTGTAATAATGCTTTATATTATTTTTTCAAATTCTAATATAAAACACATTGCCTAATTTAGACAAAATCTAAAACCTATTCAACAACAATAAAAATAATAACTAACATTTTCTGAGCCTGCCCAAGTGCAAGGCATTGTGTTATGTGCTTTATATGTTTTCATTCTTTTAATCATCACAGCAATCCTGTGAGATAGACACAGTCATTAACACCTCCATGTAAAAGCCCATGAGAGTGTTTAAGAAGGAAAGTTTCAGGCCAGGCCAGGTGGCTCACACCTGTAATCCCAACACTTTGGGAGGCCTAGAGGAGAGGACCGTTTGAGTCCAGGAGTTGCAGACCAGCCTGGGCAACACAGAGAGACCCTTTCTACAAAAAATTAAAAACTTAGCTGGGCATGGTGATGCACAATGTAGTCCTAGCTACTCAAGACACTGAATCAAGAGAATCCCTAGAGTCAGGAGTTCAAGGCTACAGAGAGCCCTGATTGCACCACAACACTCCAGCTTGAGTGACAGACTCTGTCTAAAAAAAAGACCGAGGAGGGGAGGAGTTTCAGTAGCACTCTCTCTTGTGGAACTGGGATCCAGACAGTCTAGCCCTAGAGCCCTAGCTTCTAATGACTCCAATGCACAGGCGAAGTCTTGGCTTATCTGTGAATTTCAGTTTATCAGGGACTGAACTTTATCCGTTCAAAAATTCACGTGTTGAAGCCCTAACCCCTTAAGGTAGCTGTATTTTGATACAGGGCCTTTAAAGAGGTAACTAAGGTTAAATAAGGCCATAAGGGTGAGATCCTAATCCAGTAACACTGGTATCTTCATAAGAAAAAGAAAAGACACTAAAACTCTGTCCCTTTTTACCATGTGAGGACACAGTGAGAAGGCAGCCATCTGTAAGCCAGGAAGAGAGGCCTCAGCAGAGACCAACCCTGACAGCACCTTGATCTTAAACGTCTGGCCTACAGAACTGTGAGAAAATAAATCTCTGTTGTTTAAGCCATCCAGATTGTGGTATTTGGTTATGGCACCCTGAGCAGACTAACACACAGGTTCTTCTGCTCTCACTATATCCTTCAAACACTCTCAGATGAACCTTAAAGAGTTAATCATGATCTATTAATGCAGTCATATACCTATTATTGACTATAATTAATTGCCTATGCAATGTTCTTTCAGCCTTCTTATTCTCCAACGCATTAAAATTTACTATTCTCTTACACTAATATGAGGTTTAGCACTATAATTACCTAGCACATATTAATGTTATTAATCATGTCATCAATATAATTAAAATAAAAATGTTATCAAACCAGTATTCCTTCTTAGCTATAGAAAACAGTTAAATGTGTTATCAAGCTTTACAACCCTGGACTACTAATGTTCTTAATGCCTACTTAATTTTTAAATTAATTGGTCCTGCCTCAAAAAGACCATTTAAATATCAAGAGTTCTGACCATTCATATGACTTCAGTGCTACTATAGTTTGAATATTTTGTCCCCACCAAGCTCATATTGAAGTTTGGCCCCCAATGTGATGATGTTGAAAGGTGGTGAGACCTTTGGGAGGCACTGGGATCATGAGGAATCCACTCTTATGATGGAATTAATGCCATCTCTCAGAAGTGAGTGATTTCTCATTCTCACGGGACTGGATTCATTACTGTGAGAGTGGGTTGTTATAAAGTGAGATCACCCCTTGTGTTTTGATCCTTTCTCCCATGCTTACTTTCTCTGTCACTTCTCTGCCACATTATATCACAGCACAAGGCCCTCACAGGAAGCTGACCAGATGTGGCCACCTGATCTTGGACTTCCCAGCCTCCAGAACTATGAGCCAAAATAAACCTCTTTTCTTCATAAATTGCACAGTCTCAGGTATTCTGTCATAGCAACAAAAAACAGACTAAGACAGATGCCCTCCTGCTCTTGGCTTCATAGAGCTCTTGTATCTCTCTTCTTTACAAGGTATTGGCCAGCATCCTGGAACCTAAGCCATTGTATAGCCTTCTTGTCTCAAAATATGTACCTGCCCTAACTCACTTTCTGTTGAAGTTTTTCTCCTTGCCAGGACAGTGTACTCAGTACAGTAAATGGTTATGGGCATGAGTTTTGGAGTCAGAGGATCTGCATTTTAGTTATTTCTTCACCATGTAGTTCAGCCAGTAGAGATTGGTAAAGTTGTTTAGACTTCATATGCTTCAGCTTCCTTATTTGTTTAACATGGCAGTAACTACTTATTTATTATGAGAAATAAATACAATGAAAATCCCTTAGTGAAATGCATGGAACACTGTAAGTACTCAATAAATCATGATTATTATTAGTTGATATTTAATTAGATTAGTGTGCTTTGTTCTTTGTAAATAGGTGCTGCTGGACCTAATTCTATCTCTGAAGGTGACATATTTTAAGAAAGAATCTCTGGCTAAAATAATGTAAACCAAAGAAATTGATCAAGGCTGAAAATTTTAAGAGCTGTATAAGTTTGAAAATAAGATAAACATTTGAAAGCAAGTAGGGTTTTTAAATTCAAATTACACCAGAAAACAAGCATTTACTTCACTTAAACAGAAAAGAACCACAGGAGAATAAGGAAAAGATATGGTGGGAAGAATGTGACAAGTTCTGTTTAGGATGTAATGAGTAGGGTTTCTTGTTTGTTTTTTCCTGTGAGACTTCCAAATGGAAGTGTTCAGCAGAGGACCAGGTGAGTAGATCTGGAGGGAAAGCTTAGAATTTCAGGAGAAAGGATTTAAATCTGAACCACCAGCATAAATGCTAGTGAATGAGACTGCCCTTGGAGAATGTGCAGACTGATAAGGTAAGCAGGTGGTGGTGGAATCCTGAAACATACCAATTCATAAAACAAAAAAAGAATTTGGAAGGCCAATGTGGGAGAATCAGATGAGGCCAGGAGTTTGAGACCAGCCTAGGCTACATAGTGAGACCCTACAAAACCAAACAAACAAACAAACATTATATATATATATTGAGCTGGGACATGGGACATGGTGACACACACGTAGTTCTGGCTACTTGGGAGGCTGAGGTGAAAGGGTAGGAGGGTCACTTGAGCCCAGGAGTTAAAAGCTGCAGTGAACTATGATTGCACCACTGCACTCCAACCTGGGCAACAGAGTGAGACCCTGCCAAAAAGAGAGAGAGAGGGAGGGAGGGAGGGAGGGGGAGAGAGAGAGAGAGAAAGGAAGGAAGGAAGGGAGGGAGGGAGGGAGGGAGGGAGGAAGGAAGGAAGGAAGGGAGGGAGGAAAAAGAGCTGTCCATAAAGAGGAATGAGAAGCTTCTGAGGAATGGCAGAGGCAGGAGAGTCAAAACCAAGGGAAGCTGAGTGTTTGAAGAAGGGAGTGGTCAGTTGTGTCAAATATTGCCAAGAACACAAGTTTCACTTCAGGAAGGAGTGTTGTTAAAAACAAATGAAGCCAACCACATATTTCCACAAGGGAATATGGAAGAATGTGTATTTTGCAACCAGAAAGCAATTATAGGCTTTGGTGGAACAGTTTCAGAAAAGTGCCATTTGCTAGAGTCTTCTTGATCTTCCACAATTTCCCTGAACTCATGCACAACTTATAATCCATATTACACAATTTAGCACTTTCTTATAGTAGCATCTTTAATATTCATATTGTAAAATCATAATTAGTTTATAATTACAGGTGGCCTCAGACTTATGACGGTTCAACTTATGGTTTTTCAACTTTACAATGCTGCAAAATCAATATGCATTCAGTAAAAATCATACTTCAAGTGCTCATACAATGATTCTGTTTTTCACTTTCAGTCCAGCTTGTAATAAATTGCATGAGATACTCAACACTGTTCCATCAAATAGGCTTTGTGTTGGATGATTTTGCCCAACTGTAGGCTAATCTAAGTGTTGTGAGCATGTGTCAGGTAGGGAAGGCTAAGCTGTGACATTTTGTTAGATGTATTAAATGCATTTTCAACCTATGATATTTTCAACTTACTATGAGTTTAGGTAAACATAATCCCAGTGTGAATTAAGGAACTTCTGTATGCATCTTGCCCCCCTAAATGTATGTTATATCCTTTATTACAGTAAATTGTGTGTTTCATGACCTAGACAAATAACAAGTGATAAAAGAATGCTTGCTAATAAAATAATCAATAAAATTTCCACTGTGAATGTTAGATTGCAAGTGGACAATAGTGAGATTCTCAGTGAGCCCACTGCCATGCCCTGTGAGAAGAATCTAGGCCAAGAGTGACACTCTTTATTAACTGGCATTCTACCATCTTAGGACCCCTTTTGTAGATCATGATCTGGGATGCAAGCTCTAATGCTCCCTTCCTTTGGCCTCTAGATCTTGAGCCCAGAGGGTGCCTGTTGTAGGCCGTATAGTATACTCTAGAAATGAGGCTTGCCTGAGCCTTTGATAGGAATGTGTCTTAATACTCAAGCAGTTCCCTGTACTGATGGTTACAAAATAGGATACCCCAGGACCTTGAGAGTTTATATGGTCATGTTTTCATGTTTTTAATACATATTTCCCCAAAAAGTAAAAATAGCCCCTGAAATAATTTATAATTATTCTATGTCTGTTGGATAAGAAGTGGTAGCAGAGAAAAATAGAACAGGGTTCAACAGGAACTATCTTAAGAAGATTTTGCCTCTGAAAACCATTTGGAGAGGTGATGGGATCCCAACAGAGAGTCTTTTGCAGTCTAAGGGGTGAGTCTAAGGGACCAGGCTGTATCAGGAAACCAGAGGTGAGAAACCCCCAGTGACGTGGGGTCTCTGAGAAACACACAAAATGCCCTAAGTCCGTTTCACTGCCAAGGAGAAAAAAAAGCAACAACAAAAAGTCACCTCCAGTCAGGAAGAAATTTTCATTTCCATTAGTTCTCCCCATTCCCCTGTTCAACCACAGAGAAGTTGGAAGTCTCAGCTTCCCACATCGAGAAGGAGTGTTGTTAAAAACAAATGAGGCCAACCACATCCCCCTTCTCCAATGAAGCTTCTCACTCGCAGAAGCCTTGAGCTCCGGGCGGGTGGAAAGGAGTTTTAAATAGACATATTAATTATGGAACTCAGACTATTTTTGGAGAACCAAAGTACTTAAAGATATTTCCATTATCTGAAAACAAAGTGCTCAAAGGTATTTCCATTATCTGAAAACAATCAGCTAAGCAGCAGGGCCTTTGCAGAATTTTATCCAAGGGCAAAAGAAGAACAACTGCACAGAGTTGGTTCGCAGCGGCGTTAATGAGAAAACACGTTCCCTTTACTTCACCCAGAGTCCTGCTCCTTCAATGTGTTGGTTATACCAAAAGCGACCTCTACAGGAAATTAGAATACCCTTTTAGGATCCAAAACAAAATACACGTATTAACATTATAAATTGGAGTGTGTGTGTGTGTGTGTGTGTGTGTGTGTGTAATGAGTTCACTGATAGCAATATGTAAGTCATAATCTATACCATGTCGCCAAAAATATTTGTTTACATTTCAAAAACTTCCTTACACAAATTCACGTTAAAAAGCATTTCCTTGTTTAGTTAAATATATTCACAGTTGGAATCCATTTTATCTCTTCCAAATGTCTAACCTAATATTGGGATTATGCCTAATCCAAATTTACACTTATAGGTGGCTAATCTGGTCTAGAAGGTCTGTTCTCTTATTTCCAAACCATATCTTCCTCTAGGAATTTCTTATTTTGTCCAAATGGACCCAATCTAGTCTTGACCAGTGGAAGGTTCCTGCTATTTCTTCTGAGGCCACAACTGCCTTTGCCAATGCCTCATCAGGTGGGTGTAAATTTTGCCTTTTATTTCAAAGTTCTAAACATAATGAAGATTTTTCTTTCCTAACACTTAAGATCTTACTACGGATTTAAGCACTATCAAGAGACATATAAAGAGGCATATAAAAGTTCTGATGCATTTATATGCCAAGTTGTCTTTAATGTTTTAACCATTATCAGAAATTTTAGCTTTGGATAGAAAGATATGAAAATTCCTGTATGTAGAAGAGGACAATAAGCAAAAATGACATCACTTCAGTGACTTCTGACTGGAGAAAATGCTATCAAATCAAGGGCCAGACTTAAAATAATTGAGTATTTCCAGTTTACTCATTTATTCTTTAAGAAAAATATGCAACATTTTGAAATAAGGCAAACGGAGGGTAGTGTGTCCTTTTCATATATTGGAGCATTGTTTTTTTGTTGTTGTTTTTTGTTTGTTTTTGAGACAGAGTCTTGCTCTGTTGCCTAGGCTGGAGTGCAGTGGCACAAACTCGGCTCACTGCAACGTCCGCCTCCTGGGTTCAAGTGATTCTCCTGTCTCAGCTTGCCAAGTAGCTGGGACTGAAGGCGCACGCCACCATGCCCGGCTAATTTTTGTATTTTTAGTAGAGATGGGGTTTCACCATATTGGTCAGGCTGGTCTTGAACTCCTGACCTCGTGATCCACCTGCCTCAGCCTCCCAAAGTGCTTTGTTTAACAGGAGCACTTCAGGATTATTTAATCATCTATGAAAGTGTGTCATTGTTGGATTCCTTATCTGCTATTGATCAGAGGCCCAGATTGTGAAGTTATGTTTTTAAATAATTTTTTGTCCATTAGAAATGCAAATGATTTCTGTCCAATAGAACAGATAACCCCAAATATTACATTGCCTACAAGACAGCAACCAGTTTAGTATCTAACTGAGTAAACTTATTTTAAATTTTAAATCAAATGCCTATTAACAGTCAGTCCTTTATAATGTTCCTTATCATTTTTACCAACATTATCATCCTGCTGATTCTCTTTTTAATAAATGAAATAAATGTTTGACATGCGCTCATTCTCTATATCTAGGAGAGTAATGATTTTTTATTTAACTTTGTGAAAATTATATTTGACAGTTCTGTTACCACTTTGCTTTGAGATAAATTCACTAGCCTAATTATGTTACCAATGTCATAGATTTAGTATATTCATTCATTCATCCATGTGACAAATATTTATTGAGAGCTTACTGTGTCATTGCCATAAGCAATGAACCAAACGGAAGTCCCTGCACTCATGTAATTTGCAGTCCAAAGAAAGAAAGAAAATATACAAAATTTTAAAATCACAAATCCTGGGAGAAGAAATCAGTCATTTGCCTTTTGCTCCACATGGATCATAATAAATCTTAAGCCGAGGTTCATAAGCTGAAAACTGAATGACATCAAAATGGAACTTCACAGAGAAAAGTGACAGGCATCACAAACCTGCAAAAGCATCTAACTGTGCCAGGTGGCCTTACCGCCAATAAAAATCAAATAAATCATTAAAGATTTGAAAGTGAAAGCTATAATTATCAGGGCTTCTTAGGATTCAGAGACGTCAACTGCTGAGCAGGTGATTGAAAGCTAAATGAAACAATTTATTTGTAAAATAAATGATAAAATAATAACCTTATTGAGATAATGAAAAGTTCAGTTCTTGAGATACTGGAACTTGGTCCCACAAATAAAAACTCTGAAATACCCCTCAAACCTAGAAGCCACTACATTCATTGTAACAGTTAATTTGAATAAATTAGATGCCATGATGAAACTATCGAACTGTTTTTCTATGTAAAGAAAATGGAAAAGAGGTTAAAAAAAATCAAAGGCTACAAATATAATTACATTAAAGCTTTCATAAATAGTTGAAAGATGTTAATGAACCTACACTATTAATAGTTAGGCTTGTTATAATAATAGGAATACTTAAATAAATCAGTGGATATAACAATCCAAAACCAGTGCTTTGAATATAAGAAAATTTCGTTTAGATTAAGTGTGACCTTTCAAATCAGTGTGGAAAAATATGTAATAGGGCTAATAGCTTATCCAATATAAAAGAGAAAGACCTCTGCCTCATATAACAGCCCCAACATATTTCAAATAATTTTTTAAAACTACACAGAAAAGTAAATGCCATAAGGGAGAAACAAATATGGAAATTTTTGAGGAGAGATTGGGATGCTGCAAAGCATGGCATAGAAACCGTGTGTCATAAAAAGAAATACAGATTTGGATTTATAAATAAAAAAAGTTAAAAGATAAGTCAGAAATTAGGAGAAAATATTTTAATGTATTATATAATAGAATTAATATCCAAAGTAATATCTCTATATATTAAAAGAAATTTAGAAGAAAAAAAGCAAACTATACAATGGAAGGTATGCAAAGGATCTAAATTAGCAAATCATAGAGAGAAAATATGACTGATGTAAACCATAAAAAGATGTTCAAACTCTGACAAGAAAAGCAAGTTAAAAATAATTATGTCAACATGGCAAGGCGCACTCCTGACTTGGGAACCTTGAAGTATGGCCCAAGAGGCTGGACTTGGGAGGTCTATGAATCCAGTCACAGGTGCCAGCAGCTAAGATTTGAACATGAATTACTACAGGTTTGCATCCATCCTCCTTTCCCTGGCCATCAGCGTTTTCAGCTGGTACAACGTGCTCTCCGTGGAGACACACAACATCAGCCTCACTCTGTAATCCCTGAGTCCGGCGGATTAGCCCTGAAATTCACTCGTGGCCTTGCTGGATGATGTGGTCATGGCTGTAGTCAATATAGCTAGCATAGCTATGATGCCTTTGTAAAATTCGGGGAACATTAAATTTGACTACCTTGATCCTAGACATCCTTAATATCTTGACACTGTAATACATTAGGTTGTCCAGGGCCTGAAGCTTATACCTCACCATGGATTCCCATGACAGCATGGGGCAAGGGAGTCCTCGGGACCCAAGACAAAGAGTGGGAAGGGACTGAAGAGATGTGGAAGAGACTGCAGAGATGTGGAAGAGCTCCCGTCAACCCTACTGCAGACCTGGACCGAAGTCAAAGCATGAACAGTGCATAGGAGCCTGAAGCTGTGCCCACCCCACGCTGAGAAGGTTCAAATTCCCTCAACAAGTATTTACTGAGTGCCTCCCTTGGGTCAGGCACTCTTCTAAGCATTGGAGAACACCAGTGAGCAAAAAAGAATTTCTGACCTTGGGAGCTGACATTCTATTAAGGAGACAGACAAAAGACTCATGTTCTGTAGAAATATTTTATAGCTTGAGCTTTGTGGTGATTATGCATGTGTGTGTTTATGTAAAAAATTCATTCAGCTCTTAAGATTTATGCATTTTATTTTAAGTGATACTTTGATTAAAAAGCAAAATAAAAATTTATTGTTATTATATGTATTTTTCACGTATTAAAAAGACTGTTAGTCTCTAGCGATGGTAAGGGTCTGAGCAAGAGAGTCATCCTAGACAACTGGCAATAATGAATAGGACGCTACTCCCTTTTTGAAGGGTAGTTTGATAATATTGTCAAAACTCATAGAGTCTGACCCAGTCACTTTATTTATATGAAATTGTATTACTTGTGCACGAAAGCCAAAGATGAAAAAAAGCTTATTGTAACAATGTTTGTAGTAGCTAAACATTGGAGGAGGTGAGAAGCTAACAGTTTTCAACAAGCAAATTGTAATTTTTTTGGATCCAGAGATCAGAAATTAGATTTAGCATTCATTCAATACTTATCAAATGCATATTTATTCAGTAGTTTTCAATATTTATTGAGTAGTTTTACCGTGTGTTGAAAACTATGCCAAGTACTAAAAACAGAATCACTAAGTATTAAGCTATAAACATGCCATGAAAGTTTTTTTAAGGCAAACAGAAGAGTATTACAGAATGATCTGAATTTTAGGAAGAAATAAAAAAATAAAGTATGCCTCTATGTGTCTATGCCTAAGAAAACCACTGTATATCTAGAAGAAAAGGCTTTGAAGATACTGTCGTGCTGGACCCTTATTGATTTCAATAGGAGTGGCACCATGTTCAAGAGGCCAAAGAAGAGACCTGGAGCCAGCAAATGAGACAGAGGGTTTATTGAGGGGACTTACATACAGGGCAGCACAGTGGTGGTGGGCTGGACAGAGCAACAACTACCATTTATAAAAAGCATGCAGTTTACATAGCATTTTCACTTAGCACTCTCCTTCTAGCAGTCTCCACCTGGCCACCTTCATTTAACCCAAAACACAGGGCCTTGATTCCCTATATGGTGTGTGTTCCACAGGATGGGCCATGAGTTCAAATGTTTCTCTTAGGTAAGCAATGACTCTCCGGGTGGCCACTCCCAGATTTCTTAGCTCAGAATTCCGAACACACATTCTTCTTAGACTATAGAGTCATTCTCAAGGTGTGCTTAAGTTATGGCTGTCAGGTGCATCTGCCATTCAGATACATACCAGTTGTTAGCAGTGATATTCTTGAAAGAATAATAATTGAGGAAAGACTTTCACTTTTTTAATTTTACTTTTCTGTAATTTTATTTTTTAACATTGTGCAAATAATTTTAAGACTATATTTGTAAAACTAAAATTAATGTCAATTTGTAAGTTATCTTACAATTCATTTGTAAGTTATCAAAAAACTTAGTCTAAGCACATTTCATCAAATTCATATAGATAATAACAAGCTTAAAAAACTGATGACATTAAAGCATTTTCTATGTTGATTTGTGTTAACACAACATTTTTTAAATTATGTAATATAAATACCATGGTAGTGAATGCAGATGACTTTATTAATACAGTGAAAAACTTGTATTGAGTTCTTTCTTATATGCTATTTACCGACGTAAGCTCTGCTCAAATGAAAACTTCTTACTCCTGAAGTGGTTTACAGTCTAAGGGGTTGGTTACATAAAAATAATTACAATAAAAAGATAACTGTTTATAAGTAAGTGTGAAGGGCTTCAACACGAAATAATGACTGTAAGGAGATGGTAAATCAAAATTTGGAACATTTAGCTGAACTGTTGTCCAGGGACCAACAGAATTGGCATCACCTGGAGATGTTAGAAATGCAAAAATCTCAGGCTTCATGCCGGACTCACCATCAGGACATACATTCTAGCGAGATTCTCAGGGGATTCATATGCTCATTAAAGTTTGAGAATCACTGTTCTGCATGAAATTAGTTTCTGATTTAAAAAAAACATTCTCCCTTGATCTGGTGTTTAAAATGTGGTTACTCACTGAATGGTGAATCTCCTAAAGTGGTAAGTGTGAATGTAACTTTGGATAGAAAAAGTAACTACTGCAGAGTCTAGATTACTTGTTGGAGCCAATAAATGTTTAAATTTATTTGCCACGCAAGTTAGAATAATACCCTTATCAATCTTCATGATTTTTACATTACAATTAACATAAAGTGAGAAATGATTTTATTTTGGATTTTAAGGAAGTTATTTAAACATCGTATGTCTCAACATTTGCTGACCCATTTTTACAGAATGTCTGCAAGCTTGAACTACTGCCTCTGAATAATTTTCATCATGAATTTAATAAACAAACAATGAAAGTCACAGGCTAAAGGGAGAAATACCCTCGAGTAGGAATTATACTATCAAAGAAGTTTATTTTTGCAAATCCCCTTGGCCAGGAGCCTTTTTCAGTCAAGGAAATAACCCATAATTAATAACCCATAATTAATATGGATTAATTGGCAACATGGCATAACAAACCATGTGACCTTTGTTTGAATCACCCCATTTTTTTGTTTTGTTTTGTTTTTAGTTTTTTTAATAATTAATTTTTTTTAAGTTCCAGGGTACATTTACAGAATGTGCAGGTTTGTTACATGGGTAAATGTGTGATTTAGAACTGGAGATACCATTTTTTTAAATTAAGGGAAATGTTTTCAAAAAGCATTTATGTACTACTATGCTAGAAAATTTGTTAACATTACTCCAACTTAAATATCTAATTGCTCTTAATAAATAATTATGAGATTTTTTTCCATCTCAAAAATCATATTGTTTAGGACATTTAAGAGACAATTAAATGAATATTGATGACTTTATGAAAAACAAAAGTATTCTTACTTATGTTTGTGCATGATTAAGACACTTTGCCAACATCACAACGGATTTCAAACAGCAGTCACATACACTCACAAAAAGTGAGTAACAAATGCTTGCATTGTTAACCAATAAAGATAGAATGCCTTAATATAACTGTGTAGCTTGAACAAACAAAAGAATAAAGCCCTAGGCTCAGGCCTCTTCAGAGTGTTAAAAATCTTAACTAAAGAATGTTAAAAAAAAAATAAATAAATAAAAAAGATTGTTCAATTCTTACACCACATTTCAAGAAGGACGTTGGTAAACCTAATAACACCCAGAATGAAGAAGAATTCAGAAATTTCATCATATGAAAGACCACCTACAGAAACTGGAAATGTTCAGCTTAGAAAATACAATATATATAGTGAGATGATAGATTCCTTAAATATTTAAAGGATTAGCTTTGGGAAAAATTGAACCAAACTTAATTCTGTTAAATGCGAGAGAGCAGAATTGCAATCAATCAGTAAAAACTTGTAGGAAGACAGATCTTAGTTAAATGTGTCTTCAAACAATAGAAAACTTTATAAACAAACAAGTTATTAAATAAAAATCATAAATTAGATTATTACAATCTTTGAAGGGTCATATACTTACCAAGGTCTACTTGAAAAAGAGTGAATCCCTTGTGTGTGGGAGGAGAGTTATACCAAAAGATTTGAATCTGTAAGAGATACTTGGTGAGGACTGCATGCTGGGTAGAACATCAGATATTCTCTTCCAGCCCTGAGTCTCTCTAATACCGAAGCAAGATCACACTAAGGGGTAGAGTTACTGAGTGCAAAAACCACAGAAGGCATGATTGTTGCCCACAGAAACCCAATGTAGCATGCACAGATGAAAGAAAACCATTTACCAGCAGTATGTCTAAGAAATCATAGAATCTAAAATACTACTTCTCAAAAAGGCTTTTCCCAAAATCTAAAGTCCCCATGCAAAAAATAGTTGAAAAATGGATATCCTTTAAAGAAAAAATGACTTGGACTAATTTATCTTTATAAATCTAGAAAATGTTATTTGCTAATTAATTAAGCCAATTCAGATGCTGTAGTTCATCATAAAAGAAAACAAAGAAAAGTAGATGTTAAGCTTAAGACGATTCTGAGAATTTATTACAAATTGGCTTTTCCTTTTATAAACAAGGCAAAATTTAAGTATTGTCTTAAAATTTAAAAATACTGAAATTCACTGACAATAGATACAAATACCTATCAACTGTTAATAAGTTACCATTTATTGAGAATTTGTGTGCTAAGCCCATGCCAGGCATTAACACCAATTGTTTTTCTTCAAAAACTCTGTTGCCTGTTGTAAATGAGAAACCAGAGGTTTAGGTAGCCTATTTGTTAATGAGGAAAACTATATGACTTGCTAATAGCCACACAGATAATAACTGGCACTAATACATTAGTTGTGTTGTTTATACGAAAGTATATGCATATGTATGATAATGACTAATATTAACAAAAAAAAGCTTAAAATTTTAGTTCTAATAATAAACGATTAATGTGGCAATACAGGCAAAGATAATAACTTGTTTCATCTGCTGCTTATCATTTCTTTTTGCAACATTAAATTCTATCCTGTTGAATCAACATACAAACATTAAGGTCCATTTTTATGTTAGTTTGCCCAATAATAGCAATTTTAAATCCTGCTAGAAACAACATCTGTGCACTTGAATAAGTACGCTTATGTGTTTGCACTACATATGATAGAAAAAGTTCATTTCAAATACAATATTATGTGAAGAAAATAGGGAAATTAAAATTGTTTGGTTATAAAATAAAATTATATTGTTTTATTTATTCTGTGGATTGAAAATTAAGATATTTCATGTCTATTTTAACTGCTTGTTTTAGGAAATTAGGAAATTACATAAGTGAAATTTTACTTGTAAGATTTTTCTTCGATTTGTTCCTTCTGTGTGCGGCATCCACATAAATTTCCATAGAGATAATTGGCTTGAAATTTTATACATTTGTTTTCTTTTATAGTATTTTAAATATTAAAGAATTTGCAAATTTAAGTCAAGCATATGTTTTTTAAATGAGAAAATTGAGACTTAGAAGGTTTGTGATTTGAAAAATACAAAATATTCCTATCCAAAAGAAGCTTACAAATTATTATTTTGGCTAAGATTTACTGTTTCTTCTTCCATATGACACATATGTCTTATACACTTTGGATACTAAAATTTTTGAGATTTTAATTTTTGATACATAATATTTGTGCATATTTATGGGGTACATGTGATATTTGGTTACATTAATAGAATATGTAATGATCAAGCCAGGGTATTGGTGTATCCATCACCTCAAGTATTTATCATTTCTATGTATTGGGAACATTTCAAGTCTTCTCTTCTAGCTAATTTGAAATGCACAATACATTGTTATTAACTACAGTCACCCCACTCTGCCATAGTACCCATTAACCAGTCTCTCTTCAAGGCTCCCACCCCACCACTCACCCACACATCCATCCCAGACTCGGGTACCTAAATTTTACTCTCAATTTTCATGAAATCAACTCTTTAAATTCCCACATATGGTAAAAACATGAGATACTTGTTTTTCTGTGCCTGACTTACTTAATTTAACATGAGATTTCAATTTCATTCATTTTGCTCTAAATGACACAATTTCTTTCTTTTCTGTGGTTGAATAGTATGCCATCGTGTTTATATATTACATTTTCTTTGTCCATTTGTTCATTGAAGGATACGTTGACTCCATATCTTTGCTGTTGTGAATAGTGCTGCAATAAACACAGGGAGGCAGGTATCCTTTTGATATACTGATTTCATTTCTGAGAAATCTCCATACTGTTTTTCATAGTAGCTATAATAATTTACACTCCCACCAAAAGTGCATGAGTTCCCTTCTCTCACATCCTGAATAGCATCAGTTACTTTTTGACTTTTTAATAATAGCCATTCTAGCTAAGGTAAGATTATATCTCATTGTGATTATGATTTCCATTTCCCTGATTATTAATAATGTCGAGCATTTTTTCATATACCTGTTGGCCAGTTGTATGTCTTCTTTTGAGAAATGTTTATTCATGTCCTTTGCCCACTTTTTAATGTGATTATTTTTCCTGTTGAGTAGTTTGAGTTGCTTGTATATTCTGATTATTAGTTCCTCGTTGGATAGTTTGCAAATATTTTCTCCAATTCAACATGTTGTCTCTTCACCCTTTTGATAATTTCCTTTGTTGTGCAGAAGCTGTTTGGTTTTGCATGGTACCATTTGTCTACTTTTTTTTTGTTACCTGTGCTTTTGAGGTCTTAACCATAAAATTTTTGCCTAGATCAATGTCTTCAAATGTTTTCTCTGTTTTCTTCTAATAATTTTATGAGTTTGAGTCTTATGTTTAAGTCTTTAATCCATCTTGAGTTGATTTTTGTGTGTGGTGAGAGATAATGATCCAGTTTCATTCTTCTGCATATGAATATCCAGTTTCCCCAGCACCATTTATTGAACAGGGATTCCTTTCCCTGATGTATGTTCTAGAAATCTATGTCAAAAAATCAGCTATAAATACATGCATTTATTTCTGGAGTGTCTCTGTTCCATTGGTTTATGTGTCTATTTTTATAGCAGTACCATGCTATTTTGGTTACTATAGCATTGTAATATATTTTGAAGTTGGGTAGTGTGATGTCTCCAGCTTCGTTCTCTTTGCTCAGGGTTGCTTTGTTTATTTGGGCTCCATTTTAATTCCATACGAATTTTAGGATTGTGTTTCTATTTTTGTGACAAAAATGACTTTGGAAATTTGATAGAAATTGCATTGAATCTGTAGATTGCTTTGGGTAGTATAATCATTTTAAGCACATTAATTTTTCCAATCCAAGAGCATGGGATGCCTTTACATTTCTTTGTGTCCTCTTTAATTTCCTTCATCGGTGTTTTGTAGTTTTTTTTAAGGTCTTTCACCCCCTTGGTTAAATTTATTCTTATGGTTTTTTTGGTTGTTTTGTAGCTATCATAAGTGGGATACATTTCTAGTTTTCTTTCTCAGCTGGTTCACTATTTGTGTATAGAAATGCTACCAATTTTTGTATTTTGATTTTATACTCTACAACTTTACTGAATTTATGTATCAGATATGAGAGATTTTGGTGGAATCTTTAGGTTTTTCCTAGATACAAGATCAGTCATCTGCAAAGAAGGGCAATTAGACTTCTTCTTTTGCAATTTGAATGCCTTTTATTTTTTTCTCTTGCCCGATTGCTCTGGCTAGAACTTCCAGTGGTATGTTGAATAGGAGTGGTAAAAGTGGGCATCCTTGTTTTGCTCCAGTTCTTAGAGGAAAGTCTTTCAGCTTTTCCCCATTCAGTATGATGTTAGCTGTTGGTTTGTCATAAATGGACTTTATTATCTTGAGGTTTGTTCCTACTATGCCAAATTTGTTCAAAGTTCTTATAAGGAAGGGATGTTAAATGTTATCAAGCGTTTTTTCTACAACTATTGAGATGATCACCTGTGTTTTGTTCTTTATTCTGTCGATATGGTGATTAACATTTATTGTTTTGCATATTGAACCATCCTTGTATCCCTGGGAAAATCCCACTTGATCATGGTGTATTATCTTTTTGATATGCTGTTGGATTCAGTTTGCTAGCATTTTGTTGAGAATTTTTGCATTGATGTTCATCAGATACTGGCCTGTAGATGTTTTTGTTGTTGTTGCATGCTTGTCTAGTTTTGGTATCAGGGTAAGGCTGGCCTCATAGCATGAGTTAGGAATAATTTCCTCCTAATCAATATTTTGGAAAAGTTTGAGGAGAATTGTGGTGTTAGCTCTTCTTTGTAAGTTTGGTAGAATATGTCAGTGAAGCCATACAGTCCTGAACTTTTCTTTGTTGAGAGATTTATCACTGATTCAATCTCATTGCTCATTACTGATCCGTTCATGTTTTCTATTTCTTCCAGATTCAATCTTGGTAGGTTGTATGTGAGCGGGACTGTATCTACTTCTTCTTAATTTTCCAGATTGTTAGCATGTAGTTGTTCATAATAGTCTCTGATGATCTTTTGTATTTTTGTGATATCAGTTGTAATATGTTCTTTTTTATTTCTGATTTTATTTATTTAGGTCTTCCTTCTTTTTTCTTGGTTGATCTAGTTAGTGATTTATCAATTTCATTTATCTTTTAAGAAAAACAACTTTTCATTTTGTTGCTCCTTTGTACTTTGTAGCCTGAATTTCATTTAGTTCTGTTCTAATGCTTACAATTTCTTTCCTTCTATAATTTGGAGTTTTGTTTGTTCTTCATATTTTAGTTCCTTTAGTTGTATTGTTAGATTCTCTATTTGAAATCTTTCCACTTTTTCGAGGTAGGCATTTATTGCTGTAAACTTCCCTCTTAGCACTGCTTTTCCTGTATCCCACAGGTTTTAGTATATGTGTTTTGATTTTCATTTGTTCTAAGAAATTTTTTTATTTTTTATTTAATTTCTTCATTGACCCAGTGGTCATTCAGGAGCATGTTGTTTAGTTTCCATGCAGTTTCCAATGTTTCTCTTGTTACCAATTTCTAGTTTCATTCCATTGTGTTCTGAATAGATACTTGACATGATTTCAAATTTTTTTAATTTGTTGCGACTTTTTGTGGCTTATAATATAGTCTATCCTGGAGAATGTTCCTTGTGCTCATGAGAAGAATGTGTATTCTGCAGCTGTTGGGCAAAATGTTCTGTAGATACCGGTTAGGTCCATTTGGTCTAAAGTACAGTTTAAATCCAATGTTTCCTTGTTAATTGTTTGTCTAGATGATCTGTCTAACGCTGAAAGTTGGGTGTTGAAGTCCCCAACTCTTATTCTATTGAAGTCTATCTCTCCCTTTAGATTTAATAATATTTGCTTTATATATCTGGGTGATCTGGTGTTGAGTGCAATTGTGTTTAGAATTGTTATATCCTCTTGCTAAATTGGTCCCTTCATCATTGTATAATGATCATTTCTGTCTTTTTTTTTTTACTATTTTTGACTTAAAATCTGTTTTGTCTATAGAAGTATAGCTATTCCTGTGCAATTTTGGTTTCCATTTGCATAGTATGTCTTTTTCCATCCTTTACCTTTAGTCTATATGAGTCTTTATATATGAGAGGAGTTTCTTGTAGTTGAGTCATTTTTAAATACATTCACCCATTTTATATCTTTTAAGTGGTAAGTTTAATCTGTATGCATTCAATCTGTGATATGAGGGCTTATTCATGTCATTTTATTAGTTGACTTATGATTGCTTGTATGTCTTTTTTCCTTTCTTTTTCTTTACCATTGTTGTTTGGTGGTTTCTGTAGTGGTAACATTTGAGTCCTTTCTCTTCCTTATTTGTGTGTCAGCTCTACCAGTGGGTTTTATACTTTCATATGTTTTCCTGATGGTAAACATCATCCTTTTGCTTCAGGTATAGGACTTCTATAAACATTTTGTCGGGGGGGCTGGTCTAGTGATGATGAACTTCCTTAGCTTTTGTTTGTGTGTCAAAGACTTTATTTCTCCTTCATTAATGAAAGATAACTTTGCTGGTTATGGTATCCTTGGCTGGCAGTTGTTTTCTTTCAGCACTTTGAATATATCTTCTCATTCTCTCTTGGGATGTAAGATTCCTGCTGAGAAACTTGCTTTTAGTCTGATGAGGGTTCTTGTAAGTGATTAGATGCTTTTCTCTTACTGTTTCTAGAATTCTGTCTTTGTCTTTGACATTTAGCAGTTTGACTCTAACGTACCATGGAGAAGGCCTTTTTAGGTTGTGTCTATTTGGGGATAACTAGGCTTCCCGTATCTGGATATCTAAATCTCTTGATAGACTTGGGAAGTTTTCAGCTATTATTTTGTCAAATTGGTTTTCTATCCCTTTGCTCTTCTCTTCACCTTCTGGGTCACTGAAAATTCAAATATAATCATTGCTTTATCATGTCCCATATGTGACGTATACTTTGTTCATTCTTTTTTATTTTTGTCTGGGTTATTTCAAAAGATATGTCTTCAAGTTCTGAAATTTCTTATTCTGCTTGATATAGTATATTGTTGACTGGCCTAGTTTTCATTTTATTTAATAAATTCTTCAGTTCTGTTTGGTTCTTTTTTAGGATATCTATCATTTTTGCTAAATTTATCATTCATATCCTCACTCCATGTCTGATTTCTTTGTATTGTTTATTTGTGCTCTCTTATATCTCACTGAGCTTCTTTACTATTGGTGTTTTTATTTCTGGCATTTATAAATTTCTTTTTCACTGGAGTCAGTTGCTGGAGAATTATTATATTTCTTTGAAGGTATCATATTTTCTTGTTTTTCATGTTTCTTGTGTTCTTACGTTGACATAAGCAGATCTGGTATACCAGTTGCTTCTTCCATTTTTTTGAATTTGTTTCACATGGGACATCATTTTTCTGAAGATACAGCTATAGTGTTGTTTGGATGGGGCACTTCTATTCTGTTTTTGGGTGCACACAGTAGTGTAGTCTCTGTATAATTTATTTGGTTGTAAGCAACATCAGTAATGTCTGTGATTTCTTTGGTGGCTTAGGATGTAGTTGTTAGTGGAAGCTGTGATGAAGTTTGGCTGGGGATGAGGATGCCATGTGGGCCAGTCTTCTCAGTATTGGCAGCAGTAGGCCAAGCTTGCCTTTCCTTGGGCCCCACAGTGGCACATGCTGGCACCAGTGTTTACAGGTTCAGGTGGACAAATTCTTGGGCCTCCAGGCAACTTGGTTGGGTGCTGGCAGTGGCAGGGGTTGTCCAAGTGAGCAGATGGGTTCGTACACCCTTGGGAAGTGGACATGGTATAGACGATGGCAGTATCATTGAGAGGACAACCCTCTGGCTCCCAGGTGGTTCATGCTGGTGTTGGCAGTGTTTGAAAGGGGCTGGATGGGCTAGTCCCATGCCCACAGGTGGTGTGCGCTGGTGGGTGCCAGCTGTGATAATAGTGGCAGGCTGAGCAGAGCCATCCCCAGGCCCCTGGGAGGAGTGCTCAGGTGCCAATGGTAGTAGAGAGGGCAATCCGCAGGTCCCTGGATGACAGGCCTGGGCACTGGAGATGGGGAGGGAGGCAAAGCCAGGCCTCTCCTCGGGCCCCCTGCTGGTGCATTTGGGCACTGGCTGTGGTGGGCAGAGGTCTCAGACCCCTAACAGAGTGCTTGAGTGGGGCTGGCAGTGGCAGCAATGGGTGAGGGGAGGCTTCCCACAGTACATGTGCAAGTGTGCTGCTGCCCTGCTGCTGGAGAGGGTGGTGTTGTTGCCAGCAACTTGTGCTTCTGCCCTGGGGCAGCAGCCAGCAGCAGAAGTGATGACTATGAGTAGGGGGGCTTGCTCTCAGGGAGTGTGAAAAGGCACAGCAGCCCCATTTCTGGGGGCCATGGGGTCACATTCAGTGGCTCTGTTTCAGTCCCAGTGGCAGTAGCCAGCAGCAGCTATGAGTGAGGGATGTCAATGGAGCTCCAGGGATATGGAGATGCAGGGGCTGTTGGGCCCCAGGGCAGGACACAGTCTGTTGGGGCTTGGCTCTCAACATGGTGCCATGCTGTAGCTGCTTGGTCTTAAGGGTAGGGGTGAGACCCAACATGGGTTCTCTGTCTGCAGCAATGCTTTTGTGTGGTCTCCAGGCAGCACCTTATGTTAGTCTCAGAGCCTGCAAGGGTCAAGGGACTTTCCTGTAGCTAGGATTGCAGGAGTCTGTGCTGGGGGTGTACACAGCTGGGGATCTCTCACTTACTTTTTCCCCACACTGGAGAACCTCTCCAGGCTCCCAGTTAATCCCAGCCAACCAGGCTTCTTTGCTTCCCTCCCCTTCCTTTCCTTAGGTGTTTCTTGTCACTTCTCTGTTGAACTCCAATGTTATCTCTTAGATGACACATTCAAAGTGCTATTTTACTTGCTATTTTGGTTCTTGTTTGTGGAGGAGGCGAATACCAGATCCCTCTATTCGCCTATCTTGAAGCCCCCTATATTGTTATATATTTTATTGTTTTTTAAAAATATGTTTGAACTGCAGTAGGTTGAATCCATTAATGTGGATCCTGTGGATATGGAGGGCCAAATGTGTATATAGAGAGAAACAGATTTATTATGAGAAATTGACTCAAACAACCATGAAGGCTGAGAAGTACCAAGATCTGCAGTTGGTAAGCTGGAGATGGAGGAAAACTGATGTGGGTTCTAGTCCAAGTCTGAAGGGCTGGGAATCAGGAGAGCTGATGGTGAAGGTTCCAGTCTGAAAGCCAGCAGGCTAGATACCCCAAGAGAGCCAATGTTTCCATTTGAGTTTGAAGGCAGAAAAAGACCAGTGTCCCAGCTCAAGGCTGTCAGGCAAGAGGCATTTCCTCTCACTCACTCTTTTTGATCTATTCAGGACTTCAATTTATTGAATGAGGTCCACTCACTTTAGGAAGCACAATCTACTTTACTCAATCTACCAGATCCAAAGGTTTATCTCCTCCAGAAACATCCTCCCAGACACACCCAGAATAATGTTTAACCAAATGTCTGGGCACTCTGTCACCCAGTCAAACTGACACACAAAATCATCCACCACAGAGACTTAAAGGAGAATTGACAGTCACTCTGATTTGGTCCCACAGGCCCTACCTGGAAAATCAAAATTGTACCCAATTTATTTTATTAAAATCCTTGATATTTCTTATGATAGAGAATACAGAACAAATGCAAATCAGTGAATTTGAAGTTTGTTAATGAAATGTTAATCAGTTAACTTGAAGTTTGGAAATTAACATGTTAATTTCCCAACCTACTCATCTGACAAAGGGCTAATATCCAGAATCTACAATGAACTCAAACAAATTTACAAGAAAAAAACAAACAACCCCATCAAAAAGTGGGCGAAGGACATGAACAGACACTTCTCAAAAGAAGACATTTATGCAGCCAAAAAACACATGAAAAAATGCTCACCATCACTGGCCATCAGAGAAATGCAAATCAAAACCACAATGAGATACCATCGGACACCAGTTAGAATGGCAATCATTAAAAAGTCAGGAAACAACAGGTGCTGGAGAGGATGTGGAGAAATAGGAACACTTTTACACTGTTGGTGGGACCGTAAACTAGTTCAACCATTGTGGAAGTCAGTGTGGTGATTCCTCAGGGATCTAGAACCAGAAATACCATTTGACCCAGCCATCCCATTACCGGGTAAATACCCAAAGGACTATAAATCATGCTGCTATAAAGACACATGCACACGTATGTTTATTGTGGCACTATTCACAATAGCAAAGACTTGGAACCGACCCAAATGTCCAACAATGATAGACTGGATTAAGAAAATGTGGCACATATACACCATGGAATACTATGCAGCCATAAAAAATGATGAGTTCATGTCCTTTGTAGGGACATGGATGAAATTGGAAATCATCATTCTCAGTAAACTATCGCAAAAACAAAAAACGAAACACCGCATATTCTCACTCATAGGTGGAAATTGAACAATGAGAACACATGGACACAGGAAGGGGAATATCACACTCTGGGGACTGTTGTGGGGTGGGGGTGGGGAGGGATAGCTTTAAGAGATATACCTAATGCTAAATGACGAGTTAATGGGTGCAGCACACCAGCATGGCACATGTATACATATGTAACTAACCTGCATATTGTGCACATGTACCCTAAAACTTAAAGTATAATAATAAAATTAAATTAAATTAAAAAGAAAAAAAAAGAAAGCAAACAAAAAGCAATATAAAGGGAATATTAACACTGCAAAGAGTAAATACTTTTAAAACATTAAAAAAAAATAAAAGTAAAAGCATAAAAAAATTTAAAAATAATGGTAGTTTCAAAGGTTAGATTTGACAGTGACAATGAGGACTCATGGGTGAAGTCGTTTTTCCATATTGGTTGTGTCCTTGTATTTGGGCTAGTACACTGAGTCAACACTCTGAGAAGCAAACATTGTTGACCAGCTCGCACTGTCTTCATCAAAGAAACCCCCAAGTGGAAAGTGAAAGGCATGCATGCTGAAGAGCATTTGTGGCACAATATAAAAAAATAAATAACTAAACTATTTCTGAAGGGTTCTTCCAAAGTTTAGTTTATATAACGGAACCAAACTGTTACTGTAAAAAAAACCTGTTGCGCTACAAAAACAACAACAACAAAGTGTAATATTCAAGGTCTCCATGAGCTTTATTGGTATGTTAACTTTTGATATAGTTTGATGTTTTTCCACTCCAAATATCATGTTAAAATCTCCGATGTTGGAGGTGAGGCCTAGTAGCAGGTATTCGGGTCATGGGGGCAGATCCCTCATGAACAGCTTGGTGCTCTGCTCGAAGTAGTGAGTGAGTTCTTACTCTAAGTTCATAGAAGATGTGATCATTTAAAAGCATGTGGCACCTCCCACACCCCCTTGCTCTCTCTCTCACCATGTGGCACACTGGTTCCCCTTTGCCTTCTGCCATGATTGTCAGCTTCCTGAGGCCCTCACCAGAAGTAGATGCCAGCACCATGCTTCATGTACAGCCTGAAGAACCATGAGCCAAATAAACCTCTTTTCTGTATAAATTACCCAGTCCATCACTTTTCCACCTTTTGGCTAAGATCAAGTATAAATTACCCAGTCCAAAGTATTCCTTTATAACAATGCAACAGACTAACATAACTTCTATATGCAATATTCAATTAATAGTCTTTCCTTTTTTAATAAATTGTGAAACTAAAATAAAAAGTGGTGACAGAAATATTTAGAAATAAGCTAACAAAATATATGTTTTAGTCACTTTTTATTCCCATTTCTTATTTTGCTTGTGTTATACTGTCTCTTTTACTAAAGTGAATATGATGTTCATTTCTTGCCAGGTGATGGGAAGAAAATAATTTCCTTTCAACAAAAAATATGAAAACCAAGAACTTGTCTGAACGTTTTAATAACCAGAATGACAAAAGATTACCTAAACAAAATTTAAATTTTGGAAATAAGCATTATCCTCAAACGTGATATTGGAAATACAACAAATGTGCTTTTTTCTCCTTGAGAGAACAACTGTATAACGCAAAATGAAATTTAGAGTATTTTATAAGAATTACAATAGCTAATGTTTTTCAGAGCCTCTTTCATGGGAGCTACTGTGATAATCTACTTAAATAGCTATCCAATCTTCACAACTACACTGGAAAATATGTAAGTATTATTATCTTTATGTATAGAAAAGAAATTAAGAGAAATTAAGAAAATGTTCAGCTCATCAAACTGTTAAGTGGCAAAGCCAGAGTTAAACCTGGTCCATTTGCCTCTAATGTAAATGTTAGTACTATGGTACTAAGGGAATAGCTAAATTATAAATTTATCAAATATTTGGACTTTACCCTAAAATCATATACAAAACCTCGAAAATTACACAACTAATTTACTGTAGAAAAAGCCCATGTGAAGGCAACTGTGCATGAGCAAATATTTAGGGTGACCCTATTATTAGTATGTTTTTCCTAAAAACTATAGGTAATATAAAGTGTTATAATAGAGTCTCCATCCCCAAGGAGAAAACGAAGGCAAACATAATTTATAACGCACAGTATTAGAAATAAGTCCTACAAAACATAAGTGGTAAGAATTATGAAGAGGAAGAATTAATGTGGTCTGAACTTAACAAGAAAGAGACTTCAGGGTGGAAAAGGGACTACCTTGAGTGGTTGCAATGTATGGGAGTCACATTCAGGGCTTCCTAACTCAGCATCCACAGGAACACGAGCCAGCTTCAAGGATTGTAGAAAGGCCCTGAAGTCGTTTGTGAGCATTTCTGAGCACTTTTCTAGGAAGGAGCCTAGATTCAGCACATTTTCAATTATGTCTATGACTCAGAAGAGAAGAAGAACCTCTGAGGTAAAGAAACATGAAACGGAAATTCATGGCTGTGGTAAGATAAACAAACATGAATGTGGACATGCAAGAGGTGTGTTATTGAACAGTAAGTTCAGAAGTCCTGCCAGGCTCAATCTACCTCCATTTATTTCTCTGCTGGAGCATAGGGCTCCCTCCAGCAGAGAAATAATGGGAGGCAGATTGAGCCCAGGTCTTAGAAAAACTCAAATTCCAAGTCAAGGACTTGGGAAATGATTTTTACATCAGGTTTTCGCAGAAGTGCATTCCAGAGGCCAACGCTCAGGAACAATTAATTTGTAGTGGTTTCTAAGAAACACCAGGGGAGAAGGGATTGTTACATATATAATCTAATTTAATAGGGAGGCTCCAAACTTACTTTGTTTAAAGATTTCACAATGTTCAGAATTTAAATAGTAATAGCAAATGACAAATATGTTTATATTTCTATTTGATATTTCTCATTTACCCATTAAAATGATTCTGCTTTATTTACAAGTAGAACATATATTCTGATTTTGTGGCTGCAAAAATAAAACACAGTCCAACTTAAAGGATAGTATCGTGTTCAAAACATAGCTGAAAAGAAAAGCTTAGCACATAAAAGATGCAATTGAACATAAACTGCATTTATCTGCCATCAATTTTTAAAATGACTTTGGATCATACAATAAATAAATGTTCTTTACATAAATTAGAACATTGACATTAGTAAGTGAGAATATAGAAAATATCCATAATCCTGTGACCCAGTGGTAACCACAATTCACCTTTTGATATATATTTTTTCACACTCAACTTTTATATATCTTTTTGTACAAATATTACAGTAGATACTGTTTGGAAACTTGCCTTTCTCACTTAAAAGTATGTCATTTCCACCACAAGAAGTATCTCTTTCTACCTCATTTTAATGATTACATAGCAAACACTGCAGAGATAAACTACCATTTTTTTTTATTTTTTTATTTTACTTTAAGTTCTGGGATACATGTGCAGAATGTGCAGGTTTGTCACATAGGTATACATGTGCCATGGTGGTTTGCTGCACCTATCAACCTGTCCTCTAGGTTTTAAGCCCCACATGCATTAGGTATTTGTCCTAATGCTCTCCCTCCCCTTGCCCCCCACCCCCTGACAGGCCCTTGTGTGTGATGTTCCCCTCCCTGTGTCCATGTGTTCTCATTGTTCAACTCCCACTTATGAGTGAGAACATGCAAAACTACCATTATTTTAACCAGTCTACTGTTTTGATTGCTTTGATTATTCCTGATCGCATCAATGCTATATAAAATGATTACTGGAAACAGCCACCAAAACAAAGTTCTGGTTATGTAAGCTAAGTGAGTGCTGGAAGAAAATTGCAAGCAGCTCTTGTTTTCTAAATCTATGTGCATGAGTTTTCCAGGACTGTAATAACAAATTACCACAAACCAGGTGGCTTAAAACAACAGAAATTTATTCCCTCATTGTTTTGGAGACTAGAAGTCAAAAATTTCTTGTTAACAGGGTCAGGCTCCCTCTACTGGCTCTAGGGAACGATCCTTCCCTCTGTCCTCACTTTTGGTGGGAGCCAGCATTCCTTCACTTGTAGCTTCATCCCTCCAATCTGCCTCCATCTGCATACGGCCTTCTCCCCTGTGTGACTCTGTCTCTTCATATGATGTTTTCCTCTCTGCATATCTTTGTGTCCAAAGTTCCCCATTTCTCTTTTCCTTGTAAGGAAAGAGTCATTGGATTTAGGGCCCACCCTAATCCATTGTGACCTCATCTTAACTTGATCACATTTTCAAAGACTTTATTTCTGTAAGATCACATTCACTAGTACAGGGGGTTAGGGCTTCAACATATTCAGACAAAAGGGGGAAGCATAATTTAACCCACAATACATGTGAACCTTAAAATAAGGGAGCATTCTAGTCATCAACAAGGCATCGGATCCTGTAGCTGAGCAGCAGCAAAAAAGACCTGGGAGTCTTGCAGCAGGTAAAAGTTCAGAAATGGCCCATTCAGAGTGGCTCAGAAACTGGGTTAAAGCTGAGTCCGTAGGAGGCAAGATCAGTGGGCTGGAATGTGGGGAAGTGGGAACAGGGCAACTAGGGCTGGGCTGACCCAACTACCCTATTTACTCACCCCATCTTCACACACAAATCCCATCCATCCTGTAAAGTACAGAGGTTAGTCCCATAAAGTCATCTCTTAAAATTCATCTAGGCCAGGTATGGTGGCTCACACCTGTAATCCCAGCACTTTGGGAGGCTGAGGCAGGCAGATCACCTGAGCTTGGGAGTTCAAGACCAGCCTGACCAACATGGAGAAACCCCGTCTCTACTGAAAATACAAAATTAGCCGAGTGTGCTGGCACATGCCTGTAATCCCAGCTATTTGGGAGGCTAAGGCAGGAGAATCACCTGAACCTGGGAGGCAGAGGTTGTGGTGAGGTAAGATCACGCCTTTGCACTCCAGCCTGGGCAACAAGAGCGAAACTCCCTCTCAAAAAAAAAAAAAAATTCATCTAACTAACACTTATCTCTTTAAATTCCTGTGGTGTGCTCCATCTATCACAACTTCATTTAAATATTGTATTACAAGCTGTCTTTTCATATATTTTAATTGTCTTATCTCTTCAATAGTCTTGCAAGATGCTTGAGATTAGATGCTGCACCTGATTTTTCTTTGTTATCTCCTAACAGCAACCATCTCAATGCTGGGCATTTAGAAACTATCTGTTGCATATAAAACATCTATTGAAGAAAATAATTATTGACTTGACTAAGAGAAGGTGACTAAGCCTCCAACAGAAGATGCCTCCGACAGATCCAGCGCATAATGAGCAGAGCAGGTGACCTGGAGTCTGATCTCCGGAGTCATCACTTCTAACCTTGGAGGAAATCCACGATGGCTCTCTCACTTGTATTCATCTCCCATCTGCAGCCACTCTATAAATTACTCTCTCCATGTAATCTTTGTTTGACATTTCTCTTCCCCAAGCAGGATTTCAGTCACACACTTTGAGGTTTTATATAGAAGCTAGACTCAGAACACACAAGAGGTTGCTGTGAGAACGAGCATTTGTGTGGTCCAAGCACAGCCTGCAATTTTGCACTCAGTCAGCACCTAGGAGGAAAAAGCCCCGTGCACTTCAGCTGTATCTTCCAAGAGTGCCAACACGGCTGCCCCATGAAGCCAACCTTCCCCTGTGAATGAATAGGCAACCTGAGATGCAATGAGTTTCCAAAGCCAGACCTGAATACAGCCCGGATTGCTAGCAGAAACCTGCCTAGACTAATTCACAGTCACCATTTGACTGCATTCTCCTGCCTCTCAGCTAACAAAGGCATTATCTCCCAGCACTTCTAAGAGCTAAATTGCTCTTTTAACAGCAATTATAAGAGTGCTAACAAAAAGCTAAAGATTTGGAGAATCAATGTGCTTCTTTTACTTCTAAATCATTGTATCAGATTTCCTCCTTGAATTATAATTTTATGCTGTTAATGAAGAAAATGCCTCCTTTCAGAGCACTGAATAAGAAAGGTACATTTTTGTACATTCTAAGCCTCCTTTTAAGAAAAATCACTTTTATCTCTCCATTTTATGGGCATAAAGAGGGAAATCATATTTTGAATAATTACAGGAAACAGTCTGCTACAAATGGTATATGTGATAAAATACCTGTTAGCTACAATTAAGTTAAAATTTTAGGGAAAATCACAAAGTAGATCAATTTATTCCCACACATCATTCTCCAACTTCATGTACAATTAATTAGAGGATAATGTGAAATATAAGCATGGAGCCATGTGCTTTTATTGCATTTCAACTAAAATCCTTGGTCCTTACTGTCAGAGGCATGTGAACAACAGCAACTGCATCTTGAATAGGAACTACATAAAATGAGGCTGAAACCTATTGAGCTGCATTCCCAGACAGTAAAGGCATTCTAAATCACGGAATGAGATAGGAGGTCAGCATAAGATACAGACCTTGCTGATAAAACAGGTTGCAGTAAAGAAACCGGCTAAATCTCCAAGATGGCCACGAAAGTACCTCTGGTCATCCTCACTATTACACTCCCATCAGGGCCATGAGAGTTTACAAATGCCATGGCAATGTCAGGAAGTCACCATTTATGGTCTAAAAAGGAGAGGCGTGAATAATCCACCCCTTGTTTAGCATATCAACAAGAAATAACCATAAAAATGGGCAACCATCAGCCCTCAGGCCTGCTGTCTATGGAGTAACCATTCTTTTATTCCTTCATTTTCCTAATAAACTTGCTTTCACTTTACTGACTCTCCCTGAATTCTTTCTTGTGCGAGATCCAAGAACCCTCTTTTGAGGTCTGGACCCGGACCCCTTTCCTGTAATGTTACTATCTCTGATTTCATGATTCTGATGTTTAAATTACTTGTAAAATAAATCCCTATTTAATAGTATCTGTGACTATACCACATAAATATTTCATCAGTTAGGGCTATTCTTGTGCAATAAACAGTTGATAGACTTAAGCCCGCCAGATACAGTATTTATCTGCAATTAAAATGTATCATGTAATTTTTTTTTTTTTTTTTTTTTTTTTTTGAGACAGGGTCCCTCTCTGTCACATAGGCTGCAGTGCAGTGGTGTGATTATTGCTCACTGCAGACTCGACCTCCTGGCTCAAGGGATTCTCCCATCCCGGCACAACCTCCTACCCCTGCCAACCCTCTAGTAGCTGGGACTAAAGGCACACTCTACCATGCCCAGCTAATTTTTGTATTTTTGTGTTTTGTTTGTCTGTTTGTTTGTTTGTTTTTGTAGAAATGGGGTTGTGCCATGTTGCTCAGGCTGATTTCAAACTCCTGGGCTCGAATCTCAGCTTCCCGAAGTGTTGGAATTACAGGTCTGAGCCACTGCACCAGGTCTGACAATGTTTCTATTTTTAAGATGTTGTCAAAAGAGGTGAACCTCACTTTGACTGTGAGGTTTTTGAAAGACTTGGAAAAGAAATTGATTTATATAAGCTTGTCCAACCCATGGCCTGCAGGCTACATGCAGCCCAGAACAGCTTTGAATGTGGCCCAACATGAATTCCTAAACTTTCTTAAAACATTATGAGATTTTTTTGCAATCTTTTCTTCTCATCAGCTATCATTAATGTTATATGTATTTTACTTACATGTGGCCCAATACAATTCTTCTTCCAATGTGGCCAGGGAAGCAAAAAGATTGGACACCCCTGGATTAATAGGTACCTTAGTTTCAGAGTAATTCTTTTCTAATACAGTTCATCTATTATTTAAAAGGAAATAGAGTGAATGTCTTTGAAAGTATAATCAGAGAAGAGCCAGCTGTAATCGTCAAAATTTTGTAATCCAAGAAAGAGTCCACCAGTATTATTAAAGCCACCCTGCAACTCATTGGCCAGTGATCTGAGAAACAACTCTATGCTAGTTTTACTTTTCTCTTTGAAATACTTTCTACAGATTTCAAAGTCAGTAAAATTACATATTCTTTTAAAATTTTTTATTTAACCCTAATGCAACTAGGTTGTTCAACAATATTTCTTCTACTGTCTGATCCACAAAAATAATAAACACAACACATATTCAAATTTGATGAGTAAGGCGTGCCTGGTTTCATGGTGTGCCAGACTAAAAGGAAAATGTAAAGAAAACAGATCTAGAAGACCAAGAACAGAGAACTTGAACTAGTTTTCAGGTTTTTTTGGTTTTTTGGCGGGGGGGGGGGTTTGGTTTTTTGTTTGTTTCTTTAAGATGGAGTCTCACTCCGTCGCCCAGGCAGGAGTGCAGTACTGCAATCTTGGCTTACTGCAATCTCTGCCTCCCAGGTTCAAGAGATTCTCCTGCCTCAGCCTCCTGAGTAGCTGGGATTACAGGTAACTGCCACCACACCCAGCTGTTGAACTAGTTTTAGTGATAATTTCTCCATTCAAATCATTATAGTACAAACTAGAATATTCATAGTGGAATAGTGAATTTAAATTCATAGTGGAATAGTGAATAAGATTCCACTAGAGTATTCATAGTGGAATAGTGAATTTAGATTTAACTTAGCAGTGTGCATGGGGGGTTGAATCAACTATCTGAGATATGGCAACAAGAGTTTCCATGTAGTGATAAGACATAGGAAAGGGATTGTAAACAATGTGATTCCAAGAGGATCTATTTTGAACCGGATTCTAGTACACAGCTGAAAATATAGAGATAATTCAGGCAAACATTGAGAAAAAGATTGTCAAAGTTAACTAGGGGAAAATATGGAAGGCTTTCAAGACAGAGATCCAGTCTTAAAGAGAGGACTAACTGGAGGACAAATGGAGGGCCTGAGCCAGCATCTCAGTCATGGATGAGCAACACGGAAAGCCTATGCTTCCTTGGTTCTGCAGATTTACCCCAGGCACACTGGCAATTGTGCCTACAGCAGATTGAGTCATTCAAGACCATTAACCATTAATGTGAAGATGGTTTTCACATCATTCAGGATTGACTTGGGAACTGTGGGTGGTAAACTGAGGGGTGATGAGTAAGCCTAAAGCAATGAGTAAATAAACTGATTCCAGAATTTAAAATGGGGCCAATTTCATTGTGAGGATTAAGAAGGCAAGTAATAATATATACCATCCAACACAACAGATGACACAGTAATTATTTTGATTGAACTTTGGAATATAGCTTATAGTTGGTTCATCATTCATCAATTTGTGGTTCTGCTATCTACTATTATCTACTATTCTATCTACTCCCAAAAGAAGAGAAAGGTCTTATGTATTTATGTGCATTTATTTAGAAAAATCTCTCATGGTTGTATACATATTTATAGTTACATGTAAAATAAAATGCATAGATCACTGTACCTGGAATGCTACCATTTATGTAAAGAAGGGATGAAAATAAGATAAATTTCTGTTTTCTTCTATATGCATTAAAAAATCTCTGGCATAAGGAGCCTGAGGCAGGAGGATAGCTTGAGCCCAGGAGTTCAAGGCTGCACAATCCAGCCTGGGTGACATAGCAAGACCTGTCTCAAAGAAGAAAAATCTCTGGCAAGATCAGCAAGGCATGCAGGAACAAAAACCCAATATATAGGGGCAGGAATGAGAGAGAGAGACTTCTCAATGTATATTCACTTTCTACTTTTGGAAATTTTATTTATGTAATTGTTTCCTCTTTAAAAAGTAAAGCATTTTAAAATATAAAGATACTTAATGTATGTATTTAAATGTTTATTTTAAAATATGCGAAATAAATAAACAGGAGCCATGTTATGAAGAAGAATAATGAAGATGAAAGCACTGAAAAAGAAAAAGGTGGGAGAGTCTTAAGATACTTATTGTTTGGTGGCAAAAAAAGTTTGATTTGAATTCCCTGGAAGTCAAGGAATCAAGGAAAACAAGATAAGTTATATAACAATCATTATTCATAAACAGAACCACATTGCCCAATTTCCCTACTGAATAGCCTGAGTATGGGTCCCACAGGGCAAAGCCTGGGGACAGGAGCATCTATTACCTAGAGCTCTGGGTGCATTAAAATTAGAGATGAGAAAAAATAAGAGTCAAATAGTGTAGTACTTTGCACTACATCAACTTGGCTGGGCTGAAACCAAACTTCCCAGAACTCTTTCCCTATAGGATCTGTATTAGTCAGTTCTCACACTGCTAATAAAGACATACCTGAGACTGGGTAATTTATAAAGGAAAGAGGTTTAATTGGCTTACAGTTCCACTGGGCTGGGGAGACCTCAGGAAACTTACAATTATGGTGAAAGAAGGAGCAAACACATCCTTTTTCACATGGCAGCAAGGAAGAGAAGAATGAGAGCCAAGTGAAGAGGGAAGCCCCTTATGAAATCATCAGATCTTGTGAGAACTTACTCACTATCACAAGAATAGCATGGGGGAAACCACCCCCAGGATTAAGTTACCTCCCACCGAGTCCCTCCCACCACACGTGGGGATTATGGGAACTACAATTCAAGATGAGACTTGGGTGGGGACACAGCCAAACCATATCAGAACCGTAAGTTAGACTTAGCTGACAAGGAATTCTGAGTGAGATTTGGATGCCAGAAGTGAAGTAGCAGCCATTACTCCATAGGGTCAATGTGGTAGATATAGCAAGAGACAAAGCAGAGGTACCAATAGATTCCAGGTCGTCTCACTCTCCTCCACTTCAGCTCTTCTTCCCAGTTGCCAGGCTGTGTTCAAGAGCGACCCAAGAACCACCACCAGACACAGAAGCAACATGATCCCATCCCAGCAAAACTGCCTGGCTTCCCAGAGTTTTTGCAAGCTCTGACTTGTCCTCCCATGCCATGCTTCAGAGCTGGTTACCAACTTTTCTTTGATCCTCCAATTCCCTCTTTGGAACCTTATTTCCCCACTTTGCCAGTAAGGTTTTATCCCAATAATACATCTCTAAGCCATAACCTTCAGAGGGTTTTTGCTTCCATAATTGACCCTGGCTAATACAATTGATATGGGCCACAGTTAGCAGTCCTAAAGCACATGTCCAAGAGGTTGTCAGTATACTGGCCTGAGGATTCAGTCAGGTAAGAATCAGAGAAAATTAAAAGGTCAGGTGAATAAAAGAACAAGGAGACAAGAGAAAAGAAAAGAGGACCAAGAAGATAAACAAGAAGATCATCTGGAGAAAGCATTTATATGGGTGTTAAGGGGTGATGAAATGGGCATAATAATATATGTATTTCATTGATTGTTGTAAGTCAATACATGTAAAGATGTTAGCACAGGGCTTGGGAACTGTGGGTGGTGAACTGAGGGGTGAAATATACACAGCTGAAATGTCATGCTGCCATCTTACTCTGTCTCTGGTTCCCAACACTGCATTTGCCAAGGATGCTTTTCATTTTCCCTTTTGCTCCACGGTCTGCAGCTATTCTCTGCCCACTCCTTAAATCAATCCCAGGATCCTTCTCTATATTCTACCTTCCACATGTAGACTGGGGAATTTTTACAAGTTCTTTAAGACTGAGCAAATCTTTTCCCATCCCACTACCCTATCTTATCAAACTTTATAGGCACTGGGGCCACAGGACAAACAATACTTCCAAAGTCAAGTTTAAATACATGGAAACTCTTTTCCTGCCCATTTCTTATATCAATACCTGATTCAACCTGAAATCATCCTGTTCTATCATAGTTTACAAAAGTACTTCAATTGGAGTCTTAAGAAATTTAGTCCAAGAATGTGAATTTCTGATCCTCTAATTTAGGGTTTGTGCTCAGAAAACAGAGGGCCATGGTATTCCTCCTTCTGGTGCTCACTGACTTATTGAGAATGATGTTAATAAAAAAAATTTATTGGACCATGACTATGTGCCAAGCCCTGTGCTAAGATCTTTACATGTATTGACTTACAACAATCAATGAAATACATATATTATTATGCCCATTTCATCAATAAAGAAACTGAGGCTTAGAGAGGCTAACTAGTTAACCCAAAGTAATACATCCATAAGTTGCACCACCTAAATTAATAGGAAAATTACGTGAGACTCCTAAGCCTAAGACATTTGATTACCAAGTACTACTGCTTCTTTCACCACCACCACCCCAAAATTACCACTGTACAAAATCCTGCGTACATTTTCAGAAGCTTCACAAACCCTCATTTACTAATTCTATAGAAAAATAGCCTAAACCATCAACTTCCTTAAATAATAGCAATACCAACTAGGTTTTAAAGAGAGCTAAACAGCTGGTCAGATAAAACTGCTATTATCCTAGAGAGTTCTATTAGGGGTCTGTGATATATCATCTCCAGAAATAGCTACCATCAATTCCTGCCTTCCCTGTTCATATGTATCACTCCACATTGAGAGACAGAGATAATTTCACCGCCCCCCGCCCCCCTCCACCTAGAAAGAGGTCTTCCCTGGAAAGAGATCAGGCCACTGTGCCCAACCGAATGCAGTGGAAGTGACTTTCTGAACCCTGGCCTTAAGAAGAGGATACCTTCCACTTACCTCCTCTTGGAATCTAGCCACCATGTCATGGCAAGACCAAGCCAAAAAGAGAAGCCACATGGAGAAGAGCAAGATTCCTGAGTCAACAGTCAGAGCCCACTAGCAATCATGTGAGTGTTCCACTTTGGAGATTCCAGCCCAGGGGAGCCCTCAGATGACTCCAGTGCCAGTCAACATCATGTAGAGAAGCTCCCAGTGGAGCGTAGTTAACATGCACACCTTGAAGATATGATTAAATAGTTGCTGTTTTAAGCTACTAAGCCATCAGTTATGTTTGTTTTGCAGAAACGGGTAACAGAAACTGAGTCTAAAGACTGGCTTTTCATCTTTCAGTGCTATTGATTAGGATGCAATCCATATACATTTCGTTACCTGTAGGACATCTAAGTTGCAAAGTTCATATGTTGCTACAAAAGTAAATAATTTGATTTTTTGTCTTACATAAATGAAAAGTCATTTCATCTGTTAATAAGACTGACTGCTGAAGAACATGTAAATTAGAACTTAAAATGCCACTTTGAATCATTTCCAGTACTTAAAACCTGTGCTTTGTGGATATAAATATTTGCTGTGGCAGGAAGCCATACCTTCAGTTCTTCTAAAAACTATTGAGTTATAAAAACAAAATCTAAAATTAAGGAGACCTAGGACACAGCACTATTTATAAAACTCTGTTCCGGAATTTCATCTGCAAGGCTCTGTTCCTTTTCACCCTGGTTGTCATGGTAGTATTGCAATAAAAGCCTCTCTAGAGCACAAAAGATTTGGAATACAAATCAGCATCATCAAGATTGGCACATAGAAGGTCCCTGTCTAAGGAAATAAAGATCAATATATTCTAAAATTGATCTAAAATGGACTTAAGAAATCAAAGATAAATAAACTCTAAGGAGTTAAATTCTAAATGTATTTTTATAATCAGTGTCTAGAAATCAAATATAAATTAATCATAAACTAGACTTTTCTCAATTAAGGGTAACAGACCAAATCAAAACTATAATAGCAATCTGTGCCCAAACTCAGCTTGTTCCTCATCTAGGATATTAGACTGGGAGTCCCAGACCAACCATTTATTGAAAATAAAGCCAGACTACAGATGAGAGAGGATATATAGAAGACTGATAGGTCTGAAACTTACAAGAGAGAACATCATTGTTTCCTATAATTTTACCTTTAATATGCTTCTATTTAGCAACTTATCAAAATTACTTTACATTCCATGACAACACAGAAGTTGGTAAGATATCTAAAACAAGTTAAATGAGAGAAAAAAAAGGAATCTTGGAAATCAAAATTTGTGATAGTTATTTAATATCATCAAATTTGGATAGTCAACCTTTAATGCTATTTTCTCACTATTCCTTTATTCAACTGACAGACATTGAGTCGTAATATGTAGTGAGGTTTCAGAAATGAAAAAGACAGATTTTCAGATTGAACCAGTTCTCAATATGGTATGACAAGATACTCATATCCAAATGCTTCAGAAATGTAGCAAACGGGAGGGAGTAGACAGCTCTCCTCAGATAAGTCTGAGAATTCTTCACAGAGGAATACTTGTTTCAGTTTAGTCTTATTCTTAAAGGACAAATACTTTACTCTTGAAAAACAAGGGTATTCTGGGAAAATAGAACAGCACACACACAAAGAAAATCACCTTGGAGCAGTACGCAAGATGATTCAATAGGGAGTAGGCTCGATATAGTTGGATAAAGAGGAGGAAAGAGAGGGACACAGAGGAGGGAGGGAGTAAAAGAAAGAAATGGAGAGAGAGAGAGCTAGAAATAGAGATGGCGAGAGAAACAGAGAGAGAGATAGGGAGATACAGAGAGTGGTAGAAAATGTAAATACAGGTTTCCAGAACACTAATGGAATCCTTGGACGAATGGCTTTTAATTGATGAATTATCTACTGCAAATCATTCTTATTCTAGTTAATATATGTTGTGTATAAAATTAAAAGATTCAGAACCTTAAAAGTTTGTTCTTAATATTTGCCAAAATAATGCCGAATAATTTTGCTAAAACCACAGTTAGGCTAGGTCGACTGAAAAAGTACAAATTTGGGAAGGTAATGGAGAAATATAAACCAGAATTTATAATTAAATAAGTAAAGCAAATTAATGAAATTTGTAATGTGTTTTTAACATAATATTATAATAATGTTGTATTTGTAAATACAATATTATAAATATAAATATGAATACCACAATTTTAAATCTAGTACTCTACCATTCCATTTCCTTTTGCAAGTCCTATAAAGTAAGGAATTACATTAGAATAATTTTTTTCTTCCCTTACAGGTACTCCAAGATAAACTGGAGTTTTATAATATTAGTTATTAAATAGTTTGAAAACCATATCACACATGAAGACAATAACTTTTGCCCAGATAAACAGAACAAAAGGAGTAGGGGAGATAGATCATGTTTGATTTTTGTTTTTGTTTTTTGAGTCTCTCTCTGTCACCCAGGCTGGAGTGCAGCGGCGCAATCACAGCTCACTGCAGCCTCAAACTCCTGAGCTCAAGCAATCCTCCTGCCTCAGCCTCCCAAGTAGCTGGGACTACAGGTGTGTACCACCTCGCCCAGCTAATTTTTTGTAGAGATGGAATCTCCCTGTGTTGCTAGGCTGGTCTCAAACTCCCGAACTCAAGCAGTCCTCTTGCCTCAGCCACCCAAAGTGCTAGGATTACAGGCTTTGTTATTTAATGTGCAAGAAGAAATCAGAAACCTGAGATCTCTCCCAGTGTGTTGTCAGCGTCCATGGATTCTCTCATCACCCAATAGGGATTTCATACAATAAAAGCATGCAATTAATACCATTCTTCTTTTCTTTTTATGCTTTCCAAGTATAAGATAATTCCAAATAGCATAAATTTTGAAGTTATTTTGAAATAGAAACATGATAAAGTACATTCAAGCAAAGGGCCTAAAGACAGGAGCAGAAAGAAGGCATCTCACCATCTATCAATTGTGATAATCTAGGAGGAGCTACGTGTAAATTAAGATACCATGAATGGAAGTGCAGTGGATGGACAAACACAAGAGGTGTTAAGAAGACAGAACTGGGTGGCTTAGTGGTTGGTTGGAATCAGAAATTAAGGAAGAAAGGAAGAGTCAAAAGTCATTTCCAGGATTCAATTTGAATGACAGCCAAATAGATTCTATTTAAATCAGAAGTCAGACTGTATTAGTCTGTTCTCATGCTGCTAATAAAGACATACCCAAGACTTGGTAATTTATAAAGGAAAGAAGTTTAATTGACTCAAAGTTCCACATAGCTGGGGAGGCTTCACACTCATGGAGGAAGGTCACATCTTACATGGCGGCAAGCAATAGAGCTTGTGCAGGGGAACTCCCATTTATCAAACCATCAGATCTTGTGAGATTGATTCACTACCATGAGAACAGTATGGGGGAAACCACCCCCATGATTCAATTATCTCCATCTGCCCCCACCTTTAATATGTGGGTATCGTTACAATTCAAGGTGAAATATGGGGGTGGGGCACACAGTGAAATCATATCATTGACCATGTCACTTTCTCTCCCCAGATCCTTCCAGTGGGGTTCCCTTGCTTTCTCAGAGTCCTGAGCTCATCCCCTAATACTCTCCCTTTTGCTCTATGCCAGCCACACTGGCATTCTTGCTATTCCTCAAACACACCAAGCATGCCTTAGGTTTTGCACTGGTCATCTTCAATGCCTAGAATATTTCTCCATCAAATATCTGCTGCACTCCCTTGCTTTCTTCAAGTCTTTGAAGACTTGAAGAAATATAATACATACAACCTACAAAATCTGTGTTAATTGATAGTTTATATTATTGGTAAGGCTTCCTGTCAACTTAGGCTATTAGTAGTTAGATTTCTGGGGAATCAAAACTTATATGTGGATTTTCAGATGTTTGGTACTCCTAATCCCCAAGTTGTTCAAGAGTCAATTGTACATGTGAATCACACCAAAGCTGTAAAGTTTTCTTTAAAACTTTGTCTTCTCTACATTAAATCCTAATGATTTTGTTTCTTATAGTATATGTTCGCTTCTCTAAATAGAGAACTCACTAGCAGAATTTTGTACTAATTTCATTTATATTTTTATTCCACCAATAAAAATGCAAATTAATGTTCAAGATGTCCCTGGCAATTGAGATAATAATTTATGTATGCTTTAAATTAAACAGTGCTGAATAAAACAGCAGAGAATTAAAAGATCAAAAGAAATAAAAATGGTGATAATTTTTAATGCAAAAATTGAATATCCAAAGCCAAGTTGGAAAAAACATTTAAATATTACATTTTATGTCTATTGCACTTTTATGGAGCAGTTATTATTAAAAATACATTCTCCATACAATAGACAAAGCAAGTAATATCAAATATCTGCTTGTATGTTTGTTGCTTGTATCTCTCACTTCCAAAAAAAGTTGAAGAAGCTGACAATAAAAGACAAATATAAGAGAGGAGCATTAAAATTATTTATTTTTAAAAAGAGCCAGGCTGGGCCTGATGACTCAAGCCTGTAATCCCAGCACTTTGGGAAGCCAACACCGGAGGATCACTTGCAGTCAGGAGTTTGAGACCAGCCTGAGCAACATGTTGAAACCTCATCTCTACCAAAAAATAAAGAGTAAGCAGTCATGGTAGTGTGCACCTGTAGTTCCAGCTACTTGGGAGGCTGAGGCAGGAGAATCCCTTAATCCCAGGAGTCTGAGGCTGCAGTGAGCTATGATTGCACCACTGCTCTCCAGCCCAGGTGACAGAATGAAACCCTGTCTCTAAACAAATAGAAATAGAAATAAATAATAAATTTAAAAAGAGCCAGTGATGAACAGGTGAATATAGTACTGCTGAAAAAAATGTTATTAAGGATAGTTGCCAAAACTGAGCAAAACATCTAGCTCTGGGCTTCCACATAGTCAAGACACAAAGGACTCCTATAAATTAAGTTGCACTCTTTGTTTAAGGTACTAATTGTGTGCAGCAAGACTGTGCTACTATAATGGAAAGAAAACATTTTCCTTTCTCACAGTAGTTCCTTATCAGATAATTACATTGTTGTATTCAAATTTTCAAAAGCAAGGTTGCTGCTATTTCCTCAAAACTTTCTCTTTTTTTTTGAGAGTCTTAGTCTGTCACCCAGGCTGGAGTGCAGTGGTGCAGTCTCAGCTCACTGCAACCTCTGCCTTCCAGGTTCAAGCAATTCTCCTGCCTTAGCCACCCAAGTAGCTGGGATTATAGGTATGTACCACCATGCCCAGCTGATTTTTATATTTTTAGGAGAGATGGGGTTTCACCATGTTGGCCAGGCTGGTCTTGAACTCTTGGCCTTAAGTGATCTGCCCACCTCGGTTTCCCAAAGTGCTGCGATTACAGGTGTGAGCTGCTGCACCCGGCCCCACCATCCTTTTGAGCATTTCCATGAACTCAGGACTTGCCCCTGCTATGGTGTGAATATTTATGTCTATGAGCCCAGAAGTGGGCCCTCATCAGACAACAAATCAGTTGGTGCCTTGATCTTGGACTTCCCATCCTCCAGTCTCCAGAACTCTTAGAAATAAATTTCTATTGTTTATGACCCACCCAGTTTGTGGTATTTTGTTACAGCAGCCTAAATGAGTAAGGCAGCGCACTTCAGTTAGAAATTTAATAAAGTCACGTGCATAAAGCAGTGGTTTCCAAAACTGATGATCAGAATCATATGTGAAGCTTCAACAATTCAAATTTTGATTTTGTTATCTGCCACCTGGTGGGTATGCAGCTCTGTCACTTTGGTAATAAGGTCTATTACCCTTTCAGCAGGAGCATCTAAAATCTGAGAAAAGCTTAATATTTTACTATTATTATTTTTTTTCTTTTTTTGAGACAGGGTCTGGCTCTGTCGCCCAGGCTGAAATGCAGTGGTACAATTTCAGCTCACTGCAACCTCTGCCTCCCAGGCTCAAGCAATCCTCCCACCTCAGCCTCCCGAGTAGATGGGACTATAGGCACGCACCAGCACACTCAGGTCATGTTTTCTTTTTAATTTTTTGTGGAAATGAGGACTCACTATGCTGTCCAGGCTGGCCTCAAACTCTTGGGCTCAAGTGATCCTTTTTCCTTGGCCTCCCAAAGTGCTGGGATTACAGGTGTGAGCCACCCTTCCTGGCCTACTATTTTTCTAATCATTCAAAAATACACAAAAGAAAGAAATGTATAAGAAAAAAGCAAATGTATAAGAAAAGAGAGAAATGTATAAGAAAAAAATTAAAATCCCCTGTATATAACAAAAAAATTAAAATCTATGTGGTTAATCTACCACATAGAATTAACCATTATTAACATCGGGTATCTTTTCTTCCATAATTTATTCTATATATGCATATACAGAAAAGGTAGAATTTAATATGTATATTTCTGAAGTTTTGGTAAGAAAGTCTTAAAAGGATGGAGAGGAGAATCTGTATGTTTTTCAAAAGATCAAGATCAGTATCCCTATTTTTTTGATGTAAGTATATGAGGAATCTTTTGTCCATTTGTCCCCATTCACATGTCTAGTGTCCTAGCCCACCTTCCAGTCACCCAAATGCTTAAAGTCAGACCGAGCAGCAGAACAGGGGGCAGATGTGGCTCTTGGAGACAGCAGGGCACATTGTGCGTGGTCTCAGCTGCTGACCATTTTCATCATTCTCCGTGGAAACACCAAGGGATGGGTGGTGACCAACATTCCTGCACTTTTATAAACATTCACTGAGTAGAGAGTCACTGAGTCAAATAGTTCCAAAAGCATAAGCAGGTGACTTTTAAAAACACATTTACATATGATTAAAAGCTGGGTCATCAAGACACTTTGCAAAGGCTGAGAGCTTAAGTGGAAACTTCATTAGTTTCATGTGCCGGAGGGAAACGTTGAAGCTAGGCTGCACCTAGGATGACGTGGCTTTACAGTGTGCTAGGTTAAGTCAACCTTTACCTAGAGAGTTATGAGGACAAACGGTCAGCGGTATCAGCTGAGATGGAGCGGACACTCATCCTACAGTGACTCAGCATGACTCATCAGGGCTCTGAGCTTAGGCATAGATTCTGTAAATGACAGGGAGGCATTTTATTCACTTGAGCTATTACAGTGTTGGCTTTCCCAAACAATGAAAATGACTCAAATTGCTGAGGGGAAAAAAATTGCAGAACTTCCTTTTTTTATCCCTTTGAAGATTGTTACTTTCCAGGCTAACCTGATCTATAATATCAAGAAAAAATAGAGAGAAAATTGGGGGAAACACAGACACACAAGAAAATTTGGGGAGGTAATGCATATAATTAGTATCTTGGTTGTGGTTCTGGTTTCACGTGTGTATGCTTATATCCAAACTCATCAGGAAGTATGAATTAAATATGTGCAATCTTTTATCTGTCGATTATACCTCAATAAAGCTAAAAAAGAAAATTTAACAGATATTGTAAGAGTTATAAAGTTTAAACCAGTGAAAGTCATAAAGGAAAATGTGACATCAAATGATGAGGATGATAAGCAGTTCCAGGTATCAGGGAACAGCAGCAGGTAAATGCAATGATAGGCTTCATGGGAAAACACTGCTGGAGTGGAGGATGTAAGACAAGCGTGTCATAATAATACAAGAACATCATATATATTCAAACTGGAGCTTCCTATTCATGCAGTAGATTGGAATCATTATAGAATTTTAACTCCAGTGCCTAACAGTGGGTACAAGTCTCACCTTCCTCAACTCAATGAGGCTGATTCATTTGCTTTCTGCCTCTCTACTTAGCCATAAATCAACATACAGTGTATTAAATTCCTGCAATGAACCCAGCTCTGTTCACCCACTCACTACTTATTTATTTATGTATATGATTTGCACAAAGACATGGAAAGGAACTATAGTCTTAACATTTCTTCAATATGTGTATTAATTAGGTCTGGTAGTTAGGGAAATGGGTTAAAGGCATTCTGAAACCATTTTTTAAAACTCAAGGAGCAACAGGTGAAAAAAATTAATAAGTGAGGTAAGTTTGAAAGAAGAGAATGGCCTTCTGGACTGAGAAATTACAATGAATAAATTAACTTAGTCTAGAACAAACTTTGGTGTGAACTGGGAACAACCAGGGTACACATAATTACTGAAGAAAAAAGGTCTGCAGGGAGATATGGAAAACTAGTGGAAAATAAAAAACAGACAGTATAGGCTTTTAAAGTATGAAGATTAAAATGTACCTTAAAGGCAATATGGAACCTTCGTATATTGTCAAGCAATAGTGAAGTTTTGCCAGCACTGGTTAACCCAAGAAGAGCATACAGCACAGATATGGAGAATCACCAGGGACCTTCCATGGTAATACAGCTGTGAACGAATGTTAGCCTAATTTGCAGTACCAGCAGTGAGAAGATAGAGAAGAGAGAAAAGCTGATTTCCATGTGTCTAACCTGGGAGATGAGCTAAGTGTTAGTTCCTAATAACTCTGAGTGGAAAAAAAAAAAAAAGTTCCCCATCACATATGACATCAAATCTAACTTTTTGATCTGGCAGTCAAAGCCCAACAAAAGTTGATTCTTTTCTCCCCATAATGCATTATTTCAGTCATTTCCCTCCTACTATATTTATTTAGTTGCTACTATTCACCCAGCCAGTGCTAGGTACCAATTTATGGCATTACTCCAGACTTCACTCCTGCTTCAAATGTGCTGCTCTGTAGCAGTTAGTGCCCCAATTTATATACCAAAATACAAGGTGCATTATTGCCTCTGGCATATACTCTAGCACATGTTCACCTTCTTCCGCCTATTCATAACAAATTTATCAATATGTTCACATCCCATCAGTACTAAGAAAGATACTTTGAATACTTCATCTCTCCTTTCTTATCCATAGTATATCTCCTTTCTCAGCCCACACGAATAAATTTATATGGCCATAATTCTGCAGTTATTTAGCATTAATAGTCTTAGTCTTCCCTTCAATTGTATTGAAATGTTATCAAAAATAGAACTGTACATTATCTGGACTGTTATCAAAAGCAGAACTGTATATTCTATCTCTTGTGAGTCATCTGGTGCTGAACAAATACTGCATATACTACTTGCTATTTATAGTTAGGGAAATTCATAGCCAAAAATAAAATCCAAATATTTACTTTGCTTCATTAATTCTCTTATATCATGAAAAATGAGAGTTTTGCAGTATAATAGGAAAATTAAAACATTTGCAAAATATCAACACCAAAAACAAATTTATTTTGAAATTGTTTCTAGTCTGGAAAGGCATACATATATAGCACAGATATGGAGAATCACCAGGAACCTTCAGTGGTAGTACAACTGTGAATGGATGTTAACCTCATTTGCAGTACCAGCAGTGAGAAGAAGACTTTTGGGATTATCTTTAAATCTGTAATCATAATTTAATTGTTACTGTAATTTCTGTCACTATTCAGACTACTGTTTTTATTCTCTATATCTGTATACTCTTTTCCTCTGAGAATATTTTCAAGAGTATTTTTGTTCCAAGAAAACAATATTTTCAAGAAATACTGGTTCCAAGAAAACAATATTTTCAAGAAATACTGGTTCCAAGAAAACAATGTAGCCTACCTTAACTAGAGGAAAGCTGTCAGGCAAGAAAAACATAAGATGTATAAAGAAATAAACAAACAAGATCAAAGAAACATTTTTCAGTCCAGTGAACATACATTAAATTTCAAAAAAGTATTTAAATATGTTGAAATATGAATGAAATATTCAAGTATTAGGATTAATCAGAAAAAGTATTTGCTTATTCATTTTATCTAGCAAAATCTATTGGATATCTATTAATATCAAAACTCCTGTATCAGAGGAGAGTCCCCATTTTCTCAGCCACAAAAAGAGTAATAACAGTACCTGTCTTGTAAAGTTGCAAGAATTACATGACTTTATTTGCATAAAATGCTAAAATGAAAAGCTAACATGTGTGGTATTGATTTGGGTATAGGACAACAGAAGACAAAGAAACTTCATAGGAGGCTGGACAATTTGTGAGAAAACTATTATTGTTCCACCCATAACGCCTGTTATGGGTGGCTAGAAATATAACAACTTGTGTTACATAGTAACCAAAAGATGGCTACCACTGTCACCTGAGATAAAGAAAGAAAATAAATATGTGAACCTGTGCCTCATGGTTTCCAGGCAAAATGTTGAAAGTGTCAATCAGTTGCTTTTAGGTGCATTTGGAAAGGCTCTATGAGAAAGGCACAACCTCAGAAAACAACTGGACACCTTGGCAAGCAGAATGAGAGGGAACATAGAAAACCAAAAGCTGGCTGGGTAAAATAAGGCTGAGACCTACTGGGCTGCATTCCCAGATGGTTAAGGCATCCTAAGTCATAGGATGAGATAGGAGGTTGGCACAAGATACAAGTCACAAAGACCTTGCTGATAAAACAGTTTGCAGTAAAGAAGTCGGCCAAAACCCACCAAAACCAAGATGGCAACGTATGACCTCTGGTCATCCTCACTGCTACACTCACATTAGTACCATGACAGTTTACAAATGCCATGGCAACGTCAGGAAGTTACCCTCTATGGTCTAAAAAGGGGAAGCATAAGTAATCCACCCTTTGTTTCACATATAATCAAGAAATAACCAAAAAAATAACCATGCTCTGTTTACAGAGTGGCCATTCTTTTATTCCTTTACTTTCCTAATAAACTTGCTTTCATTGAAAAAAAAAAGAAAAGAAAACCAAAAGCTTATTAACTAAAACACTGAACTCTTTCCCTTCTCCAGCTTCTCCAGCCACTAGATTTTCAAATTAGGTTATAGCCCCGTATCAAAGACCAAGGCAAGAGTGTAGCCATCTCTAGATGATTTCAGTAGGCTGTCTTACTGACAAAAACAGCATCTATAATATTTAGGGGCATGGTCCCACAGATGCAATATGCTTAAAATACTTGTAATTAAGTATAGAGAAAATGATGTATTAAAAATAATTGTGAGTATATTTTTGGGCAAATAGAGTTAACTGGAAACAGATACACAGAAAACCCACAAAGTTTTTGAGAGAGACGTATTAGCAAAAGTTGTACTAGCCTATTGTATGTGTAAAAAGGCTTCTGGGCTTCCAATTTCTCAGACAGGAAGAAAGCTGAGGATGCTATTCTATCATCAAAAAACACATATTCTCCACTGTCCCTGTTGGATTTAGGTCCAAATTAAATGATCAAATTTTTTAAACTTTGAAAAGAAAATATAGGATTTCCTATTGCATTAGGGATGGGAAAGAATTTTAAAAATACAGAAAGCATAAACCATAAAGAAAAGGATAGATGCATTTAAATTAACATTAAAACTTCCATGGATCAAAAATATGATTAAAAGAGTGTGAAAAACTGTATACTGGGAGAAGGTATTTGAAATATATAAAAATAACAAAAAGTACAGTACATATATATGAACTACCACAAATCAGCATAATAAAAAGCAAACACAATAGAGAAAGGAGCAATAGATATGAACAGGCAGTTTACAGAAAAGGAAATCAAATGACCAACAGCATGAGAAAAGGTAGTCAAATTCACTAGATGTCAGCAGAGAAATGCAAACTAACACAAAAAAGGATACTATTTCATACCCATCAATTTGACAAAAATTAAAATATTGGCAAATACTTGTCAAAGTTTGAGAAATGGGAACTTTTAGCCATTGCTGGTAGAAAAAATGCAAATTGGTATAAACACTTGGAAAGCCACTGGCAATAGTTAGCAGTGTTTAAGGTGTGCATGCCATGAAATGTAACATTTCTACTTCTAAGCAACAAGCCCTAGAATAATTCTTGCTCAGGATGCCAAGGAAATATGTATACAAGTTTCATACAGCATTATTTATAATTGCAAATAATTGGAAACAACCCAAATATTCATCAACAGGTAATAGATAGACAAATTCATATTCCTACAATGAAATCCTAAACAACAGTAAAAAAATGAACTGAAGCTTTATGTCATGTATCAACATTAATGAACCCCACAAATATAATGTTGAATATATTTGTATATATGATACACCACCACAGACAGAGCTTTTTAATGTGCAAGAAATTCTTTGTAAAGTTTACAGATATAAGTATATGCAGTAAAATTGTAAAGGTATCAATGAGGGTAAAAAATGATAAATTCTGGGAAACAGTATGCCTGAAGAAAAGAGACTGAAATGTAATTGGGGAACAGCACAAAGAGAAATTTGGCTACATCCCTAATGTTTCTCCTTAAACTTGGAGTTGTGGACATCGGTTGTCACTATATTAGTATTATATTTTAAACGTTAGTATTATATTTTAAACCTTACTTTATGGAAAATTTTAAATATATACAAAAGTAGAAAAATACTATAATACAGCACCATGTCCTACACATTACCCAGCTTCAACTTTTGTAATTTCATAGACTACCTTGTTCAAGACATAGTCACATCAAAAACCTCACACAAGCATTATTGCTAAAGAAACTGAAGGAATTATATTATTTCATCCATTAATACCTCAGCGTGAATAACACTCACTGGGGCCTTTCGGAGGGTGGAGAGTTGGGAGGAGGGAGAGGATCTGAAAAAATAACTAATGGGTACTAGGCTTAAGACCTGGGTGATGAAATAATCTCTACAACAAACCCCCAAAACACAAGCTTGCCTATGTAACAAACCTACACTTGTACCCCTGAACTTAAAAGTTAAAAATTTTTTTAATTTAAAAAATAAAATAAAAATAAAAATAAAAAAATCAGTATGTATATCCAAAAGATAAGAACATTTTAATATAATCACAATACCATATTATGTCTTTAAAATTAGCAATAATACCTAATATTATCAAATGTATGAATTGTCCCAATTTTTTATTTTTTTAAAAAATCTGCTCAAATCCAAATTTATAGCATGTGGTTGATACATGTCTTAAGTCTCTCTCATCCCATAGGTTTCCCTCCAGTTTTTTTCTTTTGCAGTTTATGTACCAAAAAAAACTGACCATTTTTTCCTGTAGTGCTTCTCTCAGTCTGAACTTTGCTGATCACATTCAATGTTAATTGTTCCTCTGCCTCTTGAATTTCCTGTAATTTAGTCATGAGGCCTAGAGTCATGATTAGATTCAGGTTTGATTCATGGTAAGAATATTTTTTAAGTGACACAGTATGTTGCTATCAGGACATACATAATTTCTGTTTTTCTCCATTTTTGTGATGATAGCAGCAACTGATGATCATTATCTAATCCTGTCAGTCATTAGTAATCACAAAATTGTAATTTTCTAATGCTGTCATGTCTTCTTCATTTATTAGCTGCAATTCTCCTTTAAATAAAAACTTCCATCATCAACTGTTTAAATTCAGTTCATATTGGAAAGGAAGAGTAAATGCCTAATTCTTACCTTTTATATATCACTTTTCAAAATAATGAGTTGGTTCCCCAGCATTTTCCAAAGGCAATCAATGAGATTTTTGTTGTTGAAATATTTTGGCTGGGAGCAGTGGCTCACGCCTGTAATCCCAGCACTTTGGGAGGCCAAGATGGGTGGATTGCTTGAGCCTAGGAGTTTGAGACCAGCCTTGGCAACATGGTGAAGCACCATCTCTACCAAAAATACAAAAATTAGCCAGTCTCATAACCCAGTCTCAAAATAAACAAAGATTAAAATGTAATAAAAAATATTTCATAAGTATTTTAATGAGTGAAAAGAAGCCAATAGATTAGTTCTAGTTAATGAAATAACCCTCTTAAGAATTTTGAACAGGTGAAAAGGCAACAATAAGATAGGAATGTAGGAACCAGCAGTATTAAGGGAAGTGCTAGCCTTTAAATAGGAAAAATAGAAGAAATTGATCTTATAATATTTGTTTTACTTAGAAATGAATCCAAAAAGAAATATTTAACAGTTGTATTTATTGAATGAACTTTTTGTAAAATAGGGGGATAAAAAGGCAAACCATCTTCTTCACTTACTCACAGAATAAATGTGGCTTAAGTAAATGTAAAGAAAATGCCAGAAAAGGGGGTTCCACGAAACAAAGATTGTTCTGGGTGAATGGTGTGCATGCTGAAAGACCCTGCTAATCTGCGAGGGGTAGGTCACAAAATTTTCTAGCAGTGTCACAATGAAGGAGACACCATCTGCGGCATGATTCACACTATCTATAAATGTTAAAGCAAAAAATCAATGGCTCAGAAGACAAACAACTATTCTTCCTAGAGCAATCAGAGAAATTTCTCCAAAGACCATCATAAGTAACATACACAAAAGGCAACGTGCTAAAAATATTTAAAAGAGAATTTTACTGCCTCCCTCGCACTCTCACAATTCAGGCACCCAATATCTATTTTGGACATGAACCTTTCATGTAAAGGTCTGTACCTTGCCAAGAAGTAATGTGGCATACCACTTTTTATTGCCATATTTCCAAGTTTTGGATTTTTTTAACAAACTTTATTCTTTAGAACGGAAACATTGCAAAGATAGTACAGAGAGTTCCAACATATTCCACACCCAGTTACCCCTGTTATTAACATTTTATATTAGTATGGCATATTTATTAACAATTAATGAACCAATAGTGATACATTATGATTACCTGAGGTCCATTATTCATTTAGACTTCCTCGGGTTTTCCCTTACATCTTTTTTCTCTTCCAGGATGCCGTTACATTCAGTCATGATGTCTGTTTAGGCTCCTCTTGGCTGTGCAGTTCCTCAGACCTGCCTTGTTTCTGATGACTTTGACCATGTTGAAGAGTATTAGACAAGTACTTTGTAGAACATCCCTCAATTGGGATTTGTCTGATTTTTTTTTCATGATTAGATTATGGTTAAGTGTTTTTGGAAGGAAAACCACAGGGATGAACTGCCATTTTCATCACAACATATCAACTTATCATGGTACATGCTATCATCATTACTTATATCTGATGATGTTGACCTTAATCACCTGGTTGAAGTAGTACTGGTCAAGTTTCTGCACAATAAATTACTCCATGTTTCTCCTCTTTCCATAGTCTACTTTTTTAAAGGAAGTCAGTATACACAGGCCACGCTTAAAGAGTGAGGAGTAATTCCTTCACCTCCTTGAAGCAGAGTACCTAGATTATTTGGAATGACACACCATTTTTACAAGAGATACTGATCAGAATTCGGTGTCTTCCAGAGCAGCTCCAATGTGTTTGCATTTCACCCTGTCTCTATCCGCCTTACGATTGGTATCCTTGCTTTTTCCTCCCAGCCTCCTACACAACATGGCATCCTCTGTGTAGTAGTTCCCAAAGTGTGGTTCCCAGACAGGCGGCATCAGCATCGCTTGGGAATTTGTTAGAAATGCAAATTTTTTGGCCCTACTCCACTCCAGAATTAGAAACTAGGAGTGGAGGCAAACAACCTGTTTTAATAAACCTTCCAAGTCATTCAGGTTTGTTATGGTGTTAGAAGTAAAGACAACCTCTTTTTCTTTCATGCCTATGTTGTCTGCTCTTATGCCAAAATTCCCACTCCTTCATCCTGTGGCTCTAGCAAGTCTTCAGGTTTCCTTCCACATTGATATTGCATAAACTGACCACCTGGTGTTAAGATCTTAATCTCAGAACTCTTTTCTTATTAAACGACCCACAGACAACTCTGGAAACCTGGAAGATTTATGTATTAGACATCCTCCCGTTTTCATTATTAACACATTCCAACCAGTATACTCCATCAAGGGGTCATTCTTGTTTCTGTTCTTCCTAATTTTGGACTGAATTCCTAAAAGGGACTTATTTTGATTGACATCCTGCTGTCTCCATTCTGCCCTTCTTAAGTAATACCAGTAGATTTCTCCTTAGACACTTACTGCCTGCTTGGGTGTGATGTGAGTTGCAAGGCCCTTATTTGAACTTGATCTCCAATAGTTAATTCTCTCCCTGGGAACCACTGTCAGTGTCTTTGATTGTTCCAGGTTTCCACCCCTACCTGCTGCTGCTCCCCTGTGTCCTGGGCTTCCATCTGGTCCAGGAAGCATGTCCTATCTCCTACTGGGAGCCATCGCTGACACTCAAGTTTCTTGATTATTGTTGGTGCCAAGTTTCATTTACACAGTGCACCGAATGATGAATGTCTTGAGACATTTTAAGAGTTGTTCAACAGCTGTACAGCAGTTCTTAAAAATGTAGGGATAAAACAAAGGAGTACATATTCCCATACCATCCATTTTAACTTCACTCTATCACAAAACTATTGAACATAAAATTCTATAGCAAATAAAATATTCATTTCCTCATTCATAAGCAATTTATATGCTTTTTGAGGAGGGCTGTTTATAGTCACAATGTTTTCAAGGAAACTGCTTATAAAAGGATAACTATTGGAAGGAATGCTAAATGTTAATTTGCACTGAAATACCATAAATTCAATCCATCAGGAGCTTACTGAAACCATGAGTCAGCCAGAACCTATTCTCTCATTTATTGACTCACTCATTTGAAAAATATTTCCTGGCATATGCACAATACCTAATCATCCTTGTAGCATCCTTTGTTATATTTGCATTGACACATCTTTCTACTTTTATCTTTTTCTTCATAATTTTTCTCAGTAGACATGTATTGCTGTCATAAAAAAAGAGAAGAAAAAGACTTTAAAACCAATAATTTCATATGCAAGGATACTTTTCTCAAAATTCCACCACAAACTCAGTCAACATAATAGTGAAATGTAAACAAGGATTTTTTAATTTTAAAATATTTAATTGGCAAATAAAAGTCATATATTCAAGGTGTACAATGTGATTATTTGATATACATATACATAATATACTGATTACGATAGCCAGTTAAGTAAGACACTCATCACCACCGATAGTTGCCATTTGTGTGAGGGTAGAGAGAGGTGAAGATACTTATAATCTGCTCTCTTATCAAATTTCAAGTAAATAATACAGTATTATTAACTATAATCACCACACTGTACATCAGATCTCCAGAACTTATTCACCTTGTAATGTTTATATCCACTGACCAAAATCTCCCATTTTCCTCACCTCCTGGCACCTATTATTCTACTTTCTGCTTCTATGAGTTCAGCCTTTTTAGATTCCAAACATCAGTGAGATCATGTGGTTTTTGTTTTTCTGTACCCGGCTTATTTCATTCAGCATAACGTCCTCCAGATACTTCCATGTTGTTGCAAATGACAGGATTTCCTTCTTTTTACAGCTGAATTATATGTGTGAACGTATATATATACACACACACACACACACACACACACATATATATAAAATATTTTCTTTATCGATTCATCCATCAATGGATACTTAGGTTGTTTCTATATCTTGGTTATTGTGAATTAATGCTGTAATGATCATAGGAGTGCAGATATCTCTTGAAAATACTGCTTTATTTCCTTTCAATATATACCCAGAAGTGGGATTGCTAAATCATATAGTGGTTTTATTTTTAATTTTTGGAGGAACCTCTATACTGTTTACCTTATAGGCTGTACCAATTTACCTTCCCACCAACAATGTACAACAATGTTCCCTCTCCAACGTTTGTTTTCTATTGTCTTTTTTATATAGCCATCGTAACAGGTATGAGTTGATATCTCGTTGTGGTTTTAATTTGCATTTCACTGACGATTAGTGATGTTGAGCAACTTTTCATACACCTGTTGGCTGTGTGCAAGTCTTCTTTGGAAAAATGTCTATTCAGGTTATTTGCTCATTTTTTAATTGGGTTATTTGGGATTTTTTGCTATCAAGTTATATGAATTCCTTATGTATTCTGAATATTAACCCCTTATCAGATACATGGTTTCCAAATAGGCAATTTTTTAAACATTTTGTATGACTTGTATCTTCATTTTTAAAGATTAAATGAACTCTCTTGTATATTCTTTGTCCATTCTTCATATGAAGTCATTAGAATAGATTTCCAGGATTAAAATCACTGGCTTAAAGGATATAAAAAAATTTAAGACTATCTATATTGCTAAAATATGTTGACTTCAATTTATAGAAATATATACTATTATTTCTTTTATAGAAATAATTATAGAAACAATTATAGATAAACAATAATTACAGAAATATATACTATTATGTATATATACTAGAATATATAATTTAAAAATAAACAATTATAGAAATATATACTATTATATTAGTAATTATTACATTAATATACATTTAGTGTCAAGTCTGAGTAAAATGCAATAAATTATTTTTTTAAATCACTCATAATGTCTTTTTTTAATTCACTGGTTTAGAAAATAGTCATTTCATTTCTTATTTTATGAATATTTATAGTTTTTTAATTTTAAGCATTCATAGAGATGGGGATAGAGATGTAGAGGTAGAAATAGTTGTAGTTGAGGATGTAGATATAGAGCTGAAATAGATAGAAATAGAGATATCAATATATTAAAATTTAATGATGTAATCAGGAAATGTCTAAGTCATTGTTTCACCAAAATAAATTCTGTGGAACTCTATTCTGACACATTTTATTAGTGTTATCACGAAAAAGTGGTCATAGAAGTTAGGTAAATTCTGTGTTAAAATATGTTAGATTTGTTTGTCTTAGTATTATCTCACTTAACTAGCAAATGCACAATGTGAATCTTTCAGAAGCCATTATATTACGTAAAATTTTCCAAACTTTCCAGGCCACAAAATCATTTTTCAGATGAATATCAAATAAGAATATTGGTCTCTGGGACACACTTCAGGAAGCATGGCTCTAGGTGTTGTTTCATGTTTATTATTTTGCTGAACACTGAATGAGCATTTTTTATTAGATTAATGTCATTTTTAAGATAATGTTTTTTCTCTTATTTCTCTAATTATTGCTTCTGATTCTCTCATCTGTTCTATTTTTCCTTTTGGGGTACTGATTACAATTTAGATTGAATCCTCTAGGTATGACTTTCCTATCTGTCCTATTTTCTTTCATATTTCTAATTTCATCATCCTTTTCTTTTAAATCCTATTTATGTTTCCATTATAATAAAATTTTCCAAGGCCAGGCACAGAGGCTCATGCCTGTAATCCCAGCATTTTGGGAAGATGAGATGGGCAGATTACTTGAGGTCAGGAGTTCGAGACCAGCCTGGCCAACATGGTGAAACCCCGTCTCTCCTAAAAATACAAAAAATTAGCCGGGTATGGTGGTGTGCACCTGTAATCCCAGCCACTTAGGAGGCTGAGGCAGGAGAATCACTTGAGCCCAGGAGACAGAGCTTGCAGTGAGCTGAGATCACACCACTGCACTCCAGCCTGGGCAACAGAGTGTGACTGTCTAAAAAATAAAAGAATAAAATTTTCCATTCAGCACCTCCATCATGGTTTTCTATCTGGTGATTATGTTCTCATCATCCCACAATATTTCCTGATCTCCAATTCCTAGTCACAGAAGTTAGGATGTTTATTGCACATATGCAAATATTTTTCTAAATACTGATACTTTTAGGTATTTTTCTAAAACTCCCTAATAGTAGCTTATGATCAAACCTGAGAGACCTGTGAGACCTTCTCTTGATCAAACAAGCAATGAAAACATGTGTATTTAGTGCAAACATACCTCATCAATTCAGATTCAGCAGCTCAAGTGAATTGGGGAGGAATCAGAAGCATGAAGAGTTTCAGCAGTAGACTATGATATTTGGTCATTCCTCCAACATGATTGTAGAAACCACAATGCCTAGGACATCGGTCCCCCACATGTGTGCACACATACACACCAAGTCTACAACTACACCCACAAGTATGAAGCCTGGATGTTCTTCACCATAATTTCTTCAGTACATACCCAGAACTATGCCTGACTCATAATAAGTTATTAGTAACCTTTTTGCTGCAAGTGACAATAACCCAACTAGAAAACTAGAAACTAGATTAAGAATAAATGGAAAAGTTTGGCCTAAGAAATTAGAAATTCAGAAGTGCATCTAGTTATAGGCATCACTGGACCCAGAGTCTTAAATAATGTTGTCAGAGTTCAGTGTGTCTCTCCCTGTATTTCTCCAAGTGATAGTTTAAGTCTTAGAAAGAGTTCACATTGGTCAAGTTTAGGGCCTTTATTTACCTCTAAATCAAACTCTGTGGTTAGAGGGATGGAGTAAACTTTTGGAACAGGCTGCTACATGTAACCAGCTTCGTTAATATGGTTGAGGGGGGAAGGGCATCGTGGTGTACTAGCCCATTACCACAAGTGAAGGAGAGACAAAGGAACCGGGGTAATGTTGCTAGTTAAAGGAGGAAAGGATCCTACGATTCGCTACTTCCATAAAAGGAGTGTTCAATCAGTATATACTGAATGGAGGAATAGTTTATCTCACAAATATTACAATTCTTCCTCAGGCTTCATGTTGTATGATTTCTCCTTTCAATCCTGAGCTCAATGACGATTTTTACCAGATCCAGTTGAGAGCAAGTCACATGATGGTTTATCCTGAATCTTCCCTTCTTACTTCCTGGGACAGCTATGAATGAACTTCTCTAAAATTATGCTACTGTGCTGGGCGCGGTGGCTCACACCTGTAATCCCAGCACTTTGGGAGGCCAAGGCAGGTGGATCACTTGAGGCCAGGAGTGCAAGACCAGCCTGGGCAACACAGGAAGACCCCATCTCTACTGATAATACAAAAATTAGCGAGGCATGGTGACGCATGCCTGCAATCCCAGCTACTAGGGAAGCTGAAGCATGAGAATCACTTGAACCTGGGAGGCAGAGGTTGCAGTGAGCCGAGATCTTGCCGCCACTGCACTCCAGCAAGATTTTGTCAAAAAGAAAAAAGAAAATTATGCTACTTTGTATGAAATTCCTCACGAATACTATTGATCACTGCAGATTTTATATTTATGTTTGGCTAATACAATGGTCTTGGTCACTTAAAAGTACTAAGAAATAGTCCCAAACAATATTTAATGGATTTGCTAAGGTTTCTTATTAAATAAAGCCTAGCACAGCAATGTGGACTAGCTTAAGGTCAGTTATAATGTATTCTAATACTTCTTGTACCATACAACTAACATCAAGTAGATGGCTGAGAAAGAGACATGGAATTGTTGTAAAAGAGCTCTTTTCAAACAATCATTTTTGATTTTATAAAGTTTATGTCTGAGATTAGCTTATGCCTCTTAAAAGCAGAAAAGCATAAGGACCAAAGAAAGACAGGAATTGCCTATGACTAGCAAACTATATTCACCGTGTAACCTCAACAATGACATTTTAGTTTATTTATAAAGGCACATCTTGTTGGACCTACCTACATTTGGTTAACTCCTTCCTGTAAAATAAAATGTTTATATACTAGGCTTCAAGCCTACCTATGATTAAAAAAAAAACATTGTGCTAACGTCTAACTTAAAGATAGATAGTTCAACAAAGAAACTATCTTTTCAGAGGAAAGACACAATTCCTAAAATTTCTCTGTGTTATTTGCAGCAATCTTTGGAAGACCTGAGAAATCTTCCTGTGCCTGTAGTTTACTAGAAATCTGAAAAAGATTCCAGTCCATTTTCTTGCTGTTTTGCTAGGAATGGTTAATTTTGTAACTAAAAAGCCACTATGTTTAGACAGTTCTTATCCTAAACCTTTATATTTGTATAGAATTTTGGAGTCTAAGTACTTTCATTTCTATTACATTCATTTCTTTTGAGCTTTGTAACAATATTGTAAATTAAGAAGGATATCAAGGTAGGTTCTTATTTTAATGTACAATATTGCGTATCCATAGTATCTGGAACCTGAAACAATTCTAGATTAAAATGTATCTAGAGTTTATGTCTCTTAAAATCAAAAGAGCATAAAGACAAGAGAGGGAGAATGAATATACCATGTGCACACAGTTGCAATGCAGTATTTTAATGGAGTTGTTAAGCCACTCCATCACCAGCAAGAAGGCAATACTTTGTCAGTCTCTAATGAACTGAGTTGATTTAACCAGCCACTTGCTTGTGGGTAGATTACACCATCACCAAATACCACCACTATGATAAATCCTGCTTCATTTATTGCCATAGCATTTTGTAAAATCAGGAACAACTGTTTGAAAAGAGCTTTTATAGAAATTCTAATGTTTAGATGTTTAAAATATTTAGACTCCCATTATAGAATTGTTTCATATATATTTGTAACTTTAGGGAGTAAAATATGTTATGAGGTACAATTTCAAGACATCTCTCATCCTTACATCATTTCACACACACACACACATTCAAACAACATTTACTAACTTCTGGCTTCTGCTTAGAATGTAAGAAACTAGAAAGAGTGTGCTCCCACTGAAGGAAAAAAAAAAGCTGGATAATTTGCAAAATCACAACTATTTAAAACCCATCAAAGAAAGGAACTCAGGGACAACCAACACATCCAAAAGCTTCAAATAAAAGACAGAATGTGAGCACATGTGTGTCTGAAGAGGTTGGAAACTGGTCGAACTAGTAGGAAGAATTCAGCTAAAATTCTTAATAAATTACTGTAGTCCTGCTGTGGGATAGCAAGAGAGTACAGAACTCCTGAGAATCGCACACAGACACCCCCATCAGAAAGGGGACTGATATGGTTTGGCTCTGTGTCCCCACCCAAATCTCATCTTGAATTGTTCTCCCATAATTCCTACATGTTGTGGGAGGCACCCGGTGGGAGATAATTGAATCATGGGGGTGGTTTCCCCCATACTGCTCTCATGGTAGTGAATACGTCTCACAAGATCTGATGATTTTATAAGGGCTTTCTGCTTTGGCTTCTTTCTCATTCTCTCTTCCCGCTGCCATGTAAGAAGTGCCTTTAGCCTTTCGCATGATGGTGAGGCCTCCCCAGCCACGTGGAACTGTGAGTCCATTAAACCTATTTTTCTTCCCAGTCTCGGGTATGTCTTCATCAGGAGCTTTCTCCAGCATCTCCCCGTGCCCCCAGTCTTTCCTGTGATCACCTAGTGAGGTCTGTGGAGAGGCGTCTGCAAAAGGATCTGAATTTTCCTGTGGCTGTGGCTGTCAGGAGCCCTATTCTCCCCAGTTGTTGGCAGATGGCATGTGCATTCCTTGTTGTTGCTGCTCAGATTTATTCTTAGGTAGACACTGTGCCCCTGAATTTCCTGGACAAGGTCTTCTCGGTGAACTTGCCTCTCACTCAATGATAGAAAGTTTCTAATGGTTTGGGCCCAGGACATATTTCTCTCATCCAGGAGTAGAGGGTACTTTTTTCTTTCCTTCCCCCAGATGCATTGGATCTTCATCTGTGACCTGAAGGTCACAAATGTGCTGCCCTTTCCTCAGCAGATTAAGGACTTTGTTCTACAGAGGAGATAGAGAAGAAGGATCTGGGTGCAGGTCCATGCCTTTCCTCACAGTGGCTGCTCTTGCTGTCCCAAAGCAAAATGGTAATTTTTGCTCCAACGATATTAACAATTACATTAAATATCAATGATCTGGCCAGGTGCCTTGGCTCACACCTGTAATCCCAGAACTTTGGGAGGCTGAGGCGAGTGGATCACTTGAGGTCAGGAGTTCAAGACCAGCCTGGGCAACATGGCGAAGCCCCGTCTCTACTAAAAATACAAAAATTAGCCACGTGTGGTTGGACACATCTGTATTCCCAGCGACTTGGGAGGCTGAAACCAGGAAGCAGAGGTTGCAGTAAGCCGAGATCCTGCCACTGCACTCCAGTCTGGGTGACAGAGCAAGGCTCTGTCTCAAAAAAAAAAAAAAAAAAAAAAAAAAAGATATAAACACACAAAAGACAATAAATGTAATCTTAGATTTTAAAAATCTTAAACTAAATGAGTATAGCAAAGTTCCAGGAAGCAAGATCAATATACAAAAACCATTCTATTTCTATATACTAACAATAAATGATTAGAAATTTAAATTTTAAAATATTATTCCCAAAAATATAATTCAATAAGCTATATATCTTCTGGAAAATCAATCATTTGTAATAGTATCTAAATATATGAAATGCTTAAGAATAAATCTCACAAAAGTTATACAAGACTTATACACTGAAAACTAAAAAGAAATGCTAAGAGAAATTAAAGAAGTCCTGGATAAAGGAAGTGACATGTCATGTTCATGAATTCATGGATTGGAAGACTGAATGTTGTTAAATGTCAGTTCTCTTCAATACTGATTTATACAGTCAATCCAATCTACAAAATATTTTTGTAGAATTTGACAAGATGATTCTAAAATGTATATGAAAGTGCACAGGACATAAAATAGCCAAAACAACTTTTAAAAAGAACAAAGAGAACGCATACTATCTGATTTCAAGAGTAAATATAAAGCTATAATAATCAAGACAGTATGGTATTGGCAAGAAGATAAATCACAATGGAACAGAATACAGTTCAGAGGTAGACATACACATGTATGATTAATTCGTATTTAGCGAAGTGTAAAGGCAATTAGTGGAGAAAGAATAGCCTTTTCCACAAATGGTACAGGAAAAATTGGATATCCATTTAAAAAAAAAATAAACTTTACTCCATACCTTTTACCATATGCAAAAAAAAAAATTAATTCAAAATGAATCATAGACCTTAATGTTAAATCTGAAAGTATTTTAGAAATTGAAAAAAATGTTTGACCTTGGGTGAGGCAAAGATTTTTTTTTTAAATCAGCCAGGATGTGGGTGGGGATCGCCCCTGTCCCCGCCCCGCCCCCAAGGTAAAGATTTCTTACATAAGACTTCTAAAAGCATGATTTCTAAGCAAAAAAAAAAAAAAATAGAAATAAAAAGATAAACGGGATTTTATCAAAATTTAGAACTTTTGCTCTTTCACTCAATGGTAAGTGATTGAAAAAATAAGTCACAGACTGGAACAAAATATTTCCAAATTGCACATCTGAAAAAGGACTTGTATCAAGAATACTCATAAAACTCTTACAATTCAATGTTTAAAAAGTCACATAATCTAACAAAATGTTGTGCTAAATATTTGGACACTTCACCAAAGAATATAACTAAATGACAAATGAGTAATAAATAGATACTCAACATCACTAATGATTAGGGAAATGCAAATTCAAACTACAGTGATATTCATTCCATAACACACCTATTAGAATGACTAGAATTTACAAAACTGACCCTAAGGATGTAAAGCAACTAGAAGTCTCATGCTCTGATGGTGGGAATGCAAATATGATATAACCACTTAAGAAGAGTTGAACAGTTTCTTAAAAAGTTAAATATCAGGGGAGGAGCCAAGATGGCCGAATAGGAACAGCTCCAGTCTACAGCTCCCAGCATGAGCGACGCAGAAGACTGGTGATTTCTGCATTTCCATCTGAGGTACCGGGTTAATCTCACTAGGGAGTGCCAGACAGTGGGTGCAGGTCAGTGGGTGCGCGCACCATGCGCGAGCCGAAGCAGGGCGAGGCATTGCCTTACTTGGGAAGCGCAAGGGGTCAGGGAGTTCCCTTTCTGAGTCAAAGAAAGGGGTGACGGACGGCACCTGGAAAATCGGGTCACTCCCACCCGAATACTGCGCTTTTCCGACAGGCTTAAAAAACGGTGCACCACGAGATTATATCCTGCACCTGGCTCGGAGGGTCCTACGCCCACGGAGTCTCGCTGATTGCTAGCACAGCAGTCTGAGATCAAACTGCAAGGCGGCAGCGAGGCTGGGGGAGGGGCGCCCGCCATTGCCCAGGCTTGATTAGGTAAACAAAGCAGCCAGGAAGCTCGAACTGGGTGGAACCCACCACAGCTCAAGGAGGCCTGCCTGCCTCTGTAGGCTCCACCTCTGGGGGCAGGGCACAGACAAACAAAAAGACAGCAGTAACCTCTGCAGACTTAAATGTCCCTGTCTGACAGCTTTGAAGAGAGCAGTGGTTCTCCCAGCATGCAGCTGGAGATCTGAGAACAGGCAGACTGCCTCCTCAAATGGGTCCCTGACCCCTGACCCCCGAGCAGCCTAACTGGGAGGCACCCCCCACCAGGGGCACACTGACACCTCACACGGCAGGGTACTCCAACAGACCTGCAGCTGAGGGTCCTCTCTGTTAGAAGGAAAACTAACAAACAGAAAGGACATCCACACCAAAAACCCATCTGTACATCACCATCATCAAAGACCAAAAGTAGATAAAACCACAAAGATGGGGAAAAAACAGAACAGAAAAACTGGAAACTCTAAAAAGCAGAGCACCTCTCCTCCTCCAAAGGAACGCAGTTCCTCACCAGCAACGGAACAAAGCTGGATGGAGAATGACTTTGACGAGCTGAGAGAAGAAGGCTTCAGACGATCAAATTACTCTGAGCTACGGGAGGACATTCAAACCAAAGGCAAAGAAGTTGAAAACTTTGAGAAAAATTTAGAAGAATGTATAACTAGAATAACCAATATAGAGAAGTGCTTAAAGGAGCTGATGGAGCTGAAAACCAAGGCTCGAGAACTACGTGAAGAATGCAGAAGCCTCAGGAGCCGATGCGATCAACTGGAAGAAAGGGTATCAACGATGGAAGATGAAATGAATGAAATGAAGCGAGAAGGGAAGTCTAGAGAAAAAAGAATAAAAAGAAATGAGCAAAGCCTTCAAGAAATATGGGACTATGTGAAAAGACCAAATCTACGTCTGATTGGTGTACCTGAAAGTGATGGGGAGAATGGAACCAAGTTGGAAAACACTCTGCAGGATATTATCCAGGAGAACTTCCCCAATCTAGCAAGGCAGGCCAACGTTCAGATTCAGGAAATACAGAGAACGCCACAAAGATACTCCTCGAGAAGAGCAACTCCAAGACACATAATTGTCAGATTCACCAAAGTTGAAATGAAGGAAAAAATGTTAAGGGCAGCCAGAGAGAAAGGTCGGGTTACCCTCAAAGGGAAGCCCATCAGACTAACAGCGGATCTCTCGGCAGAAACCCTACAAGCCAGAAGAGAGTGGGGGCCAATATTCAACATTCTTAAAGAAAAGAATTTTCAACCCAGAATTTCATATCCGGCCAAACTAAGCTTCATAAGTGAAGGAGAAATAAAATCCTTTACAGACAAGCAAATGCTGAGAGATTTTGTCACCACCAGGCCTGCCTTACAAGAGCTCCTGAAGGAAGCACTAAACATGGAAAGGAACAACCGGTACCAGCCACTGCAAAATCATGCCAAAATGTAAAGACCATCGAGACTAGGAAGAAACTGCATCAACTAACGAGCAAAATCACCAGCTAGCATCATAATGACAGGATCAAATTCACACATAACAATATTAACTTTAAATGTAAATGGACTAAATGCTCCAATTAAAAGACACAGACTGGCAAACTGGATAAAGAGTCAAGACCCATCAGTGTGCTGTATTCAGGAAACCCATCTCACATGCAGAGATACACATAGGCTCAAAATAAAAGGATGGAGGAAGATCTACCAAGCCAATGGAAAACAAAAAAAGGCAGGGGTTGCAATCCTAGTCTCTAATAAAACAGACTTTAAACCAACAAAGATCAAAAGAGACAAAGAAGGCCATTACATAATGGTAAAGGGATCAATTCAACAAGAGGAGCTAACTATCCTAAATATTTATGCACCCAATACAGGAGCACCCAGATTCATAAAGCAAGTCCTGAGTGACCTACAAAGAGACTTAGACTCCCACACATTAATAATGGGAGACTTTAACACCCCACTGTCAATATTAGACAGATCAACGAGACAGAAAGTCAACAAGGATACCCAGGAATTGAACTCAGCTCTGCACCAATCAGACCTAATAGACATCTACAGAACTCTCCACCCCAAATCAATAGAATATACATTTTTTTCAGCACCACACCACACCTATTCCAAAATTGACCACATACTTGGAAGTAAAGCTCTCCTCAGCAAATGTAAAAGAACAGAAATTATAACAAACTATCTCTCAGACCACAGTGCAATCAAACTAGAACTCAGGATTAAGAATCTCACTTAAAACCACTCAAATACATGGAAACTGAACAACCTGCTCCTGAATGACTACTGGGTACATAACGAAATGAAGGCAGAAATAAAGATGTTCTTTGAAACCAACGAGAACAAAGACACAACATACCAGAATCTCTGGGACGCATTCAAAGCAGTGTGTAGAGGGAAATTTATAGCACTAAATGCCCACAAGAGAAAGCAGGAAAGATTCAAAATTGACACCCTAACATCACAATTAAAAGAACTAGAAAAGCAAGAGCAAACACATTCAAAAGCTAGCAGAAGGCAAGAAATAACTAAAATCAGAGCAGAACTGAAGGAAATAGAGACACAAAAAACCCTTCAAAAAATTAATGAATCCAGGAGCTGGTTTTTTGAAAGGATCAACAAAATTGATAGACTGCTAGCAAGACTAATAAAGAAAAAAAGAGAGGAGAATCAAATAGACGCAATAAAAAATGATAAAGGGGATATCACCACCGATCCCACAGAAATACAAACTACCATCAGGGAATAATACAAACACCTCTATGCAAATAAACTAGAAAATCTAGATGAAATGGATAAATTCCTGGACACATACACTCTCCCAAGACTAAACCAGGAAGAAGTTGAATCTCTGAATAGACCAATAACAGGATCTGAAATTGTGGCAATAATCAATAGCTTACCAACCAAAAAGAGTCCAGGACCAGATGGATTCACAGCCGAATTCTACCAGAGATACAAGGAGGAACTGGTACCATTCCTTCTGAAACTATTCCAATCAATAGAAAAAGAGGGAATCCTCCCTAACTCATTTTATGAGGCCAGCATCATTCTGATACCAAAGCCAGGCAGAGACACAACAAAAATAGAGAATTTTAGACCAATATCCTTGATGAACATTGATGTAAAAATCCTCAATAAAATACTGGCAAAACGAATCCAGCACCACATCAAAAAGCTTATCCACCATGATCAAGTGGGCTTCATCCCTGGGATGCAAGGCTGGTTCAATATACGCAAATCAATAAATGTAATCCAGCATATAAACAGAGCCAAAGACAAAAACCACATGATTATCTCAATAGATGCAGAAAAAGCCTTTGACAAAATTCAACAACCTTCATGCTAAAAACTCTCAATAAATTAGGTATTGATGGGACGTATCTCAAAATAATAAGAGCTATCTATGACAAACCCACAGCCAATATCATACTGAATGGGCAAAAACTGGAAACATTCCCTTTGAAAACTGGCACAAGACAGGGATGCCCTCTCTCACCACTCCTATTCAACATAGTGTTGGAAGTTCTGGCCAGGGCAATTAGGCAGGAGAAGGAAATAACAGGTATTCAATTAGGAAAAGAGGAAGTCAAATTGTCCCTGTTTGCAGACGACATGATTGTATATCTAGAAAACCCCATTGTCTCAGCCCAAAATCTCCTTAAGCTGATAAGCAACTTCAGCAAAGTCTCAGGATACAAAATCAATGTACAAAAATCACAAGCATTCTTATACACCAACAACAGACAAACAGAGAGCCAAATCATGAGTGAACTCCCATTCACAATTGCTTCAAAGAGAATAAAATACCTAGGAATCCAACTTACAAGGGATGTGAAGGACCTCTTCAAGGAGAACTACAAACCACTGCTCAAAGAAATAAAAGAGGATACAAACAAATGGAAGAACATTCCATGCTCATGGGTAGGAAGAATCAATATCGTGAAAATGGCCATACTGCCCAAGGTAATTTACAGATTCAATGCCATCCCCATCAAGCTACTAATGACTTTCTTCACAGAATTGGAAAAAACTACTTTAAAGTTCATATGGAACCAAAAAAGAGCCCGGATTGCCAAGTCAATCCTAAGCCAAAAGAACAAAGCTGGAGGCATCACACTACCTGACTTCAAACTATACTACAAGGCTACAGTAACCAAAACAGCATGGTACTGGTACCAAAACAGAGATATAGATCAATGGAACAGAACAGAGCCCTCAGAAATAACGCCACATATCTACAACTATCTGATCTTTGACAAACCTGAGAAAAACAAGCAATGGGGAAAGGATTCCCTATTTAATAAATGGTGCTGGGAAAACTGGCTAGACATATGTAGAAAGCTGAAACTGGATCCCTTCCTTACACCTTATACAAAAATCAATTCAAGATGGATTAAAGACTTAAACGTTAGACCTAAAACCATAAAAACCCTAGAAGAAAACCTAGGCATTATCATTCAGGACATAGGCATGGGCAAGGACTTCATGTCTAAAACACCAAAAGCAATGGCAACAAAAGCCAAAATTGACAAATGGGATCTAATTAAACTAAAGAGCTTCTGCACAGCAAAAGAAACTACCATCAGAGTGAACAGGCAACCTATAAAATGGGAGAAAATTTTTGCAACCTACTCATCTGACAAAGGGCTAATATCCAGAATCTACAATGAACTCAAACAAATTTACAAGAAAAAAACAAACAACCCCATCAAAAAGTGGGCAAAGGACATGAACAGATACTTCTCAAAAGAAGACATTTATGCAGCCAAAAAACACATGAAAAAATGCTCATTATCACTGGCCATCAGAGAAATGCAAATCAAAACCACAATGAGATACCATCTCACACCAGTTAGAATGGCAATCATTAAAAAGTCAGGAAACAACAGATGCTGGAGAGGATGTGGAGAAATAGGGACACTTTTACACTGTTGGTGGGACTGTAAACTAGTTCAACCATTGTGGAAGTCAGTGTGGCGATTCCTCAGGGATCTAGAACTGGAAATACCATTTGACCCAGCCATCCCATTACTGGGTATATACCCAAAGGACTATAAATCATGCTGCTATAAAGACACATGCACACGTACGTTTATTGCGGCATTATTCACAATAGCAAAGACTTGGAACCGACCCAAATGTCCAACAATGATAGACTGGATTAAGAAAATGTGGCACATATACACCATGGAATACTAGGCAGCCATAAAAAATGATGAGTTCATGCCCTTTGTAGGGACATGGATGAAATTGGAAATCATCATTCTCAGTAAACTATCACAAGAACAAAAAACCAAACACCGCATATTCTCACTCATAGGTGGGAACTGAACAATGAGATCACATGGACACAGGAAGGGGAATATCACACTCTGGGGACTGTTGTGGGGTGCGGGGAGGCAGGAGGGATAGCATCGGGAGATATACCTAATGCTAGATGACGAGTTAGTGGGTGCAGCGCACCAGCATGGCACATGTATACATATGTAACTAACCTGAACAATGTGCACATGTACCCTAAAACTTAAAGTATAATAAAAAAAAAAATATATAGAGCACAAAGAAAAATAAAGATCGTCTCTGATCTTAAAAAAAAAAAAAAAAAAAAAAAAAGGTTAAATATATACCTACCACATGGCACAACCATTCTGCTCCTAGTATTTGCCAAAAATAAGTTAATAAAAATGTATTCCCGTATGAGTAGTATGCAGATGTTCATAGCAGTATTATTTGTAATAAGCAAAACTGAAATCAATCCAAATGTCTGTCAACAGGTGACTAGATGAACATATTGTGGTATATTCATAAAATGGATGGAGTGTTTTAATTTTTTAACTTTAATTTTTATGAAAGTACATAATAGGTGTATATATTTATTGCATATAATGGATGTTAGTTCATTATTAAATCTTTCTTATGTAACAACAAGATAAAATATTTAAGATGTGAATTTTTCTCTGGTTACTGGTTGTTCGGAATTGGTATGTTGTGATATGGTTATCTCTGTTTCTAATTTCTAAATAATAATTAAAGTTTTCACTTAAACTTTAAAAGTGTTTGTATTATAGTTAAACATTATAACTAATTTTTAGTTATATTTCATTTCATATGGTAAGATAATTATGTCTCTAACTTCAGTTTTTAGATTTATTGAGATTTCTTTGGGTTTCACATACAAATGCTTTTATAAATATTACCTTTGCAATGGAAATAAAGTACAGTTACTTAAAAGGGTAAAAAGTTCAATATTAAATCTGCATTTGATTTATCCTTATTTTCCCCCAAACGTCTTTTGTTTGCAAACCTATAGTAAGATTAAAGGAATACTCCAGGCACTCTTACAGTTCACTTAGATTCACCAACTGTCAGCATTTTGCTACATTTGTAGATAGATAGAGAGATGGAGAAATAACAAGAGAGAGAGAGATACAACTTGTATGTGTTTTCATGGACCTCAATACAGAGATAGATATTATTTATTGTACAAGTACTTAAAAATAAGTTTTAGATGTAAAAATTTCAACATGTATACCCTAGACACAAGGACACTCTCCTACATAAACAGAATTCTATCATCATAATGAAAAAAATTAAGATTGCTTTAACTATGTTATCTAATACACAGCTCATATTCAAATTTCCTCAATTGTCTCAATATTGGCAACTAATAGCTTTATTTCTGCCACATTGATAGAATAAATGAGAGAAATGACATGCAGAAAATGCATTTGATGAAATTTAATATCATTTCATGATTAAAAAATAATTCTCAGCAAATGAACTCTAAAAGGGAACTTCCTTCTGATAAATATTATGTATGAAAAAACCTACTGCTAACATTATACATAATAGAGAAATCACTGAAAGCTTTCTTCCTGAGATCAGAAAAAACATAGATGTTCATCACCTCTATTACACCTAGCCAGTGGAATAAGGCCAAAATAAATACATAAATAGTATAATTATTGGGAAAAAAGTAATCATGTAATTATTCACAGATGACAGGATTGCATACATAGAAAAGCCAAAAGAACTCCAACGATAAGATTTTTTAAAGAATTTAGCAAAGTTGGTGGATGCAAACTCATATGGTATATATGTACATATTACTTTTAAAAATTGAAGAATAAAATAAAAATCAATACCGTACACAACAGCATGCAAAAAACCAGATACACAGGGATAACTTATTGAAAGACGTGCCCTTTGATTTACTGAAAACTAAACTGTTGCTGAGAGAATAACTAAATAAATGAACACACCATGCTCATGAATTGAAGACTCATTTGTAAAGACGTCAATTTTCCCCAAATCTATCGACATATTCAATCTTACCCCATTCATCCAGCAGGTGTTTTGGGGAAATCAATAAGATGATTCTAAATTTTATATGGAAATGAAAAAGACCAAAAAACAAAAAACCTGATCGAATTTTAAGAACAGATTTGAAATTTTTTCACTACCAACAAGATTCATTATGAAATCACAGTATTCAAATAGCATGATGTTGATTCAATGATGAACAAACTGGTGAAACTGTGGTACTTTGTTCCAGCAGCAACTGGAAACAAACACACAGAGACACACAGGGCCAATTGTTGCTTGGTCATGTTAGCCTGCATGCCCAGCCCCACGGGCATATGTGCATTCTACATTCTGTGTCCTGTATCTGCTCAGATACTATCTCTCACAGTGTATTTTGGATATAGTTTCTTCAAATATACCAATCCCTGTACAATTCTGTTCCTATCTGTATTTTGTCTGCTGTTAGTACATTCATTGAGTATTTAATTTTAGCGATCCTATTTTTCATTCCTAGGACTTTATTTTCGAATCCCTTGTTTCTTTTTCATAATCTTTTGTTTTACTTGAAATCTACTTCTCACTGGCAGGCACAGTGAATCACACCGGTAATCCCAGCACTTTGGGAGGCTGAGGCAAGCATAACACTTGAAGTCAGGAGTTCGAGACCAGCCTGGCCAACATGGTGAAACCCCACTCTATTAAAAGTTTAATAATTAACTGGGTGTGGTGGTACATACCTATAATTCCAGCTACTCCGGAGGCTGAGGCAGGAAAATCCCTTGAACCTGGGAGGTGGAGGTTGCAATGAGCTGAGATCATGCCACTGCACTCCAGCCTGGGCAACAGAGTGAGACTCTGTATCAAAAAAAAAAAAAAAAAAAAAAAAAAAAAGGGAAAAAATTGACTTCTCTTTTTCATCATTTTAACCCTTTTTAAAATTTTTAAATTGTTCTAGTATTTCCAATTCCTATGCAATTAACACTCATCTTTGCAACATCATTTGCTTTCCTCACTAGATTTTCTTAATTGACAAATAATAATTGTATAAATTTATGCTCTTCGATGGGATGTTTTGATATATTTATAGTAGAAATATTTTTTATTATTTTTTGAGTTTGTCTTTAGCAGTGACTTATTATTCTATGAGTGTCTCCTGTACCTTGGGTTACAAGAAAATTTTACATTTGCATCTGAGAAAGGGCCAAAGGAACAAATTCCTCATGGCTGACTTGTTTTTCCCATCCAGGCTTCCCAGTACTGTTCAAGGAAAGTGAGTGGAGTTGAAGTTTAAGATTCAGGCATGACACTTGCTCCGAGCTCTTTCACTTCATATGCACCTGCGACCACTATTTGGCCATCACATATACCCAGTCCCCAATCACTGTGGGCTTTCAGTGTCTCCTTGCTATTCTCATTTTTATTTCCAGTTTTGGCGTTAGTCCTGGAAATTACAGTCTTTTGAGCTCATTTTATGTTTATAAGCATTTACAAGATGTCCCATTTGCATAAGCTCAGATTGTTACATTGCTGGAAGGTCAAACATTTGTCCTTTGAAAAGGGGTGTGATAAAATAGTTTACTTTTATCTTATTTATTCTGCATTATGATTCTGTGCGGTAGATAGTAAATTTATATATAATAAGTTCAAATATTAAATAGATTCAGCAATAAGCAGGTTTGTCTCACAGAAGAGGCAGGATTCAAAAGCAGGTGCGTCAGAAGCCCAGGGGCATGTTCTTAGACAATACATATTTTTCCTTGTAAATTTCCTTTTTTCTGTTAGGTTAAGAATTTGTTTCATATACACAGAAAAATATGATAAATAGATTGACAGTGAGAGAAAGAGAGGGATGTTTTCTCTGTGAAGAAGTGCCCAATATCATTAGTTATTCTAAGAAAAATTAGAAAGAGCTCAAAAAACACAATAATAGTAGGGAGAAATAAACCATGGTAAATGGAAAATGTATCATTTTCCAAATGTGTGTTTATAAAATTTGTGACATATTGATACTTCTGTTATAATTCAACATTTAAAATAATAACAATGTTCATATAGCACAACTGTCTAAAACAGACAACCACCAATAAAATATCTATATCAACAAAAAAATGGTGGGAGGGATGTTCTATGTACTTTCTTGTTACAACTGACACATTTGGTTGAGGCTTCTATTTTTTTGCTTCCTTAACATTTCTTTTTACTTCTGTCTTTTTGGGTATCCTCCCTGATATTTGATGAGAAATCAGGAAATAAAAAAATAAGTTACTAAAAGCTCTAAATTTTTTAATTCAACCATTGTAAAATTCTTGTGTGAAATGATATGTTAAATAGCACCTAACAATGTTTAAGGAAAGGAGCTGTTGAAACACATCACATGCTTTTGATGGTACAAAGCATTAGGCCACCCATTAACATTTATTTAATTAGGTAGAAAGAAGGATAAAAAGTAGTGAAATGACAGTTTCCACAAAGTTTATCTTGAATCACTGCTTATTAAATCTTGTCATGATAAAGCTAGGTTCCTCAGTATGTCTGTTTAATAAGGTCAGCAATCCTCCCTGCATTATTCAGAAATCTATTTCAAAAATTCTGAGGATTGTTGACTTGTAATGGTGAAATTAGAAATATCTGTTATAGAAAATTACAAGTAGAGAATAGTGTTTATTCAGTTAATGTTGAAAACTATGTCATAGGTTACACTGATTTTTCTTCAATCTTTAAGGCCCTAAATGATCTCTCTCTGCCTTGTTCCCTTTCCTGACCATAATTTCCTTCTTTCTCTCTTGTTCTTTCTCCAGCCATACTGGTCTTTCAGCTTTTCCTAGAATACTCCAGGCATACTCAACAAATCCCTGCTTCCTGGAACAGTCTGTTCTAAAATTAGCCTAGTAAATTTCTTCACTTCCTTTGAGTCTTTGCTTAAAGATCATCTTCTCAATGAGGACCACAGTTGAACAATGCAGGGGTTAGGGGTGCCAACCTATGGAGCCAGAACTCCATGTATAACTTTTGGCTCCCAAAAAACTTAATTACTAATAGCCTACTGTTGACTGGGAGCCTTATCAATAGCGTAAACAGCCAATTAACACAATTTTTAATGTTAAATATATTAGAGACTATACTCATACAACAAACTATAGAAAAGAAAATATTATTAAGACAATCATAAGGAAGAAGAAATACATTCACAATACCATACTGCATTTATTGATGCCATAAATATGTTGCCTGTTTACAAGACGTGTCTGACGTTTCTCTGCATCTCAGCAGTGCTCCCAGAATCACTGGTGGCACTTTGTATGAGCCCCATGATGTTATTCAAGGTTTATGGTATTGCAATAAACACAATGTGCCAGAACCTTGAGACATCACTTTTTACTTCCATACACAATGTACTGGCGAGATTAACTGCTCACTCAGAGATGATTAGGGTCACACAGTTTTAAGCTGATACTCACAACACTTAAGCTCATGAAATAGCAACAGGAGGTGAATACAAAATTACTACAGTGGTACAGTATGTGCTACAGTTAATTTTATGCAGTTATGATTCCATCCTGCATCTTTACATTCATTTATATTTCTCTCTACTATGAATGGTGCCACATATGGTCTGTAAGTGTGTGCACTTTTTGATAAATGTTTACCTTTATAAGACTTGTGTATATTTTATGATAGTAAGTAATAGACTAATATCTACATATATTTTATGCAGTCATAACATAACTTTTTCCTAATTTTTTCAGTATTTCCAGGCTATGTGGTTCATCTGCAAGTTTTTTCAAATTGTCACAAATCTCCAAAAAACTTTCCAATATATTTATTGAAAAAAAAATTCACATGTAAGTGGACCCACACAGTTCAAACCTATGCTGTTCAAGGGCCAGCTGTGCTTACGCTGACCACCCTATGTGAAATCGTAAACTGCCTGCCCCAACCTGACCCATCCTACTTACTCTGATCTTTTCTCTTCTACAGCTTATCATTATTACTTATTACCCTCTAAAGTAACATGGATTTGACTTATAAATGTCATATAACTTATGATGTTTACTGTTTATTTCTGTACACATACACACCTACCCTGCCCTGGTTCCTCAGGCAGGGATCTTTTTGGTTCACTGTGGTTGTTGTTATTATTAATGGTAACAAATACATCTCAAGAGCAAAGAATAATATATAAAACATAGTAGATGCTCAATAAATTGTTGTTAAATTGAACTTTTTGAGCCTTGTGTTTTTCCACAGACTCTGGCTGTACTAATGTTACAATAAGTTTTTCAATCAGTGTATATATATATATATATATATATATATATATATATTTTTTTTTTTTTTCTTTTTGAGACAGTCTCATTCTGTTGCCAGGCTGGAGTTCAGTGGCGCGAACTCGGCTCACTGCAACCTCCACATCCTGGGTTCAAACAATTCACCTGCCTCAGCCTCCCGAGTAGCTGGGACTACAGGCACATGCCACCACGCCCGGCTAATTTTTGTATTTTTAGTAGAGATGGGGTTTCACCATGTTAGTCAGGTTGATCTCCATCTCCTGACCTCGTGATCCACCCGCCTCGGCCTCCAAAAGTGCTGGGATTACAGGCATGAGCCATCGCCCCTGGCCGCCTGTTTATTTTTCTACCTTTCTTTTACACTATGAAGTCCTCCAGAAGAAGGAACTATCTTTCATATCTCTGTATTCCCAAAACATGCCACAGAGAAGTCTCTAAGTAAATGTTTGCTGAAGGAAATAAACTCTTCAAGCAATTGAAAGTGAAGGAACCAACATTTACAGACTGAGAACCCACTCAGTAGCAGACTCACTTCTGTATTTTCCCTGTTAGTAGTCACGAGAGCCTTGCAAGGGGCTATGTTAGCTTTCACATTCAACCTGCCGGAACTGCTGAAAGGCAACTCCAAAGCATGTCTTCTTTCTGCTCCTTCTTGCTTCTTCTTCTTAAAACAGATTGCTTTCTACAACTCTGGATCATTTATAAACTCTTAGTCATACAAGAATAATCTCTTATAGCAAGGAGTTTTTAAGTGTCCTTGGATTGTATAAACAGGCAACAGAGAGTGGAAAGAAAGATTAATCATTTGAAGGAATAAAAAAAGAAAAGGAAGTACATTTAGATGATGGAATATTATTCAGTCCTAAAAGAATGAGCTATCAAGCTGTGGAAAGACATGGAAGGAACTTAAATGCCTATTACTAAGGAAAAGAAGCCAATCTGAAAAGGCAACACACACTGTATTATTCCAATGAGATGACAGTATGGAAAAGGCAAAACTGTGGAGACAGTAAAGAGATCAGTGATTGTCAGAGCCAGGCGCGGTGGCTCACACCTATAATCCCAGCACTTTGGGAGGCCGAGGCGGGCGGATTACCTGAGGTCGGGAGTTAGACCAGCCTGGCCAACATGGAGAAACCCTGTCTCTATTAAAAATACAAAATTAGCCGGGCATGGTGGCACATGTCTGTAATCCCAGCTACTAGGGAGGCTGAGGCAGGAGAATCACTTGAACCTGGGAGACAGAGGTTGCGGTGAGCCGAGATCATGCCATTGCACTCCAGCCCGGGCAACAAGAGCGAAACTCCGTCTTAAAAAAAAAAAAAAAAAAAAAAATCAGTGATTGTCAGGGTTTTTGGGAAAGGGAGGGATGAACAGGCAGAACACAGAGGATCTGTAGGAAGGGTAAATATTCTGTACGATACTACAATGGTGGATACACGTCTTTTTACATTTGTTCAAACCCATAGGATGTGAAACACCAAGAGGGAACCCTAATGTAAACTATGGACTTTGGGTGACAATGATGTGTCAGTGTAGGTTTGTGGATTGTTACAAGCGTACCACTCTGGTGGGGGATGTTGGTAATGGGGGAGGCTGTGCTTGTATGGGGACAAGGGATATGTGTGAAATCTCTGTACCTTCCTCTTGATTTTGCTGTGAACCTAAAAATGCTCTTAAAAAATAAAGTCTTTCTTTAAATAAGGAAAAGGAAAACATCACATCAAAGAGCTCTTGGGTTTTCAGAGGATAAGGACTCAAATTCAGAGAACACTGGCCAGCTTGCCATTTTACTTCTGTAGATTTTGCCTAATTGACTTTACCACTTCCTTCCTAAAATATCTATGTTGTTATAAATTCTCCAGGGACTGTAATTATCTACTAGTGAATGTGTCCTCTGTTCTGATTTACTTTCTAGAATTTCACAGCCACTGGGAAATTTTCACTCATTAAATGGCATATATAAATAGAAGATGCTAAATAATCATGACTAGCAAGAAGAGTATTCCTTCAGTTGGATATGAAGTGTTTGAAAGGGTATTTAGAATGTAATATAAATATCTGGTTTTATGTCACATAAGAGGTGGGCTGAAGGAAAAATCAGTTTGGGGTGGTATGAGACTGCTTCATAAATGCTTAAGGTAATTAAGGTGTGGCCATGGTGCTCTTTGCTGATGTCAATATAGACAGTTAAAATATGTTTATTTATTTGTGTTGTATTTAGTATTACTTTTGAACTCACTGTTATTTAATGTGGAATGAGTCTTTCTGCTATTAGCTACAAGTTGTTCCCGTAGGGCTAAAAAAAAAAACCATCAGAAATACCTACAGCATTTAAGATCGCTATTTACAAAAACTTTTTCACATGTCAAATTTCCTCTAACATTAAAAGTGTTTTGAATGCAACTGATTCCCTTAGATGCCCTTTAGTATTTTAACAAATTTCCCTTCTCAAGCTTTTTCTAGGAAGGGGGAGAGACAGAGAGAGAGAGAGAGAGAAAGAAAGGGGGAGAGAGAGAGGCAAAGTGAGAGACCCTGAAAAGTACTGTGTTTTCCCAAATAGGGCAAGTGCATTCTAAAGATGGGTTATATATCATTCCAAGAATGTCTTAAAGGCACACAGTAACTACTGCAGTAACATCTCCAGCCTGACCCTCTCCACTCTCGTTCTTCAAAAAGCAGACTGGACCAACTTAGTGAAGAAATAGGCAGAACCACTATTCTCCCACAGTCATTCCTTCTCATTACTTTAATTTAAAGCAGTGGTTCTCAAAGTGTTTTCCCCCAGAACAGCACATCAGCATCACATGGGAACTTATTAGAAATGCAAATTCCCCAGCTGCCCCACACCCACTGAATCAGAAACTCTGGGGCTGGAGCCCAGCAATCTGTTTAACAGGCCCAGTGGGAACTTTTAGGGCAAGCTAACATTTCAGAGTTGTTGATTTTATAGCAGCCATTTCAAACTTGGCTGCAAATTGGAGTCACTTAAGGAGCTTAAAAACTACAGCTGTCTGGGTCCTGCCCTCAGACACCATGTTGTACTGTAATTTGTCTGGGAAGTAGCCTGGTTTCAGGACTCAAAGCTCGCTAGGTAATTCCAATACACAGCAACATTCAAGGACAGAAACACTGCCTCAGACCTTATTTCACTCCACCCATGAAAATAATACTGTCTGGGAAAAGATGCCAGCTCAGTGGGCTGGAACCTAAGAGATACTTAGTAAAGGACACAAACCTCAGGTACCCTTCCTGAAGAGACCTTGGTTACATGTGAACTCAGATGCAGGTACCCGATTACCCAGAACTGTACTGAATCCCACAGTCTTCTCCTGAGTACCCAGATGTTCCATGCTGCACGCAGAGCTCAATCCTAAGGACATCACCTGTGCTAACAGCAGCAGTTAGGAGAGGATTTTCAGGAAATGATCAAATAAAACTTGATTTTTTTTTTTTTTTTTTTTTTTTTGAGAAGGAGTCTCGCTCTGTCGCCCAGCGATCTTGGCTCACTGCAAGCTCCGCCTCCCGGGTTCACGCCGTTCTCCTGCCTCAGCCTCCCGAGTAGCTGGGACTACAGGCACCCCGTCACCACGCCCGGCTAATTTGCTGGGATTACAGGCGTGAGCCACTGCGCCCGGCCAACTTGATTCTTATATTTCATGCTAATAGGGAGAGGACTGGTGGAAAATAATTAAACATGATTCTTATAGTTGATGCTACATTTGAGTTTTAGATTTGGGGGTAAAACTTTTTCTAACCAACGATACTGGCACCTTAGGATCTATTAATAACAAGTAAAAGTATAATTTAAGATACAAAACCTATGCTTCCTTCCATTCTGTAAAGCAGCCTTGGTTGGAACTTCCCTGCACTCCCATTTTCACTTTATTTTAGCACAAACAAGGCTGTCTTCCAGGTAATTGCTTCCAGTCTGTTGCTGCTGGTAGGTTACCGGCAAAGAATGCATTTTATGCATCTCTGCATCCGCAGGGCCCAGTGCTCAGAAGGCATTTCTTAATGCTTGTTGAATGAATCAGCGAATGAACTATGAAAGCTTCACACAATCTTCAAGACAGAATTTATATATTCCGTCAGCAACCACAAAATAAACAGATTTGTGTCTTTAGCATGACAAAAGCTGTAAAAAAAATAGTTTTTTACACAGAGGACTGAGACCCTTTTTCTTAATTTTCCCTTGTTCCCAACAAAATCTTTAGAAAACTAGAAGATTGAAATTTTTTAAAAAAAGAAGTTCTGACATTCTAGGAAAAGAGGAGTGGAAGGCATTCAAAACCCCTCAAAAAAAAAAATCCAGTAACAGGATAAACTATTTATCAGGAAAGAACGTCTCTGCAATGCATGTTTGTGCATGCAAATTTCTCATGTGTGTGAGAAATAGGGCAATGGTAAAATGTGTAAAAATAGAAATCTGTTTTGCAAATAATTAAAATCATTTAGCTACTTTCATAATAGTTTACTTAGGATTTATATTCTAAACACAATCTCTAAAAAGGGGGTCTACAAACTCTTTTTGTGAAGGGTCAAAAAGTAAATATTTAAAGCTTCATGAGTCATGTGGTCTCTGTTGCAACTACTCAGCTCTGCCTTCTGTAGCACAAAAAGCAGCCGTAGATTATATGCAAATGAATGGAAGTGACTGTGTTCCCATAAAATTTAATTTCTGCTCTCTAAATGTGGCTCAGATGTATTCCTTCCTTTTCTTCTCTGCTGTTGACACCTGTGGTCTTCACCGTCATTAGAGCTGTGAAATCCTGGCTTAGCCATCTCAGTCATTCATTTATTCAACAAATTCTTGTCCACCATCTGGGATGTGCCTAGGCATTGGGGTATGTCCTTGGGAATCTAGGAGAGAAGAAAGCTCTTCTGATGGTTTTGCAGTTTTTTTTTAGTAGAATGCTGCACAAGTGTGTGTCATCCTTGCACAGGGGCCATGCTAATCTCTGTATCATTCCAATTTGGGTATATATGTATTGCCAAAGCAAGCACCCTGCTGGAGTTTATAGTATGGGGGGGAGACAGACTACATATAAAATAACCATGTGTTAGAGCAGTGGTTCTAATGGAGTGAGGGATAGAGGTTCCCTCCTGGGGCCATTTGGCGATGTTTGGAGACAGTTTCAGTTGCCATATCTGGGGATGAGGTGCTTCTGGCATCCAGTGGGCAGAGTCCAGGGATGCTGCAAAACATCCCACAAGGCACAGGACAGACCACCAGAACACAGTTATATCCAGCCCAAAATGTCAGTGGTGCAGAGGGTTAGAAACTCTGAATTAGAACTAGTTTACAGTCCCACCAACAGTGTAAACTAGTTCAACCACTGTGGAAGTCAGTGTGGCGATTCCTCAGGGATCTAGAACCAGAAATACCATTTGACCCAGCCATCCCATTACTGGGTATATACCCAAAGGACTATAAATCATGCTGCTATAAAGACACATGCACACGTATGTTTATTGCAGCATTATTCACAATAGCAAAGACTTGGAACCAACCCAAATGTCCAACAATGGTAGACTGGATTAAGAAAATGTGGCACATATACACCATGGAATACTATGCAGCCATAAAAAATGATGAGTTCACGTCCTTTGTAGGGACATGGATGAAATTGGAAATCATCATTCTCAGTAAACTATCGCAAGAACAAAAAACGAAACACCGCATATTCTCACTCATAGGTGGGAATTGAACAATGAAAACACATGGACATAGGAAGGGGAACATCACACTCTGGGGACTGTTGTGGGGTGGGGGCAGCGGGGAGGGATAGCATTGGGAGATATACCTAATGCTAGATGACAAGTTAGTGGGTGCAGCGCACCAGCATGGCACATGTATACGTATGTAACTAACCTGCACATTGTGCACATGTACCCTAAAACTTAAAGTATAATAATAATAATAATAAAGAAACTCTGAATTAGAGATATGATCAACGCTCTAAGAATGGAAACAGGCAGGTGAGGGAGGCGGCGGCCAGCGACGCGGTTCACCTCCTGCTGTCCTCGCCCTCGCCCCGGCGAGCTGCCCCCGACGCGAGATGTCTTATTTACCAACAAATCCACCAGGGAGCATTCTTATTTGCTGGCTCGGCGTCTCTCTCAGCAGTCACCGGAGTGCCGGAGGGGGAAGCGCGATTTACGGAAGACTATTACCCAGAAGAAAAGATGTTTGTTTTTCACAAGCCAAAGATGTACCGAAGTATAGAGGGCTACTGTATTTGCAGAGCTAAGTCCTCCAGTTCTCGATTCACTGACAGTAAACGCTATGAAAAGGACTTCCAGAGCTGTTTTGGATTGCATGAGACTCGTTCAGGAGACATCTGCAATGCCTGTGTCCTGCTTGTGAAAAGATGGAAGAAGTTGCCAGCAGGATCAAAAAAAAAAACTGGAATCATGTGGTAGATGCAAGGGTTGGACCCAGTCTAAAGACTACATTGAAACCAAAGAAAGTGAAAACTCTATCTGGGAACAGGATAAAAAGCAACCAGATCAGTAAACTGCAGAAGGAATTTAAACGTCATAATTCTGATGCTCACAATACCACCTCAAGTGCCTCCCCAGCTCCATCTCCTCGTTACAGTAACCAGTCAGATGACGGCTCAGATACAGAGATGGCTTCTGGTTCTAACAGAACACCAGTTTTTTCCTTTTTAGATCTCACATACTGGAAAAGACAGAAGATATGTTGTGGGATCAACTATAAAGGCCGTTTTGGGGAAGTCCTCATTGACACACATCCCTTCAAGCCTTGCTGCAGCAATAAGAAAGCAGCTGCCGAGAAGCCAGAGGAGCAGGGGCCAGAGCCTCTGCCCATCTCCACTCAGGAGTGGTGACTGAGGTTTTTATGTAGAAGGGGAACAAAAAAAATCTGAATTTTGAAAAGACCACAAAGCAGCAAACTGACCCTCTTTTTTTTTTTTTTTTTTTTTTTTTTTGAGACGGAGTTTTGCTCTTGTTACCCAGGCAGGAGTGCAGTGGCGTGATCTTGGCTCACTGCAACTTCCGTCTCCCGGGTTCAAGTGATTCTCCTGCCTTAGCCTCCCAAGTAGCTGGGTTTATATGTGCCCGCCACCAGACCCGGCTAATATTTTAGTTTTAGTAGAGACGGGGTTTCACCACATTGGCCAGGCTGGTCTCAAATGACCCTCTTATTTTTAACTTGGATACCTGCTATTCTGCCAAAAGACAATTTCTACAGTAGTTTTGAATGGGTTGATATCCCCTAGTCCCACAAACTCTGAAGCCAGTGTCCAGCTTACTAAAAAAAGAGTGGTACATAATATTTAAGATGCTGAGTATTTCATAGGAAAGATGAATGCTGCTGTAAAGTACTCTTTAAGTCTTTTTTTTTTTTAATCCCCTTCTAATGAATGAAACTAGGGGAATTTCAGGGGACAGAGATGGGATTTGTTGTATGATAAACTGTATGTAGTTTTTAGTCTTTCTGTATTGAGATGCAGTGGTTGGGGCATTTTTAAGATGGCTGGCTACTTGTTTTCCCTCATGATAATAAATTTGTCATAACTCAGTAACATGAACTTGCCCCTAGAGGTAGTTGTTAATGATTTTGAAATATTAAGGTCTTGCCAAGCTTGTGATGATTCAAACCTGTACTACTGATTATTAAGCAGGACAGACTGAGCTTTCTGTTGCAAATACCTTGGAGGAGAAAGTAACTTCTAAATATACAGAGAGGTAACTTGACTATATATGTTGCATCCTGTGCCTCCCTTCATATTAATATTTGATAAAGATTTTAATTTTTGTAAAACTTCTAAAGCAGAATCAAAGCTCCTCTTGGGGAAATGGCAAGTCTTTAGGACAGGCGAGACCCTGTATGAATAGTACCAAAGCATTACCGCATGGTAGAGAACACACTCGATTAAAAATGTTAAGCTATCTGAAAAATAAAATGTACAAGTCCTCAGGATGGCACAAAACAAAGGTTAATGCTTCTTGGGGCACATTTCTTAGAGGGCTTGCTGAGTGTGTAAATATAATCGACTTTTGTTTGTGTTCTGTGACTTCATTGAAAATCTTTACAATTCAGTTTCAGCTCTGGATTACTTCAGTTGACCTTTGTGAAGGTTTTTATCTGTGTAGAATGGGTGTTTGACTTGTTTTAGCCTATTAAGTTTTTATTTTCTTTCACTCTGTATTAAAAGTAAAACTTACTAAAAGAAAAGAGGTTTGTGTTCACATTAAATGGTTTTGGTTTGGCTTCTTTTAGTCAGGCTTTCTGAACATTGAGATATCCTGAACTTAGAGCTCTTCAATCCTAAGATTTTCATGAAAAGCCTCTCACTTGAACCTAAACCAGAGTACTCTTACTGCCTCTTTTCTAAATGTTCAGGAAAAGCATCGCCAGTTCGGTCTTTTCAGAATGAGGGAGAAACATTTGCCTGCCTTGTAATAACAAGACTCAGTGCTCATTTTTTAAACTGCATTTTAAAAATTGGATAGTATAATAACAATAAGGAGTAAGCCACCTTTTATAGGCACCCTGTAGTTTTATAGTTCTTAATCTAAACATTTTATATTTCCTTCTTTTGGAAAAAACCTACATGCTACAAGCCACCATATGCACAGACTATACAGCGAGTTGAGTTGGCTTCTCCCACAGTCTTTGAGGCGAATTACAAAAGTCCAGCCATTATCATCCTCCTGAGTTATTTTGAAATGATTTTTTTGTACATTTTGGCTGCAGTATTGGTGGTAGAATATACTATAATATGGATCATCTCTACTTCTGTATTTATTTATTTATTACTAGACCTCAACCACAGTCTTCTTTTTCCCCTTCCACCTCTCTTTGCCTGTAGGATGTACTGTATGTAGTCATGCACTTTGTATTAATATATTAGAAATCTACAGATCTGTTTTGTACTTTTTATACTGTTGGATACTTATAATCAAAACTTTTACTAGGGTATTGAATAAATCTAGTCTTATTAGAAAATAAAAAAAAAGAAAGAAAGGAAACAGGGAGCTATGAGAGCACCTGATTTAGATCAAACTCTTCAGGAAGATGTCCTTGAGGAAATGATATGCAGGTGAGCCCTGGAGGGTAAACAGGATTTCATCAGGTAAGGGGGTACCCAGTGGGAAGGCAAATGTGAGGACTGTTTAAAAGATACTGATGCCTGTGCCCCACCCCAATCAATTCACTCAGAATCACCCAAATTCCATTGTTTTTTAAGTTTCTTGAATTAGAACAAATCGATAAGCTTTAAAAGCAAAAAGATTGATAATTTTTCTGAAGCATGATTCAAGGCTGATAGTAAGACTATATAGAAAAAAACACTTATGGTATAGGACAGAGAAAATAATTGAGAAGGGGGGGGGTGAAATCAAAACCACATATAGAGTATCACATTTATTGATCTGCATATGTTGCAATAGTTTTGAATCCCAGGGATAAATCCCATTTGACCATAGTGAATGATCTTTTTAATGTGCTATTGAATTCGCATTGCCAGTATTTTGTTGAGTATTTTTGCATCTATGTTCATCGGGGACTTTGGCCTGTAACTTTCTTTTCTTGTAGTGTCTGTGTCCAGTTTTAGTATCAGGGTAATGCTGGCCTCATAAAATGAATTTGAAAATATTCCTTTCTCTTCAATTTTTTTTGAAGAGTTTGAAAAGGATTAGCATTAGTACTTTTTTAAATGTTTGGTAGAATTCATCTGTGAAGCCAATCAGTCCTGAGCTTTTCTTTAATGGGAGACTTTTTTTTTTTTTTTTTTTTTTTTTTGAGACGGAGACTCGCTCTGTCGCCCAGGCTGGAGTGCAGTGGTGTGATCTCGGCTCACTGCAACCTCTGCCTCCCATGTTGACGCCATTCTCCTGCCTCAGCCTAATGGGAGACTTTTTCTTACTGATTGAATCTACTTATCTATTATTGGTCTATTCAGATTTTCTATTTCTTCATGATTCAGTCTTGGCAGGTTATATGTGTCTAGGAATTTACCCATTTCTTTTAAGTTATCCAATTTATTGGGGTATAATTGCTCATGGTAGTTTCTTGTGACCCTTTGTATTTCTTTTTTTTTTTTTTTTTTTTTTTTTTGGAGACAGAGTTTTGCTCTGTCACCCAGGCTGGACTGCAATGACACGATCTTGGCTCACTTCAACTTCCGCCTCCGCCTCCTGGGTTCAAGCGATTCTCCTGCCTCAGCCTCCTGAGTAGCTGGGATTACAGGTGCCTGCCACCACACCTGGCTAATTTTTGTAGTTTCCAGAAGAGACGGGGTTTCACCATGATGGCCAGGCTGGTCTCAAACTCCTGATCTCAGGTCATCCGCCTGCCTCGGCTTCCCGAAGGACCCTTTGTATTTCTGTGCTATCAGTTGTAATGTCTCCTCTTTTGTTTCTGATTTTATTAATAGAATGAAGAACAAAAATTATATGATCATCTCAGTAGATATAGAAAAAGAATTTGATGAAATTCAAATTCGTTTCATAATAAAAACTCTCAACAAATTCGGTAGAGAAGAAATGTACCACAACACAATAAAGTCCTTAAATGGCAAGTCCACGGCTAATATTTGTAACAGTGAAAAGTTTAAAGCATTTCCTCTAAGATCTAGAACAAGACAGGAATGCTTAATCTCACTACTTCTTTTCAACATTTTACTGGAAGTCCAAGCCTGTGCAATTTGGCAAGAAAAAGAAATGAAAAAACATCCAAATTGGAAGGAGGTAGTTAAATTGTCCCTGTTTACAGATGGCATGATCTTACATATAGAAAACCTTAAAGACTTTACCAAATAAAAACATTATAACTGACAAATTCAGTTAATTTGAAGAATACAAAATCAACATACAAAAATCGGTAGCATTTCAACACTAACAACAAACTATCTGAACAAGAAATTAATAAAACAATCTCATTAACAATAGCAAAAAAATAAAATAAAATACCTAGGTATAAATTTAACCATGGAAGTGAAGATCTATATATTGATAACTATAAAGCATTGATGAAAGGAACTGAAGAAAACAGAAGTAAATGGAAAGGCATGATTATGAATTGAAAGAATTAATACTGTTAGGATATCCATAATATCCAAAGCAATCTACAGATTCAGTGTAATCCCTGTCAAAATTCCAACGTCATTCTTTAAAGAAATAGAAAAAACAATCCTAAAATTTGTATGGAAACACAAAAGACCCTGAATAGCCAAACCTATCTTGACCAAAAAGAAAAAAGCTGGAGGCATCATAGTACCTAACTGCAAAATATATTACAAAGTTATAGTAATCAAAACAGCACAGTACTGCCATAAAAACAGACACAAAACCAGTCAAACAGGATAGAGTTCAGAAATAACCCCAAATATTTATGGAAAACTGAGTTTTAATAAAGGTGCCAAGAAGAGACAATGAGGAAAGGACAGCTTTTTCAATAAATGGTGTGGGGAAAATTGGATATCCAAATGTAGATGAATGAAATTGGATCCTTATTTTCACCATATACAAAAATCAACTCAAACTGGATTAAAGACAAATTAAGACCTGAAACCTAGTAGTTTCACTAAACTACTGAAACTTTATTTTAGTAGTTAAACTACTAAAAGAAAACATAAGGGAAAAGCTCCATGACATTGGTCTGGACAATATTTTGAATATAACCCCAAAAGTATATGCAACAAAAGCAAAAAGAGACAAATAGGACTGCATCACTCTAAAAAGCTCCTGCACAGCAAAGGAAACAAATAGCAGAGTGAAGAGACAATACATGGCATAGGAGAAAATATTTGCAAACCATACATCTGATAAGGGGTTACTATCCAAAACATATAATATGGTTTGGATGTTTGCTCCAAATCTCATGTTGAAATGTAATCCCTAGTAGTGGAGGTAGGGCCTGGTGGGAAGTGTTTGGATCATGAGGATGGATCCTCATGAATGGCTTAGTTCTATTCCCTTGGTAATGAGAGAGTTCTCACTCTAAGTTCAGGCAAGATCTGGTTGTTAAAAAGAGTATGGCACCTCCCCCCTTCTCTCTTGCTCCTACTGTCACCATGTGACATGCTGGCTTCCCATCACCTTCCACCAAGATTGTAAGCTCCCTGAGGCCCTCACCGGAAGGAGATGCCAACACCACGTTTTCCGTACAGCCCGCAGGACCATAAACCAATTAAACCTCTTATTTTTTTTTTTTTTAATAAATTACCTAGCCTCAGGTATTTCTTTAGAGTGATATAAGAATGGCCTAACACAACATATGAGGAACTAAACTCAATAGCAAAAAAACAAATAACCTGCTTTAAAAATGGGCAAAGGACCTGAATAGACATTGGTCAAAAGACTTACGAGAGGTTCGGAGGATCGGGGGCGGCCGAGCGGCGGGCGACGGGGGCGGTTGACACGGGCCGCGGCACGGGCAGAGCAGGGGCCATTGAGCCGCCGCTGCCGGGCTAGGCAGGTCCTGCCCCGCCTGCCCCGCCTGGCCCACGGCGATGTCGAGCTACCCGCGCCGCCGGGGCGTCACCCCGCTGTCCCGAGCCCGGAGCCTCGCCATTCCCGACGATTTGGGCTATGGAAAGGGGAAATGTTCTAAGCAGAGCCCGTCAGGAGCCCACGAGACACATTTTGGAGATGACAAATTTGAAGATCTTGAAGAGGCAAATCCATTCTCCTTTAAAGAGTTTCTGAAGACCAAGAACATCGGCCTGTCAAAAGAGGACCCGGTCAGCAGAATTTATGCAAAGGAAGCGTCGAGGCATTCACTGGGACTTGACCACAACTCCCCACTCTCCCAAACCGGGGGGTATGGCCTGGAGTATCGGCAGCCATTTTTCGAGGACCCGACAGGGGCCGGTGACCTCCTGGATGAGGAGGAGGATGAGGACACCGGATGGAGTGGGGCCTACCTGCCGTCCGCCATCCAGCAGACTCACCCGGAGAGGGTCCCTGCCTGCACGTCGCCCTGCAGCACATACCTTTCCTTTTTCTCCACCCCGTCAGAGCTGGCAGGGCCCGAGTCTCTGCTCCCGTGGGCGTTGAGTGACACTGATTCTCGCGTGTCTCCGGCCTCTCCGGCAGGGAGTCCTAGCACCGATTTTGCGGCTCAGGGAGAGTCTCTGGGAGACAGGCACCTGCGGACGCTGCAGATAAGTTACGAAGCACTGAAAGGTGAAAATTCTAAGCTGAGAAGAAAGCTGAATGAGATTCAGAGCTTCTCTGAAGCTCAAACAGAAATGGTGAGGACGCTTGTGCGGAAATTAGAAGCAAAAATGATCAACGAGGAAAGCGACTACCACGACTTGGAGTTGGTGGTTCAGCAGGTGGAGCAGAACCTGGAGCTGATGACCAAACGGGCTGTAAAGGCAGAAAACCATGTCGTGAAACTGAAACAGGAAATCAGTTTGCTGCAGGCGCAGGTCTCCAGCTTCCAGCGAGAGAATGAAGCCTTGCGGTGCGACCAGGGGGCCAGCCTGACAGTGGTGAAGCAGAACGCCGACGTGGCCTTGCAGAACCTCTGGGTGGTCATGAACAGCGCACAGGCTTCCATTAAGCAACTGGTTTCCAGAGCTGAGATACTGAATCTTGCTGCCGAAATCCTTAAATCTGTAGACAGAATTTCTGAAATTAAAGACGAGGAGGAAGACTCTAGAGGACCCCTGGGTGTTCTCAGCATGAAGCTCCGTGTATGCCCTGAGATCACCACTGCTTGATCTAAATGTGCAGTTGTGTCCTTAAATATGCAGCCTTCACCCAGAGTAAAGTGTTTATCCCAAGAGTCCAGTGTCGTGCCCTCAGCCAGTTCTTGGCCACCGCAATGGGAGCAGCCCTGGCCGAGTTGCCCCTGTGGTTTCTATGCAGCCCTTGTTGGCAAAATTCCTGCTATCTTATAGATTCTAATGAGCTCTTAGAAGACATCGTCATAAAAGCCAGCGATTTTAAGAAAAAAAAAAAAAAAGAAGAAGAAGACTTACAAACAGCTAACAGGTTCATGAATAAATGCTTGACATCACTAATCATTAAGAAAATGAAAATGGAAGCCACAATGCAATATTACCTTATACCTGTTAGAATGGCTATTATAAAAAAAAAAAAGATGAAAGATAAGCGTTGATAAGAATGTAAAGGAAAGGTAACTCTTGTGCACTGTTGGTGGGAATGTAAAACAGTACAGCCATTATGGAAAACAGTATGAAGATTCCTCAAAAAACTAAAAATAGAACTTCCATGTGACCCAGCAATCCCACTTCTCAATACATATCCAAAGGAAATAAAATCAATATGTTGAAGAGAAACCTCCACTTCCATGTTTATTGAATCGTTATTCACAATGGCCAAGACATGGAATAAACTTAAGCATTCACCAATGGATACATGTATTTTTTTAAACATGCCAGTGAAATACTAGCCAGCCTTTTTTTAAAAAAAAGAAAATTCTGTCATTTTCAACAACATGGATAAACTTGGAATACATTCTGCTAAGTGAAATAAGCCAGGCACAGGCACAAAAAGACAAACACCTCATGGTCTCAATTATATGTGGAAACTAAAAAAGTTGAACTTATAGAAGTAGACAGTAGCATTGTGGTAACTGGAGACTGATGGAGGGAGGGAGGGAGTGGAAAGATGTTGGTCAAAGAAAAAGTTTCAGTTAGACAAGAGGAATAAGTTTTTGCAATCTATTGCACAGCATAGTGACTATAGTTAATGCATTGTATATTTCAAAATTGCTAAGAGAGTACATTTCAAATATCTCACCACAAAAACAGATAAGTGAAGTAATGATATGTTAATTAGATTAATTTAATTATTCCACTTTGTATGCATATATCAAAATATCACATCACAATTTACCCCATAAATATATATACTTATTATTTGTGAATTAAAAATATTTTTAAAAAAGAATCACATATAGAGTTAAGGGGAGGCAAAAGGTAACTTTAGAATGGAGGAATGTGACACACACTACCTCTGCCAAGTGGTCACAGTCAACATGAACAGTGGTAAATTATGCCTAAATCATAATAGGTACCCTTGTTATGACACAAAAATAGCCCCTTTACCTCTGTGGTTTTCCTCCCCAAAACCCATAACCCCAGCGTAACAATGAGAAAAACATCAGACAAATCCCAATGGAGGGATATTCTACAAAATACTTGACCATAATCCTCAAAGCAGTCAAAGTCATCAAAAACAAAGAAAGTCTGAAAAACTGTCATAGCCAAGAGCAACCTAAAGAGATATGGTGACTAAGTGTAATGTGGGATCCTGGATGGCATCCAGGAACAATAAAAGAACATTAGGTTAAAACTAAGGAAATCTGAATAAAGGATGGACTTCCATTAATAATAATAATGTCAGTTCAGTATTAAAATATACTCAATATTGGAAAAATGTTGGTTCAGTGCTGGAATAAATATTGCTTCATGAATTGTGACAATTATATAATGTAATAGTAAGTTGTTCACAGCAGGAGAAATTCAGTGTGGGGCATATGAGTTCTTTTTACTATCTTGGCAATTTTTCTGTAAACATAAAACTGTTCTAAAAAATGAAGTTCATTTTTTAAAACAAGCAAATAAAATGACATATGGATGAATTCTCATACATTGCTGAAGAGAATGCAAAATATTATAGTCGCTTTGAAAAACAGTATGACCATTTCTTATAAAAATAAGCATACCATATGACCCAGCAATCCCATTTCTAAGCAGTCACCCAGGAGAAAAGAAGATTGAATATTCATGTAAAAACCTTTAAACAAATGTTGATTCATAATTGCCAAAACCTGGCAACATCCCAAATGTTTGCAACTGGTAAATAAACACACTGTGATACAGCCATACAATAAAATATTCCTCAGCAATAAAAAGGAACAAACTACTGATACATACGACCATATAAATGAAACTCAAATGAATTATAAGTGAAAGAAGCCAGATTCAAGAGGCTAATAGTGTATGATTTTACTTAGATGACATTCTAGAAAAGACAAAAATATAGGGACAGTAAACAGATGTTTGGGGCTAAGAATGAATCGTGTCCAAGAATTCCTGCATAATACAGCCTAAAAGCTCATCTTGGTTTCATCCTTCTCCTTAAATAGACAGCCATCCAGGCATTCAAATTGTCTTCATTTTGTCAGGCTTATCTTGCTCAGCTCCCTAAACAAACCTACTTTGGACAAGGTTACGTTTTTTATTACATTAGATAAATAATGCTCCAAAATTTTGTTCACATTATTCTCCATAATTGGACTAGCTCCTTCATTATTCCACACTTTTCAAAATTCTGCTAAAAATTGAAAATCCTGTCAAGCCACTATAGCATAAGTAATCATTCCTGTATAATTCTAGAATATTATTTGTCTGTATCCCATATTCTGCTATTAATTTTTATATAAACTCTCATATGAATAAATGATTTAGATGTTACCTCCTGACCCTCATTACCTACATTTGGTATTGCTAAAATTTCCATTTTATAGATAAGAAAACTGAAGCTCGGAGGTTAAGTTACTTTCAGAGATTATGGCTACTAAATAGAGAAGCTGGGAAATCTAGGAATGCTGAATCCAAAGGTTGTCTTCTTTTTGTTTCAGTTCACTATTTTTTCTTTGTATTGTTTTAAATTTGAATGTCTTAATAATTGCACAACTAAGCTTCTTGAGACTGGGAGCCCTTTTATCTCCTTCTTGGTATTCTGCAATGTACTAAATTAAAAAGACACTTCCAAAACAAATTGTCTTTAGGATATAAAATTATAGTGGGGCAAAAGAAAGAAATAAAAGGCATCCAAATAGGAAAAGAAGAAGTCAAATCATCTCTCTTTGCTGATGATACGATCCTATACCTACAAAACCCTAAAGACTCTAACAAAAGGCTCTTAGAACTGATAAATGACTTCAGTAAAGTTTCAGGACACAAAATCAATGCACAAATTCAGTGGCATTTCTATACACCAATCATGGTAATTCTGAGAGCCATATCAAGAAGGCAGTTCCATTTATAATTGCCACAGGAAATAAAATACCTAGGAATACATCTAACCAAGGAGGTGAAAGATCTCTACAATAAAAATTACAAAAGACTGCTGAAAGAAATCACCGATGACGCAAATAAATGGTGAAACATTTCATGCTCATGGAGTGGAAGAATCAATATAGTTAAAAATAGCCATACTGCCCAAAGCAATCTACAGATTTGATGTTATCCTTATCAAACTACAAATATGATATTTCAGAGAATTAGAAGAACTATTCTAAAATTCATATGGAACCAAAAAAGAGCTCAAATAGCCAAAGCAATCCTAAGCAAAAAAGAACAAAGCCAAAGGCATCACATTACCTAACTTGAAACTATACTACAAGGCTAGAGTAACCAAAACAGCATGGTACTAGTACAAAAACAAACACATAGACTAATAGAACAGAATAGAGAGCCCAGAAATAAAACTACACACCTACAACCATCTGATCTTCAACAAATTCAACAAAAATAAGCAAGGAGAAAAGGACTGTCTAGTCAATAAATGGTGCTGGGATAATTGGCTAGTCATACGCAGAATAATTAAAGTGGACCTCTGCCTATCTCCATATATAAAAATTAACACAACATGGATTAAAGATTTAAATCTAAGATGTAAAACTATAAAAATCCTAGAAGAAAACTGAGGAAATACCCTTCTGGACATCAGCCTTAGCAAAGAATTTATGACTAAGTCCTCAAAAGCAATTGCAACAAAAACAAAAATTTACAAGTAGAACCAAATTAAACTAAAAAGCTTCTGCAAAGCAAAAGAAATAATCACTAAAGTTAACAACCCACAGAATGGGAAAGAATCTTCACAATCTGTATATCCAACAAAGGACTAATATCCAAAATCTACAAAGAACTCAAACAAATGAGCAAGAAAAAAACAAGCAATCCCATCAAAAAGTGGGCTAAGCACATGAATAGACAATTCTCAAAAGAAGATACACAAATGGCCAACAAGCATATGGAAAAATGCTCAACATCACTAGTTATCAGGGGAATGCAAATCAAAACCACAACATGATAATACCTTACTCCTGCAAGAAAGGCCATAATATAATCAAAAAATCAAAAAAGAATAGATGTTGGCAAGATGTGGTGAAAAGGAAGCACTTCTACATTGCCAGTAGGAATGTAAACTAGTACAACCACTATGGAAAAGAGTGTGGAGATTCCTTAAAGAACTAAAAGTAAAACTACCATTTGATCCAGCAATCCCACTACTGGGTATCTACCCAGAGGAAAAGAAGTCATTATACGAAAAAGACATTTGCACATGTATGTTTATAGCAGCACAATTTGCAACTGCAAAAATATGGAACCAGCCCAAATGCCCATAAATTAACAAGTGAATAAAGAAAATGTGAGATAGATATATATATAATGGAATACTAGTCAGCCCTTAAAAAGAACAAAATAATGGCATTTGCAGCAACCTGGATGGAATTGGAGACTATTACTCTTGGTGAAGTAACTCAGGAATGGAAAACCATACATCCTATGTTCTCACTCATAAGTGGGAGCTAAGCTGTGAGGTCACAAAGGCATAAGAATGATACAATGGACTTTGGGGATTTTGGGGAAAAGGTATGATGGGGGCGAGAGATAAAAGACTACACACTGGGTACAGTGTACACTGCTCCAGTGATAGGTACACCAAAATCTCAGAAATAACCACTAAAGAACTTACTCATGTAAGCAAACACCACTTGCTCCTAAAAAACTATTGAAATAAAACATAAATTTAAAAATTATAACAAAATGAAATTAAAAATTGTAAGATACTCAAAAAAGTGAAAGAATAAATAAAAAAATAAGGCCGAGCACGGTGGCTCACGCCTGTAATCTCAGCAATTTGGGAAGCCAAGGCAGGCAGATGACTTGAAGTCAGCAGTTCGAGACGAGCCTGGCCAACATGGTGAAATCTTTTCTCTACTAAAATACAAAAATTAGCCAGGCATGGGGGCACATGCTTGTAAACCCAGCTACTTGGGAGGCTGAGGCAGGAGAATCGCAAACCTGGGAAGCAGAGGTCGCAGTGAGCCAAGATCGTGCCACTACACTACAGCCCACGCAACAGAGTGAGACGCTGTTTCAAAAAAAAAAAAAAAAAAAGATAATAACATAAAATAAATAAAATTACGACTCAGGAGGAGATCCACAGGCCCCTCCTTCAATTAATAGTAACAGAGGAAGGCATAAGAATAGCAACCACAGACTGAGAGGGGCACAGGAACTTGGGGCTCAGGACCCTCTGGGATGAGGATTTCATTATTTCCAGCAGGTATCCAGCTTCTCTCTTCAGAACTGGCTAGGAGACTGGCGTGTTCCACAGAGAGGAAGGAAGAGCAGCGTGGTATGGTGATCCACCTGAGAGCCACACGGGGCAGGGAAGCCCCCACCCTGGAGCCAAGACAGGCGGTAACTGAACATGCTACCCAGCTGGAGAAACCATGCTTTTTCATGTAACCGCGCAACCCGTGGATCGGAAGATCCCACTCGCAAGCCCACACCTCCAGGGCCTAGCGCCCCAACCCCAGAGCCCTGCAGAATCTCAACAGCCTCTCAGCTGGAATCTGATTAAGCTTACTGAGCTCCCGGTGGGCAGGGGCGAGCAGCACCACAGCTACAGCTGCCTGCTGTCTAAGCCATTTGAGCTCCTTGAGGGAGGGGCAACAGCCAGAGCTGGGACTCACAACTGCCTAACACCCTAAGCTCTCTGGGTGGGGGAAAGGCAGCATCTATCTCTATAGCTCCATGCTGCGCTTTTCCCCTGCTGGAGACAGGGAAGCTGGACGGCTTCGTCTCAAGACATGTCCCCACAGCCCAACACACCAGCTATGGCAGACTGCGACCGGAGTGCCTCTTCAGGCCTAACCCTGAATCATCCTTCCTCACTGGGCAAGGCTTCCCTGCAGAAACTCCAACAACTCCAGCCACAGGCTCAGGGACAGAACCTGGATCTCTCCGGGCCTGAGCCCGTAGGGGGAACCTGCAGCCACCCCTCCCTCCTGGTAGTTCCGAGGAATCCGGGCAGCCCAGACTAGTGGGTTTCCTCCCAGGGAAAGGCACACCCCCTCCACCAAGAGACAAAGTGCTTCATTAAACAGGTCCTGTTCCCCGGGCCACCCAACAGGGTGAGACCCTCCCACAGGGGTTTTCAGACATCCTATACAGGAGCGATCTCACTGGCATCAGGTTGGTGCCCCTCAAGGTCAGAGATCCCAGAAGGAGCAGACACCCATTTTGCTGTTCTCCAGCCTCCTTGACTGACATCTCCAGGCACAGAAGCAAACCAGATGAATAGGGCCTGAAGTGAACCCCCAGCAAACCACAGCAGCCCTACAGAAAAGGGACCTGACCATTGGAGGAAAAACAAGCAGAAAGCAACAACAGCATCAACAACAAAAAAAGCCTCCAAAAAACCCCATCCAAGGGTCAGCAGCCTCAAAGATCAAAACTAGACAAACTCTCAAAGATGAGAAAGAATCAACAAAAAAACCTGAAAACCCAAAAGGCCAGACTGCCTCTTCTCCTCCAAATGATTGCAGTGTTGCTCCAGCAAGGGCACAGAACTGAACGGAGGATGAATTGGACAAATTGACAGAAGTAGGCTTCAGAAAATGGGTAATAGAAAACTACGCTGAGCTAAAGGAACATGTTCTAACCCAATACAAAGAAGCTAAGAACCTTGATTAAAGATTAGAGGAGCTACTAATTAGAATAACCAGTTTGGAGAGGAACATAAATGTCCTGATGGAGCTGAAAAACACAGCACGAGAACTTTGTGAAGCATACACAAGTATCAAAAGCTAAACAAGCAAAAGAAACAATATCAGAGTTTGAAGACTACCTTGCTGAAATAAGGCATGCAGATAAGACTAGAGATGAAAGAAAGAAAAGGATTGAACAAAGCCTCCAAGAAATATGTGACTTCATAAAAAGACTGAACCTATATTTGATTGGAATACCTGAAGAAGACAGGGAGAATGGAAACAAGCTGGAAAACACATTTCAGGATATTACCCAGGAGAACTTCCCCAACCTAGCAAGACAGGCCGACATGCAAATTCAGGAAATACAGAGAACACCACTAAGATACTCCATGAGAAGATCAACTCCAAGACACATAATCATCAGATTCTCCAAGGTTGAAATGAAGGAAAAAATATTAAGGGCAGCCAGAGAGAAAGGCCAGGTCACCTACAAAGGGAAGCCCCTCAGACTAACAGTGGACCTCTTACCAGAAACTCTACAAGCCAGAAGAGACTGAGGGCCAATATTCAACACTTAAAGAAAAGAATTTTCAACCCAGAATTGCATATCCAGCCAAACTAAGCTTCATAAGCAAAGGAGAAATAAAATTCTTTCCAGACAAGCAAATGTGGAGGAATTTTGTTACCACAAGGCCTGCCTTTCAAGAGCTCCTGAAAGAAGCACTGAATAGGGAAAGGAAAAACCAGTATCAGCCACTGCAAAAACACAGCAAAATATAAAGACCAATGACACTATGAAGAAACTGCATCAACTAGTGTGCAAAATAACCAGCAGCATCGTGATGACAGGACCAAATTCACACATAACAATACTAACCTTAAATGTAAATGGGCTAAATGCCCCAATTAAAAGACACAGACTGGCAAATTGGATTAAGAGTCAAGACCCGGCCGGGCATGATGGCTCACACCTGTAATCCCAGCACTTTGGGAGGCCTAGATGGGCGGATCACAAGGTCAGGAGATCGAGACCATCCTGGCTAACACAGTGAAACCCTGTCTCTACTAAAAATACAAAAAAATTAGCCGGGCATGGTGGTGGCCACCTGTAGTCCCAGCTACTCGGGAGGCTGAGGCAGGAGAATGGCATGAACCCGGGAGGTGGAGCTTGCAGTGAGCCAAGATGGTGCCACTGCACTCCAGCCTGGGTAACAGAGCGAGACTCCGTCTCAAAAAAAAAAAAAAAAAAAGAGTCAAGACCCATCAATGTGCTGTATTCAGGAGACCCATCTCACATGCAAAGACACACATAGGCTCAAAATAAAGGGATGGAGGACAATTTACCAAGCAAATGGAAAGCAAAAAAAAAGTAGGGGTTGCAATCCTAGTCTCTGACAAGACAGACTTTACACCAACAAAGACCAAAAAAGACAAAGAAGGGCATTACATAATGGTAAAGGGAACAATTAAACAAGAAGAGCTAACTATTCTAAATATATCTGCACCCAACACGGGAGCACCCAGATTCATAAAACAAGTTCTTAGAGACCTACAAAGAGACTTAGACTCCCACACAATAGTGGGAAACTTTAACACCTGACTGTCAATATTAGACACATCATCCAGACAGGAAATTAACAATGATATTCAGGACTAGAACTCAGCTCTGGTTCAAGTGGACCTAATAGACATCTACAGAACTCTCCACCCCAAATCAACAGAATGTACATTCTTTTCAGTGCCACATGGCACTTATTCTAAAATCGACTGCATAATTGGAAGTATAACACTCCTCAGCAAACGCAAAACAACTGAAATCATAACAGTCTCTCAGACAACAGTGCAATCAAAATAGAACTCAGGATTAAGAAACCCACTCAAAACCATGCAACTACATGGAAATTGAACAATCTACTCCTGAATGACTCCTGGATAAATAAGGAAACAAAGGCAGAAATCAAAAAGTTCTTTGAAACCAATGAGAACAAAGAGACAACATACTAGAATCTCTGGGACACAGCTAAAGCAGTGTTAAGAGGGAAATTTATAGCACTAAATGCCCACATTGGAAAGCTAGAAAGATCTCAAATCAACACCCTAACATCACAATTAAAAGAACTAGAGGGGCGGGCATGGTGGCTCATGCCTGTAATCCCAGTGCTTTGGGAGGCTGAGGCAGGTGGATCACCTGAGGTCAGGAGTTTGAGACCAGCCTGCTCAATATGGTGAAACCCTGTTTCAACTAAAAATACAAAAATTAGCCAGGCGTGGTGGAGGGTGCATGTAATCCCAGATACTCAGGAGGCTGAGGCAGGATAATTGCTTGAACCCAGGAGGCAGAGGTTGCAGTGAGCCAAGATCATGCCACTGCACTCCAGCCTGGGCTACAGAGCAAGATTCCACTTAAAAAAAAGAAAGAGCCAGAGAGGTAAGGACAAACTAATCCAAAAGCTAGCAGAAGACAGAAATAACTAAGATCAGAGCAGAATTGAAGGAGATAGAGACACAACAAACACTCCACAAAAAATAAATGAATCCACGAGCTGGTTTTTTGAAAAAATAGATAGACTGCTAGCTAGACTAATAAAGAAGAAAAGAGAGAAGAATCAAATAGACACAATGAAAAAATGATAAAGGGGATATCACCACTGACCCTACAGAAATGCAAACTACCATCAGAAATACTATAAACATCTCTTTGCAAATAAACTAGAAAATCTAGAAGAAAGGGAGAAATTCCTGGACACATACACCCTCCCAAGACTAAACCAGGAAGAAGCTGAATTCCTGAATAGATCAATAACTAGTTGTGAAACTGAGGCAGTAATTAATAGCCTACCAACCAAAAAATAAGCCCAGGACCAAACAGATTCACAGCCAAATTCTACCAGAGGTACAAAGAGGAGCCAGTACCATTCCTTCTGAAACTATTCCAAACAACTGAAAAGGAGGGACTCATCCCTAACTTATTTTACGAAACAAGCATCATCCTGATACCAAAACTGGGAAGAGACACACACACGAAAAAGAAAATTTCAGGTCAATATCCCTGATGAACATCGATGTGAAAATCCTCAATAAAATACTGGCAAACCAAATCCAGCAGCACATCAAAAAACTTATCCACCACAATCAAGTCGGCTTCATCCCGGGGATGCAAGGCTGATTCAACATATGCAAATCAATAAACATAATCCATCACATAAACAGAACCAATACAAAAACCACATGACTATCTCAATAGATGCAGAAAAGGCCTTTGATAAAATTCAACATCCCTTCATGTTAAAAACTCAATAAACTAGGTGCTGATGGAACATATCTCAAAATAATAAGAGCTATTTATGACAAACCAACAGCCAATATCATATTGAATGGGCAAAAACTCAAAGCATTCACTCTGAAAACTGGTACAAGACAAGGATGCCCTCTCTTACCACTCCTATTCGACATAGTATTGGAAGTTCTGGCCAGAGCAATTAGCCAAGAGAAATAAATAAAACATAATCAAATAGAAAGAGAGGAAGTCAAATTGTCTCTGTTTGCAGATGAACATGATTTTATATTCAGAAAACCCCATCATCTCAGCCCACAAAACCCTTAAATTGATAAGCAACTTCAGCAAACTCTCAGGATACAAAATCAATGTGCAAAAATCACAAGCATTCCTATACACCCACAATAGACAAGCAGAGAGCCAAATCATGAATGAACTCTGATTCACAATCTCTACAAAAAGAATAAAATATCTAGAAATACATCTAACAAGGGATGCGAAAGACTTCTTCAAGAAGAACTACAAACCACTGCTTAAGGAAATAAGAGAGGACACAAACAAATGGAAAAACATTCCATCCTCATGGATAGGAAGAATTGATATCATGAAAATGGTCATACTGCCCAAAGTAATTTATAGATTCAATGCTATTCCCATTAAACTACCACTGACATTCTTCACAGAATTAGAAAAAACCACTTTAAATTTCATATGGAATCAAAGAAGGCCCCACATGGCCAAAACAATTCTAAGCAAAATGAGCAAAGCTGCAGGCATCATGCTATCTGACTTCAAACTATACTACAAGACAAAACAGCATGGTACTGGTACCAAAACAGACAAATAGACCAATTGAACAGAACAGAGACCTCAGAAATAACACCATACATCTACAATCATCTGATCTTCAACAAACCTGACAAAAACAAGCAATGGGTAAAGGATCTCCTATTCAATAAATAGTGCTGGTAAAACTGGCTAGCCATATGCAGAAAACTGAAACTGGACCCCTTCCCGACACCTTATACAAAAATTAACTCAAGATGAATTGAAGACTTAAATGTAAAACCCAAAACCATAAAAACCCTAGAAGAAAACCTAGGCAATACCATTCAGGACATAGGCAAATGCAAAGATCTTATGACGAAAACGCCAAAAGCAATTGCAACAAAAGCCAAAATTGACAAATGAGATCTAATTAAAGAGCATCTGCACAGCAAAAGAAACTAGCATCAGAGTGAACAGGCAACCTACAGAATGGGAGAAAATGTTTGCAACCTACCCATCTGACAAAGGTCTAACATCCAGAATTCACAAGGAACAAATTTACAGGAAAAAAGCAACCCCACCAAAAAGCGAACAAAGGATATGAACAGACACTTCTCAAAAGAAGACATTTACGTGGCCAACAAACATATGAAAAAAACTCAACATCACTGATCATTAAAGAAATGCAAATCAATACCACAATGAGATACCATCTCATGCCAGTCAGAATGGCAACTATTAAAAAGTCAGGAAAAAATAGATGCTGGCAAGGCTATGGAGAAATAGGAATGCTTTTACACTGTTGGTGGGAATGTACATTAGTTCAACCATTGTGGAAGACAGTATGGTGATTCCTCAAGGATCTAGAACCAGAAGTCCCATTTGACCCAGCAATCCCATTACTGGGTATATACTCAAAGGAATATAAATAGTTCTGTTATAAAGACACATGCACACATATGTTTATTGCAGCACTATTCACAATATCAAAGTCATGGAACCAACCCAAATGCCCATCAGTGATAGACTGGATAAGGAAAATGTGGTACACAGACATATGGAATACTACACAGCCATAAAAAGGAATGAGATCACATCTTTGCAGGGACAAGGATGAAGTTGGAAGCCATCATCATCAGCAAACGAACACAGGAACAGAAAAACAAACACCGCATGTTCTCACTCATAAGTGGGAGTTGAGCAATGGGAACACATGGACACAGGGAGGGGAACATCACACACTGGGGCCTGTTGGGGGATGGGGGACGAAGGGAGGAAACTTAGAGGACAGGTCATAGGTGCAGCAAACCACCATGGCACGTGTATACCTACGTAACAAACCTGCAAGTTCTGCATGTATCCCAGAACTTAAAGTAAAATTTTAAAAAAATAAAATAAATAAAAATAGTAACAGAGGTTTCTTTGTAATTAGCCTGTATTACAAGTGTAGACTTTGTGTATTTGTCTTACAAAGTTTGAGCAGTTTCTTATTAAACTAAGATGAAAATTCTGAATTCTAAAAACAAGTTGCCAAAGTACAACTAACCAACAGAAGAAGAAAGTGTTCCCTTCATCCTTAACCTAACTAAAGTCATATAGAGTTGTAACATACTTCAAATACTCCTAGAATATCACTTTCAACGTGGGTCTTAGGTTTTCTGTTCTTTGTTCTTCCTTTTAGCCCTTGATGTTTTTTACTCTCTTCCTTTTCTTTGTTTTCAGTTTACATTTTCCATAAACAACTTTTCCAAAAATAAGATTCTCTCAAATATCACAAAAGTACTATATTAAATTATAAAACTGTAATTCTGGCAATGGACATTTTATAATAGGAAACAATACTTAAATGATTGCAAGGTGGAAAAAAAATGGGTATCACTTCATCAGAACTTGTTTCAAGTTTGTTTAAATTATAGGCTGATTTAAATTTTACTAAACTGATATCTATTTTTGAAATTATCCCTCACTTTTCCATATGATTTATAGGGCGGTGCCCATGGAGTTCTTCTCTTAACATCAACCAAAGACAAGAAGAATAATTCTCTACCTCTGCCTTTGCTTTCTAAATAGGAGGCAGCTTAGTTACATTCTGAAGGTTCACAATATATTGAAGAGACAAAATAAATCCTAGGTCTGGTCTTCTTGGACATGAGAAATGACAGCTCTAGAATGTTAGAAACTTCCATTTGTACATAAGATTCATATCCATAAAGGGTTTGGAAATAAATCCAGCTGGTTTCAACAGGTGTTGACATTAGGTTAAGCGTTCCACCTAGTGGCCAAATCCAGCCTAGCCTGTTCTCTCGGGGTTCTCATACGTCTAAAAGATGATAAAGCAAGGATTGATTTGTCCTAAAGCATCCCCATTACCTGTACAGCAACGAAACATTTTGAATAGTGAAAAATCTTAGGAAGTTCAGGACATTTTTACTTACAGAAAGAAAATATTCCCAATCATATCCCAAGTCATAGGACAAGCTTTCCCCAATATAGTCAAAGCTCAGACATACCATCTTTCACTGTTCAGTGATTTATCCAAAATTCATTAAGCTCCTATTACATAACAAACAGTGTAATCATCACTAGGAACACTAACATTAACAACCAAAAATGCCACTAAGGAACTCATAGACTAGTGGGGAAGACATGAAAATAGGTAATAAAAATCCATATTAAGTACAATGACATAGGAAGCTAGTAGAGCCCAGAAACAGTGAGGGGACTCAAAAGTTTAAAGAAAATAAAACTTCCCCAAGACACCCATCTAGTAAGTTGTTGAGTTGGATTTGAACCCAAGTGTACCTAATTCCAAAGCTATTGGCAGCCCTGCAGGCCCCCAGAATGGGTTATCTATCCCTGCTTCAGGTGACTGAAATTGTAGTGAGGAGGTCCATGATGTTACCACGTCGCTATCATGGACATTTCTTGCAAAAGGCTAATTAGGCATAGCTCTAATAGTCCAATTTATCAGAGGCAATCTAATGGGATGCTGGATTTAGGACAATGGCTTCTGTCACTTGCATGCTGGAATATGACCTAGAACTTCTTCCTAAGCCAAAGCTGGCAGCAGCTACTTCCTTTCCTCTTGTGTACTATAGTAGGTAAGTAGACCACAGTTTGAATTCTGGCTCCACTATTTACTAGCTCTCTGACCTTGGCCAAGTTCATTAATGCCTGGAAACCAGGAGACCTGATTTCTAGTTGTGGCTCTGACACTATAGATACACATAATCCCATGAAAGTCCTGCAGGGCCATACCAAGCAATGAAGGTTTCTATCGATAGTGCGTAGGCTATTGTCTAAATGATTGCATGCCCCAGGTCTAAAATTGAAAATTTTGTATATAATCATGAAAGTGTTGGCTTGATGACTGTGACAGTGAAGGAGAGACAAGAGGGTGAACAACAGACACATCTAACTGAAACTAATACCAGTTATAGCAGTAACCAGTCTCATAAAAAGGGAAGACCTCCACTTCCACTTAGGGAATCTTTATGTAGGAGGAAGAAGCTCCAAAGGGATGTCACTGCTGCAACCACTTGGACTCTGTAGATGACCAAAAGAAGACGATCTCGCATCTTATGGAAATGGAGGCTGCCAAGGAGAACCTCTCCTCCCCTTTCCAGCCAAAGGCTTAAGTAGCTACTGCAAACAAGGGGACACAATAGAGCAAGCTCTGTAGGTAGGACATTTCCTTCTCTCCCCTTTAATCCTTTGGGTCATGGGAAGCATCAAATAAATGTCAGCTTGTATGTTTAACCTAAGTAACGCATACATATTAAGTGTACCTACACATTAGATAAACCCAAAGGCAAAGTGCCTGAAAAGAATTTGCAGCCTGGTCTGCGACCTGAGTCACTTTCCACAACCATCGTCATTTAGTGGCTAAGCCACTAATAACTTTAGGCTCCCTGGAAAATTTGTTGGGGCATTGTTTAGACAAAGACTGATTGGTCATAACAAAATACATACTTCTGACTGTAAACCTTCTTCAGTGTTACTTCTTTTATAAAACAAGGCGTACTATGTAATCCCTAAGTTCCTTCCAACCCTGAACTTCTATGAGCATATGGGTGTGCTGAAACCAGCTCTACCTGCCCTCAAGAGCCAACTGTTAAATATTTTTAAATTTCACAAGCCAGTGGTTAAGCCATGGACAGCATGAAATTGACACATTTGGAGTATTTACAACATAGAAATTGGCAAAGGCTACAAATCAGGGCTTTTTTTCAGAGAGCTAGCTTACTAGCATACCACTCAATGGGAGCTGTTTAACCAAATACATCCACTTGAGGGCACCGTGTTAGATGCTCTAAGAAAGCAGTTCTTTACCAGCCATATGGCCACCCTCCCAGGTGGCATTTGACATGTGAGAAACATTTTTGTTTGTCAAAATCACAGGTAGGCACTATAGACATTTAATGAGCAGGGGCTTGGTCTGATAAATATCTCACATGTGTGTAATAGTTTCTCCATATAAAGAAAAGTCATGTCCAAAATTTTAAGAGCAACCCCATTGAGAAACTGTGCAAGAGGCTCACACATATTCTAACACGAACTTTTGGTAGCCTTCTTTGAGCCTGTATGGAAAATAACATTTCTATGAAATTATTATCTATCGGACTAGCATATCAGAGCAGATAATGCATCATCTCAGAGAGGAACATATTGACAATTTTCTCCCTGACTTCCTAAACTCTCACCTTAAGTTTATCTTTTTTGTCCTCAATTCTTTTTTTTTTTTTTTTTTTTTTTTTTTTTTTTCTTGAGATGGAGTCTCAATCTGTCACTCAGGCTGGAGTTTAGTGGCACAATCTCGGCTCACTGCAGTGCAGCCTCTGCCTCCCAGGTTCCAGCCATTCTCCTGCCTCAGCCTCCCCGGTAGCTGGGATTGCAGGCATGCACACAACCACACCCAGCTAATCTGTGTGTTTTTAATAGAGACAGGGTTTCTCCATATTGGCTAGGCTGGTCTCGAACTCCTGACCTCAGGTGATCTGCTCACATCGGGCTCCCAAAGTGCTGGGATTACAGGCGTGAGTCACCGTGCCAGGGCTGTCCTCTCTTGAATCTGTCTCTGTCTCATTGCTATCTCCACTCTGACTCATTTATCAAAAACTTGTTTTATCCTAGTTCCACTGAGACAGACCATGTATCAGGTAGACTCCAAGTGACAGAAAACCCAAATAATGATGGTTTAAACACGTGATGATTTTCTTTCCTTGCACTTATGATCATGAGGTAGACAATTGCTGGCTTTGTTTCAGCAGCTCAAAGATATCAGGCCTTAGGCTTGATAGCCATCTGGCCTCTTCCTAATGGTAGTGTGTTAGTCCATTCTACGCTGCTATGAAGAAATACCCCAGACTGGGTAATTTATAAAGAAAAGAGGTTTAATGGACTCACAATTCCACATGGCTGGGGAGGCCTCAAGAAACGTACAGTCACGGTGGAAGGCACCTCTTCATAGGATAGCTGGAGAGAGAATGAGTGCCAGCAGGGGAAATGCCAGACGCTTATGAAACCATCAGATCTCGTGAGAACTCATTCACTATCACGAGAACAGCATGGGGGAAAACACCCCCATATTCAATTATCTCCCACCAGGTCCCTTCCACATGGGGATTATGTGGACTACAATTCAAGATGAGATTTCGGTGGGGACACAGCCAAACCATACCAGGTAGCAAGCAGGTTGTGAAGCTGCAGCAGTTGAGACCATTTTCCCAGCAGGAGATGAAGAATCGAGTCAGAAAGGGGAAACATCTATATCCAAAAGCAAAGACTTGCACAGAAGCCCCCGGTGGAAGACTCCAACTTATCCCTCAAGAGCCAGGCTATATCACACGGCCACCCAAGTTGAAGGAGAGCCAGAAGTGGGATCTTAGCTTTCAAGACTGTAAAATGAGAGGGAAATGGGGAAAGAGGGTCGGAAGGGGTAATGAGGAAGCCAACCACAGTATCCATCACAGGCAGGAACTCTTCTGCAGAACTTTAGGGAATATTGAGACATAATATAGAAATATTAAAGACATGGAAACAGGCTCACTCAGAATGAATTTCTTATTGTAAAACAAGTACACATAATCAGAGGTTAGTTGGCACAATTATGGGCACTCATCAAAATTTCTTTCTTCCACTTGTATTCATTGAAGTTCCCTGTCAAAAATGTTTACTCTTTGCATCTGTAAATAATTCCTAATTTCCTTTCTTGTTTCCTTTTCTTCCACTGGGTTTGATATTAACATAGAGAGAGGTTTTTCTGTTTCTATCTCCTTTGGAGACAATAGATAGTAAGTGGGTTAATTACTCAAAACCTGATTAGAAAATGGCATTTTCCCATTCCCAAGAATACATATTAATTTGATCACAGAAGCATCAGATATTAAGGTATCCTTATTTTCTCCACCTTGAAGAAAAGTAAAACATTATTATTTGCTGGCATGGTTTCCTGTCTGTTGGCACTAATTTAATCCCTTGTTATCATGGAAACTTTACTTAAGAGCTTGGAAGTGTGGGGGGAAAAAAAGATTGCGCTCTTGCAATTAAGCTTTCAAATCGATACAAAAAGGAAATAGGTTCCAAACTTGTGTTAGCGATAGGTAGAATGCCAATTCCTTCATTTACAATAGAGAGGAATATGCCTTTTCAGTGGGTAATCTGATTGGATGAATTAATATATGTAAAGAGGGATCTTAAAACATCACATTAGGGCAGGTTTGCTGGCTCACACCTGTAATCCCAACATTTTGGGGGCCAAGGTGGGAGAATCACTTGAAGCCAGGCATTTGAGACTCACCTGGGCAATATAATGAGACCCCATATCTACAAAAAAAATCTTAAAAAATAAAAATTACCCAGGCATAGTGGCACATGCCTGTTGTCCCAGCTACTGGGGGAGCTGAGGCAGGAGGATCTCTAGAGCCCAGGAGTTTGAAGCTGCAGTGAGCTATGATCATGCCACTGCACTCCAGCCTGGGCAAAATAGTGAGAGGTCCTGTCTCTAAAATACAAAATAAAAATAAAAACATCACACATGCCCCACAAGTATATACAGCTACTAGATACCCATAATAATTAAAAATAAAAAATTTAAATATGTATATGTAAAGCAGAAATATCTCAGTTAAAAGCCATGGAAGTACTAATGAAAAAAGAGATACTGAAGCAAATATTGTCAGCGTGACCCCAAGGTACTCCCAGTAAAAGTCTTTTCCAATGGATTCTGCACAGTCTACTTCCACTGGCATCCTAGATTTACTGTGAAAAGATGAACCAAGCTAAGCCTGCCATTCATCATTTGATTCCTCTAAACCCCCATGGTTCACACCAGACATCACAGGGAAACGATTTTATTTCTCTTGGTGTATAAAGCTAAAGGTCTACTCCCAGGGAGAGAATGACCTGGTCAAGTGGACCTGCATGTCAGACCCCCAAGCTTTAGAGCAATGATGCTCAAACTTTAGCATTCCCTGGGAGATTCTGTTAAATCATAGATCCCTGGATTCTACCCCCAGAGAATCTGATTTAGTAGGTCTGCAATGAGGCCCCAGAATCTGCCATTTAACAGTTTCCCAGGTGATGATGATGATACTGGTCTAGTGACCATACATTGAGAAACAATCCTTTAGTTAAAAGGATATGTGGCAAAAAAATCTACAGATGATGGGATGCTGGGAAAGATTACATTCAGTCGTTTATATTTTATCTGTGAAGAAGGAGACATGGTAATCAGGAAAAAGGGATGGAATTGGAGAGAGAAAAGCTTGAGCAAAGTGTGAAAATTTTAAAATAACTACCACAAGGAATGATTAGCACTTGAGCAGTGCTAAAACCCCAACCAAGGTCAGCAAAGGTAATTATGGTGAAGCTTCACTGAATAGTGATGATATGCTAAGTTCTATTTTGGAATCTTGAATGTATTTATTGCTCCTAAAAGTCTCTGTATTAAGAACTTTTGTTATCCCCATTTTCCAGGGAAGAAAGCAGGCTCATAGGTCTAGTAAGTGGGAAAGCTAATATTTGAATCCACAAAGTTTAATTGCAGAGTTCATACTATCAGCAATCATGCTAGTCTGAGACTAAATCATTAAACTTCTTCACTTTGAAATGGAGAAGTTTAATGATTTAAAACTTGGGCTCTTATCCAAAACCCAAATGGCTTTTTTTTTTTTTTTGTGGTCAATGTTGAGACCACATTAAAACATTGTTTAGATGTTCTCACTCTCTGCTGATGATAGCATTGGAGTGAAAGGGAGAGATGTGAAAGATACAGCAGGACAAGACAAGCAGAGAAGGGTGGGCTGGTTTCTCTGTAAGAGCCTCCCAGCTTGGAGGGTTGGCCATAATGTAGCTGATCCTCAGCTTTTCAGATCAGCTACTAAACTCTCATGTCACCAATAGATTGGATGCCAACTCATTTATTTACAGTGAAGGGGGATGCACCTTTACAGTGGTAACCAGAATATTTATATTCCATCTCCAGAGCATATTCTTCCACCAATCAAAGTACCTGCGATCCAAATTAGTCATCAGAAAGCCATTTGTTGGACAGAGAGTCAGACTAGAGGAAGTAAATGGAGGTGCCAATATTTAACTAGGAGATGCTGGTATGATCAGGCAGGTGTTTTCAGCTAGCATCCATTCTGATATCTATATCCATGCTACAGTGGTTGATAATTTTTTTGTATTTAGGTTATCTAAATGATAAAATGCAAGAAACGATGAATTACAGCCACTCCATAGGAATATTCCATTTAGAAGCAAGCAGCAAAAAATAAAATAATGACTAGCACTATAAAGTAAAACATCTCATTAAGAAAGAGATCGTCAAATGTTTAGTGTAATTTGGAAGAAGATGTCTAAGAAATTTCCAAGTAATAGAAATTTTTTTAAGTTTATATATTTGGCTAAGAAAAAAGCTTCAGTTTTCTTGGAAATTTAATTATGTACCAAAGTGAATCCCCACATGATATAAATGAGAATATCTACTAAGAAACAACTAACTATAAGACCCCTGGTGTATTAGTCCATTTCTGCACTACTATAAAAAAACTACCTGAGACTGGGTAATTTATAAAAAGAAGGTTTAGTTGACTCACAGTCCCATATGGCTGGGGAGGCCTCAGGAAACTTACAGTGATGATGGAATGGGAGGCAAGGCACACCTTACATGGCAGCAGGAGAGAGAGAGTGTACACGAAGGGGGAAGCACCATCAACGCTTGTGAGAATTCACTCACTATCATGAGAACAGCAAGGGAGAAATCCAACCCCATTTTTCAATCATCTCTCCCACCAGGCCCCTCCTTTGACATGTGGGGATTATAATTCAAGATGAGATTTGGGTGGGCACACCGAGCCAAACCGTATCACCTGGTGATGGCTCCCCTGGCTTAGAATTTTAGATTACTAAATGAACAGGGCAATAACACAGGTACTTATCTAAACATAAGCAAAGACCAGCTACTTGTAAAGCAAATATTTTAACACACTTAAAAGAGTCAAATGGCCACATAAAAAGGCCAGAATAATTAATTATTTTGGTTATTTTAACTTTACCCAAAATAGAAATATGTATATTGTGTGTATAAAGCTAAGAACTAAGCTCACGCATAAAGCCACGCATTTTTAAAGATGTGCAAAATATCACTTTCCAAGGATATTCATACCTAACAGAAACACTGTTCCATTATGTAAAAAACAGGAACATGTTGCTAATCCAGCATTATTTACATTGATGGGCTAAAATGCTAACTTGAAATAATTACTGGATTGGTTCTGTTCAATTACCAAAGCTTGACATTCACCTAAAAACTCCCCATTCTGAGTTGTTGCTACAAAAAGAAACTATTAACCACCTACAAAGTAAGTCAGCACCTTATTTCATCTGCCTACAACACCTCCATTACACACAATACTCCCTGAGAATAGTATTAAAAGATGAATAGTGATAAAAGACAAAACCTTTTTTAAGAGCTAGTAAAATCAGCCTCACCAACACACAGATTACAGGCATTTTTTTGTTTTGTTTTTTGAGATGGGGTATTTTTCTGTGGCCCAAGCTAGATTGCAGTGGCACAACCATAGCTCACTGCAGGCTCCTATGTTCAAGCGATCCTCCCACCTCAGCTTCCCGAAGTGCTAGGATTACAGGCATGATCCACTGTGCCCAGCCTAACAGGCAATTTTTTACTACTATAATTCAAAAAGTATTTTAAACACTATAAATGTGTAATTTTTAGCACATAAAATAATTGCCTCTAAGCATACTTTTATTTATAGAATTTCTACAAGTGTAATTTTAAAAAAACCCTTAAAAATTCTCCCCAAAATAAATAGCACTTTTTCACAATATGACATTTTAAAATGTTAAACTTTGGACTATATGACAATTGGACAAAAAATGTAATCTAAGCCAATTTGATGTTCCTCAACTAAAATGAGTAAGATGTTATCAAACTTATGAAATTTATTCAGCAATTTTAAAGACGTTTAATTTAAATACAGGCTGATTAGTAACCTGGTGTCTGGCGCCATCTACTGCACAGCAGCAGTAACTTCTCCCTGTATGTTTCTTCAGCTAGACTGCAAATTACTTAATTTATGTAAGAAATATGTACCTGTGTGAAAACGACTGGAAATTAATTTGAAGATAGAAAAATAATTGCTGTGTTTAGAGTGTTGCTTTGTCTTTTTTTTAATGGCCTTATATTTTTTAAGAAAATATATTGACGAAAATTATTTACAGAACAAAAAATACAACTTGAGAAGCTTGGACAAAATGAGAAAGTGAAGAGCACCAAGGTTGGGAATGAATTTCTTACGATCCCTTACAAGGTGATGGGCATGGTAGATTACCACAAAGCTGAGGATGGTGACCTAAGTCATGTGACAGTTCAAAATTAAAGACCTGCTTTTTCTATTACTATTTATAATTAAAACTTGTTATCTAGCATAACATAAATCAAGACTTATAAATTAGCCCTATGAGAAATGGGTTGCTCACATGATCACCTAACGCTAATGGAGGAAAAGATATGAAGACATTCTCTGAATTGTCAAACAAAAATAAATGTATGATTCATATAGTTCAGTTTGATAGAAGTTTCCAAGATAACTGTGCTGGGGAGTATAAGGTTCCAGGGCTTTGTTTGTACCATATAGACTGCAACCTTGTGGGCTGCTAAACACTGAAAAATGTTGATGTGCAGATACCTTTCCTGGTAGCCATTCTTATACATTCTCCTTTCCTACATATTGTATAAGACCAGTTATCTTAGGCTGTTCCAGCTGCTCTAACAGAGTACCATAGCCTGGGTGTCTTACCAAAAAACAGAAATTTATTTCTCACAGTTCTAGAGGTTGGAAAGTCCATGATTAAGGCAGATTCGATGTCAGTTAAGATCCTGCTTCCTGGTCATAGCATCTTCTCACTGTGTCCTCACATGGCAGAAGGGCAAGGGAGCTCTCTAGAGTCCCTTTTATAAGGCCACCAATCCCATTTATGAGGGCTCCGCCACCATGACGTAATCATTACCCAATGGCCCCACCTCCAAATACTGTCACTCTGGTTTTGGTTTCAACCTATGAATTTGGAGGGAATATAAACATTCAGGCTATAGTACCAAGGAACCTTGAGTGTCAAGAAGGTAACTTAGATATGTTTGTAGGTAACTTTTCCTCCATAGTTCTTTTGGAAATTACAATTACGTATCCCTGTGTTGACTTGTTTGTTTCACACCTATCTCCAAGAGGACCAACATTAAGCTATTTCCATTTTGTTCTCTACTCTATCCATAGTACCCAGCACAATGCCTGATACATTCCCACATATACAGCATGGATACAGTAGGCACTCAATGAAAATTTTGACTAATTAATTAAAATACAGACCTGGGGCAAAAGTGGGGGTGGGAGGCAACTTGGAAAAGTAAAGAGAGGATGATAAAGGAAAAGAAGAAACAAAAACTCCAACATTCTATTTATTGACCCTCATGATAGGACCAGAAATTGCTCCAGGGATTATTTAATGGAACTGAGCAATATTTGCTTGGCCTATGAGCATCTCTATGTTTTAAATTCCTACCAATACCTGATAAGACACATGTGCACACACAACGCTCTTCTCAAGAGGACTCAGTACCAATGGCTGAAGGCTAAAATGCTATCACACCCGGTGTCAATCAGGGTTCCAGCAAAGAAGCAGAACTCATAAGAGTGGGATTCATTATAGTGATTTGACCCCACAGAACTGTGGGAGTTGACTAAGCAGTTTACGGGGCTTTTGTTTCTGTATCCAGGCCCTGGAGGGAATGGGTCTGTCATTAAAGAAGAAAAGATGGGCGTGAGTAGGAAAAAGCAAGGAGAAACCATGGCCTACAAGGACAAGGTGGAACATACGTGGCCAGGCCGAATCCCACCTCAGTCTCTCAGTGCCCCCAACTTCAGCGAGGAACGTGACCTGCTGGTACTCGTCCTCACAAAGGTAAACACACTCCCTGGGCACAGAAGCTGGAGCAGCTGTGAGGCCAGCTGCTGCCCATGTCCCCAGGGCGGCCAACAGAGGTGCAATCACACACGTGAGCAGAACAGGTCCCGGGCCCTGCACCCACCTTCTGAGCATAAAAGCAACATGCTGCTGCTTCTCTTCCGCCTTCCAAATCTCGTACATCAGTGTCTCTTCTGGACCACACTAACTATGCAGGAAACTCTGCAGGGAAGGGAATTCAGGGAACTATCATTCCAGCTTAGCTTCATTGACTCAATACAAATCTACTACATCAAATTTGATGATTCGGTTTTGTTTTACCTGCGGGCGAATCTACTCATTACTGCAAGGGAGTACCAGGAGTCTCACACAGGCAAGTGTAGCACACTCAAGACCTTTCCTTGGCCAGACGCGGTGGCTCATGCCTGTAATCCCAGCCCTTTGGGAGGGTGAGGCGGGCAGATCACAAGGTCGGGAGTTTGAGACAAGTCTGGCCAACATGATGAAACCCCATCTCTACTAAAAATACAAAAATTAGCCAGGCGTGGTGGCGGGCACCTGTAATCCCAGCTACTCGGGAGGCTGAGGCAGGAGAATTGCTCGAACCTGGGAGACGGAGGTTGCAGTGAGCCGAGACCATGCCATTGAACTCCAGCCTGGGTGACAGGGCGAGACTCTGTCTCAAAAAAAAAACAAAAACAAAAAACCTTGCCTCAAATGGAGACTGCTTGCTTAGACATGAGTCATCCTCTCTTAACCTAGAATCAAACTTTACAAAGTCAAACATAGGCAGATGCCGCAATCATATTTACAGGTAAAGCTAATGACTTCCACGTGAGGAGAAGCTTACTTATAGTAATTTCAGTGTAAAATTGCAAGAACTAAGATGTGATCATTTTTAAATCATCTTAATAGCTAACATGCCCATGATGACTTACGTGGTCACAATCACGCTAAATGCATTACATTGGCCAGGTGCAGTGACTCACACTTGTAATCTCAACACTTTGGGAGGCTGAGGTGGGCAGATCATTTGAGCCCAGGAATTTGAGACCAGCCTGGACAACATGGCAAAAGCCCATCTCTACAAAAAATACAAAAATTAGCCAAGCATGGTGGCAGTTGCCTGTAGTCCCAGCTACTCAGGAGACTAAGATGAGAGGATCGCCTGAGTCTGGGAATTTGAGGCTGCAGTGAGCTGTGATCATGCCACTGCACCCCAGCCTAGGCAAAAGAGCAAGACCCTGTCTCAAAATAATAATAATAATAAATGCCCTACATGGATTATCTCATTCAGTACTCACAACAATCTTATAATACAGTACCATTATTACCCCTTTTAAAGAAGCAGACCGAAGTTCATAGAGGCCAAATAATGAACACAAGTGGTGGAGCTGAGACTCCAACCTGGCATTTGAATCCAGAGCCTTTCTCACTCCCTTACCACATGTAACAATGACTAAAGAGGTGACTCAAACTGGATTTCAAGTCATTAAGAGGTTCTTCCAATTTAAAAAAAAAAAAAAGGCAAAAATAGTTAATTAAAAATAAACACTTGTAAATAATGCACCACAGATGGTTTCCAAATCAATGCTAAGACATAAAAATGTTTGATTTTCCCAGAATTTATTAATGGGAGCATATAGGGATCATGTGTTTTGAGTAGCACAACTTGAGAGTCCTTGCCAGTTACTACACTGTGCTGCCACTGCCAGCTGAATCAAAGAGTGGCGTAATTCAATCACACTCCTTTTAGTTCTGTATAAAAATAAGTAAACTTATCCAAAGGAAGAGACGTAGAAAGAGAGTCACAGAAATTCTCACGGAAGAATTGTCAGCAGGCTATTTTCAATCCATCCTTTATGACCTGCCTGCTTTTGGGGCGGGGGGGGGGGGGTTGTTTTGTTTTGTTGTTGTTGTTTTGTATTTCTCCTCCTGTAATTAAACACGACACAGGTATTGGAGAACATCAAAAGACACTTCCCCAGGGGAGGTGGTGGTGGTTATTAAAAACAAAGCCAATTCTTCCATATGTCACATGGTATATCTGGCCAATTTCTTTGAGTGTAAGGCAGCCTAATATAGCACCATACACACAGTGGATGTCAAAAGGTTCTTGCTTAGTAAATTAACACACTGACCATATGCACTAATTTGTGCCCCAGCCTACCAAGTAAATGTTATTCAAACCATAGAATAGAGATCTACTTCGGTCTTTGGCTGAATTCCAATCTGTACATACATAAGAGGAAATATCACAAGGTCAGGGAACAACAACTACCACGGGAAAAAACAATTACAAGGGAGATGTAAGATGAACAATTTCCAAAGCTTATACAGTGCCAGGAATTATTTGATTCCCTCCAGCTGGAATGGCGGTTTGCATGGGGTCTTCTTGAATACACAGGCATTCAGTAGAAACCTCAGAAAGATGTTACCTTAAAAGCGGGACTGGGCCGAACATGGTGGTGCATGCCCATAGGCGCAGCTACTTGGGAGGCTCAAGGTGAGAGGATTGCATGACCCCAGGAGCTTGAGGCCAGGCTCTGGGCAACACAGTGAGAGGGAGGGAGGGCAGCCTAGGCAGGTAAGAAAAGCCAAGCAGGTCAAGGTCAGGCAGGTTAAGTAGGCCAGGCAGGCCAGGAAGAACAGGCAGGTTAAGTAGGCCAGGCAGGTTAGGCAGACCAGGCAGGTTAAGCAGGCAGGCCAGGCAGGCCAGGCAGACAAGGAAGGCAGAAAAGAAAAGAAAGAAAGAGAGTCTAAAATAGCCCTAGAATAACTAATACTCAAAGTCAAGCACAAATTTAAAATGTATTAGACGTACAAATAAACCAGAAATATGACCCACAACCAAAATAAAAATCAGAAATAGAAACACAGAAATGACAGAGATAATGGAAGAAGCAAACAAGGATATTGTAACAACCACCCTAAATAGACTCCATATGTTCAAGAAGGTAAGTGAAACCATACATGTTTTCCTTTCTGCCTTCCTTGCCTACCTGGCCTGCATGGCCTCTTGCTGGCATGGCCTGCCTGGTCTTCCTGGCCTGCCTGGCCTGCCTAGAGGCTTGCTTACCTGCCTTACCTGCCTCGCTTTTCTCACCTGCCTAGGCTTCCCTTCTTCACTCTCATTATGTTATCTAGGCTGGCTGGATTTGTCTGTTTTCACACTGCTATGAAGATACTACCCAAGACTGGGTAATTTATAAAGGAAAGAGGCCTAATTGACTCAAGTTCCACATGGATGGGGGGGTCCTCAGGAAACTTACAATCATGGCAGAGGGGAAGCAGGCACATCTTACATGGCGGCAGGTGAGAGAAGAATGAAGGAGGATCTACCAAACACTTAAAACAATCAGATCTTGTGGGAACTCACTCAGTAACGTGAGAATAGCATAGGGGAAACGGCCCTCATGATTCAATTGCCTCCCTCGCTAGACATATGGAGATTATAATTTAAGATGAGATTTGGGTGAGGGCACAGAGCCAAACCATATCGCTGGCCTCTACCCAAAGGAAAAGAAGTCACTACATTAAAAAGACACCTGTACACATATGTTTATTGCAGTACCAGTCTACAAGTCACAACTGCAAAGATATGGAGCCAATCTAAGTGCACGTCATCTGATGAGTGGGTAAAGAAAATGTGGCATATATAAACCATGGAATACTACTCAGCTGAAAAAAAAAAGTCTTTTGCAGTAACTTGGTTGGAAATGGAGGTAATTAGTCTAAGTGAAGTAACTCAGGAATGGAAAACCAAATACCATATGTTCTCACTTAGAAGTGGGAGCTAAGCTATGAGGATGCAAACGCATACAGAATAGTATAATGGGCTTTGGAGACTCACAATGGGGAATGGTGGGAGGCGGGAAAGGGATAAAAAACTACATACTGGGTACAATGTACACTACTTGAGGGATGGGCACACTAAAATTTCAGACTTCACCACTATACAATTCATCCATGTAACCAAAAACCACTTGTACCCCTAAAGTTATTGAAATTTAAAGAAAAAAGAAAATGGTACACTACACTTAAAGAGCATATCTTTAGATGATGTGTAGACTTTCATGAGAAAATTATAAATGTGCTTACACATGTTTGGGTCTGTTTTGAAGTGTGTCCAACTATTTTGTAACTTTTTAACAAAAGCTTAAAAACGATTCTGAGAGTTGAAGCTACTCCTTATAAAGATGAGGAATTATTTTTATAAATTTTATTTTTTCTATCACCACAGAATCAAAATACCTTTGCACATTATAGTAGGAAAGAGGGATTGTAATTTCAAAAGTATTCAAAAGTCATAAGACAACATTATTGAGATTTAACTTAAAACAGGAATATTTCTATCTCTTTATTGCCTATTTTTCTTTAGGGAACAAGAAAACATTAGCAAAATCTGAGTGCAGTGAGAGTTTCAACCTGCATGTTATTTAATGCAGGAGGGAATCTTAATGAACTTTGATAAATTGATTAAGTCAACATATATTGAGCATGCTTTTAGTTGGACATACTAAAATATACAGGAATTTCCTTCTTTTTCTGGAAAAAAGTCATTGATCTTTAAAAAACAAAGGAAAAAGAAAATTATTATTTTAAGGGTAATGGCTTTTCAACACCTTTCACTGTTCTCAGCGAACTAAAATTAACACTTCATGTTTCTTTCATGGCACTTTCACATGCCACTTTGACCTCCCTGTTCAGATTGTTGTGTCCTGAATTTCTGCTTTCAAAGCCTGTTCTATTAAGCCTCTCTTCATCTAAGAGTCCCTTTCTAAGCCTCATCTCTGAAGTAGCAGGAGGGACTGGACTCGAGAGGCAGGGCTCAGACACTGGACCAGATTGAGGACTAGCTAAAACAGGGCAGGGCAAATACAGCTTTCAATCAGACCCTCCCACCAGTGTGCCATATTTGTTTGCTGTTACCACAGCAACACCTGGCAGTTACCCCCCTTTCCATGGCACCCAGTGATCCAAAAGTTACTACCCCTTCCCTGCATAAAACGACCCTTAATCTGCATGCAATTAAAAGTGAGAATAAATATGACTGCAAAACTGCCCTGAGCTGCTACTCTGCCTGTGGGGTGACCCTGCTCTGCAGGAACAGTCACGGAGCTGTCACACTGCCTGTTCAATAAAGCTGTTTTCTTCTAGCTCTGGCTTGCCCTTGAATTCTTTCCTGGACAAAGCCAAGAACCCTCACTGTCTAAGCTCCAGTTTGGGGCTCACTTGCCCTGTATCACCTCCACTCAATCACATACCCAAATCTAAGCCACAAGCCCCTGAACTCTGCATTTCTTGTACGGGGATTCAGTACGTATTATGCCCGTGGAGACTCGCTTTCCAGGTTTCTCCCTATAAACCAAAAATAAAATTCTAAGCCCCCCACCCAACTGAATGGACCCCCTCTTGGCCAAGGGGACCCCCTCTTGGCCAAGGGGACCCCCTCTTGGCCAAGGAGACCCCAGAGAAATCTTAAAAATGAAGTTCCCCACCATGACGGGGCAGGAGGTCAGACACCCTCATTATATCCCCTCCCTTTTGCAGTTTAGACACAAGGATTGACCAGCATTGATATGAAAATAGAGATCATAAGACTGACAGCATGGACTCTTTCTAGCAATAAGATTCCAAATTATAAGCAGAGCCTAAGGCAGTGCCCTACACTTAAAAAATAAACTATCTTCTAACTGCCACAAGGTTTTTCTTTTTCCTTAAACAAACAGCTAAACAAGCACTGGCCTTGAGATAAGCATTATTGAAACAATCGCAGCTCATCCACCACCAGATGCTGACTAACTGAACCCTTGTTCCACCAGCCGTAACTACACCTGGGAGTGGTCAAGAGACTGATCACAGTAAATATCTCCAGATCAGAAGACCCAACAACCATGGACTAGCTCTGGTCAGTTTACAGATGCTGTGAATTTGAATGCCTTTGTGTCCTAAAGAGATCTTTTGACATATGGGGCCTACTTGTAATACATGTAAATGTTAACTCTCCACCCCAAAGTAAACACGGATCATATGTAACATGCAAATTTGTTCAATATGCAAGCATCAGGATCACCTTCATGAATATTCATAGCTCCTGCAATAACCTGTTGAATATGTATGTTTAGCCAATCTGTTCATCATAAAGGTCCTACCCAACCCCTCCTTCAAAGTGCCTGTCTCTGGTCTTTGCCTGAGACTATGCTTCCCAGCTTGTCAGAATGGCCACATTGCTAGCTGTAACCCTTTACAAGAAATAAAGTCTCCCTTTGTAGATTTATAGATCTTAGGATTTTTCTTTTCTTTTTTTTTTTTTTATTTGAGATGAAGTCTCGCTCTTGTTGCACAGGCTGGAATGCAATGGCACCATCTCAGCTCACTGCAACCTCTGGTTCAAGTGATTCTCCTGCCTCAGCGTCCTGAGTAGCTGGGATTACAGGCACCTGCCACCATGCCTGGCTAATTTTTGTATTTTTAGTAGAGACGGGGTTTCACCATATTGGCCAGGCTGGTCTCGAACTCCTGACCTCAGGCGATCTGCCCGCATCGGCCTCCCAAAGTGCTGGGATTACAGGCATAAGCCACCACACCAGCCTGATTTTTTTTAGTTAAGTGCCTAAACAGAGCTCCATTCAGTGGGGATTTCCCAAAAAGTAAAGTGATATTGGATGACTGGTACCAGACTTTTATGTTCCAGCAGATGCATAGCGGTAAGGTACTTTTTAAAAAATCTATTTAGCTCAAAATATGTTCCAGGAATAAGCCAGAGATTTACCTGTACTAACGCCACCCTTTAAAAATTGCAAACACGCATTAGAAGAGATAATTCCATTAACCATTCACCTTTTTTAAAAAAGAGAACTATATAACAAATATTTATTAATAATTTTTTGTGACTCAGAAATGTATGGATTTTATATTTCTATATAATTTTTATTATGACCATAAAATAACTATGTAGTCAATAATGATTTAATTGTACATTTTAAAATACCTAAAAGTGTACAATTACACTGTTTGTAATACAAAGGATAAATGCCATTCACATTTTAGGTTGACATCTAGTTTAGCTCAGAATTTAGTTTTGCTTGAAAAGAGAAAACACGATCAACTGGAATTGTTAGGCAGCACTGGAAGAACTTACAGTTGGTCTCTAGGTGGCTAATGAGACTAGCATACAGGGGATACTAAATATATTATTTTTAAAATGAATGAATAAATTATTCAGAGATGAAAATAGAAGAGGAACTAAAAGATAAATGGCCTGATTTTCATGTTCTGAAACCCCAAAGTGGCTGATGCCACCTCAAGTCATCTCCCACATTGCCTTGGCCAGGTAGCCTCAGATTCAGATTTGGCAAACATACATTAGGTCCTTACAATGTGCCAGAGGGATTTCCAAAGGGATGTTAAAATCAACACACGGCTGAAAGGATGCAAAGATCAACCTCATAACAAAAATTCACCTCCTTGTCTGGGCTAGTCCAGTATTATTAGTTCCATCTATTATCCTAGGGCCTTTTCCCCCTCAACTTTCACATATCTCCTGAGGGAAAAACAAATAAAGGAGAGAACTATCTTCTCATTCACCCACCCTTTCTTTCATGTCTTTACTGGTAATAAATTCTTCTGAACATCTAGAGCCAAGCTGTACACATCCTCTATTCCTCAAGAATGTTGACGTCTCCTGTCTTGGATCTTCACCAGTCAGGATCTAGTCCATGAGGGAGTTAGTATAAGAAGGCATTATCCTACAGATCTCAGCAGTGGTTCCTCTGTTGTGCTTCTCTCTTTCTTGTGTGGAAGAAATAAACGGAGACCATCCAAATGAGAACAAGGAAAGGTGATTCATTCAGAGCTTGCTCTAGCAAGAGAGCCAGCCGCAATCGCTTGTGTTTGGCAGAGCTGCAAAGGCAGGCAGAGAGATGGAATAGCTTTATAGTGGAAAAACGGGAGGCTTGGGTATACCCTGTTGTTGGCCTGGGGAAGCTGCAGGTAGACTAACTAGAAGCCTACCCAACCCCTTCTTCAAAGTGCCTGTCTCTGGTCTTTGCCTGAGACTACACTTCCCAGCCTGTCAGAATGGCCACATTGCTATCTGTAACCCTTTACAAGAAATAAAGTATCCTTTTCCAGATTTGTACATCTTACGATTTTTCTTCAGTTAAGTGCCTACACAGAGCACTTGGTTAGCGGTCATATTTGACATTCTTGATTGGTTAGTTGTCATATTTGACATTCTCCTGACATTTAACTTGATTGGTTAGGGGTCATATTTGACATTCTCCTGTTGGTCCTATGTTGTAAGTGGAGACAAAAATTAAGGAAGCTTAATTACATAGACCATGTTCTTGACTGGGAATATAATAAAGATGTCAATTCTCTCCAAATTAATCTGTAAATCTACTAATATTCCATTTCAGATTTCATTAAGGTTTTTGAACTTGACAGGCCAAAGTTAAATTTCATTTGGAAGAGCAAAGGGCCACAAAACCACTTTTAATGAAAAAGAAAGGGGAAGTCCTTATTCTAAGGAATATCACTGTAAAATGTAATGATTAAGACATTGTGATCTTGACGTAGTAAAGACAAAAAACATAGGTGAAACATATTAGAAAGTAAATATAGAAATCTGATGTACACTGAATTAACATTATAAATCAGTGGGAAAAAATAAACTATTTAAAACATGGTTTGGAGTCTATAGAAAGAGATTATTAAGATCCTTAAATTCACCCCATAGATAAAAGTCAATTTTAGGAGAATTAAAAGCCTAAATGTGAAAAACAAACTTTGAAAAATTTCAGAAGAAAATGTAAGAGAATAACTTTTTAAAGTTGTGATAAGGGGCCAGGCACGGTGGCTCATGTCTGTAATCCCAACATTTTAGTAGGCCAAGGTGGGAAGATTGCTTAAGCCCAGGAGTTCAAGACTAGCATGGGCAATATAGTCAGACCCTGTCTCTACAAAAAATTAAAAATTAGCCGGCCATGGTGGCACACACCTGTAGTCCCAGCTACTTGGGAGGCTGAGGTGGGAGGATCTCTTGAGCCTGGGTGTCGAGGCTATAGTGAGCCATGATTGCATCACTGCACTCCAGCCTGGGCAACAGAGTAAGACCCCATCTCTTTTTAAAAAAAAAAAAATGTGATAAGGAAGGAAATCTTATATAAGATACAAAAAGTATAAATCATAAGAGAAAAAATCGATTAACTTAACTACATTACTTCCTGAAACTTTTATGTGAAAAAAAGACACATTTAAAAAAAGAGAATATAACGAAAACCACCAAATTATATAATTTTAAAAGGGTGAGTGGTGGCTGGGTGTAGTGGCTCACGCCTGTAATCCCAGCACTTTGGGAGGCTGAGGCGGGTGAATCACGAGGTCAAGAGATCAAGACCATCCTGGCTAACATGGTGAAACCCCGTCTCTACTAAAAAAAAATACGAAAAATTAGCTGGGCGTGGTGGTGGGCACCTGTAGTCCCAGCTATTCAGGAGGCTGAGGCAGGAGAATGGCGTGAACCCAGAAGGTGGAGCTTGCAGTGAGCCGAGATCGCGCCACTGCACTCCAGCCTGGGCAACAGAGCGAGACTCCGTCTCAAAAAAAAAAAAAAGGTGGGTGGGTGGTATGGTATGTAAATTATATCTCAATTAAGCTGATATTTACAAAGTGTAAAGGCTTAAAATAAAAATAACCTACCACTTTATACCCGTAAGATTGGCAAAATGTTTAAAGTCTGGCAATACCAAGGGTGTGCAAGAATGTGAAATATACTGTGGGAATAAATGCTGGGGAGATATAAATTGTTACAACCACTTTGAAATTTGTCAATGTCCAATAAGCTTGAAGATGTTTGTACCGCATCATCCAGAAGTTCATGTCCACATATATATACTATAGAAACTTGAACACGTGTGACCTCAAAGACTTGTAAAAAATGTGCACAGCAGCATATTAAAATCAAAAAATTTTAAACTCATCTAAATAATCACTAAGGGAAATGTTTAAATTATGGGATATTCATAAATGAATTACTGCATAGCAGTCAAGAAGAATAAACAAAAGCTGCACGAATCAACATGGTAACGCTATGTTGCTACATGTGGAAAATGGGGGCAGGGAAAGAATCTGAAGGGGACACAAAGGGAGCTTCATATAGACCAAGCTTCAGTTCACATCTGTGGAATGTTTTATTTTGTGTTTCCAAAATCTGAGGCAAAATGTAGCAACAATGTCATTTGTAAGATCTGGGCAGTGGTACATGAGTGTTTATTATCTTATTTTTGTACTTTGTATATCTGAAATAATTTCAAAAGAAAGGAAATCCCTTTGGTGTTTAATAAACATGAATTATTCTAAAATTAGAGTAAACATTAATAATATTTTTGATGTCAATACATCTGTTCTATCCAAACACTTCATTATCAAAAATTTTAGAATCAAAGGAATAGTAGCAAAGAATTCCAAAATGTCCTAGAAACAAGCCTTATAAAATGAAAACATTGTTCTCTGCACTCTTCACCTGCCCGCCCCCGTCCGAGATGGAGTTTCATTCTTGTCGCCCAGGCTAGAGTGCAATGGCATGATCTCTGCTCACTGCAACCTCTGCCTCCAGGGTTCAAGTGATTCTCCTCCCGAGTAGCTGGAACTACAGGCACGTGCCACCACACCCGGCTAATTTTTTGTATTTTTAGTAGAGGTGGGTTTTCACCATGTTGGCCAGGCTGGTTTTGAACTCCTCACCTCAGGTGATCCGCCCACCTCGGCCTCCCAAAGTGCTGGGATTACAGGTTTGAACCACACACAGTGCCCAGCCATTCTCTGCATTCTTACTGATGCCCGTGTAAGAGTGGCATCCAGAATCCTTATAAGTCAATCCAATCTATCCTTCCCCTTTAAATGCAACTCACTAAGTATGTGCTGACAAAATGTTACTAATAGAGGGTTCCTTCTATTCTTTAGTCCAAACCATGCTCTTTCCGAGGCTTGCCCAATATATCGTCATAAGGTAATAATCCCAATCATGAACCTTTTTTTTTTTTTTTTACTAGCCCCTCCATTTGTTTTTCCAGAAAAGGCCAAGTTTTCTCTTTTTGTTCATTGTGATCTCGGGCCACTGCAACCTCTGCCTCCCAGGTTCAAGCGATTCTCATGCCTTAGCCTCCCGAGTAGCTGGGATTACAGGTGCGCACCACCACACCCAGCTAATTTTTGTATTTTTAGTAAAGATGGGGTTTTGCCATGTTGGCCAGGCTGAAGACCCAGTTTTCAGTGTCCTCATAAGACCCCAAATAGGAAATCATACATGGAGCTGCAGGTCCAGCAGCACTCACTGGGTCTGTCCCCTTTCTCTTTCTACTGACTCTGGCTGTGGTGTCTTTCACTTTTGAAGAGATATGAGCAACGAGAAAATGGGCGAAAAAGAGCCAGCATCAAGATTAAAGAGAGATGTGAGACTAACAAGGCAGTGAGCAAGCAATCCTGGCTGCCTGCTATCCTTGATGGCAAATGAGCAAGGATGTCTCATACATAATGTCACAGAAACAGCATCCAGACCCATCTTAACAGACTGGACCCATGGCTAATTTTCACACAGAAAACATTGTGAGGGTAAATATAAAAGCCTTTACTTGGATGTAAAAATCCCAGTGCTACATGTACAGGATAAGGACAAAATGAATTCACAGCCATGTGTTAAATGTTTTTCATTTGTTTAATTGACCAGAATACTCACAGTCAGTAAACACTGAATTGTGGCTCCGAAAATAAAAACGCTACTGCCGTTTCAGAATCCAGGAGGGGAAAGTGTGTGCTTGTTAGGCCCATCATGTACGATATCAACATCTGGAGCATTGCATCTAATTCTGGGCTCCATGTTTTAAGAGTTGCTTTAGCACATTTAAAGAGCAGTAAACATAGTGAAGAAATCAATAACCACTTTATGAGGAAGAGTGGAAGAAACATAAAGAGAATTGAAGTCCTATGGATGTAAGCAACAACTTAAATCAAAGAGCAACCCTAATCCTGCTAGATCCAGAAAGCAATCTGTGATCACACTGGAGGGGGCTGATAGACTGATGGGGAGCCCATAGTGTGAGGCGAACACGAGAAGCACTACACTGTGGAAACCCATTATCGTGGGCCCATAGTGAAAAGAACTTCTTATACTCATGTTATAGAGAGGGGTTAATCTTTCTAAAAATGTTAATTTTTTCTTCAGTTTTGCCCAATTGACATAGATCAATTGCCTAAGAATAAATAAAAATATAATTTATTTTAAAAGACTGAATAAAGGGTCAGCATGACAGAATTTTGGGGGCTGACAGGGTGATGGAATGGTTCAGTATCTTGATTGTGGTAGTTGTCACAACTCTTTACATTTGTCAAAATCTACAGATCAGTACACCAAAAAGAATCACTTTTATACTTTGTAGATTATAAACTAGTCAGAATGTTTTGTTTAAAATAAAACAAAATGAATTTTGTCTAAAATAAAGGAAAATGAATTTCGTCCAAAGACAGCTTCTTGTTTGCACCATACTTGTTCACAATGATTCCGAACAGAAGAAAGCAACTGATGAAAAGCCCAAGTACTTAATCTTCTTAATGCTTTTGGGGAGGGAGGGATTTATGTGCATTAATTCTGGAGTGACTGAAAAAGAAAAGTTCTGTTTCGGTTTTTCTATGTTCACTCCTAAAGGAGTTGCTACTGATTCTCACTCTTATCCTCAACCTTAAGGCCAGCTCAGAAATGGGGGCTGGAGAAGAAAGGCCGGCTGTTTTCTTCCTTTCTCTGTTGTCTTCCCTTCTCTGCACAGAACCAGACAGAAATATGCATATGAACTGCAATGTGATATATGACATACCAACTAGGTCTGGTTGGCTTCCCGGCCTCTCTAACCTGTTTGAACTGAAAAATAATAAACAAGACAGAAATGAGCATTTACTTTTTTTTCCTCTTGCTTCTTCCCCTTTCATCGTAGCGGTGATTTATTACTGAGTTTTCATGATCTTAGGCTGACCTGGAAGTCTAAACATTAAGACCATTAATTTGCGTAGGAAAAAAAATCTATGTATGCATTCACATAAGCTTAGAATTGTGAAATGATCCTTTTTATTTACTTATATATTTATCTTAAGAGAGAGGGTCTCTGTATGTTGCCCAGGCTGGAGTGTAGAGACTATTCACAGGCGCAATCCCAGTATTGAGCAGCACTGGAGTTTTGATCTGCTCAGTTTCTGGGCTGTTTCACCCATCCTTAGGTAACATGGCAGTGCCTCACTCCCGGAAGGTCACCATATTGATGCCGAACTTAGTGCAGCCACCCTATCGGCATAGCGCACAACAGCCCAGAACTCCTGGACTCAAGCAATCCTCCCACCTCAGCCTCCCAAGTAGCTAGGACTACAGATGCATGCCATCACACCCAGCTATTTTCATTTTATATCTTCATATTATATGGTGTTTTATCAGATACGAAATAATAATCAATAAAAATCAACATACAAGTTTTCTAACTAGCGGGTATTGTTTAAAGACACTGAGAGTGTTCAATTATTTTACCAACAGATGGAATTTTCTTTTTTTTTTTTTGGGAAAAAAACTTTATTATAAAAATCCAACGGTATATATAAACTGCATTTCTCTAGCCCAAGATATTTATGGGATACTCTACACTGTAACTGCTATGGCAGAAATAACATCTGAGAAACTTCATTTTGAAAATTTGGACATATTAAGCATTATAGTACACATTAAAATCTTGATGTTCCCCAAACTTGACAGTCATCTAGGTGAGGTCATTGCTGTCTTCAGAAAACTCAACAATCTCCTGTTTACTGTTCCAGTGAACTTAAGTGAGGTTTTCATTTCAAATGCCATTGTTTCTAGAATTTACCTTACCCTGGTTTATTTTCAAATTCACCTGTTTTTTTCCCCTAATCGCTTTTGCCCATTTTAAACACTTAAATCTTTTAGATGTTTTCACTGTTACTTACTCTTCCCCTACTGTTTGTTTATATGGCTTACAATGTTCTGGTGAGATCTCAGTGTTCTAAGACGGTGAGGCCATCCCTTCAGGCTGGCTTTACTGCCAGAGATTTTATGGATTTAATATACACACAATGAGTTATATTTATGCAAGGAGCCCATTCTGTCTCTGGTTACACGAGGAAGACCTGTGGCTTAAACTACCAGTGACTGTAGGTCTTCAATGCATTCTGTATCACATAGTATTCTGTGTGTTAACTATTGGGGTAGCGGGGTGGATTTGCCTTATTTGGGCATGCTATGTTGACCTCAATTTGGCTGGAGTCTGAGCAATTTGCTATGCTGCCCTATTTGTTATTCACCTATATTCCTGAAAGTGGATATTTTGGAAGGAAAGTAAGGTAAATTTGGTTGAGGTTTCTGTATAAAAGGGAAAAGTTAATTTTTAATACAAAAACAAAATTTATTTCCATAGAAAGCAAAATTTATAAGTTAAATATAAAGATTAAAATAGTGTTTGAAAAGCTCACTATAGTGCTAACAAACTAAATGAAAATAAGGCTATTTTGCATGTAAAACTGAAATACCTCTTAAAATAATTTGATCCCCAGTATTTGCTCTTTTTGAAGTAACCGACTTACTCTTAAAAAGGATGGCTGCCAAGATGGAAAGTCTTATTGGGTTTTCATGTTAACCTATTCTTTGGACATAACTACGAATTTTGTATACAATGCATTTCATGAAAAGTTGTGGCTCCCCCAGATTTCCCACAAGTGTGATCTTGAAGTCCTAAACATCTGTCCATGTAAGCTTCAAAACAGAGCCTTAACGGAGTTATTCAAGTAGCAGTACTTAAAGATATAATTCTTGAAGCAGTTTCAATGGTTTCTGATCCAAATAATCAGTTTCTGAACATTACTACTTCACAAAATAGAGTCCATCTTCAGTTTCTTTTCACTTTCTCTTTCCCTTTTGGGTTTCCTATTTGTGGCCTGAGGCCACCAGTTCTTTGGGTACTATCAAGATACTTCCATCATGGGTACACTGAAGAGCATAGTGGTTTGGATTGACTGGCCTACCTTGGTCATCTCTTAATCTACTAAAAATGTCATGATAAAGGTCATGCACTTTCTGTTTCATAATGTTAATAGCTTTGTTACATTGTGCTTGCTCTCTAAGAGTTTCCTTCTTTGCTTGCAAGTTACATACATCATCTTCTAGATTCAAAATTATGTCCAATTTGCGTTTACGACAGTTCTGCGCAGAAACTTTATTTTTCCCTCTTCGTCTGATATCACGGATAAGTGAGACTTGTAGGTCTGTCAGATAATACCTACTTAACATGCTATTGAAAGAATCAACAGGCATGCCGACAATTTCATCTACAGAAAAAGGGATACGCAAAGCTTTAGCACTCCATTCATCACGGCTCAAGTTTCTATCTGTGTCTTCAAGGTACCTACTCCTTATCTTCTGTGACTTCCCAGGCCACGAAAAAGGTTCAGAAGTAGATTCTGGTGCACTTGGCTGTAAGTGGTAAGTGTGGTTATGAAATATGTGTTGAAATGTAAGATCCCCATGGAAACCAGAATCACTCTGATCCAAGTGACAAAGCTTACTGGGTTCTGGGTAGTAGCCGCCTACAGCACCTTCTAAGTCATGATGGGAACTAGAGTCACGGTCAGTACAATAACCTATAGCACCTTCATCACACACAGAGTGAGAGGAATTAAACTTGATGACAGAGGTACTATTGTGACTTGAATCTAAAGAAAGGCCAGAATCAGAATCTGGTTCATCAAAAAGCTGAGAAACATCGATCGGATCGAAGTTGTCTTCTGTGGCCAATGACATTAAGTTTATCTCATCAAATATATTTACATCAAGGTCATACAGTAGGTCTTGGCTTGTTAGATTCCCATATGATTGTCAACCGGTGAAAGAAATCCTGTCAAATTAGTTCCAGGAAGGATTTGCTCAGGATTGGTGGTATGAGAATTTAACTGCAGAAATGGTTCTTGTGACTGAGGTCCTTGCTATTGGATCTCTTCTAAATGTACTGTTGGGACAAAGCAAGATGGCCTCATGAAGATTCACATCCCGACTTACAGCCTGGCTGAAGTTTACATGAGAATGTGCTGAAGAATTCATGCCATCACTGATACTGCCTGGAAGAGGAATATCTCCCAATGAGATGCCCTCCAGTGAATTTTCAGGCTGTGATGAAAGCAACTGGAATAAGTCTTCCAGAGAGAAAGAAAGAAGTATCTGCCCCATTCAGATGTCTCTCATTTCTAGATTCAGAGGTCTTTTCTGCCTCCCAGTCAGGTTTCTCTGCTATTTTGTTTTCATCATCATTATTCTGCTGAAGTGAGTTCTCCTTCAGGGCTGACACCCTTTCTTCATTTTCCTCACGCTGGGAACTATGATCCACAGCTTCGTGCTTTTCTCTTAGTACCTCGTTCTCCTCGCTCGCACATCCGCCAGCGTCCGCCACCTGAGCCGTCGGTTCCGCGGGTGCCTTCTCCTCTTCCCCGGCGTCCAAGGGACCACTCCGAGCCGCTCGGGGATCCCCGCCGCCCCCCTGCACAGCCTGGCTGCCGCCGTCCACGCTGGCGCCAGCTCCTCCGGTGGACGAGGCGGCGGCGGCGCCGAGCAGCCCGTGGGCCTCGTCCGCGCTCCCGACAGCCACGGTGTGCACCAGCCACGCATCCACCCGGGCGCGAGGGATGAAGGGGACCCCGAGCACGCGCACCTCCCGGAGCAGCTGGCCCTCGGGCTGCGCGGCAGCGTCCAGCTCCCGGCCCTTGGGGTGCAAGTGGCCCGCGCGCCCCCACCCTCCCGAGGCCGAGAAGGGGCTGAGCGCGTAGGCAGAGCTAGCCGGGCCGCCCAGGAACAGCAGTTCGTCCCGGAGCACGGAATTTTCATCTTTGGTGCATGAGTTCTAAATTGTAGACATGTCTAGAGCAACTAAACCTTAGCACCGTGACCACTTGACACATGAGCAGAAGAGGCTCCCTGCAACGGGAGAGGCTTTTGTGAATAATAGTCTATGCTTAATTGTGTCACCAAGAAACAAGGCAATGCCTAACCTCCTGCTCCAGATAATGCCAGCTCTCTGCCAGCTGACCAGGAGCCTATTACTCCCAACCTCCTAAAGAAGGAGTCTGTAGAAGGCCTTGGCTCTCACCAGCCCACTCTGCCTCTGGAAACTGCAAGACAAAACAATTGTCCAGTGGCTCCCATATGAGACACACTAAACTGGCTGTCTTCCGCTATGAGATTATTATACTAATCCTTTAGCTTATAATGAATTATTAAGAAAGCAAACTTACATTTGCCTTTTAAAGCTGTATGTGTAAACCTATTTCATACAAACCAATGCAGAAATAAACATGTTGAACTAACATATTCTCAACATTTGCTTCTAAAGGTGTTTCCCTAACACTTCCATTTATGGAAAAAAAACAGCTTATGATGCATCTTTAAAAAAGCATGCTTACAATCACTTCACCTCAGTCATCAGCAGCAGCCCAAATCCTGCCTGTCAGCCACCATCACCCAAACTAGCAGGCACATGCACGAATATGACCCGATTTCCCTTCCTCTCCACCCTCTAAAACCCTGTTGGTGCATTCTATGGAATGTACAGTGTATCATCAGGAAACTTGCTTTATCCTCAAACTTTTCTCTAAACCTTCTCCTCTCCTCTTTCATGCCCTATCTGAAACCTGCTTATTCCATAAAAATATCTCTTCCTCCTTCCCCACAGCCCTCTAGAGAAGCAGCTATCTTTTCTTACCCCATGAGGAATGGGTCTAGGAATGGCATATTGTCCTTTCTAAGCTAGAAAACCTAGCAGTTCTCTCTTTAAATCATATCCCAACTCTGTCCAATTCACTGCCTCTTCACCACCACTATCACCACCCAGGCCATGCCAACCCTCTCCTAACCTGTCTCTTTCTCTCCGCCCTTACCATCCCGTGGTCCATCTCTCCATAGCAGTCATCTTACTTTTAACTGGCTGTGATATCACATCTCTCTCCTCCTTAAAATCCATCAGGAGTTTTAGTCCTTACTTTGCCTTGCAAAACCTGCATGATCTGGGCCCTGCCTCCATCTCTGTCTCTTGTGCCACTTCTGGCTTTGCCCACTGTAGTGAAGAGAATTGTGTCCCCCAAAAAGACATATTGAATCTCTAACACAGCCTACCCTCATACCTGTGAACATGATCTTATTTAGAAATAGGGTCTTTGCAGATGTAATCAAGTTAAGATGACATCATTACAGAAGGCCCTAAATCCAATGACTGATGTCCTTATTGGAAGAAAAGGCCATGTAAAGACAGAGACATTGGCGGGGCATAGTGGCTCATGCCTGTAATTCCAGCACTTTGGGAGGCCAAGGCGGGAGGTTCACTTGAGCCCAGGAGCTCAAGTCCTGTCTGGGGAACCTGGCAAGACTCCATCTCAAAAAAAAAAAAAAAATTAGCAGGGCATGGTGGTGCACATCTGTGGTCCCAGCTACTCAGGAGGCTGAGGCAGGAGGATGGCTTGAACCCAGGAGGTCAAGGCTACAGTGACCCATAATCATGCCACTGCATTTCAGCCTGGGTGACAGAGGGAGACACTGTCTCAAAGAAAAGAGACACGGAAAGAATGCCAGGTGACAATGAAGGCAGAGATTGGAGCAGTGCATCTACAATCCTCCCATGGAGGATCCTTTCTTGCCCTTCCTAGCTTTTGGTAGCTAAGAGGGACTATAGCCCTGCTGACACCCTGATTTCAGACTCTGGTCTCCAGAACTGTGAAGCAATAAATTCCTGTTGAGCTAAGCCACCCAGTTTGGGGTCTTTTGTTACGGCAGCCCTAGACCACTAATAAACCCGCACTACTCTAGGCATATTGACCCCTCTGGGCTCCTTGAACACACCAACCTGATTCCTGACCTATAAACTGTGTTCTAACTTTTCTCTCTGACCAGAATGTTCTTCCTATTTTTATATGACCAGCACTTACATGCCATTCATCTCAGCTTAAATGTCACCTCCCCATTTTCAAACATTCTACCTAAAATAGCTACCCAGCTACTTTCTATTACATTAACCTGTTTTAGTCCCCTGCATAGCCTATAGCTATCTGATGTTACACATGATTGTTTATCTATCATCTGTTTTTCTCCATGCACTAGATGAGAACAGTGACTTGATTATCTTAGTTATTGCTGTCTCCTGCATGCCTAGACAGCACATTGTAGCTACATAGGTAGGGTGGCCAATTCGTCCCAGCTTGCCCAGGAATGGTTTTAAAACAGTTTCATGTCCTGGGAGGCCCCTCGGTACCAGGAAAACCAGGATGGCTAATCACTTTACTAGTAGACATTGTCAATCAATCCAATTATCCATAAATATTAGAAACTGAATGCATTCATTAAACTTTCAAAGAAATAAAATTCTTACTCTAAAATCTAACACAATGTAATTGAGTATTTTAGTCACAGGTGGCCACTAAATGGCTAGATTCATTAACATACCAGCTTTCATTAAAATCACCCTAAGGTGAGGAGACATTTCATTCCAATTAAAGTATTAAGGTACTCAGCTGTTTCTCATGGTACTGTAAGCATATAGAACTGTATACCTTTGAAGAATTTATAATTCCCATGTGTATTTCTGAAAAATCATTAAAATTTTCCATGCTGAAAAAAAAGATGGATTTATAAATACTATGACTAACTCACATTTTTAATGTTTTTTCTGAAATTTTTGTCACTAACATGAAAAATCTATATTGGGACAGATAAAACTGTGAATACAATGACATCTTGTATCCAGGGATTTAAAATATAGCAAATATGTATTTATTCACTATAGTGACCACCTGAAGATTTTAATAGATGCAGAAAAAAAAATCAGCTTCTCAGAAAGAAATCTACTGTTGAAAATGTTCTGAAAGCAAGTTTTTCTCAAGTTTACAGCCCTTAGGTAAGAGATAATCCACAGCTGGTGTCATTTTCTAAGAGAACCTCATAAAGTCACTAAGGCAAAAAGAGGCTCATCTCAAGAATTCTTGTCTGCAGTGAAGATTTGCCACTCTGATCACTCTAGAGATTAAAATTTGCTCAAGGGAACAGTTTCTAAAACAGAGCTTGTAATTTCAGGAAATTTTATTCTTTCTTATTCCCAGAGATTAGATCAATCTGATCTTGGCAAGATACACCACTTTTGTAAACTTGTAAACACATGCAAGCAATATTTATATGCTGTGTATTAAATATATATGTAGCAAAATTTAAAGCATGAGCAGACATAATAAAATGCCCAATTATCATTGTGTGGACCTATGGGAAGAAATAAAGGGAACAGGATCAGAGAGAAGATCAAGGGAACTTCAACTTTACTAGAAATGTTTCTTAATTTTATGAGTTTAATATGTTCTTATGGGTGCTAATGCTTGTTACATTATTTTTTCTTTTTTTCCTTTTACCTTTTCCAATTAACAAACAAGAAATAAATAAATAGCTATTGCTCCCAAGAGTCATTTGACTTTCCTTCAAGGAGTGTGACAAGCCAAGGAAAGAAATAGAGAGTTCAAGATGAAGCAGCCTTTGGCTTATGTGTCTGAAACCCCTGAAGCTGTAAGAAATCAGGATGGATTATTCTAGTTAGAAGTTGGTCAGTGCGTAGGTAGGTTTCTCTCTTTATACACTTGTTATTAGAAAAAAGGTATTTTGCAAAAATGCAGTTCTGATGAGAGCATTTTATAAATAAGAGCCTGGCACTTGTTGAGAGAGGTGGAGTAAGGATGAGAAGAGAGGGATGAAGGTATGGGGAAATGACAGTCAAAGGGTACAGAATCTCAGTTTCACAGAAGAATATAGGGTTTTTTTAGTTCTATTGCCAAGCATGGTGAATATATTTATATTAGAGGGTTGTACCTTTCAAAATTGCTAAGAGAGATTATTTCACTTCATATTTATAAATTATAACATCACTTTGTACCCCATAAATTTATATAAGTTGACAATTTACAATTAAAAATAAAGTTTGATTAACAATTTAAAATAAAGTAAAATAAAACACTGATAGTGGAATTGCAAGAGACAATAGCAGATGAAATTTTCTCTAATGTTTCACAGAAGTTTTTAAAGAGCCAAAATATCTGTCCACAAACATCAAAACAGTGAAAGGTACACATCCCTGTTCTATAATCTCAAAAAAAGTGATGACCAGAGGAAAAGGAACAGAGACAATTTTGGTGTAGGTTAGCACAGCTCCTGATCACCCCCGAATTAGTCAGGGTCTAGTCAGAAAATGGAAGGCAGCATAGTTTATGTCAAAAGGAGGGGATTTGAAGCTGGGGGAGGGTAAAACCAAGGAGAGAAAAGGAGGGGGAAAGAGGGACAGTGTAGAGGGAGCTGCTCTGAGGAAAAGACAAATCCACTTCCCAAGATTCCAAGATTGAGAGAGAGAGAAACCCAGGCTTTTCCCGGCATCTTCTCTTCTAGTCTTACATTAGCAGAATTTTCATGGAAAGAATAAGGCGAGAGAGCTGCATTGCTGAGAAGGGAAGAGAAGGGAGAAATATGTACCTGAGAACAAGCAAATAACCAGTACAACCCCGGAGCCCACCAGCGACCGCGGGAAGAGAGAAAGCATGCCAATGGGAGCAGCATTTCCTGACAAAACATCATGGAGCAAGGTCCATGAAGCACTAAGCAATGTCTAGGAAAATCCATCATGACCCCATTACACTCAGTAAGTTGTTCAAATAAGGTTCCCAAACACGACAGGGTCAGAGAACTTTTTTTTTTTTTTTTTTTTTTTTGAGACGGCGTCTCACTCTGTGGCCAGGTTGGAACGCAGTGGTGCAATCTCGGCTCACTGCAACCTCCACCTCCTGGGTTCAAGCGATTCTCCTGCCTCAGCCTCCCGAGTAGCTGCAACTACAGGCGCGCGCCACCACGCCCGGCTAATTTTTGTATTTTTAGTAGAGACGGGGACTTCACCATGTTGCCAAGGCTTGTCTCAAACTCCTGACCTCAAGTGATCCTCCCACCTCGGCCTCCCAAAGTGCTGGGATTACAGGCATGAGCCGCTGCGCCCATACCCTTTCAGCATTTTTTAAGAAATAGCTTTGAAGTAAACACTTTTTAGGGAAACAAAAATTCTCTTTGTGTAGTAAGGGTTTTTTTTTTATATTCTTCCATATATTTATATCATTTGGTTTGGATCGGTTCAGATTCCTTGAGAAAAAAAAATGCTGTCTTCATCAGTGAGGTTAAAATCCACAATCCTAATTTCCATTCCAGAAGCTAAAGTGCACAGAGAGGCAAATAAAATACAGAAACAGGCTAGGTGTGGTAGCTCACACCTGCAATCCCAACGCTTTGAGAGGCAAAGGTGGGAGGATTCTTGGAGCCCAGGAGTTCAAGACTAGCCTGGGCAACATGGTGAGACCCCCATATCTACAAAAAAATTTTTTTAATTAGCTGGGTTCAGTGGCATGCACCTGTGGTCCCAGCTACTCAGGAGGCTGAGGTAGGAGGATCACTTGAGCCCAGGAGTTGGAAGCTGCAGTGAGCTGTGATTGTGCCACTGCAATCTACCATGGGCAACAGAGTGAGATGCTGTCTCAAAAAAGAAAAAGAAACAATACATTTATCAAACATCTCATGAAAGGTAAATGGGAATGACTATATGAAGCTTCCATATAAAGTTATTACATACATACATACCGTAACTTTGTATTTATTTTAACACTTCGAATAAAATGCTTTCTAAGATTCGTTTTGTGGTTTACTCTCTTTTATGGTGCAAGATCCAATTTAACCTTTTCTTCAAATTCAAAAATGCTAGTTGTTTCCCTCGGCAGTGAGTATAGAGGTATTCTCAGGAGCTACCTTAAGTGCTGTGTGTTTATTTGCTCAAGGTTTTATCAGCTTTTCTTGAAAGCTACTTTGTTATTGGGGATGGAGCGGGGGTAGTAATAGTTACTGATGTTCCTTTAGGGATGTATTTTTGGACATTTATTCTTTCTCAGATGTGTTTTTGAATAGTTGTGACTGAATCAGAGAGCTAAAAAGTGAGATGATGTAACAGTTCATATGGGATCATAGATAAATGGGTTAGGTTGCAGGAACCTGAAGGATTCATGGAGTTCTCTACAGATACCTGTAATTAATTAAATCCTCTCTCTTTGAGGATTAAAAAAGAAGATACTCTTCAAAACTGTCATCTTCCAAAAATATGTTGGGAACAGAGTCATATACTAAGGTAAATATGTCTTATTTTTATTTGAGAGAGTCAGTGTATATAGTCATTAAAAGCACAGCCTCTCAGCCAGACTGGCTAAGTTCTGTGGACTTTGGAGTAATTTACGTGAATTCCCATGCCTCAGTTTCCTCAACTGTAAAATGGGTATTATAATAGTAGCATCTACCTCATAGAGTTCTCAAGAAGAAAAACATGAGTCAGAATTTGTAAAACACTTATAACTGTGCCTGGAATATAGAAAGTACAATTATTATATAAGCTAGATTATAGGGGAAAAAAAAGAATTTTAAGAGAAATCGTCTTGGTCTGTATTCCTTAATGTTGATGTTGGTGGTGTTTTCTCCATGACTCTGAGAACAAAGTGTATTTGAATATACATTGGCCCTCTGTATCTGTAGGTTCTGCAACCATGGATTTAACCAACTAAAGATCAAAAATATTTTTGTAAAAAAAATGGATGGTTGCATCTGTATCAATATGTACAGACTTTTTCCTTGTCGTTATTTCCTAAACAATAGAGTATAACAAATATTTACATGGTATTTACGTTGTATTGGGTATTATAAGTAATCGAGACGTGATTTAAAGTATACATGAGGATGTGTTTAAGTTATATGCAAATACTATGCCATTTTATATCAGGTACTTGAACATCCTCAAATTTCGATACCAGGGGAGGGGTCCTGGAATCATTTTCCCACAGATACCAAAGGATGACTAGACAATTCTGACCAGGGCCAGCTTCATGGGCATGTGACCTGTACAAGAAGGAATCTCTATGCCCATATTAGAAGTCTCCCTTACTTGGTTTAATGCTCTGCTGTCATGATTTTGAGATTCTTAAGACTTTCTGAACAAGGAATCTCACATTTTATTTTGCCCTGGGCCCTGAAAATGATGTCCCCAATCCTGACTTGGACTCCCTGTGCTCCCTGATTCTTGTAAGCCCAGAAGCCCTAAGCTGGTTGTTGTATCCTCTCTCTGCTCACAGGTTTGGGGTCGATCACTCTGGAGCAAGAACAGTAAAAGAATTGAAAATTCAGATCCTGCCGAGCTCAGTGGCTCACGCCTGTAATCCCAGCACTTTGGGAGGCCGAGGTGGGCAGATCACTTGAGGTCAGGAGTTTGAGACCAGCCTGGCCAGCATGATGAAACACTGTCTCTACAAAAAATACAAAAATTAGCCAGGCGTGGTGGCACACGCCCGTAATCCCAGCTACTCGGGAGGCTGAGGCAGGAGAATGGCTTGAACCTGAGAGGCAGAGGTTGCAGTGAGCTGAGATCATGCCACTGCACTCCAGCCTGGGAAACAGAGGGAGACTCTGTCTCAAAAAATAAAAATAAAAAAATGACAATCTCAGCCTATTACACTGTGTTTCTCACAGAACGTTTATATCAACATGCATGTATACTGAAAAGAAAAAAGAACTTGGGGGAGAAAAGAGTTCCTCCTTTGTGGAAACACAGCCTATGCAAAACTACCATTTCCCCTCAGGAGCTAAATTATCCAGTGCAGAGTTTATGTTCTTTCCTTTAGGATCTCTTCCTTCCTTAGGAATGTGGCTTAAATAGGACAGATTTTATTCTACCTGTGTGACCTCAAACAGGCAAAATTCATTTAAGCTCCGTAGGTCTCACTTTCAAATTGTTTTCAACTGAGGGCAACAACAGCTGCCAGATACACAGACAGTGTGCAATCAAAAGAAGATAAAGTATGCAAAAACATGTTATCATCTGGAAGGTGGGGCAGCAGGCACAGTATGAGGTAACGCACTTCTGCTTTCTGTCCTGGGGCCACGCGAGCACCTGGCTCAAAGTAGCTGGCTTCATTTTCCCAGTAAAGAAACTGAGTGCCAGGAACATTAAATGGTTCCATAAACACTTCAAAGTCAAGGTGAAGCACAGGTATGCACATTAATTAAATCATCACTGATTACACAACTGCTTTGGGTTGGTCACAGAAAAGTCATGGAGAGATGGAAGATAAATAGGAAGCATGCATTTTCCTCAAAGGGCTCACACTCTTTGTAGAGTGACAATTAAAGGGTAAATAATTACCATACAGAATAGTAAATATTTCCACTAAGGGAAATGTAGAAAGTGCTGAGGCATCATGCTTTCTCCCAGCAGGCCTTGGGAAAGGCTTCCCAGGGAAGGCCAGAGGAATTCACCACTTGGAGAGAGCAGAGGGTATTCTAGTCAGGGCAGAGGCCCCAAGCAAGGAAGGTGAGTGGCATAAGAGTTCATCCACATGGGGCATCTGGAAAGAATAGGCAATGAGACTGAAGTAGGGGGATGGGGGCAAGGCTTCATTCTGTGGGTGAGCCACTGGGGAACTTTCACAGGTTTTCATATACAGGGTGCTATGATCAGAACTCTTTGAGAAGATAATTCTGGACATGTAGCAGATTATGCATTGGAGTGAGGAAATCAAGGAGGCAGGAGAGTTTATTAACAAAGAAACCAGTCCCAACTCTCCATCAACTGAAGAATGAATAAACAAATGTGGTATATCCATACAATGGAATACTATTCGGTCATAAGATAAAGTTAAGTCATATCACGACATGAAGGAACCTGAGAAACCTGATGCTAAGTGAAAGAAGCTAGTCACAGAAGGCTACATATTATATGATGACATTTATACAGAATGCCTAGGATAGGCAAATCTGTAGATACAGAAAGCAGATTTGCAGTTGCCAGGGGATAGGGGAAGAGAGGACTTGAGAGTAACCAGTAATGGGTATGAGGTTTCTTTCTGGGTGATGAAAATGTCCTGGAATTTGATAGCAGGGACAGTGGTCACAACTCTGTAATCTACTAAAACTACTGGATTGTACAACTTTAAATTGTAAACTACTGAACTGAACAATTTAAAATAAAAAGAATCTGTTGTTATTATCAGATAAATAAAGAAGAACCAAACAAAATTAGCATAAGAGAAAATTTAAGAAAACCAGAGATGGCTTCCAAAATATTTAGAAGATGTATTTACAAGAAGATGCATTTAGAAGTGATAGAAGTGAAATATAAAAATAGTCAGAATTTTCCTCAAACCTTCCAAGCAGAGACAATAGCCAGATGGGGCTAAGCCAGAGAACAGACAAATAGGAAATATTCTTACAGTTAAAGAGCTGGGCTTCAGACGTGACAAGACAAGGCAGTAGAAGTGTTATACGAGGTTACAGAAGTTACCTTGGCATACAGAGATGGAGGGCATCAGCATCAGAAATAAACAACACTTATGAATCTTTTATGAAGGCCATATTTAGCAGAAGTGTGTATTTTTAATTTTAGCTTTCAGTTTTGTTTCAAAGGAATTTCTAGCCATTTCTGAAAACACATAGTATACAAATGCTACAGGATATAGATAGAGAATGTAATTAATGAAGAAAAAAATTCTTCTCACTGAATGTGGTTGTGAAGTGAGCAAACACTAACAAGCCCATTTTTCACTTTGTAGGAAAGTCATAAAGATACCACCTCCCAAATCACTCTTCTTCAACGTATTGTTTTGTGTTTTAGTATTTACAAGAGTTTTCTTTTTGAAACCATTGGATATAAAGCAGTTACAAGAAAATACAAGCACTCTTGTATGAAAGCACAAGGGTCTTCTGGTGACGGGAGACCCCTTCTGGTTCCCACCCTGCAACAAACCCACTCAACAAGTGTGGAAGAGGGCTGAGGCCACGCTGGGCCTCACTGTCCATATTTGAAAAGGGGGGGGATTAATCAGATAGTTTCAAGGCACTCTTCATTCTTGAACCTCATCTGATAACCTGATGCATGCAGTGACTAAGAAGAAGGTCACTGACATTTGGCCAAGCTTGCCTTGACTCATGGTTTTGCTATGTATTTTGTCACCTATACTAAGCCTCAGTTTCCTCATTTCAAAGATAAGAATAATGAATATTATAACTTCTACTTTATCGTATAATTACAAATATTAAGTAAAGATTATATAAGATGCCTACTTTGAACACTGACATATACTAAGCCTTCAAAAAATGTTTCCTACTGTTGTTAGTATTAGTAATACACTACAGAAAAATTAGGCAGACACTGATATAGAAAGTATAAGAAACTTTAAATTTTAACAACAAGAACAAAAGTGAGTTTTTAAATTATCACTTTCTCATTAAAAAAAATACTGCTCAGCCAGGCGCAGTGGCTCACGCCTGTAATCCCAGCACTTTGGGAGGCTGAGGCGAGCGGATCACTTGAGGTCAGGAGTTTGAGACCAGCCTGGCCAACATAGTGAAACCTCGTCTGCACTAAAAACACAAAAATCGCCAGGCGTGGTGGCACACGCCTGTAATCCCAGCTACTCAGGAGGCTGAGGCAGGAGAATCACTTGAACCCGGGAAGCAGAGGTTGCAGTGAGCTGAGATTGCACCACTGCGCTCCAGCCTGGGCGACAGAGAGAAACTCCTTCTCAAAAAAAAAGAAAAAAAAAAGAAATACTGCTCATTGTAAGAATTTTAGAAAATATTTTTCTGGCACTAGTTCTTTTGAGAAACAATATTTGAGAAATGAGATAGTATCTCTTTTAAAACATGATATTTGAGATAAAAATGACCAAATGCCTTTAACCTTTAGGATCGCCAAATCTAAGTCATGCAAACTTCAAAAAGTCATGTTTTTAAGCTGCGGAATGCAAAGCTATGGAAAGTACAATACCTGTAATTCATGGTCTCTCTTTTTGTGACTCTGTCATTTATTTCCTCCCAAGGAGGGAAACTATGGAAACCATTACCTAAGATGTTTCTTCTTGACCCTTTGCTTGTGCCGGCCCTATTTCCAGTCAGCAAGCAGCAGCTGCTGTTGATCTACAGTTGCCCTTTTCCTCTGCACCTGCCCTGCTCAGCCCAGCAGAGATAATTTGCAGCAAGCAGGGCCTCAGAGCTGGGAGCCTGGCAGCCTTCCAAGGTCTTCATATCTTGCTAGTGAACAAGATCCTGCCTTACCATATGACATTCAGTATGGCTTTGAGGTGATGTCAGTGAAACAGCTCAAAGAGGATTTAGGAAGAACAATTTTGCACTAAAGACAATAGGAAATACTGACAAGGAAGATAGAAGCCATCGGTATGATTTTGCAGTCCTTAGCACCCCTGTACTAGACTATGATGATTGTAGTAAGTTTTTATGATACTAAAAGCCTGCTATAAATATTATTCACCCATGCAAAGTAATGAAATTTTGACATATACTACAACATGGATGAACCTTGAAAACATTATGCTAAGTGAAATAAGCCAGGACAGAAGGACAAATATTTCATGATTCCATTTACATGATGTACCTATGATAAGCAAATTTATAGAGACAGAAAGCAAAACAGAGACTATCTAGGGTTTAGGGGAGGGTGGGGAAAGAAGAGTTATTGTTTAGTGGATACAGAGTTTATGTTAGGGATAACTAAAATGTCCTGGACACAGACAGTGGTGATAGTTACACAGATTATGAATGTACGTGAGGCCACTGAATTGTACTTACAAATGGTTAAAATGACAAATATTGATCCAGCAATCCAACTTCTGGATATTTGCCCAAAAGAGTTATAATCAGTTTGTCCAAGAGATGTCTGCACGCCCAAGTTCACTGAAGCTGTGTTCACAATAACCAAGATACGGAATCAACCGAAATGTCCATGAATCAACCGAAATGTCCATGAATCAACAGATAAATGGATTTTAAAATGTGGTGTATATGCACAATGAACTATTATTCAGCCTTAATAAAGAAGGAAATTGTGTCATCAATAACAACATGGATGGAACTGGAGAATATTATGCTAAGTGAAATAAGCCAGGCACAGAAAAACAAATGCCATATATTCTCGCTTACATGTGGAATCTAAAACAATTGAACCCATAGAAGCAGAGAGTGGAATGGCGGCTACAGAGGCTGAAGGTGAAGTGGGTTGGGAGATGATGGTCAAAGGGTACAAAATCTCAGAAGAGAAACATGGTGTGGGATTTTTTTTTTTTTTAGTTCTATTGCACAGTGTGGTGAATACGGTTAATAATAGAGTATTGCACATTTCAAAATTGCTAAGAGTAAATTTCAAATGCTCTCACCACAAAAAAGATGTTAAGTTGTTGAAGTGATGGATACATTAACTAGCTTCATTTAATTATTCCACAAAGTATTCATGAGTTATAACATCACTGTCTCCCATAAATATATACAATTAAGAATATTCAATTTACAATAAAAAATAAATAAAAATAAAATTACAAATATTATGTTATGTCTATTTTGCCACAATTTTAAAAAGCAAAGCAATAAAAGGCACTGGGTTGGGGGGAGCATATTGAATTCAGTTTCTCAGAGAAATAAGCAGCTTCAAATCCAACTTAAACAGTCCTAATTTGAACATCAGGCATAAGTATCAAATACTCCGGTTTTGAGAGAGTGCTTTTCTTTGAGAAGATGGAAAGGTAAATGATCAACAGACAGTTACTTTGAGTATCTCGGCAAAATGTTATCTGTTTAAACTTAGGGTTGTTTATAAGTATCTGTTATGTCATTTTCTATACTAAATAAATTTTCCACACCTTCAGCTTCTTTCCTCAAATATCCACCACTTCCTCTGCTATCTTTGCTTTCTGCTTATGACCATGCTTCTTACTTCCCAGAGAGCAATGATGCCATCAGAGGGTCCTGAGCCTCCCCCACCACATCCACCGCCCACTAGCATCTATACCCACATATGCTGCCTTCCTGCCCATTAGTGTATAGGACCATCTACATCCAATTCCCAGTGCTTGAGCACTAGGTAACGTGGCCTGTCATCTAGTCAAGACTATCTCTGCGATTGTTCTTTATCACCTGCCTACCCTGCTAGGTTATATTTTCCAGAAATCCATGGATTTTTGTCTACATGGTTCTCTGATATATCCCAAACATGGAGATCAGTTGCTGGCATGTAGTAAACTCTCAATAGATATTTATGAAGTAAATGAATGCAATCCTTTTCTATATTTTTTAAATATTTCAATATTTTTAAAATTAAATATTTGAATAGAAAAACACAACTTGAATGAGTAAAAATTTGGGATAAAATATTCTGCCCTGTGATCCCATAAGCCATTTAAATGTCTCTGAAATGCCAAAATTTCAACATCCACATTGCATCTCCCAGAAGTCAAAATAAAACGACAAAATATTTTGTCATCTTATGTTTCCATTATTCTTTTAGAAATAATGTTTATTATTTGACAGCACAATAGGGTGACTATAGTCAATAATAACTTAATTGTATATTTTTAAATAACTTATGGCCAGGCACAGTGGCTTATGCCTGTAATCCTAGCACTTTGAGAGGTGAAGGCAAATGGATTGCTTAAGCCCAGGATTTTGAGACCAGCCTGGGCAACATGGCAAAACCTCGTCTCTACAAAAAATGCAAAAGAAATAGGCAGGCATGGTGGCATGCACCTGTAGTCCCAGCTACTCAGGAGGCTGAGGTGGGAGGATCGCCTGAGCCCAGGGAGGTCACGGCTGCAGTGAGCCTTGATTGTGCCACGGCACTCCAGCTTGGACAACAGAATGAGACCCTGTCTCAAATAATAATAATAATGATAATAAATAAAATAACTTCATGTATTGGCTTGTTTATAACTCAAAGCATAAATACTTGAGAGGTGGATGATTACCCCATTCTCCGTAATGTGCTATTTCACATTGCATGCCTGTATCAAAACATCGCCATGTATCCCGTAAATATATACATCTACTATGTATCCACAAAAATTACAAAATATATTTAAAAATTCAAAAATTAAAAAAGAATAGGTCTGTTTCTCTTTCCATGGCATGGAATCTCTGGACACCAAAAAATTTATGTAGGAGGTTACATTCAAACCCCTAAGAAGTGCGAAAGTAATTTTAGTACAGGCAAAATCGGAGCTATCAGAATTCCATGGGTTAAAAGCTGAATGCACTTTTTTAAACAGCAGAAATTGCCAAGGTAAGCTCTCTATGACGAAGTGTCATAATAAATGCCTTTACTCTGAATCACATATGCTATGTTTCTCAAAACACTAAATGAAATGTAGGCTTACAGTACAGATGTGGTTATTTGCTTGGCATCGGTACTTCCTGTCATCAAAGCAGGGAACAAGTGTCATCATTAAAGAATTTTGTCTTTCTGACCTATTTGAGTACAGTCTGAAAAGACAGTTGTAGAACACTTTGGAAATTTGTCCACATTGGCCTTAATGGTAACACAAAAGAGTAAGGAATGTGTGTCTTCAGGAAGGTCTCATCCAGCAGGATTGCATAGTTAAGTTTTTATCTATGCATGATGCCAGAGCTATGCATAGAAGCTACAAAATAGTTTTAAAAATAGGTGAATAACAGTCTTGAAAATTTGGTGTATATCCTTGGAACAATAACATGATTAAAATGAGATGAGAATGGCAAGTGGCCCTCCTTCTGATTTTTTCATGGCTCACAATTCCCCTTGAGCTTGTCTAAAACTCCCTGGACACATCAGCTCTATTCAGCCTCTGGAAACAAGTCTGTCTTGAATATTAAAAGGCAGGAGGAGGAAAAGGGAAGTAAATACAAATCGCTTTAGTCTACTGTTCATATAACTTGAGATCAAGGTGACCTGGCTGCTAATATTTTATCCCATGATTCAATCTGAATAATCAAAGTTCTTTTGTTTTCCTTAGACTCTAATAAGTGACTATTCCAGTTTGACACTTGATACAGTCTTTTATGATATACTGTAAATTACTACTAACAGCCATTTTGGCTGGAATATGAACAAATAAAAATTAAATTTTACTTTTAAATACTACATGTTTTAGCTCTACAGCTATTCTACTGCACCTTAAATTCAATAATTTAATAATAATATCTGGAAACAATTTTTTAAACATGTTTTTCCTTTGACACATGGTGTTTTGATGTTGTAGAATCTGACTTCTGTGCATTTTGGGGGTAGGGGTTAAGCTTTAAAACTAAAGAATCGAATTTTCCTTCTGGCCAAAATGATGTTCTATGACCTAATTTAGGGGAAAAACAGAACTAGGGGCCAGAACAGAATCTTAATACTCCAGAATTTTAATCATTTCTCTGAGCTTGTCTTCAATCTAAAACATTCATGATTGCTTCCACTTCTCTGTGGCTCTATTTCTACATCTGAGCAGTGGAATACTAAACTCATCATGCAAATACCACCCTGAGTTTGTTAACGTAGGGGATTTGGTGCTCCTATGGTGTTTTTGCAGCACCTCAGCCCAACCTGAACATTCAAGATTGACGTCAAAAGTTGAAGTCTGTCACTGTTGGTGCCACCAAATGATTTATGGTCATAAACTTCCTTGTTCTTAGTAAAAGAATGAGTAATTTTTTTTTTGTCTTTTTTTTTTTTTTTTTTGAGATGGGGTTTCACTCTTGTTGCCCAGGCTGAAGTTCAATGGTGCAATCTCAGCTCACTGCAACCTCTGTCTCCTGGGTTCAAGCAGTTATCCTGCTTCAGCCTCCCAAGTAGCTGGGATTACAGGCACATGCCACCCCGCCCAGCTAATTTTTGTATTTTTAGTAGAGATGGGGTTTCATCATATTGGTCAGGCTGGTCTTGAACACCTGACCTCAAATGATTCACCTGTCTTGGCCTTCCGAGTGCTGGGATTACCGGCATGAGCTACAGCGCCTGGCCAAGTAATTTTTTTCTATTTCTCTTTTACTCGAACAAGTAAATATTTACAAAGGAGATTCAGGTATGATATTCATTCTAGGATAAAGTAGAGATACGGAGTGTAAACCAGCTATTGCAAAAGATGTTAAGTCTTTCAGCAAGTTTCTTTTCAAACTACCTTAATATTTAGTGAAGTGTTCATTGGTATACACCCAGCTCAAATCAGTGAGTCATAATAAACCCTTTAAAGGTTAGTCATTTTTGTCAGCTACCACCAAAATGGAAAAATACATCATGTTTTCGTCGATAAAGATGAGCTCATCTTGTTACACAGTTGATATCAGAGTATTATAGATTAACAAATTAATATTAGTTTGCACAGAGAGAAAAAGAGAGAAATTTGTCTTAATGTTTCACTGTAAGGGCACTAAAAGCCTTAGATCTAATTCATATGTATAATTTGTGTTTGCTCCACATTGGCACATTTCCAAAACCACACTTTTTTAACAATTACTGCTGGGCATGGTGGTTCACGTCTGTAATCTGAGCACTTTGGGAGGCCAAGGCAGGTGGATCACGATGTCAAGAGATCAAGACCATCCTGACCAGCATGGTGAAACCCCATCTCCACCAAAAATACAAAAAATTAGCTGAGCGTGGTGGTGCACACCCATAGTCCCAGCTACTCAGGAGACTGAGGCAGGAGAATCAGTTGAACCCAGGAGGCAGAGGTTGCAGTGATCTGAGATTGCACCACTGCACTCCAGCCTAGCAACAGAGTGAGACTCCGTCTCAAAAAAAAAAAGAAAAGAAAAGAAAAGAAATTGCTAAAATATCTTTTACTAATTTGTGTTCTCATCTTAGCAAAGACCATGACTTATTCATTTTTATATTTCTAAAAATTAAAAGGCCCCTGGGGATACATTTGACAATAATGAACATTTACTGAGTAAAAATGCAAGTACACGTTGTCATTGGCAAGTAATATTCAGAAATCTGTTCCCTGCTTTAGCACACAAGTTTTTTACGTGCACAAACTGAGCACCAATTTGATTTGGAACATTTAGTCTTTAATGTATTCCTTTCAAATTGATTTGTAGTTTACCCCATTGGTGTTACTGAAGGTTACTAGTAGATATGCATTTTCTTACCTTTTCCCTCTTTCCCATGGATCTTCCTCAAAGGCCATTCTCTGAGGAGGTGTCCTTCCTTCTGCAATGGCTTATTCCATCCATGGAGATGTCCTAGAAGCCTTCACTTGTGGCAATGGTACAAAGATTGTCATCCCTTAAGGAAAGATGGGCCAAGTCCTCCGCTAAACAGAAACTACCTTCATCTACCAAGGGAAGAACTGATTCCCTAAGAATGAGAATGGAATTGTGGAAACTATCTGAATACAGGAGAAACATGGGCAGCTTCTTACAGTGCACTTACGTGAAATTTCATCTTCTTTGTAATCAGAGAAAATGAATAAAGCGAGTTCTCATGTTCATTGCCAATGCTTACAAGAAACACTATTTAGAGTGATCATTAGCAAATCCAGCAGCTCATGTTGCACTGCTTGGGATTTAAACTGATCGCTTAACACTTCTCCAAATCTCTTTAGAAGAAATAGGTGACTTTATGATTTATCACGTCTGAGTAATCAGGAAATAATTTAGAGAGATGACTATCTTGGAAACATTTCAAACAAAAGAATCAATAATGAGGGAAATTTAGGCTTGGGAACATGTCAGGACTTTATTCACTCCTGTTTTAAAAGAGCATAAGGAGGCCAGGCATGGTGGCTCATACCCGTAATCCCAGCACTTGGGGAGGCCAAGGTGGTAGGATCACTTGAGTTTAGGAGCTTGAGACCAAACTGAACAACATAGTGAGACCCCTGTCTCACTATTTGTCTACACAAATATTTTAAAAATTAGCTGGGTGTGGTGGCTTGCCCCTGTGATCCCAGCTATTTGGGAGGCTGAGTTGGGAGGATGGCTTGAGCCCAAGAGGTTGAGGCTGCAGTGAGCCATGATCACACCAATGCACTCTAGCCTGGGTGACAGAACAAGACTCTGTCCCAAAAAAATAATAATAATACTAATAAGGAATAAAGGGAAGAGAGTTTTTTTTTTTTACTAACAAACATCAGTCTGAGCCTGGATCAATGTTACCAATCTCATGGCTTGCTAGGAGTTCCAGGGCCAGATTTTGTGTTTACCTTAGAAACTCAAAGATACTTGCTTTCATGGTACCATTTCCAAGTTCCACCTGAGGTTGTTATTATTATCATTATCATTATTTTAATTGAGACAGGGTCTCACTCTGTCACCCAGGCTGGAGTGCAGTGATGTGAGCATGGCTCATTGCAGCCTTGATCTCTCCTAGGCTCACGCAACCCATCCAACTCAGTATCCCGAAGTACTGGGATTACAGGCATGCGCCACTGCACCTGGCCAGTTATTTTTTTTAATGAGTGTAATCTCACAACCTCTCAAGATTGCATCTCAAACAATCCTAGGGCCCCTTCCCTCCCACCTTTACCTAGAGAGCAAATACACTCTGTGGAGTTCAGTAAGAGAGATATTTTGCCCCTCCCCTGGGAGATCCATCTAATACAGAACCTGCAGCTGGCTCCTCCCCTTGGCTTTATATCTTAGCTGTGGCCTTGAGATCTGAAGACTTTCTTGGCCGCAGCTGTTTTCAGTGGCTTTCCTCAAAGTGTCACGTGTGTGTCCAGACATTGAAATCTATTGCCAGGTGAGATTTCAGTTTCCATGAAGGAAAAGCAAGCATGTTGAGCTAGACCTGTTTGTAAAGAATATTTAAAATCAGTGTCTTGGGGAAATTAACAGCATGTTCTGCCATCTGATTTATTTCCACATATGGTTCAATGCACTACTAATGGTTTCCATTTGAAAAGAGCAAATCCACTTAGAAAGAGGTTTTGTAATACAAGTTGCAAGACTTAATGTTCTTAAGAACACGCCAGATCTTTAGAAGTCTGAGTGATTCAATCTAAGAATTGCCAGTCATAAGTTCTAAATATAATTAAACAGTACTTTATTTTACTGGAAGTTGCAAATGACAGAACATTAGTGTATTAGTCAGGGTTCTCTAGAGGGCCAGAACTAACAGGATATATGTATATATGGAAGGGAGCTTACTAAGGAGAATTGACTCGCACGATCACAAGGTAAAGTCCCACGATAGGCCATCTGCAAGTTGAGGAGCAGGGAAGCCAGTGGTGGATCAGTCTGAGTCCCAAAATCTCAAAAGTTGGGAAGCTGACAGTGCAGCCTTCAGTCTGTGGCCAAAGGTCCAAGACCCTCTGGCAAGCAAGTCCAAGTGTCCAAAAGCTGAAGAACTTGGAGTCTGATATTCAAGGGCAGGAAGCATCCAGCACAGGAGAAAGATGAAGGTCGGAAGACTTAGCAAGTCTGCTCTTCCACCTTCTCCTGCCTGCTTTTTTCTTTTTTTTCTTTTTTTTTTTTTTCTTTTTTTGATACAGAGCCTCACACTGTCACCTGGGCTGGAGTGCAATGGTGCAGTCTCGGCTCACTGCAACCTCTGCCTCCCAGGTTCACACGAGTCTCCTGACTCAGCCTCCCTAGTAGCTGGGATTACACTGCCTGCTTTTTCCTAGCTGTGCTGCAAGCTGCCCCTGCCAGGGTCTGCCTCTCCCATGCCACTGACTCAAATGTTAATCTCCTTTGGCAACACCCTCACAGACACACCCAGGATCAATACTTTGCATCTTTCAATCCAATCAAGTTGCCACTCAGTATTACCCATCACAATTAGTCCACAAATGGGGGTTTACATATACTCCCCTCAGTAAACTCTTCTACAAGAGGTAAAGAGTGAGTGAGCACTGATGATAATAACATTATTTCCTCAAATATCGGACTGAGAGCTGTCCTACATATTTACACCTGTTCTCCTTGTTCAAATCCCTGCCTCAAGAAACTTCTTGGCCAGGCGTGGCAGCTCATTCCTGTAATACCAGTACTTTGGGAGGCCGAGTACTTTGGATCACCTGAGGTCAGGAGTTCAAGACTAGCCTGGCCAACGTGATGAAACCCTGTCTCTACTAAAAATACAAAAGTTAGCTGGTGTGATGGCAGATGTCTGTAATCCCAGCTACTTGGGAGGCTAAAGCAGGAGAATTGCTTAAACCCAGGAAGTAGAGGTTGCAGTGAGCTGAGATGGCACCACTGCACTCCAGCCTGGGCAACAGAGTGAGACTCCATCTCAAAAAAAAAAAAAGAAACCCCTTGATTACAAAGAAGGGGCCTCCCTTTTATGCTGGTACATTGCTCCAAGGACAAAAAAATCTCAATTAAAATTATGAGTTTTGAGGAAACATTATTTAATAATAACTCAATTTGCTATAAACCTGCCTTGCTACACATATTTCAATTAAGACCAAGTGTAACTGTAGAACCAGGGTATTTGGGCTGAAGTCAGGGTGATCTGAATTCAGATGTATTGTAGAGTGGAGTGGTAGGAGTGACTTTTCCTTTCTGAGACCCTCATTACTTTCAAATAATAAATAACTCTTTGAGAAGAGACCCTTGTGAGCAAAAGCAGAGGAAGCTTCAAACTGCAAACAACTTTCCCAATGTATTTAAATGCAATCTAATGAGAGAGTTAAAAGTATGATGAAATATGACTGCTGTTCATAAACTTGAAGCATGATTTTGTAATTGTTAACATTTACCTTAACCTCTTTGTCTTTTTGAGCCAATTTCTTTAGGCTGTTTGGCACATTAATAATTAGATTATAGTCCAGGTGCAGTGGCTTATACCTGCAATCCGAGCACTTTGGGAGGCCGAGGCAGGTGGATCCCCCGAGGTCAGAAGTTTGAGACCAGCCTGACCAACATGGAGAAACCCTATCTCTACTAAAAATACAAAATTAGCTGGGCATGGTGGCGCATGCCTGTAATCCCAGCTACTCGGGAGGCTGAGGCAGGAGAATCACTAGAACCCGAGAGACAAAGGTTGCAGTGAGCCGAGATCGTGCCATTGCGCTACAGCCTGGGCAACAAGAGCAAAACTCCATCTCAAATAGTAATACTAATATTTAGATTATAGAACAATTTAAAGTTTAAGGTTCTGGCAAAATAATTATTCTTTGAAGTAACTGGGTAAACTGTTAACAGCTCAGAAAAGTCTATTTTAATTATTTCTAATCAGGGGCCCCATTTTATTTTTCTTCAAAAAGTAATACCATCCTATATGTACATTAAAAAACTTTTTAAGGATTTTTACCCTGGGTAATATTCTTTATTATGCTCCTAACAGTGTTGCATGCCGAGCAGGGTCTTATTTGGTTGAGAAGATTGAGGCTTAGTTTGGAAAGTACCAATCTCAGAGCAAACCCAGGTCTCCCCAACTCCTGGCCTGAGTAGCTAGGACTACAGGCATGTACCACCACACCCAGCTAATTTTTAAATTATTTTTTGTAGAGACAGGGTCTCCCTATGTTGCCCATCTGGTCTCAAACTCCTGGCCTCAAGCAATCCTCCTGCCTCAACCTCCCAAAGTGCTGGAATTAACAGGTGTGAGCCTCTGTGCCTGGTCAGTGCCCTTTCCATTCTATCAAAATCAGATGAAATCTTCCATATGAAAACTTATAACACTTTTTCCCTTCTAGGCAGCTTATTTGGGGCCTCCTCTTTCATCCTTATAAGAAAAACCATGGCCAAAAAAAAAAAAAAATAGGCAGGATGCTAAGTGCAAAATATATCAACGTCAGTATAACTGATTAGGAAGATTTACAGACCAATAGGCAATCATTTTAACCAATTCTTGAAACATAAATTTTATTAAGTAATTTCAGAATGTAACAACTGGGTTGTCATCCAGTACTCCCATTACATCATCGTGCTCCTTGAGACTTAGAACGTCATGTAGTTCTAAAATGGGGCTGCGGTGTGGCACAGTGGCTCACGCCTGGAATCCCAGCACTTTGGGAGGCTGAGGCAGGCAGATCATGAGGTTAGGAGATCAAGAACATCCTGGCTAACACGGTGAAACCCCATCTCTACTGAAATACAAAAAATTAGCTGGGCATGGTGGCACATGCCTGTAGTCCCAGCTACTTGGGAGGCTGAGGCAGGAGAATCGCTTGAACCTGGGAGGCAGAAGTTGCAGTGAGCCGAGATTGCACCACTGCACTCCAGCCTGGGCGACAGAGCGAGACTCCATCAAAAAAAAAAAAATGGGACTGCGGTGACAGTCGCAGGGCTGCATAAAATTACTAAGACTGGTCAACCTTAACATGGGCTAAATGTATAGTTCATAAGATAAACCTCAAGAAAGCTGTTAAAGCCATATACCCACTGTTATGGGCTAAATTGTATCCCCCCAACCAAAAAAAAACATTCACATGTCGAAGTCCTATCCCCCAATACCTTAGAATATGACTGTCTATTTGGAGATAAGGTTTTAAAGAGGCAATAGAATTAAAATGAGGTCATTAGAATGAACTCCAATCCAATATGACTGTTGTCCTTATAAAAAGAGACTTGGACACAGATAGGTACAGAGAAAAGACCAAGTGTAGTGAGAAGGCGGCCACCTACAAGCCAAGGAGAGAGGCCTCAGAAGACACCAACCCTGCCGACACCTTGATCTCAGACATCTAGCCTCCAGAATTGTGAGGAAAAAATTGTTGTTTAAGCCACCCAGTCTGAAGTCTTTTGTTATGGGAGATGGGAACCCTCACAAATTAATGCACTCCTCCCAACACACACACACACACACACACACACTCACACAATACAATGCTACCTAATACAAGCTATATGAAAACCTACCCTTATGAATAGCTATTGATTTTTAATTCTCTTCTGGGCCATTTTTTTACTCATTAAATATTTTATGCTTAAATTTCAATTATTTATGTTTTAATGCTAATGGTTATAGATTTTAAGAATGAACTACGAGGCCAGGTGCAGTGGCTCATGCCTGTAATCCCAGCACTTTGGGAGGCTGAGGCGAGTGGATCACCTGAGGTCAGGAGTTTGAGACCAGCCTGGCCAACATGGCGAAACCCCGTCTCTACTAAAAATACAAAATTAGCTGGGTGTGGTGGCGCATGCCTATAATCCCAGCTATTTGGGAGGCTGAGGCAGGAGAATCACTTGAACCTGGTAGGCGGAGGCTGCAATGAGCCAAGATCGTCCCATTGCATTCCAGCCTGGGCAACAAGAGCAAAACTCTGTCTCAAAAAAACAAAGAATGAACTATGAAAATTCAGCACAGAACATCAAAGAGCTACCATAGCCTTATTAACTACATAGCTCAAATCCATAAAAATACAAATAAACCATGTTCTTTGTGGAGAATGACTTACCCAAATTGTCCACAGTCACTGGTGGATACTGTGAAAACTGGAGCCAATATCTGGGCACCTGCTTCCTTACTAACCACTTAATGCTCATTGCTAGTCACAGAGTGGCCCAAAAAGCTGGGCCAAAGAAAGGGAAGATAAAATAATTCTTGTCATTGTGACTATACAAACTGTATAGAGTCCATATAATTAGGAAGCATAAAAATCATACAGTAAAGCAAGCACTATTTATTATATTTCATAACAGTAAAATTTCCCTTGTTTCAATTCCCTTCTCAATTTTGGACCGCAGGAACATTTTGTGCCACAGTGAAATCCTAAAATGACAGAAAAACATTGGGGTTAAGAAGTGTTTTTAGTCAGATGAGTTCTGAGTTGGGCAGCAATGAAGTTAAACACTGGCAGGCAATGGCATCTCTCCTTCATGCCTGTCCCCACGCTTTGTTGACAAGTTGGGGTGCAAATAAATGTGTGTTGCTGTGTTCTACTTGAAACATTTGACAAGGACCTTTTCTTTGAAAATCACAATTGCAAACAAAAGTCTAACCTGAGATAAAGAGAGATTAAAATGGCGAAGAACCATCTTGAAATCACAGATACCACCCTCCAGTTCTAACAAAATAATTTGTTTTCTATGGAGGTTAGGGAAGAAAACTTCCCAAACAGATGTAATGAGATACTTTGTAGAGAAAACATGAAGCTAAGACAGTGAAATGTTGGGTGGTGTTCTATAACCCAGAAGTCTGTCCCCTGCTGTTTGTCTTACTTTTTTCTTTATGCTTATATTTTAACTACTCACCGTATCCTCTTTCACAGACCCTACAGAATTGGTGACCAAAGAGGCCATCTGCTTTCCAAGAAAATCACTAGTAAATTGCCCAGTATTTAAAGATACCTAACCCCAGGCCAGGCGCCGTGGCTCACACCTATAATCCCAGCACTTTGGGAGGCCAAGGTGGGTGTATTACTTGAGCTCAGGAGTTCAATACCAGCCTGGCCAACATGGCAAAACCCTGACTCTACTAAAAGTACAAAAATTAGCCAGGCATAATAACACACACCTGTAATCCCAGCTACTTGGGAGGCTGAGCCAGGAGAATAGCTTGAACCCCAGAGGCGAAGGTTGCAGTGAGCCAAGATCACGCCACTGTACTCCAGCCTTGGCAACAGAGCAAGACTGTCTCAAAATAAAATAAAAGAATAAAGATACCACACAGGAGTAGCTTCCAAAACTCAGCTCTCTTTTTTTCTCTGGATTGACAACCAGTTGGAGCCGCCATTAAAGAAAGTACACAAATTCTAAAATCCTGGTGTTTAAATCTAACATATTTCCTATGTTAGCTGGCCGATAAGTTTGGAAATGTATATTTAATGTATCTCCACAGAAGCTATTTGCATGTCCAAGAACGTGACAACCTATGAAGGTGTTTACTTCATAGGCAGAGCAAAGTTTCAGACCATCTAACTATGCAGCATAGTTTATGTAATTCCCTCGCCTTTCAGAGGCTTTTTCAAATCTTGTGTTCACCAGGGTAAAACAGCACCAATTCAATGTCTACAAGATCAGACTACAGAATAGGAAAATCAAAACATTAAATTAGGTGTTAGACTAAATTTCACTGTGCTTTAGGGTAGATATCACCAATGGACAAGGATCTCTGCTTTTATGATTATGTAGGTTAATGGCCTGACCAAACCAATGGTCTTTAGTTTCCATTTTGGCTGCAGAGCAGTTTAAGTACAGGGCCTTGTCTTGCCATTCTACCTTATATCCCTGTGTTGACATCAAGGGGACCCATTTCAAAGAGAATATTGGTTTACTATTTCAGAGTATATACTTATGAACATGAAACTCATTCTTAATATAAAAGGAAATGGAGAGTGCCAATTTCCTTTGGATGAGATTTGAGCTAAGAACAGGAGGAAGGGTCAGGTGTGGTGGCTCACGCCTGTAATCCCAACACTTTGGGAGGCCAAGGCGGGCAGGCAGATCACTTGAGATCAGAGGTTTAAGGCCAGCCTGGCCAACATGGTAAAACCCTGTCTCTACAAAAACATACAAAAATTAGCCAGGCATGGTGGCACACACCTGTAGTCCCAGCTACTCAGGAGGCTGAGGCAGGAGAATCACTTGAACCTGGGAGGCAGACGTTGCAGTGAGCCAAGATTGTACCATTTGCACTCCAGCCTGGGTGAAAGAGTGAGACCCTGTCTCAAAAAAAAAAAAAAAAAGGAGGAAGAGCTGGCATTAATCCAGCTAGAAAACCTACCCACTGATAGGAAAACTGTGATGTTGGTCAAGTCCTTTATTCCGTTAGGTCTCTGTGTAAAGAGGGCTGCAATAACTTCCTTCTTATATTAACACTCAAAAGAAAATTTATAAAACAATATAGTCCATTTATTAGAGCAAAAAATGAATGGGGGCTGATGAGTGTATAGGGAAGAACCATTAGCAAAATGATGTATTAAATGTCTGTTTCCATTTCTCTTGTGATAGATCATCGCTTGTTCATTTAAGTAACCCCTATGCTTTGGTAATAGCTATCAGCATATAAAATATTGTCTATGCTCCCCCAAAAAAAATCACAAAGGTTCTTAGCCTCATAAAGTTCGATAAATAAGCATCGGAATAATTTCAAAAGTATTCAATGACAAAGAAATGTGATATTTGTAACTATTAGCTAAAAGTAAAATTAAATATTACACATCTATGAGGCTGGCCTTGGAGATGAAGAAAAATGCAAAAACAAATTATGAAAAGTAAATTGGCCGGCCTCAGTGGCTCATGCCTGTAATCCCAGCACTTTGGGAGGTCGAGGCGGGCGGATCACCCGAGGAAGGGAGTTCGAGACCAGCCTGACCAACATGGAGAAACCCCGTCTCTACTAAAAATACAAAATTAGCCGGGCATGATGGCACATGCCTGTAATCCCAGCTACTCGGGAGGCTGAGGCAGGAGAATCACTTGAACCCGGGAGGCGGAGGTTGCGGTGAGCCGAGATCGTGCCATTGCACTCCAGCCTGGGCAACAAGAGCGAAACTCCATCTAAAAAAAGAAAAAGAAAAGTAATATCTTCAGGGACTGCAGTGTAGGATGTTTCTGTGCAGCGTTTTATTTAGTGAAGTTAAAGATACCATGAAGCATACCAAACCCGTTTATATATAAAATAGAAAATCATTTCTCCATCTGAAGGGAAGTCTATTGACTACGTTTTAGTAAACTCTGAACCAAAGAACCTGCGAATGTCACTCTTCCAGCAGGAAGCATCTGGTTCATTCAGGCTATACCACAGACTGTCCATCATAACATTTAGAAAAAATGTCAGCTATCACAACCCTCTACCTCCATATTTTTTACCCCACCTAAGTATGTTGGTTCCCTAGGCTGCTACCACAAAGTACCACAAACTTGCCTGTACCAACAAAAATTTGTTATCTCACAATTCTGGAGGCCAGAAGTCTGAAATTGAGGTATAGAAGGACCATGTCCTTGCTGAAGGCGCTTGGGAAGAAGCCCCTTTTGCCTCCTCTAGCTCTTGGTGGCTGCCGGCATTTCCTGGTTCTAGACTCTTCACTCCAATTTCCACCTCCATTGTCACGCAGTATTCTCCCTGTGTGTCTCTGCGTCTTTGTACAGCTTTTAAAAAACACCAATCCCAGCCTGGACAACATGGGGAGACCCCGTCTCTACGTACAATTTAAAAATCATCCAGACACAGTGGCACACACCTGTAGTCCTGGCTACTCAGGAGGCTGAAGTGTGAGGATCACCTGAGTCTGGGAGGTCAAGGCTTCAGTGAGCTGAGATTGCGCCACTGCACTCCAGCCTGGGTGACAGAGTGAGACCCTGTGTCCAAAAAATAAATTAAAAATAAAAAATAAAACACCAGTCATTGGATTTAGGGTGCAACCTAATACAGTATGATCTCATCTTAACTTGATCACACATGCAAAGACCCTTATTTCCAAATAAGGTCATGTTCTGAGGTTCCAGGGAGACGTGAACTTGGGGAGGCCCTATCCAACCCAGTACATTCACCAATGACAAAAATATGTTTTTACTAATCAAATATCATCTGAGAATCCACAATTTTTAAACATATATACTGTGTTAAGAGTACAAATACAAGTACTCCAAATTATCCTTTTAAAGTTTCTGTGTGTGTGTGTGTGTGTGTGTGTGTGTGTAATGGAGTCGCACGCTTTTGCCCAGGCTGGAGTGCAGTGGTGCGATCTCAGCTCACTGCAACCTCCGCCTCCCGGGTTCAAGTGATTCTCCTGCCTTGGCCTCCTGAGTAGCTGGGACTACAGGCGCCTGCCACCACGCCCCTCTAATTTTTGTATTTTTAGTAGAGACAGGGTTTCACCACATTGGCCAGGCTGGTCTCAAACTCCTGCCCTTAAGTGATCTGCCCACCTCGGCCTCCCGAAGTGGTGGGATTACAGAAACGAGCCACCACACCTGGACCCTTTTAATCTCAAATGACTGAAATTATATCTACACATCAGACAACTTCTCCTGCGCTGGGTACAGCAATGCCAATTGTTGTTGTTCTTTACTTCCTGTTTTTTTTCTTTGTTAATCTTTAAAAAAAAAAAAAAAAGATAGTTCCTAGTTTAAAAAAAATGCTGCATCCCTGACCATCTTTTTGAAACATGACTTGCTTCAGGAACATGCTCTAGTTTTATGCCTCCCTTTATAGTTATAAAATAGATTTAATTTTTTCCTATGTACCCTATCATCCTGTCTTAGACAAACTTACAATACTTAGTAGCTTCAGTTAACAAATACGACTATGGAAAACAGGTGATAGTCATCATTAATTTAAGGTAAAAAGTAGAGCCACGTGGTTAAAATACAAGTTTGAAGAAGTCTACTATTACTGCTTTTATGTATGGAGAGCAGTGATCTCAAGACATTTCATCTTCAGAGACTGAACTGACAATGGGGCTGATATGAGAAGAAAAACTGTCATTTGAGATACCTGTTGTAGTAGCCTGAGTTTTAGACTGAGGCTTGAAGACAAAAAAATTTATTGAGCTGGGCAAAGTGGCTCACACCTATAATCCCAACATTTCGGGAGGCCAAGGCAGGAGGATCACTTGAGCCCAGGAGTTCAAAACCAGCTTGGGCAACAATTTCTAAACATGTATATTCTGTTTAGAGTCCTGATACAAGTACAGTACAAATACAGAGTTTCTATGGCAAAAACCTGTCTCTACAAAAAATACAAAAATTAGGGGGGCATGGTGGTGAGCACCTGTAGTCCCAGCACTTGGGAGGCTAAGGTGAGAGGATTGCTTGAGCCCCCGAGGTCAAGGCTGCAGTCAGCTATGATTGTGCCACTGCACTCCAGCTTGGGCAACAGAGCAAGACACAGTGGCTCACGCCTGTAATCCCAGCACTTTGGGAGGCCGAGGCTAGCAGATCACCCAAGTTTGGGAGTTCGAGACCAGCCTGACCAACATGGAGAAACCCTGTCTCTACTAAAAATACAAAAATTAGCTGGGTGTGGTGACAGGTGCCTGTAATCCCAGCTACTTGGGAGGCCAAGGCAGGAGAATCGCTTGAACCTGGGAGGCAGACGTTGTGGTGAGCCGAGATCGCACCACTGTACTCCAACCTGGGCAACAAGAGAGAAACTCTAAAAAAAATAATAAATAAAAATAAAAATAAAAGATGTTTCAGTCCTGAAAATAAGAGGAAATATTCTAAGTCACATCCAAACCTCTAATTTCTCATCTCACTGAAGTTCATGGAGAGGAAGTTTTGAATCAGTAGGCTCCAACTTCTCACTGAGGACTAGCAATTGTATGTAGAGAAGGAATAAGGAAGTGGCAACGTAACACACCCAATGGAAGGTCAATTTCTTGGATTCTATTTATTGCCCAAATGACGATTTGAAGTCAACATAAAGAAATATTTTTTTGCAATTGATTTTAAAGCTGTGCTTGAATATAGTGAGAAAGAGCAGTGACCTGTGTATAGATAGAATCTTCTAGGGGCAATCTCTTTATGGATATCACCGATCCTTATATCTGAGAGATACAGACGTTTTTACCTCTTGGGTAGGCAGGCTTTCTTGCCTAGATGAGCCAAAATAATTACATCAGCTCTTTCTACCTGGAAAGACTCCCTCGCTAACACCTGATAAGACTTTATAGGATAAAGGAAAAACTTGACTAGATTTGACGAAAATACAAAACTACTTCTTAATCTTTAGTGTTTAAATCATTAGTGGTATTTCTAATTAGCCCCTCTAAAGCTCTCATTTTGGTAACAGGACCCTACTAATATTATCTAATGATGTGAGATGTCAGGCATTAAAACTGTTGTTCTTATTTTTCATTTGCTAACCATTCACATTAAACCATGTGGATTATGGCACATACAGTGTAATGCACAGGTTGAAGTAGGCGGGGTTTCATTTCCATCCACTCCCAAGACAGAGTTTAATTTTACATCTTGGGAAACTGACACCACACCTGCTTGTGACAGTATGTTTTACTTTTTTACTTACATAAAATACAATGCCGTATATATGGAAAAGGGTTAAAAGCCTGAAAAAGGCTTTCTGTTTTAACATATTTTTTCTGTTATACAAAGCCATACCACCAAAAAAAAAATTTTTTAATATCCTACATGCCAAATCTACTTAGTCATTATTTTTTACTGCTTCTGATTCAAATAATTTAAGGCTAAAATAATAAGCATGTATTGAGACCCAGCACCCAATTGGGTGGTGTCTGGGAAACAAAGAAGTAAGAGGAAAAAAATTACCTTCACTCCACCCCACTCCTTCCTCTCTTGGCCACACTCAGCATCTCAGCTATATCCAGGATGGTCCTAACTCCAAAACCTTAAATTCAAACACACTCCTCTTGGAATATGATCTCCTGCCTCCCAGTTCTCATTCTCTTCCATCCACTCCATCTCTTCTTCAGTTTCATCAAGACCTGTAGGTACGTGAGCCCTTTCTTTTTCGCCCATCTGCCATGACCACTCTCTTCTTATCCACCATAGACATGGTAGCTCCTCAGATTCTTTCCTGCCAAGATCTTCAATTCCCTTGCCTCCTTGTCCCCCTGACATGTCTCTCCCTTGAAACCACAAGCTCGATCTAACCAACTCTTCTCCTGTTGACATTCGTAGGGGCATAGTTGGAGGCTGCTGGAAGAAAGCCCACCACCCCACAGACTGCAGCTAGGCCATTAATGCTGCCCACCAGGCTTGTGTTTCCTGGTCAGCTGTTCTCCCCGTGCTGCAGTGGCTATTTCCAACCTTCTCAGCTGTCTTCAAACCTTCTACCCCCGTAGAGCAGAGACAGCTAGCTGAGGAGCCAACCAGCATCTCCTTCTTCCAGGACCCCCAGGAAAGCCACAAACTACCAAGTTCAAGTCATGGAGTGTGAGCAGAAGTGATGTGCCCCTTCAAGCTCCTTATTGTTGGAAATATCTAAAACCTTTAAAGTAAAAAAAAAAAAAAAAAAAAAAGGCCAGGCATGGTGGTTCGTACCTGTAATCCCAGCCCTTAGGAGGCCAGGGCAGGTGGATCGCTTGAGCCCAAGAGTTTGAGACCAGTCTAGGCAACATGGTGAAACTCTGTCTCTACAAAAAATACAAAAAAAAAAAAAAATAGCCAGGTACAGTGGCATGTGCCTGCAGTCCCAGCTAGTTGCCGGGCTAATGTGAGAGGATCGTTTGAACCAGGGAGGCAGAAGCTGCAGCGAGCCAAGATCGCACCATTGCACTCCAACCTGGGCAACAGAGTGAGACTATCTCAAAAAAAAAAAAAAATTTAAATGATGTGCCTCTTCTCTGGACCAGGCTTATCCAAACCTCTCACAAATGTTCCTCTCTTTCCCCATCTGCAGAGTGGGTGCTAGGGCCCGGGGCCACCAGTTAAAGAATCAGAGCCTCTCTCTCTCAACTGAGGTCCAGAATGACTTTGTGAAGCAAATAAGCAAAACACACACACACACACACACACACACACACACACACACACACACACACCCCCACTCAATCCCTGACGCTCCGCTGTGCCCAGTGGGAAATACATATAGGCTCACCATTGAGACGCGGCTGCGGCAGAGTGGCCCTTCACTACTCCACCCTGTGCTGGCTCCTCCTGCTCAGCATGTGGCCTTGCTTCCTGTTCTACCAAAGAAGAAGGAAAATGTGTTTTGCTTTCCTTTAAATAATAGATACCAGCTTCCTGTGGCCTGACTAATTAGGGCTTAATGATGCCTGTTATCATCAAGGAGATGAGCTCTCACCTGATATGAGATCAGCAGTCATTAGGGCCTCCAGCCTCTAAATCTCAGCACGGAGGGCAAGGTCTGAGGGCCTGGGGGCAAAGGCAGTTCACAGACCCGGGCTCCGGACCTCTGCCCTTCCACGTTTTCTACAGAATTATATCCTAATGGAATGTGTTTTTCTGTCTAAAAGTCTTTTATTGAACTTCCTTATGTTTCTGTAACAAAAATAGGTGTACACATTGAAATTTTAAAAAATTATTTACTTCGATCTTAAAGCTCTGTATTTAAAATTTTTCTGGATTAAATTATCTTTACCATTGTTTTCAGTGAACAGTTGATCAAAGTACCTAAATATTACATATTTTAAGTCATTAAACAGAAAGTAAATATAAAATATAAAGGAAATACATTGAGAATGAAGCTCCTGAAAGGTGAATGGTGCTATTTGTTTAATAGTTTAGAGGGCTTTTGCAATTTTTAATGTATCTGTAGATGACAGCCTGAGACTAAGTTGGCATGGATTTTATTCCTATTTTCATATATATATTATATATATATATATATAATATATAATATATATAAAACTGTGAAAAACTTGTTCACATAAATAAATAGAAATGGGAAGGGAATTTGGGCATAGAAATGATATTCAATTCTCCGAACAACTTCTCAGTTTTACTGATAAGATTAAATTATTGTGAATGCTTTACCACTAGAAATAAGAACTTTCTTAGTTCATCTGTCAATGAAACAAATCACTTGATTAGCTGACAGGTGAGAAACAAATAAACAACATGATTATTTCCTCCTTCAACTGAAAACTCTGGTTTGCAAAAGAGCCCATCAGTCCATCATTCACTTTCTCAACACTCCCACCCACTGCTACCGTTTGCTTTCTTTTCTTTTTCTTTTTCTCTTTTTCTTTTTTGGAAACAGAGTCTCACCTTTTGCCCAGGCTGGCTTCCCAGGTTCAAGCCATTCTTCTGCCTCAGCCTCCAGAGTAGCTGAGTTTACAGGCGCCCGCCACCAAACCCAGCTAATTGTTATGTTTTTAGTAGAGATGGGGTTTCGCCACATTGGCCAGGCTGGTCTCAAACACCTGACCTCAGGTGATCCACCCACTTTGGCCTCCTGAAGTGCAGGGATTACAGGCTTGAGCCACCACGCCCGGCCTACCATTTGCTTTCATATGCAGGGGGTTAGACCCAGGGAAAATGCTCTTCAGGAAGATTCGCATGAAGGCAAACTCTCAGGAAGAAAAATTTAGCAAAACATACATATGGAATTTGCTGCCCCCGGCAGTCTAGAGGAAAAGGACATCCATTCCGTCTCTTGGGGCTGAGGCCCCGCTGAGACCAAGCTACTGGACTTTCTCTCTGATTCAATCAGGTAAGACCCAGCATCTTCTAGGACCTGCAATCCCTGGTGACAGCCAGCTCCTGAACCCAGTGGTAAGAAATTTCAATCCTTGACCCACTCTGGAGAGGAACACTGCTCTCCTTCACTCCCTCTGGGTCTGGGGAGGAAGTGGGGAAGCATTAAAATGTGCTTTGTTCACACTGTGAGTCTGTGTTTTCTACATAAAGAAAATCTAGAACTTGACAATGAGTGTTCCAGCAAATCAATACACTAGAGATTCTGACTGAATTCTCTTCCTCATGTTTGGAAAAGAGCTCTTCATGTCACGTCACTTCACAGTCTGCTTGTTCTGGAATGGCTGCCATGCTCTGGTTGTCAGAGGCATTTGAACCAAAGCAATTCCATCTTAAATAGGGGCTGGGTAAAAATGAGGCTGAGACCTACTGGGCTGCATTCCCAGATGGTCGGGCATTCTAAGTCACAGGATGAGCTAGAAGGTCAGCACAAGATACAGGTCATAAAGACCTTGCTGATAAAACAGCTTGCAGTAAAGGAGCTGGCTAAAACCCACCAAAACCAAGACGGTGACAAGAGTGACCTCTGGTCGTCCTCACTGCCACACCACCACCAGCGCCATGACAGTTTACAAATGCCATGGCAACGTCAGGAAGTTACCCTATATTGTCTAAAAAGGGAAGGCATGAATAATCCACATTTTGTTTAGCATATAACCAAGAAATAATCATAAAAATGGGCAACCAGCAGCCTCGGGGCTGTTTTGTCTACTGAGTAGCCGTTCTTTTATTCCTCTACTTTCTTGATAAACTTGCTTTCACTTTACTCTATGGACTCACCCTGAATTCTTTCTCGTGCGAGATCCAAGAACCCTCTCTTGGGGTCTGGATGGGGACCACTTTCCGGTAACAGGGCCTTCCTGATTTAATTGGGGATAGTTGGGATGGACAGGGACTCACAGTCACAAAATATGTCTACCTAAGACCAGCATTAGGAGCAGGATGAAGGGTCTTTCTCCTGGAAGGGCTGTGAGCTTGCTAATGCCAGCTTTCCCTCTCTCTGTCTCTTCACATTGTCAGAGTACCCTTTCTCCTGGTCAAGGCTAACACCCCAACCTGGCCCTGTGAGGAAACCATTCCCCACTACCCTCTCAACCCCCTGCACCTCACTTATCCCCCACCCCACCTCTTCAGGGATCTGTAATCTAAATACAACCTTCTGGCCAGGTATGGTGGTTCCTGCCTGTAATCCAGCACTTTGGGAAGTCGAGGCAGGAGGACTGCTTGAGGCCAAGAGTTCAAGACCACCTGGCCAACGAAGCACAACCCCATCTCTAAAAACAAGTAAATAAATACACCCTTGTGTAACATCACTAACCTCCCTGCTAGTACCTTCTCTTCACTATTTAAAATGCTGATAATTTCTCCCTAGAAACTCACTCTTCCAGGTAGTAAATCATAAAATGCAGCTATGATAATTAAAATATCTTGGAACTGCAAAAGAAGAAAACAGAGGTACAGAGTCCAGAAACAGACCCAGCTGCATTCTAAAATGAAATTTGTGCCATGTTGGCATTTCAAATCAATGGGAGAAAGTGCATTGTGTAATAAATAAAATACTTTGAAGATAACTAAATCTTAAGCCCAATTTCCCCTCATAAGCCAAAAGGAGCTTCCTGATGAATTGAAAGTTTAAACATAAAATCATACAACTACTAGAAGAAATCCTGGGAAGTCATTTCTAAGCATGAGGAAGTCATTTCTAAGCAGAGATGCAAAATCCTAAATTTAAAGGAAAAGATTTTTAAATCTGTTAATGTAAAAACATAAAACTTACATTTACTTACAATGTCATATCATTCAAAAAATAACAGCAAAGGACAAATAACAGAAAGTCCAAATGACTTGCCGAATTCACTTATTAATTCTAGTATTGTGCTTTCCTTTTTCAATATTTATGCAAATCATCTCATCTTCTATTGCATTACCTAGAGCCTCCAAAACAATGTAGGGGTAATAAATAAGTTGAGATAAGAAGTATATCTGCCTTGTTACTCATTTTAATTCAGTTAACTTTTTTTGTTCTTCAATAGTTGGTATGATGTTTGCTTTTGGGTTTTGGCAAATCTCATCATATTTAGGTAGCTTTTTTCTCTGAAATGAATACTGAATTATCACATGCTTTTAAATATTTATTAATATAATCTTGCAAGTTTTCTCTTTTGTTACTCTAATTGATTATTATTTATAGTTTTTAAATGTTGAACAATTCTTGCATTCCAGAATAAATCTATTTAATTTTGGTATTTATTCTCTTTTTTTTCTTTAAGGTTAACACTTCAATATATTGACATTTTCGCTTACAAACGTACAATTTGCATATGTAGGGAAAAAAATCAGTTCCGTAGGCACAAGAGAATAGTAGAGACAGAAAGCAATCACAAATAGATCAGTTCCGGGGAGAAAGTGGAACTGCATTCCATGGCTTGTATCTACATACACTAGGGAAGGAAAAAGAAATATTCCACAGGATCAAAACTTGATGTGGAAAATAAACTTGGGTCATTTTATCTCAATTGAGAATCTTCTTATGATCCAGGTGGCTACACTGAGTCCTGGATGGCCTAAAATGGGCAAAGTCTGGCCTTGTTCACAAATTATGATCCAAGATATTAACCACAGTTCTCCCTCTTCTCTTTAATATCCAAGACCCTGAAGTTGACTCAAGGAATGAAAAGAACAGAGCAAAAAGAACAATCGGATTAGCATGTAAGTAATGTCAACAGCCAACTTCTTCAAGGTATGGATCATTATTTAAAAGTACACATAGAGGCCAGGTGCAGTGGCTCACGCCTATAATCCCAGTACTTTGGGAGGCTGAGGCAGGCAGATCACGAGGTCAGGAGATCAAGACCATCCTGGCTAACACGGTGAAACCCCGTCTCTACTGAAAATACAAAAAATTAGCTGGGCGTGGTGGCAGACGCCTGTAGTCCCAGCTACTCGGGAGGCTGAGGCAGGAGAGTGGCGTGAACCTGGGAGGCGGGGCTTGGAGTGAGCCGAGATCATCGTGCCACTGCACTCCAGCCTGGGCGACAGAGTGAGACTCCGTCTCAAAAAAAAAAAAAAAAAAGTATACATGCAAGTAGAATGTTACTCAAAACTGAACAGAAGTTTCTTCTAACTCACGACGCACTTCTTCACTTGGAATTACTAAGTGTAGCACTGTAAACAAAGAATGTCATTGAGAAACTGAGGCTATCAAAATGTTGGCATCTATGGGAGTTGTGGCCAAGGAAATGAAATATCTGAGCTCACCTTATCCCCAGCATGCATTTCATACCAGGATCAAATCACTAATGACCGTGAATTTCCAGGCTCAACTATGGCTGCCTAATGAGGCTGGCCCCACTGGGGATGGGGACTGGGGAGGGGACACACACGGGTGCCCAAGCTTCAGTCCACATCTCCCTCGGTTCATCCAGAAGCAGCCATGGGGCACAGGAAGACGTCTGCTTCAAGAGCATTTCAGCTGCAAAAGTCTGGTTCCTGTAATTCCCTCCCGGTAATTCCAAGTCCAAAATTACCACAAGTGCAACATGAAAAGCTGTTCATAGTTTTTAAGTAAAGCGTACATACAGCTTTAATAACGATTATAATCTGAACAAAGCCGTTCTTATTACACAGGATGGAAAATCTTCAAAGCGACATTTTAAACCATGGACACTAGTGTTGTCATACGTTGCATCTATCCAGAGATGACAGATAAACACACATCCTTCCAGGTGGGAACAGACACTCTCATGTCAACAAGTCCCCTAGGACTGGCGATAAAAACAGACTTGTGGTCACCACTCGGTTTCTCTGGCATCTGGCTTCATGTGGAATCCTATGTAAGTTGGCCTCAGAGGGAAGTGACTGAGCAGCAAAGCAAGACAGCATGTATGTAACTAGTCGGGCAAAATAACACGTCTGTGCTACCTGGAACGTATGTTAGGGAAAACAGGACCGTATGGAGCGTGGGGCAGAGATATTCACTGTGCTAAACTGCCTTTGTAAAATCACATGTTTAAAGCATGCAGGACAGAAAACCAGAATAATTCCAAGCTTGAAAACATGAAATAACAGAAACATGAATATTTGAAATACATACTTCATAATATTGGAAATAAGAGCACTGGACAGAAAGGCAGGACTGGGTTTTCCAGAGACTCCCACATTTTGGGGCTCAAAATTCCATGTTCTAAGCTTCTCTATCACGCAGAGATCAAGAACAAAAGAAGGCTGGGGTCCTGACCAGACTGAGTGGTATCTTGAGCCAGTTCCTGTGTCCTGAGGGCCCCTGGGCCCCATTTCCCATCCATAACCCAAGTTTGCTCAGCCATAGTCTGTCCTGGTGCTCGGTGGACAGCCACAGGGCCCCGTTCCTGTGGGCCTTCAGGGGGACAAGAGAGAGCATTCCCCCCACAGTCCAATCCCCCAGAAGGCCTGAAATGGAAACGCTCTAACTAAGGCTCTCCTTCCACTCCCCCACTTTTCTTTTAATATTATTCTCTCAACAAGTAGAAAAATAGGCTGTAAGGAGGCTTAGGCAGCAACGCAAACACCCCAAGCAGACACACACTCAAATAGCTCTCTCTGAATAAAGCAAATCTGCCTCCACACGCTTGTTTGTTATTGTTCTGACTTCTCCAAGTTTTAAAGGATAAAACCCTAACACTCAGAAGCTCAAATCAATTCCTAATGAGGGATATGTTTCCCAAATATAGCTACCAAAACCATACAAGAATAACCTGAGAATAAGAAGCTAGGGGCCGGGCACAGCGGCTCAAGCCTGTAATCCCAGCACTTTGGGAGGCCAAGGCGGGTGGATCACAAGGTCAGGAGTTCAAGACCAGCCTGGCCCAGATAGTGAAACCCCATCTGTACTAAAAAAAAAAAAAAAAAAAAAAAAAAAATTAGCCAGGCTTGGTGGCAGGAGCCTGTAATCCTAGCTACTCGGGAGGCTGAGGCAGAGAATTGCTTGAACCCGAGAGGTGGAGGTTGCAGTGAGCCTAGATCGTGCCACTGCACTCAAGCCTGGGTGACAGAGCGAGACTCTGTCTTAAAAAAAAAAAAAAAGCAAAGAAAAGAAAGAAAAAGAAGACAGTAGGGTTACGCAGATTTCTGAAGCATCGTTTTTTCAAAGGCTGGCTGTGCCCTCTCATCCTGAGGAGTCACCCTTGCTGGGGGCCTGTGGAGCCCCAGAAGGCGGGTCAGGGGGCTCTCACACCACAGCCTCGGAGAAGTAACCAGAAGCTTACCAATCCACAACTCCTAAGGTAACATGCAACCAGTTCTGGTCTGTGGCTTGAAAAAGTTAAACAGAAAGGAGCTGTAGATTTTCTTGCCACAATCACTCATGATGCATACAACGCTATATTACTGGCATAACATGAAAATAAATTATCCCTTAAGCACTACACCTAACTCTAAAAAGAAAATGCCTTTCAAAACAGCTAGGCTCAAATAAAGTATTCCGAGACTTCCGTAAGGACAGTCCTAGAATGAGCCAGTGCCCCTGGAGAGCCCGTGTTTGAACAAAATAGCACAGTTCTGGCCGGGCGCAGTGGCTCATGCCTGTAATCCCAGCACTTTGGGAGGCCGAGGTGGGCAGATCACAAGGTCAGGAGATCAAGACCATCCCAGTCAACATGGTGAAACCCCATCTCTACTAAAAATACAAAAATTAGCTGAGTATGGCGGCACGTGCTTGTAATCCCAGCTACTCGGGAGGCTGAGGCAGGAGAATCACTTGAACCCTGGAGGCAGAGGTTGCAGTGAGCCAAGATCACGCCACTGTACTCCAGCCTGGGCGACAAAGCTAGACTCCATCTCAAAGAAAAAAGAAAAAAGAAAAAAATAGCACAGTTCAAACCTTTCTCTGTGGTACTTATGTGGATTAGTTACAATTATGATGTCACTACTTTCAAAGGAACGATTAAAATTATTATTAAAAACATTTGTCACAAACAGAAATGCCCTGTAAATCATATTACTGCACACAGGGTTATCAGGAGCTAGGCACATCAAGACCTTACGGCCTCTAGAAGACCAAGAATAGAGACCCTAAGGGCATGACTATGGCCACTCCTGCCAACATGCCCACTGCCAGGTCACTGTCATTGTCTCGATATCACTCTTGAATGATGACTTGGTTAGCAGGCTGCTGTCCATAAAGTCCTGCATACGAGTACTGGTAGGGCACAGCATACGCCTGTCCATTAGCAGCATAGACAATTTGAGTTCCTGGCAGGCACACACCACTGTATGGCTCATAGCCCTATTCCTCAGTGGCTGGTGCAGCATAGGCCGTGTGTGGTGGAGGGGAGGAAACCACGGGTGTCTCATCAGTCATGACTGTGGAGCCCACATAGGCTGTGTTTGTCCTGGAATCTTGGAGTGTAAATTTCCAAGCCAAGCAATCACTGTGTTTTCTGCACAAAGACTAATTGTTTTCCCATCTGAGCAAACAATCTGCAGCATGCAGTCTTTTTCCATATATATATATCATATATATAAATTATATATGATACATATTTTAATAAGAATATTATATATTATATAATTATATTTAAATATTAATGTATATTATATTTAAATATAATTATATAATATATAAGTATTATTTATTATACAATATATAATATATATTTTATACATTTTTTGGGGGGGAGCAGGATCTCATTCCGTCACCCATGCTGGAGTGCAGTGGCCCAATCTCGGCTCAATGCAACCTCCACCTCCCAAGTTCAAGCAATTCTCCTGCCTCAGCCTCCCAAATAGCTAGGATTACAGGTGCGTGCCACCATGACTGGCTAATTTTTGTATTTTTAGGTGAGACGAGGTTTCACCATGTTGGCCAGGCTGGTCTCGAACTCCTGACCTCAAGTGATCCGCCTGCCTCGACCTCCCAAAGTGCTGGGATTACAGACATGAGCCACCACTCCCGGCAGTTTGCAGTCTTTTGACTTTCCATGCAGAGGCTGACTATCCCGACATTCCTGCCTGGCAGGGATATTGAGGCATTCCACTTGCATGCGGACCTTATCCTCAACACTCTGCCAAGTCTGGTCATCATAATAGGTCAGGTACCATCTGACCACAGGTCAAACCAATTCTTATTCCAGAACTTCAATATAGCACTCTGTTGCAGCAACCAGCCACTCTTCAGGCCATCTCTTCACCCACCAGCCAGAGTGGAGAATGCAAAGACTCCACTGGGTTTCCTCAGCTCCAACTGTCACACCAATATCTATTCTTCTAATGTAATACTGCATTTGGTTTGTGAATATTTTTTCTAGAACTTTTACACCTATATCCATAAGTAAAATCAACCTATAGTTTTACTTTTGAAATATCTTTATTGGCTTTTATAAAATGTAATGCTAGCTTTCATAAAATGAATTGGGAAACATAAGATAATTTGGGGTGCTTTTCATCTACTTCTAACGAATGATCATTAAACTCTTATGAGCCAAGGAGACCTTTAAAAATTTAATGAAACCTTTGGACTTGAGCCCTAGAAAATAGTATGTGCTCACTTAAGCTTAATTTAGCATACAATTTACAGGGGTTCTTCAGATTTTACTCTGCATTACAACCCTGGCCACTAGAAGAGGGACTGAGTATGTCTTCGTCACCATCCAGCACTTAATGGAGGTGCTGGGGGAATGGGGCACCCGTTCCCCATAGTTTGCCCTGTGTGTCTCTTCATTTGGCTGTTCTGAGTTGTATCCTTTATAACAAACCAGTAAATGTAAGTAAAGGGTTTTCCCATGTTTTTCCATCAAATTCTCAAACATGAGGAGAAGGGCATGGAAACTCCTGATTTATAGCCAGCCAATCAGAACCAAAGTGCAGGTGGCAACTCAGGACATGCGATTGGCATCTGAAGTGAGGCCAATCTTGTGGGACTGAGCCCTTAGCTATGGGACCTGCACTAACTCCAGGTAATAATTATCAGACTTGAATGGAATTGTAGATCACCCAGTTGTCCGAAGAACTAGAGAACTGCTTAATGTGAGGGGAAGAAAAACAAACCCACACACATTTGGTATCAAAAGTTTTGTGAGTCAACACATTTCAGGCACCAGTAAGCTGCTGGAATAGTGCCCCCTCCATTTCCCCAGGTCACTAATGAAGTGGAGGAAAACTGCAGCCTCTTTCTCCCTTCTGTCTTTTTTCCTGCTAAACTAAAACAGACTGGAAGCAGCGTTTGAATTGGTTTTTGTTTTACTCATATTCCATGCAGCTAGCTTCTCTGTATAAAGGCCCCATGCACTTAGAGGAAAAACATCTTGCTTCAACTTCCACCTATGAAACTAGAAATTTTGCTTTTAATCCAGCTAGTGCAGTAGATTTTACACTACCTATTTTTCAAGTAAGAACATTGAAATGTAACATTAATTGGTCCAAGTTCACACAACATTGCAGCATCAGGGCCCAACGGGGAAGGCTACTACAGCAGTTACTGCTTCGGGGGACCACCACTGCATCACCCCATATACAAGGTGTTCAATCATTCTCCTCACACGCGTATCTTTTTCTAAATCCACCCACATTTGAGAAGTTTCTCTGGTTCAATTATTTCATGGAGGAGGCAGAGATGGCTCACCTCAAGGAAGTCACACCAGAGTGGGGAAGAAGGGACAGAAACCCAAGAGTAGGAATCCTTCTCCCAAGCACACAGTGAGAACTAGGTTGGCAGGAGTTGAGTGTCATTAAGCTTTTAGTCTCCCATGTATGTCTTATCAGGCCCCACAACAATTCTTTGCGGAACGTTCAGGAAGAAAAGGTCACATGATAAACAGCTGTGTCTTCCCCTTCCCTAATCTCATTCACTTACCTCCAGAAACATGTTTCATTCTGACTAAGTCTTGGCCTAGACATTCTGTGATCTCAGACTTATCAAACGGCTTTGACATTAAGCTTGGTCTTTCTTGCCAATTATAGATTCCTTTCTCTGTTAAAACAGCCCTCTAGCTCAGAACGGAATTTCAACACCATCCCTGGACTTTCCCTTTGGGCAGGTCTAGGAGCACTCAGCAAGATGATTGGTTCAGCAACTGTGATTGTGACAATGGGTTTTCAGTATGAATCTTTTCTAGAATTCTGAGGCACCTGTTAGGAAGCGTGCTTGGGCTTGTGAATCTCCAAGACAGGCACTCATTTTCTTGTTTAGGCCTCTTGTGCAACTGGCCTCATTTTTTAAATTCACATATTAGTTTTTTCCCCACACCGATAGTTTCTACTCTTCCTAGAAAATGTGATGCTAAAACAGAAAAACAGTGGCAGACTTATGTCCATGGAAGATGATAATACCTAGCTGATTATTAGTAACAATAGCAGCAAACACTTAGGTAGCACTTACTTCATGTCAGGTACTGTTTTAAGTTCTTTCTATATATTAACTCTTTTCATCAGCACAGCAACCCTATGAGGTAGGTCTAGTGTTATTCCTACTTTACCCATGGGAAAACTGAGCCACAGAGAGGTTAAGTAAATTGTCCAGCTATTAAGTGGTGGATTTGAAATCAGAGTCTTTGCCCTTAATTACCACACAATGTTGCTTCTCATAGAGTGTATTTCTGAATAAGCTTCTGTAAGGACAATGGTCTCAGGCTTCAGTGGAAGCCATAATTCAGACCTCAGGAGCCCTACCATTCTCCAGCAGATATGGCATGCCCCAAACATAAACACGAAAGCATGAAAAAGGCTTTTGGTCAACTACTGTTTTCTGGACATCTTTGCTGTTGTCTTTTTGTAAGAAAAAAAAAACGATGGAGGAAATGAGTTTGCAGGCTTGCAGCAAGACACTAATTTTGAAAAATTTTTGGAAAAAGTGTGATTTTGTTAAAGAAATGTAGTTGGTTATTTTCAGAAGACTTATAGAAAGTCAAAACAAGTCAGGCATGGTGGCTCACATCTGTAATCCTAGCACTTTGGGAGGCTAAAGCAGCAAGATCTGTTGAGGCCAATTGTTCAAGGCCTGCCTGGGCAACATAGCGAGATCCCATTTCTACAAAAAAAAAAAATTAGGCAGGCATGGTGGCATGTGTCTGTAGTCCCAGTTGCTTGTGAGGCTGAGGCAAGAGGATTGTGTGAGTCGAGACTCAGGAGTTCAAGGTCACAGTAAGCTACGATCGCACCCCTGCTCTCCAGTCTGGGCAACAGAGTGAGATCCTGTCTCTGAAAGAAAAAAAAGAAAAGAGAAGAAAAACCACCTAAATCTCTCCTTAAAAATATCGAATGCCCTTTAATAACAGAAAAAGAATAATTTGTAACTTGTGCATCATGTATTTTTATGAAAACAGTGTCCTTAGCATTATTTCATTATAAATACAAACATAAAATAACAGTAACAAAAAAAAACCTACACAAATTTCAAACCATATGAGAGATTTACCTAAAAACAAGTAGAGAGATTGTTTTTCCTGCCCTAACTCTCTAATCTAGGATCCCTAACATACAGGGAGAAAGGGGTAGCTAAACTATCTATTAGACTACTACTTTGGAGGCACTGGAGTAGAATTTTTTTTTTTTTTTTTTTTTTTTTTTTTTTTTTTTTTTGAGACGGAGTCTCGCTCTGTCGCCCAGGCTGGAGTGCAGTGGCGCGATCTCGGCTCACTGCAAGCTTCGCCTCCCGGGTTCACGCCATTCTCCTGCCTCAGCCTCCCGAGTAGCTGGGACTACAGGCGCCCGCTACCACGCCCGGCTAATTTTTTGTATTTTTAGTAGAGACGGGGTTTCACCGTGTTAGCCAGGATGGTCTCGATCTCCTGACCTCGTGATCCGCCCGCCTCGGCCTCCCAAAGTGCTGGGATTACAGGCGTGAGCCACCGCGCCCGGCCGAATTTTTTGTTGTTGTTGTTGTTTTTAACTTTTTCACTATGATATGCACCATATGTATCTGAGTACTTATAATATAGATAAACAATTTAATCACTAATTATTAGTGAACACTTATTAAAGCCACCACCATTTGTGACTAAATTCTGGACCAGGGAATATAGATGGAAAAGATATACTACTTATAGAGTTGGGCCATGAAGAGTTCCCAGATGGGATTCTCACTCCACTCATCCATTCCCTGGATGATGCTGAGGTGCAGGTATTAGTTTGCTGGGGCTACCATGACAAAATATCACAGACTGGGGGGGGCTTAAAGAACGGAAATTTATTTTCTCACAGTTCTGGGGGCTGGAAGCCCATCACCCAGGTGCTGGCAGGTTTGGTTTCTCCTAAAGCCTCTCTCACTAGCAGGCAGACAGCTGCCCTCTCGCCATGTTCTCACGTGGGCTTTCCTCTCTGTGAGCACATCTCCGGTGTCTCTTTATATCTCCAAATTTCCTCTTCTTCTTCTAAGAACATCAGTCACATTAGATTAGGGCCCATCCTAACAGCTTCATTTTAATTTAATCACATCTTTAAAGGCCCTGTTTCCAGATAGAGTCACATTCTGAGGAACTGCGGGCTAGAGTTTCAACATATGAATCTGGGGAAGATACAATTCAGTGCATAACAGTGACCTGGAAGCCAAAATATGGAGCCACAAGATGGAAGGATCCTGGATCCCCAGATGGCCCCTTGGAAGAGAGAAGACTAGAAGACCTCTCAACTAGGAACAACAGCATTAGACTTTTTGTGAGCAACCCATGAACTTTTAATTTTGTTAAACAACTTCTATTTTGGGATTATTTATAACAGAATCCTACACTGACGAAATGAAAGAAAGCTCAACCATCCCCTGTTGAGTGTATCTAATTAAATCAGGTTTTAATATACTGACTTCTGGTGAGGAGAAAGAGTACAAATGAAGAGAGATAATTCTAGACTTGCAGCCTCTGAAATTGATTTGGTGGAATTGACCATGGGCAATAGATTCTGCAATGAACTAGTACATTAATTAATGCTAAGTGGTATGATTAATTTGAATTATGTTTTCTTTAAGTGCAATGAATAATTTGGGTTCTTATCTGTACCTGAAAAAAAATTCAGAATTAACACATCTGAATTAGTTAATTTGCAGTTGTTTGGTAAATCGGTCTAGCCCCATATTCTTGGGTAAGCATATTTCTGGAGAGAAAAAGAAAGAAAAAGAAAAAGCTCCAAATTCTGAGAGCTTTATGATCTCTATGAGGTCAGTTGAAGAGTGACTACCAGAAGCAGAGGCCTGCCAGCACCCACAATTCTTCTGTTCAGAGACAGTAAATTAGGATTTTAAGGGAAGAAAAAAGGAATTGGAAAGGCAGCTTCTTGGCAACTTAAATTTCCTAGGCTGCTGAAAGGGGAATCCTCCACAGTGAGCAGTGAGATGCTGAAAAAAGATGGGGTGCAAGCAAGTGTTGCTCACAAGTAGCCCACGGAGGAGAAGGACCCTAAATTATGTGGAAGGTGAAGAATGCTTCTAAACAGAGCGTGGGGTCTGTAGAGGATCCATGGAGGCTCATCACAGCTTCCTGGTGGTGAAGACAAACAGCGCCTGCTTCAATTGGTCCCCTTGTCCCCAGCCTCACTAAACTGTTCCCCTCTTCCAGTCTTTTCTGTCTTGGACAAGTAGATTTATCTTATCTTCAGCGATGGAAAAACTGACTCGCCTTGGCCACCTATTCTTCTCAATCTTTTGCATCTTCCACCTGGCTGTTAGCTTTTAAAACTAAAAGACAAGAGTTTGATTCTTATTTCTCGGGTTCTGCTATGACAACTGTCCCTTGAGGCAACAGAGCTTGGTTTCTGTCTGCCCAGCAGCAGGAGGTTCATGGAGTAACAGAGAATATCACACACACCAAAACCTCTCTTAATATATCAAAGCATATTCCTGCCAAACATCAAAATAAAGAGCTGGAAAATTTTCACCCCTTTTATGTTTGTTTTTGGGGAAAAAACAACCAAAGAAACTGCACATTATCTAAGGAAACATTTACAGACAAATGCAATCTGTTCTCTCATGGGAATCCCTGGCACAAAATCCAATGACTGATGTGGTCACACTGTACTCTACAGAGAGGCTGCGGCTATCGGGTGAAACAGAACTCCTCACAGAGACCAAACAAGGTTTGTGGGTTACCAGACACTGGTGTTCTCTTACAGACAAAGTGTGGTCTTGTCAGGTGACATTCCAAAGGCACATGTCATCTTGGGTGTTCAGGTTGAAGCTACCATTGTGGAAAAATCTCCTGTTTAGATGACAAAACAATATCAAGCACAGCTTAGAAATTCTACATTTGCCAGCCTGGCCAACATGGTGACACCCGTCTCTACTAAAAATACAAAACTTAGCCAGGCATGGTGGCATGTGCCTGTAATCCTAGCTACTCAGGAGGCTGAGGCACGAGAATTGCTTGAACCTGGGAGGCGGAGGTAGCAGTGAGCCAAGATCGCACCACTGTACTCCAGCCAGGATGACAGAGAGAGACTCCATCTCAAAAAAAAAAAAAAAAAAAAAAAAGAGACCGGGCATGATGGCTCACACCCGTAATCCCAGCATTTTGGGAGGCTGAGGCAGGTGGATCACCTGAGGTTGGGAGCTCGAGACCAGCCTGACCAACATGGAGAAACCCTGTCTCTACTAAAAATGCAAAATTAGCCGGGTGTGGTGGTGCATGCCTGTAATCCCAGCTACTCAGCAGGCTGAGGCAGGAGAATCACTTGAACCCGGGAGGCGGAGGTTGCGGTGAGCCAAGATCGCACCATCGCACTCCAGCATGGGCAAGAAGAGTGAAACTCTGTCTCAAAAAGAAAAGAAAAGAAAAGAAATTCTACATTTGACATAGAATTAAACTATTAGCCAATTCAGAGTGGCTTATTTCCCTCTGTTTCATAGAAAGTTGACCTAAATAAAAGTCAAACTCATGGTTTATGTTTAAATAATTAAAAACTTGAAATGATGTACAAGTAGCAGTAACTGACCAAGCTTCAAGAACAAAATAGCCTAAAATGCTCTTAATTTAAGACATTTTGGGCCAGGCGTGGTGTCTCACTCCTGTAATCCCAACACTTTGGGAGGAGGCCGAGGTGGGTGGATCACTTGAGATCTGGAGTTCGAGACCAACCTGGCCAACGTGGGGAAAGCTCATCTCTACTAAAATTACAAAAATTAGCCAGGGATGGTGGCATGCACCTGTAATTCCAGCTACTTGGGAGCCTAAGGCAGTAGAACTGCTTGAACCTAAGAGGTGGAGGTTGCAGTGAGCCAAGATTGTGCCACTGCACTCCAGGCTGCGCGATAGAGACCCTGTCTCAAACAAACAAAAACAAAAAATATTGGATTTGAGATATCAGGAAGCCACCAAGTGACTATCAATATTTTGACCCCAACTCTGAGTATTGTTTGGGGTAGGTTATATCCTCAGATTTTTTTGCCCTTCTTTGCCAGTGGGAGGCTCTAAAAAAGTCCAGAGAATCTTCCTCCAATTCAGAAATAGCCAAAGATCAGCACAAACAAACACAAAGCAGCATGAAGAACTGTTTTCTACTGCTGGAATACCAGAAAATCTGAGCAGGAGACAAGAAGTGTTGCCAGGACATGGCTTTACTGGTTGGGTTGGTTGGGTAAGCAGGTGGTTTGGTTTGGTTCTTTCCCCTGCATTCAACTTATAAATTAGGTGGCAAATGACAAGAAAATTGGCCAAGATGATGAATCATTCATGAGAGCTAAGGAATTACCCCCACCCAACCTAACATTTTCCAGACATGGAAATTGACATCTGGAGAAGGAGTGACTTTCCACCATCTCTCAGCAAGTAAGTTGCAGCGCTTGGAACAAGAACCCTGTTCTATCTCTGAGTCCAAGACTGTTCCCACTTCAAAACTGATCATGGGCTTCATCATAAAAATATACCTACCAGCTCTGAACCTAGCCATCTTCCCTCACCCCCACCACAACCACAAACCACAGCTTCTGCTTGACAGACATACTATATCATCATGATGAAAACTCACGAGAACAACAGCATGGAAGTTCAAGGTTCAAACTGAGACAGAAACTGGATGTACAGCATGTAGTAGGTGGTGAATAAATATTTTATTAATAAATTAATGAGTGATCATGTGAATAAAGTTGTTGTATTGTCAGGGCATTAGACACATAAAGAGCAGCTTACGGTGTATAATGGGTTTCCTTTTAGGGTTTACTTTCCCAAAATATTTGGATAAGGGTTACCTGATAATGCTAAACATTCATAACGGTAAGTATAGACTTCAAATTAGGCTGACTCCACTGTTCAAATGCTTTAAGTAAAACGTCAAAATTCAGAACATCTGGAATGAAATAAGGCTTGGTTAGTCTTTGTAATTAAACTACTCTTAAAATTATATTAAAAATCAGGCCAGGCGCCGTGGTTTACTCCTGTAATCCCAGCACTTTGGGAGGCCAAGGTGAGCAGATAACCTGAGTGCAGGAGTTAGAGACCAGCCTGGCCAACATGGAGAAACCCCATTTCTACTAAAAATACAAAAGTTAGCCAGGCGTAGTGGTGGGCACCTGTAGTCTCAGCTACTGGGGAGGCTGAGGCAGAAGAATCGCTTGAACCCTGAAGATGGAGGTTGCAGTGAGCCGAGATGGCGCCATTGCACTCCAGCCTGAGCAACAGAGCAAGACTTTCTCTCAAAACAAACAAACAAAAATGATATTAAAAATCAAAATGGTTTTAAATGTATTACAGTGGTTGTTGCTGGGACTGCCATTAGGGACAAATTTCTCCTCCCTTTTTTACCTTTCTCTATATGCTGAATTTTGTAATATTAAAAATAAGATTTAAGGCCAGGTGCGGTGGCTCACGCCTGTAATCCCAGTGCTTTGGGAGGCTGAGGCAGGTGGATCACGAAGTCAGGAGATTGAGACCATCCTGGCTTACACGGTGAAAGCCCGTCTCTACTAAAAATACAAAAAAAAAAATTAGCTGGGTGTGGTGGCGGGCGCCTGTAGTCCCAGCTACTGGGGAGGCTGAGGCAGGAGAATGGCGTGAACCCGGGAGGCAGAGCTTGCAGTGAGCGGAGATGGCACCACTGCACTCCAGCCTGGGTGACAGAGCGAGACTCTGTATTTAAAAAAAAAAAAAAGAGTTAAAAGGGCAGGCCGGGCGTGGAGCTCATGCCTGTAGTCTCAGCACTTTGGAAGGCCGAGGTGGGCGGATCACTTGAGGTCAGGAGTTCCAGACCAGCCTGGCCAACATGGTGAAATCCCTTCTCTACTAAAAATACAAAAATTAGCTGGGGGTGTGGTGGTGCACGCCTGTAATCCCAGCTACTCGGGAGTCTGAGGAAAGAGCATTGCTTGAACCAGGGAGGTGGAGGTTGCAGCGAACCAAGATCGTGCCACTGCACTCCAGCCTGGATGACAGAAGGAGACTCCTCCATCTCATTAAAAAAATAAAAAATAAAGGGCAAACCAGTTTGAGAACAAACTGAAAGAGGTCAAGCATGGTAGCCCCTATTGCCTTGCCTGCCAGGTTCTTGATCTGGGGGATACAGCAGTGCATGGAAGAGCCCAGGCTTTGGCCCTCAGGGCCCTACATTCAAGAGAGGGCATCAGATGACTAGCAAATGAGCAGATCTATACCAAGTGGTGAAGAAGAATAAAGCAGGTTGGGATACAGTGAGTGATGGTAGGGGCATAGTCTTTCAACAGGTACTCAAGCATTCTCTGATAAAATGCTATTTGAGCAGAGATCAAAGAGGAGTAAGGGCAGAAGCTGGAGACCAGTTAGGAGGCCTCTGTAGCACCCGGGTATGGAATGATAGTGGCTCTGTGTACAGGGGATTAGAGAAGGGTCATACTCTGGCCATACTCAGAAGACATAGCTGCCAGGATTTGCTGAAGGAGTGACAGAATGTGAGGTCTATAGAAAGAAAGGATCTTGGATGAGGCAAGAAGCCTGAGCTTGACCTGAGCCTCCTTTGCTTCAGAGCCAGTCCATCCAAACTCCAGGTAGCTCGGGAAAGATGAATGAAGCTTCACTTTTTGAGCTCCGGTTACTTTTCAACACACTGTCCCCATCCTTACTCTCGTCTGGATTCACAACAGTCTTTTAATAGCTGAAAAAAAAAATGTTATCCCAGACTACATAGATCAGCCATGATCACACCACCATTAAAGGATAAAATGGAGACTAAAACAAACATGTGGCAATTTCCCTGGGTGGTCCTCCTAGAGGATACTGATCCCTTGATAACAGGGGCCACATGTGTCAGCACTGCGCTCTCCACCATGCCCAGCAAAGCACCTGGCATGCTGCAGGCCCTCAACAAATGCTCGCTGAATTAACTCCCCTTGAGGAGAGGCCACGGGTGGCTACATTGTGAGGCTTGAGGACGCAGGCATTAAAATCAGACCGTTCTAATATTTGTCACTACCTCTGCATTCAGTCCTCTGACTTTGAGCAGGCTTTTAAACCTCCTAATCTTCAGTGCGCTCTTGTTTTTTATTAAAAAAAAAAAGAGAGAGAGAGAAGAAAGAAATGAAGATAATGATACTTAGCCCTCAGAGTTGGTGGAAGGATTAGATGAAATTATATTTGCAAAGCACGAGCTACAGAAGCTGGCACAGATCAAGGAATCCAAAAGTGTAAACTATTATTAAACCAAGGACCTCGAAACTATGCAATCCCTCCTCACTCCTCAGCCAGTACTTCAGTTCCTACCAAACCTGTTAGAAGACCCTGTAGCTTAAAATAGAGCAACTGGGGAAGATCTCTTCCGCTCCACTGCCTTCAGCCCCACCCTGCCTGGCCTCGCTATGTTGGCTGCAGCACACAAGCTGAGTCATGCCAGCTGCCGGCAGGGCAATTTTAAGCCCAAAGGGGCCATGTCCGTCACCCGATCCACAGTACACCCACACCTAGCTTTCCTGTCTGCAGAGATAAACGGCAAATGCGGGAGGCCATGTGTCTTTCTGGGTATCTGGGCCATCAACTGTGGAATGGCCATTTTATATGAGCGTTTATCAGCCTTGGTTTGTGTATCAGTGTCGGAGAGACACCTGGATTATACAATGTCAGTCTGCAGACAACAGTAGAGAAGTGTGAATCACTAGATTATTTTTGTAGATAGCTAATTAAGCAATTAATGCCAATCTCCATATCTAGCATAAGAAACCGTAAAGGCTGGGGGCAATGGCTCACGCCTGTAATCCCAGCACTTTGGGAGGCCAAGGCAGGAAGATCACTTGAGTCGAGGAGTTCAAGACCAGCCTGGGCAACATAGGGAAACTATTTTTTTTTTTTTTTTTTTTTGAGATGGAGTCTCACTCTGTCTCACAGGCTGGAGTGCAGTGCAGTGACACCCTCTCGGCTCACTCCAACCTCCACCTCCGGGGTTCAAGTGATTCTCCCGCCTCAGCCTCCTGCGTAGCTGATTACAGGCACACGCCACCACGTCCAGCTAATTATTGTGTTTTTAGTAGAGACAGGGTTTCTCCATGTTGGTCAGGCTGGTATTGAACTCATAACCGCAGGTGATCCGTCCGCCTCAGCCTCCCAGAGTACTGAGATTGCAGGCGTGAGCCACCGCACCTGGCCTCCTGTCTCTATTAAAAAAAAAAAAAAAGAAAAAAGAAAGAAAGAAAAGAAAAGAAAAAGAAACTGAATTTTTTTCAGTCTTAGTAACTTGTCTGTTCATTTGATGCCCTTCACCTGCTCATTAAAAAGAAACAAAAAAATGAAGAAAAAACACTTCCTGAAAAGTAACCTGCTGAGTCACCCTCCAAAGGCAACTATGGCCTGTGCTCAGGAACTGGCTCACTTTTCCGATTCGCATTGCATAACCCCATCCCCAGCACCTCTTGCTTGCCACCCGCTTTCTCTTTGACATTCCCCCTTCCACTTTGGAGGCTCGCTTGGCAGCCCCCTGTGGGCCCTCTCAGTGCATCCCCTTTGAAGCTCCACAGTGACTTCCTCTGTGGAGCTGATTCTCCCTGAATGCACAGTGGTATGGGAAGCAAGGGAGAGATGCCCCAGGAGCCAGGTCCCCACCCCAGCGCAGCAGAGGAGTCCAGCAGAAGAAGCCTAAGGGAATGTCTTGAAATGCATACCAGAAGTATATTAAGTCCTAATACTCAGGCTGTAAACAAGCCCTCTCCCCAGGGCAATGGCAGTTTTGATGGGATATGCCGTATTATTTATATAAAGAGTAGAGACCATCAGAATCTGAATATTAGTGCCAAAAGGGTGGGTGTAGGAATTGTCTGGTGCTGTGGTGCCCAACCCAGCTGCACACCAAGATTACTAGAGGAACTTAAAAAATACCGATGGATAAGCCCTCTCCCAGACCAATTGAAAAAGAGTCTCTGGGATTGAGATGGGGCATTTGCAATCTCTGCAGGTGACTCTAATGTGCGGTTAAATATAGGAAATCCAGTCCAGTGGCTCTTAAGTGTTACTGAGTCACAGACTCCTGTGACAAGTACAATAGATTTCATCTGAAAAAAAAAAAAAACAACTCTTTTATACACAATTTCAGAGACACACTGACACCCTGAGGCTCCCCTATCAGGTCAGACTTTTCTTTGGGCAAATGATGAGTGAGGCCAAGAACAGTTAAGAAACCTCAGCCCTTCGTGGTGGCTCATACCTGTAATTCCAGCACTTTGGGAGGCCAAGGTGGGTGGATCACAAGGTCAGGAGTTCAAGACCAAGCCCGGCCAAGATTGTGAAACCCCATCTCTACTAAAAACACAAAAAATTAGCCAGGTGAGGGGGCAGATGCCTGTAATCCCAGCTACTTGGGAGGCTGAGGCAGGAGAATCGCTTGAACTCGGAGGGCAGAGGTTGCAGTGAGCCGAGAGCACCACTGCACTCCAGCCTGGGCGACACAGTAAGACTCCGTCTCAAAAAAAAAAAAAAAAGAAAGAAAGAAACTGCAGCTCTAGGCCAGGTATGGTGGCTCACACCTATAATCCCAACACTTTGGGATGTGGAAGCAGGCAGATCTCTTGAGCCCAGGAGTTTGAGACCAGCCTAGGCAACATAGTGAGACCCTATCTCTAAAAAATGTTTAAAATTAGCCAGGCATGGTAGCGCATGCCTATAGTTCCACCTACTTGGGAGACTGAGACAGGATGATCACTTGAGCCCAAGAATTTGAGGCTGCAGTTAGCGGTGATCATGCCACTGCAGTCCAGACCCTGTCTCAAAAAAAAAAGAAAGAAAGAAAAGAGAAAAAAGCCTCAGCCCAGCCAATAAGGCCTGTGAGCTAGCAAAGGCCAGGCCAATATGTTTTCTCCTTTCTCAGTGGTGAGCACTAGTCAGAAACAGTTTTCTCTGACCTAACACAGTACCATAGATACGAGAAAAGCAAAGATTACCATCTATCTTATCCAATTCATTTATTGAGCAGATGTCAGGCAAATCCTGTAATAATACTAATATTCATCCATCTACTGAAACTGTCCTTAGTGAAGTTTTACTAATTAATCTTAAACAACTCCTGTTATGGGTTGAATTGTGTCCCCCCAAAAGATATGTTGAAGTCCTAACTCCCAGTCCACGTAAATGTGGCCTTATTTGGAAATCAAGTCTGTATATATAATCAAGTTAACGTGAGTTCATTAGGATGAGTCGTAATCCAGTATGACTGGTGTCCTTATAAGAAGATGACAAAACGAATGGAAGGCCGAGACACACAGGGGAAATGCCATGTGGCAACAGAGGCAGAGGTTGGAGTGATACATTTACAAGCCAAGGAACACCAAGGATTGCCAGAAACCACCAGATGCTAGGAGGAGGCAAGGAAGGATTCTCCTTTTCAGGCGTCAGAGGGAGCATGGCCCTGCTGACACCTTGATTTTGGACTCTGGACTGCAAAACTGTGTGAAAGAAAAAATTCTTGCTGCTTTAACCCACCCAGTCTGTGGTACTTTGTACAGTTACCTTAGCAAATGATAGACCTTGGGCCAGGCACAGTGGCTCACACCTGTAATCCCAACACTTTGGGAGGCCGAGGCAGGAGGATCACGAAGTCAGGAGATCAAGACCAGCCTGACCAACATAGTAAAACCCTGTCTCTCCTAAAAATACAAAAATTAGCTGGGCGTGGTGGCACTTGCCTGTAATCCCAGCTACTCAGGAGGCTGAGGCAGGAGAATCGCTTGAATCCGGGAGGTGGAGGTTGCAGTGAGCCGAGATCACGCCACTGCACTCCAGCCTGGGCAACAGAGGGAGACTCTACCTCAAAAAAAAAAAAAAAAGGCAAATGATAGACCTAAATTGTTCCAAGCAAGCTGGGACACCTAAGCCACAGAGGAGAGCTGCTAGGAATCCGCACCCCAGCCTTCCTGCCTGGCTTGGTAAAAGAGATTTCCTTGATGGAACCTCTAAAACTGTGCCCCTGCTCTGCTTTTTAAAAAGATTCCACTTGAATATTTTGTGCCCTCTTAGTTTTGCTCATGGCACTTTCTGTATTTACTTTGGGTACTTGTAACTATCTCCAATGTCCATCTTACCCACTGGACTATAACTTCCCTAGGGGAAGGAAAAATGTCAAGTCTTGTTCATGGCCCATACCTTGCTCAGTGCCCAGTAAATAAAGAATTGAGTGAATGAATGAATGTGAAAGTGACATTCAATCTTTATCCTGATGGATTTCTCTGCTGCATCTGAACACCTCTCATCCTTTGACTGGAATGATGGGATCTTTCTATGTTTCCCAGACTGGCCTCAAACTCCTGGGCTGAAGCTTTCCTCTTTCCTTGACTTTTCAAAGTTCTGGGATTATAGGTGTGAGACACTGTGCCTGGCCAATATTTTCTCTTGGCATTCATTTCTGACTGTTCCTTCTTATTCTTTCAGGCCTCTCTTTCTCTGTACATTCTTTACATACTTCTATTCCCCAGATTCATTTTCATTTCATTCTCTCTTCAACTCTTCTAATTGTACCCACCACTGATATTTATATGACTCGCAAACTTGGGGCTAAGATCTTTCCTGAACTTCATAGATATATATCCACACTGTCTGAAAGATGTTTCTCTCTAAGTATCCCCAGACGTAACAAATAAAATTCAACCCACTTTACCTTTTTTAATATCTCAAGCCCATTTCCTCTTCTCCTACCCTAAAAAACTGCCAACACTGAGGTCTTCATGGCTTCTCACATTCTAAATGTATCCCTCTCAAATCTATCCTCTATCCAGGCACCAGATTGAGGTATCTAAAATATCAACTTTCCAGTTACTCCTTCTTATACTAGCCCAATCAACTTACAAGATAAAGTCCAAGCCCCTTCATATGACAAACCACACCCTGCTTAACTCTCCAGGCTTGAATCCTTCATCTCCTACTTTAAACTTTAAAACCCAGCAGCACGAAAGTGTCTCCTATGCATGTTGCCATATGCGTTCTCTCCATCATGCATTTGCCTGAGCAAGATGTCTTGAGTTAACATCTTATTCTTTAAGACTCATTGTGGTGGTAGACAGCCTTTAATAACGGATCCTTGGCCAGGCACAGTGACTCACACCTGTAATCCCAGAACTTTGAAAGGCCAAGGAAGGAAGAAAGCTTGAGGCCAGTAGTTTGAGACCAGCCTGGGAAACAGAGAGAGATCCCATCTCTACCAAAAATTTAAAAAAATATTAGCAGGGAGTAGTGGCATGCACAAGTGGTCCCAGCTCCATGGGAGACTGAGGTAGGAACATCACTTGAGCCCAGGAAGTCAAGGCTGCAGTGAACCATGATCAGAACACTGCACTCCAGCTTGGGTAACAGAGTGAGACCTTAGGTCAGAAAAATGAATAAATAAGCATAAAATTTTAAAAACTTAGCCAGGCATGGTGGCACACATCTGTGGTCCCTGCTACTTAGGAGGCTGAGGTGAGAGGATCCTTGAGCCCAGGAGGTCAACACTACAGTGAGCTATGATTGTGCCACTAAACTCCAACCTGGGTGAAAAAGCAAAACCCTGCCAAAAAGAAAAAAAAAAACTCAAGAATCCCCAACTCCTACTTTTCACATCTTGTGTGATCCCTTTTCCCCAAGTATAGGTCTGACCTGGTGACTTGTTTCTAGGAAATAGAATATAATGAAAGGGACGAGAGGTCACTTCCATGATTAGATTATACATGACTGTGACTTCCATCTTGTTTGCACTTTCTCTCTCTGGTTCTCCTCAAATGTTTCTTTTGAGGAAGCAGGCTGGAGAGGCCTAGGTGGCAAAAAATAGAGGATGGCCTCTTGACAACTGCCAGTTAGGAACTGAGGTCTTCAGGCAACAACAGTGTCAAAATCAAGTCCTTCCAACAACCACAAGAGAGCTTAGAATGAATCCTTCTCCATTGGAGCCTTCAGTTGAGACCACAGCCCTAGCCAACAACTTGATTGCAGCTTTGTCAGAGACTCTGAAGGAGAAGATCCAGCTAATCCATGCTCAGAATCTTGATCCACAGAAACTAGGAGACAATAAGTGCATGCTGTTTTAAGCTGCTAAATTTCTGAGTAATTTATTACAGTAATATGTAACTAAAACAATCATTTCAGGCAACCTCTATTCCATGAAGACTTCAATCCCTCCTGCCAGGCTCACACACACATACACACATTTTGTGAGCCTCTTCAGAGCTTCCACAGTGCTTTCTACTCACCTCCTAGCACTGTATTAAAGGTTTAATTATAATTAAGCCTTTAATTAATTTTTGAATTGTTGTTCCCGATAGACTTTGAGACATTTGAGGCTGTAGTATGTCTTCCTGGTTGTTCTATCTCAGTATCTCTATGTCAAATAGTTCTTGGCACATCTGGTCAAAAATTATTTTATGGATGAATGAATGAATGAATGAACAAATGAATAATAGACATTTTGCTAAGTGAAGCAGGGGGAAAAATAAATTAGATCTATGTTATAACTACAGGAACATATAATCAAGTTGAAGAGGCAGACAAAACCTGTTATGCCTATAATTTCATGTGCTATATTGTATTGCACAAGTCTTTGTTTTCACATGGGAAAAGAGGGGTATTTTTCTGACAAATTAATAAATGTGTGTTTCTTGAAGACAGAACATGTGGGAACCTCCTACTAAAAAAGTAACCTTCGTGAAATCAAAGAATTTCATAATATAACCACCCATTTTTCCCTGCCAGGTCCCCAACACTTGTCCATAAGGAATCAACAATGAAGTAATGATCTGGAAAAGAAAAATGTGCTATGGGAATCTAAAAGATAGAATGTCCTTTCTGTTCTGAACAATCTGAAAAGAATTCTCAGAGGAAATGGATTTTGACATGGACCTTGAAGGATGACAGAGCTTTGAGCAGTAAAAATAAGAAAAGAAAGAAATCCAGAGTTGATGAAAAGCATAAACAAATCCTTAAAAGAGAAGCAGAGAGACAGAGCTTGGGAGAGGCGGAGAGAAGCCAGAAGAAAGATGAAAATTGGAAATCAATTAACTTAAAGAGGGCACATGAGGTCATTACTCTTAGATAACATGGTTGAAAGATGAACCTTGTGAAACTTAAGGAACAAAAGGGAAGAGGAACTTGCTAAGTAGAGTTAAGAGGGCTCCAGGTGCATGGAGACAAGTGCCAATCACTTTACATGAGTTTGAAGGAGGAGATGACTCTCAGAGGTTTAGCATGATGCAATGTAAAAAGAGGCCTTTGGATGTGGCAATTAGAGCACTAGTGACCTTTAGGAAAACAGTAACTGTGGAAAAAAAAATGGAGATGGAAGACAGATTACAACATGGCAAAAGTACAGTATATTTGAGGAAGTCAACAAAGCAACTAGTTTTTGGAAAAGCAGTCCCAATAATAACTTGGTAGACCTGCTCATTAATTAAGTCACTAGTGATTTTGACAATAAAATAACTTATCTGATTGTGAAATAAACACCTTTCTTTACTTGAAATAAAAAGTAACTGATATTACCTGACTTTTTTTTTCTTATTTTGAGACAGTCTTGCTCTATGGTCCAGGCTACAGTGTGGTGGCATGTTCTCAGCTCACTGTAGCCTAGACCTACTGGACTCTGGCCATCCTCTAGCCTCATCCCACCAAGTAGCTGGGGCTACAGGCACACTCCACCATGCCAGCTAATTATTTTTAATTTTTATTTTTTGTAGAGACAAGGTTTCCTCGTGTTGCCCAAGCTGGTCTTAAACTCCTGGGCTCTAGCGATCCCCCAACCTTGGCCTCTGAAAGTGCTGGGACTGCAGCAGTGAGTCACTGCACCCAGCCATTTTTTCTTTTTTCTAGTGAATACTTTCTTGGCTTATAACTTTAAGTTCTGAACTATTTGCAGATATTTCATCTGGTTGTGTTCATCTGTCTTCTCAACTGTAAAGTCCATAAATCAGGAGGAATGTCTTTATCTCTTCACTCATTTTGTACTTAATAATTCCAACAACTATGATAACATTTGGCTTTTGTAAACTCTCTGTAATCCTACAAAGTATTTTTTTTCAGCCATTTACTGGTGGCTTATAAACAGTCATGCCCTGGGCTGAGAGTTTTGACTCCATGGTATCTTTTAATCCTCTAGTGAAACTTGTGATAGGCAGGGAATAATGATTATATCCTTCTCAAAACTGAGTCAAAAGTGGTGAAAAAAAGTAAGTGGGGGCCCGGGTGTGGTGGCTTATGCTTGTATCCCAGCACTGTGGGAGGCCGAAATGGGCAGAGGTCAGGAGTTTGAGACCAGCTTGGCCAACGTGGTGAAACCCCATCTCTACTTAAAATACAAAAATTAGCTGGGTGTGCCGGGACGCACCTGTAATCCCAGTTACTAGAGAAGCAGAGGCAGGAGAATCCCTTGAACCCAAGAGTCTAGAGGTTACAGTGAGCTGAGATTGTGCCACTGCACTCCATCCTGGGTAACAGAGCAAGACCTTGTCTCAAAAAAAAAAAAAGTTAGTAGGATATAGCTACTTAGATGTAGATTCTTAGGGTTAAATCTACTAACGTTTCACATGGAATCACATTACAACCTTACAAGGGTGACTCACTTGATTTGCCTGGAAATGAGAGCATTTCCAGGACATGGTACTTTCAGTTTTTTTTATATATATATTTTTATTTATTTTATTTTATGAGATGAAATCTCCCTCTGTCTCCCAGGCTGGAGTGCAGTGGCACGATCTCGGCTCACTGCAACCTCCACCTCCCGGGTTCAAGCAATTCTCCTTCCTCAGCCTCCCGAGTAGCTGGGACCACAGGTGCAGCACCACATGCCTGGCTAATTTTTGTATTTTCAGTAGAGACAGGGTTTCACCATGTTGGCCAGGCTGGTCTCAAACTCCCGACCTCAGGTGATCCACCCACCTCAGCCTCCCAAAGTTTTGGGATTACAGGCGTGAGCCACAACACCCAGCCTGTTTTTATTTATTTTATTTATTTTTGAGACAGAATTTCGCTCTGTCACCCAGGCTGAAGTACAGTGGCTCGGTCTCTGCTCACTGCAACCTCTGCCTCCCTGGTTCAATCAATTCTGGTGCCTCAGCCTCCCAAGTAGCTGGGATTACAGGCACGTGCCACCACGCCTGGCTAATTTTTGGATTTTTAGTAGAGACAGAGTTTCACCACGTTGCCCAGGCTGGTCGTGAACTCCTGGGCTCTAGTGATCCTCCTGCCTTGGCCTTCCAAAATGTTGGGATTTCAGGTATCAGCCACAGGCATCTGGCCAAGGGACTTTCAGTTTTAAAAGCGGGACAGTCAGAGGCAAGCCGGTACCAAAGAAATTTCCATATTCATTAAGGATGAAACAATAAAATGCTTTCATAAAGAAAAGGGCCAATATCTGTGGCCTCCCACAATATTTTTAAAGAAAAAATTTCAGGGTAAGTGTAAGATAACGTGGGTTGAAACTTACAGGAAAGTGTGTTTTAAGTAAGTATACATACTTTTTAAGTTAGCCAACTTATTCTAAAAATAGTATGGTTGGTAAGTAACACACTGACGCCTTGTTACTGCCCTTTGTCCTTGTTTACGTTAATTTAAAGTTCAGAAAAAAAGTCTAGATTTATCATCCAGACTAGGTGCTTTCCAAGACTCCGGGAAAGGTCTCTGAATAGCAGGGTAGCTCAGGAGTCATTGAAAAGTTATTAGCCTGACTTCCTTCTATTCCTCTATAATGACATTTTGAAAGTTAAAGTTCTAGTCTTGACTTTCTAGTTCTCAGAAACCTGTTTATTTTAATATAACATCAGTAAAGATTTTGAAAGGGCTGAAGGAGCTGTTTTCTCACTTCAGTGGCCAGCGCTGTATTGTCATTTTTGTTCAGATAGGAAAAGGGGAGTGTTTTCCTGATGAATCAATAAATGCGTATTTCTTGAAGACAGCATTTGGGAATCTCTTACTACAAATGCAGGCTTTCTAAAACCAGAGGATTTCACGATATAACCACCCGTTGATTTCTGATGGGTTCCCAACACTTGTCCAGAATGAATCATCACAAACATACACTGGTTAGTCTAGATGTTCTCTGTTGTTTGATTTTTTTTAAAGTAGTGGCAGCCATTTAATCTTCCTTCCTGACTTCTGCCTAGACTTGCTGAAATAGGGTGGATACTGCAGGGGAGCCGAAAAAACACACCCGTTGCTGTTTTGACGGCTTCTTTTAATACTTTTCTTTCCATTTACAAATAGCTCCTGCAGGTCCGTCTCAGTAGGTGCTGTTTTGGCTTAAGTTGGTAAAAAGCGAGCCCATGAATGCTGTTTCTTTCAGAATTAATTCTGTTCTCCTCCACCACAAGATCCCTCCGGGAGTGAGATGCCACCTGACTGTGCCTGACTGGCTTGCTCTACCTACCTTCTTGGATTAACCTGAGACAGTTTATAGGGTTAGTCTCATTTATTGCTGCAGATTGGAAAGCCCCTATACCAGATGAGTGCAAATAGGGGCTGCAATGATCAGTCTTTTTTTTGCCTATCAGCTGGCTTAATCATCAGCCTTCCTCGGAACACCCAGAGGTGTAAACCTTGGTTGTAATTAATGAGACTCAGGATGGAAAACAAACTAGCATTGCTCTGGGACGGGGATCCTGCCTCCAGCCCCACGCTGGGAGGCAGTCGCGTTGTGGTAGGAAGATAAAAGAATTTTGAGGTCAGAAAGACACAAGTTCAGGCCGGGCGAGGTGGCTCACACCTGTAATCCCAGCACTTTGGAAGGCCGAGGAGAGCGGATCACTTGAGGTCAGGAGTTCAAGACCAGCCTGGCCAACATGGCAAAGCCCTGTCTCTACTAAAAATGCAAAAATTAGCCAGGCGTGGTGGTGTGAGCCTATAATCCCAGCTACTCAGGAGGCTGAGGCACGAGAATCGCTTGAACCAAGGAGATGGAGGCTGCAATGAGCTGAGATTGCACCACTGCACTCCAGCCTGGGCAATAGAGCTAGATTGTCTCAAAAAAGAAAAAAAAAAGAAAAAAGAAAGAAAAGCCCAAGTTCAAATCCTGTGACTTTTCCTCATTTGCCAATCGACTACTTTGGGACTTTGAGGACACTGCTGATTCTCTGAGGCTGCTTCCTAGAATGAAAAAGATAATCATACCTTCCGAATAGGAGTGTCTGAGCACCACATGGATTAATAAAGTTATGTTTCTAAAGTATTTGGCACATGATGGGTTTGTCAGTGAGTAGTATTTATCTAGTGGAAGTTTTGTTCTATTAGTATATACTCATATGTGTATATACGTACATACATGTATATATAAGTATATATGAGTCATGTGAGTATAGTGTTAACGTAGCAGTGTTGCACCCCTGTGAATGTGTGCAACTGACTCCATAAAGCCAAAAACAAAGGCAGCTGGGGTTTGACCTGTGTTTTCCAAATTAACACTTTTTTTTTGTCTTATCTCAGAGAGAGCATTTCAAGATTCCCTTTTGAAAAATTACTGTACCCAAATCTAGCCTTACCCCAGTCAAAAATAACTAGACCGGAACTTTCTTTCTACTTCTTGAAATGTATGTAAATCAGGACCTGAATTTTTATATGAATACATGCAAGGGGCTTTGGACAATTCAATAGTGCTTGTGAAAGCTGTTGTATACCAGGTGAAGAAAAAAAAACGGTTTACCATTACTAAGAGTTTATAAATTAAAAGCAGATGACCTCATCAAGGGAAAAACTGCCACTTCCCCTCCAGCTCCACCACTGCTTTCCTTTGAAAGGTTTCATTTGAAACGTTTCAAACGTCTTTCCTTTGAAAGGTTTCATTTCAGTCTAACAACCTTAATTGGGTAAGATCTTCCATAGCTTTGTAGGAAAGCTAACCTCTAACCCTCCCTCCATCTTGTCGGGAAAGTTAACTCACACTTACTGGACACTGACTGTGAGCCAGGCACTATATTCATCTCATCTCATTTGATTTTCAATGATGCTTTGAAATAGATATATTTTAGACCAGTTTATAAGAAAACAGAGATCAAATATTTATCCAGAGTTGCACAAAGTGGCGAAATGACAATTCTGAAGCCAGAGGCAATGACAATGACAATTGTGGGAGAGGGACATAGTCGTTTTGAAAATGGCTGAGTAAAGATGTGAATTTGGAAATGGGCAAATGTCATAGGCTCTGCTAGAGATCATAGTGAGAGAGCATGAGAAGAACAATAGAGGCATTTTCCTAAAACACAAGAAATATCAAGGAGTTATTTGCACATTCTATGTTGTTCTATTCTATCTTATTGCACAGTGTAAATCCAAGCTGAGGCTTCTCGCACTGAGCAATGTCTAATGGCAGACAGCATAGATTACATGGACTGTATCAGGGCGGGGGGTGGTTGGGAGGTGCCCAGAGCATGTGGTTAATTACTTGATAAATTAAAGAATCCAAAATCCCCATCTATAACTCTTACCAACTCTCCTGTTTCTCTGGTGATTTGAAGAATGGTATATTTGGAAGAAAACCATAAGGGAATAAATCGTGAGCATGAATGTTTCACCCTGAATTGGCTAAACAGATTTCTGAAAGTTTTTAAAAGAGAAACTAAAGTTAGTGCCTGGGCAGTATTGACAAATGTTTTGCTCTTTAACCATGAACTATTACTTGAGAAGATTCACGTGATGACACCGCAGGGTATGTCTATCAAGTGACCCTATCTACTTTCAGCTCCACATAAGAAGGAATTCTGGCAGTGATACAATCACTGGGAAAGCTTGCATGCATAGCAAACTCCCCTTTCTAAGAAAATACAAGTCCAAGAGGTTCCCACTCAACCTCCTCTAAGATTTAGAATCAATGTTTGGGGGAAGAATCCAGAAAACAGAAATTTGGGGGGGGGGGTCTTTTAAAATCCCACTCCCCTGCTTCTTTTTGCAAACCCTTAACTTTCCTCTTAGTGTCTGAAATGAGCTCAGGAGTGGGGGCCGACAGACTTGGAACTATGGTGGGAGACCTTCAGACTCCTTTGCCATCCCATTTTATGATTCAAACTTCAGGGGACCTTAAAGATGATCTAAGTCTCAATTTCAGAGATTAACTGTGGCTCAGAGAGGTTGTCTTGCCCAAGGTCACACAGCTCATTCATGATTTTGCCTTGAAAGTCCACCTTCAAGATTCTAAAGTGGGATACTCCTTGTACCGCAGCACTTCCAGTCACTATTCTATTTTTAAGGTGTTTGTTCTCTTCCTGATGGATCGTCCCCTTTGACGATTGACAATGAGATTTACAGGATTTTTGACCCTTTAGGTGGTTTCTGCTCCGTGATTGAGAGGAAGTGGGGCAGGGAGGAGTTTGTAGAGTTATTGCAATGGATTCCAAAACCCAAATCACAGCACACAGTTCTTTAAAGTGAAGAACAACTTATTCACAGATAGATACATTTTCTTTTATAATATAAATGCAAATTTAAAAGCTAGCAGTTTTTGTCAGTCAACAGATATAATTAGAATTGCCTGAACATCTTGGACATTTTTTAACATTAAAATATGGTTCTCAAAGAATATATAGCTCTAATATCTGAAGATTGTGAATCTGTGCCTAAGCCTTCATGTGCTACTCTTTATATAAAAGAAGAGCCTGAGGTACACTTTTTTTCCTTGTTTTCTAGTGGTGGCGAGAACTAATAAGGTGCACTTTTAGCAAAACAATTCTGGCTATGCGAGCAGGCTCAGAGACAGGAGTTACTCTTCCAGTGATTCTCAAATCAAATCATGTAGTTTGTCCCCACCCTTTCTGAAGCCAAGCTCCCACCTCCACCCCACTTTCCCAGAGAAAAGCCTCTCCCTCCAGATTGTTATGTATCTTGCCCATAACCCTGCATCCTCCAGCTCTCTGGTTCTTCTTTTCCTCTAGTAACTCCTCCTTCTTCCCTCACGTTTCCCATGTTAGGAAGGCAATTTACATTCTAAGGTGTCAGCTGACTCTTTCCCTTGGCAGAGGTGGGGTGAAGATGTGGCTACCAGATTGAAGCTAAAAACTAGGGGTATCTTTTAGTTCTCACACTCAAACAGGAAGGCCATTGAGTTACACCTACTTTTGCACATGACTAACCTCAGATGAAGCAATCTTTGCTACTCTACGGCTGGAAGCAGAGGAAGAAGCGTGAGGTCACCAAAAAGGAAACTGCACTGCAGCTCCTCTTGCCAGACAGACCCAGGAGCAGTCAAGGATGCCAGCTCACAAAACACCTCTAATTAGATCATGAATCTGTATAGGCTGTAATCCCAGCACTTTGGGAGGCCGAGGCGGGCAGATGACTTGAGGCCAGGAGTTCAAGACCAGCCTGGCCAACATGGTGAAATCCCCGTCTCTACTAAAAACACAAAAATTACCCAGTGTGGTGGCGTGTGGGGGAGGCTTTAGCACGAGAATCACTTAGACCCAGGAGGCAGAGGTTGCAGTGAGCCAAAATTGTGCCAATGCACTCCAGCCTGGGCGACAGAGCAAGACTCTGTCTCAGAAAAAAAAAAAAAAAGGACCTATGTTGGGCATTCATTTCCTATTTTTCACTATTTCCCCTCCCAATTAAAGTGTAAGTCCCTTGAGAGCAGAAATCATGCAAACTCCCCTATATTTTCTACTCCAACTACTGGGAGGAGACAGTGTGGTCAGAAGGTCAGAGGATGTCTGCTGATGGAAATCAGTTAAAATACTTTGGCTTGATAATGAACACTTAGTAATTAGTAGCTTACAAGATGAAGACAAAATTAACACACAGAAAAGAACAGTGAAAACTTTTAATAGTTTACTGCCACAGTATCAACTTTTATATGTGTGCATATGTTTAAATACAAATTAGACCATAAATACCAGATGGTAAAATAGCTGCCTCTAGGCTGAAAAAAAAAACTCTCTACCACTAAATAAACAATCTTAAGTAATACTGAAGAAAACAGATGTGAGGTAATTTTCCATCTAAAGTGACTACAACCTACATTAAGACATTTTAACTAAAAATTCAAGTAGTTATAAGACTCTTGTAACTCAAAAATGTAACTTTAATACACATTTTCAAACTAAAGAAAAATACTTTAATTATAAATAGGCAAAATAAATAAAATTATTCCTGCTGAAATAAAATCAAGACATTATTTATTTGAGGACTGTATATAGCCCAGATAAAAAAAATGAAACTTACTTGAGACCCTACTAAGAAGCTATATAATACTCTAATACAAATTATCTATACAGATACCCATATAAGTATGTAAGTATGTGTATACATATATATTCACCAATGCATATATGGAACTTTCATTCTAGATGAGAACTAACTGTTCCTTTTTTTTAAGAAAAGTATATTCCAATTATGAAAATATTCTTAATTTACATTAAGAGATCACTTTTTGTAGGATGCACACTAATGTGACAAGGAGCATTTTCCGAACCTTTAGAAACTTCTTTAGAAACATTCATATCTTATCAAGTTACTTCTGAATATTTGTTCTACTAAGTTTCAAAAACATCAATTAAAAATTAACTTCTTTTTTCTTTTTATTATCCCTGGTTATACAAAATCCCCATGTTCTTTTATTATATTGAATGTTCAGTCTACTGATTTACTGGCCCCAAGTAACCCTCCTATACTTTATCCAATTTTTTCAAAGTTATTTTCCAGTTTTCCATAGTTTCTAGTAACGCCCAACAGGAACACATTGAATGAAAGATCATCTGAACAGAAGCAATACAATTTGAGTCAAAAGAAACAAATGATTTTACGTTGTGTAGTGACCGAAGAAATCAACACTGAGTATAACATTTCAGTGTTCTCAGAATGAGTTTTTTCATTATAACAAGGTAATATGTATAAACCGAATCATATACAATGTGCTGAGTTGGCACTGAAAAGCAAAACACCAAAAACAGCAACAACAACAATGCACTGAACTGTTTCTCCCCAGCCGCCCAGTCTAATCACAGGTCATCTCCCTTCACAGTAGGCCAGCGGTAATCTTCGGCAAAAACACTAGAACGATTCTCTAAGTAAAAAAGAAATGTGTCAATAATTACTTCTTTATTTTCAAGGGTCTTCCATTCTTGCTTTAAAATAAACAAAGTGGTTTTATAATGTTCTCTCATCCCAAAGAATGATAATCTGGGAAAACTTGAACAGAAATTCACTTTGATGTATTCCATCTTCCGTTTCCAAGGGCACCCATGAATGCACCTTCACATTCCTCTCAATTACAATGCAGTCTTTCTTCAAATTGATGAAACGTGCACCTCCTGAGAAAACTCTTTTGAAGGAGTCCCCTCATGCAAGTTTTTGATGCAGTCAGGTTCCTGAGCAGAAGAGTTTGGATATCAGATTCAGAAGTTTCTGCCGGAAGTTCAGTTTGTCTCCAAATCTCCTGAGTTGAGTAGCACACTCGACTTCCAGCTCTGAGAAGGAAAGCAAAACATGGACATGAACATTGATGATATTACAGACTGTAACCAGCAAAACCTAATACGCCCACACTAGTGACAAATTGAGTATCCCAGGAAGCATTTCTCTTAACTTTGGCTTTATGTGCACCTGTTTTCCAAATGTGACACACACACACACTTACACACATTGTGACTCACCGAAAGCAATCGTTAAGGTAAGAATAAAGACATTTACTTTGAGTTTTTAAAAAACGCATCCTGGATGAGGCAAGTGTTACCTTACTTTCAAATATGTCAAATACCACAAAGAGTAGCATTATCATTCTTTGGGATGTGAGAACATTGTAAAACCACTTTGTTTATTTTAAAAGCAATGCTACAAAGAGTAGCATAAGTCACCAGCCTTAGATGATGTCATCTTTTTCTCTTCATTTAAGGTTGGCTGGGAAACAGAAGTCAAGTTCTGTGTGGCTTTCAAGTAGGATTTGATTTTCAAATGGCAATAATTTACAGCTTAGGTTATACTCTCATTATATAGGCAAATCTAGAGGTATTCTTTTTCTCGTTAAAAAACGCTGATATTTTTTCATAAAAGACTCATAAAATCTTATTCTAAAATTAAGTCCACATTCTCTAAAATAATTTAAACATTTCTATTTTAATGTAAACCCACTTCTTCCTATAACCCCATTATGTACCAATCCATTGCCTTTATGGAAATGAGAGGAGCAGAAAATAAGCAATGTTTAATTCACATGTTTACTACTTTTTGGAATTGAGTTATTCTAACTGAATATTAAGAAAAATGATGCTTATAATTTCCAAGTACACTTTTTTTCAGTAAGTGCAGTTAACACTATACTGACTATAATATCGTATCTATACTGACTATAATTTCAATTTTCTTGAATATTTCAAAGAGCAGCTTGAGGTCTTTCGGGTACACTTCATGATTACAAACATTAAAAAATCATGATTACAAATTAAAATCTGGTCTATTTTATAAATCGACCCTGAAAATACCGTATTTAGGCTCAAAATAAATCAAAGCTGTCAATATATAGTAAAGCAAAATCTTAAACCTATATTTCAACCAATTTCTCTCTACAAGAAGTGAGTGAAATCTTTCCTAACTCCTACACCAAGAGACCTAATAAATCCCTTAAGGTGTTATTCTTTATGGGCTACAAGATCAAATATGTTGGGAAGTATTTACATAGACATGTTGTCTACAGAGATTGAGATATATTAATATACAGTTCTAAAAGAAAAACCAAATACCATTCAGCGTCCGACACTGGAAGCCCTGAATTCTAAGTGGAAAAGTTATCCCTTTCACCAAAAATGTAGAAAACAAGGCAGAAAATACTTCCCGGTCATTTCCTTAATTTTTTAAAAATTGCATTACACACCTATAAATGTATTAGTATCAATCAAATCAAGTTTAAGAGGGACTTTGTGCTGCTTCCTGTTCTTGGGAATTAAGTCGGACCAGAAAGTGCTATGCATAAGTAAGATCCTTCAGAAAGAAACAAGGTCAGAATCCTAAGACATCACAAAAGGTAGACAAAGCTTTTTCCATCCCACACAAGCGCCAGAGACAGCAGCCTGTTACCAACTTAGGCATGGTCACATTTGCAATGCACCACTTCCTTCGCACGCCCCAGGAGCTCTATAAAATGAAAGTAACTTAAAAGGTGGGGGGGGCGTATAATCGTCTGATGCAACAGCAGTATGGCCCACACAGACTTCGGGCTCTGGGCAGTGACTGGGTTCTCTGTTTAGATTTAGAAAAAGCATGGGGCCGGGGCGCTGGCCTGAAAACTTACGATGGAGCTGTATGTATCGGGGTGGGGAGTGCGAATGAATGAATGAAAAAAAGGAGCGGACTAACTCCTATTCTCCTATCCCCACCTCCCACAATATCGATTATTTAAATGTTACAAGATTTTCTAGGCTCCTGAACACAGGGGCCCTTGTGGGGCCGTCTCTGGAAGCGCTGGGAGTCCAGGCGGTCCCCGGGGCTCTCTCCTGCCCCTTCTGCCGCGACAATGACTTTCTCCTAGAGACAGCCGCCTACACTTGCACTTGTTCCTCGTGGCCCCGGGGAAGGGCAAGTGGCGAGGAGGAAAGAGAGGAGGAAAGGAGCTTTTTGCCCCTGGTGAAACGCAGCTGCATCCCAATCGCAAATCCGGCTTGGTCCCTCGCCGTACCCGCCGTACCCGCCGGTCCTGGGGAAAAACCCCGAAGAACTTTCTGGAGGCGCCCCTAAGGCTCGCGCCAGGGCACAGACCTGGCCCGACCTTGACCCCCGTGCAGTCTGTGCTTGAGCCCCGGCGAGCTGAGCCCGCCCCAGCCGAGACCTCGACCCCGGCCCCGACCCCGCCCGGCCTGGGTCTTCGCTGGCCCCAGCGGGTCGGTACCTGCTGGAGCCCGCGCGGGGCTCGGTTGAGCGTTCTTGCGCGCCTTCTTCCCAGGCATCTCCGCCGGTGCCGCCGCCCACTCAGCTACAGAGCCCGGGAACCTCAGCCTCCAACTGGAGCACCTCGGACAGCTGCAGGACGCGAGCTGAACACGAACAGTCCTGCAGGCAGGGATGCTGGGATCGGGTGTCCGGACGCGCGGAGATGCCAACTACACACGGTGAGTGCCCGGGAAACTCTGAGATCCCCGCGCCAGAGACCACGCTTTTGTCCAGTGAGAACTTCCCTGGTGACGTAGGGAAACTAGACGCCCGGCCCGCCCCTGTCCCCGCCCCTGTCCCCGCCCCGCAGACGGCGTTATGGGAGCGGACGCGGGACGCGGGCGGGGAAGTACCCCGCTGAGCGCGACCTGCCCGGACACGCTCCCGACCCGCGGCGGCGCCGACCCGCGGCGGGGGGCGCAGAGCGCTCGGCCCCGAAATTACTTCCTTACAAAACGAGGTGGGAGGAGAAGGGGGTCGGCTTTGACCATCTGCAAACGCTGGACGTCGTCAGCGGCAGTGGTGGCGGGAGCTGGGAGTGGCGGGAGCTGGGAGTGGCGGGAGGGGAAGGGTTTAACCAGGAGGAACGTTGTGGGTGGGGAGAGACCAGAGGCCTTGGCAATTAGAGACTTGGGTAAACAAGCCCAGAAAAGAGATTGGAAAAGGAAACTTTTCGAACTTGAAGAGTATGGGCAGTAACAGGGAAGGGAAATGAGAAGAACCTTAATCACCGCAGAGGAGATGCCAGAGGCCCTGTGAGAAAGCTCCGGGTCCCAGGAAGTCACTGCAAACAGAAGCCCTGGTGCCAGCCAGAAAGAACATCGTGTTTGAGTTGGGAAGGGATTTGTGTGTGTCCTTCCAGATAGGTCGATATCGCCCATTGTGGATGTTTAGCAAAAACGAGTGGATCGTTATCATATGGAAAACGTTCAAATCTTTTGTGGGAGGGCTGAGCTACCTGGGAACGTGAAATTATTTGCATAATGTTTGGCGAGGCCATGAGTAATTCTACTATTATGAAGAGGAGTAATTAGGAGTGGTTAACGGTTACTGAGAGCCGCTTCATGCTAAGGACTTTGACATGCATTTTCTCATTCCGTCCTCAGAACAACCGTTGCTACTTTACGGGTGCAGAAACTGAGGTTTGTAGAAAATTGCCCAAGTTCACTTAGGCAGAGAGCACTGCCCTGATTCCGAACCAGGCAGGCCCACAGAGAGCAAGAGCTCTTACCCACTGTAGCCTTCCCAGCAATCAGTTTCTTAGAAAATGTGTGTTTTCGCCGAACGCGGTGGCTCACGCCTGTAATCCCAGCTCTTTGGGAGGCCGAGGCGGGTGGTTCGTTTGAGGCCAGGAGTTCGAGACCAGCCTTGCCAATATGGTGAAACCCCGTCTCTACTGAAATACAAAAGATTAGCCGGCCTTGGTGGTGCACGCCTGTCGTCCCAGTTGCTTGGGCGGCTGAGGCACGAGAATCGCTTGAACCTGGGAGGCGGAGGTTGCAGTGAGCCGAGATCGCGCCACTGCATTCCAGCCTGGGTGACGGAATAAGACTCTGTCTCAAAAAAGAAAAAGAAAAAAAAAGCGTGTTTTCATATTAGCTGTGCTGTTTAATGAAAAGATTGCAAATTCGTTGCATGGGCTCCCTAGAAGTGCTTAGTTTGGTTTACAGTATTGGCCTTCAAAATGTATTGTAAAAATTTGAATTGATTACCAACATTTTAAACATTGAGGGATTGCATGAAAAACCCAGATTCCAGCATCTCTTGGAAAACCAGAATCTCTGACAACGTGGGATCCATTTTCCAAAAGTGCAAACTAGGTTTGAAGTGTGGTCGAAGCCACACCCTTTAGAGGAACCTAGGGTGCTCCTGTTCACCACACTCCCCGCTGTTTGCTTTTCCCATTTACATTATCTGGCCTCAGTAGGCATTTGAGGTTGTTTATTTATCTTAAATCATTCAGTCAACACAAACCAGCAAGTATTTATTTATGGCTTGGTCCTGCTGAAGGTATGGACAACAATATAAGCATGGAACAAAACTGCTCTTGAGTTTAAACAACATAGTTTCGAGGCTGATGTTGGCTGTTTTTGAATGGGGTATATACAAACGAGTAAAAGTGGACAGAATTTAGGAATCATCACAAGACGCAGGAAGCACACTGGAGATGCTGCCTTGAAATCTATTATCCCCAAGTGGTAATTCAAAACCACTCCAGGCTCATTTTGACTTACCTAATACATAAGGAACACCGTTAACTTTTTGGTTGCATAAATTATTAAATTTCTGTCGTTCAAATACGCACCCTGAAATGCAGAGAATATACTCAACAACCACCAAAAAAAAAAAAAAAAAGTGAATCACAACATTGTTTACCTATAAAAGGTATGTTAATCCCATCCTCTAACATTTTCATTAGAAAAGAATTGGTCATGTGACTCACACTGGCTACAAACCTTAGGCAACTCTGTTTTTTAGGGAATTGCAAATTCAGCTTGCAAGGAGGAAAAGAGCGGAAAGAAGTCGGGCGAGGTGGGTTTTGGACATGGGTCAGATTCAGCTGGTTTATAGAGGACTTTTAAAGATTTAGGATTTGAGATGGTCCATAAACTCTTTGGCAGATCTAACATTCTCTAAAGAGAATTGGCCAGGCATAGTGGCTCACGCCTGTAATCTCAGCACTGTGGGAGGTGGAGGCTGGGGGATCGCTTGAGTCCAGGAGTTGATGACCAACCTGGGTAACATGGTGAAACCCTGTCTCTGCAGATAATACAAGTATAAGCTGTAGTGTCAGCTACTCAGGAGGCTGAGGTGGGAGGATTGCTTGAGCCAAGGAGGAGGAGGTTGCAGTGAGCTATGATCGAGCCACTCCACTCTAGCTTGAGCGACAAAGGGAGAACCCTGTCTCAAAAAAAAAAAAAAAAGCTAGAAGCAGAGTGAATAGCTTCTTTTAACTGTATATCCTCTGGAAAAGGGAGGTATCATTTAATGTTGGGCTTGCAACAAATATAAACATGGAGATATTTGACCAAACGAAATAATTAATAAAAATGTATCATGAAGCGTTAGAATTCCCTACTATTTTTTTTTAAGTAGGACTGGTGAAAATGACATTTTAAAAAACTATTAGATAATCCTTTCTCGTGAAACAAGTTCAAAAATGACAGTGCACATCTGATCATTTCGATGTCAGTGTTTAAAAAAAGAAAAATGTATACGTATCTATATATATATATGAACCACAATGACAAAACAAAATAAGCATGATTAGTAATAGAATAGTCATTCATATATTTCTTGCAGAAAATAGGATTTGACAGTTAAACAAGAGGACATGAGATATAAATGAGGCATATGTAGAGTCAGCCTGGGATAAAATATACAGGCTGTAGATCGATTGTGTTTGTTCTAATAAAAGTGTTTGTTGTTGTTGTTTTCCTGTATAGCATGTTTGTTAACAGGAAATTAGCCAGAGTATTTGATGGATTATATCTCTCACGCCTGTAATCCCAGCGCTTTGGGAAGCCGAGGCAGGCAGATCACTTGAGGTCAGGAGTCTGCCAGCCTGGCCAATGTGGCAAAACCCCATCTCTACTAAAAATACAAAAATTAGCCGGGCGTGGTGGTGCATGCCTGTAATCCTGTAATCCCAGCTACTCAGGAGGCTGGACTGAGACAGGAGAATCGCTTGAACCCAGGCGGAGGTTGCAGTGAGCCGAGATGGCGCCACTGCACTCCAGCCTGGGCAACAGAGTGAGACTCTGTCTCAAAAAAAAAAAAAAAATCTCTCTTTAAGACAGACACTGAGGCCAGGCACAGTGTGGCTCACGCTTGTAATCCCAGCACTTTGGGAGGCCGAGGTGGGTGGATCACCTGAGGTCAGGAGTTCGAGACCAGCCTGACCAACATGGTGAAAACCCATCTCTACTAAAAATACAAAATTAGCTGGGCGTGGTGGCACATGCCTGTTATCCCAGCTACTCAGGAGGCTGAGGCAGGAGAACTGTTTGAACACGGGAGGTGGAGGTTGCAGTGAGCCGAGATTACACCATTGCACTCCAGCCTAGGCAACAAGAGCAAAACTCATCTCAAAAAAAAAAAAAAAAAAAAAACAGGCCGGGCGCGGTGGCTCACGTCTGTAATCCCAGCACTTTCAGAGGCCAAGGCGGGCAGATCATGAGGTCAGGAGATCGAGACCATCCTGGCTAACACGGTGAAACCCCGTCTCTACTAAAAATACAAAAAATTATCCGGGCATGGTGGCGGGTGCCTGTAGTCCCAGCTACTCAGGAGGCTGAGGCAGGAGAATGGCGTGAACCCGGGAGGCGGAGCTTGCAGTGACCTGAGATCGCGCCACTGCACTCCAGCCTGGGCGACAGAGCGAGACTCCGTCTCAAAAAAAAACAAAAAAAAAAGACAGACATTGAGCTAGGCCAAGGGAAGGCAATGCTCCCTGCCCCTATGCAATCTTTGGTGGAGAGACCAGTAACTCAGAAATTTCATGTGCATAAGAATCACTTGAGTATCTTCTTAAAATGTGCATCTGATTCTGGAGCTCTGCTTGGACCTGAGATTCTGCATCTTTCGTGAACTGTCACGATGTTGATGCTTCTGCTCTGTGGACAACTTTGAGTAGCAAGGCCAGAGGGTGATATAGAGAGTAACCCAGCAGGTGCAATAAGATGTGTGTCAGTCCTGAGCCAGGGAAATTAGAGCAGATTACAGGGCTGCCTGGGAGAGCAATCAGTAGGAAAGGGCATCAACATAGGGACCTGAGGCTCGAATAGAAGTCGGCCAAGCAATCACACCAACCAAAGGGAAGAAGGACATTCTCGGCAGAGACTGACAGCAGTGTGAGGTCAGGAGTGGTGAGAAGTGATGGGGAGAAAAGCCACTGGAGGAGTTTGGATATTATCGTGGGGGCAATAGGGAATTACAGAAGGTTTTTAGCAGGTAGTTGATGTAATAAAACTCTAGAAAGTCACTCTGACTGCAGTGTGAGTAGATTAACCAAGCTAAGACCCAAGACAGTGTGACTTGTAAAAATATTGTGGTAATTCTAGTATAAAATGGCAGTGTCAGCAAAGACAGTCACTGTTTCAACCTATCTTATTAAAACTCCCATATTTCCTGACTAGGGTAGAACCACATTGTGGTAGAACATGTCTTGATTTTTTGTTTCAGCATCATTATAATTGACATTTTATCCTATGCTAGCTTCCTAGGGCTGCTGTAACAAAGTACCACAGACTGGGTGGTTTAAAACAATAGAAATGTATTCTCTCAGGCCAGGCACGGTGGCTCGTGCCTATGATCCCAGCACTTTGGGGGGCCGAGGTGGGCAGATCACTTAAAATCAGGAGTTCGAAACCAGCCTGACCAACATGGTGAAACCCTGTCTCTACTGAAAATACAAAAATTAGCCAGGCGGTGGTGCACGCCTGTAGTCCCGGCTACTTGGGAGGCTGAGGTAGGAGAATCACTTGAACCCAGGAGGCAGATGTTGCAGTGAGCCGAGATCAGGTTGCAGTGAGCCAAGATCATGCCACTGCACTCCAGAAGTCCAAAATCAAGGTGCCTTCAGGGCATGCTCTTTCTGAAGCCTCCAGGGGAGAATCCTTCCCTCCCTCTCCTAGCTTCTGGTGGGTGCCTGCAGTCCCGGCATTTCTTTTCTTTTCTTTTTTTTTAGATGGAGTCTCGCTCTGTCACCCAGGCTGGAGTGCAGTGGCACTATCTCGGCTCACTGCAACCTCTGCCTCCTGGGTTCAAGCGATTCTCCTGCCTCAGCCTCCTGAGTAGCTGGGATTACAGGTACCTGCCACTACACCTGGCTAATTCTTATATTTTTAGTAGAGGTGGGGTTTCACCATTTTGGCCAGGCTGGTCTCGAACTCCTGACCTCAGGAGATCCCCCCTACCTCGACCTCCCAAAGTGCTGAGATTACAGGCGTGAGCCACCGTGTCCGGCCTGCATTCCTTAACTTGTAGGTGCATCACTGCACTCTCTGCCTGTCTTCACATGACCTTCTCCCCTGTGTGCCTGTGTCCAAATTTCCTCTTATAAAAACATTAGTCATAGGACTAGGGTTCACCACAAATTAGTAAAACCTCATTTTAACTTGATTACATATGTAAAGACCCTATCTCCAAAGAACTCACATTTATAATTTGTTGGGTGGGGGGGGGTCTAGGACTTCAACATATCTTTTCTGGGGGACACGATTTAAGCCATAGCATCTCCTTGTATCAACTGCCTTTTAAAAAAAGTTCTATATATACATTTTTTCTTTTTTTTTTTCTTCAGTTATTTTTACATTTACATCATCCTAGGTATTTTCATTTCCCATGCTGTTGGCACATACATTTGTCATCCTCTTTATAATTTGGGACGGGTGTGGTGGCTCATGCGTGTAATCCTAGCACTTTAGGAGGCCGAAGTGGGCAGATCACCTGAGGCCAGGAGTTCGAGACCAGCCTGGCCAATATGGTAAAACCCCATCTTTACTAAAAATACAAAAATTAGCTGAGCATGGTGGTGCAGGCCTGTCATCCCAGCTACTCGGGAGGCTGAGGCAGGAGAATCGCTCGAACCTGGGAGGCAGAGGTTGCAGTGAACCGAGATTGTGCCATTGCACTCCAGCCTGGCAACAGAACGAGACTCCAGCTCAAAAAACAATTAAACAAACAAAACCAAATTGCACATTTTGCAAATCATAAGGCCCTTAGTATACTTGACAATGAATTTAAAGCAGCCTGAAATACTCAAGCGCAGTATAGACAAGATAAGGAGTAAGAGGACTTCTGAGGGAATAGGCTTAGAACCTCTGTCAGCCAAGAAAGTATGTGTCCTACATATTCTTAGCTGGAAGTTATGGTGTGACTCCACCCTCCGCCCATACCTGGGCTTCCCACTCACAAGGCCAAGCAAGTTTTCAATAAATTCCCTGAAGGAGCTTGAAAGTAAATTCAATTTCTATTAGTGCAACATGTAAGTACATTATAAAATGTGGGAAACAGAGAAAAAAACTTTTTAATCTCTTTTCATCTCAGCACCTTAACACAACCATTATGAGGATTTAGAGACGGGGTGTAATGGCTAGTGCCTGAAATCCCAGAGCTTTGGGAGGCCGATGAGGCGTGATCACTTGAGGCCAGCAGTTTGAGACCAACCAGTCTGGGCAAAATAGCAAGACCCTGACTGCGGTTTTAAATGTATTGTTTAAGAAACATTTAATACAATGTTTCTTAACATTAAAAAAAAAATTTTCAGCCAGGCACAGTAGCTCATGCCTGTAATCCCAGCACTTTGGGAGGCCGAGGTGGGAGGATTTCTTGAGCCCAGGAGTTTGAGACCAGCCTGGGGGACATGGCGAAACCCCCGTCTCTATCAAAAACACAAAAATTAGCTGAGTGTGATGGTTCATGCCTGTGGTCCAGCTACTGGGGAGGCTAAGGTGGAAGAACTACCTAAACCTGGGAGGTTGAGGCTGCAGTGAGCCATGATTGTGCCACCACACTCTAGCCTGGGCGACAGAGTGAGACTCTGTCTCAAAACCAGACAGAAAAGAAAGGATTTCGGTATATACTTCTGGTCTTATCTTCAATGAGTGTTTCTAAAAATCATAATTGCATGCAGTTCATGTAAGATTCTGTATTCTGTTTCTCACTTACGTTATATCAAATGTTATTTGCTGGTCTTCATGTGCACCATTTTTCTTGCTTCCTAATAGTGTAATCAAGTAGACAGCTCACAGCTTACTTGGCCATTCACTCGTTTGTAGTACTCTGGGGTTTGTCTCTTTCTCTTCTCTCCTGGACATCCCCACCCTGCCCCCTTACTTCCTTTCTCTCTCCTTATTTATTTATTTATTTATTTATTTATTTATTTATTTATTTATTTTGAGACAGGGCCTTGCTCTGTCACCCAGGTTGGAGTGCATTGGCAAGATCATAGCTCATGGCAGCCTCAACCTCATGGGCTCAAGTTATCCTCATACCTCAGCCTCCCAAGTAGCTAGGATCACAGGTGCACGCAACGTCTGGCTAATTAAAAAAAAAAATTTTTTTTTTTTTTAAATATGAACTCTCCCTCTGTGGTCCAGGCTGGAGTGCAGTGGCATGATCTTGGCTCACTGCAACCTCCGCCTCCTGGGTTCAAGGGATTCTCATGCCTCAGCCTCCCGAGTAGCTGGGATTATAGGTGCCTGCCACCACGCCCAGCTAATTTTTGTATTTTTAGTAGAGACAGGGTTTTGCCATGTTGGACAGGCTGGTCTCAAACTCCTGACCTCAGGCAGTCCGCCCGCCTCGGCCTCCCAAAGAGCCGAGATTACAGGCATGAGCCACTGTCCCCGGCCAAAAAAAATTTTTTTTGTAGGGACAGGGTTCTTGCCGTGTTGCCCAGGCTGGTCTTGAACTCCTAGGCTCAAGCAGTCCTCCCCACTTAGCCTCCTAAAGTGCTGGGATTATACGCGTGAGCCACCACATCCCGCCCTTCCTCCTTTCTCTTTGTTACTTGCAGATTAATTTCAGTTTAATTCCTTTTGAAATCTAGATACAACTTAGTTGTATTTATGCTTCTGAGGGAGAGAAAAAAGTACTAAAAGTTGACCCCCTCAGGCTGGCTCTGTCTTGCTTTTCATTGCCTCTTCTACTTTTCTCTTTGGATAATTCAGTACATTCAGCACCCAAAGTCTCTCTTCTTCATTTTATTCTCTCATGTTATTAACTTTTCCCCGGCCTTCTGGATTATTGTAGATGATGGCTATTGAGCATGTTTGTGCTTTTGTTCTTTTTCTGCAAAGATTTCAGAAGAGAAGCAGGAAGAGGTATGTTTCAGAAGCTACCCCTGGAAATGAAGGGAGTTTGTCAGTACTGCCTGAGTATTTAAATTAGCTTAATTATTGACTTTTAGCAAAGAAATAAATCCAATTAGTTTAGAAGATTTAATTGAAGAGACTTAGTAAGTGCTGTATTTATCAGAACCGTTAATGTCTGGTGATAATAAAATGATTTTTAGGTAGTTACTGAAGAACTACTAGTTATGTAATTTATTCTTAGGGGAGAGTAGAAAGCAATGGTTGTCTAAGAGTAGCTCCTGTACAACCTCAGAACTAATTGATGAGGTTATTTAAAATACAGACCTTTCCTCAGACTTGGTATTTTCACTTTAAAAAGCTTCTCGGGTTACATAGAGACACTAATGGAGAGAATGAAAAGGCACTTAAGAAATGATACCTGACCTCAAGTGGCTCACAGTCTAGTTAAAGACAGTACCTCTGAATTAGCAGCAGATAATAGAAAATAGATTATAATTTTTGGGTGAAATTATGTGACATGGAAATATTTTTACAAAACAGTTAAGTGAAAAAATTTATAATGATTTATTAATAGTAACAAATAATGTAAAATGAATTACCAATCTGCACATTTATACTTTATGTGCTTTTCTGGTTTAGTGTTATGGTTTACAGTTTTTTTGTTTTTTTGTTTTTTTCTTTTTGGCGACGAAGTCTTGCTCTGTCACCCAGGCTAGAGTACAGTGGCGTGATCTCGGCTCACTGCAACCTCCACCTCCTGGTTCAAGCCATTCTCATGTCTCAGCCTCCCGAGTAGCTGGGACTACAGGCGTGCACCGCTACACCTGACTAATTTTTGTATTTTTAGTAGAGACAGGGTTTCACCATGTTGGCCAGGCTGGTCTCGAACTCTTAGCCTCAAGTGATCCAACCACCTCGGCCTCCCAAAGTTCTGGGATTGCAGGCGTGAGCCTCCACACCGGCCTGTTTTACAATTTAAATAAATTATGTAGGGAAAGGAAAAATAAAAAGTCCTGTTTATTATCCTCAGGAGGCAAAAGAATCCTAGGCCTCCTGGATAAATAGCCTTAGGCAAAAAGAATGAAAACAGTAATAATACATACACACACGAATACAATTGCCCCATAGCATTTGCCCCGTGGAATAGGGAAAAGATAGTCATGATTTACAAGAGCCAGCAGGAACAAGACAAGATACATGTGTTGAGAAGGGAACAGATAATTGGAAGATGCTTTGAGTCTGCAGAAGCTTTGAGTGTTACTACTAACATGCAGAATTATTACCCAGCTGTGTAGATAATCAGTGATTGCTGCCTTTAGTAAGAGGTATAATTTCACTGCAGCAGATAGATTGGAAGCTAAGGGAGGCTGCATCCTATCTATCTATCTATCTATCTATCTATCTATCTATCTATCTATCTGTCTATCTATATCTGTCTGTCTTTCTGTGATGGGGTATGGCTCTGTTGCCCAAGCTGGAGTGAATGGCTCCATCTCGGCTCACTACAACCTCTGCTTCCCAGGCTCAAACCATTCTCCCACTTCGGCCTCCCGAGTAGTTGGGACTATAGGCGTGAGCCACCATGCCCGGCTACTTTTTGTATATTTGGTAGAGATGGGGTTTCAGAGCCTGGGTGATAGAGCAAGAACCTGTCTCAAAAAATAATAATGAAATGAAATTAAAAAATAAAAACAGAGCAACTGCAGACCTTGCGAAGGCACTGGGAGATCAGGACATCTGATCCAACCTCCCCGGCCTTCTTTCTGAAACGCACTGAGCACCTTCCTCCTTCATCCTCCAGGTAGGTTCGTGGTTTCCACACCCAGGACCATCTTCAACATCCCTCCAGTTGTTCCAGCCGGAGGCCCAGGTCTCCCTCTCCGCCCCTCCCTCTTTTTCACCCCACAGCCAATCAGGGCGAAGTCATCTTGAATATCCCTGGGCTGTGTTCATTTCTTTCCACAGTCTAGGACATCACTTCCTCTGGCCTGAACCACTGCAGGTGCCTCCTTTTTGGCCTTCCCGCTTCCAAACCTGCCCCTTTTTCCATCTATTCTCGCTGCAGCCAGAGTACTTTTCTTTAATTCAAATGTTCCCAGGTCCCTTCTTAAAACTCTTCTCTCCATGGCTTCAAAGTGATCAATTTTTGTCTTTAATTTGTTTTTGATTATTTTTGTTTATTTATTTATTTATTTATTTGCGACAGGGTCTCACTCTGTTCCGAGGATGGAAGCAGTGGTACCATCATAGCTCACTGCAGCCTCGAACTCCTAGGCGCACGTGATCCTCCCCACCTACGCCTCCAGAGTAGCTGGGACTACAAGCATGTGCCACAACACCCAGCTAACCTTTTATTTCTTGTAGAGGTGGGATCTTGCTATGTTGCCTTAGCTGGTCTCAAACTCCTGGCTTCAAGCAATCCTACCATCTCAGTCTCCCAAAGTGCTGGGATCACAGGTGTGAGCCACCAGGCCCAAACCAGATTTTTATTTTTAAAAGACAGAGTCTCTTCTCTGTTTAAATGTTGTCAGAGTTCTCCAGTTGCCCTAGCATCAAATCCAATTGCCACAGCAAAAGGGAAAAAGTGAGTGACAGTTTGTTCTTATGCCCAGATAGGGTGGGGGAGGGGCCAGTGCCCAAGAGGACATGCCCCAAACCATCGAAATGGAGAAGGGGACAGATGAGAAGTGAGTAAGAGAGAGAAGAAAGGGAGAATGAGAAAGAGAGGTGGCCTAAGGAACATAGCTAGCAGCCCCACCACCCTGGTACACCTGTCAGGAGAGTTGAAAAATGAGAAAGACTTTAGAAATCATGAGATTTCAATCAGGCTAGATATCACATTAGCTTTTTTTGTTTGTTTGTTTTTGAGACGGAGTCTCGCTCTGTCGCCCATGCTGGAGTGCAGTGGCACGATCTCGGCTCACTGCAAACTCCGCCTCCCGGGTTCACGCCATTCTCCTGCCTCAGCCTCCCAAGTAGCTGGGACTGCAGGCGCCCGCCACCACGTCTGGCTAAGTTCTTTTGTATCTTTAGTAGATACGGGGTTTCATCATGTTAGCCAGGATGGTCTCGATTTCCTGACCTCGTGATCCGCCCACCTCGGCTTCCCAAAGTGCTGGGATTACAGGCGTGAGCCACCGCTCCTGGCCGATACCACATTAGTTTTTTAAACAGACTTGGACTCTGAGCTCAGTGGCTTGTGCCTGTAATCCTAGCTACTTGGGAGAGTAATGGAGGAGGACCAGTTGAGCCCAGGAGTTCGAGACCAGCCTGGGCAACATAGTGAAATCCCATCTCTAAAAAAGAAAAGAAAAATAAAACAGCCTTCTTATAGTCTGTTTTAGTCCAGCAATAACAGGCTATAGTTCAGTCATAATCGGTTAGAAAAATCAATGTTTTAAAAAAGCACCATTCAATTAGTAACAAAAATATATATATGTATAGGCTCGGTGTGGTGGCTCACAGCTGTAGTCCCACCTACTTAGGAGGCTGAGGCAAGAGGATGGCTTGAGTCCAGGAGTTTGAAGTTGCAGTGAGCTATGATGGTACCACTACACTACAGCCTGGGCAACAGAGCAAGAACCCATCTCTGAAAAAAATGAAAATTATCAATATGCTTACTAAGGCGTATGCAAAACCTAAATCAAGAATCCTGGTTGTGTCCTGAAGGACATAATGGAAGAAGGATTTCTGAATGAGAAGACATTCCTCTGCCCAATTATTCTATGAACACAATGCAAGTCCAATTAGAATGCCATGAAGACTTTTTTAGGAATGTAAAAAGCCCACAGACAACCACCCCTACCCGTTAAAATATTACAAAGCAAATATAAACACAGTATTAAATAGTTCCGCAGAGCAGAGAGCTAAAGATACAGACCTCAAAATGTGGGAATGATGTATATGATGGAGGTGGCATTTCAATTCAGTGAAGACAAAATGAACTGATTATTCCATAAGTGGGTTTTGTTTTTGTTTTTGTTTTTTTGAGACACGGTCTTGCTCTGTGGCCCGGGCTGGAGTGCAGTGGTGCAATGTCTGCTCACTGCAACCTCCATCTCCTGGGTTCAAGCAATTCTCCTACCTCAGCCTTCTGAGTAGCTGGAATTACAGGCACCCACCACCACGCGCGGCTAATTTATATATTTATAGTAGATATGGGGTTTCACCATGTTGGCCAGGCCGGTCTCAAACTCCTGACCTCAGATGATCCTCCCGTCTCAGCCTCCCAAAGTGCTGGGATTACAGGCGGGAGCCACTGCGCCTGGCCTCCATAAGTGGTTTTGAGACAATTGATTATACATTCAGAAAAAATAATTAATGTCAGTTTCCTACCTCATTATCTGCATCAAAACAAATTCCAAAATTTCACATTTAAATATAAATATCAAACATGTTAAAACATGCTTAAATAAATCATAGGTGAGTATTTTCATCATTTTAGGATTGGACTGGATTTTGAAAGCCTACTGTGAAGACTAAATCCCAAGGACACATTTGACTTCCTAGGAATATGAAAGTTTGGATCAGTAATGTAGAAAGTAAAAAGTTTCCTCTTCAAAGTTTCCCTTCTTGTTAAAAAATAAATCATAAATGATAAAAATAATAATTTCTTTTAAAGACTAACTTCCTTCAAGCCTCCTCACTTTATGCTAATAACTCTTTGTTAGGTCCACTCCTATGTAGCTGTTATGCTCACAGGCACGTAGTACATTCTATGTCCTTGTACCTTAACCAAGATATTTGTGCTGGACATGCTCACAGGCACCTTCCAGCTCGCAGCCTATGCCCCTTCCCTATTTGGCATAAGCAACTTCCTCTTTTCCTTTGTCTTTCCATTACTTTTACCTATTTAAAAAAGTTTCAAACTGTTAGTCAATCGGGTTTTAGTTTAGACTGTGCTGTCTGACTCCAGCCAATGGAGACAGGACACAGTAGCAGGGACAAACTACTTAAGGAATAAAAATTGCTTCCCTCCTTTGTTTGGATGTGCTGTCGCCATTGTTCCATCTGTGACGGGCACTCTTTCTGCAGAAAGTAAAAATGGCCTTAGTAAGAAAATTAAATTTATGTTCAAGTGCTATTTCTTTGTAGCACCAGGGAACAAACATTCTGTTTCCAAATAAACATTTTACATATAACAAGTAAAATAACACTATGAAAAAAGTCAAAAGACCATTCCTAAAATGAGGGGAATAGGGCAAGTAAGTGGGGCAGTTCCACCCTAAAAGTCCCTGGAATAAATTTTAAAATGGCATATTCTTCATTTCAAACACAGAAGCCGTTCCTGGGAAACCTTGCAAGCCACAGTGCTTGGGTGGAAACATGACAGGCCAAATTGCAACCAGAATTCTTTGATTATAAACAAAAGCATTTTTGTTTCAGAGAAGAAAAAAAAAAAGAGAGAAAGGAAACTAAAAAAGAGGAAATGAATCACTTTCTGAATATGAGACCTCAAGTGCACAAACAGGCTGGGGAGTGGAGATGAGTTAGCTCGGTCATCATCAGTAGGTAATTCTTTTAAAGCTGTCTTTTGGGGAAAAGGCAAAAACCACATACCCACATTTATCTGATTCAGTGACTTTCTGGCAGGAGAGGAGCATGGGATCTCCAACTTTCGTCGGGAGCCATGAGAGTTTCCCCCTCTCCTTTCAGGGTCCCAGGAACTCTGCCCTATTGGAGCTCTGGAGCTTTGGGCTAAAGGAGGCTTGGGTCCAGCACAGATTCCCTGGGCGGCTTTGGCTCCCAAGAGACACAGCAGCTCTACGTACCAGGCACTGTCAGTTTTGACATTGTTGCTGTCAGATATTAACTCTGATTCCTTAATGCAGGAAGTAACTAAAACTAGTTACTTAGTTTTAGCCAGAAATCTGGATTTACTCCTAATTCTGCCATTGGAAACCCAACATGTTCTTAGGCAAAGGATCGACTTCCCTGGGGCTTAGTTATCCCATCTGTTAAATGGTTGTCTTAACTCTGTGCTTACCTCCTCAGTTTGGGGGGGAAGATTAAATAGCGAGAGTAGATAAAAGTATGTTGTAAACTATGTCACACATGGTTTATTAGTATTATTAGGACCGCAGTTCAATCAATTAGGATGTGTTTATAAAGATGTGATTGCAACCGATAAAATGTGATAGTTCCAAAAACAAAAAGAAAAAAAGCTATTTTTTATTTATTTATTTATTTATTTATTTATTTATTGAGACAGAGTCTCGCTCTGTTGCCTAGGCTGGAGTTCAGTGGTGCGATCACGGCTCACTGCAACCTCCGCTGACTGGATTCAAGTGATTCTCGTGCCTCTGCCTCCCAAGTAGCTGGGACTACAGTCATGTGCCACCACACCTGGCTGATTTTTGCATTTTTAGTAGAGACTGGGTCTCGTAATGTTGGCCAGGCTGGTCTCGAGCTCCTCAGCTCAAGTGATCTGCCCGCCCCAGCCTCTCAAAGTGCCACAGGTGTGAGCCACTGTGCCCAGTGCTACATATATATATATATTTTTGTTGTTGTTTTTGTTGTTGTTTTCATGAGAAATGGATAACAGTAAGCTTCTCAGAAGGAGAATGGAGTGGTTGGTGGGCAGGAGTAGAAGGGACAACTATTTTCTATTGTACACTCTTCTGTAACTTTTGAATATTTTAAAGCATATGTTTGTGTTAATTGCTCAAAGAATATGCAAATAAAATTCAAATTTATGTGGTCCAAGTTATTTCCTTCTCAGTTATAAATAGAAATGTACGTACATGTTCACCAAAAGGCATGTCCAAGAATATTCATAGCAGCCCTAATTGTAGTGGCCCCAAGCTGGAACCCTGTCTAAACGCCCAACCACTATAAAATGCATAAATTGTAGTATTTTCCCACAGTGAAATACTGTATAGCAACTACAATAAGTGATCTGTAACTATGGGCAAGAATGTGAATGAATATGACAAACATGTGGAGTGAAAGAAGTCAGACACAGAAGAGTACATACTTTGTGGGTTCATTTATAAAAGGTTCAAAGGCAGGCAAAACTACTGTAAGACATTAGAAGTCATAATAGTGGTCCCCCTTACAAGGTTTTGTAACTTAAGGGGTCAAAGAAGGGCTTCTGGAGTGTTGATAACATTCCATCTCTTAACTGGGTCACTGCTGTTTGCATATGTGTCTTCAATTTGTGAAAATTTATGACACTGTTTTCTGTATGTTACACATCAACCGAAGGTTTAAATAAATAAATAAGAAAGATTGGATGGGGCAGGAACCATCTAATGGGACTCACAATAAAACAACAGAACAATAAAATAAATTTTGCTTTGAGCTTTTCCAGTGATCTCCAAATGGTATCCATTTCATTCCGTCTCTAAGGGGCAGTTTCAGAAATTCACAGAGGCTACCATTTGTTAGTGGCAGCAGAAATTAAAATACAGAGCAAAGGGTGATATTAAAATCAGAGTCAAGTGTATTAGTATCTTTTTCAGTACTATCAAGCAACACTACAATGAAATAAAGATATAATATATAATTGGAACCGTGTCAAGATCTTAAAATGAAGTCACAGAGTTAGCAATGTCGAAGTATTAGAGTTTGGAAAGTCAGTGTGAGAGTAAAAGACATTTTTATATTCCTCAGAACTGAAAAATGTCACTGTATAGCATAGGAAACTTAGCAATAAGTATCCAAAACAGAAGTCAAGTGAAATGTAAATGGATGAATTCTAATCTCAAAGGCCATTAGATGAAGACAATATCTCTAACCACTATCTCTTATGACCTCAAAATCCCCGAGCTCAGGAGATACATAGGCCACAGAGCTGGTAGGTTATGGAGCCAGGGTTTGAAGCCAGATCTTGAAAGTCCAATGTAAAGCACCGCGAACTTTTGTCAGTTACTGGACGACATGCAGCTTTCTTTCCTCAAACTTTTACATGTATTCACACCCTCCTGTCGAGGTTAGCACCTTTGCATCCTCCAGATCCCAGCTGAAATGCCCTGAGGCCTCTTCTGCCACCTAATCTGAAATCATTCTCCTTCTTGATCTCTATGTCTTGTTTTCTTTCTTCATAACCTAGCAGAGGTCAGAGTTGCTTCATTTACTGGGGAGTGGTCCTTGATCCTGTATTCACTTACCAGTCTCCCAGCTGGACTATAAGCTCCATGAGGTGACAGCCACATCTATTGTGTCTCCAGCTCTTACTCCTGCACTTGGCATGCTAGGGATGCTCAGCAGATGACTATTTTAAACGTCAGTCATGGCCAGGCGCGGTGGCTCACGCCTGTAATCCCAGCTACTCAGGAGGCTGAGGCATGAGAATCGCTTGAACTTGGGAGGCAGAGGGTGCAGTGAGCTGAGATCGCGCCACTGCACTCCAGCTTGGGTGACAGAGTGAGACTCGGTCTCAAATAAATAAATAAATAAATAAATAAATAAATAAATAAATGTCATAATGAGTGCCAGGAGAATGTGAGTCGGCAGATCTCACAGGAGACCCGGGAGAGTAGTAGTTGCTGTTTAACTCTGTTTGCTGTTTACCTTCTGTGCGAGCTCAAGCCCAGAAGCTCCCATCTCTGGACCATGATTTCCTCATGTGTTAAATAAAGGCTGATTACTTACTTTCTAAATTTCCTCCATTCTAATTCCCACTCACTAAATTAAACTAATTCACAACAATGTGTGAATGGCTGATGGCTTATTACCATTCCCAGAGGGAGGTGCATTTTTAAAAGATAATGTTCCACATTAATCTCTATTTTTAGGCTATCAGCTCGATGAGTGAAAACAGTGGAACTGACTGGAGAGAGATAATTTTCTGCTGAGAGCAAATGAACCTGAGATTCTGCCCCTGTGAGTCAGCTGCCCGATTAGTTCCTGCTTTTCTCAGCTTCTTCCCCTCTCCTTATTTCAACTCAGGCTTCAAAAGAATGGAAACTTTTTTTTTAAACTTTTTTTTTTCCACCTCACGCCCTCCCCAACTGCTACAGTACATATGGCCATGGGGCTTCTGCTGTGATCAACGTTAGAGAGTTGTAAGCTATGCTCAAGTGAGGCCACAGCTTTGTCTGAAGTTGTATGGTCCCAGTGGGTTTGGTTTCTAGAAACCCCAGGATTTCTTTCTGTTTCCAAGTGTGGGGCTCTAGGTGGTTGCCAGGCATTGTGGTTTTGCAGACGGGGCAGTATTTATCTCTCCCTGAGCCTTAGTTATTCATCTTGTCGTCTTTCCGGAACTCAGAGTGTCCTACCAGGAAAATGAGTGTCTAGGCAGAGAGGACAAAGGTTGGCTCAGAAGAACAAACAAAGAGAGGAAGCACTCAGTAGTAATCACAACATTAGGTAGAGCAGCAAATAGTAAAATTTGGCCTGTGTTTACAGAATGGCTCTGTACAGCCTTTTCTTCCGTTGTTTTGATCCAGCATCTCTAATCTGAATCCTCCAGAACTCTAGCCAAGGGCTGGGTAATCCACCCAGCCGATCCTAGCTCCTGATGAAAGTGAGAATATATTTTGCCTCTTCACACGGGCCCCACCCTTGTTTTTTCCTTTGACTATCATGTTCCTCCTGGCAGCTGGGCGTTGAGGTGGCCTCCTTTGATGCCTGGGTCATAACTCACCCTGAGGGATGTTGCTGTCTGGCCTTACTGGGCACCTGCATCCACACTCACCAGCACTGAAGTGACAATTGAGTGGCTTTGGTCATTGTTTCTTCAGCCAGGGCTTTCTTTCATCTTAGCCTCAAAATTCCCTGCCCTGAAGGTTTATTACCAGAAGAGTTTATTTAAATAAACAACTACTAGGCCAAACTTCACTGGATTCCACCTTGGGAAGATAACCCCCCCTTTTTTTTAGATGAGGTCGCACTCTGTCACCCAGGCTGGAGTGCAATGGTGTCATCTCAGCTCACTGCAACCTCCGCCTCCCAGGTTCAAGCAATTCTCCTGCCTCAGCCTCCTGAGTAGCTGGGATTACAGGAGCATGCCTGGCTAATTTTTGTATTATTAGTAGAGAAGGGGTTTCACTGTGTTGGCCAGGCTGGTCTCGAACCCCTGAGCTCAGGTAATCTACCTTCCTCGGCCTCCCAAAGTGCTGGGATTACAAGCGTGAGCCACCACACCCAGCCAGAGCCTCTTTATTTTACCCAAATTTCAAGGGATCCAGGCAATCTGCAGTGGAATCACCATTAATACGCTGAATGACAGAGATCTAAGAAAAGGGGGTAGTTCAAATATAGCAGATTCATCAGTGTTGTGTGACTTGGGAAAAACTTGCACACACCCCCACCCCAGAATGGTTTTTAGGAAAGGAAAATCCCACATACAGAATGCCTTTACTTTTCTTGTGAGATCTTGCCCTGTGCATTTTTGCCTCCAGAGCAAAATTAAACTCTAGTTCTGGCTTGGTCTAACTCACTGCTACCATCCTTGCCACTCAGTATGAGAAGGGGTGTAAGGACATCTGCATCTTCTAGGAGCTGAATTAAAATGCAGAATCTCAGGCCCTGATCCAGGCTGGCTGAGTCAGAATCTGCATTTTAACAAGATTTTCATGGGATTCATATTCACCTTAAAGTTCAAGAAGCCCCTCTAGCCTCCCTCACTGTTAATTCTCATTTTATTTTTTTATTTAAATTTTACTTTTGTTGAGACAGGATCTCACTCTCAGCCAGGCTGGCGTGCAGTGGTGGATAACAGCTCATTGCAACCTTGAACTTCTGGGCTCAAGGGGTCCTCCTGCCTCAGCCTCCCAAGTAGCTGGGACTACAAGTGTGCACCACAAGGCCCAACTAATCTTTAAAAATTTATTTGTAGAAATGGAATCTCACTATTTTGTCCAGGCTGGACTACAAGCGTGCACCACAAGGCCCAACTAATCTTTAAAAATTTATTTGTAGAAACGGGATCTCACTATGTTGTCCAGGCTGGTCTCAAACTCCTGGCCCCAAGTGATCCTCCCACCTCAGCCTCCCAAAGTACTGGAATTATAGGCATGGGCCACCGGGCCCAGTACCTCACCATTAACTTTTAAACTAGTGTCATGCAATCTAAGAGAATTGAGGTGGCATTGTTGTGTTCATAACATACTGAGGTCAGAGCATTTACAGAGCAATTGGAAACAAGAAAATGCAAGAGCAGTTTAAAAAAAAAAAAACCTTGGCAGGCATGGTGGCTCACACCTGTAATCCCAGCACTTTGGGAGGCAAAGGTGGGCAGATTGCTTGAGCCCAGGCATTCCAGACCAGCCTAGGCAACATGGTGAGACCTGGTGTCTACAAAAAAATACCAAAATTAGCCCAGCGTGGTGGAATGCACTTGAAATCTCAGCTACTCAGGAGGCAGGGATGGGAGGATTGCTTGAGACCAGGAGGTGGAGATTGCAGTGAGCCCAGAGCACGCCACTCCACTCCAGCCTGAGTGACAGAGCAAGACCCTGTCTCAAAAACAAAACAAAAGCAAAACAAAACAAAACCTCTGATAACTGTTGGGATAGTGTAAAACTTTTATTTTCTCATCCTTTTCTTATTGTATTGTTTGAGCTTATTTGTTAAAGGAAGATTTAGGTTTTGTCTTATTTTTATCTTTTTTTTTTTTTTTTGAGACAGAGTCTCACTCTGTCACTCAGGCTGGAGTGCAGTGGCACGATCTCGGCTCACTGCAACCTCCGCCTCCCGGGTTCATGCCATTCTTCTGCCTCAGCTGCCTGAGTAGCTGGGACTACAGGCACTCGCCACAAGTCCCGGCTAATTTTTTTGTATTTTTAGTAGAGACGGGGTTTCACCGTGTTAGCCAGGATGGTCTCGATCTCCTGACCTCATGATCTGCCCGCCTCAGTCTCCCAAAGTGCTGGGATTACAGGCGTGAGCCACCAAGCCCGGCTTTTATCATTTTTATTTAAGAAAGTGAGTGGAAAGCATGATTTGCTCTCAGTCCTAACAAAATCCACAGAGGTAGAAAGTTTTGATAAATGTTAAATGTTCTAAGTGCTATTGTAAAGTAAGTAAATTAACAAACAGGATGCTTAATATTACTCTGTGAATAGCACTGCTGATTAATTGGGCATTTGGGGGTGGGAGGGGTGCCCAGAGCTGGCCCATGTTAAGTATGGGCATCAGTGGAAGTAAGATACCTTTTGAGTGACCACCATTTTGTTTTGTTTTGTTTTGTTTTGTTTTGTTTTGTTTTGTTTTGTTTTGAACAAAGGGTCTAGCTCAGTGGCCCAGGCTGGAGTGCAGTGGCATCATCACGACTGACTGTAGCCTCAACCTCTCAGGCTCAAACCATCCTCCTGCCTCAGCCTCCCATGTAGCTAGGATGAACTACAGGCATGTGGCATCATACTCAGCTACTTTTTAAAATATTTTTTGTGGAGGTGGGGTCTTGCTCTGTTTCCCAGACTGGTCTTGAACTTCTGAGCTCAAGCGATCCTCCTGTCTTTGCCTCCCAAAGTGTTGGGATTACAGGTGTGAGCCCCCTGGTTCAAACAACCACTCTTGTATGGTCATGCAGTGCAGGCTTAAATGGTGTCCCTTTGACTAGATCTTGAACTGTTCTGATCTGACTCACTGTGTAGATCACTTTCATATTTGAAGAGTGTGTGGAGGTGGGGAATAAGGGCTTTGGAGTCTGCTGAGCCAAAGTGGAGTAAGGAGGAGCTGCCTTAATAACTGTAATTTAAAATTAGGCCCAACTTTCATAAACACTAACTACATATAATAACATATAGGTCCAAATTTCTTACACATTCTACTTAAACATACATAGAATACCAGATATGGTACACTCTCCTCACAGTATATTAATCCTAAAGATTTTATTCTCTTAAACATTTGTATACCTAATACACATTCTTCTGGTAGAAAAATATAATACAAAGGAAACTATCTTTTCAGACTATCTAAATCTGGGGTTTATCTTTCCATGTAATTTTTGGGATTGGTATGCTCGTTGGACTCTCATCAGGCATGGTGACAGAGCATCCTGAGCCTTATTTATAGTCTGTAACAGGGACTTCATAATTTGTGGGTCTATAGCCTATTGTGACCTCTCACTTCATGCTCTTCTACCTGTGGGGCTCTGCAATTCTTACCTGAATGATCTCTTGATTTTGCATTTCTTTTGTTCTTAAGACATGTAAATGGATTTTTCATCTCACCTGAATATGCTTTTTTTTTTTTTTTTTAAATTTTTGAGACAGAGTCTGGCTCTGTTGCCCAGGCTGGAGTGCAATCGCGCGATGTCGGCTCATTGCAACCTCCGCCTCCCAGCTTCAAGTGAGTCTCCTGCGTCACCCAAGTAGCTGGGATTACAGGTGTATGCCACCATGCCCAGCTAATTTTTGTATTTTTAGTAGAGATGAGGTTTTACCGTATTGGCCAGGCTAGTCTTGAAATCCTGACCTCAAGTGATCCACCCGCCTCCACATCCCAAGTGCTGAGATTATAGGCATGAGCCACCGTGCCCAGGCTTGAATATACTTTTCATAAACATCCAATCTCAGGACTATGTAACACTCAGTGATAAAAGGTGTCTAATTAGATTTAGGGATAGAGCTATGGCTTTCCATGGTAATTTGGTCACAATGTCCAAGATTGTTTTACTGATATTACTGATAGACACACACACACACACACACACACACACACACACACGGAGGCATGCACAGGGCAAATGAAAATAGTTATAAAAAGGAAATATGTCTGCTTTCTCAGAAGCCCAGAAATCATTTTAAACAAATCAATATATTTCTAACCAACATCATTGAAAACTACAAACAGAAAAACAACATCTGGGGAGCCAAGGAATGCTTGTGTAATGGAATGGTTTCTTAATTGGGCAAGATCTAGTAAAAAAGGGGAAGTCATCTATTTTTAGTTCCTTGGATATCCATCTATGTAAAAGAGGAAGGAAAAACTCCTGCCCCCCCAAAAGCATTAACTTTACCTTAGGACAAGTCAATAAAATTAAATATGTTCTTCCTATAATTTATCTTATTACAGTCTTTTTTTTCTACTGCAATGTCTTAACCTATATATATAATATGTTAACTATTAATTTGATGGATAAATAATAATTATACATATTTATGGGGTCCATAGTGATATTTTGATAAATATATTGTGATCTGACCGGAGTCAACTAGCAATGTCCATTATCTCAAACATTTATTATTTATTCTGTTGGGAACATTCAATATCCTCCTTTTGGCTATTTGAAACTATATATTATCGTTAGCTCTGGTAATGCTACAGTGGTATAGAATACCAGAATTCATTCCTTCTATCTAGTTGTAATTTTGTAACCTTTTTTTTTTTTTTTTTTTTTTTGAGACAGAGTTTCACTCTTGTTGCCCAGGCTGGAGTGCAATGGCCAGATGTGGGCTCACTGCAACCTCTGCCTCCCAGGTTCAAGCGATTCTTCTGCCTCAGCCTCCCTAGTAGCTGGAATTACAGGTGCCCACCACCAAGCGCCCCTAGTTTTTTGTATTTTTAGTAGAGACCGGGTTTCACCATGTTGGCCAGGCTGGTCTTGAACTCCTGACCTCAGGCAACCCACCTGCCTCGGCCTCCCAAAGTGCTGGGATTACAGGCGTGAGCCACCGTGCCCAGCCTGTTTTACTTTTTACTTCTATGAGATTAACTATTTTTAGCTTTGCCACAAGAGTAAGAACATGTTGTGTTTAACTTTCTGTTCCAGGTTTATTTCCCTTAACATAATGTCCTCCAGTTCCATCCATGTTGCTGCAAATGACAGGATTTCATTCTTTTTTATGGCTTAATAGTATTCCGAGGTGTATATGTACCACATTTTCTTTATCCATTCATCTCTTATTGGAATCAATGATTTCATATCTTGGCTCTTGGGAATACTGTTTGAATAAACGTGGAGGTGCAGACTATCTGAAAATAACTTTGGGACTAGAGCACAAAATTCTGACCAGTTAAGGGTAAAGAGTGACGGCTAGCATAAAAGACACCCCTTTTTTGAGGCTGTCTTTTGTGAGATTTCTATCAGTTCCATATCTTGAGAAAATTGTTTGTGGCTATGGTTTCTGATGTCACTTTCCAGTGCAGGGTAATCTCTCCTAGGTGCTATTTTCAGCTGAGGATTTGTTTTTAAGTCACAAGTTTCAGTTCAACATTGTTATTCACCAAATATGTCTCCTGTTTTTGCTTTTTATACCTACAGGCTCCTGGATAACTAGGATAATGTAAATGGATTAGACTGTAATTTCAGGGGCACACATTTCATACAGTGTCTTATTTAACTTTCACCGCCACCCTGTAAAGTAAGAATTGTTTCGATTTTACAAGATATGAAAACTGCCCTTGGCTAAATTGCTAGCAAAAGCAGGGCAGAGTTGAGATTCAAATAAACAAGGTTCAACCTGGAGGACCTTATGCTCAGTGAAATAAGACACACAGAAAGACACAAGCTGTGTGATCTCACTTCTGTGTGGAATCTTAAAAAATCAACTCACAGAAGCAGAGAGTAGAATGATGGTTGCCAGGGGCCAAGGGGGATGGTGAGAGAAATAGGGAGAAGACAGCCAAAGAGTACACACTTTCAGTTACAAGATGAACATGTTCTTGCCCGGGCGCGGTGGCTCACGCCTGTAATCCCAGCACTTTGGGAGGCCGAGGAGGGCAGATCACGAGGTCAGGAGATCGAGACCATCCTGGCTAACACGGTGAAACCCTGTCTCTACTAAAAAATACAAAAAAAAGTTAGCCGGGCGTGGTGGCGGGCGCCTGTATTCCCAGTTACGCGGGAGGCTGAGGCAGGAGAATGGCGTGAACCCGGTAGGCGGAGCTTGCAGTGAGCCGAGATTGCGCCACTGCACTCCAGCCTGGGCGACAGCAAGACTCTGTCTCAAAAAAAAATACATTCTGTACATCATAGTGACTATAGTTAAGGATACTGTGTTGATTACTTGAAATTTGCTGAGAGAGTAAGCTTAAGTGTTGTCACACACACACACATTCACATGCACAGAAAATGGTAACTTGGTGAGGTGATGGATGTATTAATTAATATGATTGTGGTAATCATGTGGTAATCATTGTGGTAAACAATGTATACATATATCAAATCATTATGTTGTAAACTATATATATATTTTATTTTATTTTTTATTTTTTTAAATTGAGACAAAGTCTCTCCCTGTCACCCAGGCTGGAGTGCAAATTCACCACAACCTCTCCCTCCTGGGTTCGAGCGATTCTTGTGCCTCAGCCTCCCGAGTAGCTGGGATTAAAGGCATGCGCCACCCCACCAGGCTAATTTTTTTTTTTTTCCACATAGAGTTTCGTTCTTGTCACCCAGGCTGGAGTGCAGTGGCGCAATCTCGGCTCACTGCAACCTCCGCCTCCCGGGTTCAAGTGATTCTCCTGCCTCAGCCTCCCAAGTAGCTGGGATTACAGGCGCCCACTACCACAGCCAGCTAATGTTTTGTATTTTTAGTACAGATAGGGTTTCATCATGTTGGGCAGGCTGGTCTCAAACTCCTGACCTCGGGTGATCTGCCCGCCTCGGCCACCCAAAGTGCTGAGATTACAGGTGTGAGCCACCACGCCCAGCCTAATTTTTGTATTTTTAGTAGAGACAGGGTTTCACCATGTTGGCCAAGCTGGTCTCGAACTCCTGATCTCAAGTGATCTTCCCACCTCAGTCTCCCGAAGTGTTGGGATTACAGGCATGAGCCACCACACCTGGCCATGAATATATATAATTTTTTTTTTGTCAATTTTACCTCAATAAAGCTGGGGGAGAAAAACCAAAACCCAACAAGATAAATATAAGAGGTTTTCATTCTAAAATTCAGGCTATTTCCTGACACCGACGTTCTTTGCACTGGTCTATACCAGTTCTCAAGTCTGTTTTCATGGATTTGTCTCAGGCAGCTCTTAAAGAGAGGTGATCTACCTCTAAACTTGAACATCAAGAGTAAAGTGTGCGACAGTGGTCGGTGCATTCTGGGTGCATGAGACATGTCAGCCTTCGATGATGAGTCACATCAGTAGTTTATGAATTCCACCAAGGAAGATGAAGTCCAGGCCATTTGAAAACAAACCAGCATGATGTAATTTCTCCTTTGATCGCTCAAATGACCAAATATGTGTAAAATCCCTTCGTAAACCCTGAGACAATTTTATGAAAGTAAACGGATTTATTGTAGTTGTATTTTGGTTTTAGTTGCTTGTTGTTTCTTCAGTCTTCAATTGGAGCTGTTCTGTAAAAGTGTCTTTCCAAATAGATATTGTAATAAAAATACTGTAATAATTTCTAATGGAATCATATCCATTTAGAGTTTTGTCCCAGAAGGATTTATCTCACCCGATAGCAGAGTTTTCTGAATAGCCTCTAAAGTGGGAAGCGTCTTGGTGGCTTCCTCCAACTTTATCTGGAAAGTTTTCAGGCTTTTTCACATTGTTTTCTAGGATTCTTGGTGGCAGATAGAGAACACAATTTGGAATAAAATCTGGACTTTCATTCTAACAGACAGAAGTTTCCATAATGCCTACTCCTTTCTAATGTTTGTATAAATATAAGGATATGACCCAGTTGTTTTTAGATCAACGTCAGATATAATCATTTCCTGCCCAGATGCACAGAAGAAGCTTGGAAATTTGTGCTTGTCTATTTTAAAAAAGAATCAAGAGTGAAAGCCAAAGATTTTTGTTTTTTGTTTTGTTTTTGTTTTTGTTTTGAGATGAGATCTCACTCTGTCAACCAGACTGGACTGCAATGGAGTGATCTAGGTTCACTGCAACCTCTGTCTCCTGAGTTTAAGCGATCCTCCCACCTCAGCCCCGTGAGTGGCTGGAACTACAGGCACATGCCACCACTTCTGGCTATTTGTTTGTATTTTTGGTAGAGACAGGGTTTTGCCATGTTGCCCAGGCTGGTCTCGAACTCCTGAGCTCAAGCAATTCGGCCACCTTGGCCTCCCAAAGTGCTGGGATTACAGGCATGAGCTGCCGCGCCTGGCCAAAAGCCAAAGGTTTGATTGTGAAGGCCCTGTGTCACTCAATATTAGGATAGATCTACTAGCTGGATATTAGTTGTCAGTTCAAGTGGCTTGAACTCTGTTTTAATACTAACAGTGGCATTGAACAAAATAGCAAGAAGTAGCATAATTAATTATTCAAATAAGGCAAATTATTAAGAATTTTAGAAATTCAAATATCCAGCTTTAAAAGCTAAAAGCCAGGCCAGGTGCAGTGGCTCACACCTGTAATTCCAGCACTTTGGGAGGCTGAGGCGGGCGGATCACCTGAGTTCAGGAATTTGAGACCAGTCTGGCCAACATGGTGAAACCCCGTCTCTACCAAAAATACAAAAATTAGCCAGGCATGGTGGCACCTGTAATTCCAGCTACTCTGGTGGCTGAGGCAGGACAATCACGTGAACCTGGGAGATGGAGGTTACAGTGAGCCAAGATTGCACCACTGCACTCCAGCCTGGGCAACAAGAACAAAACTCGTCTCAAAAACAAAACAAAACCAAAAAAAAAAAGAAAAGAAAGAAAAAAGGTAAAAGCCAGCTTTGTGCCAAAATCCTTTATGATTGGCTGATTTCCTTTACAAAATTCAACATGTTTTCACTGAGTGTATTTTTCAAACCCAGGGTTTGTAAATAGACATTTATGAGCCCAGATCTCTTTTTGAGATTCTCCTTTGTGAGATTTCTAGAACCTCCCCCTGCCCCCTATCAGTTCCATTATCTTGAGAAAATTGTTTGTGGCTGTAGTTTCTGATGTCACTCTCCAGTGCAGGGACATCTCGCCTAGATGCTATTTTCAGCTGAGGATTTGTTTTTAAGTCACAAGGTTCAGTTCTACATTGTTATTCAGCAAATATGTCTCCTGTTTACCATTTTAAGTGGTATACAATAAAAAGGAGTTCTCAAAATTTCAAGAAAAATAAACCTTTGCATCCTTTATACATTTCAGAACTTTATATAAAATGTATATAATTCATTAATCTTTGAAAAGAAACAAGAAAATAGTGAGAAGCTATACCTAAAAACACTTGTGTGTGGTTTTTTTGTTTGTTTGTTGTTTGTTTGAGACGGAGTCTCACTCTGTCGCCCAGGCTGATCTCCAACTCCTGGGCTCAAGAAATCCTCAGGCGTCTGCTTCCCAAAGTGCTAGGGTTGCAGGTGTGAGCCACAGTGCCCGGTCAGGTCAGTACTTAAGTTTTAAACAGGCATTGAATTCCAAGCTTAAAGTCATTTCAGCCAGGTGCAGTGATGTGTGGTTTTAGTCCCAGCCACTCCATAGGCTGAGGTGGGAGGACGCTTGAGCCCAGGAGTTCAGGGCTGCAGTGTGCAGTAATGGAGCCTGTGAATAACCACTGCACTCTAGCATGGGCAAAAGAAGGAGACTGTCTCAAAAAAAAAAAATCATTTCATAAAATACTGAAGGGAGTAAAGGGAAACAAGTCTACGGTGGAGAGTCTTGGAGTCTAGTCCCGACTCTAACTCAGTCCCGACTCTAACTCAGCATGTGATCTTAGGCAGCGGACGTGTCTGAACTACAGGGGATTTAACACTTAGTTGCATACATATTTGCCAGGACCTGAGTTTTGTTTATTCAAAGTATCAGACTCCTCATCTTCACAGTCAAAAATGTTTTGAAAATAAAACTCTCAGTCTTCAGGTTGCAGGTTACAATAAGAGCAATTTCATTTTCTTTTCTTTTTCTTTTTTTTTTTTTTTTAAGACAGGGTCTCACTCTGTAGCCCAGGCTGGAGTGCAGTGGCACAATCACAGCTCACTGCAACCTCAACCTCCTAGGCTCAAGTGATCCTCCCACTTCAGCCTCCTGAGTAGCTGGGACTACAGGCGAGTGCCACCACGCATGGCTAATTTTTGTAATTTTTTCGTAGAGACAGGGTGTCAATTTGTTCCCCAGACTGGCCTCGAACTCCTGGGCTCAAGCGATCCACCCACCTCGGCCTCCCATAGTGCTAGAATCACAGGCGTGAGCCATCATGCCCAGACCTAAGAGCAATTTTCAATACAGCAAAAGTCTTCATCAAAATTTACTGTGAGAAAAGGGCCCATGTAACTACTGTTTTTTTAAATATTTTTTGAACTATATTTACTTATTTGGGACAGAGTCTCACTCTGTCACCCAGGCTGGAGTGCGGTGATGCAATTATAGCTCACTTTAACCTCTAACTCCTTGGCTCAAGCAATCCTCTTGCCTCAGTCTCTCAGGTAGCTGGGACTACAGGTGTGCACCACCATGCCTGGCTATTTTTAAATTTTTTGTAGGGACAGACTAGCTGTATTACCAGGGCTGGTTTCAAACTCCTGGGCTAAAGCAATTCCTTTTCTTTTTTTTTTTTTTTTTTTTTTTTTTTTTTTTGGAAGAGGAGGATATAGATAGGAAGGGAAAGGAAGGGATTCCCTTTTCTTGACATGTATTCATTACTTCACCCCACTCTCATGTCATAAAATAGCTATGACTCAGTAATATTGAGATGTTTTTAACCAAGTTCAATAGTAGTGAAATTCCTTTTTATTTCCACATGCTCTCTTTACTTGAAAATGTGTGTTCTTTCTTTAACAACAATGTTGGTTTTAAAAAATGAAAACATGTAACAAAAAATGAAAGTAAGAAAAAGTGAATAAAAAAACTAAAGACTATTACATGCATACAATACTAAAGATGCTGGTGACATGAATTTTCTCCTCTCATTTGTGATCTCTAACTTACACTTTTAAAATGAAATTTGGAGAAAATCATTTACTGGTCAGGTGCAGTGGCTCACACTTATAATCCCAACACTTTGGGGGGCTGAGGTGGGAGGATCACTTGGGCCCAAGAGTTCAAGACCAGGCTAGGTAACATGGCAAAACTCTGTCTCTACAAAAAATACCAAAATTAGCCAGGCATGATGGCCTATGCCTATAATTCCAGCTACTCTGGAGGCTGGAGATGGGAGGATTCCTTGAGTCTGGGAGGCTGAGGCTGCAGTGAGCAGTGATTGCACCACTGCACTCCAGCCTGGGCAGCAGAGTAAGATCCTGTCTCAAAAAGAACAAAACAAGGCCAGGTGCAGTGGCTCACGCCTGTAATCCCAGCACTTTGGGAGACCGAGGCGGGTGGATCACGAGGTCAGGAGATCAATACCATCCTGGCTAACATGGTGAAACCTGTCTCTATTAAAAACACAAAACATTGGCCGGGCATGGTGGCGGGCACCTGTAGTCCCAGCTACTCGGGAGGCTGAGGCAGGAGAATGGCATGAACCTGGGAGGCGGAGCTTGCAGTGAGCCAAGATCACGCCACTGCACTCCAGCCTGGGCAACAGAGCGAGACTCCGTCAAAAAAAAAAAAAAGGAACAAAACAAAACAAAAACCCATTTCCTGTGTCCCCTAATGTTGCATTATTGTTGGATGCATAACAGGAATTTGTAAAATACAAAAATAGAAGAAAGACTAGGGGAAAGGCAGAATCCTATATTAGCATTTTTAAAAAATTAAATGTAAATATACTTTTCTCATTATATAAGTAATACATAGCTGGGTGTAGTGTCATCAGCTTAATGTCCCACCTACTTGGGAGGCTGAGACAGAAGAATCACTTGAGCCCAGATGTTTGAGGTACAGCCTGGGCAACATAGCAAGACCCCATCTCTAAAGAAATTATATGTATATTACATATATATGTAATCCATTTTATTGTCTGTTCAGAAAACTCAAAAGCATAGAAATGTAAGAAGTGAGAAGTAAATCCCCTGTTACCCCATTCAACCAAAGATAATTTATTATTTTTAGCATATAGTTTTAGACTTGTTTATATTAAAATACAAACATATATGCACATATACATATATATTTAATAGAATAGATTATTCTGCATATCTTGTTTAGTAGATTTTTTTACACTTAGAGATATATGTTAACATCTTTTCCATATGTCTGTTTCATTAAGTGGCGTAACAGGACATGCAATCATTAATAACCGGTCTACTGGTGATGAACATTTTGTATTCAGTATTTTGCATTATATACATTCTACAAAGAACATCCTTGAACCTTGTTATCTTAAGTTCCTAAGATATCTTAAGAACCTAGTTCCTATATTAAGAACCTAGTTACCTACTTCTGTACATATATTTGAGCAGATAAATTCTTTTTTTTTTTTTGAGACGGAGTTTCGCTCTTGTTGCCCAGGCTGGAGTGCAGTGGTACGATCTCAGCTCACTGCAACCTCCGCCTCCCAGGTTCAAGCAATTCTCCTGCCTCAGCCTCTCAAGTAGCTGGGATTACAGGCATGTGCCACCACACCCGGCTAATTTTGTATTTTTTAGTAGAGATGGTTTCTCCATGTTGGTCAGGCTGGTCTTGAACTCCTGACCTCCGGTGACCCACCCACCTCAGCCTCCCAAAGTGCTGGGATTACAGCCATGAGCCGCCGTGCCTGGCCTGTGTAGATAAATTCTAAGCATTTGTTTCTCATACACAATGCAAAAATTATTTTCTCTAACTTGATGTTTGTGTTTAACTTCATATTTTTGCCATTTAGAGTTTTTTAGGTAGTCAAATTTGTCTCTTTCCATTTATAAGTTTTAGCCTTGGTGCTATTCTAAGCAGGTCCTACCTCTATCAAGCTTGTAAAAATCTTTTGGGCTGGGCATGGTGGCTCACGCCTGTAATCCCAACACTTTGGGAGGCCAAGGCAGGAGGATCACTTGAGGCCAGGAGTTTAAGATTAGCCTGGACAACATAGTGAGACCTCATCTCTACAAAATTAAAAAATTAGCCAGGTGTAATGGTGTTCTTCTGTAGTCTCAGCTATTAAGGAGGCTGAGTGGGGCTGGATCACTTGAGCCCAGAAGGTTGAGGCTGCAGTAAACTATGATTGGCCACTGTACTCTAGCCAGGGTGACAGAGTGAGGACTGTCTCAAAGAAAAACCACAAATGCCTGTTTTCTACCACTACATCATTACTTTGTTACATATTTACTTGTTACATTTTTATATAACAAATGAAATGTTTGTTACATGTTTAAGTTGTTACGCAGTTACTTCTTTCTTTTTCTTTGCAGAGGAAAACACTTTGAAATAAACTGTCCTTCAGAACGGCTCCCACCAGCAATGAATGACAATATCAATTCTCACAGTCCTCCATTATTCTGCATATTGTCTTTCTTTATACTATTTGTCAATTTGAAACGCGAAAAAAAACTTTCCTTCTTCTTATACTTTACATCTTCTTTGTTTTTCACAAAACCAATCCTTTGTTTTTTGTTTCTGTTTTTGAGACAAGGTTGCTCTCTGTTGCCCAGGTTGGAGTGCAGTGACGCGATCACAGCTCACTGCAGCCTTTACCTCTCAGGCTCAAACAATCCTCCTGCCTCAACCTCCCAAGTAGCTGGGAAAACAGGTGCACGCCATCAAGCCTGGCTAATTTTTTTTTTTTAATTTTTGTAGACAATGGGGTCTCACTATGTTGCCCAGCCTGGTCTCACATTCTTGGGCTCAAGCAATCCACCCACCTTGACCTCCCAAAGTGGTGGGATTACAGATATGAGCCAACATGCCTGGCCCAACCTTTTAAGATATGTTTATTTACAGTTATTATTTTTTTCTCTTGAAAAGTATTTAATTACATGCTTGGTTTATTTTTCTCCTGGGCTTTAAAAAAAATGAATTTGCAAGAGTTTGTCATATTTTCATATACATTTAGAACAAGATCCAGAAGAAGAATGTGAAGGATATGGACCCTTTTTAAATTGTATCTGTTGCAAATATTTTGAATTGTATTCCAAACTGTATTTGATAGTCTGGAGATAATCGCTGAGATTGTGCAATTTTAGCTGTTGCCCAGAGGTAAACACGAAGGGGGTGTGAGGGGGTGGTGCTGGGTAGAGAAAACTTTCCAAGGAGTTTATGCTAAATAGCAAGACAAAGCAAGTCCACAAACAGCAAAACAAGCAAGCACAAAGCATGTCTCATTCTCATGTTAATATTCATCTATTGATGGTGTCTTCAGGTGTATGAGTCCAGTGGGCTCATGCCAAAAACAGCCTGGGAAAACAGACTGAGGAGAAGAGGGGCTAGAAAGAAGGGGAGAGAACCCAGAGGTCTTGGGGGCTCTCCAAGCCTATGATACTTTATAACATGCTCTTGGGGCACACTTGGAGATTGCTGTAGACTGAGAGAGTGCATTGTGTCTCTTGTTTGATTTACCCATGTGATGCTTGGATGAGAACAGAGAATTAAACACATAAAATACTGTGCAATGTAATAGAAATGTGTTTTTTCCCTTAAGTCAGAGCTCTAGGATCATAAAGATATTTTGGCTCCAAATTACACCCTCTCCCCTCACCCCCACCACCAGCAATCAGAGACCAGTGTATTCTACTCACCATGGAATCAGGTCAAAACAGAAAACAAATTATTTTCATATGTAAGCCTTGCCTACAATGCTCAAAGTCTCAAGACTTGGGATTTTGCATCTCACTGTTTCCAAGGTCTGGACTCTCACAGGGACACCTAGCTATGTGTGACATCATCATTAGCACTTCTATGTTTTATTAGAATGTGGACACATAGGTAATAAGAACATGCTGTTTCCCATCCCACTGTACCCATTGCCATTGATGTTGGCACATTATCTCAATGTTAGGCCGCTGTACCAGGAAATATCTCCTTTTCACACTTGCTACAAGAACATAGCCTCAACATATTCATGCCAGATAAGTCTCCCTATTTGACCTTTGTCATTATTTGCTGAACTTTTTGTTTGTTATGAGCCTACCAATAACACTGTTACTTGGCCAAGCACGGTGGCCTACACCTGTAATCCCAGCACTTTGGGAGGCAGAGGTGATGGGGGGGGGTTGTGGCGGATCACCTGAGGTCAGGAGTTCAAGACCAGCCTGGCCAACATGGCGAAACCCTGCCTCTACTAAAAGTACAAAAATTAGCTGGGCGTGGTGGCAGGTGCCTGTAATCCCAGCTACTCAGAAGGCTGAGGCAAGAGAATCACTTGAACCCGGGAGGTGGAGGTTGCAGTGAGCCAAGATCATGCGCTGCCCTCCAGCGTGGGTGACAAGAGCGAGACTCCGTCTCAAAAATAAATAAATAAATAAAATAACACTGTTACTTAACATTATCTGATTATTATAGTAGAATGGCTGGAAAACTTTCTGAATGGCAATCAATGTATATCCATTCACCTTTATAGTTACTGAATTTCGGTGCATCCCTGCTGTGACTCCAGGTCCTGCTAGAGCCCCTCTACGAACCCCACTATGACCGTGACCAGCAACAGCAAATTGATTGGAGTGTAATGGTCGTGGCTGATGTCTTTTTGCTTATTCCTGAACCTTAGAACTATTACTAGTAGTCTACATAATATATGCTAAACAGAATTAGGTAAACAAAACACTCCATGCTGCTTGGAACCTTTCAGGGAAGACTCGTGATCTTCCACCACCTTGGAAGTACAGGGCAATCTCACCAAATCAAGTACTAATACAAAAGTGTGGCTGGCATCACTATGTCGTTATGAGGGAAGCACATTTATATCTTCTGTTTATGTCTTCCCAGATGGTAGATGCAAACCTCTGTGGCCTCTGTTTCACCTCCTATTTTTTCCGTGATGCTCAAATGCGATCAGTCTTATGTAACAATGAGGTTAAGTCAAGGGGAAGAAAGATAGTGCAGAAGGAGTGGAAGAGAATGAGGAGAAAGAGACAGAGGTGCATGGTAGGAAAGCAGATAAGCCTGCTGGCTGCTGTTGACATGTAGAACCTTCTAGAAACACTCCACAAAGCTCTATTTCTCTCTAAAGCAACATAGGAGAAAGGCATCTTCATTTCTTTATGCCATAGTTAGGATAGAAAAGCATAATTACATAGTGTGAGTACTAAGCCACTCTGAGGATAGAGTCTTAAACTCTCTGGATCCAGAGACTTAAGTCTGTGCATGTAGGGAAACACTAACCACACTTAATTACGCCTGCCTGACCCTGAGTGACTCACTAGCTGGGGTGAGAAGTTAGGGGGCTGCAGGGATATAAAGCTGGGCACTCCAGGACAGGTGAGGGGAGCGACTGTGGAAGTCTGTATTATTGAAAATAAAGACTTTTTTTGGACTAGCAGTGTAAAATCAAGAGTTAATGCATGCTAAACTTGGATGATCCCCCAATATAAGCTTGTCTTACACAGAAAGCAGCAAACCACTATCCCATCCTTTATGACTTTTAATCTGTAAAGTTTTGTGTAACTTTCCCCATCTCATCTCAGGTTTTCTTCTATAATTTCAGAATTTATTTATTTATTTATGTAGAGTCTCACTCTGTCGCCCAGGCTGGAGTGCAGTGGCATGATCTCAGCTCACTGCAACCTTCACCTCCCAGGTTCCAGCGATTCTCCTGCCTCAGCCTCCTGAGTAGTCGGGATTACAGGCGCCCTCCATAATTTCAGAATTTTCGTGATGCTTAATTCTATACTTAAACCTGAATATTGAGTCTAAACTTCCATTGGCTTTTCTAGGAACAAGATTAGGTAATAATAACTATGTTTACTAATAGTTTCTCAAGTTCTCCTTATTCATCGTCAATGGTATAGCCACATAATCACTTTATAAATAGCACATGGTTAGGCTTTTCACCTGCCTTATATCTCACTTGCACTGTTTTAAAATAGTGTTTTCCCTGCACCTTCTTTTTTTTTAAACTTAATGACTTTTTTTTTTTTCACTTCATCCTCCCAAAGTGCTGGCATTACAGGCATAAACCCCGTGCCTGGCCAGACATATTATTTTTTAACTCTTGCCTTGGCCTTTGTTCAGACTTGTATCATAAAGTCAATTAGTCATTGCTAGATAAGGTACACCCTTTCCGAGCTGGTTTTGAAAAGCAGGGACTGGGAGTAATCCAATCTGTGATGCAAACTTTGTTTACCAGAAGGTTTGTTACCAGGTGGTAAACAAAGTGTTTGCCCTTATAGAAAAACACTTCCCATACAACTGAAGGTGAATACACAACAGAACAACGACAGTCCCAGAAGCTTCCCCGGGCCTTGGTGCATTGTTATGTAGATGAGCTTTTGCTAAAGATGGCTGCAGGTGCAGCCAGGAGTCCCTGGAATATGCAGAAAGACTCCTGGCTTTGTGTAAATCGCTTCCAGCTGATTTAGACAGTTAGCAAAGGGCATTTATTCAGCAACTGGGGACAAAATTGACATCTGTCCTCCTTTCCTCGAGGAGGTCTGAAACTTTTTTTTAAAGATTATATTTTTAAGGCCAGGCACGGTGGCTCATGCCTGTAATCCCAGCACTTTGGGAGGCCGAGGCGGGTGGATCACGAGGTCAGGAGATCGAGACCATCCTGGCGAACACGGTGAAACTCCGTCTTTACTAAAAATACAAAAAAAACAAATTAGCCAGGCATGGTGGCGAGTGCCTGTGGTCCCAGCTACTCGAGAGGCTGAGGCAGGAAAATGGAATGAACCCGGGGGGCGGAGCTGGTAGCGAACGCAGATCCCACCACTGCACTCCAGCCTGGGCGACGGAGCGAGACTCCGTCTCAAAAAAAAAAAAAAAAAAAAAAAGATTGTATTTTTAGAACAGTTTTAAGCTCAACATAAAATTAAGAGGGAGGTACAAAGATCTTTTACACATCCTCTGTCCCCACCTATGCAGCCTCACCTATGGGCACCAGCATGACACGTTTGTTACAATGGCTGAATTCACATGCCATTATCAAAACCCAAATACCGTAGCTTACATGAGGGTTCACTCTTAGTGTTGTGTATTCTATCGGTTTGAACAAATGTATCATGGCATATATCCACCATTATAGTATACACAGTATATTCACTGTTCTAAAAATCCTCTGTGGGTCTGAAAGGTTTATGTTGTTCTGGTTTTTGGTTTTTGGTTTTGGGTTTTTTTTGGGGGAGGGTGGGGGTGGAGGGCAGGGTCTCACTCTGTCACTCAGGCTGGAGTGCAGTGGTGTGATCATAGCTCATGGCAGCCTCAACCTCCCAGCTCGAGCAATCCTCCCACCTCAGCCTCCTGAGTAGCTGAGAGACTACAGGCACACACCACCACACCCAGATTGGTTTTTTTTTTTTTTTTTTTTGAGACGGTCTCACTCTGTCACCCATGCTGGAGTACACTGGCACAATCCTGGCCCACTGCAATCTCCACCTCCTGGGTTCAACCAATTCTCCTGGCTCAGCCTCTGGAGTAGCTGGGACTACAGGTGGGTGCTACCATGCCCGGCTAATTTTTGTATTTTTAGTAGAGACGGGGTTTCACCATGTTGGCCAGGCTGGTCTCGAACTCCTGACCTCAAGTGATCCATCTGCCTTGGCCTCCCAAAATGCTGGTATTACAGACATGAGCCACTACACCTGGCCTTAATTTTTATTTTTTGTAGAGATGGGATCTTGCTGTTACCAAGGCTGGTCTCTAACTCCTGGGCTCAAGGGATCCTCCTGCCTGAGCCTCCCAAAGTGCTGGGATTAGAGACCTAAACCACTGCCCCGGTCCAGGTCTGAAACTTTTTAAAGGAGAGTACCACTTGTTGACCCCTTTCCTTTTGATACTGGGAAGGGAGTGCTTAAGTGGGGGATGCCTCCTTTCTCAATGCAAAGAGGAGACTCTTACTAGTATATTTAGGGGTAATGGTTGCCTTTTGCCAAATGAAAGTTTGTGTCTACCGTCTGGGGAGACATAAACACAGCCACCAATAAGCACTGTGATTACAGCCAGAAAGGCCTGGTCCTGAGGCTAATTACACTGGAGAAGTCTGAATGTGCCCCAGGGACTGGAGAAGTCCCACCTTCTTCTTGACTACTTCTGCCAGATGTCTGTGGGGTCTCCAAGATAACCAGGCCCCTCTTTTTGTTTCACTAATGACTGCCTCTTTAGGACCTTGGCTCTGCTTGAGCGGGACCTGGAAACCTATTTACCAACCACTTTATAGGCGGAGCTTGCAGTGAGCCAAGTTCACGCCACTGCACTCTAGCCTGGGCGACAGAGCAGAACTCCGTCTCAAAAAAAAAAAAAAAGAAAGGAAAAGAAAAAGAAATTAGGCAATTTGCCTAAAACCACATAACTGTGAGTGGCAGGGGCACATGGCTGTGAGGTTTGTCTCCTAAGCCCTTGGGGTTAGGTTTGTCTAACCTGTTAAGGCAGGTTTGTCTCCAAAGCCCTTGGAGCTTTCCTTACATTACACCACCTTTCCGAAGTTGCTAGAGATGCACAAGATGAGGTTGCAGTCAGGAAAACTCAGTTCAATGCATGACCTAGTAAAACAGCCAGTGCTGGAAAGTTCAGGAGAGGAGGGTGAATTTCTTGTCCTTAAAGTCCCTGCACAGCCCTACAGGGTGACAGCAAAGTCCTTGGTTGGCCATCTCCCCTTAGCCTGGACATTGGACCCTTGACACCATGTTGAAGGCCAGTGACCCACAAGGCTGCTGGCTGCCCACCCCGCCTGCCTCCTGCCTTGGAATTCTAAAAAGCAATTGAAACAATCAAGTATTGATGTCAAGTTAGGGGAAAAATCATGCATTTCCAAACTGAAATTCAAAGTTAGTCCTTCTGAGACAGGTAAAGGAAGGGTATATGGAAATTGTCTGAGATAGCAGTTGTTCCCCCTAATTCTGCCTTAGTCTCTCAGCTGCTAACAGAAGTCCGCAGAACTGTAAGGAATTTTTTTTTTTTGAGACAGAGTCTCGCTCTGTCACCCAGGCTGGAGTGCAGTGGCACGATCTCGGCTCACTGCAAGCTCCGCCTCCCCGGTTCACGCCATTCTCCTGCCTCAGCCTCCCGAGTGGCTGGGACTACAGGCACCCGCCACCGCGCCCGGCTAATTTTTTTTTTTTTGTATTTTTGGTAGAGAGGGGGTTTCACCGTGTTAGCCAGGATGGTCTTGAACTCCTGACCTCGTGATCTGCCTGCCTCGGCCTCCCAAAGTGCTGGGATTACAGGTGTGAGCCACTGCGCCCGGCCTGTAAGGAACTTTTGATCAGACCCCATGGCTGGCCTCGGTCTTCCCTCAGTGAATCCCTGAGAAGAGTGTTGGTCTCTTAGCTCTGCCCCTAGAAAGATCTAAAATAATCTCGAATCTAGAATGACCTCATTTCTACCCGTCTCTGCCAGAGTCCAGAAATGTTCAGCTGCTATCTCTCTTCAGCCTCAAATCCCTAACCCTGGGGTGATTCACTCCTGAAACAGAGTAGATAATTTAATCCAGGAAAACTCTCTCTTTCTAGGAAGAAGGGTTTACTCGTCACCCTCTGTGTAGTCACAGGAACCTTGATTAATTTATGAACTGATAACAATGTGTATAGATTGTTTTTTTAAATTCCACTTTTAGAGTATTGCTACTGCTGCATATTTCTTCTAACTATAGCTGTTAAGCTGCTGGAGAAACAAGACTCACAGAGGTTAATAGAATGTCCTCAGAGGCAAGGGTTCAAATCATGCCTCAACCATGACACAGCCCTGCAGCCTTGCACAGACTACTTAATCCTAATTTCCTTTGTCTTAAAGAAGGAATAAGAGCAGCACTTACCTCACTGGGCAGCTGTATGTGTTGAGATCATGCACATAGTGTACATAAAGCACTTAGTACATAACATGTGCTCGGTAGCCCCTGGGATTATCATTGTTACAAGGAGTACTTTGAAAATGCTTGTCCTATAAAGAATATTTGCTGGAATTTGCCCCTAATTCTAATCTTTTGTTTTGTTTTTTTTGTTTTTGCAACAGTCTTGCTCTGTCGCCCAGGCTGGAGTGCAGTGGTACAATCAATCTCAGCTCACTGCAAACTCCATCTTCCAGGTTCAAGTGATTCTCCTGCCTCAGCCTCCCGAGTAGCTGGGGTTACAAGTGTGTGCCACCACACCCAGCTAATTTTTGTATTTTTAGTGGAGGCAGGGTTTCACCATGTTGGCCAGTCTGGCCTTGAACTCCTGACCTCAGGTGATCCGCCCACCTTGGCCTCCCAAATTGCTGGGATTACAGGCGTCAGCCACCATGCTCGGCCTCCTAATTCTAAATTTATCTGCATCTTGCATCCATTCTCTGCTATGGCTCAGTTGAGGTAAAAGGAAATAGTAATATCTTATGCTCTGCTCTTTTATTCTTATTAAATGCTTTCTTATTCACTATCCCAATGCCTCAAATGATGCATGCTTAAGAAATACTTTATTTTTCACAGCTGTCCTGGAAGACAGATGGCATAGATCATGATGGTGCTGTCTTATAAAGGAAGGAAGTCTACTAAGGGCTTCCAGGTGGGCCAGGCTGTATTCATTTATGCTAGAGCTGCTACAGTTGGGTGGCTTCATGTAATAGAAATGCATTGTCTCAGAGCTCCGGAGGCTAGAAGTCCAAAATCAAGGTACTGGCATGGTTGTTTCCTTCTGAGAGTTGTGAGGGAGAACCTGTTCATACCTCTCGCCTAGCTTCTGGTGTTTTACTGGCAATCCTGGGTGTTCTTGGATTCTAGAAGCATCACTCCAACAGCTGTCTCCTTCCTCATGTGGCTTTTCTCCCTGTGTGTGCCTGTCTCTTTGTCTAAAGAACCCCTTTTAATAAGGATACCAGGCACTTTGGATTAGGGCTCACCCTAATGACTCATCTGAACAACATCATCTACAAAGACCCTATTTCCAAGTAAGGTCAAATTCACAGGTGCTGGGGGTTAGGCCTTCACCATCATTCAGATGGGACACAACTCAACCCACAACATGGGCCTAAAGTTAATGTCATTTAAACCAGTTGCTGTTTAGATGCCGCATCTCCCAGCTTCTTCAGTCTCCAGAATCAGCTATTGCTTTTTGGTTTTTTTTTTAGAGAAGGGATCTTGGGCCAGGCACGGTGGCTCATGCCTGTAATCCTAATACGTTGTGAGGCCAAGGCAGGCGGATCACCTGAGGTCAGGAGTTCAAGACCAGCCTGGCCAACATGGCGAAACCCCATCTCTATAACAAAATAGAAAAGTCGGGCATGGTGGTCGGCGCTTGTAGTCCCAGCTACTCAGGAGGCTGAGGCAGGAGAATGGCTTGAACCCAGGAGGCAGAGGTTGCAGTGCGCCGAGATTGCACCACTGCACTCCAGCCTGGGCAACGGAGCAAGACTCTGTCTCAAAAAAGGAAAAAAGAGAGATGGGATCTCACTGTGTTGCCCAGGTTTGTCTTGAACTCACAGGCTCAAGCCATTCTCCAGCCTCAGCTTCCCAACATGCTGGGATTACAGGTGTGAGCCACTGCAACTCCTACCCCCCCATTTTTTTTTTTGAAAAAAATAAAATCTTTGCTGCTAAACAAATTAATCCCATAAAAAAAACAATTGGGGAACAAAAACACCTGCAAAAATATGAATTAAAGAATGGCAGGGGAGTTGTTCTTTTTTCTTCTCCTGGACTTTAGAAAGTCTGGCTTCTGGACAGGTGCAGTGGCTCACTCCTGTAATCCCAGCACTTTGGAAGGCCGAGGCGGGTGGATCACAAGGTCAAGAGATCGAGACCATCCTGGCCAACATGGTGAAACCTGGTCTCTACTAAAAATACAAAAATTAGCCAGGCATGACGGCATGCACCTGTAGTCCCAGCTACTCGGGAGGCTGAGGCAGGAGAATCACTTGAACCCGGGAGGCAATGGTTGCAGTGAGCCGAGATCGTGCCACTGCACTCCAGCTTGGTGACACAGCGAGACTCCGTCTCAAAAAAAAAGAAAAGAAAGAAAGTTTGGCTTCTTTATTTCTGTGACAGGACTTCATCCTCCGCAACTTAATGGCACAGCCTATATCAATCAGCCGTCTTGTAGGGTGATAGAGAGATGCTGGCAGAAGATAGGGTGAAAAGAGCACAGTAGAAACACATCCAGATGCCCAGTGCACACAGACGCTTTTGTGTCTCTCTTGTTTTCAGCATAGAGTCCAAAATAATGACCTATATCAGAGTTTGGCAAAGTGCACCCAGCACCTGTTTTTTTTTTTTTTTAAACTATCTTGAAATAATTATAGATCCATAGGAAGTTGCAAAAGTACTACAGAGAGCTTCTCTGTACCCTTCACCCAGGTCACCTTCTCTGCAATGGTTGCATATTAAGCAATTGTCAGCTATTGCATTTCTTTTTTAATTGAAATGGAGTCTTGCTCTGTCGCCCAGGTTGGAGTGCAATGGCACGATCTCGGCTCACTGAAGCCTCCGCCTCCTGGGTTCAAGTGATTCTCATGCCTCTTCCTCCCAAGTAGCTGGGATTACAGGTGTGCGCCACTAGGCTTGGCTAATTTTTGTATTTTTAGTAGAGACAGGGTTTCAACATGTTGGCCAGGCTGGTCTCGAACTCCTGACCTTAAGTGATCTGCCTGCCTTGGCCTCCCAAAGTGCTGGGATTACAGGCATGAGCCACTACATCCAACCAGGTATTGCTTTTTGAAGATTGTGGTGCTGGGAACAATATACTAGAACTATTTGCTGCAAAATCCCTGCAGGCTCACCTCACCCAAACCACTGCCTTTGAAAGGAACCTGAATTCACAGTTCCCCTGTCAACCTTCCAGAATCTACACATACAGACCCTTTCCTCTGATATGGTTGACCTGGTTTACTCTTTTCCTTGAGGGGATTTCTGTCACCCCCTGCGGATGCCACAGTCCCCTGTGATGAGGGGAAAGGGGAAACTGCAAAGTGGGGACAGCTTCAGCCCCTGCCTTGATGACACTGAGGAGTCTACAGAGGGGTCTACGCTATATTCCTGGTTTCATCCAACTCATGTTCATCTGTGGCTACCTGGGGAAAAGAGCCCAGTTCACAGGGACAGAAATGGTTTCTGCCATCGCGTTGGCAAGAGAGGGGAAGTGGCTGATGAAAGGTGAAAGACATACACTAGTGAGGGTGATCCCTTCTGAGACGCAAAACCAGTTGCCTCAGGAGTCCTGAAACAGGAGGAGTTTTAGCCAGGAGTGGGGCACGACGTACCTGAAGTCTCAGCTACTCAGGAAGCTAAGGTGGGAGGATCACTTGAGCATAGGAGTTCCAAGCTGTATTGAGCTAGGATGGCACCACTGCACTCCAGCCTGGGTGACAGAGCAGTATCCTGTCTTTAAAATATAATAAATAAATAAATTTAAAAATAAAAGATCCTCACTTGAGTCAGAAAATGCAGAAAGATATCAAAAGAAAATAAGTCTCAACTAACCCCACCATCCTGTAGTAAAACAAAACAAAACTTGTTGATGTCTTTTTTGTATATTAAAAGAATGCATGTTATAAGAAAATTGTTGAGAGATTTCAACCATTTGGCTCAAGAAAGAAGTTAGTGATGTTTTCCTTTCTGGAATTGCATCGTTCAACTTTTCTGTTAAGTTTACCAAGTGCTGTGTTTTCCTTCCTTTTTTCTTTGCATTTATGTGTATGTGTGTGAGTATATGTGTGTTTTACAAATTGATATCACTCTGCATATGCTGTTTTATATATTACTTTTCTTTACCTTAATCTTAGAACATAAATCATGATTATTTTCCTGTCATATGAATTATTTTTTAGAACTCTTTGTCATTACATGAACAGAACATTTACATCATAGAAGCCTGGAAAATGCAGGCATAAAATTAAAAATAAGACCACTAATCTTTCACCTCTCAGACACTCAGATCGCTGTTATTACACCTTAGAGCCCTTACTTGTGGACACTATTTCTAACCATGTGTTGTGTGTGTGTGTGTGTGTGTGTGTGTGTGTGTATGTGTGTATACATAAAGCAACAAAGTGAATTGTACACTTTTTAAAATTAGTTTCTTTTTGAGATAGAGTCTCGCTCTGTCACCCAGGTTGGAGTGCAGTGGTACGATCTCAGCTAACTGCAATTCTACCTCCCAGGTTCAAGCGATTCTCTTGCCTCAGCCTCCTGAGTAGCTGGGATTACAGGCATGCGCCACCAAGCCCAGCTAATTTTTGTATTTTTAGCAGAGATGGGGTTTTTCCATGTTGGAACAGGCTGTTCTCGAACTCCTGACTTCATGATCTGCCCGCTTCAGCCTCCCAAAGTGCTGGGATTACATGCATGAGCCACTGCACCTAGCTGAATTGCACACTTTAAAGGGGTGAGTTTTATGGTATACGAATTCTATCTCAATAAACTTAAACATGTTGCCAAAACATATTTAGAGAATGATCACCTTTTGGAGTGTGTGTGTGTGTGTGTGTGTGTGCACGCATGAATGTGTGTGTATCCCCTAGTATTGGAACATCCTAAATGGACCTGAACATCCAAGTTTGTCCAAAACAGTGTCCAATGCAGCATGTGTTCACTGGTTACATCCTTTAGGCCTCTGGTTACATCCTTTATGATCTTCTGTAGTGACGAAGCATTAAGTTTAACAGTGACTCGTCATGCAATGATCATCTGTTTCATTTGACAGATGAGGAAATGGAGGCTCAGCAGGGCTGTGGGATCTACCCAGGGCCATGGTGCTTGTAAGCCGAGTCAGGACTCTGTGAAATGGAGCACTCGCCGGCACTCAACAGTCTTCACTACATCCACCACGTTGTTCTGATGGCACCTGCTGAAGCCTCACAGAATAACTGTATTTCTCTTCCTCAAAATGGTACCCTCTTCCCCTTCCAGTCGTTAGCTACTCAGCAGCTGTTTGTCCTCTGCTGGGCCCTAAATTGGTTGCTGGGGATGTAGCAATGAAAGGTGGAGCCCTTTTCAAGAAATGGGCTAGACTGGGTGTGGTGGCTCACACCTGTAATCCCAGCACTTTGGGAGGCCGAGGCAGGCAGATCACCTGAGGCCAGGAGTTCAAGACCAGCCTGGCCAACATGGTGAAATCCCATCCCCACTAAAAACCAAAAAGCAAAACAAAACAAAAAAACAAAATTAGCCAGGCACGGTGGCATACACCTGTAGTCCCAGCTACTCAGGAGACTGAGCAGGAGAATCGCTTGAACCAGGAGGCAGAGGTTGCAGTGAGCTGAGAGCAAGCCATTGCACTCCAGCCTGGGTGACAGAGCAAGACTCTGTCAAGAAAAAAAAAAAGAAGAAAGAGAGAAGGAAGGAAGAAAGGAGAGAGAAAGAGAGAGAAAGGGAAGGAAGGAAGGAGAAGAGAAGAGAAATAAGGAAAGAAAGAAAGAAAGAAAGAAAGAAAGAAAGAAAGAAAGAAAGAAAGAAAGAAAGAGAAAGAAAGAGAAAGGAAGGAAGGAAGGAAGGAAGGAAGGAAGGAAGGAAGGAAGGAAGGAAGGGGCTGGGAGAAGCAGACAGCAACAGGCAGTAACACAGAGTGACAACAGGGCGCTCTGGGAACAAAACACAGGGGCGCTGTGTCAGTTTCCTGGGGCTGCCACAACAAAGTGCCACAAACCAGGCAACTTAAACAATAGAAAATCAGCCAGGTGGGGTGGCTCACTCCTGTAACCCCAGCAATTTGGGAGGCCAAGACAGGAGGATTGCTTGAGCCCAAGAGTTCGAGACCAACCTGGGCAACATAGTGAGACCTCATCTCTACAGAGAAATCAAATAATTAGCTGGGCATAGTGGTGCATGCCTCTGGTCCCAGCTACTTGGGAGGTCAAGGCAGGAGCTTCAGCACACGAGTTCGAGGCTGCAATGAGCTACTTTGTTTGATCTCACCATTGCACTCTAGCCCGGGACAGAGGGAGACCTTATCTTTTAAAAAAAATTTCTGATGGCAGACCTCACCTACAGAGATGTGATTCATTGTGCCTGGGTTGGAGGCCTGCATTGTTTGAAAGCTCCCCCAGACGATGCTAACGTACAGCCCAGGTTGAGGAGGCCAGCTCCAGACCAGGGGTCCCGCACTCGGCGTGCATCAGAATCACAGGACGGCTTGCTTGCTGGGCTCCATAGCCAAGTTTCTAGTGCAGTAGTTCAGGTATGGGGCCTAAGAATCTGCATTTCTAACATGCTCCCAGGTGGTCCAGGGAGCTCCTGGTCCCAGAGAGCACACTATGAGGAGCACTTTGATCCTGTCTATGCCAGTTAGCCTCAGCATCAGCAGGGATCTGCGGGAAATGCAGAATTTTGGCCCCCACCTCAGAGCTGCACAAAATCCCCTGTTGATTCTGGTGTTTGAGAACTCCTGCTCCAGTCAATTCCGCTATCAGGGGACACATAATTTTACGCAGGTTATACTTGGCACAACCTGACACACAGTAAAACACTCAAGGCCAAGCACAGTGGCTCAGGCCTGTAATCCCAGCACTTTGAGAGGCTAAGGCGGGCAGATCACTTGAGCCCTGGAGGTCAAGAATGCAATGAGGCTTTATCACACTACTGCACTCCAGCCTAGGTGGTAGAGCAGACTCCATCTCTTGTTTTTTTTGTTTTTTTTTTTTTTGAGATGGAGTTTCACTCTTGTTGCCCAGGCTGGAGTGCAATGGCATGATCTCGGCTCACTGCAACCCCTGCCTCCCGAGTTCAAGCAATTCTCGTGCCTCAGCCTCCCGAGTAGCTGGGATTACAGGCATGTGCCACCACAACCAGCTAATTTTGTATTTTTAGTAGAGACGGGGTTTCACCATGTTGGTCAGGCTGGTCTCAAACTCCTGACCTTAGGTGATCCGCCTGCCTCTGCCTCCCAAAGTGCTGGGATTACAGGTGTAAACCACCGAGCCTGGCCAGCAGACTCCATCTCAAAACAAAAACAAAAACAAAAACAAAACAAACAATAACAACAAACACTCAGTAAATATTTGTAAAATAAACGAATGCCCATGAGCACACTGAGTTTTATTCCTGTCTACTGAGTGCTTTGATAGTGGTATCTAGAAGCCTGATTATAGCATTACTTAAGCAGAACAACAGAACCCCATGGGAACTCTTGCATGAAAGACCCAGGTGTGGGCCCTAGGGAGAACACAATAATCACAGCACTCTTCCATCCGTAAGCCAAGAGTTCATGCATCTATTTTGGGTGAGCCCAGTACTCAGACCCTGGATATAAAATGCTGATTGACAGTCTGTTCCTGACGTGAAGGAGCTTATGACCTAGGAATCCTGAAACACTTGCTCAATTCTTGTTATGATCACTAGAGCAAAATGTTAGCACAGTACAAGAGATAGCAGCAGGTGGAGTCACATAACCATCACCATCAGGAAGGCCAACCCGGGGATATCCTGAGAACTAGACATAGCACAGGGATAGCTGAAGAAGAGCAGTCGGTACTCAGGAGGGTAAAGGGCAGGCAAGCAACATCTGGAGTGTGTGGCAGGTAGCAGGGCCACCATCCAGGTGTCAGAAACAGGACTTCCTTTCTAAAACAGGGAATGACAAGAGCAGAGCAAGGGAATTTTAGATGAGTGCTGGCCGGACATTCAAGACAGAATAAAAGATGGAGACCCAGTTACCAGGACTGAAGAAAAAAGAAGGGACCACATCTTGGGATCAATCCTTAAACGACTTGGAGTTCATTCTTTCTGTAATGCGGGTGGTCCATCTAGGCAACAGTGTTTGGATCTTGGGGATCAGATAGGAACTCAATTTTGGGCCTAGGGCACAAATAAGTTTTCAGCGCCAGACCTAGTGGCCAAGGAAGGAAGAAAAGAAGGAAAGAAAGGGAAGGAAAGGAAGGGAGGGAGGGAGGAAGGATGGAAGGAAGGAAGCAAAGAAAGGAAGGAAGGAAGAAAGGAAGGGAGAGAGGAGGAGGGAAGGAAGGAGGGAGGGAGGAGAGAAGGGAGAAAGAAAGAAAGGGAGGGAAGGAAGGAAGGAAGGAGAAAGGGAGGGAGGGATCAATCCTTAGAGAACTTTAGGGATGTTTTCTCATGCAACAAATACTCTGCTTCACCTTATTGATGAAGAAATGGAGGCTCGGCAGTTTCCTGAATTTCCCCCAGTCTCTAGGAACAGATCTAAATATTCCAGTTTGACTTTCACCTGAAGGGGGGCAGGCGGCAGGCAGTATAAATATGTACAATATGGCATCCCAAGTAGTCTCTTCCTCTTCAGCTATCCTGTGCTCTGCCAAGTGCTCGGGATACCCCTGGGTTGGCCTTCCCAATGGTGGCTGTTATGTGACACCACCTCCTGCCATTTCTTGTACTGTACTAACATTTTGCCTGAGTGGTCGTAACCAGAAATGATCAATGTGGTGTCCATTTCTGTGTCTGTTGCTGTTTTAACTAAATTTAGAAAGTTCTCGGAATTGCAAAGATAATTTTTGGAGGGCCTAGGGAACATTGTGTCTTGGAGAGGCAGCCTCGTGAAGTGGGAAGCACTGTAACGGGAGCTGAAGGTTGACACAGCCCAGGTGGTCAAGGGACACAAGACGAGAGCCTTCCTGCCTGACCCTTCATTATTGATGATTGGTCCACTAAGGACCAATAAAGCGTCTAGGAGCCTCTCCAAGCTACTTAGAATTACTGAGGTGCCAGCAGGCACCAGGCTTATAAATCTGTCTTTTATTATCTGGTTGGCTTAGCCAGGTCTCCAAAAGGAACAGTCAAAGTTTTATGATGTACTTTAACGAGCTGACTTTCAGAGTCAGGCTTTGTCCTGGATGAAATCTCCCCAGCGGCAATGGAGGTCAGCTAGATCTCCTAACCCTGCTCAGAGTCCATTTGTTGTTAGACTGTTGATCAGAATCATTTTCTCATTCAAAACAGTGAAATGTCTTTTTTTTTTTTTTTTTTTGGCAGGAGGCAAGGAGGAACATGAGCATCTGCCCCACTCTCTAAATCTCTTAATATACATTGATACGCGTAGACACACAGCCTTTTTTTTTTTAGACGGAGTCTTGCTCTGTCGCCCAGGCTGGAGTAGCAATTCTCCTGCCTCAGCCTCCAGAGTAGCTGGGATTACAGGAGCACACCACCATGCCCTACTAATTTTTATATTTTCAGTAAATACAGAGTTTCACCCAGTTGACCAGGCTGGTCTTGAACTCCTGACCTCAGGTGATCCACCCGCCTTGGCCTCCCAAAGTGCCGGGATTACAGGTGTGAGCCACCACTAAAATTCACTTTTCAGATAGAAAATGTAACACTAGTGCCTACATTATTGAAAATGTGCTTTGTCATTGTCTATTGGTCTGATTAATCTAGGAGTTTATCTGCCCAAAAGCAAATTCTAGTATCATTTTATCACTGGTTCAATTTACAAGCTATCAAAAATACTGATGCTCTCATTAGTTCATGCTACAGAAAAAAATTTGTTAAAAATAATTATAAAATGTAAAAGCCCAATTTTAAAAGAAGCTGATCTAAAACTTTTATATCCAGGTAAGGGTAGTTACTTTGTGGGTTGTCCTTATGGTTCAGTCAATGCTATCATTGCCAAGAAAGTTCTGGAAACTTTTCTGAGCCCGGAGTTTATTCTTTGGATATCGTCTAGGGTGAGAAATCTTTTTTCTTTGGAGCTTTGCTTTCTGTAAACAACTTGGAGTTTATTCTTTCAGTAACGTGGGTGCTCCATCTGGGCAACACTGTTTGGATCTAAAACCCAGTTTGGGCCCAGAGAATTCCTTTTCTTGTGCAGTCTGTAAATATATTCTGAAAGCCACCCCAGAAGAGTTTCAGACATGTTTTAAACAAAGTAAAGAGCATAGGTAAGAAATAGAGCTTCCCAAAGCGGCTGTTTTAAAGTGATATTAATCTGGTAGAAATCACAATGCATTTTAAAAATAAATCCATGTGATTTTATAGCCATGACTCAGACACATAAACTTCTGAAGGTGAAAATGCTTTAGGGAGAGATAGAGAAAACTTTAAAATGGTTTACTTTTTAAGTACATGCTTAGGGGAAAAATAATTATATTGCCTTCCCCACCATGCACAAAAGAGTGAGATGAGAACTATTCAATTTCTCCCAAAGCTGCTGTTTTGCAGAAAGACTTACAGAAGAGTTGAGAACAGAAATGAGAATAACGCAGAAGTGGTGATGACCAGGAGGCCTGTAACTCAGTTTATGATTTGGGAACCATGTTATTCTCCTCCATCATTCAACACCATCTTTCCCCTACAAAAGCCCTTAGGCCAGTAACCTAAAGATCCAGCAATTGTGAGTTTAACATCACGGATAGTCCAGACCCCAAATAAAACATAGAATGGCTTGCATTTATACGTTGCTCTTTTTTTTTTTTTTTTTTGAGAGAGTCTCGTTTTGTCACCCAGGCTGGAGTGCAGCGACATGATCCCGTCTCACGGCAGCCTCTGCCTCCCAGGTTCAAGTGATTCTCATTCTTCAGCCTCCCAAGTAGCTGGGACTGCAGGAGCCTGCTGCCACGCCCAGCTAATTTTTGTATTTTTTGTAGAAACGGGGTTTCACCATGTTGGTCGGGCTGGTCTTGATCTCCTGACCTCACGTGATCCACCCGCCTTGGCCTCCCAAAGTGCTGGGATTATAGGCATGAGCCACCGTGCGCAGCCGCTTTAGGTTTTTTACAGAACTTCCTTGCATGATTCTTCTGAGAAGTGGGCAGAACAAGGTTTTCCCCCCTTTAAAGATGGAGGTTTTAATTTTGTTTTTGTTTGTATTTATTTTTATGCATTTATTTAGAGACAGGTTCTCACTTTTTTCACCTAGACTGCAGTGGTGTGATCATAGCTCACTACAGCCTCCAACTCCTGGGCTTGAGTGATCCTCCTGCCTCAGACTTCCAAGTAGCTGGGACCACAGTCCAATACCACCACGCTCGGCTAATTTCTTCTTCTTCTTCTTCTTCTTCTTCTTCCTCTTTTTTTTTTTTTTTTTTTTTTTTTTTTTTGATGTCCTCTCTGAGACACAAGTCAGCTAATTTTTTTTTTTTTCTTTTTTGAGATGGAGTCTCGCTCTGTGGCCCAGGCTGGAGTGCAGTGGCACGATCTCGGCTCACTGCAAGCTCTGCCTCTCGGGTTCACGCCATTCTCCTGCCTCAGCCTCCTGAGTAGCTGGGACTACTGGCGCCCGCCACCGCGCCCTGCTAATTTTTTTTTTCTTTTTTTTTTTGAGACAGAGTCTCGCTCTGTCACTCAGGCTGGAGTGCAGTGGCGCGACCTCGGCTCACTGAAAGCTCTGCCTCCCGGGTTCACGCCATTCTCCTGCCTCAGCCTCCCGAGTAGCTGGGACTACAGGCGCCCGCCACCATGCCCAGCTAATTTTTTTGTATTTTTAGTAGAGACGGGGTTTCACCGTGTTAGCCAGGATGGTCTCCATCTCCTCACCTTGTGATCCGCCCACCTCGGCCTCCCAAAGTGCTGGGATGACAGGCTTGAGACACCGCGCCCCGGCCCAAGCCAGCTAATTTTTAAAAAGACTTTTTGGCCGGGTGAGCTAGCTCACACCTGTAATCCCAGCACTTTGGCAGGCCAAGACAGGCCGATTACTTGAGCTCAGGAGTTTGAGACCAGCCTGGGAAACATGGTGAAAGCCCATCTCTACCCCCACCACCCCCCAAAAAAGAAAATTAGCCTGGCATGGTGGCCCGGCATTGTAGTCCCAGGTATTCGGGAGGCTGAGGTGGGAGGATGGCTTGAGCCCAGGAGTTCAAGGCTGCAGTGATCAGTGATTGTACCACTGTGCTGCAGCCTGGGTGACAGAGAGAAACTCTGTCTCAGAAAAAAAAAAAAGTTTTCTAGAAACAGGGTCTCCCTGTGTTGCCTAGGCTGGTCTCCCACTCCTGGTCTCATGTGATCCTCCGCCTTACCCTCCCATAGCATAGTGCCCACCTAAGATGGGGATATTGAAGCACAGAGGGCAGAGTGCTTTGCCCAAAGTTACAGGACTGGTCAGCAACTTAGGCACCTGGGTCCTATTAACTCATAGCTCAAGCTTCCTTCATGGCTATATATGCTTCTGGAATTGAACTAAAATCACAGAACTATGCATTCCAAAGTTTGCACTGAAGTATGGTATACTTAAAACATATTATGAAATCTTTTAGACCTCGTGCTGCACAGTGGACATTTGTAACCATGCCATCCAGCTGAACAATTAACCTTTTTAAGCTAGGTTTTAAGTTTCCTTCCCCCCACCATCCAGTCTCCTTCCCTTGCCTCCCCACAAGTCGCCACTTTCCTGGGTGAGGTATTTAATGTTTCAGCTGTGCTTTCTGCATGAAGACAATTGCCTTGGGCTTTGGTGTAAAGGATCTAAGGGGTAACAGATCTTCTGAGACGTGGTAACACCTGCTGCCCACCTGCCTCTCTCCTGAGTTGAGTGGGACCAGGGCCAGGTGGGGAGTGAAATGAGGCTTGCACAGAGGAAAGACCAGTTAGCCAACCAGTATCCTATGACGTCAGAGTTCATCAGGTGAGATAGCAAAGGGAAATTCCGCCTCCCTGAGTACTAAATTGGAGTCTCTTTAGCCCAACAGTTTTATGGTTTCCCAGAAAGCACGTGGAGCAGAGTGAAGTAAGTGAAATGTTTTCTAGGATCCCCCCACTTTTCCCTTTGTGTTCCCTTACCTTTGGACACCCTCCCTCACCCTAGTGTCAAGGCTCCATCTTGGAACCCAAATGGTCCTCAAGGGGACCCAATAAGAGCCCTAGCTGCCTGGGGTCTCCCTGTCCGCTCACACCAGGCTCCCTTTCCAGCAACCAGCCAGGCGTTGCTTGCTTTCTTGCTTTGCTTTCTCGCTTTGCTCTCTCACTTTCTCTCTTTCTTTCTGCTCACTCTGTTGCCCTGGCTGGAGTACAGTAGCATGATCTCGGCTCACTGCATCCTCCACCTCCTGGGTTCAAGCAATTCTCCTGCCTTGGCCTCCCAAGTAGCTGGGACTACAGGTGCCTGCCATGACACTTGGCTGATTTTTGTATTTTTAGTAGAGATGGGGTTTTCCCATGTGGGCCAGGCTAGTTTTGAACTTCTGGCCTCAAGTGATCCACCCATCTCGGCCTCCCAAAGTGCTGGGATTACAGGCTTGAGCCACCGCGCTGGCCCTCGCTTTCTGTTTTCTGTCCTACTGGACATTACCAGCTCAGACTTGTTCCAGCTGTGACTTCCAAAGCAATAATTTTGTAAACTAAACTGTGATGAACAGAAGGGATTAAGGAGATACCAGAAAAGGGGTATTTGTGGATTTGAACTGCAGTTTATGCTTTTGCTTTCCATGCCTTGCAGGATGTTTTGACCAGAGGGAATTTCCCTGCCCAGGGCAGAGAACAGCCCCAAGGCAGGGGCGGAGGCAGAGATCTTTGTATGTAAATAGTGCTTTCTGATCTAGGTCCACACTGGGAGGGGCGGTGACTCAGGCTTCACACTTAGGAACAGCCTCAAATTCGAATCCTTAATGTTCTCTCCAAATAAGATTAAATCATCCCCAAAGCTACTGAAAGATATTCTTCATACAGCTTCAAACCTATGTCTATTACCAGACTACACAGCCTATCAGGAACCATGGACCAATTGTTTTTGGTTTTTTTGTTTGTTTTTGTTTTGAGAAAGAGTCTTGCTCTGTTGCCCAGGCTGTAGTACAGTGGTGCAGTCTCAGCTCACTGCAACCTCTGCCTCCCGGGTTCAAGCGATTCTCCTGCCTCAGCCTCCCTAGTAGCTGGGATTACTGGGGCACATACCACGCCCGGCTAATTTTTGTATTTTTGGAAGAGACTGGGTTTCACCGTGTTGGCCAGGCTGGTCTCGAACTCCTGACCTCAAGTGATCCACCTGCCTCAGCTTCCCAAAGTGCTGGGATTACAGGCATGAGTCACTGCACCTGGCTTCTACTGTTTTTTGTTTTTAATTTTCTAGCAGTCATAATTTATTTTGTGAGTGTTTTTAAATTGTTGTATAAGAGATGTATGTTTATAGTTTATGTAATTAGTTTTTGATTATGAGTATTTTAGTATAATATATTGTATACTGTGCTTTTTTTTTGGCTTTTTTTTCTAAGAGTCTTGCTCTCTCACCCAGGCTGGAGTGCAGTGACGAGATCTCAGCTCACTGCAACCTCTGCCTCCCAAGTTCAAGCAATTCTCCTGCCTCAGCCTCTGGAGTAGCTGGGATTACAGGCGCCCACCACCACGCTCAGCTAATTTTTGTATTTTTAGTAGAGTCTGGGTTTCACCATGTATTTCTGTTTTAAAGGCTTTCATTTGTTAAATGTGAACATTTAAAATATATTGTGAGTTTGGAATTTATTTCTCAACTTTTTATTATTATTTTTAGAATATCTTAGAATTGTTCATTTGCTTTATCCAACAATGCACACACATCAGTCTCAGAATAACAATATTAAATACACTTACTCCAATATAATTACTGAAAACGTTAAAAAAAAACTTTTTTTGCATATGTTCTTACCATTCTTTCGCCATTTTAAGAGGTGCACATTGACAGATCATAAAACCATTATATACTGTACTCTCTTTTTTTTGAGACAGAGTCTTGCTCTGTCACCCAGGCTGGAGTGCAGTGGTGGGATCTCGGCTCACTGCAACCTCTGCCTCCTGGATTCAAGTCATTCTCCTGCCTCAGCCTGGGACTACAGGCATGTGCCATCATGCCCAGCTGATTTTTGTATTTTTAGTAGAGACGGGGTTTCACCGTGTTGACCAGGCTGGTCTTGAACGCCTGACCTCAGGTGATCCACCCACCTTGGCCTCCCAAAGTGCTGGGATTACAGGGGTGAGCCACCACACCCAGCCTACTGTACTCTCTTCTTTTGAAACCTCATATTATCCTTGTTCTACAATTCACTATATAGTTAATGCTCAATACCTATCCTTACATCGTCTCTATAGACATTTTAATTTTTCCCAACTTTTTATTTTGAAAAATTGAGAATCTCCAGAAGAGTTGAAAGATATTACAGTGAGGTTGGGCTCACACTTGTAATCCTAGCACTTTGGGAAGCTGAGGCAGGAGGATGGCTTGAGCCCAGGAGTTCAAGGCTGCAGTGAACTAGGGTTTGCCACTGCACCCCAGCCTGGCGACAGAGACCCTGTCTCTTAAAGAAAGAAAAAGAACGATAGTATAATGAATATATCCTTCACCAAATTTACCAATTGTTAACATTTTATAAATTTTCTTTATTTCTGTCTCTATTTCCATATATATGGAAACACACACACACACACACACACAATTTTTCTTGCTAAATAATAAAGTTGCAGAAATCATAGCACTTCACTCCAAAATACTACACCAAGCATTTCCAGAGAATAAGAACATTTTTCTAGTAATGAAAATTTTATCATGGCTGGTCGTGGTGGCTCACACCTGTAATCCCAGCACTTTGGGAGACTGAGGCGGGCGGATCACCTGAGGCCTGGAATTCAAGAACAGCCTGGCCAACATGGTGAAACCCCGTCTCTACTAAAAATTCAAAAATAGCTGGGTGTGGTGGTTCACACCTGTAATCCCAGCTATTCAGGAGGCTGAGGCAGGAGAATTGTTTGAACCCGGGGGGCAGAGGTTGCAGTGAGCTGAGATCATGCCACTGCACTCCAGCCTGGGCGACACACCAAGACTCCATCTAAAAAAAAAAAAAAAAATAGGCCGGGCGCAGTGGTTCAGACCTGTAGTCCCAGCACTTTGGGTGGCCGAGGTGGGCGGATCATGTGGTCAGGAGATCTAGACCATCCTGGCCAACATGGTGAAACCCCGTCTCTACCAAAATACAAAAAATTAGCTGGGCGTGGTGGCGGATGCCTGTAGTCCCAGCTACTCGGGAGGCTGAGGCAGGAGAATCGCTTGAACCCGGGAGGCGGAGGTTGCAGTGAGCCAAGATTGCGCCACTGCACTCCAGCCTGGCGACACAGCAAGACTCTGTCTCAAAAAAATAAAAATAAAAATAAATAAATAATAAATAAAAAATTAGTCGGGCATGGGGGCGCACACCTGTAATCCCAGCTACTCGGTGGCTGAGGCAGGAGAATCGCTTGAACCCAGGAAGCAGAAGTTACAGGGCGCCAAGATAGCACCACTGCACTCCAACCTGGGCGACAGAGCGAGACCCTGTCTCAGAAAGAACAAAACAAAACCAAAAAGGAAATGTTATCACAACTTTTAAAAATGGACATACAGTCTCTGTTGTCTGTTATACAGTCCATATTCAAGTGACCCTGGTTATCTTTATCTAAGACTCAACAAAAAATGTACACATTGCATTTGGTTGTTATGTCTCTTTAACCTCTTGTCACCAAAAACAGTTCTTCCCCACCTTGCTTTCTGTTTTGCTGAGCAATGACTCTTTTGAAGAGTCCAGGACAGCTCTTGTGCAGAGTGTTCCACATTCTGAGTCTGATTCCTCATGAATAAGTTCAGGACAAACCATTTTTTCAGCTAACATTCTTCACAGGTGACACTGTGCACTTTCTATTGCATCATATTGGGAGGCACAAGGTATCAGGTGACCCTACTGTTGGAGAGGCTATGATTATTTAGATAAGGCAGTTTCTTCAGAAATTTAGAAAAAAAAAATTTTTTTTTTTTGAGATGGAGTCTCACTCTGTCGCTCAGGCTGGAGTGCAGTGGTGCAATCTTGGCTCACTGCAACCTTCGCCTCCCGGGTTCATGCCATTCTCCTGCCTCAGCCTCCCGAGTAGCTGGGATTACAGGTGCCCATCACCACGCCCAGCTCAATTTTTTTTTTTTTTTGTAGTGTTAGTAGAGATGGAGTTTTAGCATCCCAGCCAGGCTGGTCTTGAACTCCTGACCTCATGATCCACCTGCCTCGGCCTCCCAAAGTGCTGGGATTACAGGTGTGAGCCACCGCACCCAGCCAGAAATCTTTAGATTTCTTTTCTATCAAGGTACATTTCCCCCACCCCTTGTGGTTAATAAATAATCTGTAGGGTGATTCCCTGAGGCTATATGAAAATCCTATTTTGAGCTGTCTTTCACTCAGTAGTTTTAGCATTCATGGATGCTTTTGGGGAATCAATTACTATGTCAAGGATTGCAAAATGGTGATTTATAATGAGAACTGTATCTCATTCCCTCTCCATTTACTAACTGCATTCTCCATCTTTCTCTTCTGTGTATTAGAGGGCTCACTGACTTTTTTTTTTTTTTTTTTTTTTTTTTTTGAGACAGGGCTTTACTCTTTCACCCAGGCTGGAGTGTAGTGGCTGATCACAGCCCACTGCAGCCTCGACTGCCTTGGGCTCAGGTGATCCTCCCACATCAGCCTCCCAAGTAACTGGGACTACAGGCATAAACCACCATACCCGGCTAATTTTTGTATTTTTTTGTAGAGGTGGTTTTGCCATGTTGACCAGGCTGATCTCTAACTCCTGGCCTCAAGTGATCCACCCACCTTGACTTCCCAAAATGCTGGGATTACAGGCATGAGTCACTGCACCTGGCCTGTTCAACAGACTTTCAATTTGTGAACAGTTTTACCCTTAAAGGAAAACTGGTAAGATACTACAGGCAGTGCCCATACCGCCCACATCTCATTTCCCTTAATATTAACACATTAGTATGACTCATTTGTTATAATTAATGAACCCATATTACTACATTATTGTTAACTGAAGTCCGCACTTTATTTTGATGTCCTCCGTTTTTCCCTAATGTCCTTTTTCTTTTCCAGGATGCCACCCTACATCTAGCCATTGCGTCTCCTCCCCTTGGTTGTGACAGTTTCTCAGACTTACCTTGTTTTTTGTTTGTTTGTTTTCGTCTTTTTTTTTTTTTTTTTTTTGAGACAGAGTCTCACTCGGTCATCCAGGCTGGAGTGCTGCAGTGGCACGATCTCGGCTCACTGCAACCTCCGCTCCCTGGATTCAAGCGATTCTCCTGCCTCAGCCTCCCGAGTAGCTGTGATTATAGACATCCACCGCCATGCCCAGCTAATTTTTTGTATTTTTAGTAGAGACTGGATTTCACCAAGTTGGCCAGGCTGGTCTTGAACTCCTGACCTCAAGTGATCCACCCACCTCAGCCTCCCAAAGTGCTGGGATTATAGGCATGAGCCACCATGCCTGGCCACACTTGCCTTGGTTTTGATGACCTTAACAGTATTGAAGAGTACTGTTCAGACATTTTTGTAAAATGTCCTTCAATTTCAATTTGTCTGATGTTCTTCCTCATGATTAGACTGGGGTAATGGGTTTTGGTGAGGACACCAGGGGGTAAAATGCCACTGGAATCACATCACCTCCAAGGCATATACTGCCAGCAAGTGAGGAGACCTGCCACAGCTTCTCAAGTATCTACATAAAGTGTTTCGAATTCATCTGCTGGGGGGGATTTGTCTCTTCTCCCCCATTTGTTTATCTATTCAATCATTTCCTTATGTAAGTATGGACTCATGTAATACTTGGGGTTATAATCCTATAGTAATGTCTTTACTGTGTTATTCAAATGGCTTGAGCTCCAGCCTGGGCAACATAGCGAAACTCTGTCTCTACAAAAAGCACAAAAGGCGGGGTGCAGTGGCTCACGCCCGTATTCCCAGCACTTTGAGAGGCCAAGGCGGGTGGATCATGAGGTCAGGAGTTTAAGACCAGCCTGGCATGGTGAAACCCCGTCCCTACTAAAAATACAAAAATTAGCTGGGCACGGTGGCACGTGCCTGTAATCCCAGCTACTCGGGAGGCTGAGGCAGGAGAATCGCTTGAGCCCAGGAGGCGGAGGTTACAGTGAGCCAAAATTGCGCCACTGCACTCCAGCCTGGGGGACAGAGCGAGACTCCATCTCAAAAAAAAAAAAAAAAAAAAAAGAAAGAAAAAAATACAAAAAGAAAATTAGCCAAGTGAGGTGGCCCACATGTGTAGTTCCAGCTACTTGGGAGGCTGAGGCAGGAGAATGGCTGGAGCCCAGGAGATGGAGGCTGCAGTGAGCTGTAATCGTGCTTCTGCACTCCAGCCTGGGCTATAGAGTAAGACCCTGTGTCAAAAAAAAAAAAAAAAAAAATCCCCAAAATCCCAAATTGCTCCAGCTTGGCCATTGGGAGCTTTTCAGCTGATTCCTGCGTCCCTCTGGCACAACCCTGTCATTGCAGTATTTTTGGTTAGTTTTTTCCTTTAAGTGTGTCCTTACTTTTTGGCACTACAAGATGCTCTAGGCTCTTTGTGTATGTTTTCTTTTTTGGGGGCGGGGGAGGGGGACAGAGTCACCATACCTGGCTAATTCTTTGTATTTTTCAGTAGAGACGGGGTTTCGTCATGTTGGCCAGGCGGGTCTCAAACTCCTGGCCTCAAGTGATCTGCCCACCTCGGTCTCCCAACGTGCTGGGATTACAGGCGTGAGCCACCGCACCTGGCCCCTTCATGTGTATTTTCTGCCCTGGCCCTAGAGTCAGCCAGTTCTTCAAGGACCTCTGTTTCCTTTTACTGGGGTACACTAGACAGAAACCAAGATCGGGGTGCTAGGTGTGCCTATTGCTCCTGGAATGTCATTACTTCTGGGCCATCTCCCCTGAAAAAGCAAAGAAACATATGTGTGTACGTGAACCTGAGCACACACACCCATCTTTAAGAATTTCTACGTGGAATCACTGTGTGTATATAAGCTAAACATGAGTTCACAGCATCTCCAACTCCAATCCAGGACCACACGGATCATTCTAGCCTCTCCTTGTTCATATGTAACCTCCTCCTCCAACAGGGTGGAACCTGGTTCCCACTATCTGCCATCTACTTACTTAACTGCTTGTTTATTTAAAAAAAAAAATTAAAATGTTAGTACCATCACTGCCGTGATTCTCTCTGATGCCCTAATTGTCCCAAATCTGGCCAGTGGGATCCCTTTCAACCTTTTCCTCTCCCACATCTCCATCAGTCTTCAACCACAGCTCACTGTTTTCTGGCATAAGCAGATATTCTAGAAATCAGCCATATCCTCAAAGATGCCTAATTTCTTTTTTCCCCTAATTCCTTTTAATAGGGAAGTTGTTGTGTTTAGAGAGTGAGAGCTAGGTGCCTAGTTTGCTAATTGCCACTGGGTTATTATTGCGTCTAGGCCATTTTAGTGGACAGAGCTCATTATATCTATATAATACATTTTTACTGATACTTCCAATCATACCCAAATCCAACACTGGGGGCAGAATTATGAAGTGTTTGAGAAAATCCATAGAGAAATGATGGACAGTTGTCTCATGGGATGGAGAATAGTTTATAGGAATACATTTTGTTTTTCCTTTTCCCCCCCTTTCCTTCCTTTTTTATTCTTTCATGAACTTCAGGCTCAGAATTGAGTTAATCCTTCTTTTCATTCATAGTTCGTTATCAGCACAAGGTATGCAATGCACGTTTGTTTATTTTTCTCCTTCATACCACACAGCCACTCAAGTGATTTTTTTATTACATAAATCAGATCATGCCACTCCTTCACTCTCAACCCTCCCACGCTTCCCATCACACTTGGAGCAAAACCCCAAATTCCTGCCATGGTCAACAAGACCTTGCAGAACCTTGCTCCTAGTTACCCTCCAACGTTTTCCTTCTCTCTCTCTCTCTCCTCTCCAGCCACTCTGGCCTCATTGTTCTTCAACTTACCAGAGATATTCCAGCCCTAAGGCCTGTACATGGAATATGCTTCCTCTGTCTCCAGGTAGCTCCCTCCCTTCTGCAACCAGACCTCTGTTCACATTCCCCCTACCCTACCCAAAGTAGCTCTCTCCATTGCCCTCTCTGCTCTTCTGTGTTTGATTCTTCTTCCTGGCCCTTGTCACTCCCCACCTTGTATTGGTCAACTGTTTTATTGTCTATATTCCACACGAGAATGTTAAGCAACACAATGGCAAGACTTAGATTTATTCCATTTATTCCCTGCTGTTTTCCCAGCCCCTAGAACCTGTGGCTGGTGCATAGAACAGGCTTCATCACTGCATGTGGAGCAAGTTCCCACTCGCATTCTCCTCTCCCCAGTTTAGCACCAATTCAAATAAGGTATGTTCTTATATATAAGCTTATAAAATGCTTAGTACTGTATTTATGATGTCAATGTAGATTTGTTTGGGAGGGCAGTTATCAGTTTGGGAAAATCTCATCCCTGCTTAGTTGTGGTTTAAGTGCCACTCACTAAGAAGTGAAGGTGGGAGTTGGGCTCCACCTCTGCTGGGTTAATAATTAAGAAGTTTGTTTTGTCGGAAGAGAGGGAAAGAAAGCAGGAGAGTGTGACTAGAGGTGTTGGGGGACTTAGTGTCAAAGAGAATTTTTTTGGCTGGGCATGGTGACTCACACCTGTAATCCCAGCACTTAGCAGGCCTAGGTGGGAGGATCACTTAAGGCCGGGAGTTGGAGGCCCACCTGGGGAACATAGAGAGACCCCTGTCTCCACAAGAAAAAAAAAAAATTAAGAGTGTTTTTTTCTTTATTGGATGTGTTCATCTGATCCAAGTCTCTGGAAAGGAAGCTAGGGGAAACACTTTTTATTCAGTGCCTTTTGGGAGGAGGAATGAAGGAGGCAGTGTATCCATCCTCAGGTAGACAGGAGATGCAGTCAAGACATCTTAATGGAGAAAGGGCTCTGCTGAACACAGTAGCTTAGCAGCCTTGTAAGGACACACCTACTAGTTTAAAAAACTGGAATCTACTTTTTTATTTTTTTCAAGATAGGGTCTGGATCTGTTGCCCAGGCTGGAGTGCAGTGGCGCCATCTTGGCTCGCTGCAACCTCCACCTTTCTGCTTCAGGCAAGTCTCCAGACTCAGCCTCCTGAGTAGCTGGGATTACAGGCACCCATCACCATGTCCTGCTAAGTTTTGTATTTTTTTATTTTATTTTATTATTATTATACTTTAAGTTTTAGGGTACATGTGCACAATGTGCAGGTTAGTTACGTATGTATACATGTGCCATGTTGGTGTGCTGCACCCATTAAGTCGTCATTTAGCATTAGGTATATCTCCTAATGCTATCCCTCCCCTCTCCCCCCACCCCACAACAGTCCCCGGAGTGTGATGTTCCCCTTCCTGTGTCCATGTGTTCTCGTTGTTCAATTCCCACCTATGAGTGGGAACATGCGGTGTTTGGTTTTTTGTCCTTGCAATAGTTTGCTGAGAAGTTTTGTATTTTTTGTAGAGATGGAGTTTTGCCATGTTGGCCATGCTGGTCTCAAACCCCTGGGCTCAAGCATTCTGCCTGCCTTGCTCTCCCAAAGTGCTGGCATGAGCCATTGCACCCGGCCTACATTTTCTTATTATAGTAGATTGTCTTTTTACACTGAGTTTCTGTCTCTTAGGTGGCAAATTGCGATTAACTAAAATATTACTTTGGACTTGATGTAGAAACAATATGCTATCTGCAACGTACTTAATTTTTTTTTTTTTTTTTTTTTTTTTTGAGATGGAGTCTCACTCTGTGGGCCAGGCTGGAGTGCAATGGCACAATCTCGGCTCACTGCAATCTCCACCTCCTGGATTCAAGCAATTCTCCCGCCTCAGCCTCCCAACTAGCTGGGATTACAGGTGCCCACCACCACGCCCGGCTAATTTTTGTATTTTTAGGAGAGACGGGGTTTCACTATGTTGGCCAGGATGGTCTCGAACTCCTGACCTCAAGTGATCCTCCCACCTCAGCCTCCGAAAGCTCTGGGATTAACAGGCATGACCCATCGTGTCCTACCTGTTTTGAGAAATTTTTGAGGTTATTAGAACATCTCTAAAGATTACCCAGATACTATAAATCTAGACAGAGATATTCCTGCTTATCATTCTAAACCACATCTCAAAGCAGGACAACCATAGTAATGTGCTAATTGTGATCCGTGGGCTCTAACGCTCGTCCTCCATTAGGCCTGTTGTCCCAGCCTGATTATTAACAGCGCCTCCCTGTTAATTGAGTGGCTCAATTTAGGATTATGTTTCTGCAGCCTCATCGCCCTCTAGTGGCAAAATAGTGTCAGTAGCCAAAGTGGAGAAAAGGCTTTTGTGCAATACACCTAGGAACCGAAAAGTACCCCCTTCATAGTATAAAACTAGAGCTGCAAAAGAGATATCCAGTCTCCTAAGCACCTGGCGGACATGATGAGATCACTCAACTCATCGGAACAAAACAAGATGGGACCCTCACAAATAGTGAGGTTTTTTCGATTGGTTTTTGTTTTTATTTTTACTTATTGGCATAATTTAAAATATTATCAAAACCAGGCCTGGCGCTGTGGCTCACGCCTGTAATCCCAGCACTTTGGGAGGCCGAGGCGGGCGGATCACGAGGTCAGGAGTTCAAGACCAGCCTGGCCAACATGGTAAAACCCCGTCTCTACTAAAAATACCAAAAAATAGCCAGGCGTGGTGGCGGGCGCCTGTAGTCCCAGCAACTTTGGAGGCTGAGACCTGAGAACGTCGTGAACCCGGGAGGCGGAGCTTGCAGTGAGCCAAGATGGCGCCACTGCACTCCAGCCTAGGCGACAGAGTGAGACTCCGTCTCAAAAAAAAAAAAATTAATAAAAATAAATAAAATAAAAATTACCTAAACCCAAGAGAGTCATATTAAAAATGAGCACACAAGCATGATTACTGGTAGAACAAAGAGGAATAACTTTTCAGGAGGACACTTTGCCATTCGGTTTCAAAAGGTGATATGTTAGTACTGTTGACGGCGTAATCCCACCATTGGGAGTTTATGTGAAGAATGTGTTTATCAAGAAACAAAACATATAAGTAGGAGAGTATTCAGAGTTTAAAGGATAAGAATTTGAAAACAACCAATGTTCCCAAATAAAGAACTGATTAAATAAATACGGCTCATCCATACAATGGAATATTACAGAGCTATATTAATTGACCATTAATAAATTGTTGAGTAAAAATAGAAGATAATGGAATTGTATGAATATTATAATTCCACTTACACAAATGAGGGTCTGTGTGTGCTTATGTAGATATGTATATATGTATACACACACAGGAAGACATTTGAAAGAATGGACGTTAGAATGTTCACAGTGGCTACCCCTAGATGATTGAATCACAAGTAATTTTTATCTTCTTTTCATATTTTTTGAATAAATAATTATTCCTTTTATTTTATTTTAGAGAATCTTGCTCTGTTGCCTGGGCTGGAGTGTAGTGGCACAATTTCGGCTCACTGCAAGCTCTACCTCCCGGGTCCAAGCAATTCTCCTGCCTCAGCCTCCTAACTAGCTGGGATTACAGATGCATGCCACCACGACCGGCTAATTTTTGTATTTTTAGTAGCGACGTGTTGGCCAGGCTGGTCTCGAACTCCTGACCTCTAGTGATCCGCCCGCCTCGGCGTCCTAGAGTGCTGGGATTACAGGCGTGAGCCACCATGTCCGGCCCCCAGCTGTATTTTATTTACAATCTAAATCTGCAGCTAGTGAAAAAGAACCTAAAGAGGTAGTGAGAAGGGTCTGTGTGTCAGAGATCTCTAGGGACGCTTCAAAAATAACTCACTATTTAGGGACAAGCTGTGCCCTGACTTGAGGCCCACTGCCTGTCACAGTTTCAACCTTCAGATCTTTGGAGCCAAAAAGCACCTTACAAATCATCATTCATTTGTAACATGAGTTACTGAACACCCTTGGAATTCCCTTGTGCTAAGAACTGAGGATACAGAAGGAAATAAAACTAACAGGACCCAATCCCTGTGGAGCTGACGGCCTTGAGGAGAGTGGAGATAGCAAATAGGTGTCAGGTGTCACCCCTTCCCCGCATTCTGCTCCCTGAAGCCCGTGCCCATGGAAGGCAGATCACTGTGCATCTCTCTGCATGGTACTTCCAAGCAGCTACTACTAGCAATCTGAGTGGCATAAATAAGGCTAATCCAATCCACCCTACATTTTACAGCTCAAGAAATTGAAAGCAAAAACATAAGTGATTACCGCTCTAAGGAATGTGTTAAGAGGTGAACTAGATAAAATAGTCTAGGATAAGGCTATGTTTTCAGACGGTTTTCTGTATAACTGTGGGTTATTTTCAAGATCCCTCTTACCTCTGGTTTTGGACCTAAGATACAATTTTTTAAAATAAAGAATGAGATCATTTCACAAGGATTCTATAGTAAACTCAAGTTTGCAGCCTCTGAAATGATATTCCCTGGAAGAGACTTGATAACAAAATAGAATAGAGGTAAAGTATTAAAACAAACAAACAAACAAAAACCTCAATGCCCTTTCAAAAGAGAGCAAAATGATTTTACTCAAATTGGCTGCATTTGACCTGTGAAATTACTAATATGGTATCTTCTTTTTCATTTTAATAAAATTTTATTTTATTTTAAATCAGGTTTAACATTTACATTCAATAACATATTTAATAAACTTCACTTTTTAATGTGTACAGCTCCGTGAATTTTGACAAATAGTCATATAGGTGTCACCAGAATCAAGGTATCAGATATGGAAATATTCAATATTGCCACCACTCCAAAAAAGTTTCCTCATGTCCCCTTTCAGCACCAGGATACAACATTTTGGCGGTGAACTGAAATTCCAGTTAAACTGTCCCACCTGGTAAACCCAGCGTTGCATCTGGGAAAATGCCATATGCCAAAACGAAATGAGAACAAGCCAACCAGCTTGTTTTTGCCTCCTCTATCCCCCACCCAAATCCCTGTTGATCTTCTCAAGTGTCTCATTGGTCTAAATGATTTGAGCAGGTTACTATTGTTCCTTTTGCTTTGCAAATTTACTTTTAATTTAAATGAAGATTAGATTGAGTTACAATGAGATTGTAAAAGATATTCTAATTCTAAAACAATACAACATTATTGACTAAGGGAGAAAAAAATAACAGCTTGTTCCTAAATTACATCAGGATGCTAGATTTTGCTTAATTCTTGATGTGAAAAGACAGGCAGGGAGACTAGTGCTGGGTTGGGGAGGGGGGTGACAGGCAGTGCCAGCCAGACACCCACTGCCTTTCCAAGAATTCTGGGTACCGGTGATGCCCCCAGAAACTCCAAGAAAATATCATATTGAATCAAACTGAATATGGGAAGACACAAACGTATTTTAACAAATACCATCACCCGGTGTAACATTTCCACTGCAGTCACATGGGTGAAGATGCAAATTTTTCTGAAATTTTCATTTCTTTAATGATTGTTCATTTTAGAATGCTGTCATTAGTTGCCAGGGTTCTTTGTAACACTAAATACTGTTCTCTTTCACTTTTATGAAAAGACCAATTTGATCTTTCATTTGAGGATGATGAAGTTTGAGATGCTTTGTGGTAACTATTCAAAACAGTCTCTCACTGTTCTGACTCTGTGTGTCTGGTGACTAGTGAGCACAGATTGGGGGGCGGGAGCTGCTGGTCTAGACCACCTGCATCTTTTATTTAAATTAACAGGCCACCTAGAAGTGGTTCATCCTGACTGATCAAGGATAATCACTTAAATCAAGTGATTTAAGTGAAAATCAAGATAGTTAATATTACCTGAGTCCTTTTATGGACTTTTCTAAAATGCAAAACGTCACAATGCAAACAAACAAACAAACAAAATACAAAACCATCAGAGTGATTTGATAGCAAATATCAGAAGACCCAACTGAAAATGTGTTAAGCAAGAGGAGTTTATCATCTCAGGTAAAGACTCCATGGGTAGTCAAGTCCTGGCTGGGTTAATTCGGCAGCTGAGGCTCTGTCATCTTTTCACTCTGCCTCTGTGGGTAGAAGGGGAATCCCTCATAATTTCAAGGTGTCAGTCACAGTTTCACACACCCAACAAGCCGGGGCAGAAAAGCAGTATTCTTGCCCCCACCCAGATTCTATTTTTTGTGATAGAAAAGAAACTTTTCCAACTTCAGCATGTGTATGGGAAGTGGCTCTATTATAAGAAGGAAGGGAATGGCTGCCTGGTAGAGACACAGGACTTTACACTAGAGATTTCACAGACATTTCCACTAGAGCCCAGTGAGGAGCTACGATGGCCCTCCTTTGCAAGTTTGGAAACAGAAGCTCCCAGCATTCCAGTGACGTGCTCCAGACAACGTTAGAGTTAAGAATTAAACTTGGATCCATCTGGTTCTAAGTTTCAGGATCTCATTCAATACACTAAAGTCTGGTTTCCAAAACAAAGTAAAAGACAATACGATAAATAAAGTAAAATTGTAATAGGCCTACACCCAATGTGAGAATGAACAGGTAACCTTCTTGCCTGCAAATGCTTAGAATGCCTCCGCTAATAATCAGTCTTTGAGTTAAGGAATTGTCTCCGAGATACCACTATAAAAAATAGAAATATGCGGGAGATTTAGAATTAAGAAAAAGAGAAAGGAAAAAGATTACAAATATGTATTTATTTGCATGCTCTAACATCTTAACATATGTATTTATTTGCACAATCTAACATCTTAACATATGTATTTATTTGCATACTCTAACATCTTACCATAGGTATTAATTTGCATGCTCTAACATCTTAACATATGTATTTATTTGCATGCTCTAACATCTTAACATATGTATTTATTTGTATGCTCTGACATCTTAACATGTATTTATTTGCATGCTCTAACATCTTACCATATGTATTTATTTGCATGCTCTAACATCTTAACATATGTATTTATTTGTATGCTTTAACATCTTAACATATGTATTTATTTGCATGCTCTAACATCTTAACATATGTATTTATTTGCATGCTCTAACATCTTAACATATGTATTTATTTGCATGCTCTAACATCTTAACATATGTATTTATTTGCATGCTCTAACATCTTAACATACATATTTATTTGTATGCTCTGACATCTTAACATATGTATTTATTTGCATGCTCTAACATCTTAACTGGGATTCAAATATGTGTCTGGTATTTTGGTGGAGAGCACAGGATAGGTTCATTCGACAGGTGAAGCCAGAGGAAATTTGAGGTAAACTTGGTATTGGGGGCAGTGACCCTGATGGGATAGAGAGAGAGAGCAGGGGACACCCAGAGACTGGGATGGGATCGGGGAGAGACCACATGCATGGGCAACCCTGTGAAGGGTGGGGCCCAGAGGCCCTGGCTGACCTGCCTACTTCTCCAGCCACCTCTTTGATCTTCTCCTACCTTCCCCACCTTGCCTATATATTGAACTCTACCACAGGATACTTGGTTCCCTGGAGGCCAAGTTGCTCAAATTATTCCACTGACATCCCCTTATCCAGAGGGGGGTGAAATCACACTCTAAAATTTGGAAAAGCCATGCAAAGTTATCTTTAAAATTTTTCAAAAACTTATGCTTGATTTCAAAAATGACTGCAATTTTGCATTGTACTGCAACATATAGCTCAGTCACACACTGTTGGATATAATTGACTGGTTGGACCTAGGTGTTACCTGAATTGAGAACTGTGATTGTATTTGCAGAAATGACCCAATTTCAAGACCTCAAGACCCCTGCTCCCCCGCGTCTGTCTTTTTTTCTTTTCCAGGGCTTTATTGTCCTATGTTCATCTAGGAACCCGCAGGGGTCTCATGTGTACCCTGATTCTCATTCTCCAAGCTTGTGGATCCTTTCAGTTTGTCCCTTTGATAGTTTGTCCCTAAGTTCACTGAATATACAACCTCGCAGGGAAGACTGTTCAAACAGCATCCTTTTCTCTTGTTTTTCTTCAGGAGCCAGAAAGGCATGGGGGTGACTCCCCTGAATTGTATCCGTGGCCAGCAGCTCAGTTAGCCCTGTGTTCTGCCACCTGGGCTCACTGTGGTGGCCTTGGGCTGCTTTCTGCTCTGCTGACCCATCCTCTCTGGCCTGAGGGAAAGGTCTCTCCTTTCTCTTTCAGCTCTCTCATACAGGAGGCTCCTAGGTTACATCTTTCATACCCTAGAGCAGACAGACTCTCCTGGGCCTAGGTGGGATGGAGGCAGGGGTGTCCATGGGAGGGACAAGCACACCCCACATTGTCTGGAATCGCTGTCCCTGACTTAACCGCCCTCCTGCTGAGTTTGACCTTCTCCACCAGATCTGCTCACTTAGTGCCTTTTCTTTCCTCCTTCTCCTCCTCCTCCTCCTTCTTCTTCTCTCTTTTTTTTTTTTTTTTTTTTTTTGAGACAGAGACTCACTCTGTCACCCAGGTTGGAGTTCAGTGGCACAATCTCAGCTCACTGCAATGTCTGCCTCCTGGGTTCAAGTGATTCTCCTGCCTCAGCCTCCTGAGTAGTTGGGATTACAGGTGCATGCCACCACACCCAGCTCATTTTTGTATTTTAAGTAGAGAGAGCCCGCCTCAGCCTCCCAAAGTGCTGGGATTACAGGCATGAGCCACTGCACCCAGCCTCTTCTTTTTTCTTTAATCCTAAGGCTCCATTGTCCTCCACAGCCTGTCACTGGGTCTCTCAGCCTTTCAGATATGTTTCTAATGAACTCCAATTGTGAACAGGGTTCAGATTCTTTCCCATGGGGTTCCTGGATCCCATTCAAATCCAAGCCCCATTCAGAAAGTGTCACCCAGAATGTAAAGACAAAGCTAGATTTTTGGAGGGGAGCTGGGAGGCACAAATGAATCTTAGCTCTGACCTTACTGAGACACTTTACTTATTCTTTGTTTAAAATTACTCACTAACGAGTAAAGTTGCAGGTTCAAAAGATGTCCCACATTTCCTCCTTAAATTACCCCTGGGGACAGAGGTGCTTCACTTTGAGAAGTGAACAGCACTGGGAGGGTCTCCTCACCAAGGTGCCTGGGTCAGTGTCTGTCTGCCTGAACTTTCCTTCCTCCCTGTCTTTCTCTGGCCAATAGCTTCTTCCTTCAAGATTGGCCTGGCCGCCATCCAATCTAGAAAGCCTTTCCTGGCCATGCTTAACTCCTATGCTCAGCCTCAGTTAGATGCACCTTTTGCAGTGCTCTGGGCACACCAGGGCGTGCCTGCCATCACCAGGTTGTCATGATCTGTCCCCTTGTCTCCGGCCTCCATTTAATCCTCTGAGCATTGTTGATGTTTGCGTCTTTTATCTCTGTTCCAATAAGTGCTCAACAGAATTACAAAATAACAATTGGGTGGATGGATGAATGCATGGGTTTCTGCATGAAAAAATAAATGGATAATAATAATAAAGTAAATTTCACAGATTGTGAAGGATTACATTTGATTTCTAACATGAACTTGCTTTGAGCTGAACTCATAACTAAAAGAACCAGTAGGTCGGGTGCAGTGGCTAATGCCTATAATCCCAACACTTTGGGAGGCCAAGGCAGGTGGATGACCTGAGATCAGGAGTTCAAGACCGGCCTGACCAACACAGTGAAACCCTCATCTCTACTAAAAATACAAAGATTAGCCCAGCGTGGTGGTGTAGGCCTGTAGTCCCAGCTACTCGGGAGGCTGAGGTGGAGGATTGCTTGAACCCGGAAGGTGGAGGTTGCAGTAAGCCAAGATCACACCACTGCACTCCAGCCTGGGCAACAAAGTAATACTCTGTCTCAAAAAAATAAAAATAAAAATAAATAAAACATCCAGTAAAGACTGGGATATTTTTGATAACCAGTAAAACATGGCTTTCTCTTATTAAAACATATGAAATATTATATACGTTAATGTAGTATTAACAGGTCCCCACATTTCTATCCTTTTCATGATATATAGGGTTTCCATTCACGTGGGATTTACAGGGCCTACTAAAAACTCAGGTTGCATGTTAGCCACTCACTCTCAAGGGAAGACTCCCCCAGGAGCCCCAGTTCCACTTTCCCCCCAATATGGCTTGGCTGTGTCCCACTCAAATATCATCTTGAATTTCCATATGTTGGTGGGACCTGGTGGGAGGTAATTGAATCATGGGAGCAGGTCTTTCCTGTGCTGTTCTCATGATAGTGAATAAGTCTCACGATATCTGATGGATTTATAAGGGGGAGTTGCCATGCACAAGCTCTCTTTGCCTGCTGCCATCCAGGTAAGATGTGACTTGCTCCTCCTAGCCTTCCACCATGATTATGAGGCTTCCCCAGTCACATGGAACTGTGAGTTCTCCATTAAACCTCTTTCCATTGTAAATTGCCCAGTCTCAGGTATGTGTTTATCAGCAGTGTGAAAATGAACTAGTACTCCCCCTCATCCCTTATCCCTGTGCTGAGTAAGGAAGGAGTGACTGTCACATGAAAAGCTTAACTTGAGACAGTGAGGAGTTGCTCATATGCATGAGAGCAAACACTCTAAACACCAGTGGGAGAAAACGTTAAGTTGGCCACCAAAACAAGAACTAGAATCCCTGATTTTCGTATGATAGTAGTAAAAACCAGCACTTTATATCATGCTCACTACATGCCAGGCACTGTTCTAAGCATCTTACCTACACTGTATAGTCTTTGAACAACTCTTTGAGGTACGTACTATTGTTATGTCCCTATGATATGGATGAGGGAACCCAGAGGGAAAATTTAAGAAGCCTGCCCAAGGTCACACAGGCATCTGTCTGCTCCAGGGTTTGGACTCTGAACCAGAATCCTTTAGAATGAAGGCCATGGGATGAGAGATGTTGTCAGTGTGGCTGATAATCTCATCTCTGAGGCAAAGCTCTTTATGCTGCAGTATAAAAACTCAGGAGAGCCTGGGCACGGTGGCTAATGCCTGTAATCCCAGCACTTTGGGAGGCCAAGACGGGTGGATCACCTGAGGTCAGGAGTTCAAGACCAGCCTGGTCAACATAGTGAAACCCCATCTCTACTAAAAATACAAAAATTAGCCAAGGGTGGTGGTGCATGCCTGTAATCCCAGCTACTTGGGAAGCTGAGGCACGAGAATTGCATGAACCCAGGAGGCAGAGGTTGCTGTGAGCTGAGATCACGTCACTGCACTCCAGCCTGGGAAAAACTCAGGAGAAAAAAAAAACTTTTTCTAGATGGTTTGCACTTAGTTTATTTGATTATTAGTCCCTCTCTGGTTCTACAAAGAGTGAGTGTATATCTGTGTGTGTGTTAGAGTAGTTGATTGGGGAGGGTTCCCTGCTTTTAGCAGAATTATGCTCATTTATCTATTAATAAACATGTTTAATTGACTTGGAAAATCAAGATATTGGATCTCCAAGTAATTCAAATTATTATTCATTTTATTTTGCTGGGTTTTTGTTTTATTTTGTTTTGTTTGAGACAGGGTCTTGCTCTGTTGCCCAGGCTGGATGGAGTACAGTGGTGTGATCATAGCTCACTGCATCCTGGGCTAAAACAATCCTCTCTCCTCAGCCTCCCAAGTAGCCAGGACTGCAGGCACACACCACCAGGCCCAGCTAATTTTTTAACTTTTTGTAGGGATGAGGTCTCCATATGTTGCCCAGGCTAGTCTAGAATCCTGGGCTCAAGCAATCCTCCTGTCTCGGCCTCCCAAAGTGCTGGGATTGTAGACATGAGCCACCACACCTGGCCTATTTTACTGTCTGTAAAATTAAATTGTCGCCTTCTGGCCGGCACCCCTTACATTTCTTTTTATTTTTTGTTCAGAGGATCTATCATTCATTCCCACTCTTACTTTAGAAAAATGGAAATTGCTGCTTTTTTTTTTCAACACTGTCTATTTTTCTTTTTCTATTTATCTGCTGTCCCCTTTATTTTCTTCAGTCTTTCTGTTACTCTAAAGGGGTCCCAATCCAGACCCTAAGAGAGGGTTCTTGGATCTCGTGCAAGAAAGAATTCGAGGCAAATCCGTAAAGTGAAAGCAAGCTTATTAGAAAAGTGAAGGAATAAAGAATGGCTACTCCATAGGCAGAGCAGCAGTATGGGCTGCTCAGCTAGGAAACTTACGGTTATTTCTTGATTATATGCTAGAAAAAGGGTGGATTATTCATGAGTTTTCTGGGAAAGGGGTGGGCAATTCCCAGAACTAAGTGTTCCTCCCCTTTTCAGACTATATAGCGTAACTTCCTGACATTGCCATGGTATTTGTAAACTGGCATGGCGCTGGTGGGAGTGTCTTTTGGCATCTAATGCATTATAATTAGTGTATAATGAGCAATGAGGATGACCAGAGGTCACTTTCATCACCATCTTGGTTTTGGTGGGTTTTGGCCAACTTCTTTTTTTTTTTTTTTTGGCTGAGATGGAGTCTCGCTTTGTTGCCAGGCTGAAGTGCAGTGGCTCGATCTCAGCTCACTGCAACCTCTGCCTCCCAGGTTCAGGCAATTCTCCTGCCTCAACCTCGTGAGTAGCTGCAATTACAGGTGCATACCACCACACCTGGCTAATTTTTGTATTTTTAGTAGAGACAGGGTTTCACCATATTGGTCAGGCTGGTCTTGAACTCCCGACCTCATGATCCACCCTCCTTGGCCTCCCAAAGTGCTGGGATTACAGGTGTGAGCCACTGCGCCCAGCCTTGGCCGACTTCTTTACCGCAAACTCTTTTTTTTATCAGCAAGGTCTTTATGACCTGTATCTTGTGCCAACCTCCTGTCTCATCCTGTGACTAACAATGCCTAACCTCCTGGGAGTGCAGCCCAGTAGATCTCAGCCTCAGTTTACCCAGCCCCTATTCAAGATGGAGTCGCTCTGGTTTGAACACCTCTGACATTTCTGTTTCTCTGGCTTCTGAGGTTTCAGAACAATTATCTTCAATAGGTTTGTGTGGCTAGACTTGCAATTACTTGCCAGAAATCAATCTTTGTATATGTGGTTTGCTGCTATTGGTGGGTCATCAAAAAATGACAAAAAGTGGCCTCAGTGTTACCTGTGTGTCCACGTAGACCAAAAGGCCTATTTTGAGTGATATTTTGGAACATCTCATGTTCTGAAATGTGTGGAAAGCAAGCCACTGGTTGAAGGAAGACTGATTCTGGTGGTATAAGTATAAAGAACTTAACCTCAAGCTGGGGGCTCCCATTGATGTGACCCAAGAATCAATTTCAAATAAAGGGGAGTGCTGAACTTGCTTTCAAGATAGTATTAATATTTACAGACACATCTCAAAAGAAGACATACAAGCGGCCAACAAACATGAAAAAATGCTCAACATCACTATTCATCAGAGAAATGCAAATCAAAACCACAGTGAGATACTGTCTCATGGCAGTCAGAATGGCTATTATTAGGCCATTTATGCCTAGTGTTCCATTATTGGAACGCTAAGCTTGTGGAAGTTGTTTATATCCTACAGCTCAAGGTCATTGCCCAACGTCTAGTTTAAAAAAAAAAAAGAGCAATCTCCAGCATAAATAGGTTAAAAAGTAAAAACTAAAACAAAAACAAAAAAAAAAAAGCAAACAGATGTTGGCAAGGCTGCAGAGAAAAGGGGAGGCTTATACACAGTTGGTGGGAATGAAAATTAAATCAGCCAGTGTGGAAAGCAGTTTGGAGATATCTCAAAGAACTTAGAACAACCATTCAACCCAGCAGTAATTCCATTACTGGCTATATATCCAAAGGAAAACAAATCATTCTACCACAAAGACCCCTGCCCTTGTATGTTCATCACAGTACTACTCACAGTAGCAAAGACATGGAATCAATCTAGGTGCCCATCAATGGTGAACGGGATAAAGAAAATGGTACATATACACCAAGGAGTACTACAAAACCATGAAAAGTATGAAATCATGTCCTTTGCAGCAACATGGTTGCAGCTAGAGGCCATTATCCTAAGTGAATTAACACAGAAACAGAAAAATACCAAATATTCTCATTTATAAGTGGTAGCTAAACACTGGGTACACATGAGGCCGGGCGCGGTGGCTCATACCTGTAATCCCAGCACTTTGGGAGGCCGAGGTGGGTGGATCACCAGGTCAGGAGTTCAAGACCAGCCTGACCAATATGGTGAAACTCCGTCTCTACTAAAAATACAAAAATCGGCCGGATGTGGTGGCAGGCACCTGTAATCCCAGCTACTCAGGAGGCTGAGGCAGGAGAATCGCTTGAACCCAGGAGGCAGAGGTTGCAGTGAGCCGAGATTGCTCCACTGCACTCCAGTCTGGGTGACAGAGCGAGACTGTCTCAAAAACAAACAAACAAACAAACAAACAAACAGAAACGTTGGGTACACATGGACATAAAGGCGGGAACAATAGACATCTACCAGAGGGACTACTAGATGGGGAGGGACATACAGAGGTAAGGACTGAAAAACTACCTATTGGGTACTATGCTCACTACCTGGGTGCCGGGATCAATCATACCCCAAACCTCAGCATCATGCAATAGGCCCATGTGACAAACCTACATATGTGCCCTTGAGTCTAAAATAAAAAGTAAAATAAAAAATAGATAAAGTGGAACAACATCCCCCCAATTTTTTTCATTAAAATGAAATATAATTATTTCACGAATTGGCTATATATATATATATATATTTTTTTTTTTAAATATACTTTTTTTTTTAAAGAAGTAAGCCTTTATTTTCTTGTTTTGCAAATAAAGCTGGCTGATTTAGTTGCTTTTTGGTGATTAGTCAAAGAGACCAAATCCTGTATCCTCATCCAATTCCTCTAACTCTTCCTTGGCTTCAATCTTAGCTGAGGCTGCAGCAGCAGAAGGAGCAGCTGTGGTGGCAGTGGCCACAGGGGTAGCAGCCGCAAAGGCATATGGATCAACCAAGAACACCTTGAACTTTCCAGCAAGTGGGAAGGTGTAATCAGTCTCCACAGACAAAGCCAGGACTCATTTGTACCCACTGATGGTAGAATGGGGTACGGAGGCAACAGCTGGATAACCAATCTGCAGACAGACATTGGCAATGTTGCGGACACCCTCCAGGAAGTGAGGATTCAGAATTTCCTCTGTGATGTCAAGCACTTCAGTATTGTAGATGCTGCCATTGTCAAACACCTGCTGGATGACCAGCCCAAAGGAGAAGGGAGAGATGTTCCGCATGTTCAGCAGTGTGGCTTCGCTGGCTCCCACTTTGACTCCAGTCTTGATCAGCTGCACATCACTCAGGATTTCAGTGGTGCCCAAAGGTTTTAGTGATGATGCCTAAAGCCTGGAAAAAGGAGGTCTTCTCAGCCTGTAATCCCAGCACTTTGGGATGCCGAGACGGGCAGATCACCTGAGGTCATAAGTTCGAGACCAACCTGACCAACATGGAGAAACCCCATCTCTACTAAAAATACAAAAAAAAAAAAAAAAAATTATCCAGGTGTGGTGGCACATGCCTGTAATCCCAGCTACTCAGGAGGCTGAGGCAGGAGAATCGCTTGAACCTGGGAGACAGAGGTTGTGGTAAGCCAAGATCGTGCCATTGCACTCCAGCCTGGGCAACAACAGGGAAACTCCATCTCAAAAAAATAAAAAAGGAGGTCTTCTCAAGGATGGCCTGGCACAGTGACATCACATGGGGCAATGGCACCAGCACAGGTGGCTCCTGGCACCTTACTGGCTACCAGCATGTCCCTGATCTCAGTGAGGTCCTCCTTGGTGAACACAAAGCCCACATTTCCCTGGATACGAGGCAACAGTTTCTCCAGAGCTCGGCTGTTTTCCAGGTGCCCTTGGATGGCCTTGAGCATCATGGTTTCTTGCCCATCAGCACCATGGCCTTCCCTCGGAGGGACTTGAGGATCTGCTGCATCTGCTTGGAGCCCAGATTGTCTGCTCCCACCATGAAACATTTCGGATAACCATCCAAAAGCTGGATGATCTTAAGGAAGTAGTTGGACTTCCAGGTCACCCTGTCTTCCGTGGGCATCACGACGGTGCGTCAGGGATTGCCACATAGGATTTAAAGACGATGTCACTCCTGCGAGGACACCTGGTGAGAGAAAAAAAGATACTGTTTACAGGTGACAATAGCTCTCATAGCCTAGCTCCTGATGCTGAGTGCGAAGATTCTAGAGCCCAGTGAAATATCCTTTAGTGCTCCAAGAGCTATTGCCACCTGTAATTACCTGGGAGGACAAGAGATGGCGCTGTGAGCTCAATAGAAAGAGAAGACAGCAGGCCCTGAGCCATCTCCCAGCTGATCAAAGGCCACCAAAATGCAACGCCTGGGATTTTTCTGATTTCCTTCTTCATTGCTTTAGAGGCTTTCCCAAACCCCAAATAAATGCCGATACCAGAGTACATAACTACATAGAGAATTGTTTTCTTCTCATCCTCAGGAGGGACTCAGCTCCCAAACATACATGACATGAAACTGCAAGGAAAACTGGGCAAGCCCTGTGAGTTTCCAGTTTTGCTGGAAAGGGGACTAGCAGGGATTGGGGGTTCTTTGGAAAGCTGTGACTGTCATAAACAATAGCCTGGCGTAAATGACAGAATTGGGTATGGGTGAGCGAGAGAAAAACAGATGAACCAAAACAAAAAGCAAACAACAGTAATTGGCACCATACATCATTGCTGAGCTCTTGGGAGGATCTAAATCTGCTTTTCTGCTAGGAACACATTTGTATCACTTTGTCCAGCTGTTCACAGAAAATCGCATCACTTTGACCATAGGATCACTCCATTTAAAACTCTTCTGTGACAAAAATCTCATCCAGCCTCAGTCCTTTTATCAGTTTTTCAGTCACATTTTCTTTCTTTCTGCCATGTTAGGGACAGAGATGCTCCCTTGGAAAAAGGAAAGCGATAACTTTTCTGAGATAGGGTAGAAAGTAAGATGATGAAGGAAGAATGAGCCAATTTCAGATCTGAGGTGGTGCCAACTCTTGATGGGCTTCATGTGCAATTCATGTGAATTACGATTAGATGTTTACTCACAAGAGGCTCTCCTGCCCCAGGCATATTTTAACTATAATCCTAATTTCCACCTTCACCCTCTTACCCCAGACTGATTAGCATGCTTATCAAAATAAACATAATTAGGAAGATGAAGCCATAAGGCCAAACACATTAAATAATGCTTTCATATAATTTACAGCAATGCTTCAGAACAAGCTTTCTGCCACGTCATTGTGATCAAGAGATTTGTGTGATGAAGAAATATTTGTATCCCCGAAGGAAGACCTTGGCATCCCATTTCTCTGGTAGGCAGGTTACAAAAAGAAGAAGAAAAAAAAATGGATAGATGAAAGAAGGATCTACTGATTAAGCTGGCATTTAGACTAGGAATTTTCTGGGTTAATTAACATTTTCATAACACAAATTGCTTTAATTTTTTAAACTTATTTGAAGCCAGGCTTAGTGGCACATGGTGGTAGTCCCAGCTACTTGGGAGGCTGAGGTGGGAGGATGACTTGAGCCCAAGAGTTTGAGGCTGCCGTGAGCTGTAATTGCTCCACTGCACTCCAGCCTGGGGGATAGAGCAAGACCCTGTCTCAAAACAAAACAGAATGAAAAAACGAAACAAAGCAAAACAAAAAGCAACTTATTTGCAATCAAGTTTTGGAGCATTTTGAGAGTGGGTCTAGTTCTCTAGAATGGTCCCTCTGATGATGCCCAACTTCTTTTTAACAACCTTCCCAGAAATGAATTCCTTCATTAAGGCAAACCAGTTTCTGCTTTTCCTGTTCTCGTGGCAGCAGGGAGCATCTGGTTGCCATTCTCTTGGTACATCTGAAGAACCAGCATTAAATTGCCACATAGTTGCTCATCTCCTAGCAAAACAGCCCATTCATTCTCTCTGACCTTCCTCAGAAAGCTTGTTCTCCAAGCCTTTAATCCTGAAGTTGTTTTCGTGAGTTTAGAGCCTTGTCCAAGTTTTTCACACCCTCTTAAATTGCATGACTTTAAACTGGGCTCAGCATTTCAGTGAGTTTAGAGTTCTAAGGAAAGAACTTTTAGAAGGGTAAGCTGCATTTTCCTCTATTGCACTGCTAGCCCTCCAGTCACACAACTGGCAATACTCTCTGTGATGAGCCATGTTCTGAGTTTATACTGGGGAGACTAGAAATCAGGGCATCCTTTTACTTCTTGTGGGAAAATCCCCACTAAGCCACGGAAAGCTAATATCCTCATTCTCTCTCAGAAGGGCAGGGAAAATTTATTTTTTTGTTTTGGTACCCAGGAAAAAATTGTCCCAAATATGGAAACAGTTAGGCATTTTTGGAAATCCTGCAGAACTATTTGTTATGCTGAGATTTAGGAAAATTTTGGGAATGGAAAACAATGTAGCAATCACTGCTTCCAAAAAAGAAAACTTGGGATTCATATGACCCTGGTCTCCTATTCACTGTCTTGCATTCAAGGTACTTTCAGCAACTTGCCACAGATAGGGCGCTTTTTTAAAATCTAACTTTTATTTGGAAATTTTTGTTTTTAAAATTTTTTTATTTAAAATTTTAAATTTCTTTTCCCCATTTCCCTAAGAGCTGGAAGGAAAAATTTCAAATCGACAGAAAAGTTGAACACACATATACCCTTCATCTAGATTCACCAGGTATTAACATTTTGTTACATTTGCTTTATTGTTCTCTCTTCATACGTACCCATGCATACACTTCACACACACACACACACACACACACACACACACACACCACTTTCTTTTTTTTTGGTTTAAACATTTGAAAATAAGGTGCTGACAGTATAACACTTTACCTGTAAGTACTTCAGCCAACATCTCCTGAAAATAAGGCAGCATCTTACAGAAACATGATGTAAATATTACTCCTACAAAAATAAATATTAATTACACACTATCATCTAATAATCTGCAACCCACATCTGCATTTCCCCAGATGCCTCCAGAATATCTTTTTATACCTCTTCTATTTTCTGTTCCAAGATGCAAATCCAGGTTCTCTGCATTGGTGTTGAGTCTCTGGAGTCTCTTCCAATCAAGAACCATCCTCCTACTTTCAAAATATTGACTTTTTTTGAAAACTCCAGGCCAACTGGTCTTGTAGGCTGTCCCAACATTCTGAAATTGGCTGATTGTTTCCTTATGATTAGATTCAAGTCAGACAGTTTTGCCAAGAATGCCACGTTGGTATGCTTGTATGCTTCTTGCTACATCCCATCTGGGGTTCATAATGTGGATGCTAAGTTTGATCACTTTCCCAAGGCGATGTCCACCAGTTCTCTCCAAAGGTAAAGATAGGCTTTTCCTTTGTAAATTATAAGTGATATGTGAGTGTTGCCTTGAGTCTGTGTGAGTAGCTTGCTCTCCATCGTCTTTCCCCTGGTGGTTTTACTGCACATTGTTGATCTTTGCCTGAATCAATACTAGGAAATGCAAAATGGCAATTTTCTAATTTTATCATTCCTTCCAATATTTAACTGATACTGTGGAAGGGGTTTCTCCCTTCCCTTCTTCTCTTTCTCTAGTTAGCGCTCTTGACTAAAAGAATTCGGCTGGGCGTGGTGGCTCATGCCTGCAATCCCAGCACTTTGGGAAGCCAAGGTGGGCAGATCAATTGAGGTCAGGACTTCGAGACCAGCGTGGCCAACATGGTGAAACCCTGTCGTACTCAAAGTACAAAAATTAGCCCGGCATGATGGCGGGCGCCTGTAATCCCAGCTATTCAGGAGGCTGAGGCAGGAGAATCGCTTGAACCCGGGAGGCAGAGGTTGCAGTGAGCCGAGATCTCGCCACTGCACTCCAGCCTGGGTGACAGAGCCAGACTCTGTCTCAAAATTTAAAAAAAAAAAAAAAAAAAAAAAGGAATTCACAAGCCTTCACTCAATTGCTGGTTTGATTTTTCTTTGCCCCTGACGGGAGTGGAGGGCCCTGCTTCTTTTATGACTGAGGATGTAAAAATGATGAGGAGCATGTTGAAATCCATTTTATTGTGTTTCTCATCATCAAATCATAGGAATTTGGAGACCACTTCAAACTGAGTTCAGGTTTTTTCTCTTCTTGCTTTTGTGTGCGTGTGTGTGTGTGTGTTTTGTTTGTTTGTTTGTTTTGAGACAGGGTCTTATGCTGTTGTCCAGGCTGGAGGACAGTGGCGCAATCACAGCTCACTGCAGCCTCAAACTCCTGGGCTCAAGTGATCCTCCTGCCTAGCCTCTTGAGTAGCTAGGACCACAGGTGCGCACCACCACACCTGGCTAGATTTTTCATTTGTAGAGGTGGGGTCTCACTATGTTGCCCGGGCTGGTCTTAAACTCCTGGCCTCAAGCTATCCACCTACCTTGGCCTCCTAAAGTGTTGGGATTGCAGACATGAGCCACAGCACCCAGCCTTGCTTCCTTTTTGACACTTAAAACAGGTCACAAATGTACAAAATGGTATATGATGGATGGGAAGAGTAGTGCTATGATTTGAACGTTTGTCTCTCCCCGCAAATTCATATGTTGAAATCCTAACTGCCAAGGTGATGATAATAGGAGGTGGAGCCTTTGGGAGGTGATTAGGTCATGAGGGCGGAGCCCTCATGAATGTGATTAGTGCCCTTATAAAAGAGACTAGAGCTAGCTAGTTCCTTCCATCATGTGAGGACACAGAAGGTGCCATTTTTGAGGAATCAAGCCCTCACCAGGGATTGAATCTGCTGGCAACTTTATCTTGGACTTCTCAGCCTCTAGAACTGTGAGAAATAAATTTCTGCTGTTTATAAGCTACCCAGTTTATGGCGTTTTGTGATAGCAGCCTGAACAAACTAAGGCGGGGGTGACCATGAAGTTCAATTGGGACTTACAAATGATCACCCATTATGCTGTCTTCCTCTAGTCTGTTCGTTCACCCTCTCCCTCTTCTGGGTGTTTATTTCATACCCATTCTCCCTTCAAACCTTCAACACCACCTCAGATATCTTCACTCTTAGCTAATAACCTGGCTTCCTGCTTTAAGTTCTGAGCTACATGTGCAGGACGTGCAAGTTTGTTACGTAGGTAAATGTGTACTATGGTGGCTTCCTGGTGGTTTCCTGCACCTATCAACCCATCCCCTAGGTATTAAGCCCTGATGCTCTCTCCCCCGAGCCCGCCTGAGAGGCCCCAATGTGTGTTGTTCCTCTCCCTGCTTCTGTTTTTCTTTTCCTTTTTTTTTTTTTTTGTTTGTTTTGAGACAGAGCCTTGCTCTGTCACCCAGGCTGGAGTGTGGTGACCTGATCTTGGCTGACTGCAGTCTCCTCCTCCCGGGTTCAAGAGATTCTCCTGCCTCAGCTTCCCGAGTAGCTGGGATTACAGGCACCCGCCACCAGGCCTGGCTAATTTTTATATTTTTAGTAGAGACAGGGTTTTACCATGTTGGCCAGACTTGTCTCGAACTCCTGACCTCAGGTGATCCACCTGCCTTGGCCTCCCAAAGTGCTGGGATTACAGGTGTAAGCCACCTCGCCCAGTTTGCTTCCTGCTTCCTGCTTCTTGAATCAGAGGGAAGTTATTAGAGGAGATTTCCAAACCTGCCTGGCACTACATCTCCCACCTCTGCTTTTCCTCCCATTAGCACAGGTGAGCTCTCCATGCTCCTGCCAAAAACACATCCCTCCACTGTGTGCTAGACCACTCAGAACACTGCTCCAGGAAAGCTGTCCTCTCTCTCTTGCATCATCAAATATATTAATTCTATACCAGACATCACCATCAGCAAACCACAGTGTTACTATTTCTCCCAAGTAAAGAAAAATCTCTTCTTGACATGATTTTCCTGGCCAGCACCCAACCCATTACTTTGTTCCCCACTGAGGCAAAAATCCTGAAAACAGTGATCTCTGTGTGTCTCCACATCTTCTCTTCCCATTTTCTTTTTTCTTTTTTGTTTAGAGTCGGAGTCTCACTCTCTCTCCCAGGCTGGAGTGCAGTGGCTTAATTGTAGCTCACTGCAGCCTCAAATTCCTGGGCTCAAGCAATCCTCCCGCCTCATCCTCCCATGTAGCTGGGACTATAAGCTTGGGTCACTGCACCCGGCTAATTTTTAAACTAACTAATTTTTAAATTAAAAATTTTTTAATTTTTGTAGAGATGAGTTCTCAGGGTATCACTGTGTTGCCCAGGCTGGTCTCAAACTCCTGGCCTCAAGTGATCCTCCCGCTTCAGCCTTCCAAATAGCTGGGACAACAGGTATATGTTGCCATGCCTGGTTAACTGAAAAACAGTTTTTTGTGTGTAGAGAGAGGATCTTGCCATGTTGCCCAGGCTGGTCTTGAACTCCTGGCCTCAAGCGATCCTCCAGCCTCACTCTTCCAAAGTGGTGAGATTACACGCATGAGCCACTGCATCTGGATATACTCTTTTAAATTCACCCTACTCTGGCATTTCCCTTGATCCCTCCATGAAACGGCTCTTTTAAAATCGCCCATACCTCCCCATTGGCTCATCTGCCTTCCCTTGATCTCTCAGCAGCGTTTGACACAGTTGATCACTCCCTCTTCCCCAACTCTTTCTTCATCAGCTTCCAGAGCACCTCACCCTCTCTTAACTAATCTTGGACATGTAAACTTTCTATATCTAACCCTAATCTGATTGTCGCCCCAGCCTGCGTGACCTGTTGTTTCCCATCCCAGTGGATACAACTTCATTCTTCAGTACAAAAACTTTGGAATCATTCATGACTCTTTTCTCCCCGCTCTTACTCCATACCTGGTCCAAAGGTATCTCCTGTCTGCCCTACCTTTAACATAGATCCTTAACATAGATCCAGAATCTGACCACTTCTCAGGAATTCCATTTCTGCCACCTGGTGGAGGCCGTCCTCTGTCTGCACGGACTCCTGACTATTCTCAGGATTCTGCACCCTGAATCCAAATACCCACCACCTTCCCCAGGCCTGCCATCTCCTCCCGCCTGCATTAGTTTCTGACCGCCTTTCATCACGTTGACCACCTTGGTGTTTCCAGAACACCGGCATGGTCCTACCTTCCTGCTGTTGTGCTCTTCCTTTCATGTGCCTAGAATAGCCCCTCTTGGGTTAATTTCCTCACTGCCTTCTCGCCTTTGCTCAGTTATCACCTTTTCAGTGAGATCTGTTTTGACTACTCTATTTATTATTATTATTATTTGAGACAGTCTCACTCTGTTGCCCAGGCTGGAATGCACAGCACAATCATGGCTCACTGAAGCCTCGACCTCCCTGGTCCAAGCGATCCTCCCACCTCGGCCTCATGGGTAGGTGGGATCACAGGCATGTGCCAGCATGCCTGGCTAATTTTTGTATTTTTTGTAGAAATGGAGTTTTGCCATGTGTGCCCAGGCTGATCTCCAACCCCTGGGTCCAGTTGATCTGCCCGGCTCGGCCTCCCAAAGTGTTTGGAATTACAGATGTGTGCCACTGCGCCCAGCCCCTGACCACTCTATTTTTTTTTTTTTTTTTTTTTTTGAGATGGAGTCTTGCTGCATCGCTTAGGCTGGAGTGCAGTAGCGCGATCTCAGCTCACTGCAAGCTCCGCCTCCTGGGTTCAAATGATCCTCCCTCCTCAGCCTCCCAAGTAGCTGGGAGTACAGCTGCGTGCCACCATGCCTGGCTAATTTTTGTATTTTTAATAGAGATGGGGTTTTGCCATGTTGGCCAGGCTGGTCTCAAACTCCTGACCTCAGGTGATCCACCTGCCTCGGCCTCCCAGAGTGCTAGGATTACAGGCGTAAGCTACTGTGCCCGGCCCCCTGACCACTCTATTCTATTTAAAATTTTCACTCTTCTATCCCACTGGCTTGGGTGATCCCTTTACTCAGTCCCACTTTATGAAATTCCACGTACTGTATCTATATTTCAGGTGAATAGTTTATTGTCCATTACCCTATGAGAATATAATTCTGAAAGGATTAGGCCTTTTTCTGTTTTGTTCACCCATATATCCCAGATGCCTGGAACTTTCTACATATATTTGTTGAATAAATAATTAAATGAAATTAGCCATTTGTTGTTCATTTCTTATTAAGCAGTGCTGATCGATTTTAGAGAGAGAGATGCTTAGGGAATACTTGATAAATTGGATGAAAACCAGTCTCTTGTAAAGCAAGTCAGGCTTTGATCCGGAAAAGCAGACTTTTAAATTTAGTTTATATTTTTATTAAATATATGGATATGCACAGTTTTAAAAGTTAAGTAGTTCTACATTGCTTAAAATGAAAACCAGCATTCCCCTGCCTCACACTCCTTCCTAATTTTAATTTTCGGTCTTCAGGTAAAAGCATTTTCACCTATTTTAGCCATTTTTCCTGGTATTTATTTTCATGTTTCATCTATTTTCCTATACTACTGATTTATATTTAATAGTTTTTGGATATTCTCTGCAGGCTTTCTTATTTGGAAAGTGAAGATTTATTGTGCTTAAAGTATTTCTATTTTCCTATACTACTGATTTATATTTAATAGTTTTTGGATATTCTCTGCAGGCTTTCTTATTTGGAAAGTGAAGATTTATTGTGCTTAAAGTATTTCCTCTCTTCAGCATTTCTTCTTCCCGCTGCACCTTCCTTCTGACCACTATAAATATATCATAGGTTTTGGTTAAATCAATATTCGTATGCACAGATGAACCATGTAATATGCTTTTTGCACAGCTTTTTATTTTCCTTGGAGATAATAAGTGCCTCATTCTTTTCATTTGCTTAGTGTTCTTGGTATCATTAATCTATCCCCTAACTCTCTGCCAGCAGAATAAATCTCCTTTCAATAATTTTAAACACATTTCTCAATTTCTTTTTTCTTTCTTTCTTTTTCCTTTTTGAAATTTTTTTGAAGACATCCCTTTTGGAGCGGTTTGTCCTACTACTCCGATCTGGACGAGTAGCTCCAAGGCCTGCTGTACAATCACCCTGGAATTTCCCATCATTCTTGGAATGTCCTTAGTTGCCATTCCGAGTGCATCATCATCCCATTTCCTGGATCCCATGTCATCTTCTTTCTTGGTTTCCTCACACATCTTAAAGGAGTTCATATTCATTTCCTGAGAAATGATGGTGGGAGGTAAATCTTTTTTAGATCTTTTTTTTTTTTTTCTGAGACACAGTTCCGCTCTTGTTGCCCAGGCTGGAGCACGATGGCATGATCTCGGCTCCCTGCAACCTCTGCCTCCCAGGTTCAAGCGATTCTCCTGCCTCACCCTCCCCAGTAGCTGGGATTATAGGCGCCCGCCACCACGCCAGGCTATTTACATCTTTTATGTGTAAAAATGTCTTTATCTTCACACTTGATTGACATTTTGACAGCATACACAATTCTAAGTTACAAATCATTCTCTTTTGGGGCCAGGCATGGTGGCTCACATTTATTTTAATCCCAGCACTTTGGGAGGCTCAGGCGGGTGGATCACTTGAGGCCAGGAGTTTGAGACCAGCCTGGCCAACATGGTGAAACGCTGTCTCTACAAAAATACAAAAATTTAGCCAGGCATGGTAGCACACACCTGTAGTCCCAGCTACTTGGGAAGCTGAGGCACAAGAATCGCTTGAACTCGGGAGGCGGAGGTTGCAGTGAGCCGGGATTGAGCCACTGCACACCAGCCTGGGTGACAGAGCAAGACTCTGCCCCGCCCCCCCCCAAAAAAAGAAAGAAATCATTCTTTTTCAGAGTTTTTAAGGAATTGCATCATTTTTTGCTAGCTCCTAGAGTTGTTTTGTGAAATTTGATATAAGTTTGATTTGCTGTCTTTTATATAAAATTTGTGAGTTCATGTGTTTTTCTTCTCTCTGGATGCTTTTAGGATTTTATTTTTGTACCCAGTGTTCTGAAATTTTGCAGTGATATGCCTTAGTGTGTGTGTGTGTATGTGTGTGTGTGTGTGTGTGTGTTTAAATTTGGCTTAGTCACTCAGTAGGTTCTTTTAATCTGTAAACGTGTGTCCTTCTGGGGAACTTCCTGGAGTTATTTATTTTATAATTTTTTTCTCTATATTTTTTTCACTTTCTCTTTCTGGAACTTCCACTCTGAAGATGTTGAACCTCCTGGACTGATCTAAACTTTTCATCTTCTCTCTCTTGTTTTTCATTCCTCCAGCTTTACATTCATTTTTTTTTTCTGGGAGATTTTCTCAGTCTCTAATCCAATTCCAATTCTTCCATTGAGTTTTTCATTTCTGCTACAATTGTTTTAATTTCCAGGAGCATTTTCTTTGCTGTTTTTTTTAACAGTTCTTTTTTCTATAGCTTTCTGTTCTTTTTTATGAATGCAGTATCTTCTCTTTTGTCTTTGTGTACTTTAATGAATTTTTTAAAATGCATTTTTTGTTTCCTATTCCTTTATTTTCTCCCTTCTTCTGAGCTTCAGTTGCTTGGTTAGACCCTGTCCTTTTTATATTAAATTTTCTCACATATTTAGTGACCTTCATCTGTTCTTTCATAATTAGTGAGACACTGAGAAACTCTGTGTGATGGAAGGCACTTTTCAATGAATCTTTTTAATCCTACAATTAATTCTTTTTGTCCTAGAAATGATAGACTTTCGGTGTATCTATTTGGATGACTGGATTATTAAGAATGAAAAAGGAGAATCAATAAATGATATTTATTTATTCTGACCTTAAATCAATAGAGGCATACAAATGCAGATAACAATAAGAGATTTATTTCTGGTGATGTTCATAAGATAATATGGCTTTAGCTATCTCCCTTAATTCATTCATTCACATCCCTACTGAAAGAAATTTCAGGTCTTCTCTGAACAGGCAAAGCATGCCTAAAAAACTCACCACACAGTGGAGAGTAAACTTTACTACACCATCTTGGCAGAAGGTCTAAAATATATTATACTGATGCTCTGCCTGTTTTCCAGTGAGCCTTTATTGGGTTCAAAAACCTTTTGATTAAGTAATTCTTGCCTTAACCCATCTACAATAGTAGATCAAGCTGTATCTCTGTAGTTTAAGACAAGCTTCAGCCCCTCACACTAAAGCTAAAGACGGGTACAGTGGCTCACACCTATAATCCCAGCACTTTGGGAGGCCGAGGAGGGAGAATTGCTTGAGGCCAGGAGTTTAAGACCAACCTGTGCAACAAAGTGAGATGCCTGTCCATACAAAAAAATGAAATAATTACCTGAGCATGGCAGCATGTGCCTGTAGTTTCAGCTACATGGGAGGCTGAAGTGGAAAGATCTCTTGAGTCCAGGAGTTTGATGCTGCAGTGAGGCATGATCATGCCACTGAACTCCAGGCTGGGCAATTGAGAGAGACCCTGTTTCAAAAACAAAAGCAAAACAGAATTAACTACTTAAATGTATTCTTCTGGCCCTTATCAGACTAGAAGCATCAATCTCCACATTTTATTTTGATCCCCAAGGTCAATTCTTGTACCTCTTTTTCAGTTTCCTAGCCAAACCACCAAGACATGGAGGTTTGGAGTTCAGTAAACATTTCCACCCAAATATGGAACCAAATGAGGAGACATAGGAGGCGAACAAATGAAGATCAAAATGTCTATAGGTTACTGATCAAGCTGATTGAAAAATGCAATGTCAGATCTGAAGCCTAATGGGCTTATCAATATCTGCCCCTAGACAAATTGGTCAGATTTATCCAACCAGGCACTCAAAAAGAAGGACAACCATAGGCTCCACATAGTGACCAGCAGACCAGAGTGTACCGTAGGTGTTGGCAGCCAGAGCTACATGAGAAAAACCCAGAAAAGGCAAAGCTGAGCATGCTCAGTTCCTCATCCCAATGCTGGCAATCCGATCAGTCAGTGCTCTTCCCATTTGAAGAAGTTGGGCAGAGAGAAGTCAGGAGTAAATTTCTCTCATACTTTTTCATCTGAGGTGTGGCATGGAAACACTCTTACCTGTGGGAGACATGAAGCGTAGAAAATGTTTGCCCTAACATAGATCCTAGATTTTCCAAATTGAAATTATATATGAAAACTATACAATTTATTGTCCAAACTGGGACACTCTTGGGGATTGACTGGGAGCCCTATTAATCATTATCCCAGGGCTATAAGCATGTGCTAGAGCTGTCCAGGGCAACCAGTATTAAAAGTTGCCTTACTAAAGTGAAATATGGGGCTTCCCAGGGGATTCCTGCTAACTTTATTATAACATTCATTTCTTCAAGTAGTTACACTTCTATGGTCCTTTCTCTCTATATCCCTTACTCATAAGGAAAACAGAAAGAGAGAAAAAGAAAATTGTGTTTTAGTCATCTAAAATGTAATAGGCATTTTAAAATAAATGTTGAGTACATAAATGCATAAATAAAAGAATGTAATTGACAAATTATTCTCTGTGGAGATCTAAACATTCTATTGATTTAAAGAGAAGAGTCAGGCATGGTGGCTCACGTCTGTAATCCTAGCACTTTGGGAGGCTGAGGCGGGCAGATTGCCTGAGCTCAGGAGTTCGAGACCACCCTGGGCAACAGGGTGAAACCCTGTCTCTACTAAAATGAAAAAGAAAAAATAAATAGCCTGGCAAGGTGGTGAGCGCCTGTAGTCCCAGCTACTCAGGAGAGGCATGAGAATTGCTTGAGCCTGGGAGGTGAAGGTTGCATTTAGCCATGATTGTGCCACTGCACTCCAGCTTGGGTGACAGAGTGAGACTCCATCTCAAAAAAAAGAAATTAAGGAGAAGAAAGAGGGAGAAAGGAAGGAAGGAAGAAAGGAAGAGAGGAAAGGAAGGAGGGAGGGAAGGGAAGGGGAAGGGAAGAAAAGGAAAAGGAAGGAAGGAAGGGGGAAAGAAAGAAGAAAGGAATAAGGAAGGAAAGAAAATGAATTGCCAGTCACCAGGAAAATATAGCTCATTTAGCTTTGTTCCCAATTTGTGTGGATCTTGGTCATGTATCACATAAAAAGCAATACCCAACCAGCTAGGAAGTCACCAAGAGCCTATTCCTGTTTGTTGAAAGAGAAATGATCTCCAGAAAGTTATTGACAATTAATGCACTCTACAATTGGGGGAGATTTTTATTCTGTTTTTTTCATTTCCTGTTTCTTATCTTACATTCTCAAATTGAGGCCATTCCTTGGCCAGAATAACACATTTCTGCATGATCTGCCTTCTGCCATTTATCAAAACTTTGTCTTGACCCCTTTCAGTTAATCAAAAACAGGAGGCAAAATTTCACAAACGGACAGAGCTATATATTTTTTTACATCAGGAGCAGTTACTCTGTGTGTGTGTGTGTGTGTGTGTGTGTATGCATGGATGTATGTATGTGTGAGATTGGAGGTGGTATCAGTATTAAACAAAGGGAAAACGTGCACTTTGGTCAGTGCTGGGAATAGCGAAGGATTTTTAAGGAAATGCCAATGTAGGTATCAATCTAGACTCTTGAAAAAGTATTGTTACTTGCCACTGCTGGCAACGTGATCTAGTGCACTTATGCCAGGATCCTTGATAACAATAACAATGTTGATCAACTTCAACCCCCAACAATTGTTTTACTGTTGGATTTGTTTTGTTTTTTCCTGAATATGAGGAGGTGAATTTAAGGTTTTCATCTTTGGCTTCCAAAAAGAAAGCAATTTGGCAGTTACAGTTTCCCACTACGTACAAATAAATCATGCTATGACACGAACCTAGTATCATTCTTGTCAACAATGATTATTATATGTCAGCTAGGTCAGCCTGACTTATCTGCATGAGAGATTTCATGACCAGTGGCTGCGACCAAAGTAACCACTGAAACACACTTACATTCTTTTTGGCTTAGACTATTTGGATGGCGAATGGTCACTTTGCTATGGGAAGAAAGCACCATCTTCCTTTTGGACAATCTTCGATAGGTAAGTGGAGGAGAGGGAAAATGATGATAACTAACCTTCGATGAGTATGCATGTCCTTCCAGGCACAATAATAAACACTACAACACTACATGCATTAATCATTCATTTATTTCTCATAACTGCTATTGTACATAAGTAACTAGGCTTGGAGAGATTAAACATCTTTCCCAAAGTCATATAGATGGTAAGTAGTAGATGTGGGATTCAAACCTTAGTTTGCCTGGATTTAAAGACTGAATTTTTTTTTTTTTTTTTTTTGAGGCAAAGTCTCACTCTGTCACCCAGGCTGGAGTGCAGTGGTGCAATCTCAGCTCACTGCAATCTCTACCTCCCAGGTTCAAGTGATTCTCCTGCCTCAGCCTCCTGGGTAGCTGGGATTACAGACCTGTACTACCACACCCGGCTAATTTTTGTATTTTCAGTAGAGATGAGGTTTCATCATGTTGGCCAGGCTGGGTCTTGAATTCCTGACCTCAAGTAATCCACCTGCCTCAGCCTTTCAAAGTGCTGGGATTACAGGCATGAGCCACTGCACCCGGCCTAAAGACTGAACTTCTAACCACTACTCCACACTGCCTTACCACCCTACCTAGGAATTGCCTTCTATATATCGTTTTCTTTCTCTGGCCCAATATGGAACTAAATTCTATTAATTCCCCATTCTGTTGTGAACCTACCTGTCCCTTGCTGTTGCCAATACACATTCTTATCCCACACTGGGGGTCACTGCACCATGTTTCTAGGTGGTCTGCCTACCTTTGCAATCTTTCCTTTTAATCTGTCTTGTACATTGACAGTCAGACTGATCTCCCTTAATCATCGTTTTTAGCATAAATTCTACCAGTATAGATTAGGCCTCAATTTTATGTCTACCTTGGCTCTGTATAGACCCTATTCTTAAAAAACTCAGCCAAGTCCAAGAGGTCAGTCCTGTGAATTTACACAACCACATATCCTATTGCCTACCCCAGTAATTTTAAACTAAGTCGAGATTTCATGACACCTATAGTACAATCCCATCCAGCGATCTGTCTTTTATTTTCCATATACAGCTTCAATTCAGCTAATCTAACTAGTCCAAGTTGATGAGGTTTAAATTTGGCAAACAATTATGTTATTGAAGATATACATTTTTTCTTTTTTCTTTTTGGCTCAGAAGACAGCATTGATACATTTTTTTCTATTGATTCAATAAATAATTATTGAGTTTCTACTTTTAATCTATTATTAGCTACTATATGGTCTTAATAATTTATAAAACTTTATAAATTCAAAAGAAAATATATATCTTCTAATGGTAAAATTAAGCCATCATCATTGTCTGCCACTTTTGTCTTGTTCTTCAGCTTTCTTTGCTATCTTCTTCCTCCAAGCCAGGTTGCAGGCGTCTCCAAATCAACCTGAGTCCTTTCCTTACCCCATAATCTCCTTTTCTTTTATGGTTCATCATTGCTCTTAGAATGTATGGATATTTGAGGTTATATTCATCCTCCATAAATAACACAAACTTTTTATTCATTGAACCATAAATAAATTTTTTAGAGAAAATTAAAAATGAAACAGATAAAACACCCACAAACATTTGGCACCTGGGGGCCATATCACTAATGAGGAATTCAAATGATGGCCGAGGTTGCAGGCCATCTTGCTACCTTCTCTCTCCTGTAGCTCCTTTGGCATAATATTTTTTGCCTTCTTGTTTTTCTCTTAGTCAGATTTCTTAATGTTTTTGCTTTTTAAAAATATTTCATATTAATTTTTAAAATAGAGATGGTGTCTCACTATGTTGCTCAGGCTGGTCTCGAACTCCTGGCCCCAAGTGATGCTCTTGCTTCTGCCTCTCAGAGTGTTGGGATTATACCTGGCCCACTTTTGCATTTTCAAAACATTTAACAGAATTTTTACAGATTCTTTTAACAAAGGAAAATTAAGTATGATTTTTATTCCAGTATAGTGGCATATCTGCTCTGCAGCCAACAAATTCAAAAGCCTATCAATCAATGGACAAGTGAAAGTATTAACAACATCTGCCACCATGTTGGCTATGAGTCCTTGAGATCTTGCCTGGTGATGTGCTGGCCTGAGTACAAGCCTGGGAAGGGGTTAGGGTTTCAACCAGCGTCTACAAGCTGCCAGCAGCTCCCTGCTTTGGAAGACTGATCCTGTGAACAGTGCCTGCTTTGAGTCTTAGGGTGTAGGTAAGAGAGAAGAGAAGTGCGCCGTCTACTAGGAGTGAGGCTGCAAAGATCAACAGCATGAATGGGGGTGGACTATGCAATTGGTGTTGTGGTGCCACAGGAAACAAGAGAAAAACAAGGGTGGGCAGCTCTTGGTGAGTAGGAAGCAACATGGGATCTGGGCAGCAGGTCGAGGGCTGTGGACTGGTGGGGAGGAGAGAGAAGAGGAGGGTCACAGCAGTCTTTAATGGAAAGCAGGAGGAATAAAATAGGAACAATTTATTTACTTTGTCCAGAATCCATCCATGATCCACGGCTTTGGGATTTAAAAACAAAAACAACAAAACAAAACAATGAAGCATGCCCAGTATCAGCATTGAGTCATTGTCAGTTTAAACAATCTGATTATCTTTTCAATCTAGAAATAGAAAATGTTTCAAGTATCTGCATTTCAACTTTAAAAACTGTAACAGGGATCACTACTTAGTAATTATAAATGCAATAGAAAAGCATGCATTGCATTTTCCTTCTACATTGTGGTCAATGGAAGCAGCCAGAGGAAGGAGGTAGAAAGAGAAGTGTACACAAAGGGGTGGAACAAGAGCTAAATGAGATTCTAACCAAGGCAAAACATTCACAGAGAGACCTATAGATTAGAGGCAAAGTAGCACAGACAGCCCACCATATATGTGGTTGAAAACGTGTTAATAAAGATGGTGCTACCTTCAATGGGATTGTGCACCTCAAGTTTGGCAGATTGGATAGTCATGGCCAACATGACTGTTAATGTATTTTCCTCTTTTAGAACAAAGTGATGAAAAGCAAGGGCTTCAAATGAGCAAAAGTTTGTCCAATTCGCAATCGAGTGAACATGCTATGGGTTCAGAGCCAGCTAATAGCTTCAGCTGACTTCTCAGTGCCCTTTATTTAATCAGCTGGAATGTTTTATAAGTACCATCCCTGTAACCCTTTGAAATGAAGGATTTGACTTTTGTTTGGAAAATACATATCTCATCATAGAAATGGAACACAATGTCCTTAGTTTAGTTATTCTCTAGAGAAACAGTCTTTATTGAAATATATGCCAGGAATATAATAAAGGAAAAAAGCTGATTATAGTGAATTTATTCAGGCATGAGAGACTAGGAGACATTTATCTATATGGAAAGGAGTGTAAACACTATAGGCTCCACTCCCAGGGTACCAATATTCATGGAACAAACTCTCAGAAGGAAATCAATCACTCTTCCTTTTTTTCATGTCCAGTAATCCATGAAGACAGAGCAAGCCAACAGCAAAGGACTAATTTCAGAAGAATGATTGATTCAAGGTTTTTAGGAATCAAAAGTGCAGTTATAAAGGAATTGGGACCTAGTCTAGATACCAAACAGTGCTTCTGGACCCCTTTTTAAAATTCGTGCTTCTTTTTCTTTACCAATGGAAAAAAGTAAAGGCTGATCTGTTCCTCATACCACATGCTTTATACTAAAATAAATTTCTGACTGATTTGAGATTTTAATGTAAAAATCAAAACCACATAAGAACCGAAGGAAAGGAAAAATAATAAAAGAAGAAAAACAAAAACTTAAAACCCCAAAATACAGGTGAATATTTACATAATCTTGAGGTGCAAATGGCTATCTGAACAAACAAACAAACAAACAAACAAAAAAACCAATGCCAAAACTTGGTTTTATTTATAAAGGAAATGGAAGCTAAATTGGACTTTATTCAAGTTAATTTTTTTTTTTTTTTTTTTTTACTCAGGATAAAAGCACCGCCAACAAAGGCAAACCAATTGGAAAAAATGTGCAAAATCCTCTTCAAGTTTCCTTTTGGCTGCATGTAACTCAGTCAAGCTAGCTTATGACAAAGCTAGAAAAAAAAAAAAAAAAAAAAAAAACAGAAGAAAACAGGGGTATGTCAAACTCCAAGGACAGGAGGACATCAGGAGAAAGGGAAACCACTCGAGGCCACGGGAGATGAAGGAATAAGCCTTTCACTCTCGGAGCTGCCCTGAGATTTTCACAGAGTATCCCCCACTCATTTCTTGGCCTTACCATTGCTTCCTTCTTTCCTCTTTCAGGCCCTTTCTCCCTTCTCCCTGCACGTAACTGCTTCTGGCTTCATAGGTCCTCAGTCCCAGCCATAAACAAAAGTCCTCATGTGACACAGACTCTTAGTGGCCCAATTTGTCCAGTTTTGGTGTCAGCTCACTACAACCTCCACCTCCCAAATTCAAGCGATACTCCTACCTCAGCCTCCCCAGTAGCTGGGATTACAGGCGCTCTCTAGCACACCTGACTAATTTTTGTATTTTTAGTAGAGATGGCGTTTCGCCATGTTAGCCGGACTGGTCTCGAATTCCTGGCCTCAGGTGATCAGCCTGCCTCAGCCTCCCAGAGTGCTGGGATTACAGGTGTGAGCCACCGTGCCCAGCCCAGTTGTAAACCCTTAATCCAGATGGCTGTGACCAGCAGCCCATGGACATTGGAACACACACACAGGTGAGGGTACCTGCGAGGCTGGTAGCAGAGAAAAATGTGTCCCCACAGGCTGAGCAGACACCAGAAAAGGCGATTGCTGCAACCCCATGGGGACACAATTTGCTCTGTACTTTTCACAAATTACTTTTTAATTAGTAGAGATATAAGCAGAAGAATAAATGCAAAAGACCAATAATCTCACAGTATGAGTAGGCCTTACTTGCAAGCAAAACAATGACAATTAGAATCCAAAAGTTCCATTCTGAACTCCTCCCTGTGGGAACAATACCACAGTTTGGAAGAAGTTAGTCAGACTTATTTTCCTGCTTCCTTTTTAACTGTTACTATGTTTTGTTTGACAATAGTTTTCTCCCATAAACTCTTTGCTTGTATCACTAAGAATGAAGGTTTGGGCCGGGCGCAGTGGCTCACGCCTGTAATCCCAGCACTTTGGGAGGCTGAGGCGGGTGGATCACGAGGTCAGGAAATCGAGACCATCCTGGCTAACACAGTGAAACCCTGTCTCTACTAAAAATGCAAAAAATTAGCCGGGCCTGGTGGCGGGCGCCTGTAGTCCCAGCTACTCCAGAGGCTGAGGCAGGAGAATAGCGTGAACCCGGGAAGCGGAGCTTGCAGTGAGCTGAGATCATGCCACCGCACTTCAGCCTGGGCGACAGAGCGAGACTCGTCTCAAAAAAAAAAAAAAAAAAAAGAATGAAGGTTAGTGTTTAAAATGTATTGCATGGCAAGGGATAGTTTCACTTGAAGTCATGCACCATGAAATAAGATGAAATATTTGTATATACTGTCCTACTTCCTACGCTCTAAATTGTTTTACTCTGTGAATTTGCATTGAGTCAGTCATATGCCACACTACATCATTTTAGTATTCGAGATGGCATTCAGGTTCCCTCTCATTCATCATTAAATGTGGTCAGGGCCGGGCGCGGTGGCTCATGTCTGTAATCCCAGCACTTTGGGAGGCTGAGGTGGGTGGATAACCTGACGTCAGGAGTTCAAGACCAGCCTGGCTAAATGGTGAAACCCCATCTCTACTAAAAATACAAAAATTAGACAGGCATGGTGGCACGCGCTTGTAGTCCCAGCTACTCGGAAGGCTGAGGCAGGAGAATCGCTTGAACCCAGGAGGTGGAGGTTGCAGTGAGCCGAGTTCACACCACTGCACTCCAGCCTGGGCGACACAGCAAGACTCTGTCTCAAAAAATAAATAAATAAATAAATAAATAAAAAATTAAATGAATGGGATCAGATTCCATTGGACGCCACCTCTCTCAGGCTGACTCTTTTGTTTGCCTTCCATGTAAGATTGTTTCTCCTTCCCCTTTTCTCTAAGAGAGGCTGGCAGGATCTAGTTGTAAATTAATTGGAAACCAGTGTCTTATTTTTACTTCATTTTTTTTAATCAGGCATTTTCTGTGATTAGTTTCACTGGGAAAATTATGTATTAATGACACTTCTTAAAAACATACATCTCCCTGTTACATCCTTAAAAGATTTCCTTATGTAGGCCTTTTTCAATAGGCTCAGGACTGCAGACAAAGGGAAAGAAAGTAAAAGTTCATGCCAGAAAAATGACAACATTTTTTTTCTTTTTTTGTAACATTTAAGAGAGAAACCTGGCCAGGTACAATGGCTCATGCCTCTAATCCTAGCACTTTGGGAGACCGGTGCAGGAGGATCACTTGAGGCTAGGAGTTCCAGACCAGCCTGGGTAACATAATGAGATCCCCATCTCTACAAAAAAGTAAAAATTAGCCAGGTGTTATGGTGTGCACCTGTGGTCCCAGCTACTCAAGAGGCTGAGGTGGGAGAATGCTTGAGCCCAGGAGGTCAAGGCTGCAGAAAACCATGATCACACCATTGCACTGTAGCCTGGGCAACTGAGCTCTCAAGAAAGAAAGAAAGAAAGAGAGAGAGAGAGAGAGAGAGAGAGAGGGATGGAGGGAGGAAAGGAAGGAAAGAAAGAAACCTGAATAGTCTTTAATTCTTTAATAATATGCTTAAATTTTATTTAAATTGGTTTGTCCATGTGTTTGTTCACTTTCTAAATGACTTAATGGGATTCTCATGGTCGGTGTCTTTGTGTCTTTCACATACAGAGTTTGTGATACAAGCATCTAATCTGGTTGGTAGTTCCTTTGATATCGTAGTGCTGTTGGACTGGGCTGTGGAACCTGCCTTTGGGTAACTGGGCTGCTCTTGGGTAGACTGAAGAGATGAGGCAAGGGCAAAATCACGCACATACTTCCTTAACCTACTTGCAGAAACTTTCAAAAGGCACTTGATTAAACCTCTAGGCAGTACAGTGTTCTTGTATTTTCTTGTATTTGTTAACATCTGTGTTTAGCTACTGGTAGCTTTTGGTTTTAAAATGTTCTAAGTGAGGCCGGACGCAGTGGCTCATGCCTGTTATCCCAGCACTTTGGGAGGCCGAGGGGGGGTGGATCACCTGAGGTCAGGAGTTCAAGACCAGCCTGGCCAACATGGTGAAACCCCATCTGTACTAAAACTACAAAAAAAAAAAAAAATTAGCCAGGTGTCCTGGCAGGTGCCAGTAATCCCAGCTACTCAGGAGGCTGAAGCAGGAGAATCACTTGAACCTGGGAGGCAGGGGTTGCAGTGAACCGAGATTGTGCCATTGCCATAAAGCTTGGGCAACAGAGTGGGACTCCATCTCAAGAAAAAGAAAAAAAAAGTTCTAAGTGTTGGCCTTAAAGTGAATTTATCTTTAGTATGATAGTTATATGAAAATTATACAGTTTGTGTGCACAGAATTTTTAAATAAAGTGTTTTGTAAAAAAAAATGGATTCTAGCTTTTGCAGTACATATGTATAATAACTTTAATATTCAGGGCAGATAAGTACAATTATTTCCTCACTCTTAAAATGCTGTTTTTGTGTCTGTTCCTGCAGATGTTTTCATGTCTTTGCAAAGTGACACATTTTGATGCCTTCTTGATACAGTGGTAGACATTTTGTAGCTTTCTAGAAACTTTGTATTCATATAGTATCATTGAAAAATAAATAAAATGATAGTGTGGGTCAAAAAAATATATTCAGCAGGCAGGGTGGCTCACGCCTGTAATCCCAGGACTTTGGGAGGCCAAGGCCCCCGATTACTTGAGGTCAGCAGTTCGAGATAATCAAGATAAGTCTTGGCTAGAGAGCTTTTGTGCTCTTGCTGCACCGTTTCTGTAGGAAAGAGACATGAGCGCTCTGCAAGGCCAGCCGGGATCAGGGTCCAGAAGCCTGTGTCATCCTGTATCTACCCAGACTTCAGGGACCCTGCCACTGGCCCACCCAGAAGGCTGGCAGATTCTACTGTCAAAATATTGTTGGATCTGACTCAAAGTGAAACTTTCTGTCATGACGAAGGGCAAGAACAGGAAATTTACCAAGCTTGCAGCGGTGAGTTCTATGACAGTTTATTTATTTATTTTTTTATCTGCTAGTGAATATTCTTTTTACATGTGGCAAAAATCAGTCCACTTCCGTTGTAACATACCACCTGATAGATGTCTATACACCTATTGTGATGGGCAAATAATGGCCCCCAAAGATGTTTATGCCTAATCCCCAGAAACTGTGAATATATTCCCTTACAAATCCCTGGCAGAAGAGACTTTGCTGATGTGATCAAATTAAGGACCTTGAGAGAGGAAGATTATCCTGGATTATCTTGGCAGCCCAGGCACAAGGGTCCTTAAAAGAGGGGAAAAGTAGGGTCAGAGTCTGAGACGGAGATGTGATAACCACAGCAGAGGCTGACGTGAGGTAGGGCCATGAGCTAAGGCATGCAGGCAGCCTCTAAAACCTGAACAAGGGTTAAGCATGGTGGCTCACGCTGTAATCCCAGCACTTTGGGAGGCCCAGGCAGGCAGATCGCTTAAGGTCAGGAGTTCCAGACCAGCCTGGGCAACATTGCAAAACCCCGACTCTACTAAAAATACAAAAATTAGGTGGGCGTGGTGGTGGGTACCTGTAATCTCAGCTACTCAGGAGGCTGAGGCAAGAGAATCGCTTGAATCTAGGAGCTAGAGGTTGCAGTGAGCCGAGATCATGCCACCGTACTCCAGCTTGGGGGACAGAGTGAGACCCCATCTCAAAAAAAAAGCTGAACAAGGCAAGGAAATGGATTCTTTCCTAGAGCTGCCATAAGGAACACAGCCATGCCAACCTACTTTGGACCAGATCTGTAAGATAATAAACCTCTGTTGTTTTAAGTCTCCAAATTTGCAGCAATTTGTTGCAGCGGCAATAGAAAACCAATCCACTTCATATTTCTACGAACATAGCTGCTGTTCACATTTAAACAATGATGGCTACTGATATTTACCAAAAGAAAATTGTAAAATGTTAATAGCATCTAGGCCAAAGTTTCCCTTGACACATGAGAATGACACATGAGAAGGGTGTGAATACACATATGAATGCGTGTGTGATTCAGCATTAAGAGAGGTCAGAAAATGTTAAGTTTGCTAATCCAGAGTCCTGTGCCCCTGAAAAGGGACCTAGTCACAGCCATTATGAGTGAACCAATCATAATGAGCCATTGCCAATGAGCATGTCCCTCAGGCACAGGTGGGGACGATTGCTTCATTAATAGCTAATTAATTCATTGAACAGCCACCCAGAGCACCAGGTGCATGGTACTGTGACAGGTTTGGTAGGGGAAGTTTCTCTCTGCTCCAGAAGCTTATAAACTAGGAATGATGTGGAAAAGTGCAGACACAAGGCCATAGAACACTATAATCAAAGGTAGTATGGCCGGGTGCAGCAGCTCACACCTGTAATCCTAGGACTTTGAGAAGATTGCTTGACTCCAGGAGTTCCAGACAAGTCTGAGTAACATGGTGAGACTCCGTCTCTACAAAAAACACAAAAATTAGCTGTGTGGTGGTGTGTGCCTGTAGTCCCAGCTACTCTGGAGGCTGAGGCAGGAGGATCTCTTGAAGCCAGGAGGTTGAGGCTGCAGGGAGCTGTGATCACAGCACTGATATCTAGCCTGGGCAACAGAGTGAGACCTTGTCTCAAAACAAAACAAAAAAACAAACAAAAAAGGTAGTATGTATAAGCGGACAGGAGGTGCAGAAAAGAAAAGGCTAGCAGAATCTCAGAGGTCTGAGAGCTTGTGGGAAATTAATCGGGGGTGTAGAAGTCAGAATTTCATGGGTAATGCTAGCCACTTTCATGTTCAGAAGGACACAAAAATTCTCGGCATTAATAATTAACAGTTGTTCAATATTTTGTGGTCATTAAATTCCATGTCTTAGTTTCCTTATCTGTAAAATGGGGATAATAATAATAATAATACCTTTTCTTATGCGATTGTTGTGAGAAATAAATGAGTTAATACCACTGCCTGGCACGTAGTAAGTACTATTTAACTGTTCACCAAATAAAATAAACAGGTTGGAGCCTCATGCGTATGCAATAAGCAACAACCAGCTAAGGCAGATGGGGAGAATATTGTTATCCTCATTTTGCAGACAGAGAAAGTGAGACCCAGTGAGGTTGGGACTTCTTCAAGGTCACCAGGACAGGGAGTGGCTTTTCATCAACGTGAAAATTAATATTGATGAGCCATGTATATTTCACAGCTGTTTCTGTATGCATGAAAGTGAGTAAGGCCAGGATGGAAACCATTTGCCAGGGACTTTCTCCCTTGCTGTTTAGCCTGGTGGCCCTTCGGCCTGGCCAGTGTTCAACCATCATGTGCAATCATACAGTGGTGGTCATAATGTCCTTTTGTTTATTTTAAACATTTTTTATTGAATTTACAACAGTCATCTGGACATAGCCTGGGTCTACACAAACATTTCCCATCAAATCCAGAAGAAAAGAAATCATTGTGATAACTTTGACCATAATGATTTTTACGCATCCCTTGATACTGTCTTAGTCATTTTCAATTTAGCATAGAGACCAGTACTGAGATCTGACCTGGTCCTGGGTTGGCTTCTCCCCTGCTGAACTCAGCACACAAGCTGCAACAGATGTTTCTCTTTAAGGTTTGTGGGAACTTGCTCTCCTCCCCTCTCAACTTCTCTCTCTCAGAGGAACAGATGCCAGCAAGGTTGAGCTCTGAAGACTCGGCGCCTGGTCTCCTGTCGTTACTGGCATAGCCCAAGGCAAGATTGTCTATTGTCAGACTCAAGTAACAAACATTAAGCCCTAGAACCAGATTTGCTTTTTCATATACACAAAAGGCACCATGCTATGCTTTGTAGTTATTTTGAATCCTTTGAAAATCATAGAAAGAAGAAGAGTTAAAAATCAAACAAGTGGACATCACTTAGAAATGGGACGTCCTTGATGGGTTCCAGCCTTTCAAGAGTAGACCAAGTTACTCTTGGCTTCCATGTGACTTCCATGCTGCTGTGTTCATTAGACAACAAAAAGTTGCTCTACAGAATTAACATTGTATTTTAAGTTGATTTTGCAGGAAGCACATAATACCACTGCAAACTCTACATTAACAACTTATAGGGAGCAGCAAATATTTCTCTGAAGGGCTTGTATTTGTTTGATCTCTAAGGTGATTACTAACCATAAAAACTCTATAGGCGGGGGTAACATTTTTTCTTCAGACTCTTTTAAAAGGAATATTCCAAGTGGTGATGCTCCAGCAGCAAAAGACCTAAAATTAAGGTCGGTACGGTGGGTCAGGCCTGTAATCACTGGGAGGCCACCATAGGAGGATCGCTTGAAACCAGGAGTTCAAGACCAACCTGGGCAACATAGCAAGACCCCAACTCTATTTAAAAAAAGAAAAAGAAAAGAAAGACCTATAATTAGGAACAGAAAACACATAGACCGATAATTAAGAAATAGAAAACACAATTTTGTGATTCTTACCAATCAAGTAAATAAGAAAGACATTTTTAAGATATGGAGAAGAGTTCAGAGAGAAGGCTAGGATGGGCGTATCAGAAAAGACTGGAACTATGGGGTCATGGGAAGTGAAGTTGGAGGAATTCCCTCATGTCACTATCAAAACTGTCAGAGATTGAACAACTGTTTTTGCAAAATAAAAACACCTTTTTGTATAAAAGCAGCATATGTGGTGGGACTGTGTGCTAATTCGGGTGCTCGATTGGCTCTGCTAGCTTCTCACTCTGGGTGTCTCCTTTTCCTGGGTTCTATCGATTCACAAAAGGCTGAAACCTTGAAAGGCATTGTATTAGGAATCCGGTAAAAATGGAAGAATGAAAACCAGGAAGTGCTTTGCAGGTCCTGCCAAAACGTCTTCAGTTGGTTGAAGGATATGAGACGTCATCACTGTAGCGCAGAAAACTGTAAGAGAGGGTGCCAGTTTGTAAGGCAGGGTCAGGTGTTCCCCAGAGAGTGGAGACCTGGTAAACTGAGGGAGGGGGTTGGGCAAGGGCTATGGTTAGACCACCGGTTCTTTTCTGGTGAGAACACTAGTTCCTGATCTCATCGTATTATCTGATCTATCCACCAAGGAGGCCCCCCAGAATCTGTAAGGCAGTTTGAACATTTATACCTCCTGAAGAACCGTGTCGTGTCATCTCAAAGAGAACAGTGTGGGTCTCTTTCAAAGGGTAGACAGGGAGGTGGGCCAATTGTTTTTCATCTTTGCTGAGGTTGGAACAAGAGGCAATGAGTGAAGGCTGATGAATGAGAGGTTTCAGTTAGAGAAGAGGAAGACCTTCACTGGGGAACTCTTTTTTTCTTCCCACAGTTATGCTATCTCCTTTCCAATGGAAACTTCTCCTGTTTTAGAACAGAACACCAAATACCGCATGTTCTCACTTATAAGTGGGAGCTAAATAATGATAACACATGGACACACAGAGGGGAACAACACTCACTGGGTCCTTTCAGAGGGTGGAAGGTGGGAGGAGGGAGAGGATCAGGAAAAACGATGAGTGGGTACTAGTCTAGGCTTAATATCTGGGTGAAAAAATAATCTATTAACACAAGTTTACAAAAAATAATCTGTTAACACAATCCCATAACACAAGTTTACCTATGTAACAAACCTGCACATGTACCCCTGAACTTAAAAGTTCAAAGAAAAGAAACTTCTCCTGATTCAGCTTCAGCCCATTTGATCCTACACTGGCCTCAGCAGTGAGGAAGAGCATTTTTCATGCTTCAATGTAGCTTCAGACTTTGAGGAAAACTGCCTCCTCAGCCCTCTTCCCCTCATTTTTTTAGACAATATTTTTTGACTATAAAAATACTATATGCTTATAATAGAAGACTTGAAAAATGCAGAAAAATGCAAGTTAGATATCTTTACAACCACGTTTTATGTACACTCTTATGTAAACATTTTTCCTGCAGGGATACCTCACTAGCATCTTTCCATCACAGTGAATATTTATTGATTCTGAATTGCTGTGCCGCATTTCATTATATGAGTGTCATAACACAATATACTCAATAATCAATCAGTTCCCCTCAGATACTTAGGTTGCTTCTTCATATCCCTATTATTTAAAAAATGCAATAATTGAAACCTTCTGGCAGGGTGTGGTGGCTCATGCCTGTAATATCAGCAGTTTGGGAGGCCAAGGTGGGTGGATCACCTGAGGTCAGGAGTTTGAGACCAGCCTGACCAACATGGTGAAACCCTGTCTCTACTAAATAGAATACAAAAAATTATTTTTTGTGTGTGTGGTGGTAGGCACCTGTAATCCCAGCTACTTGGGAGGCCGAGGCAGGAGAATCACTTGAACCCTAGGGGCGGAAGTTGCAGTGAACCGAGATCAGGCCATTGCACTCCAGCCTGGGTAACAAGAGTGAAACTCTGTCTCAAAAAAAAAAAAAAAAACCTTCTGTGATTGAAACCTCTCATGTTTCAACCTTCACCCATTGCATCTTGTTCTGACCTCAGCAAAGAGGAAAAACAATTGGCCCAGCTAACATAAATAAAGCTAAATATTTTTGTATGGTTTTAATAATTTCTGTCATATATATTATTAAACAACAGGTACAACTAATTTAAGGCGTTTGGAAGTTAGGACAGTGGACATCTTTGAGAGAAAGTAGTGCCGGGGAGGGATAGAGGAGGGATAGAGGATAGTATGTCTTCTTTATCTTTCTTCTTCTTGTTCTTTTTTTTTTTTTTTCTTTGAGACAGGGTCCCACTCTGTCGCCCAGGCTGGAGTGCACTGGCATGATCTCGGCTCACTGCAACCTCCACCTTCCAGGATCAAGCAATTCTCCTGCCTCAGCCTCCCAAGTAGCTAGGACCACAGGCATGCACAAGCATGCCCAGCTAATTTTTTTGTGTTTTTGGTGGAAACTGGGTTTTGCCATGTTCCCTAGGCTGGTCTCAAACTCCTGAGCTCATGCAATCTGCCTGCCTCGGCCTCCCAAATGTTGGGATTACAGGTGTGAGCTATCAAGCCCGGCCTTCTTTATCTTTCTATCCACAGTGTTTGGCACAGTCCTTGGCCATAGTACGTAATTGACAAACACTTGGTGAATAAATGAGATGCAATCCATCTCATCGAAGTTTATCAGTTAAGCCTTTTATTTTGGTTGAAGGGCCAGCCTTTGGCAAAGAGGTGAAGTAAGCAACCCACATGTCAATAGTCCCATGGTGCCACAGTCCTCTCACTGTGACCTTGGTCTCTGGCCGTCCACTTGCCTTCCTTTTCTCTGCCTCCCCCTCACACCCAGATAACATTTATGCCACTCACTGGCACCCAGTTACCCTCCAGGCCCACAGAGTGCCCGGTGGCCACATGAGAGGGCTCTTCGTTCTCCCTCCACTTCTCAAGACAGCTCCACTCCTTCCAGGCTCTTTCTGATGACTGATTGGAATACTGAACTAATAGGAAAAACTGATGTCAGTAAGGAAAGATAACTGGCGCTTCTCCCCGTAATGTTTACTTTTTAAAAGAGGTCTTCAGTGACTCTCTCCCCCCAACCCAAAGCAATCAACTGTGGTAATAGCAATATGCAGTCTACCTACCTTACAGTTTTCTAGTGAGATTCAAACGAAATAATAAATATGCAAAGCATACACAGTCCAGACAAACTTAAGGTGGGGTGATGATTATGTTCGTAGAAAAAAGCATTTGGAGGGATTAAATCTGATCTCTTCTACCCTCTCAACTCTTGGCGGCCCTCACCACTACTTATAAAGAACTTAATATCTGTGTTATCTTCTTTAATTTCCAGTTATATCCTTTCAGACATTTTATCCTGGTCAGCCCCCACCTCCCAAAGCTAAAGCAGTTAAACATTTTGCTTGGCTGGATGAGGCTGAGCAGATGATGAAGGACAGCCCCACCCAGGAAATGCCAGGAGAGGCTTTCCAGTCACTGTGACAATCAAGACCACCCTGTATACTTCCAACACCCTTTAGGGGCTTGAAAACCACTTCCTGACTAATCGAAAGTTTGATCTCCTTTGATAGGATATCGAATTGTGTAAAAGCAAAAGAATTCAGTCATTATGGAAAAGTGATCTGAGGGCAGAAAGACCTCCTTCAGGTTTCTTAAAGCATCACATAGCTGCCCACTCACATTAACCACACCACACCTGCGACCATAGTTGCATGATCTTTTAGGAAACTGGCCTAGGATTAGACCAGTTCCATTTGCAATGAACCAACATTACTTGTAGGATATGGGTACATGTTGGGAAAGGTATAAAATGGATTCTGATGAGCCACTGTGGCCTTGGGACCTCCCATACACCAGTACATGGGGTCCTCATTCCCACTGATGCTTAGGAAACCCACATTGACAGGTGGGGAGGGAAACTTTCTTGTCATGCTTTACACTGTAAGAACTTCCAGGAGACCAGGCGCGGTGGCTCATGCCTGTAATACCAGTACTTTGGGAGGCCGAAGCTGGCAGATCACTTAAAGTCAGGAGTTCAAGACCAGCCTGGTCAACATGGTGAAATCCCGTCTCTACTAAAAATACAAAAATTAGCTGGGCATGGTGGCATCTGCCTGTAATCCCAGCTACTCAGGTGGCTGAGGCAGGAGAATCGCTTGAACCCAGGAGATGGAAGTTGCAGTGGGCCAAGATCACGCCATTGCACTCTAGCCTGGGCAACAGAGTAGACTTTGTCTCAAAAAAAAAAAGGACCTCCAAACCTACTAAATTCTTACTAAGGTGTTGGAAACTTTGAAAAGATAGAAATCTCAAGACTCAGGTAAGAAGGGTCTTCATGCCCTTGTAAATACTAACAGAGAGAGCATCTCATGGAGGGACTAGAACCAAACAGGTGGAATTCAGAGAAATGCCAGAGAAAAAAATCACTGAAAACCAAATCAGTTTAGTGTTTGAAGGGAGAAACTTTTATCTCATTTTTTCCTGAGCTTATATGAGGCTGATCCATGTATATTAAGGGTATACTGAGTACCATTTATTGAGCTGTACCCAACTTTATTCTGAAAGTGGGTTTGAAGCTGACCAAGGATGTAAGATACTTTTGTTCACCGATATGATGGGCACTAATGTAATTGAAAAGATGTACAATAGATAAATGTCAATTATCTCTTATAGTTATTAAGTTAATAATAAGAATAATACACAAAACAAGGGGCTAGGGAGACGAAGAGTTGCTAGTCATTATTCCTGCCTTTGAGGAGCATGGAATCAACAAGGAGAAACACACGAGGTGGATGAAATGGTAGCCAGCAATGTCGAGTGGAAAACAGCAAGTGCTGATGAATGTTAGGAGAGACAGAGAAGGACGGATCCAAACTGGGCTGTGGGAAAAGCAGATGGAAAAGAGTGGATATTTGAAACTGCAGCTGCTATCTCCACGGAGATCGCGCACACATTTCACAGGCGCTCTCTTTCCCATGGTTAGCAAGAATAACAGCACAACAGTCACAACAGCCAGTTTTTCTGGAGTCTTTTACACTAGCCCCTTGAGGGTTAGGTATTATTATTATCTCCACTTTACAAATGAGATTAAAGCTTAGAGAGCTCGAGTCTTGCCCAGGATTTCAAGCTTGTCAGGAGTGGGAGCTGCGAGGCCAAGCATTTAGATTTCAGGAGTCCTGCTCTTAATCTCTAAGCTGTGTTGATGCCGTGACTTCTAAAAAGAAAGAGTGAAATCCCGGGATTGCTGGTCCCACAGGAGAAGAATAAGAGGGTGGTGAAGATGGCAATGAGTGGAATCCACCTCAGTATCTTCCCTGACCCTCATAAGGTGTAATCAGATCCTTCAGTTATCATATTTTATATTGATTAGAAGAGTGCATTAAAAAACAATAAATAGAAAAAAGAGAAGAAAATAAGGAACCAATGTAGAGAACATAAAAATAGAAATTAAATACATGTCCTTATGAGGATATATGGGTGTGTATGTCTACATATAAAACAATAGAAAATTCTATCTCCTATATACCTATCGACATTCTGATTACCTGTATGTGTTCTTAGAATCTAGAGCTTTGGGCCGGGCATGGTGGCTCACGCCTGTAATCCCAGCACTTTGGGAGGCCAAGGCAGGCGGATCATGAGGTCAAGAGATCGAGACCATCCTGGCCAACATGGTGAAATACAAAATTAGCCAGGGTGGTGGCAGGCGCTTGTAGTCCCAGCTACTTGGGAGGCTGAGGCAGGAGAATGGCGTGAACTCGGGAGGAGGTGGAGCTTGCAGTGCGCTGAGATTGCGCCACTGCACTCCAGCCTGGGCGACAGAGTGAGACTCCATCTCAAAAAAAAAAAAAAAAAAAAAAAATCTAGCACTTTTGTGTTCTACTTTTGTATTCATTAACAACCACTATAATATTGGGCAGGATCCCTAATTAGAAGTTTTCTAAACATTCATTAAGTTTAACACAGGGCACAGAGTAGGCATTCAATAAATATTGATAGATTGCCAAGCATCAATTGTGAATTAGAGTTTTATGTGGTGCAGTGTCTCCATTACGTATTACCTAAGTAAATGATTATGCCAAGCATTAGAAGGGAAAACAAAAGAGAAGAGAACGTAAACAGAAGTCTCCTTTCGCTTTCATTTGTTTGCTCATTATTGCAATCAATAAATGCTCAGCTCCTACGCATGCCAGCAAGGAGGAGCAGGAGGTTGAGAGGTCTAGGGTTGTCACCTAGCTCCCCATGTGGCTGAGGAGGCATTTCCTCCTGTACCAAACATTTGACCCTACCTCCACACTACTTAATGAAATATTTTTCTGAGATTCATCCTGTAAAAATGGAAAACATAGACATATGACATAACCTTTCATTCAGCACAAATCAGAACTGACCTGGGTATTTCAAGGAGACGAAAGATGTCTAACTGATCTTCTCATTGTCTCTATATCAACTGCTTTATAATTTATTTTTAAGATTATTTCAGGGCAGTAAAGAAAATATTACATTGCTCATTTTCTCTGTATCAGTTTCCTAACCATTTCCACCTGTGGCATCTGTCAACAATACCAATTCACGTGCAGGTATTACAGCAAAGATTATTTCTCTATGCCATAAATTCTTCTTGACCTTACCAAAGTATGAACAACACGTACTGATGATTACTAAAGTATGGAGGAATCTTATCTGAACTTATTTATTTATTTAAGACTGAGTTTTGCTCTATTGCCCAGGCTGGAGTGCAGTGGTGTGATCTCAGCTCACTGCAACCTCTGCCTCCTGGGTTCAAGTGATTCTCGTGCCTCAGCCTCCAGAGTAGCTGAGATTACAGGCGCCCGCCACCACGCCCGGCTAATTTTTTGTATTTTTAGTAGAGATAGGGTTTCACTATGCTGGCCAGGCTGGTCTCAAACTCCTAACCTCAAGTGATCCGCCTGCCTTAGCCTCCCAAAGTGCTGGGATTACAGGCTTGAGCCACCATGCCTGGCCTTATCTGAATTTAATTGTGTCAAAATGAAAAAGGGCTAAATGTTTAGAAACATTTATAAAACAATAGCTGTATAAGGTATTTCATTAATAAAATTTTACTATAAAATTTAATTTGGTATTGGCATATGCGTTGTTATGCATGATAAATATATCTAATACGGTTTTCCTATTATTCATTTCAAATTTTGGAATTCAAGCCTATTTATCACAAAGACAGCAATCCTTTTAAGGAAAATAATGTTCAAAGTAAATGCATAAAATGCATTTAAAAATATAAAGCGTTATAAGATTAATACTCCTATAATTGACACTGAATACAGTAGTACTGAGATGCTATAGCAAGGAATGTGCAGGGTCAGTATGGATAACAAACTCTTTAGCTAGAAACATTTTAAAAAATGAAAAACAGAATATCTTTTGACATTGGCTTTGGAATTTGAATTTTAGGAGGGATGTCACTTACCAAATACCATGTAGAATTGTGCTCTAAAGTTAGCAGAGAGGCCGGGAGAAGTGGCTCACGCCTGTAATCCCTGGGAGGCCAAGGTGGGATAATCATCTGAGGGGCAAAGGTGGGATAATTACTTGAGTCCAGGAGTTCAAGACAAGCCTGGGCAACATGAGGAGACCCCATCTTTACAAAAAATGAAAAAGTCAGCCAGGCATGGTGGAATGTGCGTGTCACAGGTCCCAGCTACTCGGGAGGCTGAGGTGGAAGTGAGAGGTGACAGCGTGCTGGCAGTCCTCAGAGCCCTGGCTTGCTCTTGGCACCTCCTCTGCCTGGGCTCCCACTTTGGCGGCATTTGAGGAACCCTTCAGCCCACCACTGCACTGTGGGAGCCCCTTTCTGGGCTGGCCAAGGCTGGAGCCCACTCCCTCAGCTTGCAGGGAGGTGTGGAGGGAGAGGCGCTAGCGGGAACCCGGGTTGCGTGCGGCGCTCGCGGGCCAGCTGGAGTTCCGGGTGGGCGTGGGCTTGGCGGGTCCCGCACTCGGAGCAGCCGGCCAACCCTGCTGGCCCGGCCAATGAGGGACTTAGCACCCGGGCCAGTGGCTGTGGAGGGTGTACTGGGTCCCCCAGCAGTGCCAGCCCACCGGCGCTGTGCTCGATTTCTCACCGGGCCTTAGCTGCCTTCCCGTGGGGCAGGGCTAGGGACCTGCAGCCCGCCATGCCTGAGCTTCCCACCCACTCCATGGGCTCCTGTGCGGCCCGAGCCTCCCCGACGAGCACCACCCCCTGCTCCACGGCGCCCAGTCCCATCACCCAAGGGCTGAGGAGTGCGAGCGCACGGCGCGGGACTGGCAGGCAGCTCCACCTGCAGCCCCGGTGCGGGATCCACTAGGTGAAGCCAGCTGGGCTCCTGAGTCTGGTGGGGATGTGGAGAGTCTTTATGTCTAGCTCAGGGGTTGTAAATACACCAATCAGCACCCTGTGTTTAGCTCAAGGTTTGTGAGTGCACCAATTGACACTCTGTATCTAGCTGCTCTGGTGGGGCCTTGGAGAACCTTTGTGTCCATACTCTGTATCTAACTAATCTGATGGGGACGTGGAGAACCTTTGTATCTAGCTCAGGGATTGTAAATGCACCAATCAGCACCCTGTCAAAACAGGCCACTCGGCTCTACCAATCAGCAGGATGTGGGTGGGGCCAGATAAGAGAATAAAAGCATGCTGCCCAAGCCAGCATTGGTAACCTGCTCGTGTCCCCTTCCACGCTGTGGAAGGTTTGTTCTTTTGCTCTTTGCAATAAATCTCGCTACTGCTCACTCTTTGGGTCCACGCTGCTTTTATGAGCTGTAGCACTCACCACGAAGATCTGCAGCTTCACTCCTGAGCCCAGCGAGACCACGAGCCCACCGGGAGGAGCGAACAACTCCAGACGCGCTGCCTTAAGAGCTGTAACACTCACCGCGAAGGTCTGCAGCTTTACTCCTGAGCCAGCGAGACCACGAACACACCAGAAGGAAGAAACTCCGAACACATTTGAACATCAGAAGGGACAGACTCCAGACGCGCCACCTTAAGAGCTGTAACACTCACCGCGAGGGTCCGCGGCTTCATTCTTGAAGTCAGTGAGATCAAGAACCCACCAATTCCGGACACGGAAGGATCACTTGAGCACAGGAGATTGAGGCTGCAGTGAACTATGACCTCACCACTGCACTCCAGCCTGGGCAGCAGACTGAGACCCTGTCTCCAAAAAAAATAAAATTAAAATTACTGGAGAAATCAATTTCTATCTTCTTTATGCCCTTTAGACTTTTCTTTAAATCTATTTTTAATTATGTTATAGTTAATATAATTAAATAATATAATAAATAGGATTAATTATAAGCCTAATACAATAATTCCAAATTGTAGGGAAGCTATTCTGTATCAGAGAATAGCATTATTTATTTATGTTTTTAGAGGTAGACAAAGAACTGAATATAACTCACGTCAAATTATACACACTGCTGACATGGAGGGGAAGGGAGAAATTTGGAGTTGAAACTGATGTGGTGATAGGTTAACCATGCTAGTAGATATGTTCACTCATTATCAAACATTTGTTGAGTGCCTACAACCGTGTGTGTGTGTGTGTGTGTGTATGTGTGTGTGTGTGTGTTTTCCAGGGTCTCCCCATGTTGCCCAGCCTGGTCTCAAACTCCTGGGCTCAAGTGATCCTCCTGCCTCAGCCTCCCAAGTAGCTGGGGTTGCAAGCATGTCACCACGACCTGATCCTCCTACTATATTTGACTGGAGCATCAAAGGTGAGTAAGCCAATGTGCTAGCTCTCAATGAATGTATAATCTCAGGGGAGACTCAAACATATAAGCAAGCATGGGAGTGTCGGGTGTCCTCAGCAGTGGTATTAGCAAGGCTGATAGACAGGAGGGAGGAGCTGATTCCAACCAAGAGGTGGGGGTTGGGGGAGAACAGGCAGGAAAAAAGATGGAGAAAAAGACTCAGGAAAACATATATAGAGAAAATACCTGAACTAGTTCCTGTTGCCAGCTTGACCAGAGGGGACAAAGGGCATGGTGCCTGGTGTAAATGTGATGCTAAACTGCCCCGGGCATCTGGGAAAATGCCAGTGGAGATTCAATGAGGTGGTTTCTTAATCTTTCAATCAGTGCATAGAAGATCAAGTACGATTGAGACAAGGGAGAACAAAACTCATTAAAGAAAGATACAGGCCTCCGTGGCAGTGGTGGGGATGCTCACTGGGGAATGAAGTACTAAGGATGCACACCTAGCCCAGCATGGCCCCAAACCTCAAGACTTGTGGTTGCTGGGGTTGCCTCAAGCCGAGTGCCATGCATTTGCATGAGAGGCTTTTTGACTTCCAGTCCTGGAGCGATGATCTCACACTTCTCCCCAACCCATGGGTTCAGCTGCCTTTTGATCTACAATTGGGAACATCTGAGGTCTGTTTACTTTAAGAGACGCCTTCTCTCATGCCAGTGGAGACAGCGGAACATTTTGTTGTCCCCTGGAGTATCTGCCTCACCCGGCACTCTGGCTTCTCTGCTTTGTACGGGGATCCGGGGACAGTTGTGTTCCTCTCCTCCTAGGTTGAAAAGTGTTCTTTGAAACTGATGTGATTGTGGTTGGAGGGAGTTAAGGCGGATCCCTCAGGATCGTACTTGAAGCTGACTCATACATCACGTTGGCAGGCAGCACTGAAATCTGACTGCCCCTGATAGCACTCTTCCTAGGGGAAATTAGGTTGTGGGTGTCCCATATAAAACTTTAAAACGGAATCTTTAAAATACAACCCATTTTTCTCCAGGGTCTGGTTTTATTCACACTCGGTGAAGACTGTGGGTGGAGAAAAGGAGAGCTGTACTTGGCAGTAATTTTGTTTGCCGTATATGCTGAATACCTAGCACCAAGCCTGCGCAAAGTAGTCATTCAGTAAAAGTCTGTGGTGTGAACAAATTATAGCAATTAGGGATTGGAGAGGAAAATTTCCCAATTGTAAATATTTCTGTCTAATCCTTTATATTTTGCTATATACATTTAAACTGTTGTTTCTAATACTTACTAAAGTGATTTTAATATTTTAAGTACAATGCTATGTCATTAAACTTTAGAAAAAATACAAATTGAATGGCTAAGTGAATTGAGCTTTCTAAGTTAAACATACCTACAGGTAACTTTTGGTTTTTATTTATTTTATTTCCTTATTTTTGAGCCAGGTGTCTCTCTGTCACCCAGGCTGGAGTGCAGTGATGCGATCTCTGCTCACTGCAGCCTTGATTTCCCAAGCTCAATCAGTCCTCCCACTTCAGCCTCCCAAGTAGTTGGGACTACAGGTGCAAGCCACCATGCTTGGCTAATTTTTGTTTTGTTTGTTGGTTTGTTTGTTAGTTTTTGCATTTCTTTATGGAACGGGGTTTCACCACGTTGCCCAGGCTTGTTTTTGTTTTTTTTTTTAAATGAAGAGGTTACAGAGGAGGCAGCAACAGTCAGTACGCAGCTCCACAAATTAACTGCGCACCACGTCCTCAGGAAACAACAGAAAGGTTCACAAATCCCATCTTAATGGAAAGAACCAACAGACTCTTTGGGCTAAAAAATAAAATATGACAGAGTGAATCAGACAAAGTGAACATGAATTGCAGGGTAAGTGTTGGCCTGGCAAGGATCACATGGGTTTGGTTTCTAAGGCCCACAGGCCTCAGGGCTGCTGGCTGTCTATGTTGCTGCTGCTGCTGCTGGTGGAGATGAGGCTTGGGAATGAAGGCTTTTCCTGAAACGTGCTCTTTGGTCTAGGACTGACAGTCCTCATGAACAAAAAGAGGTGAGGGAATCAACTTAATTCTGTGCAGTACACGAATAACAGCATTCTCCTTTGGGAAACTCAATGGAGCTAAAATGTGTTCAAGGCCTGTGCAGAACCTAGGACGGTGCCTTTAGCACTTAGCGAAGTGCCTGGTGATAATTCCAGAAATAATTGCACAAGGAAGGGGAGTGGAGGGGAGGCAGGGGAGGGAAGGAGAGAAGAACAGAAAGTACATGATGCAAGAAGCCAAGCCCAAATGCTCAGTGCTCTGTCACCTGGATCCCTAGGTGAGGCCACTAACAGTGGCAACCCACCTCGACCTTTCCTCCCCAGAAAAACTCGAAGTTTCTTTAGTTCCTTCACTACCATCTAAATTCAGATTTTCTCAAGTCCCAGGATTTTCCCAACTTCTTCTCTACCATCAAAAGGCGCTTGTTTTGTCTCTTATTAACTAGGGGTCACTGATAGGTGACTTACCCATTTGATAACGAGATGAGGTGTTCATGGCTCATAATAGTGGAATGTGTCACCTCATCAGATACATTTACATTTTAATTGATACCTTGAATGCCTTAATCTGAAAGGACTGGCTAATGTGAGAATCTCAGGTACTACAGGAGCCCTGGTGGGAACACTGGGCTGGGTAATGGGCTTCTATTGCCATTTCATCAGCAGCAGCAATGGTGGTTGCCATCTACTCAGGTGAGAAGCAGATCTCCAAGGCTTTAGGAGGAGATAGTTGTGTACTCTTTTGAAGACGCTCTAGAAACAGAAATCTCAGAAACCTGTGGTGGCTCATTTCTGGGTTTGATTTTCCAAGATCAAGAGATCCAACTGGTTAATTAAAAAGTCTTCTTTAAAATTTTAACTAATTTCTTCTGTTATATCTCAGTGAAGCTGGAGAGAAACTAAGCAATAACTCTTCTCATGAAGCATTCTTTTATACACTTTAAGGCCATAATTAATTATTGCCCTCTCTAGGCAATATAACCTCAATTTCTCTAGACTTCTCTTAATAAGAATCCCTTTTGCACTACCATAATTTTTCTGGATTTGCTTTAATTTTTCATAAAATTTCTAAAATGCAAGGACTATGCCTACTTTGTTGTTACTGCTGTTGTTGTTTCATTTGGAAAGTTATCAGCCTGTGCATCTCATCCCACGGTCAACAAGAGTTTCTGTTTCCTTGAAGGTACTATCAGACATGCCCCACAAAATGTTAAACTTTTTCTTTTTTTTTTTCGAGACAAGGCATTGTTTTATCACCCAGGCCTGGAGTGCAGTGGTACAGTCTTGGCTCACTGCAGCCTCAACCTCCTGGGCTCAAGCGATCTTCCTGCCTCAGTCTCCCAAGTAGCTGGAACTACACATGCCACCATGCCTGACTAATTAAACTTTTTTTTTTTTGAGAAGGAGTTTTGCTCTTGTTGCCCAGGCGGAAGTGCAATGGCTCGATCTCAGCTCACTGCAACCTCTGCCTCCCAGGTTCAAGCGATTCTCCTGCCTCAGCCTCCTGAGTAGCTAGGATTACAGGTGCCTGCCACCACACCCAGTTGATTTTGTATTTTTAGTAGAGCCAGGGTTTCTCCATGTTGGTCAGGCTGGTCTCGAACTCCCGCCCTCAGGTGATCTGCCTGCCTTGGCCTCCCAAAGTGCTGCGATTACAGGTGTGAGCCACCGTGCCCGGCAATAATTAAACTTTTAAATAAAATAAAATTGAATATCATTCTCTTTTTTGAGCTTCCCTGAAACTTGCCAAGGTCCTCTAGTATAAAGGTGCAAACTTGGAAGTAGATATCATGTTTATTTTTATATTCACAGCACTTAGCACAACATCTTGCCTATAATAGGTGTTCATAAAAATGCTTGTTGACTAATGGGTGGTGAAGAATGGCCATTTCGGCCCAAACCATCTTTGTCACTTGTTATATTTCCCATAACTCCCAACATTCATATTAATAAACAGACAAAATGTGTGCTCCAAACTAGTGCGATTTATTCCCACTGTTTACTCAGAGCTTAATCTCTTGTCACATTTTTGAGTTGGCATTTTAAGCACAAGGATTACATGTTAAGGATGGTTTTCTTGCATGAAAGCCAGTGCTGTTTGGGAAGGTCAGTTGTGAGGAAATTTGAGACTGTGACCGTATTTGAGCAAAGGTTTTTAAAAATCACATTATCAAAGGGTGACTGTCATCCCCTGAGATAAGAAGCAGCTATCTAAGTCTTTGCAAGTGGATAGTTGAATATTCTTTTGAAAGTTTTCTAGAGATACAGAAACAACAGAAACTGCTTTGGGGATGAAAAAAATTAGCACAAATATTAACAGAAATGCTGTAAAAATGAGTGCTGTAAGGATCACGATTTTAGATTTGTGACCTCCTTACTGAGGTCCTTTTCCCCTTTGGGGGTAGGGGTGGCTGAATGGTCAAATGCATATACTTAACCTACAGACTCCGCTTCTGAGGATGGCAGTTTGCAGGTTTCCTGCCATCTACCAGTGTATTCAAACCTCAAACCATCCACTTTCCCCTTTAAAACTTCATTGTGGGTATTCTAAAAATAAGATATATTCTCTTATATAACCATAGCACAGTTATCAACTTCAGGAAATTTAATTTAATTTTTTTTTTTTTTTTGAGACAGAGTTTCACTCTTGGTTGCCCAGGCTGGAGTTTAATGGCATGATCTCGGCTCACTGCAACCTCCACCTCCCAGGTTTAGGCAATTCTCCTGCCTCAGCCTCCCGAGTAGCTGTTATTACAGGCACCCGCTACCACACTTGGCTAATTTTTGTATTTTTAGTAGAGATGGGGTTTCACCATGTTGACCAGGCTGGTCTTGAACTCCTGACCTCAGGTGATCTGCCTGCCTCAGCTTCCCAAAGAGCTGGGATTACAGGTGTGAGCCACCGTGCCCAGCCAGGAAATTTAATATTAATTTCATTATGTTATCTAATCTATAATTCATGTTCGAATATTATCCACTGTCCCCATAATGCCCATCAGAGCATTGTTTTTCCTTCCCTCCAGAATCCAGTCGAGAGCCACAGTTTGCATCTAGTTGTCATTTAATCTCCTCTACTCTCAAATGGTTTCCCAGCCTCTCTTTATCTTTTATGACATTGATAATTTACAAATTATCAATTTGTAAAATTGATTGAAAGTTCCTCAGTTTGGGTTTGTCTGGTGTTTCCTCATGATTACATCTAGGTAGATTTTGAGGGCTTTTCCGTGAAAAGCCAAAAATCACAGATTCTTCCAATGTTTTCCCATTTCATTCAGAATGAAATGGGCACACTTTACCAAGCCCTGCAAGTCCCCGTGAGGCCTGTCTTTTTAGCCTCCTCCCGACCGGACTCTGGCTCACTCAGCCTCTGGGTCTTTGCACCTGCTGTTCCTCTTCCTGGCATGCTCTTCGTTCAGGGTCTTCGCCTGTCTCACTCCCTTCTTCATTCAGATACATTTCACCACACACTGCATGATCAACTCAGATTCCCATCCCCAGCATTCTTTCAATGTTCAGAGCCCTCCCTTCCTGCCAGACTTCTGACAGCCTGCCTCTTCCTGTCCCTCCCCTAAGAGTGGACGTGTGCGTAACACGGACTAATACTTGCTCTTTGGAACTAGCCTGGTGTCCCTTCAGTGCCATGTCAGGGATGGAGTTTGTAGGTAAAGCACTATTAATTTACAAGACAGTGACATCTAGTGGACCAGCTGGGACCAGCTTTGAGCTAAAGGCTCTTGATACCCCTAACGATCCAAAGACAAAATAAAAAAAACAAAAAAACAACAAAAAGCACCACCTTGATTTCTGGATAGAGTCTAAGGTGAGATCTGGAGAATCTAGTGAGGTTCCTGTGGAGATGTGACGTGGCCATTGATGGGTTAAAGATATCTGAAGATTCAGGTTTCTGTTATGTGTGTGTGATGGTGAGGGGAGTAGAGGGCAGGCCTAATAGGAGAAAAATAAGACACACTGGTGTGTGAGACCACTAAGGCTAGTATAAATTCATTTTTCAAGAGATCAATTTCTCATTCAAAAGGTTATGAACATGAAATTAGTTGTATGCTCTCGCCAAGTGATGGTGATGATTCAAAATTGAAGAATTCATTAAGTGTACTCAGCTAGGGAAAAATTAGTAAAATTTCCTATTTATTTATACTTTGCAATATAAATACAGGCTGGGCATAGTGCCTCATGCCCATAGTCCCAGCTACTCAAGAGGCTGAGATGGGAGGATCGCTTGAGCCCAGGAAGTTGAGGCTGCAGTGAGCCATGATCACACCACTGTGCTCCAGCCTGGGTGACAGAGTGAGACCCTTTCTTTACATAAAAAAATTAAATATAAATATAAATACAGTTGACCCTTGAACAGAGTGGGGTGTTAGGGATGCCAACCCCCCATGCAGTCAAAAATTCAGGTATAGATTTTGGTTCACCAAAAACTTAACTAGTAATAGCCTACTTTTGACGGGAAGCCTTACTGATAATATAACGGTCAATTAACACATATTTTTATGTGTATTATATACTAGATTATTACAATAAAGTAAGCTAGAGAAAAAATGTTAAGAAAATTGAGGAGCAAGAAGAGGAGGCGTTGGTCTCAGGGGTGGCAGAGGTGGGGGAAAAATCTGTGTGTAAGTGGATCCTTGCAGCTCAAACCTGTTATTATTCAAGGGTCAATGGTAAACCAAATGCTTGAATATTGAGACATTACCTAAAAAGCGAGCTTTATTTTTTTTTATTTTTTGAGATGGAGTCTCACCCTCTCACCCAGGCTGGAGTGCAGTGGCACGATCTTGGCTCACTGCAACCTTCGCCGCCCCAGTTCAAGCAACTCTCCTGTCTCAGCCTCCCAAGTAGCTGGGATTACAGGCGACCACCACAACACCTGGCTAATTTTTGTATTTTTAGTAGAGATGGGGTTTCACCATATGGGCCAGGCTAGTTTTGAACTCCTGACCTCAAGTGATCCACCTGCCTTGGCCTCCCAAAGTATTGGGATTACAGATGTGAACCACTGCACCCAGCCAAAAAAGCAAGCTTTAAAATGCAATATAAAGAAATATTTTAATTACAATTACAAATTCAATCAATTTGCATTTCAATGAGTAATGTGCAAGAGTGCAGTTTTCTCATATACCAACAAACTATATTATCAGTCTTTTTTTTTTTTTTTTTTTTTTTTTTGAGGCAGAGTTTCACTCTTGTCGCCCAGGCTGGAGTGCAATGGTGCGATCTCAGCTCACTGCAACCTTCGCCTCCTGGGTTCAAGTGATTCTCCTGCCTCAGCCTCCTGAGTAGCTGGGATTACAGGTGTGCATTACCGTGCCTGGCTAATTTTGTATTTTTAGTAGAGAAGGGGTTCCACCATGTTGTCCAGGCTAGTCTTAAACTCCTGACCTCAAGAGATCCACCCTTCTCAGCATCCCAAAGTGCTGGGATTACAGGTGTGAGCCACCACACCCTGCCGGTCTTTTTGTTACTGATAATTTGATGGATAAAACAAGGCAAAACATAATTTATTTTATTTTTATTTTGCATTCTCTTATTATGGGTGATATTGAGTAATTTTTCATCTGATTTGTTCTCTGTGAATTGTCTCCTTATACTTTACCCAATTTTCTATGATGTTGTTTTTTTCTAATTGGTTGGTAGGAGCTCTTTATATATTAGGTTAGTTTACATTTTGTCTGAGATAAGAGTTACAAATATTGTTTTCCAGTGTATCGTTTGTCTTTCAACTTTGCTGCTTATGATGGTTTTTGCCATGCAAAATGTTCTTTTAATGTTCTTTTTTTTTTTGAGATGGAGTCTCACTCTGTCGCCAGGCTGAAGTGCAGTGGTGAGATCTCGGCTCACTGCATCCTCTGCCTCCCCGTTCAAGCCATTCTCCTGCCTCAGTCTCCCAAGTAGCAGGGACTACAGGCGTGAACCACTACGCCCAGATAATTTTTTTTGTATTTTTCGTAGAGACAGGGTTTCAGCATGTTGGCCAGGATGTTCTTGATCTCTTGACCTCATGATCCACCAGCCTCAGCCTCCCAAAGTGCTGGGATTACAGGCGTGAGCCACCGCACCTGGCCACAAAATGTTGTTATAGTTTAGGTTTTCCTGTTATGCTTAGAAAGGACTTTCCTTTTCTGAGGTTGTAAAACAAAACTATTGTGTAGTTTATTGGAGTACTTTCTTGGATAAGCTTTTCAACTTAAATATTTGATCAGTCTGGAATTTGTAGTGTTGTCACTTTATTTCTCATGTGCTGAATTGTTCTGACATCATTCATTCAATAATGTACCTTTTCCCCATTTAAAATGCCGCTTTTACTAAACTCTAAATTCTTTTGTCTTTTGGGTGGCAGTATAGGTTTGTTTTCCATCCCTGTTGATTTACAGAGATGAGAAGATTTTTTTTGTAAGGTAGACTTTTAATAACTGCTTTTATTACCAGGTTAAGTCATGCAGTTACAAAGTAGTTAGAATTCTGAAAGGGCATTACAGGTTTTTTTTAAGCTCATTTTTGCATATATTATTATTTAGCATTTGACTGGGACACTACTGTTCAAAAGGACCTGGCCAAATAATTCCCAAACAAAACATTCAACCCAAGGTTGTTTTCAACCCACTGTTTGTGCACCTGGGTGCAGAATGCAAAGCCTCTAAAAGAAGAGGACACAAAGTCAGGCTGAGTAGAGGCCATTAGCAAGGGATGTTCAGGGCCAGCCAATCTCCAAACAGGGAACCCACTTTTTTTTTTTTTTTCTGGAACATTCTATTTGAATTATTGTTCAATTAGTCAACCATAGACCTTCAAAAGAGAACAATTTGTTAACATGATAAGGAGGTTACTGCATTCTTTGGACTATGTGTCATAATTATAGTCAGCAAACTCCGACCGTCTTCACAGAAATAGCCCTCCAGCATTTTTGTAGGTATGAAGATAATTTAATTCTCCATAGGGCTTCTTATTTTTGCTGGATAACAATACATGGCTGATAAGCTCTAAATGGTACTGTTTTATGATATAAAAATACTAGCTTTTTAAATTTATTATGTTTGTAGGCATTCACTGCTTGAATCAAGGTTAGGCTTGTTAAGAGATTAAAAGCAATTTTATTACAGCAGCATTACTTATTTTTTTCCAGAAGAATAAAATTAATAAGCAGAAACAGCTTTTATTTTTGTTTGCATCCTGTAAAATTGAGTTATTTTGCTTCAATAACTCATGTGAGGACCATGCCACCTTCTTTTTTTTTTTTGAGACGGAGTCTTGCTCTGTCGCCCAGGCTGGAGTGCAGTGGCGCGATCTCGGCTCACTGCAAGCTCCGCCTCCCAGGTTCTGGGAATTCTCCTGCCTCAGCCTCCCCGAGTAGCTGGGACTACAGGCACCCGCCACACGCCCGGCTAATTTTTTGTTTTTTAAGTACAGATGGGGTTTCACCTTGTTAGCCAGGATGGTCTCAATCTCCTGACCTTATGATCCGCCCGCCTCGGCCTCCCAAAGTGCTGGGATTACAGGCGTGAGTCACTGCGCCCGGCCCCCATGTCACCTTCTGAATATGTGAAAAGTTACAGCACTTCCCAGTCTCGTCCAGAGCAAAGAAGTAAGCATCTGATTGCTCTTGACTGTGCCTTCCCTGGCAACAGTTGCTGACTGTGTTGGGAAGAGCCACAGAGCAAGGCTGCACAGCCAGATGGAAGAGACTTTTCATTTAGAGGCAACACACCTACATGTCTCTCTCTCTGGTGTCAGTGATTTCTACTTTCACCGTCATCAGAGTGTACATGATCCCCTAACCTTAATTACTTTCTTCTTAGGGAGCTGATTTGGATCGATTTGTTAAGAATAGTGTCCATTATCTAATGAGTCAAGAGAGAAGGGGATTTCTGTGGTAACATGTAAACCTGTGGTAGGTCTGCAGAAGTTACAGGTGAAGAGGGTAGCAAGGAAGTCACCCATGAGCCATCTACGTGAAGGTCACTCTGGCTTCATTGTATACTTTGAACACTTTCTCAATGGCGTTGACATAGACGGTGGTCCTCATGTCCAATCCCAGGTTATACCTCATGGCTATGCACAAAATTTGCCTGGCAGAACTCTCCATTGCGTACACCAAGTCAGCATGCATGGTGTCTTTCTCTGATGCACCTGATATCCTGTCTTGGAACTCTGCTGTGGGTATAATGAGAATAGTTCCACTGTGCTTTCCAAATTTTCTTGCTAAATTCTCTTGAACAGATATTAGCAAGTGGTAGTTACACTCCCTTTCATATTTGAAGGTCAAACAGCCATAGCTGACATGATTTAGATTCTTCAGCCACTCAAAGTTGGATGCTGTCTCTCCTTTGGCATTCATGTAGAGATCTGGAATAACCATAATGCTCCTGACTTCATTTCCTCCCTGTCACACACACTCCTAGTTCTCCCATCTTAAAAACTCCGTCTCTGGACCTCACTTTGCCTCCTGCCTCTGCCAACTTCTCTCATTTTTTTTTCCATTAAGAAACCTTCTTGAAACAGTTGTTCATACGCACTGTTTTCACTTTTCCTCCTTCCATTCTTTCCTGAACCCACACACACTGGGCTTTGCACTCAATACGCCACCAAAACTGTCCTAGCCAAGGACACCAGTGACTCAAGGTATGATTTGCCCAGGACTGTCCTGGTTTGCACCTATTGTCCTGGCATAATTATGGTGTCTGCTTTTCCTCTCAAAGGGGATGTAGATACCTCGTACATACATGTATATATCATATCTATCTATCTATCTATCAGATATCCATATGGAGTAGGAATAGTCTTTTACATAAGAGACTATTGGTTCATATCCATAGTAAAGTTATCAATTTCATATATTTCCATGGATGCAATACGTTTACCTAATCTACAGTCCATATTACATTTCCGTCAGTTTTGACCTAATAATTTCCTGTAGAACATCCTTGTGTGCCGCACATCCTTGCCCCCCAGCATAGACTCCAGTCTAGGGTCAGGTATTGGTTTTATTTGCCATGGCTCTTTAGCTTCCTTTAACCTGGAACATTTCTCTGTCTTTTACAACATTGACATTTTAAATTTTATTTTAGATTCAGGGGATACATGTACAGGTTTGTTACCTGCATATATTACGTAATAGTCAGGTTTGGGCTTCCAGTGAACCCATCAACCAAATAATGAACATTGTACCCAATAGGCGATTTTTCATCCCTTACACCCCTAGCGACCTCCCCAATTTTGAAGTCTTGAGTATCTATTATTTTCATCTTGATGTCCATGTGTACCCATTGTTTAGCGCCCATGCAGTATTTGATTTTCTGAGTTGTTTCACTTAGGATAACAGCCTCCAGCTCCATCCATGTTGCTGCAAAGGATATGGTTTCATTCTTTTGTATGGTTGCATGGTATATTCCATGATGTCTATATACCACATTTTCTTTATCCAATCAACTGTACAATATGAATATTTTTGAAAAATAGCCTTCCCTGACTTTTCCTTTTTTTTTTTTTAGGTTTTCTTTTTTTATTATTATTATTCTTTAAGTTCTAGGGTACATGTGCACAACGTGCAGGTTTGTTACATATGTATACATGTGCCATGTTGATTCGCTGCACCCATACACTTGTCATTTACATTAGGTATTTCTCCTAATGCTATCCCTCCCCCAGACCCCCCACCCCCTGAAAGGCCCCGATGTGTGATGTTTCCCGCCCTGTGTCGAAGCATTCTCGTTGTTCAATTCCCACCTATGAGTGAGAACATGCGGTGTTTGGTTTTCTGTCCTTGTGATAGTTTGCTGAGAATGATGGTTTCCAGCTTCATCCATGTCCCTGCAAAGGACATGAACTCACCTTTTTTATGGCTGCATAGTATTCCGTGGTGTATATGTGCCATATTTTCTTAATCCAGTCTATCATTGATGGACATTTGGGTTGGTTCCAAGTCTTTGCTATTGTGAATAGTGCTGCAGTAAACATACATATGCATGTGTCTTTATAGTAGCATGATTTATAATCCTTTGGGTATATACCCAGTAATAGGATCGCTGGGTCAAATGGTATTTCTAGTTCTAGATCCTTGAGGAATCGCCACACTGTCTTCCATAATGGTTGAACTAATTTACACTCCCACCAACAGTGTAAAAGCGTTCCTGTTTCTCCACATCTTCTCCAGCATCTGTTGTTTCCTGACTTTTTAATGATTGCCATTCTACCTGGCATGAGATGGTATCTCATTGTGGTTTTGATTTGCATTTCTCTGATGACCAGTGATGATGAGATAAAGGTCTTCTTTTGAGAAGTGTCTGTTCACATCCTTTGCCCACTTTTTAATGGGGTGGTTTGTTTTTTTCTTGTAAATTTTTTTAAGTTCTTTGTAGATTTTGGATATTAGCCCTTTGTCAGATGGATAGATGGCAAAAATTTTCTCCCATTCTGTAGGTTGTCTGTTCACTCTGATGGTAGTTTCTTTTGCTGTGCAAAAGCTCTTTAGTTTAATTAGATCCCATTTGTCAATTTTGGCTTCTGTTGCCATTGCTTTTGGAGTTTTAGTCATGAAGTCCTTGCCTATGCCTATGTCTTGAATAGTATTGCCTAGGTTTTCTTCTAGGGTTTTTACGGTTTTAGGTCTAACATTTAAATCTTTAATCCATCTTGAATTAATTTTTACATAAGGTGTAAGGAAGGGATCCAGTTTCAGCTCTCTACATATGGCTAGCCAGTTTTCCCAGCACCATTTATTAAATAAGGAATCCTTTCCCCATTTCTTGTTTTTGTCGGGTTTGTCAGAGATCAGATGGTTATAGAAGTGTGGTGTTATTTCTGAGGCCTCTGTTCTCTTCCATTGGTCTATAGATCTGTTTTGGTACCAGTACCATGCTGTTTTGGTTACTATAGCCTTGTAGTATGGTTCGAAGTCAGGTAGCATTATGTCTCCAGCTTTGTTCTTTTTGCTTAGGATTGTCTTGGCTCTGCGGGCTCTTTTTTGGTTCCATATGAACTTTAAGGTAGTTTTTCCCAATTCTGTGAAGAAAGTCATTGGTAGCTTGATGGGGATGGCATTGACTCTATAAATTACCCTGGGCAGTATGGCCATTTTCATGATATTGATTCTTCCTATCCATGAGCATGGAATGTTCTTCCATTTGTTTGTGTCCTCTTTTATTTCGTTAAGCAGTGGTTTGTAGTTCTCCTTGAAGAGGTCCTTCACATCCCTTGTAAGTTGGATTCCTAGGTATTTTATTCTCTTTGTAGCAATTGTGAATGGGATTTCATTCATGATTTGGCTCTCTGTTTGTCTGTTATTGGTGTATAGGAATGCTTCTGATTTTTGCACATTGATTTTGTATTCTGAGATTTCGCTGAAGTTCCTTATCAGCTTAAGGAGATTTTGGACTGAGATGATGGGGTTTTCTAAATATACAATCATGTCATCTGCAAACAGGGACAATTTGAGTTCCTCTTTTCCTAATTGAATATCTTTTATTTCTTTCTCCTGCCTCATTGCCCTGGCCAGAACTTCCAACACTATGTTGAATAGGAGTGGTGAGAGAGGGCGTCCTTGTCTTGTGCCGGTTTTCAAAGGGAATGTTTCCAGTTTTTGCCCATTCAGTATGATATTGGCTGTGGGTTTGTCATAAATAGCTCTTATTATTTTGACATACATTCCATCAATACCTAGTTTATTGAGAGTTTTTAGCATGAAGGGCTGTTGAATTTTTGTCAAAGGTTTTTTCTGCATCTATTGAGATAATCATGTGGTTTTTGTCATTGGTTCTGTTTATGTGATGGATTATGTTTATTGATTTGCATAGGTGAACCAGCCTTGCATCCCAGAGATGAAGCCCACTTGATCATGGTGGATAAGCTTTTTGATGTGCTGCAGGATTCAGTTTCCCAGTATTATACTGAGGATTTTCACATCGATGTTCATCAGGGATATTGGTCTCAAATTCTCTTTTTTTTGTTGTGTCTCTGCCAGGCTTTGGTATCAGGATGATGCTGGCCTCATAAAATGAGTTAGGGAAGATTCCCTCTTTTTCTATTGATTGGAAGAATTTTAGAAGGGATGGTACCAGCTCCTCTTTGTACCTCTGGTAGAATTCGGCTGTGAATCCATCTGGTCCTGGACTTTCTTTTGTTGGTAGGCTATTAATTATTGCCTCAATTTCAGAGCCTGTTATTTGTCTATTCAGAGATTCAACTTCTTCCTGGTTTAGTCTTGGGAGGGTGTATGTGTCCAGGAATTTATCCATTTCTTCTACATTTTCTAGTTTATTTGCATAGAGGTGTTTATAGTATTCTCTGATGGTAGTTTGTATTTCTGTGGGATCAGTGGTGATATCCCCTTTATCATTTTATTGTGTCTATTTGATTCTTCTGTCTTTTCTTCTTTATTAGTCTTGCTAGTGGTCTATTTTGTTGATCTTTTAAAAAATCCAGCTCCTAGATTCATTGATTTTTTAAGAGGTTTTTTGTCTCTACCTCCTTCAGTTCTGCTCTGATTTTAGTTATTTCTTGCCTTCTCCTAGCTTTTGAATTTATTTGCTCTTGCTTCTCTAGTTCTTTTAATTGTGATGTTAGGATGTCAATTTTAGATCTTTCCGGCTTTCTCTTGTGGGCATTTAGTGCTATAAATTTCCCTCTACACACTGCTTTGAATGTGTCCCAGAGATTCTGGTAGGTTGTGTCTTTGTTCTCATTGGTTTCAAAGAACATCTTTATTTCTGCCTTCATTTCATTATTTACCCAGTAGTTATTCAGGAGCAGGTTGTTCAGTTTCCATGTAGTTGTGTGGTTTTGAATGAGTTTCTTAATCCTGAGTTCTAATTTGATGGCACTGTGATCTGAGAAACAGTTTGTTGTGATTTCTGTTCTTTTACATTTGCTGAGGAGTGCTTTACTTCCAATTATGTGGTCAATTTTAGAATAAGTGCAATGTGGTGCTGAGAAGAATGTATATTCTGTTGATTTGGGGTGGAGAGTTCTGTAGATATCTATTAGTTCCACTTGTTGCAGAGCTGAGTTCAATTCCTGGATATCCTTGTTAACCTTCTGTCTCGTCGATCTGTCTAATATAGACAGTGGGGTGTTAAAGTGTCCCATTATTATTGTGTGGGAGTCTAAGTCTCTTTGTAGTTCTCTAAGGACTTGCTTTATGAATCTGGGTGCTCCTGTATTGGGTGAATGTATGTTTAGGATAGTTAGCTCTTCTTGTTGAATTGATCCCTTTACCATTATGTAATGGCCTTCTTTGTCTCTTTTGATCTTTGTTGGTTTAAAGTCTGTTTTATCAAAGACTAGGATTGCAACCCCTACTTTTTTTTGCTTTCCATTTGCTTGGTAGATCTTCCTCCATCCCTTTATTTTGAGCCTATGTGTGTCTCTGCATACGAGAAGGGTCTCCTGAATACAGCACACTGATGGGTCTTGACTCTTTATCCAATTTGCCAGTCTGTGTCTTTTAATTGGGGCATTTAGCCCATTTACATTTAAGGTTAATATTGTTATGTGTGAATTTGATCCTGTCATTATGATGTTAGCTGGTTATTTTGCTTGTTAGTTGATGCAGTTTCTTCCTAGCATCGACGGTCTTTACAATTTGTAATGTTTTTGCAGTGGCTGGTACTGGTAGTTCCTTTCCATGTTTAGTGCTTCCTTCAGGAGCTCTTGTAAGGCAGGCTTGGTGGTGACAAAATCTCTCAGCATTTGCTTGTCTGTAAAGGATTTTATTTCTCCTTCACTTATGAAGCTTAGTTTGGGTGGATATGAAATTCTGCGCTGAAAATTCTTTCCTTTAAGAATGTTGAATATTGGCCCCCATTCTCTTCTGGCTTGTAAGGTTTCTGCTGAGAAATCCGCTGTTAGTCTGATGCGATTCCCTTTGTGGGTAACCCTACCTTTCTCTCTGGCTGCCGTTAACATTTTTTCCTTCATTTCCTCCTTGGTGAATCTGACAATTATGTGTCTTGGGGTTGCTCTTGTCAAGGAGTATCTTTGTGGTGTTTTCCGTATTTCTGAACTTGAATGTTGGCCTGCCTTGCTAGGTTGGGGAACTTCTCCTAGATGATATCCTGAAGAGTGTTTTCCAGCTTGGTTCCATTCTCCCCATCACTTTCAGGTACACCAAATCAACATAGATTTGGTCTTTTCACATACTCCCATATTTCTTGGAGGCTTTGTTCATTTCTTTTTACTCTTTTTTCTCTAACCTTGTTTTCTTGCTTTATTTCATTAATTTGATCTTCAATCACTGATATCCTTTCTTCCACTTGATCAAATCAGCTATTGAAGTCTGTGCATGTGTCATGAAGTTCTTGTGCCATGGTTTTCAGCTCCATCAGGTCATTTAAGGTCTTCTCTATACTGTTTACTCTAGTTAGTCATTCTTCTAACCTTTTTTCAAGGTTTTTAGCTTCCTTGCGATGGGTTAGAACATTCTCCTTTAGCTCGGAGAAGTTTATTACCAACCTTCTGAAGCCTACTTCTGTCAACTCATCAAAGTCATTCTTCCTCCAGCTTTGTTCTGTCGCTGGCGAGGAGCTGTGATCCTTTGGAGGAGAAGAGGTGCTCTGGTTTTTAGAATTTTCAGCTTTTCTGCTCTGGTTTCCCCCCATCTTTGTGGTTTTATCTACCTTTGGTCTTTGATGTTGGTGACCTACAGATGGAGTTTTGGTGTGGATGTCCTTTTTGTTGATGTTGATGCTATTCCTTGATGTTTGTTAGTTTTCCTTCTAACAGTCAGGTCCCTCAGCTGCAGATCTGTTGGAGCTTGCTGGAGGTCCACTCCAGACCCTGTTTGCCTGGGTATCACCAGCAAATATTGCTGCCTGATCCTTCCTCTGGAAGCCCCAGAGGGGCACCCACCTGTATGAGGTGTCTGTTGGTCCCTACTGGGAGGTGTCTCCCAATTATGCTACACAGGGGTCAGGGACCCACTTGAGGAGGCAGTCAGTCTGTTCTCAGAGCTCAAACACCATGCAGGGAGAACCACTGCTCTCTTCAGAGCTGTCAGGGTCGTTTAAGTCTGCAGAAGTTTCTGCTATCTTTTGTTCAGCTATGCCCTGCCTACAGAGGTGGAGTCTATAGAGGCAGTAGGCCTTGCTGAGCTGTGGTAGGCTCTGCCCAGTTCGAGCTTCCCGGCCACTTTACCTACTCAAGCCTCCGCAATGGCAGACACCCCTCCCTCCACCAGGCTGCTGCCTCACAGGTCGATCTCAGACTGCTGCGCTAGCAGTGAGCAAGGCTCTGTGGGCATGGAACCTGCAGAGCCAGGCACAGGAGGGAATCTCCTGGTCTGCCGGTTGCTAAGACCATGGGAAAAGCAAGTAGTTGGGAGGGAGTGTCCTGTTTTTCCAGGTACAGTCTGTCACAGCTTCCCTTGGCTAGGAAAGGGAACTCCCCCAACCCCTTGCGCTTCCTGGGTGAGATGATGCCCCACTCTGCTTTGGCTCACCATCTGTGGGCTGCACCCACTGTCCAACCAGTCCCATTGAGATGAACCAGGTACCTCAGTTGGAAATGCAGAAATCACCTGTCTTCTGCGTTGATCACGCTGGAAGCCGCAGACCAGAGCTGTTCCTATTCAGCCATCTTGGAACGGATCTTTTCTTTTCTTTTTTTTTTTTGAGACAGTCTCGCTCTGTTGCCCAAACTGGAGTGCAGTGGAATGGTCTCAGTTCACTGCAACCTCTGCCTCCCAGGTTCAAGCAATTCTCTTGCCTCAGCCCCCCAGGTAGCTGGGACTACAGACATGCACTACCACACCCGGCTAATTTTTGTATTTTTTGTAGAGACGGGTTTCACCATGTTGGCCAGGCTGGTCTCGAACTCCTGACCTCAAGTGATCCACCTGCCTTGGCCTCTGAAAGTGCTGGGATTACAGGCATGAGCCACTGTGCCCAGTGCGCTCCACTTTTCTATCCAGAATATTCCTTATTTTCTGTGAATCACAGCCTCACTCTTAATTGCAGAGCTCCACTGCCTCAGTGGGGGCTGAACAGGAATTGGTGGTCACATCCCCTCCTTAATCCAGAGAACCAGGTCCCAGGCTCCCTGTGTGGTCCTAGGTAGTGGAGTAGGGGGTGAGGGAGGGAAGGAAGTCCAAGTTCTCCTCACACACAAGCTCAGGGGTTCCACTCTTACCCAGAGATCACTACCCATGCTTGAGTACCTGGTCTCAGAGATCTCTTGGCTTGGTCACTGACTGACCTATAAAGTTGGGTCACAGGGATGTGTGTAGATTGGCCTGGAGAGGGGTTTCTCAGGGTCATGGGGACAGAGAATGAATCTTAATGCCTCTGAGCTGGCTCTGCCCCATCTGCTGTCCCTTCCTTCCTGCCTCCTGCTTTTCCCTAGCCACCCAGTTCCCTCCAGTGACCACTGCCAGGCTCTCTCTGGACTACCGAAAGCCACCTAGGGTTCTAGGCACACATGCACTGCCTCTTGGGAAACAGCTCTTTGGGGCTGTCTGTCCTTCTCCCTTCAAGGACTACAGGAGCTGCTGTTTACCCATGTCAGGCTCAGAGGAACCTTGGAGCAAATGGCATGATGTTATTTCTCCAGCTGAGCAAGAAAGACTTTGTTCTCATATGGGGGGCCTTAAATATTTGCACCCTGTTAGGATTGGGGAAAGACGTCCTCCAGCCAGGCTTACCAGGGAGTCCAAGGAGCTTTGGTAGAGTGTAGCCTTTGACCATCAGCCTCTGTTGCTGTAATTGGCCTCGGAGGAAGAAACCTTGGTTGGGGTCTGTCACCATGAACTGATCTTGTTTGGTTCCCACTCAGCTTCACTTGTTTGCAGTAAGGCTTGTGAAGCCTGCCTCTCCCTGTCTGCCCCAATGAGGAGTCCCAGTGGGTACTCCTGGACCAGCCTCAGCCACTCTCACCTTCCACCAATTATTTTCTGGTTTGACCCCCTCACCTACCAGCTGAGCACTTGTTGATTCTCCACCCTACTGAGTGAGCCTGCATGGACCTAGGGACCCCCCAAAGAGCCTGCCTACTTCTTTCCTGAATATTAGTTTTCAAAAAGATTGACATAACTAAAATCTCTTAAAGCTGGCAGGCAGAAGCCCCTGCCCTACCCTGGTATGTCCCTGTTCACTGGAGCCCTGACTTAGCAGAAGGACTTACCATGGGGGATCCAGGAAGGACTCTAAAGAGGATGCTGAGGCTCCTGGGAGCATCTTTCCTTCCTCCCCACCCTGAATTGGACTGGCTCTGCTATGATTAGGAAACTTTTGTCCTATGCATCTATGTGAAGCGGGCATTTTTGGCAACTCCTTTGTTCCACAGAACAGCTTAGCACCAAGAAAAACATCACGTTGATGTCTTCACAAGGTCTCTTGATCATGAGCAAATTATTTGCTGCTCACCATAAGAAAAAATGAACTTTCTCTTTTCAGTGTTTGGAAAAATCAAAGGAAAAGTGAAATTAATGGATCAAAGAGAGCTTGGACAACAAAATGAATGAAGACACTTACTTTCCAAAAGCATGGTTAAACACTTTATTTAGAAAACATTCCCAAAGTTTATAAATAGTGCCTAGCTATCAGTTCCAGCATCAACCTTAGAGAAGCAGTTCCAGCTTTCTGACCGAGTTTCTGTGACTGTGGCCAAATGGGTTTGGAATGGAAACTTTTTTTTTTTTTAATCTGGCTTATTGTTGTTTCTTCTGTGGCCACAATATTTCTCTGGAACATGGGATTACTCAATAAATGAAATATTTATTGAGTAACCAGACAACCAATGAAAAAATTAGACTTGGGTCATATTGTATTCCATATTCTTGGTAGATTTGCCTTAAATACTTAAGACAATTAAAATCACTAATGGTCACATTTGCTTTGGCACTTAGAAAAAGAATCTACTTGGTTAAAAAAGGAGACACATGCCCATGTACAAGCAAATACATACCTATGACATTAGGCAAATAGAGAATTCACACACTCAGTTGCCTCATTCCAGTATCTACTTATGATCATTTCTCTCCATTTTAGCTGTTTTCTCTTTAATATGTCAACAATGCCCATGACACCCACTTGAAACTGGGAGCCATGAGAATTAAATTTCAGTCTCTTCGATTTCCTGTAGAAACAGAAAGGCTGTAAAAGATTGCAGGCTCTGTAAGTCCAAGAGACTTAAGTGCAACATAAACAATGTGTATTGAGCAAAAGCTGTAAACATACTTATATTTTTAGTAAATGGGTGTTGGGGGAGTCATTAGTGCTATTTAACAATACTTCCAATTCTCCTATAGCTCAGGAGGTGGAAAAATTTCACTGCTTTGCCAATTTGAAGTTAGGGTTGGCCATGTGACTTGTTCTAGCCAATACCATGTGAGCAGAAATGATTGTCTTTGGGCAGATGCACAACTTTCCATGTTCCTTTCCATTTCCGTGGCAACTGGGGATGTTCCAGTTCACAGAAACTCCATTCACATGGATCTTTAAGTGAGGGTAACAGTAAAAAGTGTCCTCTGCTGACCTGAAATGGACACAGGCAACAAATAATAATTTGTTCTAGGCCACTAAGATGTTGAATTTTTTTTCCTGCAATGTAACCCTGCATATGCTGAATAACACAGAAATTGGTACATAGAAGTGGGCTGTGGCTTTAACTAAAGATCTAAAATAAATTATATTGGCTTAAGGTCCTGGTAGTGAGAGGCAGGAAACTGTGCATGCAGTAATTTAGGATGTAGATTATTCTCCTGATAAGCTTTTGCCTCTAGGAGAAGAGATTGAGAGAGAAGATTATTGTTAGTATAATAGTATGTGCTTCGGTGATGGCTGTTTTTGGCAAGATGTTACAAGAAAGAGGTAAGCTCAAAAAGAAATTGGCTCATATTCAAGCAGGAATGTCAGCAAACAGAGTTCAGGGACTTATAAGCCTGAAGGAAGACTCCGTTCTAAATAGAAAATTATAAAACGGAGAAAAACTTCAGGAGCAGGGACCAACTGAAAGTCAACCTTGCATCAAAAAGCACAGTAAGGATGCAGTCATCACACTTACTGTTGAAACCTGTGAATACAGATGTTTCTGAGTAACAGTCCAATTACTGATATGATGTCCAAAAAACTGCTTTCACTTGCAGAAAATGACTCAGGGAAAAGAGATTGTGTATGTGGTTCTCTCATTGAAGCCTGAAAGCTTCAGGAAATTGAAATTAAAGTGATAAAGAGAGGGGTGAGAACATAAAAGCCAAAAAAAAAAAAAGTCAATATGAGAATTGTATCTCAGATTGAACTATGGTTACTGCCATATAGAGCTGGCTAGAATAAAATACACAAGAAGCTATGTTTTTGACAAGAGTGGCATTGACAAAAGAAGTATCAATCAGTCTGGACTAAAAAATATGGTGATTGTTTAAAATTTAAAATGACTTTGGGACTCCAATCATCTAAGAGTAGGAAGTGGGCTGAGAAAGCTGTACCTCTCCAAGGAAGAGATATTTTCATCGCCCAGTGTCTTAATTCTTTTGGGCTGCTGTAATAAAATACCATAAATGAGTAGCTTATAAACAACAGAAATTTCTTTCTCACAATCTGGAGGCTGGGAATTCCAGGATCAAGGCACTGGCAGATTCGGTGTCTGGTGAGGGCCCAATTTCTCATGGATGATGATGGCTTTTGGCTCTGTCCTCACATGGTGGAAGGCGCTGGCTAGCTCTCTGGGGTTTCTTTTATAAGGGCACTAATCCCATTCATGAGGGCTCCACCCTCATGATGTAGTCACCTCCTATATTAGTCCATTCTTGTACTGCTATAAAGAAATACCAGAGACTGGGTAATTTATAAAGAAAAGAGGTTCAATTGGCTTACGGTTCCACAGGCTGTACAGGAAGCATGATGCTGGCATCTGCTCGGCTTCTGGGCAGGCCTCAGGAAACTTTCAATTATGGCAGGAGGTGAAGGAGATGTCAGCACTTCACTAGGTCAGAGTGGGAGGAAGAGAGAAAACAACCCAATCTCATGAGAATTCTATCAAGAGAACAGCACCAAAGGGGGAAATTTGTCCCCATAATACGACCACCTCCCACCAGGCCCCACCTCCAACACTGGGGATTACAATTCCACATGAGATTTGGGTGGGGACACAAATCTAGGTACTACCATCACCTTAGGGTTTAAGGTTTCAACATATGAATTTTGGGGGAACATAAGCATTCAGACCATAGCACCTACAGAGAATGTAGGCGCTACAGAAATGCAGCCACAGAGAATCATCATGAAAAAAGAATGGTTCAGAAGTTGGATCCAGGCTTCAGGAGGATGACTGGATAACAGAGCTTTTCCCAGGGAGCAGGACCTGACCCTAATCGAGGAACTTTCCCTACCCCTGATAGGAGCCCTTACAATGTCTGCCCAGTGGGATTTAGAATTGCTGTGGACCACCACCTGCTGTATGTCTCTTACTATCCTCATTTCTGAATAGGGCTACCTATTGTAATTATCCTGTTTCTGTTACACCATTGAAGGGTGACTGTGGACACCATTGTGGAGTGGGGAAGAACATTCAACTTCTCATTTATAGCTCTCTGAATCAATAGGTGCTATATCCTCTCTTGATTTAAAAACGTCTGTGTGTCTCCCAAAATCTTGGGCTTACAACTAAAAGTCATGTCGGAATGAAATTTTCTGGTTTTATTTTTGGAGGAAAGGGTGAGTGTATTTTGCAGGCAGAAAGGAAAATGAAATGAATATTCAGTAGCAAAAAGCACAGACTCTAACAGTCATGAGTGCTGTTCACCAATATTCCTGGCTCTCCTGCTTCCAAGCATAAAAGGAATGTACTATCTGGCCCCCTTGATGTTCGGCAGACCATATGATTTGCTTTGACCAATGAAGCACAAATGAAAATGACATGTACCACTTCAGGCAGGAAACTTTTATTTATTATTATTATTTTTAGATGGAGTCTCGATCTGTCATCCAGGCTGGAGTGCAGAGGTGCGATCTTGGCCCATTGCATCCTTCACCTCTCAGGTTCAAGTGATCCTCCTTCCTCAGCCTCCTGAGTAGCTGGGATTATAGGCATGCACCACCACGCCTGGCTAATTTTTGTATTTTTAGTAGAGATGGGGTTTCACCATGTTGGCCAGGCTGGTCTTGAACTCCTGACCTCAAGTGATCCACCTGCCTCGGCCTTCCAAAGTACTGGGATTACAGGTGTGAGCCACCCCACCTGGCCTAGGCAGGAAACTTTAGAGGCAGTTCTTGATTTGCTATGTTCTTCTCAACCATCAATGTACCAGAAGGTGGAGGTTCTGGTAGCCCAGGTCTTCAAGTGAGGACAGTGTAGCGTAGAAAGCCCTGCACACCCACATTGGATATGTATCATACATGAGAAATAAACTTTTAATGTTTTAAGCTTTTAAGAGGTTGGGGTTGTTTGTTACTGCAGTATAACCTAGCTAATGTGACTAATGTTGGTAACATGTTGAAACTGGTAATTAAATTCTTACAAGGTTTTTCTCATGGATTGAATGCAGTGCCCTTGATAGGTAAATTTGCTTCTTTTCTGAGCACTTCTGCTGCAGTTTCTCACATTTTTGTTAAAAACTCGGTAAACAAATGATCTAATGTTTTAAAGCGCCTTATTCGAGGAATGCCATTTTTATATTGATGTCCCAGGACCTGTTTCCGCTGTCAGGTAACAGACTTTGCTTTACTTCCTGATACTTCATTATGCCAAGATTCAACAATATATTCAATTTTATTTGTTTAAAACACCTGTTCTAAGATAGCACATGATATATTTGTACATATGAAACAAGATAATTAAATAAACACAAATTTTAATATATTTACAAGAAGAGAGCTGTTTTGAAGCATTTGGTATGAATTAAATTACTGCCGTTGAACACTAAATCCACTCTTGGCACTGCGTTATGAAGTTGTCATTTCATTATAAAATCAAGCATACAAGTTTATCTGTAGAAAAAAGTCTTTTTCAGACTCTCTAAGGATGGGCAATATATGGTGTACAATGTTTACAACTATGATTTTAGCAAAAGATATGAAAATATTCTTCAAATTGATGCTTTATTCCTCTCCTCCAAAATTTAAGGACATAACGTTAATCTTAATTCTATGAAAGTTATTCTGTGGGGAGTTATTAATAGAGTTTAGGTTTGTTGCTTTCTGACAATCTAATTTACTCCATGGATGGGGCTTACAGGACCTAGAGAAATGGAGACTAATATATTTCCTTTAAATCCCAAATGTTTCTGCAAACTTTTGGCAAGTGCTGAACTTCAGTCAGTTTATGACGAGATTATTTGACCAATGCCTGAAGTGTGCATCTTCATTGTCTTCTCTTTAATATTGTCCCTTTGTGTCCCCCACCCCCACCCCAATTCATATATTGAAGCACTAACACCCAAGGTGATGGTATTGGAGGGTGGGGTCTTTGAGGGGTAATTAGGTAACGAGGTCATGAGGGTGGAGCCCCACGATGGGATTAGTGCTTTCATAAAAAGAGGAAGAGATACCAGAGCTCTTTTTCTCTCTGCCATGTGAGGACACAGGGAGTAGGCAGCCTTCTGCAAGCCAGGAAAAGAGCCCTCCCCAGGAACCGAATCTGCTGGCACCTTGATCCCGGCCTCATGAACTATGAGAAATAAATGTTTAAGTCACCAAGTCTATGGTATTTTGTTATAGCCACCCAAGCTGACTAGGACTCTAACCACCCAAAATCCTTCTTGTCTTTCCAGGTCCAGTTGAAATGCTAATCCTTCATGGAACATTTGATAGAGGCAGTAATGATAATAATAGATCATATTTTTAACTAGAAGTAAGACAGTAATTAGATTTCTATGTGCCAGATGCTGGGTAAATGATTTGGGTGATTATCTCATTTAATTCTCATTGTAAGCTTATGACTTGGAACCATTATTATCTGCATTAGACATTCTTTGTTTTTGTTTGTTTTGAAACAGAGTCTTCCTCTGTTGCTCAGACTGGAGTACAGTGGTACAATCATGGCTCACTGCAAACTTGACTTCCTGGGCTCAAGAGATCCTCAGGCTTACCATCCTGAGTAGCTGGGGCCACAGGCACACATCACCATGCCCAGCTAATTTTTAAAAGTTTACATCAGGCATTCTTTGGCCCAGAATTCCATAATTATAGAAATGCTTTATTATGGCCTTGGGTCAGACACAGCTGGGTTGGATTCCTAGCTCTAAAGCTCACTGGACTAGCTGTATAACCTTAAACAAATTTAACCTTTCGAAACATATATGTGCAAGAATTAAAAGAACTAACAAGCCATGAGCACAGCTGTGGTCCTGGGATATTCCCTCAGCAACAGCTCAGGATGCCCTGTGCCTCCCTCTTGTGTTAAATCCTGTGCCATCTCAGCTTTGGCTTATTCTTTTATTTTGGTGGAGCACATCCTCTAGATGCGTTCCAACCAAGTAAACAGGATCCAGAAGGCTATGTTTATGAAACCTCATATGTCTGAAATTGTATTTATTTGACTGCTTCTTTAAGAGGTGCCTGGTGCCTCCTCTTCCTGAGCTCTTCTGGGGTTCATTAGTGTTAATCAGCTTGTTTCTGGGTTTTTTCCCCACCATTGCCAACATGGATTCTGGTTGTCTCTGGTTTGCCGAGTCAGTTTCTATTTATCCCTGTGCTTCCCACCTTCCAAAATTGTGTAGCTGTCCTCTCCCCACAGTCTTTTTTTTCCCCTGTGAGTCTATGCTGCTTTTTAAACCTTTTATTGTAATAAAATTTTGTTGTGCTTTTAGAAGGAACACAGACACCTACAGGCATTCAGTCCACTATTTTTAATGAGAAGTGTGGACTGTTGTTATTTTAGCATGAAAATTTAGAAGGCTGACTAGAGTTCTCATCCATACAGGTCATAACTCTTTTACGTAAAGGCTGGAATACAAAAGGAGGAGTTGGGATGGGGAGATAATGATTTCCATTTGGCGCAAATTGATGTTGAAGTTCTTTAGGGACATTCAGATAGAGACTTTTTGGATTTTTTTGGATAGAAGAGCTTAAAATTTAAATGATAATTCTGGGTTAGATAAGGATATATGCAAGTCATCAGTAAGAAGGTGTATTAGGTCATGCTATAGAGAAATACGTGAGGGTGGGTAATTTATAAGAAGAGAGGTTTAATTGGCTCATAGTTCTGCATGGGGATGGTGCTCACCCATTCATGAGAAATCCACCCCCATGATGTAATCACTCTCACCAGGCCCCACCTTCAATACTGGTTATTACAACTCAACATGAGATTTGGGCAGGGACACACATCCAAACTATATCAGGAGGAAACAGTAAGGAGACCATGTAGGAAGAGCAAAGGATGGTGGACCCAGGATCACTAAGAGAGTGATTTGTAGAGGAGATTTGACTGTTTCCTAGGGTTTTGTTTTGTTTTGCTGCTCCTCAATTTCTAGGATTAAAAAAATTTAAGCAAAACTCCAAATTCTTCTCTTTTAGTTTTTAAATAGACTCCTTTTTTGAATCAATTTTAAATTCACAGCAAGATTGAGCAGAAAGTACAGAGAGTTCCCATATTCCCCCTGCCCCAACACATGCACAGCCTCCCACGTTGTCAATTCCCCACCAGAGTGGTACATTTATTACAATTGACAAACCCACATTAACACATCATTATCACCCAGAATCCACTGTTTCCATTAGGGTTCACTCTTGGTGCTGGATAATGTATGGGTTTGGACAATCTATGGGTATGATACCTATCCATCATTACAGCATCATCCAGAATAGCTTTGCTGCCCTAAAACTCCTCCGAGCGCAATCCTCCGCTTTTTAGAAATGTATGCAACTTATTCTGATCTCCAACATTCGAATCTCAGCCTACATGAAATTGGAACAATGAGATAATGTTGAGTAGAAAGCTAAGCTAGAGGTGGGGTTGCTCCAAAAACTATAAATTACCCTCAAAGGTCTAAGAGATTTATAGCACTTCGCTAAGAACTGTCTTCCTCTTTTTTTTTTTTTAAGTACAATTTCCATTTTATTTTTCTCCAGAGAATAGTCCATCTTCAGTCTTTAAGGACTCAGCTCCTTACATGGGCTTTGGTGGGGGTTGTAGAGCAGCACCCGCAGGTCTCAATCGGGGTGGGGGTGTTTGGTCCTTGCGGGCTACACAAGATTGATTCCTGACTACTTTGCTGTGAACTGCACAACTCAAAAAGTAATGTAGCTTCACATACAGCTTGGGAAGCACATAGGCATCGAAGACGCTTGCTTCAGAAATGTCCCTGACTGCTGCGGCCTCCACTATGTTGTGAATGATGAATTTCTTAATGGCCTTGTCCTTGGGTATGCATCGGGCACAGTTCCTGCAGCGAATAGGCTGCATGTGGCCACGGCCCTTTTTAGCACGACCATTGTTCCCTCTTTTCTTTGTCATCTTAGAGGCACGGACCGGAGAGAGGACTGCCTTCCTCTTTAACACCCACAGACTGCAAACAGGCTAGAACTAGCCTCCCCACCATAGAAATGGATCATCCCAGCTCATGATCCAATAAATCCTGACAGCTGAATGTAGTAAGATAGTGCCATGGAGTTACTAGGCAAAGTCACACATACGCTGTATGTACTACATTCAAGTATGGTATATGTAACCTCGAGAGAGAAAACAGTTAATCACTTAAAAATGGGAGGCATTGCCATTGTCAGAGTTGGGAATCATTGCCTATATGGTGTGACCTCTATTGAAGGAATCAGAAAAATATAACTCACTAATGATGATGAATTTCTTGACAGGGTCTACATTTTTCTCCAGAACAAGCGTTAAATATGCATAGGCATATGGGCATTTTGTTAAAAGCTTAGGAGTCTGTGTCATAAATCAAAATAGAGACAAGTTTAATCTGAAAATAATTAATGGCAAATGTTACTAGTTAGTCATTAAGATGATGAAAAGATCATAGGGCCCCTGTAGACTGTCTCATTTTGACTGAAATCACTCAAAACATACTCTATGATTCTGCTGAGACAATGGTTTTTCATCTTGGCTGCTCATTAGCATCATGAGGGACGCTTCTAAAAACAGTACTTCCCGGATGTCATGCATAAAGTTCTGATTTAATTGGACTGAGTGGGGCCTGGGCATCTGGCTATCTTAAAAGTTCCTTCCAGCGATTCTACATGTAGCCAAGGCTGAGATTTGCAGTATGAGTTGGCTTGACCTCTGCTCCCAATAGCTGACTGTGGTGACCCGCTGGATGGAGTTTGGTGGTCTATTCTGACGTCAACATCCACTGGCAAAAGTGACCAAGTAACAAGGATACAATAACATGATTTTTGCTGAATGAATGTTAAGTAAATGAACCTTCTCACATTGCAGATAAGAAACAGAGGCTGAAAGAGGAGAGGGCCCTCACTCAGGGTCAGTTGATTAGATGAGAGGCAGAAATGAGAGTGCTTCCAGGTCCTGAAGCAAGTAGTCCAATACAGACCAGACTTAGTTCTTTGTCTTTGTCTTTAAATAGGCTTCTATACCAAATCCCATGAATCACCTCACCTGGTATGCTTCCAACAGCCATAACATATTAGCACTACCCGGAACGCGAGAGCAGGGCCTCCCCATCCACTGGTTCCCTGAGTTTGTCTTAGCAGCCTGTTTCACGCAGAGCTGGCTGGGGGAGGGAAGGATCAGGATAGACCAGGATTTGGGTGCTCTACCCCTGTTTCAATCACAGCAACTCTAGTTTTACCTGTTTTATATTTTGGTCTTCCATAGAAACAATTTTTATTTATTTATTTATTTAATTTTGAGACAAGGCCTCACTCTGTTGCCCAGGCCGGAGTGCAGTGGCACAACCAGGGCTCACTGCAGCCTCTACCTCCTGGGCTCAGTGGATCCTCCCACCTCAGCCTCCTGAGTAGCTGGGTCTACAGTCATATGCCACCACACCTAGTGTATGTTTTGTAGAGACAAGGCTTCACCATGTTGCCCAGGCTGGTCTCAAAGTCCTGGGCTCAAGCAATCCTCCCACCTTGGCCTCCCAAAGATCTGGGATTACCAGTGTGAGCCACCACACCCAGCCTATTTATTTTTTAGAAATGGGGTCTTGCTCTGTCATCTAGACTGCAGTGAAGTGGTGCAAACACAGCTCACTGCAGCCTCGAACTCCTGGGCCTGAGTGAGCCTCCTGACTCACCCACCTAAGTAGCCGGGATTGCAAGTGTGAACCACAGTGGCCGGGAGCAAAAAAAATAAATTTTTTTCAAGGACCAAATAAGGAAGGAATATGAAGGAAACTGTTCAATGCTAAGAAACAGAAAAGCAGTAGTAAAAGTAATAAAGTGATTTAGTCCAATTAATTCTCTAATGTTAACATCTTTTATAAGACATAAACAAGACTGAAAAGTTAAAAGATAAATCCAAAGCCATAGTAGATGATGGTCCATTCAAAAGTAGCCTCTCACTCTGTCCCCACATTTTCATGCATTTTTCCTCCATCTCTATTTTCACAGTTGTAATCACTGGCCATAGAATGCCCAAACTTCCAGAACAAGTAACAATACTGAACATCCTGTATTACTCCTGATTTTATTAAAAACGCCTACAGTATTTGAATGTTAAGGCTCTTTGTTGTTGAGAAGGATCTTTTTGATGATGTTAAGGAAAACAATCTGTTACAGGGAAGTCTAATGGAATTAATGGAAGAATTTTAAGCCTCTAAAAAAAATCATATGCTTTATCTTATTTCAGCTATAGGTGTGAAATATTGGTAGATTTTCAATTGTCAGTCCTTCTTGTATTTGCAGGTAAATATTTCTTGGTTATTTTGGCTTATGCTTTTAATGCGCTCTTTTAAATTTATTTTGAAAGCATTTTGGATGCACAGGAAGTTGCAAAGATAGTACAAAGAGGTCCCAAGTTCTCTTCACCCAGTTTCCCACCGTGGTCACATCTGATGTAACTACAGCACATCCAAATCAGGAAATCGGCACTGGCACAACTGTGTGTGTGTGTGTGTGTGTGTGTGTGTAGTTTTTTCTGCCTGTCTCTAGTTATTGGTAATTTTTGTGGCAAAATATAAAATATATCATTTTAACCATTTTTATTGCATAATTCAGTGGCACTAAATATTTTCACAATGTTGTATAACCACCACCAGTATCCATTTCCAGAACTTTTCATTATTCCAAACAGAAGCTCTATACCCATTAAACAATAAGCTCCCCGTCCCCATTTTTCCCTCCACTCAGGCCCAGGAAGCCACTATTCTATGTCTCTATGAATTTGTTTATTCTAGGTCTCTTAATGTACTCTTGATTTTAATTTACAGCTTTGCATGAATGTTTCTATTTGTATAATTTTATCATTTTGATGCTTTACCAGATATTTTCAGAGAATATGTAGTTTCACAAATTTCCATCCTTTTCTATTTTCTGGAACAATATATATTACACTGGAATTGGCTGTTGTTTGAAATTTTAAAAGAAACACCATGACAATATCATCTGGCCTAAAAACTTTTTAAAGTATTCTCTTAAAGATTTACTGGGGATGACCCACACTTTAGTTAACTCCCCCTTGGCGTTTATGATGAGAGAAGTTGGACAGAACTGCACATAGAATCATAGAAACCTTAAAAGCATTAGAAGGTCAGGGCTTGAAGGGACCTCCACGATCTCCCAATCTTATCTCCTTATTTACTGACAAGGACTCTGTCCCCCAGAGAGGACAAGGAACTTTTTCCAACCTTGAGCCAAGACAAACATCCAGCTCCTGACTCTCCTCCAATAAAAGGATGCACCACTTGAACTCCCATCTTTCTTGGAGGTGAATCAATATAATCAGACTGATGTAAGAGGAAGATAGTGTTAGAGGCTTTTCCAAAATGTTGTTGAGGATTTGCAGTTGTATTTCCTTCTAAGAACTCTTCTCTAAAGCTCAAGATTATCTGAATTTCCCTTCCCTGGGTGAGGAGAAGGTTGGAGGCTGGCCCGGGTGAGAGCTGGTGGAGGGAGTGCCTGTGACCCAGGACTCGGGAGGATGCTGAGGACCTGGTGGGGAGCATCGTCAGTATGTGGGCTGCATGCCAAGCAGGACGCATGTTCAAGAAAGGCCAAGGCAGCCATGGAAGGCCAGCAAGGTGTAAACAGCAATAAATAAGAATGTAAATTAGTACAACTTTATGAAAAACAGCATGGAGCTTTCTCAAATAACTAAAAATAAAACTACCATTTGACCCAGCAATCCCACTACTGGGTATATGCCCAAAGGGAAAGAAATCATTGTATCCAAAAGATACCTGCACGCGTATGTTTATCACAGCACTATTCACACTAGCAAAGATATGGAATCAACCTAAATGTCCATCAGTGGAGGACTGGATAAAGAACACGTGGTATATAAACAAAATGGAACAGCATTCATCCAGAAAAAAGAATGAAATCATGTCTTTTGCAGCAACATGGATGGAGGTGGAAGCGATTATCCTAAGTGAAATAACTCAGAAACAGAAAACCAAATACCACATGTTCTCACTTATAAGTAGGAGCTAAACAAAGGGTACACATGGACATATAGAGTGGAATGAGACATTGGAGACTACAACAGGTAGGAAGGTGAGAAGGGCGTTAGGGTTGAAAAACTACCTATTGGATACAGCATTCACTGTTTGGGTGATAGGGACACAAAATGCCCAGACCTCACCACTATGTAACATGTGTGTTTGAAACTTGCACCTATACCCCTAAATATATACAAATTACAAACAAGATGACAAAAAATAAATAAGTAAATCAATAGTGAGAGGGACAGGAGCAACCTAGAGAAATAGGACAGGCTGTCAGCTGGTGGATTTTAGGTGCCATCACATTGTGGTCCTTGAGAGCAATCACCTAACACAGTCACCCGATCATTTTTCTTTTTCTTTTCTTTTTTGTTTTTTTGAGATGGAGTCTCACTCTGTTGCCCAGGCTGGAGTGCAGTGGTGCAATCTCGGCTCACTGCAACCTCCACCTCCTGGGTTCAAGTGGTTCTCCTGACTCAGCCTCCCCAGTAGCTGGGATTACAGGCATGTGCTGCCACACCCAGCTAATTTTTGTATTTTTATTAGAGACGGGGTTTCACCATGCTGGCCAGGCTTGTCTCCAACCCCTGACCTCAGGTGATCTGCCCGCCTCAGCCTCCCAAAGTGCTGGGATTACAGGTGTGAGCCACAGTGCCCAGCCCTTGTTTTTCTAGAATGAAAACTGGGGCAGGATCACACCAAGGGTCCCTCTCTTCATATAGCTTCCTTCCCTTTCCTTCTCAGCACTCGGTGTGAATTGGTTGGAAGCCTAGTTTGTTTTCAACAAGTACGTTGCACTCTGTGGACTTGAGTTTGTGTTTCCTTGTACAGTAGATTCCAAGTATCTTTGGGACTGAACTCTTCATTCTCTTGAGAAAAAGATTGGACTTGCCTTGTCAGAGTGGCTGGGAGGCTATGATTTTAAGTGTGGTCCCATGAGCGATCACTAAGCAACAGGCTCTGGGGTCAGGGATACCATCTGGATCTCAAATGGGGGAACACTGTGTGGGTGTTAATAGTCTCTGAGGATTAACTCCAGAGAATCATTGAATTTCTTCAGGGCATATGCTATTGACAAAAGCGTATTTTGACTGATTTTTTCCCCCGTTAAAGAAATGAAGATGCTTACATTTACATAGCATGTTAGAACTTACTTATTTTCACATCCCTATCCCCACAATAGTCCCGTGACTTACAGTCTAGATGTTAACATCCTCATGATACAGATTAGAAAAGGTAAGGATACAACTAATAAAACTCAAAGCTAGGACTAGAATCTAGATTTTCAAAGCCATTTCAGTAAAATGAAGTAGAGTATAAAGTAGATGAAAAATAAAAATTAGTGGGGCATGGTGGTGTGTGCCTGTAGTTCCAGCTACTCGTGAGGCTGAGGCACGAGAATCGCTTGAACTCGGGAGGCAGACGTTGCAGTGAGCTGAGATCACACCACTGCACTCCAGCCTGTTTTTTGAGACTGTCTCAAAAAACAAAAAATAAAGCAGATGAAAAATAATTTAAAATTCCAATGAAGTAGAAAATAATAGTATGGCTAAGCAAGGCTCCTAATTTTTTTTTTTTTTTTTTTGAGACATAGTTTCGCTCTTGTCGCCTAGGCTGGAGTGCAATGGCGTGATCTTGGCTCACTGCAACCTCAACCTCCCGAGTTTAAGCGATTCTCCTGCCTCAGCCTCCTGCGTAGCTGGGATCACAGGTGTGTGCCACCGTGCCCAGCAAAGTTTTGTATTTAGTAGAAATGGATTTTCACTACGTTGACCAGGTTGGTCTCAAACTCCTGACCTCAGGTGATCCACCTGCCTTGGCCTCCCAAAGTTCTAGGATTACAGGTGTGAGCCACCACACCCAGCCTTCTTCTTCTTTTTTTTGTTTTTTGTTTTTTGTTTTTTTTTTTTGAGACAGGGTCTTACTCTGACACCCAGGCTGGAGTGCAGTGGTGTGACCTCAGCTCACTGCAGCCTCAACCACTGAGCTCAGTGATCCTCCCACCTCAGACTCCTTGGAGCTGGGACTACAGGCACACACCACCACACCCGGCTAATTTTTTGTAGAGGCGAGATTTCACCATGTTGCCCAGGCTGGTCTTGAACTCCTGGGCTCAAGTGATCCACCTGCCTCGGCCTCCCAAAGTGCTGGGATTATAGGCATGAGCCACTGCGCCCAGGTTGAAAGGAGTTTTAAGCAGGTATGTGAGCTGGTGGCCACAGGTTGGATTTCCTGATAGGCAGGAATTCAGGAAGAGGCAGCATCCCCAAAATCCTCATCAGTAATTACAGTCTGAGAGCCACGGACTCTGGGTCGCCCTGGCCCAAGAGTGGAGACATTTTAGGAATAAATGGGCTGTACTTGTTGGGCTGCTTTCAGCTGACTTTTCCCTAACGAACAAAACCCAGAGCAAACTAGCAGTTCTTCCCTCTTCCTGCCCCACTGATTTGATTTCAGCCACATAAAATGCACCACGCACCATTTCTTGTTTGATCTGTGGCCTTCGTTCTTTGAGACAAGGCCTCGCTCTGTTGACCAGGCTGAGTGCAGCAGTGTGACTGGTGCTCACTGCAGCCGCAACCTTCCAGGCTCAGGGGATCCTCTCGCCTCAGCCTCCCGAGTAGCTGGGACTACAGGCCCGTGCCACAACGCCTAGCTAATTTTTGTATTTTTTTTAGAAACGGGGTTTTGCCATGTTTCCCAGGCTGGTCTCAAACTCCTGGGCTCAAGTGATCCTCCCACTTCAGCCTCCCAAAGTGCTGGGATTACAGGCGTGAGCCACCATGCCTAGCCTAGTAGCCTTTCTTCTTTCAGATCATGAAGATATCAATAAATCAACAGGAAATAATATGCATTGAGCATATCAAAGTGCTTTTTTTATGAAACTGAAGTTCCTAACCCTGGCGGCACATTGGCATCACCTGGGAATTCTCAGCAACTCCAGAGGTCCAGTACCAACCACGGGACAATTAAATGAGAACTGCAGGGAGCGAGGCTTCAGGCATCCGGGTATTTTAAAAGGTCCCCCAGTGATTCAAATAAGCAGCAAGGCTGCAAACTACTCAGCTGGGGCTTTCTTGGCCATTGGCCGGGTCTTGGCCCTGTGCTTTTACTGGGAAATGTGGAGCTAAGCAGCTGGGGCTGCTGGGGCCACTGTCCTATCCCTGGGAACTCTCATGTGCTCCCATTCCCACTCCCATAAATAGGGGGTGTATTAGTCCGTTTTCATGCTGCTAATAAAGATATACCCCAGACTGGGCAATTTACAAAAGAAAGAGGTTTAAATGGACTTACAATTCCACGTGGCTGGGGAGGCCTCACAATCATGGCGGAAGGTGAAAGGCGCGTCTCACATGGCAGCAGACAAGAGAAGAGAGCTTGTGCAGTTAAACTCCCCTTTATAAAACCACCGGATGTCGTTGAGACTTATTCACTATCATGAGAACAGCACAAGAAAGACCTCCCCCCCGCCATGATTAAATTACCTCCCACCAGGTCCCTCCCACAACACGTGGGAATTCAAGATGAGATTTGGACACAGCCAAACCATATCAAGGAGTCTGCAGGAGCAGATGGTGGGGTACCATACGGGAGAGCCTTCCCTCACTAATCGCCCAGGGCTCCCTTTCACCACCCAGGGGTGGGCTCAGAGAAACCCCAGTGAAGGTGTGTGGAGCATCATCAGGCCTATCTCACAAGCCACGTGCCTGATCTCTGCAGCTGAGAGCAACCCGAGATAGGCAGATGGATCAGAAGGAGCAGTCAAAGGCCAAAACTCAGCAACTGACTTTATTTCCTTCTTGGAAGATGTGGATTTACTCCCTTCTCACGCAGGTAGCCCAATTCATTTATCATTATTTCTAAAACAGGCCAAAGGGAGAAATGTCACATTCCCGATTTATAGACTTGGAATTAAATATAAAACTGGTTAGCCTTACAAAGGAAGATGCTGTTCTCTTAGCCGCCGCTGGTAATGATTTATACAGGAGACATTATACCTAAATATAAACAAGGAGAATAATAACAAAGGATAGTTTATTTAGCTGACTCTGATTCTTTATCAGAAATTATTAGAATCTTGACTGTTTATTTGCTTTCATAATGTAATTTGTGCTTTTCTTTATTTGTTACATGTCCTTAAGGCCATATTGTTTCTAGCCTTTTATGACCCTTAAGGAGGACAGAAAGTTATGAGACTAGCATTTTCCAAAATGTGTTCCAGTAGATGTTGTTGGGGGGGGAAAAAAAGAAAAATTATGTGGTCAAATACATTTGGGAAACATTAGATTCAATAAATTTAAACAGGTTCTTTTGCTACCTAACTTTTCAAATCTATAATATGCCACATGTATTACAAATCTTCAGGAGTGGCCTGTAGCATTCAGTGCTTGCAAAACTTATTTTTCTGTAAAACTCATTTTTAAAGGACCAGCTTATGGGACAAAGAGGCTAAGTGCCAACAGAACATATTTTAAGAAAAGCAAAATTAGACTAAAAGAAGCAACAAAGCCTATTACTTTAGTTTGCTGAACATTAGTGAGCTTAAGTTGACAGACTTCAGCTGTAACATATTTAAATATGGTATATTAAAGAATGTGTTGATTTCAAAATGCAGTAGAAGACTAGGATGTACTGCCAACAAAGAAGTGTCAGTTGCTTACTAATGAGCTAAAAGAATTGCATTGGTCATACTGATTCAAAACCGTTTTGAGTTTTCCTGTGAGTATAATAAAGCTGCACTATTGGTTTAAACTTATAAAAATATTGAAGACACAAAATTCAATAAATTTATTGACCTGGATTTCAAACTTCAATAAAGGGATTTGAGCAGGAATATAATCAATAACTGAAGTAAAAATTTCTGTACTAAGAGAATAATCATGCTGCCATCCAAAAAATCGTCCTGAAAGGCTGGGTACAGCAGCTCAGGCCTGTAATTCCAGCACTTTGGGAGGCTGAGGTGGGAGAATCACTGGAGGCCAGGGGTTCAAGACCAGCTTGGGCAACATAGTGACACCCTATCTCTACAAATATGAAAAAATTTAGATGGGCATGGTGACTGCACCACTGCCCTCTAGCCTGGGTTACAGAATGAGACCCTGGAAGGACTTTTGTTTAAAACAAAAATAGTCCTTAAAGATCACAACAGGTAGAATATGTTAGTCGTGATTCTCCAGAGAAACGAACAATAGCATATGTAATGAGAGGACGAGGTGGGAAATGCAGAGAGAGAGAGATGGAGACAGAGAGACACAGAAAAATACTGATTTTAAAGAACTATCTCACACAACTGTACAGGCTGACAAATCCACAATCTGCAGGGTAGTCTGGTAGGCTGGAGATCCAGGGAAGACTTGATGTTGTAGCTTGGGTCCAAAGACAGTCTGCTGATGGAATTTTCTCTGTTTGAGGGGAGGTCAGTCTTTTTCCTATTAAGGTCTTCAACTGATAGGATGAGACCCACCCATATAATGGAAGGTAATCTACTTTACTCAAAGTCTGCTGATACAAATGTTAATCTCATCTAAAAAATAGCTTCTCAGGAATATCTAGACTAGTGTTTGACCAAATATCTGGGTACTGTGGCCTAGCCAAGTTGGCACATAAAATTAACTGTTAGAATGACTTACAGTGTAAACAGCCAAAATTACGTAAGCTTAAAATTATCTGCATCAACATCCTATTGGGACTCTAAAATATCTTAAAAATTAAGAATAAATCAATTAGTGAAAATATTCTATGAATCAGCCAACTATTCTATTGCAATCATTTAGACCAAGGGTTGACAAAATATGACCTATGGGCCAACTCCGGCCCTGTTTTCATATGGCCCATGAGCTAAGAATGGTTTTTGCATATTTTAAATGGGAAAAATCAAGAGTAGTATAATATTTCATGACCCATGGAAATTATATGAAACTCAAATTTCAGTGTCCATCAAAAGTTTTATTGGAATATGGACAGCTATACTTATTTGTTTATGAGTTGTCTGTGGTTGTTTTGGACTATATTGGCAGGGTTAAACAGTTGCAACAAAGACCATAAGGGCCCCAAGGCCTAAAATATTTACCATTTGTCCCTTTGAAGAAAAGGTTTGCTGACTCATGATTCAAATAAAGCAACTGATAGAATAAATTTTTACTATGCTACTAAATTGAAATGGCATCCTATTATAGCCTGAAGAAGACATTTGTGTAGGATGACAGTAGTTTTAGTAGGTTATTTGCAACAGCAAAGGATGGTATCTACCTTCTGTAGAATAAGCTTCCACATACTCTTTTAATGATATAAACTCTATGCTTTTCCTTTGGGTAGAGTAGGAAAGAGTCTCCCCCTCCTCTGTTAACAACCTGAAAACAAATATAATCATCACATCAGATCTGAAGCATATTCTAATGTATTCAAGAATATCTGAAAACATTCAATTCACTTAGAAAGTATTTGAGAAGTTACAATTTCAAAGTGGTGTGCTGGAATGTGCTAGAATCTTGCTGACAGTCATCTCAAGAACGTGATTGCAATGAGTGAAGTTCCCTCTCATGGGTCACTGCACAATGGACCCCTGAGAAGAACCTTCAAATTTCTTAAAAGACAGAGCATTTCCCCTAAACCTGGGTGCTAAAGGCTTGTGGAGAAATGGGCAGCCTTCTGGGATAGTTTAAAGCTTAGAAGAATTTCTGAAACTGGGGTGTACTAGCTATGAAGTTTCTCTTTTGTAGTGATAATTAGCATTGAAAGACATTATTGGAGAACAGTAATATTTTATGTCAGTGATTTTCAAGGTGAGTCCAGATAACTATAAGGAATTGATCATAGTCTCAGCAATTTACAAGAGTCTTTTGTTCAGTCATTAAAAGGAATCTGTGTTACTTTTGTTTAACATACTGGCTCAGATGGTTGCATCTTTGGGACAGGACCAACTGAATACATTTGAAGTGTTTGAGATAAAAGAACTTCTCCCAGTAAATCAACTTTCTTAGAGCACGTTTCTCCACCTGTGGCAATGGACCCTGATCCAGAAAGTAAGCTCCTTGCCCTTTCTTAAAGAGACAATGCATGGAAAGTGTTTAGCTCAGGGCCTGACCCATATTGAATGCTCATTAAAAATTAATAAGGATTGTAATCTATTTTATTAATAAAATTATGTATTTGAAACAAGTGTGGGGGTGTGTGCGTGTGAAAAATTATTATTATTTATTGTCTGTAACAAGTGTAGTTCCTAGTTTCATTCTCTAAAGCAAGAATATAGAGAAAGGGACAAGGGCACTCAGAACTAGAACAGGATGTCCTCAATGACCTATTCTCATGCCTAGTGATAAGGGGATGTGGTACGATGTAAACAAATGCCACAGCAGATGCAGTAATTGAGGAAGCAAAGGGAACTGGAGAACCACTGAGCTGGGAGTTGGGAGACATGACTTCCAGTCCTGGGTCTCCTACTCACTGTAACCATGAGCAAGTCACCTTCTATCACTGGGCCTCATTTTTCTCATTTATAAAATAAAGGATTTGTACAAGATGACTTCTCTGATCTATTCTAGCCACGAAACTCTGATATACTGAGAGGTGATCACAAGAGCAGAGAGTGGTTACATTCCCATGTTTATTCAAACAGGGAGATACGTAATAAGATATATTGGAAACTGTCTATTGGAAACTGTCCAATATATCTTATTACTATTAGGTTGGTGCAAAAGTAATTACAGTTTTTGCCATAGAAAGTAATGGCAAAAACTGATTTCTTTTGCACCAACCTAATATATGATTATTGTCTGGGACACGGTAATAATCATAAAAGCTAATAGTTGAGTGCTTCCTAGGTGCCAGGCACTGTGTGAAGGACTTTATACAATTCACTTATACAAAGGTTACAACTACCCTAGGAAGAAATCTTATCCATGTTTTCCAGATAAGGAAACTGAGGCACAGTAACTTGAATAAGTGTCAAACTGCTGGGATTACAGGCGTGAGCCACCACGCCTGGCCTTAAGTATCTTGTCTATACAACTCATAAATGATAAAGATAGATGAGTGGATGTTCAAAAATTATTTGTTGAATGAATGAGTGAATGAATGAATAGGTAAAAGAGAAAACCAGGCTTTTATTGGCCCAGATATTTTCTTCCAGTCTAGGTGGGCAATGTGAACAATCAGGATAGTTACAGCTTGAGTGTCCTTTATCCTTCTTGGCCACCTGAGAAAGCAGGTTCTTCTCAGGTCAAGCAAAACCTTCTCTTGAGCTGGGTCTCCTAGACTCTGAGTCATAAGTCTATCAGAACTGCAGCCATTATAGGATGGCTCTATTATTACGACTCAATTCTTTCAGGAGTTATGACACAAAGATTGTTTTCTTTTTTGAGTATCTTAAAAGTGCCAGGTGGCATTTACTTATTTCTTAAAATGAATTATTTATTTTGCTTTGAGCAATTTGTGATTCAAGAAATTCTAAAGTTTATCATTTCTTTCTAAACCTTTTTGTGTTCAGATACTCCAGAAAGAATGATTTCCTTGTTATATCACTTGTAGCTAAAAATAAGTTTGAACTGGCCATGCTGAATATTCAATTATGTATGAGCATTTTTTCAAATTCCAGTCTCCTTATTGGTGGCCGATGGCAATAGCACTTACTTGATGTGGTCATCATAGAAGGGAGGTGAGTCACAAATAGACTGTCTTATGGAAGAAATGACTAACATTACAATATGTACCAGTGCCCAGGAAAGAGGGAAAGAGAGAGAGATGAAAGAAAAGAAAGAAAGGAGGGAGTAAAGAAGGAAAAAGGAAAGAAGGAAGGAGGGGGTAGTGAGGGGACTCAAACCCTCAAGCAGGTAACTGTGAGACTCTCTTGTCCCAAGTTCTTAACCAACTGACATTCCCAGAAAGCCTTTTTGGCTCAGCCCTTTACCACTATTCCACTTACATGGAAACCAGTAGAAGCTCACGTTATACTGCCTCAATGCGAAATGGGGTCTCTGGCCAGATTTGTATGTCATACCAAGAAATACAGACCAGTGTTAAAATGCAGGGGGTTCTTTTTCTCTGCTAAGTGAAACAGAGATCCTAGTTCAAAGTCTAGCTTAACACCTTGGATAAGACACTTACTAGGTAGTCTTAGTGTTCTCGTGTGAAATGAAGATGACACAGAGATAATGATCGTAGCCTAACAGAAGCATAATCAGGTGTTTTTTTGTTTTTTGTTTTTTTGTTTTTTTGCATGACAACTTAAGAGACATCTAGACAAACTGTTCTGAGGAAAGTGTCCAGAATGGTGAGGGGATGTGTTTGAAGAACACCCTATGTGATGTTCATATGAAAAAATCCATATGTGTTTGAAGAAACTGAACATGGCCACCTTGAACAAAATCACTTCAGAATACATGATAATTGTCTTTATTCTAAGGGCTATTACAAGAAAAAGAGATTAAGTTATACAACGTGGGTCAAGGAGAGGTTGTGATAAGAAGCAAGGTTTTGATTTATTTCAACAAAGACTTTTTCAACAATAAGAGGTATTTTTTTTAATGGTGGGCTCAGATCATGGATGGTGAATTTCCTGTATGTGGAGGTATCTAAATAAATGCTAAATGACCACTTATAAGCGTATTCAAGCTACAAATCAGAGATGTGATTGGAAGAGATTAAGTCTTTCTCCAAACTAGAAATTCTAATTTTCTGTACCTGCCCTAATTATTAAAATACAAATTACTTTATTAAAATATGAATTAATCTGTTAGAAGAAAGTTGAAAAGTTGAATGCCCGATGATGTCAATGATGACAACATGAGCAGCAAGATAGCTTTCCAAACTCCTTTTCATATATAGTGGTGCCTTGCAGTAAAAGTTGAATGAGTAAAAACACAATCTGTAAAAGCACAATACATCTTACCGGCCAGGCATGGTGGCTCACGCCTGCAATCCCAGCACTTTGGGAGGCCAAGGAAGGTGGATCACCTGAGGTCAGGAGTTCGAGACCAGCCTGACCAATATGGTGAAACCCCATCTCTACTAAAAATACAAAAATTAGTTGGGCATGGTGGCATGTGCCTGTATTCCCAGCTACTCAGGAGGCTGAGACAGGAGAATTGCTTGAACCCAGGAGGCAGAGGTTTCAGTGAGCCAAGATCACGCCACTGCACTCCAGCCTGTGTGACAGAGCGAGACTCCATCTAAAAAACAAACAAACAAACAAAAAAATACATTTTACAATTTACATTAGCACCTCAGGAATTTAGAATTATCACCCCTTAAAAATGAAATACTTAGGTATAAAGCTAACAAAATATATGTAAGATTTATATGAAGAAAATTACAAAACTTCTGGGAAAAAATCAAAGACCTAGTTAAATGAAGAGACAATCCATGTTCATGGATAGAAAGACTCAATATTGCCAAGATGTTGGTTCTTCCTATCTTCATCTATAGATTCAATGCAATCCCAATCAAAACCTCAGTGAGTTATTTTGTGGATATTGACAAACTGATTTCAAAGTTTATACAGGGGCAAGAGACCCCAAATAGCCCACTCAATACTGAAGTAGAAGGAGAAAGTTGGAGGACTGACATTACCCAACTCTTAAAACTTACTATAAAGCCACAGAAATCAAAACAGTGTGGTATTAGTAAAGGAGCAGATAAGTAGATTAATGGAACAGAACAGAGAGCCCAGAAGTAGACCCACACAAATGTAGTCGACTGATTTATAGCAAAAGAGTAAAGACAATACAAAGGAGAAAAGATAGTCTTTTCAGCAAATGGTGCTAGAACAATTAGACCTCCATATGCCAAAAAAATTACACACAAATCTTACATTTTTCACAAAATTTAACACAAAATGGATCATAAACCTAAATGTGAAATGCAAAACTATAAAACTCCTAAAAGATAACATAAGAGAAAATCTAGATAACCTTGGGTATGGTGATGATGTTTTAGATACAACACCAAAGGTACACTCCATGAAAGAAATAATAAAATGACTTTATTAAAATTAAAAATTTCTGCTCTGCAAAAGACACTGTCAAGAGAATTAGAAGACAAGCCACAGACTGGGAGAAAATATTTGCAGAAGACACATCTGATAAAGGATTGTTATCCAAAATATACAAAGAACTCTCAAAACTTAATAAGAAAACAACCCAGTTAAAAAATGCACCAAAGACCTTAGACACCTCACCAAATAAGATGTATATATATGGTAAGCAAGCATATGAAAAGATGTTCCATATCATATTTAATCTGAGAAATGCAAATTAAAACAACAATGAGATACCACTACACACTTATTAGAATGGCCCAAATCCAAAACGCTTATTATGGAAAGGATTTAGGGCAATAAGAACTCTGATTCATTGCAGATGGGAATGCAAAATGGTACAGCCATTTTGGAAGAAAGTGTGGCAGTTTCTTACAAAACTAAACATAGTCTTACCATATAATCCAGCAACTTATTTCCTCAGTATTTATCCAAATAAGTTGAAAACATAGGTCCACACAAAAACCTGCACATGGATGTTTATAGCAGATTTATTCATAATTATCAAAACTTGGAAACACCTAAGATATAGGTGGCTGGATAAACTGTTGTCCATCCAGACAATGGAATATTATTCAGTGCTAAAATGAAATGAGCTATCAAGCCATCAAAGACTTGGAAGCAACTTAAGTACATACCACTAAGTGAGAGAAGTCAGTCTGAAAAGATTACATACTGCATGATTTCTAGTATATGATATTCTAGAAAAGGCAAAACTGTGAAGACAATAAAAAGATCCATGGTTTCTGGGGGTTGGGGAAAGGGGAGGATACATAGGCAAAGCACAGGATATTTTTAGGGTAGTGAAGCTATTCTTTGGAATACTATAATGGGAGATACATGCCATGATATATTTGTCCAAACCCATAGTATATACAATGCCAAAAGGGAATCCCAATGGAGATTACAGACTTGGGCAATAATGATGTGTCAATTAGGTTCACCGATTATAACAAATGTACCACTCTGGTGAGAGATGTTGATGGTTGGGGAGGCTGTGCATATGTGAAGGCAGAAGTATATGAGAACTCTGTACTTTCCATTCAATTTTGCTTTAACCAAAAACTGCTCTAAAAATAAAGTCTAAAAATAATAAACAGCAACTATCACTGTTGCTTTTGCTAGAAAAAAAAATCTGTGCAAAAAGAGAATTAGAGCTAAAGCTTTTAGCCATCAGAAAGAAATTGCCTCACTTTTTTCTGACCCTCTGCCCATCTATATTTTAGAATTTTGTTGGAGGAAAAAAAAATGGGAAGATGAGAGAAAGGGAAGAGCAATCAGCATTTGCTAAAAAAAAAAAAAAAAAAAAAAAAAAAAAAAAAAAAAAAGACTAGACTCAATCTCCCTATACAAAAAAGGAGTCATGGCTCTTATCTTTGCCCTCTAGTCCCATAGTGAGCAGTTATAGGACTCAGAAATGTGCCTAGAGGGTGACTGTGAATATTTTCCGTATCTGATGGGGAAGAAAGCTCCAGAGCACCTAGGGCTCAGCAACCCTCACTTAGAATTCCCTGCTCAGTACCAAAGAAATGAGACCAAGAAGGCATTCTATAGAAAGCTGGGCTAGTGATTGGCCAGGCACAGTGGCTCATGCCTGTAATCCTAGCACTTTGGGAGGCCAAGGCGGGCAGATCACTTGAGGTCAGGGGTTCAAGACCAGCCTGGCCAACACGGTGAAACCCCATATCTACTAAAAGTACAAATATTAGTTGAGCATGGTGGTATGCGCCTGTAATCCCAGCTACTTGGGTGACTGAGGCACAAGAATTACTTCATCCCGGGAGGCAGAGTTTGCAATGAGCTGAGATTCCACCACTACACTCCAGCCTGGCGACAGGAGTGAAATCCTGTCTCAAAAAAAAAAAAAAAAAAGGCTTGGCTAGTGATGATTCTTAGATTATCGTAACTCTTGAGTTACTCAGCCTGTCCATGTTGGTTTTAAGTAAATATGCATTTTAGACATATGGTCAAAATATGAACACACACTTTAGTGCTGGAAGCATTTTTTTATTTCAACAGATTTATTCACCATTAAGTAACCCATGTGTCACCAGCCTTGTCCTGCAGTCAGAGTTCACATTCACCACAGAATGATGCATATACTTGGAATTACTCAACTGGGGGCATTCTTTAAAAAAAAAATGACATTTCATTTATATTGTGTCCAAGGTTTTTTTCTCACTTAAAATTTCAGACTATTGCTTCTTGATGGCCTGTTGCATAATTTTGCTTGCTTGGTTTACCTAGAAAAGTACATCAAATAGATTGGATAGTGATCTCCATTACATTTTCAACAAGTTTTTATTCTGAGGATGATTAAGAGTATGACCTAATGTCCTGTCTGACCATTTGATTGGGAGGTCAAACTGTTAAATATAATTCCCAGGAGCTCCTCAGAGGCAACAACTTTAATTACAGAGAGATAAGGAAGGAAAGGAACCTCAGAGACCCAGCTCTGTTCTCCTCATGGAATAATCACCACCAACTGCAGAAGTCCAAGGAAAATCCCCAGGATTACACCAGAGATGTGTAAAAAGAGTTAATATATAATACAAAGGGTTAAAGCAGCCTTCATTCATATTTTCCAAATGAGGAAATATGTGGTTAAGAAGTAGTTCAAGCTGTTCAAGGAATCCAAATCTACGAGAACCCAGAGTGAAGAAATACAGAATATTCCTTTAAGATAGAGTAAACTATGACGAGGAATGAAAATCTAGTAAACGCTCATGATAACAGAATTATGGTGTTCTGGAATATTAAGCCAATGGTCCAGGAATTCTAATCTCCCTCCTGTGTGATTACTTGCAATCCTCTTCCATAAGAGTGGACATAAATAGCACATAAACAGAGTATCTGAGGAATGGAGAGGCAGATGAGAAAAGAAAACTTATGGTGAGGTCCTTCCCAATGGCACAGAGACATGCTTTATCATCTTCTATGTGAGAGTGGAGGGTAAAGTGAGGTGTGGGGGTATTGATTTTACATCATCCCTAATGCAGTCTGCACAGGACCTGGGACGGCCTTGACAGAGGTGAGAGGGTGGGAAAATGACAACCTTTTAGCTCCCATTTAGTGTCCCAGTGGAAAGTGGCTCCCAGAGGTCTCCTAAGGAGGTTGTCTTTGAGAGGACAGCTCTCATCCACTCCAGCTCTTCCCAACTAAAGCCACAGAGAATCTTTCAGCTTGCTCCTATTCCCCATCTCCAGAAGGAAAAGAAATGCAAGATCTCCTAGCTGAGATTAGGACATAGACAGTCATGCAGAGATGGATTCAGAGTGAATAAAATCCCATCAAATTTTTCTCTGTCTCAAGACTTTTCTCCTCCCATGAGCTAGCAGGGCAATTTTACAATGTCATGACTACAACCACATGGCATTTGATACTCCAGAAGGGAAGCAGTGGGGAAGATGGAGCATGGAAGTCAAGAGTTCAGCCAAGACATTCAAAAGTGAGAAATACTTCCCGGCTGCCCTGAACCTCTTTGAGGAGCCAGTGGCTATCAACACCTTGGGAAGTTCTAGCAGCTTCCACACAAGAGGCCCCAGCAAAAATTCCCTCAGTAAATCAAGGGCCAGTCAACAGTCACTTAGAGAGCACTTGTTCCGTGTCACTGGGCTAGGCCACGTCACTGCTCAGAAGCCTGTAGAATACACAGCTATGAAAAATGACATCTCAAGGCTGTAAGTGTTAAGTGGCAAAGGGCTAATACAGAGGTCTGTGTATTTTCAGAGCAGGAGACAACCAATGAGAGACTCTTGAGTTCCTATCCTTCAATTTCAGGCTAAGTGGGTGCTCCAGTGATCTCTTTGGCCTTGTCCCAAAGGCTTAAGATAGAGATGCAAACCCGGTCTACATTATGTAAACCAGGATTGTGTGCTCACTGCAAAACCGGTCATGCAAAGTCTATAGCAGTAGATGTAGGCAGTGTTCTGAACATGGCAGTGATTAATTGGAGGAGAGGGGAGGCAGCCGAGAAAGGACGTTTTCTTTACTGATTCTTCTTTTTAAAAATATTTATTTATTTATTTATTTATTTAGAGACAGGTTGTCACTCTGTCGCCCAGGCTGGAGTGCAGTGACATGATCATAGTTCACTGCAGCCTCAAACTCCTGGGCTCAAGGGATCCTCTTATCTCAACCTCCAGAGTAGCTGGGACCACAGGTGTGCACAACCACACTCAGCTAATTTATTTATTTATTCTGTAGGGATGGGGGTCTCACTATGTTGCCCAAGCTGGTCTCAAACTCCTGGCCTCAAGCAGTCCTCCTGCCTCAATCTCCCCAAGTGGAAGGATTATAGGTGTGACCCACCTATAATATAAAGGTGAGCCCAGCCTTTATTAATTCCTAAAGACCACCTGCCTTTTCTATGAACCTATTGTGGTTATTAGGATCATAGAACTAAGTTAGCAATGAAAAAGACAATGGTAACTTATTGAGCACCTAACTGTCTGCCCAACTTCAGTGGCTAAGATGAGAGAAAAAATATAGGTATTTGAGGAAATTTTATAGTCTAACTTGGAACTTACAATCTAGTTTGAAACATTAGATGAACATACAAAAGAACTTGATAGTTGCAGGGGAAGGGGGAGTGTATGATGTAGTGTTTGAGGCTGAAGAAGTGAGTGGGTTAGGGAGTAAGACATGCTGAGAAGAGGGGCTTGGGTTAGACACACAAGATTGGGTCATATTTGGGATCTGGCTGCCTGACAAGGTCAAAGTTAAGGAATTTTTGTGTGTGGTGCATAGAGCAATCGACCTAAAAGAATAGATGTTTTGATATTGAGAAGTAATTGCAAAAAGAGATGGCAGGACTGTAGTTAGGAAGGTGGGTTTAAAGTCAGATTTGGATCCTAATTCTATTTCCTTGTAGCTGTGCAATATTGAACAAGTTTTTTAACTTCAGAGTCTCAATGGCCTCATGTATAAGATGGAGCTACATGCCTGTGAGAAATAAAAGAGACAATCTGGCCGGGCGCAGTGGCTCACGCCTTAATCCTAGCACTTTGGGAGGCTGAGGCGGGCAGGTCACCTGAGGTCAGGAGTTCAAGACCAGCCTGGCCAACATGGCAAAACCCCCTCTCTACTAAAAATACAACGGGCATGGTGGTGCATGCCTGTAATCCCAGCTACTCAGAAGGCTGAGGCAGGAGAATCACTTGAACCCAGGAGGCAGAGGTTGCAGTGAGCCAAGATTTCACCACTGCACTCCAGCCTCAGTGACAGAGTGAGACTCCATCTCAAAAATAAAAAAATAAAAAGACAATCTATTTTAAGTGCCTAGCACAGTGCCTGGACTTGTAAACTTGCAACAAATACAGCTCTTATATTTTTAAAATTTCTATGAGGGTAGGACCTGTGTCTGTCTTGTCTGTCATCATTTCTTAACACAGCACATAGTATGTCAATGTACATTTTAAAATGTATGAATGAACAGAAGACATGAAAGAGCAAAGAAACACAAGTGAGCATACTCGTAATAATCTTATCACCAAGAGGACCAAGTTTCTTTAATCCAGCTGCCACATTTATTTAGATAGAGTTTTCTTGGGAGCATTTCCTCCTTGGGTCATGGGAAAAGCAAGCAAACAAAACCCCAAGAAACTGATATCTCACTGATGGCATTACAATTACAAAGAGGATTATCCAAAGTAATTATGTATGGTAACGTTATCATGTTAAAATAAATCCGATTATTCATTTGTAAAAATTCAATGAGTGTTCAGGTTTCTCTATAGGAAAACAACAAATATCTCTGCCCATTATATAAAGCTCTAGCTAATTTGTTCAGGCACATAATAGAGAGTGCTGTGGCACAATTCTAAGAACATTATTTTTTTTGCTGATAAATGATGCCCCAAAATTATGATTAATCACAATTGCTTAAAAATTGACATAACATTCAATTCAGCAGGTTAGTTTATTGTGACATAAGTTAACTGGATTTTGGTGATTTAAGTCTGACTCTGAGCATGCAGTTGGAATATTTTATGTAGCATCTGACATAGAGATAAATGGATTTTGTCAGGAAGCCAAGAGAACAAGTATTAATAATATTCTCTTCACACTCATTGAGGGCTTCCTATGTGTCAGGTATTTGTAAGAGCTTGAATGGTATTCACTAATTTAATCTCCACAACTCTATAAAGTAGGTAATTTATCATCCTCATTTTACACATGGAAGAAATAAGGCACAGAGCACTTAGGTAACTTGCCCAGGAGCATCCAACTAGCTCAGCAGCAGAGCTGGGATTCAAAGTTCTGGCATTCTGACTCCTGAGTTCACACTCAAGGGCTCACCAGTACTGTCCCCAGCACTGTGTTCTGATACTGCCCCCCAGAACTTAGTCTCTATGGGAGGGTTGTGGAGGGAATGGAGGAGTGGAGAGGATCCACTAGAGTGTGGATCCTTATCCATCTTGGTTCTGAGGAATAAAACACCGCTTTGAAGGAAGCCAGGGCTGCTGGAGAGAGAGAGAGAGAGAGAGGTTTCTAGGTCAGTTTGTTATCAAATGTTGGTTCTTTAGAATCTTGGGGATTTAGTGATGCAGATGCTTGGGCCCCACATGCCATAGCATTTAATTCAATAGGCCTCTATGGGACACAAAGCGACATTTCTAATTAGCCCCCCAGATGATGCTAATATAGATTGTCCCCACAGTCACAATTTAAAAAACTTCTGATTTGCTTTACAACTCTCTCTCTCTCACACACACACACACACACACACAGATAATAAATGGGATTTAAATTTTTCCATTATAATTTAAAGAAAAATAACAAAGACCTTCTTTCTAGGTGATTTATACAGCATGTAGACAAAGTTTAGGTCTTGTACTCAAACTTTTCTGAGAGTCCTATATTCATTTTCTATCGCTGTGGAACCAATGGCCATACATTTAATGGCTAAAGACAACATCCTTTTATTCTCACGGTTTTTTTAGGTCAAAATGTCTGAGTGGGCTCAATGTGCTCTCTGCTTAACTCCCAACAAGGCCAAAATCAAGGTGTTGGCCAGACTGGACTATCATCTGAAGCCTCTGAGGAAGTGTCTCTTTCCAAGTTCATTTAGGTTGTTGGCATTCAGTCCCTTGCACTTGGAAAACTAAATCTGCATTTCCAGGCTGACTGTTGACTGGTGTTACTATCGGTTTCCAGAGGCTGTTCCATCCTTGCTCATGATGCCCTCCATCTTCCAGCTAACAACTATGTGTCTTGTCCTTCTAGTGTTTCTGTTCTCTTTGACTTTCCCCACTGCCACCAGCTGGAGAAAGTTCTCTGGTTTTAATGGGCTCATGTGATTAGATTGTGCACTTCCAGATAAACTCTCTTTTTGATTAGCTCAAAGTCAACTGATTAGTAACCTTAATCACAGCTGCAAAATTTCTTTTGTCAGATACTGAGATAGAATAGAAATGGGACACAGCTCCTCTTTCACAAATTTTTTTTCTTTTTTCTTCTTCTCTTGTCCCACTAATCACGAAACCCACACCACTACCTCACTGGCAATATACCAATATTCCTGCTAACCCTGAGGCTTTAGTTGTACAAAGCAAATAGCCAGTCTTCTGTGCTCTCATAATGTTTAACCATGCCTTTTACTTAAAGAATTTCAGGAACTGGCCTTTGGAAATCTAAATATCAAACCAAGGTTATGGAGTGTCCTACTTCAGGAAGGAATGTTCAACAGTGATTTGCAGCATGGTTGCTGCTGGCCAGACCACCAGGTGGTCCATTACTCAAGATAACTATTGTGGCTGGGCATGGTGGCCCATGCCTGTAATCCCAGCACTTTGGGAGGCTGAGGCCAGAGGATTGCTTGAGCCCAGGAGTTTGAGACCAGCCTAGGCAATGTAGCAAGACCTCATCTCTACAACAACAACAACAAAAATCAAAAAATTAGCTGGGTATGGTGGCACATGGCTGTAGTCCCAGCTACTCTGAAGACCAAGGCAGGAGGATCAGTTGAGCCCAGGAGTTCTAGACCACACTGGGCAACATAGCAAGACCTCATCTTTATAACAAAAACAATAAAATAAAAAATTATCCCAGTGTGGTGGCACGTGCCTGTAGTCCCGTCTACTTGGGAGTCTGAGGTACGAGGATTGCTTGAGCCTGGGAGGTTGAGGCGGCAATGAGCCCTGATCACAATGCTGCACTGCAGCTTGGGTGACAGAGAAAGACCCTGTCTCAAAACAATAATAGCCATCACAACCAGATATGCTCACTGCATACCCTATCCCTCAGATGGTTTGCCCAGCCAGCCTGCATACTTTACCCCTTATGTCAATTCCCACACTTGGCCTAATAAATCCTTCCTGGCTTTTCTAGGGAGTCAGCTAGAGAGTCCTTGCATCTCTACTGTCTCCCTTGTGCTCCAGCACAAGCCCTGAAATAAAAACCTGGTCTGGGAAATTTGCTTGGCCCCAGGTTAATTTTTATTACATGGGGAAAACCAAAGGGCCTGTGATCTGTAACAGATTCTCTGATGAGCTAGCCAGGAGCATGATATGTGGGGAGCATTTTCCTCCCAGGAGTGGGAGGCTTGTGAGTTAGTGAAACAGCCAGACACATCTCCTTCACGGCTGATGGGCGGCCACCTGAACCATTGGCTCAGCACCACTGCAACTGGCATTTTCCTTCCAGGGGCTTCTCACCAGTCCCCAACCTGAGACAATGCTTTCCCTCACCTCCTGTCCCCATCTGTGGTATCTTTCTTTTTCCTTCTTCTACCTTCCTCCTTCCCTGCTTTCACTTTTCCTTCCTTCCCTCCTTCCTTCCCTCCCTCCCTCCGTCCCTCCCTTCCTTCCTTCCTTTCTTTCTTGATGGAGTTTCGCTTTTTCACCCAGGCTGGAGTGCAGTGGTGTAATCTTGGCTCACTGCAAGCTCCGCTGCCTCCCCCCGCCCCCACCGGCTTCAAGTGATTCTCCTGACTCAGACTCCCGAGTAGCTGGGATTATAGGTGCCCACCACCATGCCTGGCTAATTTTTGTATTTTTAGTAGAGACGGAGTCTCACCATGTTGGCCAGGCTGGTCTTGAACTCCTGACCTCAGGTGATCCACCTGCCTTGGCCTCCCAAAGTGCTAGGATTACAGGCATGAGCCACTGCGCCCAGCCTGCTTTCACTTTTCATTAACTTCAACGGCTCAGCCTGAATAGACATCTATACAGGATGGATTGAAATGGCTGATTGGTTCGGCTGGTAGGAACCTCTGTCTGGCACTCTGACTTTGGCTTCTATAATCTTCTTTATGTCTTCTAAGTATTAGGTTGGTGAAAAATTAATTGCAAATTGCATTTTTTGCCCTTAAAAGTAATGGGAAAAACCACTCCAACAGCACCTTCTTTTGCTCTTCCACCAACCCAGGGCTATTTTCTCCTCAGAGAAGTGGCAGATGGAAACAGGGAAGTTACAAGGGTGCATGTTGCTTTTTTGGCAATGGATCTAGGACTGTGTAAAGGAAAATTTGGTAGATTTTCGAAGAATCCTGATAAGTGTATTATTTTTTATTTTTATTTTTTCTACAGCAGGGTCTTGTTCTGTTGCCTAGGCAGCAATACAGTGGCCTGATCATAGCGCACTGCAGCCTTGAACTCCGGCTTTGAGCCATCCTTCTGCCTCAGCCTCCCGAGTAGCTGAGACTACAGGTGTGTGCTACCATACCCAGCTTATTTTCAATATTTTTTTGTAGACACAGAGTGTCTCTATGTTTCGCAGGCTGCTCTCAAGACTCCTGGGCTCAAGCAATCCCTCTGTCTTGGTCTCTGAAAATGCTGGGATTACAGGGATGAGCCACCATGGCCAGCCTCTGAGTTTAGAGATAAATTTTGTTAAACTAAATTTAGCATTTTCATTACATGGCAGGATGTTATGGTCATTCTGGCACACTGTTGCACTACTGATGAGAAAGAACACATGTTTAAGAAGGTTAAGAAATGTGCAGATGGCCAGGTGGCCACCAACCTCTCAATATGCTGTCATTTATGTAAGGGGAGATGCAGTCCCAGCACAAGATCCCAAGTGGGACTGCAATGTAGATAATGCTAACTTGAGCCACTTGGTCACTTGCCTGACTGAAGGAATGAGGTAATGTATAGTAAAACCTGTTAACTATGACAGGGTCAGAGAAATCACCCAGGGAAATGAGGAGAGCCCAGCAGTCTTCCTCAATTGAGTCACTGAGGTCCTTAAGAAATACACCAGTGCAGGCCAGAGTCAGGGGAGGGGAGGGCTTTGCTTGCCATGCATTTTATCACTCAGTCAGATCCGGATGTTAGAAGGAAATACAGGAGCTGGAGGCAGGACCCCAGACCCTGCTGTCGACCTTGGTGGAGAAGGCTTTTAAGATTTTCAATAACAGGCCTGGTGCAGTGGCTCACACTTGTAATCCCAGCACTTTGGGAAGCTGATGTGGGTGGATCACGAGATCAGGAGATTGAGACCATCCTGGCTAACACAGTAAAACCCCATCTCTACTAAAAATAAAAAAAATTAGCCAGGCATGCTGGTGAGTGCCTGTAGTCCCAGCTACTTGGGAGGCTGAGGTGGGAGAATGGCATGAACCTGGGAGGTGGAGCTTGCAGTGAGCTGAGATTGCACTCTAGCCTGGGCGACAGAGCGAGACTCCCTCTCAAAAAAAAAAGGATTTTCAATAACAGAGACAGGACAGAGGAGGCTGATGAGGAGATTGGCCAAGATAGCATGGCTTTCAGCTGCCTTTATCCATCAGCCACCTCAGGGTGACCCTACCAGGCCCAGGAGAACTGACAACTGATTAAAGATAAGTGGCCTTGGACAGACCCAATATGCACATTACAGGAGGGAGGGCCCCTGGAAGAGGGACTGCCCTGACTGCACTAAAATAAGATGGCTGGCAGGCAACCCTGGCCAGCTACCCCCCCTTGCCAATCTCTCAGATGAGAGATCAATGCACACCAACTGACAGGGCCTGAACTCCTGCCCAGCTCCAACTGCAGCACATTCCATTGTTATCATGCCAGCAGAGCCTCAGCTCACCCTTGATCTGGCAGGTAGGAAAACTGAGTTCCCTGTGGACAGTGGAGCCACCTACTCTGTCCTGACCCAGCCTATTGACCCCCTCTCCAACCATGACTGCATGTTAATGGGAATAGACTGATGGCCTAAGGCAAGAAAATTTACTTTCCCTCTTCCTTGGGAGGCTGGGTCTAGACTTATTTGTCACTCATTTCTGTTTGTCCCTACATCTCCTACTCCATTTTTGGGTAGGGACTTATTAAGCAAAATGGGAGCCACCATCAACCTGGAAGAAGACAGAGTGCAGTTGGAGGTAGAGCCAGAACGTGGAATCCACTTGCTAGCACTCTTAAATGGACAGGAACTGGAGAACTCAAACATTTCTGAGGAAATCAAGGATCAAGTAAAGACTTTCATATGGGAGGGGCCAATAATGTTCCCCTAGTAAAAACAGACCTAAAGCCTGGGGGTGGGCTACTTGTGGAAGGAACAGTTCCCCTTAAAACCTAAGGCACTGAACAGGATTCAGCCATTACTCCACAGATTCCTACAGCTTAGGTTAATTAAACCGTGCCAGTTCCCTTGCAACACCCTGATCCTCCCTGTCAAAAAGCCTAGTGGAGAATATTGGTTTATGTGAGACTTCCAGGAGGTTAATGAGGCAGTCATTCCCATCCACCCAATGGTCCCAAACCTGTACACCTTGCTCACCCAGATCCCTAAAGATGCTCAGTTTTTTTACTGTGCTAGACTTAAAGGAGGCTTTTTTGTGTGTGTACTCCTCTATCCAGAATCCCAATATCTTTTTGCTTTTGAATGGAGAAATCTCGACATGCAGGAAGCCACACAATACAAGTGGACTGTTCTTCCCCTGGGGTCTAGGAGAGCACCTACCTTTTTGGGAAGCATTGGCTAAAGAGCTCAGGGAGCTAAGCCTATGGAATGGAACTTTATTACAATATGTGGATGACTTGTTAATTGCCAGCTGGACAGGGCAGGATTTAGATTTTAATACCATTAAAACCCTGAATTTCCTCACTGAGAGTGGATACAAGGTCTATTCAAGACCCAGATTTATTTACAAAACATTCAGTATCTGGGGTTCCTTCTGATCCCAGGAGCCCACATTCTGGCTGGGGATTGGAAAAAGGTAATCACGTCATTGCTGGTCCCATAAACAAAAAGGCAGCTCAAAGGTTTCTTGGGAATGGTGAGCTTCTGTCGTATTTGCATTCCAAATTATGACCTGACAGCTAAACCCTTATGTGAGACCCTAAAAGGGGAAAAAACAGAGCCCTTGTACTGGGATAAGAAATGCCAACAAGTTTTTGAAGCCTTAAAAACTGAGTTGGGTCAAGCCCTCACCCTTGGACTCCCCAACTTAGAAAAACCATTTATCTTGTATATTTGTGGGAGACTAGGAATAGCTTTGGGAGTCTTAATCCAAAGGTTAAGACCTGTTCAGTGGCTGGTGGCTCATTTTTCAAAACAGTGGGACCCAGTTGCACAGGGGTGGCCTTGCTGCTTGATGGCAGTGACAGCCACTGCCCTACTGGTTAGTGAAGCCTCTAAGCTGATTCTGGGTTAACATATATAAGTTATGACATCCTACCAGGTTCAGACTGTGTTAGAAGTCAAGAGACACAATTGTCTCACTTGGTGGGGGGGAGACTGACCAAACACCAACCTCTCTTATTAGACACCCCAGACATTACTTTGAGTATATGTCAGACCCTGAAGCCAGCAACTTTAGTCCCAACCACAGATGATGAGGGCTTATGACGGTGCAGAGAGACCATAAAACAGACATTCTCCAGCAGGCCTGACTTATGAGATCAGCCTTTTGAGAACCTGGAGGCAGAATGGCATACTGATGGCAGTAGCTTTGTGGAGGAAGGAACCTGAATGGCAGGATATACAGTAGTAAGCCTGAATGAGACTACAGAAGCTAAAACCCTTCCTCCCCAAACCTCAGCACAAAAAGCAGAACTGATGGCCTTCATCAGAGCCTTACAACTGGGAGAAGGGGAGCGAGTACGTGTATACACTGACTCAAAGTATGGGTTTCTTGCACTGTGTGGCCATGCAGACATATGGAAAGAAAGGGGAATGTTAACAGCTAAAAATTCCCCAATCAAACATAAGGACCCAGTCCTACTTCTCCTGGAAGTGGTACAACTTCCCTGCCACATAGCAGACATTCGCTGCAAGGGCCACCAGAGAGACAGGTCCCTCATTAGCCAAGGAAATAATAGGGATGATAGGGCCACAAAGCAGCCTGGTTACAGGAACCCAGCAATGTGTTGTCCTTAATGATAGACCCCACCAACCTTCTGAATCACCCACGATACTCACAAGAAGAGCTAGAGGAGGAAAACAATGATGGATGGTTCCCAGATGGTGATAAGATTTTTATTCCGGGAACTGACCAGTAGAAACTTATTAAGCATCTCCATGATGCCATTCATTATGGGACAGATGTTTTATGGAATATTGTATATAAAATATTAATTGAAAAGGGATTGAGAAAAACTAAAATAAGTAACCTTTGCCTATGAACTGTGTTCCCAGAATAATCCCCAAACCTATCCAGTTCCTCCCTCTTGACTTAAGCTGGTTCAACACAGGGGAACTTATCCAGGAGAAGACTGGCAGGTAGATTTACTCAAATGCCCCCAAATCTAGGATACAAATATCTCCTGGTGTTTGTGAATACTTTTATTGGGTCACTCAAGGCTTTTCCTATTCATACAGAAGGAGCAGTAGAAATCTATAAATCTTTACCAAAATAAATATTAATAATTTCTTGATTTGGACTCCCCAAATCCCTTCATAGCAATAATTCGCCCTCCTTTGTGGCTAAGATTACCCAGAGCCTCTTCACATCGTAGGAATAGATTAAAGACAGTGCCATCCTGGCACCCCCAATCATCAGGTAAAGTTGAAAAGATGAACTATATTCCTAAGCTGATTCTAGAAAAGCTTTGTCAAGAGACCTACAGCCCTGGGTTACGATGCTCCCAGTTGCACTTCTTAGAGTCTGCATGGCCCCTTGGGGCAGCCTAAGACTTAACTCTTCTGAGATGATCTATGAGAGGAGTTTCCTCACCACTGACCTCCTGTTAGATGGACAATTAAATTAAAAATTATAATATATAATTAATTTAGGACAGGTTCAAAAGGCAATTTCAGAATATGGGAACAAAATCCTGCCAGTCTCCACTAAAGATGGGGAAACCCCTTTATGGATTAATCCAGGAAACCAAGTCCTCCTTAAGACTGGGAAGGAGGACTTCCTGGAGGAACAACCATTGGCTAAATGGAAGGCACTTTACTTGGTGATCCAAACACCCAGTAAGGTACAGAGGTGTACCCTAACTGAGGATTCCTTGTATCCCTAGCTGGGTACACCTCACCTGATTAAAACATCTTTTCTCCTAAATGTTTCTAGACATGCCCAGAAAGCCCATCTTACTCATGTGAACCTATGGATGATCTCAAATACCTGTTCAAGAGAGCCAGTTCATCCCTGGAGTAATGTGGTTAGAGATCTTGAGTCCAGTAATTCTCCTTACAATATGAATTGTTTTACAATTATTCTGTTGCTTTGCTCAGCCTCCTCCCCTGGTAAACACCTCTTTTATCCCTGCTGCATATAGTTATGCTCCTCTTTACTTTGTTCCTACTCCTCCATGTAGGGGGACGTGGTGGGCTGGGCCCTCTTGAAAAGGGAAACAAACTCTCTCATCTACCTTTCTGGCATTGCAGCTTTGGGTAATAATTTGTCCAACTGCTGGATATGCCACCATCATCAGCAGGCTCAGGGGCTGCCTCTTTCATTCCCTAAAAGCTCGACTACCAGTTTCACAAAGGAGGTATGGGAACCTAAAGTAACCCCTGCACCTCTCATGGTACACCTAAGTGCCTCATTTCCTGTGAATGTATAAACCTCACTGGCCTGCTAAATGCTTCAGTCATCGAAAGGGTGGGAAAAGGGGAAGTTGAAATGCCTACTTTGACATCTCACAGGCTTTTCCCTCATCAGTTTTTTTTTTAAAAAAAGCCCTAATCAAACGTGGACTAGGGGAGTTCGTCTTTCTCTCCCAATGCCCAAAACAGTCATACCTCTCTGCAAAGCTCAGTCAGTCACCTGCATTCCTCTTGCCCCATGTAAATTGCACACCCCTAGGATATGTGTCCTTTTGTGGACACCAAGACCATTTGGCCAACAGCTATCCACTAACCAATTTCACATGTCCATTACTCATACCAGCATGCCCTTGTGTCTATAATGTATAACACACTGCACCCTTAGGTACTTTGAGCCCCAATGGAATAACAGTTCATAACAGCACACATCCAAAATCTAAAAGGCTGACAGGTTTACAGCTAATTTTGGCATGAGTTGGAATAGCTATCCGTTTAGCAGACACTTGGGGGTGGCTTTGCATACTGTGAGGCAACTTTGAGGAAGTTAACAGAAACCCTTCAAACACTGTCAACCAGTACGAGGGAAAATTTAAAAGAACTTCAGGCTTCCCTAGACTCCCTAGTCAATGTTGTCTTAGACCAGAGATTGGCCCTGGACTATCTTCTAGCTGAACAAGGGGGAGAATGCACAGAATAAACCACACCTGTTGTTCTTATGCTAACAATTCAGGGTTAGTTGAACTGCAAGTTCAAAAGATTTACCAACAGGCTACCTGGATGCACAATTTCAAAAACCCCACTTCTCAGACCATCTGGGACTTCATCAAAGGATACTTACTATGAGTGACAGAATTTTTACCTTTCCTTGGACCCTAGGTGGTCATTTTATTGCTATTACTTTTCGGGCCTTGTATTTTTAACCTTTTGGTAAAGTTTGTATCTTTCAGGCTTCAATAGTTTCAAGTCAAGCTAATGATGGCCCAAGGATTTCAACCCATATCATTCCAGAAGGATCTCTGTCCCTGCAGGTCTATAGAACAGTCAGTGAGAGACTTCCACACCCTCCAAGATTAGGCATGGAAGACAACCCTGTTCAGCAGGAAGTAGCTTCAGAAGATGAGATCTTTGGTTCTTTCTCTTTAAGAATAAGGAGGGGAAAGGTGAAATCTCTCAGCGGGGAATTGAGATAGAATAGGAATGGGATGCAACTCCTCCTTCACATATGTTTTCTTCTCTTTTTTTCTCTCGTCCCAGTGATCACAAAATTCACACCGTTACCTTGCTGGCAATCTACTTGCTAACCCCAAGGCTTTAGTCATACCAAGCAAATAGCCATTCTTCTGTGCTCTCATGATGTTTAACCATGCCTTTTACTTAAAGAATTCCAGGAACTGGCCTTTGGAAATCCAAATATCAAACCAAGGTTAAGAGTGTCCCACCTTGGGAAGGAATGCTCAGCAATCATTTGCAGCCTTGTTGCTGTTGGCCAGACCCGCCAGGTGGCCCATGACTCAAGATGATCAATGTAATCAGATACGCTGACCGCATACCCCACCCCTCAGGTGCTTTGCCTACTCCAGCCTGCACACATTACCCTTGACACCCATTCCCATGCTTTGCCTAATAAAAATATCCCTACCAGCTTTTTTGGGGAGTCAGCTGGAGAGTCCTTGAGTCTCTGCTGTTTCCCTTGCACTCAAGCACAAGCCCTGAAATAAAAGGCTTGTCTAGGACATCTGCGTGGCTCAGTGTTACTTTTTATTACATGGGGAACCAAAGAGCCTGTGATTTGTACCAATAGCATAACATGAGCATGGGTATAATAACTCATACTCACAGTTCCAGGGATTAGGGCAGGAAATCCTGGGGGACTATTTTGGCATTTTGTCCGATCCAAGCCCTCATTTGTTATCCATGTATCTTATTCATCCATAGTCCAGTATCTTCTCAAAGAGCTCCTCTTCTAAGAGTAATTTCTTGCTTGCATTGTCCAAGAAGAAATTGCTTAGTTGCTTAGTTCAAATCTCTTTCTATTTGGCCTGGACAGACATAGCTAGTGTATCTAAGTCAAGTATATCTTTAAAATATGCCCCAGACCCAGGATTAACAGAATTGAAATTACTATTAAATTGCAGATTCCTCCCATTTTACCTGAACTCATTATTAATTATAGAGTTATATATAATGAATGTTTGAACTACAATGATGTAAGCTTACTTCCCCAGCTAATGCTCTTCCATGAGCCCAAAATCTTTCAATAGATACAAATTGGAATTGGAATTGGAAAAACTTTTGGCCAATGTGTAGCAAGCTTTCCAGAGAAGTATTTGTCACTGACATTGTTGAAACCTAAATAGACTTCTCCCTTAGGATCCTCATGAAAGTCTGGAAATATCAATCATCCCTTAAACATAGTCCAAGATTTTCTGTTTTCTGGTTTTTACAAACTGTCAGTTTTGATTTTTATTGAGCAATAAGAAGCTTGGTTGTTTATTGGAACAAACAAGGCTAGTAACAATTCTTTCCAAGTGCTGGATCTTTCCATTCACTTAAACTAAATAAAGTATTTCTGGTATGTCCGTAAGAGACAAGAGTGTGGAACGGCCGAGCGTGCCTCTGAAAGGATTTGTGGTGCTCCCTGGGGGTCCCTTCCCCACGATCAACCTATTTGTTTTTTTGTTTTCTTTTTAAATATTTGCAAACACAAAATGGATACAAATTCTAATTCCCCTTTGGTAGAATTGGAAGATAGTGAAATAATGAATAAATTAGGAGTTGAAATTCCATGGCAATGTCTTTATTTTAAAGCAAACAAACCGAGCACCGTGGAGTATGAACAAAGGGCTTAGACATAGTGAGCCTGGATACTCCCCACTGGAGTGGTCAGGTGTGGCGTGGGGTGGTGGAGAGGGGCAGTGGCAGTGGGCACTTTTGTGGTGTGGTCTGTCAGTAGTGGATGGTGAATAACCAGTTCTTGAGACTCAGGGTGGGACTGAGGGCATAGCCAAGACTGTAAGTTTAGGCTTTTTCCTCATCTGATCGAAGGGCTCTTTTCATTCCCTTCTCTCAGGAGAGTAGTGTTTTCAAGTCTCTCTACTTTTTTTTTTTTTTTTTTTTTTTTTTTTTTTTTAGATGGAGTCTTGCTGTGTAACCCAGGCTGGAGTGCAGTGACATGCTCTCGGCTCACTGTGACCTCCGCCTCCTGGATTTAAGCAATTCTCCTGACTCAGCCTCCTGAGTAGCTGGGATTACAGGCGCCCGCCACCACACCCAGCTAATTTTTGTATTTTAGTGGAGATGAGGTTTCATCATGTTGTCTAGGCTGGTCTCAAACTTCTTACCTTAAGTAATCCACCTGCCTCAGCTTCCCAAAGTGCTGGGATTACAGGTGTGAGCCACCGTGCCCGGCCTCAAGTCTCCCTTTGAGGTTCCTTTGCTTTGTACAACCACAGAGGAAGGGGATTTTTTTTTTCTCTTTTGCCCTTCAAGAAGCTCCTTTCCTCCCAGCTTATATTAGTACCAATAAAGAATACCTCTAGGTAGAAATATATTTCTAAATTTCCACTTTTTTCCATAAGTGTTATAGGATTTTTTTTTAAAAAAAAAACATGATCACAAAGTTTCACATCCAATAAATTCAATTGGTGAGTTGATGGTTTTAGAAATCAGTTCCAATTACCCATAATTCTATGGGGTTTCTTTCTTACTTAGTGACTTAGTGATGTGAATATATACACAATTTTTCTCTATTTTAAAGCGACTAGTCTTTTTATGGCGTGCTTTTCTTAAATCTGTTGACTTTCCAGTGACAAATCAATGATTCTTCTCCTCTCTACTGCCTCGTTGCTCCTTGACTGATCTGCTGATTGATAAGTCTCAACTGAGAATAGAAGGACTCATTCTATTGAGTTGAGGATGTTTTGTTCCTTTGTGTGAAAATCGTCTTGGACAAATTGCTTGAAGTATAAGTCAAATCTTTTTTTTTTTTTTTTTTGAGACGCAGTCTCACTCTGTCGCCCAGGCTGGAGTGCAGTTGCACGATCTCAGCTCACTGCAACCTCCGCCTCCCGGGTTCAAGCAATTCTCTGCCTCAGCCTCCACAGTAGCTGGAACTACAAGCGCCTACCACCACTCCCAGCTAATTTTTGTATTTTTAGTAAAGACGGGGTTTCACCATCTTGGCCAGGCTGATCTTGAACTCCTGACCTCATGATCCATCCACCTCAGCCTCTCAAAGTGCTGGGATTACAGGAGTGAGCCACCACGCCCGGCCAAGTCAAATCTTATTTTTTTAAAAAAACTTGTGACTAGGCACGGTGGTTCATGCCTGTAATCCCAGCACTTTGGGAAGGCCAAGGTAGGCGGATCACCTGAGGTCAGGAGTTTGAGATCAGCCTGACCAATATGGTGAAACCCCATCTCTATTAAAAATGCAAAAATTAGCTGGGCATGGTGGCATGCACCTGTAATCCCAGCTACTTGGGAGGCTGAGGCAGGAGAATTGCTTGAACACGGGAGGCAGAAATTGCAGTGAGCTGAGATCATACCACTGCACTCCAGCCTGGGTGACAGAGCAAGACTCTGTCTCTAAATAAATAAATAAACAAACAAACTTGCCAATATTGACTGACTCCTTTATTCCATGTGCTACTGCACTTACAGATGAACTATTATATAACTCAAAGTATGTTTTAGCTGAAGGAGTCATAGACTCTAGTTAGTCCAAACTTCTCATTCTACAGATGAAGACCATGAGGTCCAGGCAATTTTAATGAATAAGCCCAAACTCAAACCCTCACCAACAGTTTAAAAATTTTATACTAGAGTTTCTGATGTTAAGGTAGTTCAATCTCATCCGAGTTCCAATGAAAAGGATATAATCAGGGATACAAGCTCTTTTCTGACATTTATTTTAAACACATGTCCCATTGTCAGGTTTAGCACTTAACTGGTGCTTGCCCACATTCCTGCCAAAGCACACAAATTGTCAGGAAATTAAATTTTTGATTCATCTTTTGTTTGATAGAAATGGAATATTTGAATAAGGTGGTATTTGAAGTTCCTCACTTACAGTTAAACATGGCTATTTCTGTTCATTTTTATGACGTGTTAAGCTGGCCGTGATGCTGTGCCCTAAAATATAATGCCCAGGATATTGCTGTTCCATTAAGCTGCCTGTTAGTGTGTATACCAGGAAAGGTCTTGCCTGACTTTAGTGTAGGCACAGGTAGGTTAGAAAAATCTACCTGCGGCTGGGCACGGTGGCTCACGCCTGTAATCTCAGCACTTTGGGAGGCCGAGGTGGCTGGATCACAAGGTCAGGATTTTGAGACCAGCCTGACCAACATGGTGAAACCCTGTCTCTACTAAAAATACAAAATTAGCCGGTGTAGTGGTGCACACCTGTAATCCCAGCCACTCAGGAGGCTGAAGGAGGAGAATCGCTTGAACCCTGGAGGCAGAGGTTGCAGTGAGCCAAGATGGCGCCACTGCACTCCAGCCTGGACGAAAGAGTGAGACTCTGTCTCAAAAAAAAAAAAAAAAGAAAAAGAAAAAAGAAAATAGAAAGAAAGAAAGAAAGACCTACCTGCCAGGCATTGCTACTTTTTTTTTTCCCCCACACTTATCAATAACAATATAATTATGATTACCATAAGCAACCAAAGTCCTAGAGTTTTGGATTATGTTTAAATAGCAATATCTTATATTTAAGATCTTGGTATTTTCACTACAGCTTGCATTACTGTAAGCCTAGACTTTCAAACATGGCCAGATGATGGCTGACATTGTAAATCTGACTTACCCAAACCAAATCACAACTTCCTCTGAAACAGTAGTTCTCAACTGAGGGTGATTCCGAGAACATTTAGAAATGCCTGGAGACATTTTTGATTATCACGACTGGAGGTAGAGGGAAGTGCAATACTATCAATTAGTGGGCAGAAGCTAGAATTCAGCTAAACATCTTATAATGCAAAGGACAACCTCCACAACAAAGAACTGGCTCAAAATACCAGTAATGTCAAGGCTGAGAAACCCTGCTCTGAAAAGAGAGTTGCCAGTCTGTACACCAAAGAAGAATGCAGTATGATTAATATTCTTAAAATTTTTAGAGTAAGTTGCCAAATAAACATTCAAGATTACAGCCCAAAATACCATTCTTCAGAGGAAACCAGAATATGCCAAAGTGGAAAATGTATATTTAATGGGTTTAACTGAAGGCCAAAAAAGACAACTAAATATAAACACAGTGGTATAAATTTTGCCATATACATATTTTCATACATACATACTTTAGAAACTGACACACATACACACAAAAACTTCATCAAGATTTAGGGGTAATGAAGCTCTCTCTCTCTCTTTTTATATCTCATCCACTAGGGCTCTGGGACCCTTGCTATTTATATTTTTATATTTTTAAGCTTCAATATAGGAATCCTCATATGAGCTATTGTTTATTATCCAGCCTAATATTTTCTGTGTCAACTTTTTTTTTTTTTTGAGTCAGAGTCTCACTCTGTTGCCCAGGCTGGAGTGTAGTGGCACTGTCTCAGCTCACTGCAACTTCCACCTCCCAAGTTCAAGGGATTCTCCTGCCTCAGCTTCCCGAGTGGCTGGGATTACAGGCACCTGCCACCACGCCCGGTTAATTTTTTGTATTTTTAGTAGAGATGGGGTTTCACTATGTTGGCCAGGCTGGTCTCGAACTCCTGACCTCATGATCTGCCCGCCTTGGCCTCCCAAAGTGCTGAGATTACAGGTGTGAGCCACCTTCCCCAGCCTGTCAATGGTATTTTACCAGTTAGTTTTTGCTGTATAACAAACCATCCCCAAATTCAAAAGCTTTTGTGAATAAAGATTTACTTTCACGTTCTTGGGCTCATTGAATGGATGGTCTACATCAGACTCAGCAGGTGGTTCTGCTTCAGGCTATTGGGTCTTGCTAGGCTCAGCTCTTCACTGTGGGTTGGACTAGGATTTGCTACATGTGTGTTTTTTTGCCCAGGCTAAAGGAGCAGCAGCTGCTTATGGGAGATTCTTCTGATGGCAAATGTGCAAATCAGGGAGCAGAAACATGCAAGGTACCTTTAAGCCCAGGCTTCAGACTGGCACACTGTCACTTCTGCCCATCATTGGCCAAAGTGAGTCACACAGCCACGCCTGACATCAATATTCTCTGCACATGACAAAGAGTGTAGAAATGGGAGGAGAAGAATTGGGAACAATTATGCTATCTACAACAGGTATTACAGCTATTCCTTGTGACATCATCTCAAAAGTTTAATGGGTCAATGTAATGCAACTCTAAAACCTTGCAAATACCCATTTTCACTATATCGTTTATAAACTTATCTAATTTTCTAGAAGTTTATTTTCTTTTTCTTTCAGTGTGAAATTTAAAATCTTATGTTACAATAAATGGAAAGTACAAAAGACTAAATTAAAGAAAAAAATCCATAATATTACAGTCTACAGAAAATTACTATTGCTATTTGGGTACATTTACTTTTTGCATTGAATTGTTTTGAGATTATAGAAGAAATTTTTGCCTATGTTGAGAATTTGGAAAATAGTAAAAAGCATAAAACTTCCTTGAAATCCTACTACACAATCATTGTCTCTGTTACCTTTTTTTCCTATGCACAGATTTTTTTTACCTAGTTGGGATTATACATACAATATATGATTTCTTAATTTTTATTTTCCTGGCCAAACTACATATTAAGCATTTCCCATGTCATTAAATGTTTTACAAACAAAATGTTAATAGCAGTCAAATATTCCAACATTTGTCTTTGATACAATTATTTTAAAAATCTCTTTTATCTTCATCGGTTAATCCTTTTAAAATTGTGCTTTCTTTGCTATTTATAAAGCACATTTTTTTTTTTCTTAAGATGGAGTCTCACTCTGTCACGCAGGCTGGAGTGCAGTGGCGTGATATTGGCTCACTGCAATCTCTGCCTCCTGGATTCAAGTGATTCTCATGCCTCAGCCTCCTGAGTAGCTGGAATTACAGGTGCACAACGCCATGCCTAATTTTTGTATTTATTTATTTATTTTTTTTTAGTAGAAATGGGGTTTCATCATGTTGTCCAGGCTGGTCTCGAACACCTGGCCTCAAGGGATCCACCTGCCTTGGCCTCTCAAAGTGCTAGAATTATAGACATGAGCCACTGCATCTGGCCAGTAATGCACATCTTTGAAAAACCATTAAAGACCATGGGAGTATATCCCAGATATTGATCAAATTCTGGTTTTATTCAACTTTCACATAAATAGTCATTTTAAAAAACTATTTCTGGTAAAGTTAACCAAAATAGGAACCAGAATTCATCAGGGCCAATACAAGTCTCAATAGTTCTTTAAAGGTTTCTACCTGGCTTATTTATTATTCTGGAACTAATAGCAATATTTGCTTTCCAGTGATACTTTCTAGTGATTTTCTTCTAAAGACAGTATGATAAATACTTCATTTGGTGATTATGTAGCTAAGAGATGTATTAAGGCCTTAAATCACAGAAATCTGACAGTTTATAATGTCAGCTGCTTTCCATTCTAAGTGCTTCCAGGGCAGCACGTAGAGTTCTAAGGACTCACATGTCCCTGGCTGGCCACCTCGGATGTATAGAATACTTACATGTTGTGAGGCTTCGAGTATTAGCAGATACAAATGGCTTAAGGATTAAGTTCTGAATGTTTAACCCAAATTGCCCTTCATATCCTACAAACTGACATTGAATTGAGTTAAAAGAAATGTACAAACCAGGTGTGTTGGTTTCCCGAGGCTGCCCTAACAAAGTTCCACAGACTGGGTGGCTTAAAACAACAGAAATGTGCCACGCATGGTGGCTCATGCCTGTAATCCCAGCACTTTGGGAGGCCGAGGCAGGCAGATCACTTGAGGTCAGGAGTTTGAGACCAGCCTGGCCAACATGTCAAAATCTCATCTCTACTAAAAATGCAAAAATTAGCTGGGCATGGTGGTGTGCACCTGTAATTCCAGCTACTCGGGAGGCTGAGACACAAGAATCGTTTGAACCCGGGATGCAGAGGTTGCAGTGAACTGAGATCATGCAACTGCACTCCAGCCTGGGTGACAGAGTGAGACTCTGTCTCAAAAAAATAAAAAATTAAAATTAAAAAAAAAAAACAACCACCAGAAATGTATCATCTCCCATTTGCAGAGACCAAAACTTCAAAAGCGTCAGCAGGGCCATGTTCCCTTTGAAGCCTGTAGGGGAGAATCCTTCCTTGCCGCATCCAGCTTGTGGTGTTTCCCTGAAATCACTGGCATTCCTTGGCTTGTGGATGCATCACTACAATCTGTCATCACATGGCCATCTCTCCTTGTGTGTCTTTTCTCCTCTCTATAGGGACATCAGTCATATTAGGTTAAGGGCTCATCCTACTCCAGTATGACTTTATCTTAATCCCATCTACAATGACCCAATTTCCAAATAAGGTCACATTCTGAAGCACTGAGGGTTAGGACTTCAAAGTATCCTTTTGAAGGACAGAATTCAACCCACAGCACCAGGAAATGGGAAGCTAAAGTTCTGAATAAATGAAATACCCCATAAGAGTATGTGTTCTTATTGCTTAGCTGGAAACTGAATAAATAATAAAAACATGTTTCTGCAATTGTGGAATGGCTTTAATTAATAGAACAATGGAAAGTTCCCCTTTGGTCACTTACCAACACTTACTCTGTTTTAATTTCAAACTTAAAGAATGTCATTCTGAGAGGTTCTGTTAGCATTCTGAGAGCACGGCATCTCTACATAGGATGGTCACAACATTCTTAAGGTAACCTCCTGAGTTAATTACTGTTTTCTCTGGGTATTTTCCAACTTTCTCTGAGTTTCAACATTAGTGATATGATGCAGGATAACAGCATTGTGTGATATAGGAAGATATATGGCCAGAAGGGACAGATTTTTCTAACTCTTCTTACAATCTGAGATTTGGCTAATTAAGCCCATCTCAGTTGCAAATGAGCCAAAGGAGAAGATCTTTCCCAGAATATGGCTTGATTAGAAAAGTCTGCCCCAGTGTATTTCAGCTGCAGGCCAACCAGCAATGTCCTGAATCACCAAAGAGAGCGTCAATCATGGGCTTCCTCCTATTGCTCTCCTTGATAAGTAGTTATTGCCCACAGCAGCTTTCAGAAAGCAGTTATGGATACCCCAAAGCTCATTTATTGACTGTCACGTAATAAGTCAGTTACACACAGACACTGTCTATTGCTGAATTGTACATGCTTTATTCAACCAACTGTGCTTATGGAATACCCCTGGTAGTATGAAAAAAATGTGTAGCATGTAAAATAAGCTCACTGGTGAGACAGATTTATAAAACACTCAGAACAAATTCATCAAAGAAGACACTTAAAAAGGTTAGGATTAATCTTAAGATATTTTTTAAAAATTTTTAAATATATTTTTTCTTCATTCAGGACTGTTGTTTTGTTTTGTTTTGTTTTGTTTTGTTTGAGACGGAATCTCACTTTGTTGCCCAGGCTGGAGTGCAGTGGTGCGATCTCGGCTCATTGCAACTTCTGCCACCTGGGATTCAAACGATTCTCCTGCCTCAGCCTCCTGAGTAGCTGGGATTACAGGCACCCCGCCACCACACCCGGCTAATTTTTATATTTTTAATAGAGACAGGTTTTCATCATGTTGGCCAGACTGGTCTTGAACTCCTGACCTCAGGTGATCCGCCTGCCTCGGCTTCCCAAAGTGCTGGGATTACAGGCATGTACCACTGCACCTGGCAACATTTTAAATTGTTAATATGCCTCTCCGTAGAATTGTTAATTGCTACCATGTAAACGTTATTGAATTAATTGCCCCATTCTTAAAGTAGGCACATCATTTTCTAAGATAAAAATCTGAAACAAAAATAACCAAGTGACTTTCTATGATCCTAAAGGGTTGGATAAAATTAGGATGCTTGTTTATAATTTCTGTTGTCACTAAGTGCACACTCACGGAAACATATACACTGTGTGTTTGCTGAGCACATTTTTATATGCCCAGTGCTCTGTCCTATAGGACTTTCATGTATTATCTAACTTGCAGTAGCTTTATGTTGTGGGAATTATTGTCATTCCCATTTTAAAGATGAGGAAATTGAGGACTAGACGGGTTAATTTATCTATGGCCCAAGCTAGTAAGTGGTACAACATGGATATGAACCTACGGGGGCAGTGCCAGAACCTGAGTTCTTCCTAGGTCGTTTATTCTCATTTCTCTAAAAATAATCCTTAATCTGTCTCTTCTGTCCTTGTTGAAGACATTCTGTGGCTGTGGCTGCAGCCAATGCGCATTCCAGAATTTATCACTGATTCAGGGTGAGCTTAGTTGTGTGAACAGTAAATTTATGGATCCAGGATGCTGGAAGCAGCACCACCTTGGATCAGAACAATTCATCCCTGTCATTGCCTTTGTTATAGGTTTCCCATGATGTCACTGCTGAAGGCAGGGTATAGACTGAAAGGGTTGGCATCCCCTGAAGCAAAGGCTCAGACAGGTTTGTGCAATGGGGCCATTGCTCCCTAGCCCATCCTCAGAAGGCCAAGACTCCTCTAAATTGAATGCAGGTTGGGGGTGTCAGGGGTGCCAAGTAACTCCCTCGAATTCCTCCCAGCTCACATGAGCTGTTATTCTTCCTGTGGAAAGTAACCACTGCAAGCATTCAGTATGAGAATGAGGATTCTGTGAGATTATAAATAACATCCCCGTTCCTCCACTCCCCATGAGCATATTCCAGGAAAACATTTTGGGAGCCTAGAGGAAGATGAGTAACTAGAAGCAACTTTGGCCAGCTGTGACTATGGCCAAAGCATGCATTTTGAGGTTAGAGTGCTGTGGTTTAACTCTGCCACAGTGAGCTGCTGTGAGGACCACTGTTCCTCTCTGATTTGTTTCTGAAATTTATCATTTGCATACAGAAACACTCTCCGCAAAAAGCAAAAATAAAATCAAATAAAGAAATAGCCGACTCTCTTGATTGAATTATATGAGGTATTAGGGAGCTGCCGGGATAGCCCTCCTGATGGGAATGAGAGGGATGGGGAAGAAGGGCTTACTAACATCATCACCATTGCTCACATTGTTTGTCAAGGCTTTCTCGTGATGTTTTATCGGGGACAGGGGATGACATTCAGGCTCAAGGACTTGTTGGCCATGAAGAATGGGGGAGGGCGCTGTTCCTTTCCTATACTCACAAGAGGTTTCTGCTACTTTGATCCTTAAAAGTGAGGCCATAGCCCCCCACAAAGCAGTGCTGCCTGCAAAGAGGCATGTTCAGTGCTGAGCGCACAGACATCTCCTTCCCACCCAGTCCTGGGCTCTCTGCTCCCCATCGCCTCTGGCAGACCTCACTCTGATTACAGTAACTTCCCAGCGGGGACCAGGCCACCTCCAACAATCACAGCACCTCATTAAACCATCGCTTCTAACCTCCTCTCCCACTCCGCCTTCTGGCAGGACTGTGCCAATAGGGAAAGCCTCTGATGGATTTTTAATTCTATTTCCTTTCCCTCCCTTAGACTGGGAAGGTCTAGTGAGGTAACTGAGCAGTGAAGAGTTTCAGGGAGAGCTGGAATCTAAGGGTCTAGAAACCCACAAGCTGTTCATGATGTGAATAATCAACTATTGACTGAGCCATGAGCACTGACCCAGATTCATGGAGAGGGGACAGAATCCCAAGCCTGGGTATGTCTGTGAGGGTGTTTCCTGCGGAGAGTCTCATCCTAGCGCTGGCTGCAGTCTGGACCATTAGCCCTTATCTTCAGATGCTTCTGCTTAGCACTCTGCCCACCCAGTGAGCCAGCTCTCACAGCTCCTGCCTGGCTGGGGTCAGTATTCTGCCTAGCTTGCTACCTCTTTCTATCTCTGTGGTTTTGTTAAGTCTTTTATCTTAGGGCATCTACACACCCAGACAGCCTCCTGCTATTTGCATTTTTTTCTCAGGAAAGCCAGCTATAGCTTCTGAAGATTTCAGAAGCTGGGTCAATAGAAGAGAACCAGAAAATCAAAAACAGAAGGCAAAGCAAGGCAGCTGACCTATGCTACAGCCTCCAGCACAGCTGAGGGGAATTGGGTGTGGCAGTGACCCACTGATCTGGAATGTTGGGTACCAACCCTCAGTTTTCATACCCAGAGCAGCTGGTCTTCCTTACTACAACAACGACGATGATGATAGTGATGACTAAGACGATGAATATGATAAGACTTTGCAAATAGCTTCATAAATGACATGTGAAATGAATGTAATCTAATCCTTTCCTTCAACCAGGGTGGAATCATTTAACAAGTAGGAGATGTACATCTGTGATGGCTAACTTTATTTTTATTTTTTGAGTCTCACTCTGTTGCCCAGGTTGGAGTGCAGTGGTGTGATCTTGGCTCACTGCAACCTCTGCCTCCCAGGTTCAAGCGATCCTCCCACTTCAGCCTCCCTAGTAGCTAGGTCTACAGCATGCACCACCATGCCTGGCTAATTTTTGTATATTTTGTGGAGATGGGCGTCTCCCTATGTTGCCCAGGCTGGTCTCAAACTCCTGGGCTCAAGTAATCCTCCCGCCTTGGCCTCCCAAAGGGCTGGGATTACAGGTGTGAGCCACTGTGCCTGGCCTGTGATGGTTGCCCTCAGGGGTCTCCTTGAATGGATTAAGGAATGCCTAAAAACCTGGCAACGCATTATTTCTGGGTATGTCTGTGAGGATGTTTCCTGCGGAGATTAGCACATGAGTCTGAGTGGATTCAGTGGGAAAGATCTGCCCTCAATGTGAATGGGTGTCATCCTCTCTGCCAGGGGACCCAGAAAGAACCAAAACAAAGGAAAGGCGAATGTGTCTGTCTCCTGGAGCTGGGAGACACTCTTCCTCTCCTGTCCTTGGACATCAGAACTCCAGCTGCTCCAGCCTTTCAACTCTAGAACCTACACCAGTGGCCTCCTGCATTCTCAGGCCTTTGGCCTTGGACTGAGAATTACACTATTGGTTTCCCTGCTTCTGAGGCTTTCCAAGTTAGACTGAGCCATGCTACTGACATCTCAGGATCTCCAGATTGTAGACAGCCTGTCGTGGGATATCTCAGCCTCTATAATCACATGAGCCAGTTCCCCTAGTAAATCCCCTCTCATATATCTGTATGCTGTATATATCCTATTGGTTCTGTCTCTCTGGAGAACCCGAATACAACATCCTACAAGAATGCCATAATGCACTAAATAGATCCCTTTTATTCATTATTCAACAATCATTTGTTGGGAATGTATTATATACAAGGCTTAAATGAAATATTCAAAGATATATAATGGGCCAGGCGCAGTGGCTCACGCCTGTAATCCCAGCATTTTGGGAGGCCGAGGCGGGTGGATCACTGGAGGTCAGGAGTTCGAGACCAGCCTGACCAACACGGTGAAACCCCGTCTCTACTAAAAAATACAAAAATTAGCTGGGTGTGATGGCGGGCGCCTGTAACCCCAGCTACTCCGGAGGCTGAGGCAGGAGAATCACTTGAATCTGGGAGGCACAGGTTGCAGTGAGCTGAGATCGTGCCATTGCACTGCAGCCTGGGAGACAGAGGGAGACTCTGTCTCAAAAAACAAACAAACAAACAAACATAAAGATATAAAAGGTTCCTTGCTTTTAAGTCTTTTTTTTTTTTTTTGAGACGAAATCTTGCTCTGTCACCCAGTTTGGAGTGCAATGACATGATCTTGGCTCACTGCAACCTACGACTTCCAGGTTCAAGTGATTCTTCTGTCTCAGCCTCCCAAGTAGCTGGGATTACAGGTGTGTACTACCACACCTGGCTAATTTTTTGTAATTTTAGTAGAGATGGGGTTTCACCATGTTGGACAGGCTGGTCTCGAACTCCTGACCTCAAGTGATCCACCTGCCTTGGCCTCCCAAAGTGCTGGAATTACAGGCATGAGCCACTGTGCCCAGCTCGCTTTTAAGTCTTAAACTTGGGCTTCAGGCTCTAGGCAAATCCTGAGTGGTCCTGAAATTTTTCTTGTAAATAATGTCCTCCTTTTGTTTGCATGCACATCCCTAACCCCCGCGCGCACCTGAAGTTGTTTTCTGGCTCTAGTAACGGCTGCAATCATTCATTTCCACCTGCTCACCAAGATCCCCCCTCAGATCTATGCATTTGCAAGATGGTAGCCTGGAATTCTGCACACAGCCTGTGGCCATGGAGCTCACCAGGCTGCCTGGCTCCTACCAGACTGCTCTTAGAATACCAGGGCCATAAATCACCCAACTTGGCTAACTAACTGTGAGTGGCAAGAAATCACTGAAGGACATCGTATGGAATGAACCTCTGATTCATTTCCTCTTTCCTTAAGGGAACCCTATGACTCTTTTGCAGGCAAAGCACAGGCTGCCCTGCTGGCTAACTGAGGTCACTAAGAATCTTTAAGGGTTTTAGGGAGACAGAACCTATCAGTGAAATGGTGGTGAGAGACTCAAAGGAGGTTTCTGTAGGGAAAGTAGCCTAGACAGTGACTCTCTGTGCTAAATAGACTTTAGATTTGTAAAAAGAGAGCCAGCCAGATGGGGTAGTGGCTGAGCACGTGCTCATCCAGGTCAGAGAGCCTGTTTCTGATTCCAGGCCCCACCACCTACTGGCCGTGGGGCTTCGGGCAAATGATGTTCCTTCCCATGCCTCAGTTTTCTCACCTAGAAAATGGGGATAGGCTTATTGTAAGGACTGGATGATGTAACACCAGCGAATCACCGAGAACAGTGCTTGGGATGGAGTGACCAGTCCATAAAGGATTGCCAGAATTGCTACTGAGGCATGATGGTGCACAAGCTCAACCTTGATAGTGATACCAGGAGGCTCGTGTTCTCCCCAGGAGCACATCAACGTCATAAGGCCGTGAAGAATGTGCAGACCATCCTCAGTCCAGCAGCAGCACACCAGCCTGGCAATAGATAGTGCTATCACAAACAGCATAATAGCCTTTTCAGGGACATCCAGACAGCTGCAGGGAAAAGGCCCTTCTCATGAGAAAAAATAAGGTGATAAGTGCTTGGGGAAAAGATTTTCAAATGTGTTTTGGTCTCAGTTTAATCTCGGGGAAAACAAATTTGTTTCTTTACATGGAGATTTCTTATACCAAAGTTCCCCTTACAGGATTGACAGCATTTTGAAAGCTTATGCTAAGTCTTGCTGTTTTCCTTAAATCCCCTAAACTGCTACTCTAAGTTTTCTTAATCTTGACCTTGGATTTCAGGGAATTCAGGCTAAAAGAAAAATAAAGCCGGCCTCAAAATAGTTACTGTGGGCTACAAGTTTCATAACATTGGGGAAGCATCCTATCAATGAGCTGGAGCAACTTTCACACTTTTCACAACTGTCTGGATTCGCAGAGAGGTGGTCCAGTGCTGCCGGATGGGTGGGGTTTCCATGGCAACGACACAGCTCGGCTCACTCTGATTTATTATTTGCTCACAGTATTGAGAACAACAGTTTGACCTTAAGACAAAGAAAATAGTTTTTCTAAGGATTGTTTAGTTTAGGTAGTTTAAACCACTTGCCTTCTGACCCTTTTCTTTGAGACTTGATTGAATGTTGATAGTGTTTTTGCATGAAGTGAGAAATAAATAAATACAGAGCCACGGAGCTGTCACCAATGGTACAGCAGCTCCTCAGAGTCATGGGGGTTTGGGGCTTTGAGGTCAAATGCAGGAATCTCCCATTACAGTAGTCTTTTTCAGGATGTTGGGCTTTAGTGCATGCAGGGGAGGGGAAGGAACATGGTATGCCTGGATTCTTGCGGTGGTGATTTTGAGAGATGACAGCGTGCTGGCAGTCCTCAGAGCCCTCGCTTGCTCTTGGCACCTCCTCTGCCTGGGCTCCCACTTTGGCGGCATTTGAGGAACCCTTCAGCCCACCACTGCACTGTGGGAGCCCCTTTCTGGGCTGGCCAAGGCTGGAGCCCACTCCCTCAGCTTGCAGGGAGGTGTGGAGGGAGAGGCGCGAGCGGGAACCAGGGCTGCGTGCAGCGCTTGTGGGCCAGCTGGAGTTCCGGGTGGGCATGGGCTTGGCGGGCCTGCACTCGGAGCAGCCGGCCGGCCCTGCCGGCCCCGGGCAGTGAGGGACTTGGCACCCGGGCCAGCGGCTGTGGAGGGTGTACTGGGTCCCCCAGCAGTGCCGGCCCACCGGCGCTGTGATCGATTTCTCGCCGGACCTTAGCTGCTTTCCCGCGGGGCAGGGCTCGGGACCTGCAGCCCGCCATGCCTGAGCCTCCTACCCACTCCATGGGCTCCTGTGCTGCCCCAGCCTCCCTGACGAGCACCACCCCCTGCTCCACGGCGCCCAGTCCCATCGACCACCCAAGGGCTGAGGAGTGCAAGCGCACGGCACGGGACTGGCAGGCAGCTCCACCTGCAGCCCCGGTGCGGGATCCACTAGGTGAAGCCAGCTGGGCTCCTGAGTCTGGTGGGGACGTGGAGAGTCTTTATGTCTAGCTCAGGGATTGTAAACACACCAATCAGCACCCTGTGTTTAGCTCAAGGTTCGTGAGTGCACCAATTGACACTCTGTATCTAGCTGCTCTGGTGGGGCCTCAGAGAACCTTTATGTCTAGCTCAGGGATTGTAAATCCACCAATCGGCACTCTGTATCTAGCTCAAGGCTTGTAAACACGCCAATCAGCACCCTATGTTTAGCTCAAGGTTTGTGAGTGCACCAATCAACACTCTGTATCTAGCTGCTCTGGTGGGGCCTTGGAGAAACTTTATGTCTAGCTCAGGGATTGTAAATGCACCAGTCGGTACCCTGTCAAAACAGGCCACTCGGCTCTACCAATCAGCAGGATGTGGGTGGGGCCAGATAAGAGAATAAAAGCAAGCTGCCCAAGCCAGCATTGGCAACCTGCTCATGTCCCCTTCCACACTGTGGAAGCTTTGTTCTTTCGCTCTTTGCAATAAATCTTGCTACTGCTCGCTCTTTGGGTCCACGCTGCTTTTATGAACTGTAACACTCACCACGAAGATCTGCAGCTTCACTCCTGAGCCCAGCGAGACCACGAGCCCACCGGGAGGAATGAACAACTCCAGATGCGCTCCCTTAAGAGCTGTAACACTCACCGCGAAGGTCTGCAGCTTCACTCCTGAGCCAGCAAGACCACGAACCCACCAGAAGGAAGAAACTCCGAACACATTTGAACACCAGAAGGGACAGACTCCAGACGCGCCACCTTAAGAGCTGTAACACTCACCGCGAGGGTCCGCGGCTTCATTCTTGAAGTTAGTGAGACCAAGAACCCACCAATTCCGGACACAATTTCACTAAGCTACATGTGTGTCCAACTGGGTCGCTTCACTTCACAATTCATTCATCCGCAAAAGAGCGATCTTGGACACAAAGATCGACTGGAATGAAACCGATGGTTGGTAGCCTCAGACTTCTCGGTCCTTGCTGTGCTGCATCCTCTCCATGGAAGGTAGTACACCACTCATTCACTCATTCATTCAAGAGAGATGGCCTGAAACCATCAATCAACAAGCTCTGCCCTAGAGACTTAAAAAAAAAATGAGTAAGTTTTCTGGCTCTTTCCTCTCCTTGCTCTACCAACACCTGCTCCCAGATCCTTGTGCCTTAACAAGCCAAAGATGACAGATAATGGCTTAAAAAGAAACTCCTCTTACGACAACTTGGTTTGATTGGAAATGACACCCGTTTATAGCCATACCACCTTGAACGTGCCTGATCTCATCTGGAAATGACACTTGATAGCGAATTTCCAGGAAAAAGACACCAGATAGGAGGCGTCCTGAAGGCCCTGTGGCCTTTTAATAGATTTTCTTCACTGCTCAAGAAGTCCTCCCTATCAAATCGTCTCCCTGATGCCATCTGGAGTGGCTGACAGCTCCCGCACCCCACCATCCCCTGTGATGGGGAAATAAACCGCAAAACCTTTTACAAGTGTGAATCATCGTGCACCTGCCCATTCAATCTTCTTTCATGTAATTTGGAAAATAACTCTTTTCATGTAGAGCTCTTAAAAACACCTGGAAATATTGGAAGCATAATAAGGCCAAGCCCCTACCCCCCACACCACCCTTAGGTACTACAGTCCTAATCATAACCAGAAGAATAAACACAATTGGATATCTGTCATGTGCTGGGTCCATGCTAAGTGCTTTCAGTACATCAAGTCATTTGATTCTCCACAAGCAATGAAGATAGATATGGCTATTATTCCTGTTTTTGTGATGCAGAAACAGAGGCTGAGAGATGAGGTAAAGTGATTTTCTGGCTCTTCCTGACTCTAGAATTTGAGTTCTGACCCATCACGTTATTAGCTGCTACCACTAGCAACTAATTCCTAGGTGAAGTCAGAGTCCTTTTTAAATCTTGACAATAATTGGAGTCTCATGAAAGAATTAGAACCATGCAATTCGATTTTCAACTCTATATTTGATAGTGAATGACAGAATACCAGTCTGATTTGCACCAGAAGTATAAATCAAATTGCACTTCTTCTTCTTCTTTTTTTTTTTTTTTGAGACGGAGTCTCTATCTGTCACCCAGGCTGGAGTGCAGTGGTGCTATCTAGGCTCACCGCAACCTCTGCCTCCCGGGTTCAAGCAATTCTCCTGCCTCAGCCTCTTGAGTAGCTGGGATTACAGGTGTGCGCCACCACACCTGGCTAATTTTTTTTGGTATTTTTAGTAGAGACAGGTTTCACCATATTGGCCAGGCTCGTCTCAAACTCCTGACCTTGTGATCCGCCCACCTCAGCCTCCCAAAGCAAATTGCACTTCTGTTAGTTAAGGTTTCAGCTTGGGTGCAAGGCAGACACCAGGACCTTGGGAAGTCTGAATCACAAATGTACTGTGTGACTCTGACTGCTCTGAGTCTCAGCACCTTCACCTGTAGGGTGGGGTGCCCTGACTCAGTAATTCATACTTATTTCAGTGGACTCCTTTACTCATGAAGTCTTATCTAAGCCTTCAGGTGGAAACCAGAAGACCCATTATCTTTAACGGGTTGTTCTGCTGTAACATATGATGACGCTGTCACCCCAACAAAATGTTCAGGGAACACCTTCTGAGTACTTTGCTTTGATTTTTTTTTTTTTTTTTTTTTTGAGACAGAGTCTCGCTCTGTCATCAGACTGGAGTTGCAGTGGTGCGATCTCGGCTCACTGCAACCTCCACCTCCTGGGTTCAAGCGATTCGCCTGCCCAAGCCTCCCGAGTAGCTGGGATTACAGGCGTACGCCATCACGCCCAGCTAATTTTTGAATTTTTAGTAGAGACAGGGTTTCACCATGCTGGCCAGGATGGTCTCGATCTCCTGACCTCCTGATCCGCCCGCCTCTGCCTCCCAAAGTGCTGGGATTACAGGCATGAACCACCATGCCTAGCCTGCTTTAATGTTTTATAGCTCCTGTTTTCTAAGACAGTGCAAAGCGTTCATTCATCCATTCATTTATGCTGCAAATAGTTAAGGAACGACTGATACAAAGTATTTGAAAGGTGTCAGAATTTAGGATATCAGATGGATAGAGACTGATTTTTTAAAAATCTCTTGAAGGGTTTCGTAACTTCATTATTGTTCTGTAATATAGGAGGAGAACAAATGGGTATTCTGAAAAAAACAAAAACCCGGAGCTGGAAGCCAGGAGGTCCAAACTCTAGCTCTGTATGCACCAACATACAGACATAATCTTTCTGGGTGTCAGTGTCCTCATTTGTAAATTTACAATAACAGGGCCCGCTCTTTTAAACACGTGTAGGAACTCATGGAGAGTGTCCCTAGGAATCACACTCAGAAAATTTGGACCACCCAGACATGGCCCAAAGGGTTTTGTTACTGGGAAGCAGTAATTAGAGGAGATGGAGATGAGGCTGGGCTCCAAGACTTCAATTAAGTGACAAGAGAAAGTGGTCTCCGCATAGCTTGGAATCCTGGGTTGTGCACCCAAGGAAGGGATGCACTGGGTGGCTGGCAGGAGAGACCAAAGCTGGGGCTGAGAGATTGTGAGGAGGGCAATTGTTTTACTATAGCAGGGGTTGGGGGAACTTATAGGGTACAGTCACTCCTCACATTGTCTCCCAGATCCCACCCTGAGGGAATGTGCATCAGATTCCTTTTTTTTCTTTTTTTGGGACAGGGTCTCACTCTGTGGTCGAGACTGAAGTGCAGTGGTGCAGTCTTGGCTTACTACAACTTCCACATCCCAGGCTCAATTGATCCTCCCGCCTCAGCTTCCCTGTAGCTAGGACTACAGGTGTGCACCACCATGCTCAGCTAACTTTTTAATATTTTGTAGAGACAAGGTCTCACCATGTTGCACGAGCTGGTCTCTAACTCATGGGCTCAAGCGAACTTCCCACCTGGACCTCCACAAGTGTTGAGATCGCAGGAGTGAGCCACTGGGCTGGCTGGCTGATTCTTAATAACTGAAAGAGCGAGTCAGGTTGCGAAAGCTGCACCAGGTTGGAGAAGGAGCTTCCGGGCCACCCTGCTTCATCTGTATGGAGTGCTGGTGAGGAGATGCTGCTGTGCCCCAGGGATCTGAAATTCTACACACCTAAAAAAAACTTGCCTTTCCCACCATCCATACAATCATGGGACTGGGGGCTTCCCTGGACCCTCCCTCTCTCCTGGACTGCCTCCCAGCCACCAGGTCCTGCCAACGGTCCCTCACAGAGCTCCTTTCTATCCCTCCCTGCTCCTCCATGCCAGCACAATTCCAGCCCATGTCACTTCTAGTCCAGCCTGTTCTCCTCCAGTTTCAACCCCTCAGTTTGTTTTCCTCCTAAGCCTCTAGACCAGCACTGTCCAAAAGAAATCTAATGTGAGCCACATATGCAATTTTACGTTTGCCAGTGATGACCACATTGACTAATGAATAAGGTATCTGACTTGGGATCAGAAGACTCAGTGTGCCAGTGGCCTCGTTTAGAAAGTAAAAAGGAACAGGTGAATGGAAAACATTTAATAAATTTTAACCCAATATACCCAAATTATTAATACACAAAATTTTAATGAGATATTTTTATGTTTTTTCATACTAAGTTTTTGAAATCTTGTTGCATATACACTTACCGCACATCTCAAATTTGGACTGGCCACGTTTCATATGCTCACTTGCCACAGGTTGCTGGTGGCCCGGACTGGACAGTGCAGGTGTAAATGCAACCTCATCACTTGAGAACTTTCCAAATTCTTTTAGTTCCATGCCCCACCCCCACCCCAAGATAAGCTTCAGTTTCACCTCTGCCTTTCTTTGCAACATCAGGTTTGACCCTTCCCCCAATACCACACACTGCATTCCCACCATACCAAACTTCTGGTGGTTCTCAGTCTGTGGCAGACTCGCTATCGCCCCAGAACCTTTTGTATACCCTATTCTTCCGCCTCCATTTGGGCACACCTCCTCTTTGAAGCCACCCCCCTACCCTAACCTAACTTAAGGCACATAGCGGGCGAAATAATAACCTTTAAAGCTGTATGCATCAAAATCCCCAGAACCTGTGGGTGTGTTACCTTACACGGCAAAGGATCTTCAGATGGGAACATCCCTGGGTTATGTAGGTAGGCTCAAAGGAATCAAAAGAGGCCCTATAAGAAGAAGGAAGGTGGGCCGGGCGCTGTGGCTCACGCCTGTAATCCCAGCACTTTGGGAGGCCAAGGCGGGAGGATCACGAGGTCAGGAGATCTACACCATCCTGGCTAACACGGTGAAACCCCGTCTCTACTAAAAACACAAAAAATTAGCCGGGCGTGGTGGCGGGCGCCTGTAGTCCCAGCTACTCTGGAGGCTGAGGCAGGAGAATGGTGTGAATCCGAGAGGCGGAGCTTGCAGTGAGCCGAGATCGCGCCACTGCACTCCAGCCTGGGCGACAGAGCGAGACTCTGTCTCAAAAAAAAAAAAAAAAAAAAAAAAAAAAAAAAAAAAAAAGAAGAAAGGCGGGTCAGAGTCAGGGAAGGAGAAAGGATGAAGGAAGCAGGAAAAGAGAGATTGGAAGACGCTGCACCACTGGCTTTGAAAATGGAGCGTAGGGTCAGGAGCCAAGGAATGCAGGCAGCCTCCAGAAGCTAGAAAAATCAAGCAAACAATTCTCTTCTAGAGCCCGTAGAAGGAACACAACCCTGCCCAGCACCTTGATTTTAGCCCACTGAGACTGATTTTGGACTTCTGACCTTTAGAACTGTAATAAACTTGCATTGTTTTAAGCCACTAGGCTTTGGTACTTGTTACAGCAGCCTATGGAAACGAATACAAGCACTTTTTCCTTTGAACTCCTATAACTGCTTACCTCCAGCATGCAGCACTGATTTTTGTGTGCTTAGGTTTTCTTGCTTGTCTGTCCACCACACTTGGAGCTCCTTGGAGACAGTTTTTCTCTCATTTACTTTATTTGTGCCTGGGAAGTCAGGACCCCAAATGTCTGTTTTGTTTTGTTTTTTTCCTTTTTTTTTTTTTTTTTTTGAGACAGGGTCTCCCTCTGTTGCCCAGGCTGGAGTGCAGAGGTGTGATCTCACCTCACTGAAACCTCCAACCTCCCAGGCTCAAGCGATCCTCCAACTTCAGTCTCCTGTGTAGCTGGGACTACAGGCGCACACCACCATGCTTGGCTAATTTTTGCATTTTTTGGTAGAGATGGGGTTTCTCTATGTTGCCCAGGCTGGTCTCAAGCTCTTGGACTCAACTAATCTACTTGTCTCGTCCTCCCAAAGTGCTGGGATCATAGACATGAGCCATTGTGCTCGGCCTCTCATTTACTTTAATTTCTCCTACACCCAGCATTGCCCAGCATATAGTAAATGCTCCTTTAAAAAAAAGAATGAATGAAGGTAGTGGAAGGTATTTCTTCTCTGTCTTACAGTGACAGAAGAGCCTCCTGTAAGCCACACCCATGCTGGCAACACTCAAGCATTCACATAACGAAGAAGCCAGGAGCAGTTTCTGTGGCCAGCAGCAGGGGAGTGGAAGGAGGCATTGCAGGAAGAAGCAAGAAGGGCCCCGCAGAGGGCTGCTGTGGCTGCACCTGTCAGGCAGATGTGATATACTCCAGAAACTTTGAAACCAGAAGCATGGAGCTTAAGCTTTAAGGACTGCATGGAGCCAGGTGCAGTGGCTCACACCTGCAATCCCAGCACTTTAGGAGGCTGAGGTGGGAGGATTGCTTGAGCCCAGGAGTTCGAGACCAGCTTGGGCAACATAGACCTGGTGTCCACAAAAAATATTTTTAAAAAAATTAGCTGGGCATGGTGGTGTGCACCTGTAGTCCCAACTAGTTAGGAGGCTGAGGCAGGAGGATTGCCTGAGCCCAGGAACTTGAGGCTACAGTAAACTATGATTGCGCCACTGCACATCAGTCTGGGCACAGAGTGAGATGCTGTTTCAGGAAAACAAAACAAAACAAAGCAAAAACAACAATAACAACAACAACACTGCACTGGATTTGTGAAAAACTGGAAAATAAACAGAATTCTAAGAAAATTATTTTTGTAGCTCCTCAGGTCACTCCAGGGCAGCTGATTGATAAAGTAGCTGCTACACTAAGTCTCAGGGGTGAGATCAGGGCAAGTGTGAAGGTGTAAGGACTGTTCAGTCAAGAAGGATCCGGTGGCAAGGAAGAGCAATAACAAGTGAATGGGAACACACTAAAGCCCCGGCCTGGGGAAAGAAAGGATTAAGCAACTGCGATTTGGAACCAGGAGAGAAAACACTCCCATTGAGAGGTGGATAGACATCTGTGTAGCCTGGGACTTCTGAGGCTTGGCTCTATTGACATCTTGAGCCAGCCAGTTCCTTGTTGTGTCACCGTGGGGGGAGGGGCCACCCTGTGCACTGTAGGATGTTCATTAGCTTCCAGGCCTCTACCCACTGGATGCTAGCAAGTAAAGTCACTACCCCCACCCCCAGTCGTCATAACTAAAAATCTCTCCAGACATTGCCAAATCTCCACTGGGTACCAAGATTGCCCCTCAGTTGAGAACCAATGATTCAGAGGAAGAAATAGGATTGGGGAAGGAGTAGGGATACACTTTAAGGAAGAGCAGTGTAGCTAACAGAAAATAGCAGAGAATAGATCATAAAGCCAGAGGAAAGAGAAAGCTGGTAGGTAAAAGTCTCACCATAGAAGGAGTGACAGCAAAAATGATTGATGGAAGAGGGAACAGAAAGGAAGACAAGCAAAAAGCAGAAAGTAGAGAAAAAGACCTGAAAGGAAGTCTGGGACGACTGTCCAGGGAGTGACGCCAGCCTGAGAGGGAATCGACCTCAAAGCAGGTCAATCCGAGGGTTTAATGACAGGTAACTGACACACAGGGTCAGGGCCCATTAGGCCCATTAGCCTTCTATCAGGACGTAAAGATGTGAGAGCCAGATACATGTCAAATTGCATATACACACATCACTTCCAGGTTTATTATAATAATACTCCAGATAAATGTTGGAACTGAAAGAAGCTTCGATAAGTCTCAACTCGCTTTCTAATTATCATGACGCTCATCAGAGGTTTCAAACCAAATAAACATCACTGAAAGATAGGTTCAGGTTTAAACATCACTAATCAAGCAGAAAGATGGTCAACAATTACCCTGATCTACCACAAACAAAAAGGGATGCAAAACAATTAAGTGAAACTAAACCAAGTCAGCTCATTTTATCTGGCGTTCCTTTGGGATCCTGCATTGCTGGTAAAGATTAGGACCAAAGAATGCAAAACCATGCTGATCTTAAACCATTCACTGCAGACAAGTCAACAACCTCCAAGAGTTGTGTTTGTGTGTTGTTGGGATGTGTGAGGGGAGGAACAGAGAGATCAATGCAAAGATCTTCCAACCATCTGGAGCAAAACCTGGTTGCAACTGCTTGCCCTTTTCTATTCACAATTAGAAGTAGGTTCCACAGGACTATGCTGTACTCTGAAGTTTTTAAAACATTTTGCCTAGGTATTTCCTTGTGGTGATTGCAGAAATGCTCTCTGTGAGTAGTCTTCATAATCTCCTAGTTTTGTGAGAGTTCTAGGTCTGATAAAAACCTGTTTCTGGGCCGGAGATAGAACTGGAAGGACAGTTTGCAAAAGTGCCAGAACTCCACAAGTTGTGAAACCTCATCTCATTCTTCTCATGCCAGCATTCCCATGTAAATCAGTGATTGTTTGCCTCTAGGAAGACAGGTCCAATGGATATAGCTCAGCTTTGCTGCAGAGAGCTCTGGGGCTAATATACAGAGGTGGGAACTTATGGGGCCAGCTGGTTAACAGAACTGCAGAAAGAAGATTGTGCCTGAGCACTAACTCAGGCAATGTCAGGGTTACTGGTTATGGTGGTGGACCATGGGCCTTCCCTGGTTTGCATTATGTCCCTGGGCAAACATACTGGATGCAGTCTATCTCTTAGGCAAAAACTACCTAGCTGCTTACTTCTCCAAAGGACAGTTTAGTGTAGTGATGACAGCGTGAGCTCTGGTGCCGAAACTGCCCTTATAACTGTACCTTAGGGATCTAATAAAATCACTGCCTCAGTTTCCATATCTTTATTTTTATTTGCCTTTTCTTGAGATGGAGTCTTGCTCTGTTGCCCAGGCTGGAGTGCAGTGGTGTGATCTTGGCTCACTGCAACCTCTGCCTCCCGGGTTCAAGCAATTCTCCTGTTTCAGCCTCCTAAGTAGCTGAGACTACAGGCATGCCCACCACACCCAACTAGTTTTTGTATTTTTAGTAGAGATGGGGTTTCACCACTTTGGCCAGGCTGGTCTCGAACTCCTGACCTCAAGTGATCTGTTCAGCCTCGGCCTCCCAAAGTGCTGGGATTACAGGTGTGAGCCACTGCGCCCCACCAGTTTCCACATCTTTAAAATGCAGACAATAATAGAATCAGTGACAGAAGATTTTGATAAGGCTTAAATGTGATAATACCTGAATAGTGCTTAGAATAATGTCTACATGTACCAAATGGTCAATAAATATTTGTTATTCTTTATTTGTTGTTCCAAATTCTTGGAAAATTATCATCATCCATTAAAAGCTTATAGGAATATAGCTTTCTTGGCATTATATCATGAACAGGCCTCTATTATTTTTGTTGTTTGTTTTCTTAATTGTTCTGTTGCTCAGGCTGGAGTGCAGTGGCATGATCATGACTCACTGCAGCCTCAGATTCTCAGGCTCAAGCGATCTTCCCACCTCAGCCTCCTGAACAGATGGAACTACAGGTGTGCACTACCACACCCAGCTAATATTATTATTATTGTAGAAACAGATTCTATGTTGCTCAGGCTGGTCTTGAACTTCTGGGCTCATGCAATCCTCCTGCCTCATCCTCCCAAAGTATTGGGATTACAGGTGTGAGTAACTGTGCCCACTGCCTCAGAAAATAGAGCCACAGGCCTCTATTTTCTTTCTTTCTTTTTTTTTTTTTTTTGGAGACGGAGTTTGACTCTGTCATCCAGGCTGGAATGCATCTGCATGATCTTGGCTCACTGCAACCTCTGCCTCCCGGGTTCAAGCAATTCTCCTGCCTCAGCCTCCCGAGTAGCTGGGACTACAGGTGCATGCCGCCATGCCCAGCTAATTTTTTATATTTTATTAGAGACAGTGTTTCACCATGTTGCCCAGGCTGGTCTTGAACTCCTGAGCTCAGGCAATCTGCCTGCCTCAGCCTCCCAAAGTGCTAGGATTACAGGCGTGAGCCACTGTGCCTGGCCCACAGGCCTCTATTTTCATTAAGAAATGCATTCCACATTCTATTAGAATCTTTAACGACTTAAAAAAAAACTAACAACTTTTAAAACCTGAACTCTGAGATTTTTCTACACAGTATGGACTGCTGTTTCCTTTAAACACAGCTGCTCTTCAAGGAGATTGTGGACTCCTTAGGCTGGGGCCCCTTACACTGTTGCAAACTTTCCCGATGTCACCCAGTAAGAAAAGCTCAACAGAACATGATGTCACTAGTGGATAGATTTGAAGAGAGTTATTTTTGCCTCTCTAGAATTGATCAGGCTAGGCGCCGTAGTTCACGTGTGTAATCCTAGCACTTTGGGAAGCTGAGGTGGGAGGATCGCTTGATCTCAGGAGTTGGAGGCTGTAGTGAGCTATGATTGCACCACTGTACTCCAGCCTGGGTAACAGAGCCAGATCTTGTCTCTAAAATAAATAAATGAAAAATAGAATTGATCACAGCTGGGTTTTAACTAGGTAGCCTCTCAAACATTTAAACAATGAGGTAAAAGTAGGACAGACAGTAATCAGAAGCACAGCTCTTCTCTAAAGGAAGTATATGCATTCTATTTTCTAGCAACCATTATTGGGTGATTTGATTTAGAGACTCAGTCACCCCCTAATGTCTGATTTAAGCACAATGTTAATGACACCAATGTCAATTCTGCTATTTATTTTAGGCTGTTCTATGACATGGTGTCCTATCCTTAGCTATCAATTTCACAAAGTTATCTTTCATGGAAAGCAAATAAGATGAGACAGGGTGGATGGTCCAGCATAACTACATCCCAATTATTGAAGATAAAAACTAAAATAATCTTAGGTATCATTTATTACCTCTGATGTGATGGGCTTGTTATAGATCCTATTTACTCTTTTCATCAGTTCTATGAGATGGATATTGTCATTCTGTTTTATCTGTGGATAAACTGAGTCCCAGGAAGATGAAGCAAATGTTTCAGGGTCATAGTGGTATTAGGTGGTAGAACTGAATTTCAAACCAAAGTAAAACTTACTTTTAAGTCTAGTTTTTTCCCAACTCCCAGTGCTATTTCTCTAAGTCCAGTTTTTAAAAGAGGAAAGTAAGGTCAACCTCATATCCAGAGGAAAAAAAAAAAGTTTTAAATTAGCATCCTCTGCTGGCATGGGTAGTAGAATTATTTTTATTCCACCATAAAAGATATCTTGGCTCAAATCAAAACACTTTCCAAGTCAGCATTATTACCTGTCAAATTGGTTTGATACCATATTACTGAGTGAATATCTCCCAGTTCTTAATAAACATTAAGTAACTCTTACCCTTGCCGAGTTAAGGGAGATAAACAGGGTTTGCTCTTCAAAAATAAAACGAGATGTTGCTAGCATTGGAATGACAGACACTCAAAGGAGTCAGCTCATAAGTCCTCGGGAGATTCAAATCCATTTTCTAGAACAGGGACTTCACAGCATGAGCCAGTGGCCCCACATCTGCTGCTGGCCCCTTGTCCTTCCTTTGTTCATGCTCATGGGGACAAGAGATGGGTCAGAGCAGCTGCAGCTCCTGCCATCGCTATTTGTTGCAAAGGGAGCTGCAGAATTGAGTGGTGTTAGAACACGCTTCTCCACCCCAAATCCCAGGTTTGATCCTATAGCTCTTGATTGGTCAAGGAGACTGCCAACTCATATTGCCTCAACAGATACTGATTTGGGGGAAAACCTAGACTGGGCCCCTGTGTGTTACAACTTTCCAGACCAAATAAGACATCCAAATCACATGGATAATTTTTCTTGATATTTTTGGAGATAATCATGTAGCTAGAAGGTTCTCTTTTTTCTATTTGTACATTTTTGAGTGGCCTACCCAAGTATAAAGCTAACTAATCTATGAAAATGGCTTTTATTTCAAAATTGGGCAAAAATGGTGTGATTCTGTCATGGACACAGGAATCAGACATTTCTTCCTGCCTTGGGAGAAAATTCCAGAGACCAACAGCTTCAATCAACTTTCAGAATTTGTGCAAGTTAAAACTAAGACAGGCTTAGTGAAAAGGTAATATACACGCCCAAAAACCAGGGCTTTAACATCCATTTACTGTTTTAAAAACTTTTTTTTTTATTCTTCTTGCCTCAAACAGTCCCCCACAATGGTTTGGAGACTGGCACACTTTCACACCTTCCAAGATGTAACCCTAATTCTCTAAGCAGACCTGCCTATATACGTCAATCAAAACTGAAACTGAAGGAAAGGTATCAGGGCAATTCTTTGTTTTAGGGATATCTTATCGTATGCCTATCACTCACAGTACAATATGAACTTTACCCACACTTGTTGAGCTTTGTTTCACCTTACCTTACAGTTAGGTGACTGTTGCTATATTTCAGGGAGACCGGGGGAACAAACTGTCATTTTTTCCAAGCAATTTATAGGCTTTTCTTTTATGGTTACCTTGAATCTCATGACTGATCATGTAATTATCCTGAGTTGACTTCTGAGAATTTGAGAACCGACTTGTGATCTGCTTGAAACGTGGCCCAGGACTTTCTGCTTATACAGCCCTGCCAATTAACATAACATCAGCTTTATTTTACTGTTTGATCCTGATTTTTCCTTTGCCTTAATTTCTTTGTCTAATTTTGCCCTATACTACATACACTTTGTGTACATATGTACACACACACACACACACACACACAATAGTTTATTTTTTGTCAGCCACCACAAATCCTTTTTATAGGAAAATCTTTAAATGGTGAAATGAATTGTCCCAGTTGGTGGTGGTCTGTTCTTTATATTCTGATTTTCTTCAAATAAGATGTTGGAGTCCCTTAAAACTGAGAAGAGACAACTGATTTTATTTAGAAGCATATTCTCTGCCCTGTGTCCTGGTGTTTACTTTTCTTTTTTCCTTTCACTTTACTTTTGTACGCAGCCGTCTCTCTATTCTCCAGCCAGTCACCCCACCCCCAGGCAACATGCAGCAGTACTACTTAACAATACCTGGTCTACCAGGGATTCTAACCTATAACATAGTATGCACTAGAAAGCCCCAGACACAGCCCCACATCCCCAGGACACAGTAAATTGTATAACTATCTGCTCTCTGGTTTGTTTCAGGGAAACTGACAGATCTTTATGAAAAACTTTGCAGAGAGTGGTATGCTGAAAAGAAATAATCACATAATCACACACGGCCTCCCCCAAGGAGCATTTAGGGCCCTATCATTAATCTTTGTAACACTCCTATGAAAGAGGTGGATGGCATGTTCTCTCAGGCCAGTGTTTCATAGGTGAGGGGACAGGGCAGGCCTGGGCTTGCACATGGTCTAGAAGGGAGGAAAGAAAACTCAGCACCCTTGAGGCTCCCACCAGTCAGCCCCAGCACTGACATCTCCCATGCAGCCCGCAGCCTGGGCAATGCAGATTTTGTCTTTTACAGGAGTATTTAGCTTTTTGGGGGCAGGTATCCATATATGGCCATCCATAGCTCTTTCCGGCTTGGCAGTGCTCCCCGGACAAGCAACTCCTCACTGCACCCCATGCTGTCAGTAGCTGGCAGTAGGTTGAAATTACAGGCCTCTAGGCAAAGGTTTTTCAGAAGGTTTCGGCTCCAGATCACCTCTTACAGAAATGTATGAAATGCTCTGACCACCCACCGTTGGGATTTCCTCCCTGTGCAAACCTGAGCTGTTTGCTGGGCCCCAGCAACTTCTCTAACCCCTTATTCTCATAGGCACTCAGCACCAGGAGCTGAAAATAAAAAGGTGGCAAAGTCAGCTCTGATGCCAATCTTCTGCCACACAGCTGTGTATAATGGTTTTGCTGTTATCATTTTGCAGCCTGAATCACTTTCCCTGAAATGCTGCAGGTCTGCACTTGTGGCCTAGTAACTATTTAATGAAACTGATAATTAATCTCCTATACCACGCTCTGTTACTTGTAGAACTAACGTCCACAATGCAACAGTAGAAGAATAAAATGCGTAAAGATGAGAAAAAAGACAGCAAGTTGTCAAGATACAGTAATTGGTAAGGAATTAAAAATAGAACCTCCTACCAGATTACAAGATGGCCTCTCCCTTCCAAGATGGATATCAAACACTTTTTTGTCACAATCTGAAGAGATACAATTATCATAAGCCCCAGAAGGGGTTTCTTCCTCATGTGCTTAGTGAGGTCTGTCTTTAGGAACCCAAACAACTGTTATAAAGTGGATTCCTATATATCTAGGAAGTGAAAAGCTAGAAGGCTAGAAGGCAAAAACTTAAAGTTCTGTGCAATACAATAATTACGTTACAAGTAATAATGTTTACAGGGCACTCAACATATGCCAGGCATGATAAACAAAATGCTATAGAAGCATTGCTTCATTTAATACTCATAAAAATTGATGAGAGATATTTCCCCATTTTACAGATGAGAAAACAGAGTGTCAGAAGTAAATTGCTTCAGATCACTCCTCCAGGAAACCAAACAGCCTGAGTTTGAATCCAGTTTTTTCTGACCTCATGGTTTTTTTTTTCTGACCTCATGATGATCACTCTCCAGTTTTGCAACATCCTGAAATGTCTTCTGAATTATCAAATAAAAATTAACTCATTTGTGTTAAGTAGCAGTGTCATATTTTAATATCAAGTGGGTGGTCTTCCGAATATGTAAGTTTTGTAAAATAAGCCAACAAAAAACACACCTCACAGAACTAAGAAATCAGATGCTCAGATTGAAGGGATATTGTGGGAACCAAATAAAATCTTGAATATGAAAAATCTTAGGAAAAGACATAGCATTCTACGGAAGAATGACAATGTCATTGCTATCAAAAATATCAGTGTGGGCTGGCTGCTATGGCTCACGCCTGTAATCCCAGCACTTTGGGAGGCCGAGTTGGGCAGATCACTTGAGGCCAGGAGTTTAAGAGCAGCCTGGCCAACATGGTGAAACTCTGTCTCTACTAAAAATACAAAAATTAGCCGGGTGTGGAAGCATGCATCTGTAATCCCTGCTACTTGGGGTGCTGAGGCAGAAGAATCTCTTGAACCCGGCAGGCGGAGGTTGCAGTGAGCCAAGATCGAGACACTGCACTCCAGCCTGGGCGACAGAGTGAGACTCCGTCTCAAAAAAAAAAAAAAGTCAATGTGTATGTGATATGTGTGGTAATTCTCAGTTGACCAGCATATTCTGTATATCAAAATATGTGCTTACCTAACCAATTTACACACCGGTCACTTGTGAACAAGCCACCTTTTTACCTCGTTGTCCTGTGAGATGCAGAACCACGCATATTTTAGAGCTTAGGCATTAGAACTTTTCCTTTTTCAACTTATTTCTGGGCCACATCCACGTCCCCAGTTTCTCTGGAAAAGGCTGAGAAAACTCCTAAAGCGCAACAAAGTGTTAAGTTGCTGACACACGAATTACAATTAGGGTCACCGTCAAGGGAGCCGATTTACGGCCCCCCTCCTCCGTTTTCTTGTTACCTATCAACGCGGCTGCATACACTAGCAGGTAGCAGCACCTGTAATTAATTTGCCCCCACGTGTCTCATTTGATGGGGGGGGGCGTTTCCAGCTCTGATGTGCGCGGCGTGGAAACAGTATTAAAGCCGCTCAGGACAAGGAGATGTAAGGCTCCCAGAAAGACCTCCTTACTTGTTCCGAACTCGAGTTATGAAGAAGACAGCGCATGGTTTATTGACCAATGAAACAACCAGAGAACTTTCTTCTAAAGGTTTTAAGGAAGAGTGATTACACTATATAAATAGCGCTATTTCAGGTTTGAACAATTTGAGAGGCCCGTTGTAGCCTTTCAACTCCTCCTTCCTCACATAATCTAAGAGAAAAGAAGACTAAGATAGTTGCAAATCTCAGGGTAGGTCCTCACGGAGGAAAGACGAACACTGGCCTGACCCTGGGCTTTAGAAACCCATGGACAACAGGAAGGAAGCTTATTAACCCCTCTCTTCCCCCTCCCTCTTCTCCCCGGTGGAGAATCAGCTCCTCCTCCTCCCGGTCGTGAGACCCTGGTGCAAAATGCAAACAACCGCCCGCTTTCCCCACCCTGCGCGCTTCTCCCAGAGGAGGGAGAGGGAAGAGGCGAGGGCGCAGCCCCAAGCCGAGTCCAGCAAGTCTGTCAATCGGACGTGAACGTCCCGACGAGACAACTTGAACCTCAGGGCCCTCGCGCCAGCCGGACACCGCAGGTACCCCCTTTACCTGCTTCTCTGCTGGGTTTGCATCCGATACCCCAACTCCTAGCCTCATTTTCCCCCCAGCCCCATAATATTCCGGACCCCTGCTCCCCGTGCAGGTGGTGCAAACGCCCCTGCTCTCCGGCGCCCCCTGCCGGGAAGAGGGAAGGCGGCGGCGGCCGCGGAGGAGCAGGACGCTTGGTCCGGACGGAGCTCGGCGCTGGGAAGAAGCCGGGAGCTTCCCTGATGGTGCCGCCGCCTCCGAGCCGGGGAGGAGCTGCCAGGGGCCAGCTGGGCAGGAGCCTGGGTCCGCTGCTGCTGCTCCTGGCGTTGGGACACACGTGGACCTACAGAGAGGAGCCGGAGGACGGCGACAGGTAAGCGCTGCAAGCCCCAGCGGAGGGCGAGCTCCTGCTTGATGCGCGCCCGGCTCGCGGGGTGCGGGCGGTCCTCCCCGGCGCCCACTCCCACAGCGATCCGCACGCCCTCACTTCTCCGGGGATAAGGAGAGTGCTCAGCTGTCCTGGGCGACACTTCCCTCCGCTCCCGGGTATCAGCCTTTGCGCCCTGCCATCCGTGGGTCGCGTCAGGGATACCCTTCGCCCCGCGTTCCTGCCTCCCCCCGGGTGCCACACTGGCTGGCACAGCTCGTGAACCCCGCTTCCTTTCTCCTGGAGCTGGTTCGCTTCGTCGTGACCCTCGCGTGGCTCGTCCCTGTGGCCGGAGTCTGCCCCGCGTACGCGTTTGGGGACCAGCCCCTGCCCAGAGCGCCGGGACGGGGAGCCTGGCGATCCCCACGCGCCAGGGATTCCCCAGCGCGCGCTGCCCGCCTCCGCTCTCCCGCTGAGAATCGAACATTTCCTCTGCACTTTTTCATAGAGAAATCTGCTCAGAGAGCAAAATCGCGACGACTAAATACCCGTGTCTGAAGTCTTCAGGCGAGCTCACCACATGCTACAGGTAAGCCTGGGGGCTCTGCGGGCTGTTCGCCACTGCGCACCGGGGCTGGCTGGGGAGGCGGCGCTGTAAAGGAGGGGTTTGGAGACGCGCTTGGGACCGGAGCAGCTTTTACGCTGGAACCTGCTGGGTGCGTGCCGCGCGGTGCGAATCTTTGAGGGTTGGTTGGATCGGAGTCAGAGCAACACTGAGCAACTGACTTTGCGTCTAGGGTGTGTGCCCTGAGATCCTGAGGATGGTTGCCGCTCCCTGAAATACTTGTGTGGAAGTCTGTGAAGGAGATTGGATTGGATTTTGGGTGTAAACAGTGGGGCATAGCAAACACGGGTGGCTGCTTTCGTATTTGTGTTTTGTTTTGAAAGTACAGCGTCAACAAGGCAATTCTTGGCACTTGTCTGTCTTCTGACCTTCTGTTGGGGCAGAGTGTGGCTGTCACGGCCTCTGGACAAAAAAGTAGGGGGAGGATTGTGAGTGGTTGTGTTGAGTGAAAACAAAAAGATTGTTGGGGCAGAGGAAAAAAGTCTTTCTAAAAATGTGGGCCACAGATTCACCTGGGTATTTGTTAAATGAGTGACCCGGGTGCTTGTTAAAACTAAGCGTGGATGGGGCTAGGGAATCGGTAGTTATAAAATGTTCCCCAGGTGGTTCTTGTCTCTGAAAGGAGAGAACCACTGTTCTGCTTGCAGCCTTTTGGAGATGAGGGTTGATTTAGGTTTTTCACCATTGAATTCTTGGTTCTGTTCCAGTGCTCTCACTGGATAGGGGAACATGCACCCATAAACGTTTATTGGATATCTGCGTTTTAGAGGCGCTGTACAAGGTAATGTGATCATATGCCCACACCTGACTGTCTCTGGAGACTCACATGCTCTGTTCGGGTTGCCAGGATAAATACTGAGTAGTACAAGGTAACGCAGCAGTCCCTAGAAACGAACTTGAAAGAAAACAATGTTTTATTCCTTATAAGGTTGTAGCCTGTGAATCAATCATAGCGTTTCTTGCAGGTGAGAGCATTTCATATACCCAAAGGTTCAGACCAAGTGGTTCCACGGCTGTCAGTTTATGGGTGCAAAAGCACCATCAGTTACATCGCGTACTTCTGCTCTTAAATCTGTTGTTGGCAGTGAAGGGACAATAATCAGGCAAATCAAGTCACTCCTTGGGCTTAGGAAAGGCTCCTTTCTCTTGGCGTGTGCGGGGGGTGAATGCTGAACAAAATGAGAGAGGTAGTAGAGGAGAAAGGAGTATGTTCAATTGGCAGGTTAAGACTTAAAGAGGCTAACTGGGTGAGCAAGGTCACCGAGCTGGTGAAGTGACCTGGTGGTGCTGGCAGCAGGATTGCTTGCCTGGTTCCAGCCGTGTCTTTCATCCACACGACCACAGTGTTTCTTAGGACACATTGTTTTCCTATCAGCACAGTATAAAGCCTCGAATTTAACATGGGAAATGTCTCTGAGATGGTTTGCTCATTTTTTCAGTCCCTGAAGGTCGGACTTCACATAAATCAGTGACAGTTACAGAATGCATGTTAGATTTTCAGAAACCATTTGGTGCCTGATTGTTTGTTAATGCCATTACTGTCATCTTTTCCAGACTTCTTAAAGCAGTGTGGTGTTTCTTTTATACTCTTTGAACAGGAGACACTAGCAGCACCTTGGCATGTGTTTTCACTAATAGCTACTCAAATTGCTATGAGATCTCGCAAAAATGACATTTTATATCAAGGAGAATAAAGAACTTTGTTTAAAGGAATGGGAAACGATGCTTTCAGCTTGAAAGTGGTGTTGATCCTTGTGTATATGAAAAGATCTTAGATTTTGTTTTTAGATCTATTTTCTCTATGGAAGTCGAGAGTTCTCTGTATTCCGTTGGTCTTATCCTGTTTCTATAATCTACTCTTCTTGAATCCCAAGAATAGAGGATATTATTTTCCTTAGTTTGTGACTTGATTGTCCTAGCCCTTTATACCCTCACTACCTCAAGTATCATCTGGAAACCAGCCGCACAGCATGATTTTGGGAGCTTGTTGGAATCCTGGGCCTCTGCCCCCAGATCTCTTAAATCAGAATCTGTCTTAATGAGAGATGCATAAAATCTTGAAGCACTGCTGTAAGAAACCAGTGTCCTCATCCCCAGGACGCATGCAGACCTATTTAGACAGATCCTTAAAGGAGCATGGAGGCCTTTCAGTTGACCAAACAGTTAGCTCTCCTACCTCACTAAACTAAAGGTTAAACTAAAGTGAGATAAAGAACCAGCATTCCAGGAAGCCAGTCTTTAAAGGTTACTTTGAATTGAGCTGTAAGTAATACAGCATTACTGATGATGGAATGTTCTTTGACTGTATAGAATTCTCTTTACCAGGTGGCTGTTGGTGAATGGTTTTCAGCACAAGTGAAGGAACTCTGGAAGCCACTTCTGAACTTGAAGTGTGTTTAAAAATGACTTTAAAAAAGTTACTAGGCCGGGTGCGGTGGCTCATGCCTGTAATCCCAGCACTTTGGGAGGCGGAGGTGGGTGGGTCATGAGGTCAAGAGATCGAGACCATTCTGGCCAACATGATAAAACCCCGTCTCTACTAAAAATACAAAAATTAGCATGGTGTGGTGGCACACACCTGTAGTACCATCTACTTGGGAGGCTGAGGCAGGAGAATAGTTTGAAACCAGGAGGCGGAGGTTGCAGTGAGCTGAGATCTCGCCACTGCATTCCAGTCTGGTGACAGAGCAAGACTCTGTCTCAAAAAAAAAAAAAAAAAAAAAAAAAAGGCTTTCCTTTAACAAGAAATATTCTCGTGTGTAGGAAACACTAATAAAACAATTTTCACTGAGGCTGTGGAATAAACATCCTAATCAACCCTTGACTTCTTAATTAAGAATCTATTGTGCATCTATTACGAGCTCAGAAAAGTCCTAGAAAATGTTTGAGTATAAAACGATAAAATACAATCTCTGGTCTCAGTTTGCAGACTTGATTTTATATCCAGGACTTTGAAACTGTGAGCAATAAGCAATGGTGTATGATTGAGTTCAAAGTCATGTAGTTCATATGCTGTATTAGTGATGGGGAAGAGAGACAAGCAGCTAGAAATGGCTTTTGGGCAAAAGAAGATTTAACCATGTTCTTCAAAGTGGTTCTTTTTTTCCCCCTTTTTTAAAGTGTTCACTTTTTGTCAACTGGTCTCAAGTTGGTGTACAGTTAAGCCCTGGCTGCCTCCACCCACTCTCAGGGAGACCAAAAGCCTTCACACATCTCAAGTTGGGGGACAAAAAAGGGGGACCATGAAAGCTGGTCACAAATGAAACAAAGTTTTAAGGAGAAGATTTAAAAAATTTTGCATTACATAATTTACATGAAAGCAATGCTAATGCTATCACCTCCCCTGTGTGGACTCCAGAGAGGACTGAGCCATTCTTCTTAGAAGTAGGGTGGCATTTAGGAGGGCAAGGGACTTCCTGCAACAATGCATCTCGCAATATTTGGAATGATTATTTAAAAAAAAGAACAATGTACAGTCAAAGTCCTTGGCCACATTGTAGAGCTTTAGGGTATGCTCGCTCCAACTGACTGCCATCACCTTCACCACAGAAAACAAGATGAGATAGGTTTGGCTTTGCGTTTTTTGTTTGTGTGTGTGTGTGTGTGTGTGTGTGTGTGTGTGTGTGTGTGTGTGTGCTTTGGCTTGACAAAGTGGTTCTTTTAACTGTGTGTTAAATGCTTTTTAAAAACTCGCTGTGATTTTGGCTTTGGGGTTCATGGAACTCCACGTGGAGGCTAAGTGGTAGGGATGCCCCAGGTGCCTCTCTGCCCTGCCGGTATTCATCTGTCCAGCCCGTGCTGTCTCATGAGGCAGTGTTCTTGCTTAGGGCAGCTCAATGTTCCCATGGGAAATAGTGACATGGGGGATGTAAAACACCCACTTTTCTTTGAGATAATACAACTGTGTTGCCAAGTCTTGTGAGAATGTGAAAATTAATGTGATGTTTTTGCAAATGTGTTTACTTGGAGTGCTTTGAAGAGCAAGGTCCTTTTAATTAGAATAGTACTACCAGATTGATAGCATTGGGCTCTAGGTAAGGACACATTTGAGGAAAGACTGTATAATGCACTTCTCTGGCAAGTCACCAAGTTCCCATGGCGGGGGAGTGGGCTTCGATAATGTCAAAACACATATAAAATAATATAAACTCTTTGCTCCAGTGTGAATCCCAGCTCTACTACTTGGTGGTTTTGTGACCTTGAGCAGTTTTAATATCTGTGCTTTAATTTTCTCATCTGTAAAATGAGCATCCAATTGGTACTTAAACTATAGGGCTGCTGTGAGGATTGTGCCTTAATACATGTAAAATGCTTTGAAAAATTCACGACACATAGGAAGTGCTATGTTAGTAATACCTCCCATCGTCATCACTACATCTTGCCAAGTCTGCATGTTGAATGTTTTAGATGCTCAATGGATGTTTGTTGAATTTTGTGAGTCGTATGAACTTCATCTTTTTGAAAGAGCAATTTGAGACCACAGCCAGAAACATCACTCGTTTGCAGATGCTATTTTCAAATGTAGGAGAGCCCAGAAACCTAGTGCCCTGGGGAAATTAGAGTATCTTTGTTTCCTGCTACCTCCCTGACTAACAAGCTACTCTACTCATGACCATAAGAGCCAGTGGAAGGCATAGCCTGAACTAGAACTTGAAGTTACACCACTTTCATCCCTTCCCCAGGATTATGAAGGGTCTTACTGGCAGAAGGAAGACTAGAAATCAGATCCTTAGCCCCAGGCCCATTCTGATTTCTCTCTCCTCTGCTTGTTTCCCTGTCCTGTGGCTGGCATAGCTGAGGCCGGGTACTGAGGGCAGCTCTGTGAAGACTTGGCTCATTCAGGGCATGTAGTTCAGGGAGGAAACAAAATGAAAGTTGTGAAGAACTCTAGCTGGGCGCGGTGGCTCACGCCTGTAATCCCAGCACTTTGGGAGGCCAAGGCAGGCAGATCACGAGGTCAGGAGTTTGAGACCAGCCTGGCCAACATGGTGAAACCCCGTCTCTACTAAAAGTACAAAAATTAGCTGGGCATGGTGGCACACGCCTATAGTCTCAGCTATTCAGGAGGCTGAGGCAGGAGAGTCACTTGAACCTGGGAGGCGGAGGTTGTGGTGAGCCAAGATCACGCCACTGCACTCCAGCCTGGGCAACAGAGCGAGACTCCATCTAACAAAAACAAACAAACAAACAAAAAATCTTGTGAAGAAGAGAGCAGGGGCTAGTTGGAGGTGGTTTTGTGCAGAATGACCTGAATGACACACCTTGCATGCTGAAGGCAGCTTCTCCTCTCCTGTGTTAGGCCATCTCTAGCATGGGCTGTCAACCCTCTGAGAGCATGAGCCATCTGTCCTCATTCATGACTATATCCTCAGAGGCTAGCTCCATGCCTGGACAGAGAGGTTGTTCAATACATATTTGCTGAATGACAGAATGACTATGTTAAAAGTAAACAATAAGATTTAACTGAAATCTGTTAGGTCTTCAGGAACTTCTCTTGCTATCCAAATGTGCTTTATTTAAAATCTGAGCTAGGAAGACTCTTCTAAAAACCAGAGATTAACTGGACCTCTGAGAAGCTGCCATTATTTTCATTGGTTCCAAGTTAGATCCGCTTAACTTTAATTGCTAATGTGTAACAGGTGCTAGATTCTGGCAGCTATAGCTAACTCCTTGAACTTGCCATCTTAAATAACACCTGAAGAGGACATGTGGGTTCCTGCCTGTGTGTTTAATTGTGCCACAGACACTGGCTTTGGAGTAGAGGATCAAGGTTTTAAAGGGGGTCCCCCGCCTTCCCACAAGAACAGGTGTTCGAGGGAGGGAAGGTTCTGTATCACTTCTCACTCACTCTCAGAGAAACAATACGGAGTAATTGGAAACAATTTTAACTCAGTAACCACAAAAGGCTGCTCTTTCACTGGTGTGTCCTTTGAGATCAGATCCAGTTGCTACTCTGGTTGCTGCCCAACTTCCTATGGTTAACTTCATCCTTTGTAAGTGAAGCTGGGGTGGGTGCACCCGGAAAAGCCAAATGCCTCTTTCTTGATTCTAGATATTCTATCTTCTCAGGAGAAGGCTTGCATTTCAATCAGCAGCTTTCCCAAACCCTGCTGTTCTCCTGCTCAGCAGGACCGGAGCTCCTTTTGTGAGTTTAGAGGGTCTGCTGGCATTTAAGGCATTGTTGAGTATCTAGAGAACAAAGATCACATTCTGTTTTAGATTATTGCTTTTATTTGCGGGATGAAAAAGTAAACAGCTATAACATCTGCAGTTCCTCTTCTGCCAAGTGAGGTCCTTTTTTTCTGCGAAGCTATTGACTCATTTTAAATAGTGTTTTAATTAGCTATTGACTAATTTTAATCTTATGAACAAGCTTCATTTACTTAGTCAACGAATACTTGTTGGGTACTTACAATCTGCCAGGCACTGTTCTAGACATTTAGAATATATCTGAAAATTGGACAAACCCCCAACAACAACAAAAATCCTCTGTCCTCAAGGAATTTTAATTCCCTTTATCTTTCAGTAAAGGAATTTTGACCCAAAGATTTCCTTTGGGACCTTTTTAAGATACTTGTTTTGGACATACATTTGATTAATGTCACACTTTGGAGGTTAAGATCTTAATTGCCGGTAGCCCAGCTGTGTCCTTTCAGCAACAGAAATCCCACAGCTTCAAGCAGAGTCAGGAAAACCCAGGGATGGTGGTAACAGAAGGTTTTCTGCAGAGGCGCTAGCAAGAACTTAGCATGTACCGCAAGTTTCTTCCAAGAATTATTGCAATGTGAAAGCATTACAAAGAGGAGGTGTTATTTTCTCATGTGACCTGTGATGTGGATAGCAGCATCAGAGTTGCCCCACTAGGGACAAATACCCCAAGCCCAGTTCACCTAGGCCAGCATCATGTTTTCCGACAGTGACTGTAAGCAGAGTTTTAAAGAAGGCATGCCCCTCCAACATTGCTTGACTCTCCACATAATGCATTATAGATCTGTCATCATATAAGTATGTGACACTTCTTGAACAGTTAGTTTCCAGCTTGAAACACCTGTAGAGAATGGGGTGGTAGTGATGCCTACACACTTAATCCTCATTAAGCAAAATGTCGCATCTTTCTAGCTTTAAGGTATGATCCATGTGTGCCAAGAGCCAATGTGAAAGCTTGGATGAATATGTTGCCACCTTATTGGTTGTGGTAGAACTAGTTCATCTTACCATGACCTTGAGGACTTCAGAAACTGGGACCACATCCGTTCTAGACCTTTCCTTCTTGGCCACTCCTGTGGGACATTCTATTTGCCTCATCTGGAGTGAAGCTTCTCATCCTTGGCCCTCTGGGAATGACAGGGACGGATGTCAGCCCCGTGGGCTGTCCCACAGGAGGCTATGTAAACAGAACTGGTGGGAGATACAGGGGGGCTCTCAACAGGTAGCGTCTAATCCTGGGAGTTTGGTAGAGAGCAGGGATTGGCAAACTAGGGCCCATGGCTTGTTCTTGTACTACTAATAGTTTGAGTAGTTTTTGTCTTGAAAGCATTGCAAAAGAACACACAGAATCCCAATTTGGCCCCCAAAGTCCCAGATATTTACTGCCTAGCCCCTTACAAAAGAAAACTTGACTCCTGTAGATCCACTTTAATACAAACACCAGGATTGGGGCTTTCCATCTATAACACCTCATCCACATGTCTGAATTCTCAAGGTGACCTTGGGACGGTCACTTACTCATCTTCATCTTTGGGTCACTTACCTGTGTATCACCTTATTTATATTACAGTGTTTGGATTTCTTGGCCAAGCATCTTTAGTTGTCACTTGGTTTTCTGATCTCCAGGAATCATAGTTTTTGTTGAGCTGGAACTTCTTTCAAGTCATCATTCCTAAGTGATACTCGAAATGAGCATAATCTGCCAGTTTCTAAGAAGCTGACTTTATTGCAAGGAGTTGATTGAGCACTCACTTCCTGCTGCCTTTCTATGGCTTTCCATGACAAGCCTTCCTGTGCCAATAGAATAACCCTTGAGTGTTACCTTGGTTTGCTACCTTACCTCATTGATTTGCATATCAATTATCACACGCTTTGTAGGCTGAAAGCCACCTCTCCATACATTTCAACATGTTAGGGTTTGTTTTTTGTTTTTGTTTTTTGAGACATGGTCTCACTCTGTTGCCTAGACTGCAGTACAGTGGTGCAATCATATCTCACTGCAGCCTCAATCTCCCAGGCTGAAGCTATCCTCCTGCTTCATCCTCCTGAGTAGCTGGGACTACATGAGCCCACCACCATGCCTGACTAATTTAATTTTTTGTAGAGATGGATTCTTGCTACGTTGTCCAGGCTGGTCTTGAACTCCTCAGCCTCCTAAAGTGTTGGGATTATAGGCATGAGCCACCGCACCTAGCCGAAATGTTAGTTTTGAATTAGTATAGTAGAAAAATTTTTACATTCAAAGATCAAATGATAGCATATATTTGGAGGAATACCCATCGAGGGAAAAAAAGCCATTTTCATTGAAGGTATTCGGAATCAGTTATAACTTTATATTTTTCCATGTATGGCTAAAAATATATTATAACACTATACAGGTACCCTATGCAGAATATATCAGTGATTAAACTTAAGAATTTCTTTTTTTTCAAATGGAATCTCTGTTGCCCAAGCTGGAGGGCAGTGGTGCAATCTCAGCTCACTGCAACCTCCAACTCTGGGGTTCAAGGGATTCTCCTGCCTCAGCCTCTAGAGTAGCTGGGACTATAAGCATGTGCCACCACGCCCAGCTAATTTTTTTGTATTTTTAGTAGAGATGGGGTTTTGCCATGTTGGCCAGGCTGGTCTTGAGCTCCTCAGGTGATCCACCCATCTCGGCCTCCCAAAGTACTGGGATTACAGGTGTGAGCCACTTGAACCCAGCCTAAACTTATGAATTTTTGAACTTCCTTTTAACACCAGCTGTTTTGTTCCACAAAGCTCATGGAGACTCCTAAATAGTGATGGCTTTAACAATGACTGTGGAAAACAGTAGTGGAGAAGGAGAGAACAGTCTAAAAGAAATATTCTGAAGTGAGAGAAACAAAGTCTGATAATGGTATTTTGGCAAAGGAAGGGAAAAGTTAGGAAACTGGAATTCATCATTTGATGTAATAGGAAGGTAAAGGAATGATGTGGTGTAGAGAAAAAAACACAGGCACAGATCTGTTCAGAAATAGGATCCTACGGAGATGAAGTTGTGAAAAAATTTAACGTTATGTGGACGTTCATGACCTTTAACATGTCCATTTTAACTTAAGTAGGCTAAACTTAGAAAGGTGCATAGATAGACAAATGTAAGCTTTGTAACCCTCTTCTTTTGTCTAGCGCTATTTCCTCGAAGATTGGAGGGCATCTGTAAGCCAGCACAGACCACACTGTGGCTTTTTCTGTGACTGTGACCTCTTAGCTTTCATTTGGATTGCTCTTGATAATGTGTCCTTGCTTCATTTTGGAATTTTCCCACAAAGAAATGGCTCAATTTTTTTGTGGTGTGAAATTGCATGGTAGAGCTGAGGTGCCTTCCTGGGAACCCACTTAGACCACAGACTTGTTGAACCAACTGCAGGTTGTATGAGAGCAGACGATAATGCCCTTTAGAGGCAAGGTTGCCCCCAAACAAAAATGCACTGGAGTGTAGTTCTGGCCAAATCTGAATGATTAGAAAAACTTACAATGTAATATCAACAGGCTTTTATCTCTGAGAAAGTTTGAAGGGTTTTAAAAATTCTGTAAAATTGGTTTTGGTATTGTTGGTTTTCTGCAGATCACACTGGCCTAGTTGGGTGGACATAGGGAGGGAGATACTGTATATGATTGGCAACAACTTATATCTGAAACACAGCTGAAAAAGGAGGAAGTGGGGAAGGAAAGGGATGATGATAAAGGGAGCTTTGAATCCAAAATGGATATTACAAAGAAAACATCACAAAAAATAGGTATCACAAAAGGCTTTGAGGTGAGGAACCAAAGATGGATATACAAAAGCATCAAGTACTGTCTGATGAGTGCCTCAGATTGCCCTGTGTGTGAGGACTCACTGTCAGAAGCTGTTCTAGCTTGTCTTTATATATATGCAAGCTCTTACATAGTGTCAAGGTCACACGCAGGTGCATGGCAGGGCTGGGCTTCAAAGCCAGGCAGTCTGACTCTGGAGCCTGTGTTCTTCTCAACCACTGGGCTTTTGATGGCCTGACAATTGTGGTTACCTTGCTTTTCTGCCAACTGCAAATTGAAAAGAGGCACTTAAAGGAAGGGAGGACTGCTGGAAACAGTGACATTCATCCCAGTGGTTAAAAACAAAAGTTGGACAAGTCCTCAAAAGTAGTCACAAAAATCATTCCCACTGACCCCAAAAACCCAGCACACACTGATGCCACTTAATAAAGGGGACACATGGTCATACATACCTTGCTTTCCATGGATATCACTGTCCACAATGTCCTGAGTTATCCAATGAAATGAAATTCTGTTCATCATTGAAGAATAATGGAGATTAAGCTTTATCTAAAATAACAGGGATTAAGCTTTACTATGATGTTACATGTAACTTTCATTTCTGCAGAGCCTCTCTCCAGGATGGTGCCAAATTTGGGGAGATTAGAAACTATTCTGTTCACAGCAAGACATCACTGTTAAAAATGCAGGTGCCCAGGCTTCATCCCAGACCTACCCAATCACAATTTGCATTCTGACAAGGTCACTAGGTGCTTCCTATGCACATCAAGTGTTGAGAAGCACGGTCCTAATCGTCACTATATCACTATAACAACAGAATGTTCTGTTGTTTACTTCTTCCTGGCAAGGTGCTAGGCAGTGATTCTCAGCCTTGACTGCGCATAGAAATCATCCGAGGAGGTTTTTAAAATTCCCAGCATTCAGGCTGCTCCACATACCTTGGCTTGCCACCTTTCACACCAAAGTCATGCCAGAAACTCTGGAGGTGGTTGCCAGGCACCAGGAATTTCTAAAGCTCCTCATGTGATTCCAGTATGCTGAAAACCTCTGACTTAAACTTGAGGAGAAAGCATAAGGTTGTGAGCAGCCTGGTTCTTTGTCAGAAGCTGGGTAAATGGTCTTTGTTTATTCCATGGCCACTAAGCCAGGGTCTCTTGTGTCCTTTGCAATTGCTGCAGGTCCAGGTCCCTCAGTGGTCCCTTGGTGACAGTCACTGTGCCTGGTGTCTCCAATCCTTCATTTGTTAGACCCTTTCCATTCTGTGTGGGGTGGTTTGAGGGTGTCAGGGAAGTGATGGAGGGACTAATAGGAGAATGGATCAAGGATAGGACACTCCTCATGAGTTCTTGGTTTCTTAAGCTGAGCCATTCCAAATCTCAGGGTGCAAATTCCATCACTCTTTATTTTGTATTGTAGGCTCTCAGCTTGGTGTCTAAAGCTACTCAATGACCTTTGGTGCATTAAAAAAAATATATTTTGCTTTGTTGCTGCACTGCATGAATCTTCTCCCAAGATATAAACATGGCTCAGTATATTATAAATGAAAGCTTTTCAGTGTCAAGCTGTGTTTTTCTTTCCTTGTGAGTATCAAACACATTTTTTTTTACATGGTATGATGGGACATCTACATGCTGTCCAAGATTCTCCTCCCATCCCATCTGTACGCCTTTACTCTCCAGTCCTCCTGATAACTGAAAGAATTTCTCAACCCCTCACCCTCCACCCCAGAAAACAAAAGGCTTCTTACGGGCTTGAGTTAACTGTATGCATCACAACATAATGCTTTCTGTGGTTTGACCAGATAGTTATAACTCAAGCTCTGTATTTACTACATGACCTTAAACCAGGCAGTCTCCAAATATGTCTGTCTATAATGCATAGTTTGTATATGTAATTGTCTTTTTGAGTGTTACAACAGCAATTATGCTGACTAAATCATAGAAATGGAAATGATTATAAAGCAAGAAATAAAAGGAAATGCAACTGCATTTTGTGTATAGAGGTACCCCGAGGCTCTTAATGAAGAATCTCTGAATTTGAGGCTGGCAAAACACAAAGTGGTTCATAAGTGACCTGAGTTTAATACATTTCAGAGCTTGCTAGTTTGAGCGTGGCAACCTATTACTGAGGATATTATAGTAATGGAGAATTTTTTTTTTTGAGACAGAGTCCCACTCTATCACCCAGGCTGGAGTGCTGTGGCACGATCTTAGCTCACTGCAACCTCTGCCTCCCAGGTTCAAGCGATTCTTGTGCCTCAGCCTTCTGAGTAGCTGGCACTACAGGTGCTTGCCACCACGCCAGGCCAATTTTTGTATTTTTTGTAGAGACAGGGTTTCGCCATGTTGGCCAGGCTGGTCTTGAACTCCTGGCCTCAGGTGATCTGCTTGCCTTGGCCTCCCAAAGTGTAGGAAAGGAGATTTAATGATAAGGCATGAGAGGATCTGAGTGGACTCCTGACAGTTACTCAGCATCTCCACCACCCCCACTGCTTTGTGAGTCAATTTCCAGAAACCCTCAGTGTTTAGAAGCATATTTTCAGGCCATAAAATATAGGTAAATTATAATCAGCAGAGACCACATTAAGGTCAATGAAAAAGGGTGCTCTAGGCTGAAGACAACTGGCCCTGGGAGTTCTGGTGGTCCAGCTGCTACCCTGCTGTCCTAGGGAAGGGAGGGGTTTGAGGTCTTGGCACAGCCGGGACCATGTCTTGGTGGTCACTGATGTAGGGGGTGAGGTGGGAGCTCATGTGTACTGACTGGGATGCTCCAGCAGGGACACCCCAGCTTGCAGCCCTTGGCCATCTGGCTTTGTTTACTCAGGCGGCATCTCCAGGTCCTGCCTCTTCAGTGAATCCTTCCTTGGCTTGCTTTCTTTCCTTTCTTTTTCCTTTCTTTCCTCTCTTTTTTTGAGATGGAGTCTCACTCTGTCACCCAGGCTGGAGTACAGTGATGCAATCTTGGCTCACAGCAATCTCCACCTCCTGGGTTCAAGCAATTCTCCTGCCTCAGCCTCCTGAGTAGCTGGGATTACAGGCGTGCGCCACCACTCCTGGCTAATTTTTTTGTATTTTTAGTGGAAATGCAGTTTTGCCATGTTGGCCAGGCTGGTCTCAAACTCCTGACCTCAGGTGATCCGCCTGCCTCAGCCTCCCACAGTGCTGGGATTACAGGCGTGAGCCACCCCGCCTGGCCAACTGTCTTTTTAAAAAAAGAAAAATTCCCACTGTTCAGCCTTTTAAATGTATGACTTGTGTGATCTTAGGAGTTGTGTTCATTTGCTAGCACAGATTGACCCACTATTGGATTTTCCTAACACGTTTGACACATGCTCCTGTGTGTGTCATTGAGGTGATGTCTGCGTTTGTCTTGTGAAGCTCAGAGCACTAGGAGCATATCTAAATCCTTATGCCTTGAACAGGTGAGAGTTTCACTCACACTCTTTAGGGTTCTAATATTCAGGGGTTTGGATCCCAAAAGAAACTGCCTTCATGATGAGGGGAAAGCACTTTTATTCTTCTAGGAAAGTATATGAAAATATATATCACTTTTTCTACCATCCCAGCTGACCTACCCAAGGGAATGGAGATTGTTAGGTTTGGAAAAAAGAAGACAGAGGGATTATTTGATAATTTCTTTACAAAGGAAAGCTCCACTCTGTAGTTCCTACAGGGAAGGGGGGGCACAAGAAGAAAGAACTCTGTTTTGGACATTCTCTTTTTAAGACTTTATTTACCTTGTTTATGATCATGGCAATATTTACTCTGCGTGTTTTACACCATAGCAATGTGCAAGTTAGAACTGAGGGTCATCCAATTTCACCCTTTCAGGGTAAAGACGATCAAAGGGTTGGAGTTTACTTTTCCTAATCTTTCTATGCATATGCTAAGATATCCTTAGACCTACCACTTACAGAAATGGGTTTATTCTACAATTGCTTTTTTTCAGTTAATAGCTAAGGAATACTTACTCCTGGTTAAATAGGGTGCTAAGCCATTTTACAGCATGGTATTTCACAGCATGGCATTTAATTGTATGGAGGCATCATAATTCATCTGTTCACTGGAGAGTTCTCTAAGGAAATGTAGCAGATGCTAAAGGGGGGGGTCTCTGTTTCAGTATAGTCAGATTTTAATCTTGATATACTTGAAATTAGCATCTTAAGTTTTATCAAAATGAATCAGAAGATCTAATATAACCAGATAGCACGTGGTTCTGGAACTTGGGAGACATGGTCTCTTTTCTTAGATGGTGTCTTGCTCTGTCGCCAGGCTGGAGTGCAGTGGCATGATCTCAGCTCACTGCAACCTCCTCCGCCTCCTGGGTTCAAGCAATTCTCCTGCCTCAGCCTCCCCAGTAGCTGGGACTACAGGTGCATGCCACCACTCTCAGCTAATATTTGTATTTTTAGTAGAGACAGGGTTTCACCATGTTGGCCAGGATGGTCTCGATTTCTAGACCTCATGATCTGCCCACCTTGGCCTCCCAAAGTGCTGGGATTACAGGCATGAGCCAACGCGCCCGGTCTGGGAGACATGGTTTTTAATGACCTACCCTCTCCCTACCTTCCACTGCAGGGTCCTCCAGAAACCCTCTGGCTCTCGCCGAACCTCAGAGGAGGGGATGGGGCTTTGCTTGAGTTCCTTCCAGGTCTGACCGTCTGACAGGGACCACTCCCACCTTCACAGAGAGCAGAGTAAACAGAAGCGCATTTAGTTTACAGCCCAGGGGATTTGCTTAACACAAGGGTGATCATCTCGACTGAGGGAGACTCTGCAGTACTTATCTCTAATCAGCCTTACAAACATGATAGCCATCTTTGCACTGTGGATTTAATCTCTTGAATGGCTTTAATGGTTTCTTCCCCAATTATTAAAAAGGAAAAAGTCTTTTTACTCCCCAGGTCTATGCTTTAAAGTGGGCTGCTATCTGCTGCAAGCTCATGCTGGGTAAGTGCAGGAGCCCATCAAAGTGTTAAGGGCCCTGGCTGGCCACTGGCTGGCTCGCATTTCACTGCTTGCTTTGAACATGTGCTGTGCCATAGGATAGCAGAACACAGGGTGAAGTATCAGCTTCCTCGCTTCATGGAGAGCTGTAGTCCCACGGCACCCACTCCCTTCCTAAAAAGGAGAAATTGAGTTGCCTTTGGGCAGACTCCTGCTAATAAAGTGGGAAGAAAAGGGGACATCAGATCAGCTTTCTCATAAAATTTCTTACACATCTTTTATCTTAACATACTGGACTTAGTATGTTTCTTATATTTACTAAGGTTTCTATTACAGACTTATTTTTCAACACGTGTCTCCTTCTGAATGTACTTATTTTATGGACCAAAGAGCCTCTGCTCAGTGTCTCTAAGGGCCCTCGTAAAGACTTCATGTGCAAATTTGCTGGCTGTGGCCTTGCTGCCATTTTCATCGTTCTGCTGCTCCGGGTTCTGGTTCCATATTTGGCTCTGTTTAAAGATTCCGAGGGAAATGGTGACACAAGACAGCTATGCAACTTAGCTATATATGTTTAAAAAGATACCAAACAGCTTTCCTTTTTTTTTTTTTTTTTCTCAGCCAAATTACCTTCCTAAAAGGATGAGGCTTCTCTTGAATAACCCAGATAATTATCAGGTTTTTGTATTTATTAACATCCTTTCCATATTTAGGCAGTCTCAGCTTAATAAAAAGGTATCACTTGAGTTTAGCATGAGATCAACAGGCCGCTGGTTTGAAGTTTGATTCCTTCTTTCTCCTGCTTGCAAGTTAATCTGTCTAATCTGCATTTTAACCTACGCTCCTTTGGAAGGAATGTAGTTAAGGCTGGGTTTGTAACCTGATGGATGAAAGGGAATCTCCACTGCAGCTGTTGTTTCTTCATTTTTGTTTTGTTTTGTTTTGTTTTGTTTTTTCTTTTTTTTTTGAGATGGAGTCTCGCTCTGTCTCCCAGGCTGGAGTGCAGTGGCAGCAATCTCGGCTCACTGCAACCTCCGCCTCCCGGGTTCACGCCATTCTCCTGCCTCAGCCTCCCCAGTAGCTGGGACTACAGGCGCCCGCCACCACGCCCGGCTAATTTTTTGTGTTTTTAGTAGAGACAGGGTTTCACCATGTTAGCCAGCATGGTCTTGATCTCCTGACCTCGTGATCCTCCCGCCTCAGCCTCCCAAAGTGCTGGGATTACATGCAAACCACCGCGCCTGGCCTTTAGGTGTTCTTTACATGCGTTGTCAAAGGAAAATATCTTGGGCCCCCCAAATCGCTAAACTAAAGGGAAAAGTCAAACTGGAAACTGCTTAGGGCCAGCTTGCCTCCCATTCTATTCAAAGTCACCCCTCTGCTCCCTGAGATAAGTGCGTATCTGATCGGCTCCTTTGTTGTGTGTCTTTTTTTTTTTCTTTTTTGAAAAGGGGTCTCACTCTGTCGCCCAGGCTGGAGTGCAGGGGCGCAGTCTCTGCTCACTGCAATCTCTTCCTCCTGAGCTCAAGTGACTCTCCTGCTTCAGTCTCCCGAGTAGCTGGGATTACAGGCATGCGCCACCATGCCCGGCTGATTTTTGTATTTTTAGTAGAGACGGGGTTTCACCATGTTGTCCGAGTTGGTCTCGTCCTGACCTCAGGTGATTTACCTGCCTCGGCCTCCCAAAGTGCTGGGATTACAGGCATGAACAACTGTGCCCGGCCTTGATTGCCTCCTTTGGAATGTAACCATGTCTCTTACCTACCTACAACCTGGAAGCTCCGTCCCCGCCTCAAGTTGTCCCGCCTTTCTAGACTGAACCAATGTTCATCTTACATATGTCGGTTGATGTCTCATGTCTCCCTAAAACCAAAGTGCACTCTGGCCACCTTAGGCACATGTAGTCAGGACCTCCTGAGGCTGTGTCATGGACGCGCATCCTCAACCTTAGCAAAATAAACTTTCTAAATTAACTGAGACCTGTCTTAGATTTTGGGGACCCACAGCATTATCATCATTAAAAGATTCAAGTTTATTTTGAGGGTGAAAAGCTGAATGTTTTTCTCTCAGAATGTAGCTTATAATTATGAACAGTTTTCAGATATGCCAATGGAGAGTCATATGCTCATACGAAAATTCTGCTATGTTTGTTTCATCTGTCCCTCTTACTCCCTGCTAAAGTATTATAAAGCAAATTCCAGACATGTCTCTTACCACTACATATGTCAGCATTCATCTCTAAAATGTAGGGTGTTCATATGTTACCGGAATTGTCATTATCACACAGAAAAACAACTCAATATAAATATTAAACATTTTTTTTCCTTGGATAAAATAGATTTGTTTTGTGGAGTAATTTCTCTTAAGTCATTAGTGGATGGTACTTCCATTATCACTAGTGAGCGATATTTAAATTTTAACAGATGTGTTAATTCTGGGCAAGTTTCTAGAATAGAAATACTGTCCTGTCCACTAGAATGGTGAGTTGTGACGCTGTTTGTGGTAGAGCAGATCACTGTATGGGGAAGCCACCTGAACTGCTTTGGATTCAGAAACACTTAAATAAAAATTACTTCACCTCAAAGGCAGTTCATGCATTTGACTCCAAAGATAATACTGTAGTATGAACATGGTGTATTCTTATCAGATGAAAATTTACCTTCTAAAGGGAAGCTAACATTTTATTTATTTTTATATGTATATTTGTATTTTACTTTTATGTTTAGAGCCCTTTTAAACCCAAATGAACAGGCCTTTACTTTGACTATTTTTTTTGTAGCAAAATTGGATTAGTCAACACTCGATACATTAGCTTCTCTAATATAAAAATGTGGGCCTGGTGCAGTGGTTCATGCCTGTAACCTCAGCACTTTGGGAGATCAAAGTGGGTGGATCACTTGAGGTCGGGAATTTGAGACCAGCCTGGCCAACATGGCGAAACCCCGTCTCTATTAAAAGTTCAAAAGTTAGCTGAGTGTGGTGGTGGGCACCTGTAATCCCTGTTACTCAGGAGGCTGAGGCAGGAGAATCGCTTGAACCTGGGAGGCAGAGGTTGCACTGAGCGGAGATCACACCACTGCACTCCAGCCTGGGCAACAGAGTGAGACTCCATCTCAAAATACATATAATTTTTTAAATATAAAAGGCAACGAATATTCTGAAGGGAAAGGTATCTAGTCATAGTCTGTCTGTTCTTAATATTCTGATATCTAGTCTTCATGGACATTTTCAACATTTTACCTATTCAGAGTCAAATCAATGATTTACTCAGCATTTTTAATGTCTTAAATGTTTAGTATAAAATATTATTTAAATTGCAGCAGTTAGAATCAAACAATCCCACAGCCGGGAAGACTTTGTGCCCTCAACACCCCCCTGGTCCTTCTGTCCTCACCACAGCAACTGCTTTCTAACTTTCTGGCTTATTCTTTTGGTTTTTGCCTCCATCGCTGTAAGAAACTTATGTTTTAACTTTTTCAGTTTTTGAGTCCTCCCCCCTCCTTCTATGGTAGGAGAAAATTCAGCTATCAACTGTTGCACACACTTATCAGCATTGTACATGCTTACGACTACCGCACCCGCTTACAACCATCGCACACGCTTACTTCCCATCTTTGCATCCCCCGGTATGGTTGTGTTGCCGTTTGGGATAGGTCAGTTTTCAGTGTTGATGTAATGACTGTGGAAATGCTATTGACTCTAAGCCCGGTTGTGTATACTAGGATTGCTTTTCCTTTCTTTTACTGTATCTTACCTTTCCTGTAGTTAAGAACTTAATTTTTTTGTACATATATAATCAAAAGCCATCCCCACTCACTCCCTTTTGTATGAAGTTTCTCTCAATATATTCAAACTCATTAGATGTTCTGTCATTTCAACCTTACATTTGGCCCAGAGCATTGAGGCCTGCACTAATCCAGTTGGTTTCTCACCTTCACTCTGTCATCCTGGGGAATTTTTTTTTTTTAAAGAGATAATCTTTTAAAAAGACTCAACTCCTGGGTTCAAGTGATCCTCCTGCCTCCTGAGTATCCTGGAAAATTTATCTTTCTCTGTGTTGAATTCTGGGTTTCCTGGATCTCACATTTTTCCTCTTTCCTGATTTATTCCTTTATTTTGGTGGCGTGTATAGACTAGTTCTTTCCTGAGAAAGGATCTTGGGAAATGTATCTTTTGAGCCTCAGCAATTCACATATCCAGTTGCCTACTTGATCTTTGCTTGGATGTCTTCAAGAAATTTCAAAGACGACAGGTCCAAGTAGAGATGGTGATTTCTACCCCCGACCAGCCCCCACTCACAGCACAGTCTGCAGCTCTAGCTTGTGGTCTGAATGCCTGGATAGTTGCTCCAGATACAAATTCAGAAGCAATTTTAGATTATTCCATTTCACATTTCCTTTGCATCAAATCTTTTATCAAATGTATCCAGTTTGGGACTTTTTGGGCTATCTCTCTCCACGACATCATCCTGGTCCAGGCCACTGTCATCTTTGGCCTGGAATATTGCAACTGTTCTTTGCTTCCTGTCTTAACTTCTTGCAATCTATTCCCATGTAGCAGAAGGTATGATCCTGAACCTTAAAATACCCAGGCTTAAAATCCTTCTATGGCATCTCATCACTCTGGAAACAAAATCCATATTCCTTACCCTGGGCTGTGAGGCCCGGCCCCTGTCTTCCTCTCCACCTTCATCCTACACTATCCTCCCTCAGTTGAGCTCAGTCGTTTCATTTCTTTAAGACTCTTTCCTGTCTCAGGCTATTACCTGTTCTATTCCCTGTACCTGGATAAAAGGTCTTCCCCCCACTTAAATCCTAATTCTGGTTCCTAATCCTTCTGAATTTAATTATGATGTCACATCCTCAGTAAGAGGTCTCCCAAACTCCACCACTGACACTTCCCTCCATCCCTATCTGTGGTTGTCCATTTCAGGTTTTTGTCTTTGTTGTAGTACTTAAAATTGCTTGTACTTTATTTATTGTGTCTTTTCCTGACTAGATGTCAGAGCAGGGGCTGATCTGTCTCATTTTTGTATGCCCCGTGTCCAGTACGGTTCCTGATGTTGCAGAATACATATTTGTGAAAGAATGAATACATATTACTGTATGGTAAGACTGTCCTCTGAAATAGAGGCATGTTTATTTGATTTAATTTATACTTAGTTTTATTCCATATATAAGGCAGTTATATATAAGAAGATAGCATAAATTGAAAGAGAAAAGGAAAAAGATAAACAGGGCAGGAGACATATGAAATAGAGCTGGCATTGAGGCTAAGAGCCTACAACATAAAGAGCCATAGACTTGCCATGGGTGGGCACTTGCTGCTCAGCTTTCTAGCATCCGGTGAGAAAGTTATCCAAGTCCATGTGGCGAAAACAACAGTGCCCAAGAGAACAAAGACTGTTCCTTATTAAGACCAAAGAGAAGCTTTTTCCAAGCATTCCTGCAAAAAGAACAGTATATAACGTGATGAAGATCATTCCTATAATAGACACGGTGAACTTGCTAGGAATTGTTCCTCTGGTGACCTTCAAGTATAGACCACTGCTGTCCTAAGTACAGTTTGGTCAAAGCTAATTTACGGGGGCTATAAGATGACATCTGGGCTATCTGTGCTGGATTATAGTTCTTGCTGTTTTTGCCACTGTTTGCTTCTGGAGATGGCCTATGAAGGTAGGGCGGGGGGATGTAGTTTTTGGCTTTTATTAACTGTAGGTCCTTTATTTGTCCTAACCAAATACTGATTTTTAACATTGCACCATTTACTTTTGTTTGCCTCTGTTGAACATCTTAGAGACCTTGCCTCTTTTCTTCCAGACATTACTGTTAGATTCCTTCCATCCCATCACTAGGTCTGATGTATACCTCCTCTAGCAGCACCCTCTAGTGTAAAAGGGACTAGACTCTCAGAAAGTATTTTGAGAATGTCTTCCTAATTTTTGTATTTGATAACTGTTTCTAAACTCTGGGCCAACCTTCTCTGCTCTCTGATGCATGTTTTCCTCATCTCCTGAATGTTGTGGGGGTTTTCCTTTAACTCAGTAATGCTTGTACGTTCACAATCACTGGGGATTATCAAAAGAATGGAGTTGAGAGATGGAGGAAGCTTATCTTCCTTGGCTTTGTAGAAAAGTCTTTTAACACGGGAGCTGTCCACTTAGAGGGAAGCTGCTCAGAGGAGCAGAAAATTTCATTTTAATTCAGTAGTCCCATGTGTGGGGGAGAGAGATGTAAAGTTGCTGTAGGTTTTAGTTATTGTTGCTTGGTTTTCCCCATATAGTGCTCAGTCTGCAACCAATTATTGACCATACCAATCATACCAATATTATAGATGATTATAGAACTATTTAGTACCATGGTTGGTACACAATGCAGAAATTCCTGCCGAATCAGTTTTTGTGCTACAAACTGGGCATAATGCACATTACTAGAGAACACCATTGGCAGTGAGGCTTCTGTCATTGGGCACTAGAACTGCTCATAGGAACAAAAGCTACTAGTGACACTTTGGGCAGCTGACTAGGTTACTTTCTTCAATACTGTTATCCAAGCTACAACTTATCTTAACTTTGGGTGTTGTATTATCCATCCTGTTTCAATGTTGTGCCTTATGAAAAGCCATGGTCGATAAAGATAAGGATGTTTACAGGAGAGTGCCAGTGATAGTCTTGGTGGAAACAGAAGAAGAAAAGACTTTTGAGCAAAATCTGGATATGATTAAATGCTGGATTTGCCCAGGAATTGTTTAGGTTTTACAGCTAAATGTTATTGTTATTTATTAAATTCCTGTAGAAAATAACTTCTATTGTAAATTTGAAATTTTATAGACCCTAAACCCCTTTTCCCTATGAGAGCAGTTATATTTTATAAAAGTTGTGGATTACACAAGATATCTTAGAAATGCAAATATTGTGTAATAGCAGAAGAGATTGTGCTTGCTAAATTTTCCTGGATCCTGTCAAACAAACACTTAATAACTTATATTAATTTTGGTTGTGCTCAAATATGTTCTTATTGACCTTGTTTATTTTTCACATTTTTTAAAATTATACTTTAAGTTCTGGGATACATGTGCGGGACATGCAGGTTTGTTACATAGGTATATACGTGCCATGGTGGTTTGCTGCATCCATCAACCTGTCATCTACGTTAGGTATTTTTCCTAATGCTGTCCCTCTCCTAGCCCCCTACCCACCGACAGGCCCCAGTGTGTGATGTTTCCCTCCCTGTATCCATGTGTTCTCATTGTTCAACTCCCACTTATAAGTGAGAACATGCTGCGTTTGGTTTTCTGTTCCTGTCTTAGTTTGCTGAGAATGGTTTCCAGCTTCATGTCCCCACAAAGGACGTGAACTCATCCTTTTTTATAGGTGTACAGTATTCCATGGTGTATATGTGCCACATTTTTCTTTATCCAGTCTGTCATTGATGGGCATTTGGGTTGGTTCCAAGTCTTTGCTATTGTGAATACTGCTGCAATAAACATACATGTGCATGTGTCTTTATAGTAGAATGATTTATAATCCTTTGGGTATATAACAAGTTCTGAAATTGAGGCAGCAATTAATAGCCTACCAACCAAAAAGAGCCTGGGACCAGACGGATTCATAGCTGAATTCTACCAGAGGTACAAAGAGGAGCTGGTACCATTCCTTCTGAAACTGTTCCAAACAATAGAAAAAGAGGGACTCCCCTCTAACTCATTTTATGAGGCCAGCATCATCCTGATACCAAAACCTGGCAGAGACACAACAAAAAAAGAAAATTTAAGGCCAGTATCCCTGATGAACGTTGATGTGAAAATCCTCAATAAAATACTGGCAAAACAAATCCAGCAGCACATCCAAAAGCTTATCTACCACGATCAAGTTGGCTTCATCCCTGGGATGCAAGGCCGGTTCAACATACGCAAATCAATAAACGTAATCCATCACATGAACAGAACCAATGACAAAAACCACATTATTATCTCAATAGATGCAGAAAAGGCCTTCAATAAAATTCAACACTGCTTCATGTTAAAAAACTCTCCATAAACTAGGTATTGATGGAATGTATGTCAAAATAATAAGAGCTATTTATGACCTTGTTTTTAATAACAATGATTGTAAGAAGTATGTGCCGAGCACTTACTATGTTCCAGGCACTGTGTTAAGCAATGTGTATTTTCTTTAATCTTCTTGACAATCTCAAACCATTTTTGTTTATTTTTTGAGATGGAGTCTCACTCTGTCACCCAGGCTGGAGTGCAGTGGTGGGATCTTGGCTCACTACAACCTCCACATCCTGGGTTCAAGCAATTCTCCTGTCTCAGCTTCCCAAGTAGCTGGTATTACAGGTGTCTGCCACCACACCCAGCTAATTTTTGTATTTTTAGTAGAGACAGGGTTATGCCGTGTTGGCCAGGCTGGTCTCAAACTCCTGACCTCAAGTCATTCACCCTCCTTGACCTCCCACAGAGCTGGGATTACAGGCATGAGCCACCACGCCTGGCCTCAACAAACTATTTTTAATCCTCATGTTCCAGAAGAGATGATTAAGGCTTAGGTTTGTCAAGCAACTTTCTCACAGTCCCATAACTTACCAGCGGTGGAGCCATGTTGGAGTCATGTTTCCAGCTGACTTTTGATTATTTCTTAGTCTTAAATTTTTTTTTTATTTCCATAGGTTTTTGGGGAACAGGTGGTACTTGGTTACATGAGTAAGTTCTTTAGCGGTGATTTGTGAGATCTTGATGTACCTATCACCCGAGCAATATACACTGAAACCAATTTGTAGTCTTTTATCCCTCACTCCTTCCCACCCTTCCCCCCACCGCAGTCCCCAAAGTCTTATGCCTTTGCATCCTCATAGTTTAGTTCCCACTTATAAAATACAGTTTTATTCTTGTATCCTTCATCTGTTGCAGCATAACAAACCACCGCAACACTTAGTAGCCTAAAAAAATTATTCTCTTGCTCACAATTGTATGGGCTTGCCATTTGGGCAAGGCTCATTAGAGAAGGTTTGGCTTGGTTCCAGATGATGCAGGCTGCAGTGGTTCAGCTGGCACTGGAGGAGCTGAGAGGGCCTCACTCTTGTGTCTGAGGTCTGGGTGCTGGATGCCAGCAGAAATGCTTCAGTTCTCTTCCAGCTGACCTCTCCACTTGGTCCCTCATCAATCAGTAGTCTAGGCAGGGCATCTGTTTATGGTGTATAAGCATTCCAAGTGCAGAGACAGAAGCAGTCTGAGGCAGCTTTTGAGTCCCAAATTACTGAAAACTGGAACTAGCACAGGCTGCTTTCATTGCATAATATTGATCAAAGCAGGTGACAGGGCCAGCCAGTCTAGATTTGGGACAGCGGCAGCTTGTGCACAGGAATGGGAGGATTGTTGCTTACTGCAGGCAAGTTACCATCTACCACTGTCATCTGCACTGGTGGTCTCCACCCACCACCCCATGGATCATGATCCTCCTTCATGTGACCTCTTTCTGTCTTGGCTTCTGGTCTCATGATACTATGATTTTCCAAACAGCTACTCCAGCCACATTTTTATTATATTTTATTCCCTTTTCATAATAGTTTAGAGCCTGTGGCCCCAAGTTCTACTCTGATTGTACCTATGTTAATGCACATAGAATTCTATGTGAATGGACAGTCTCCACGTCCATGGCTGAAGTCCTTGATCCTTTCTTCTGTCCTGTTGAGGGTTTTGCAGGCTTTGCCTTAGCTGAATTTGTCATCTGTATGTTATCTGCAAACCAGCGTCCTGCCAGCTTTCTTGTTATTGCCACTAGAGCCAGCATTTTTCTAGCTCATTAAATCTGCTCTCTAGGAGTAAATACTGACTACCCCCCCCCTTTTTTTTTAACCTTCCCACCATCCTTTTATCTAATCTGACACATAATAGCAGCCTTTGAGAATGCCTTTCCCCTTCCCTTCACTGCTTGTATTCAGGCTTGTATCACCTCATCCCTCACTCAACACAGTTGTTCCAAGTGACCACCCTCCTGCCTTATCTCTTCCTATTGAGCTCTGTTCATCCCACAGTTGCTGGTCTTTGGAAGTGCCATTAAGGAAACCTATGTCCTATCACTTTTCTTGCTGAAGACTGTCTCCTCCCTGTCAGTGACTGAAGAAGAAGTCAGTTACTTCTTTTTCTTACTTTTTTTTTTTTTTTTTCTGAGACAAGGTCTCACTCTGTTGCCCAGGCTGGAATGCAATGGTACAATCATGGCTCACTGCAGCCTCGACCTCCTGGGGTCAAGCAGTCTTCCCACTTTAGCCTCCCAGGCAGCTGGGACTATAGACGCCTCCATACCTGGCTAATTTTTGTCTTTTTTGTAGAGATGGGGTTTTGCCCTGTTGCCCAGGCTGGTCTCACACCCCTGAGTTCAAGTGATCTGCCAGTCTTGGCTGCCTCCCAAAGTGCTGGGATTACAGGTATGAGCCACCACACCTGGGCACCACTGGTCACTTCTTATTGTAGGGTACTCAAATGGCTTTCCTAGCGTTCAGGACCTGTCAGCAGCTACTGCCTCCCTTTCCCCAAACCCAGTGATACTTAAGTCTCCCTTAATATGATCATTAAAGTATATTCAACTGTCCTTTGCCGAGCTTTGCTTGAGGCCAAGTTGTGGCATAGCTTTGAACGTCAATCATGGGTTTAGATTTTGATGAACTTCTAAAATGCCTTGTACGATGGAGTGATAGGATTGAAAATTATTATTTTTTTGAGACAGTTTCACTCTTTTTGCCCATGCTGGAGTGCAGCGGTGTGATCTAGGCTCACTGAAACCTCTGCCTCCCGGGCTCAAGTGATTCTCCTGGCTCAGCCACCCAAGTAGCTGGGATTACAGGTGCTAGCCACCACACCCATCTAATTTTTGTATTTTTGGCAGAGACAGCATTTCACCATGTTGGCCAGGCTGGTCTCAAACTCCTGACCTCAGGTGATCCTCCCGCCTCGGCCTCCCAAAGTTCTGGGATTACAGGTGTGAGCCACCATACCTGGCTGGATTGAAAATTATTTAGGATAATGGATTCCTTGGTGTAAGATATAGAATCACTTGCTAAGGAAGAGATAGACCGGTCCACTTTGAAACTTTCATATGGAGGTGGTTACATGGCAGGAGTTGTATAAGCAATGGGCCGTCCTATTACTGGGCACACGCATGCATGACCATGAGACAAATCCTCATTATGAAAGAAGCTGGTCATGTTTCCAGGCTCACATGCCTTCCCTTAGGAACATCCTGTTGATCCTAAGCCCACGCCTCTTCTCAGACATTTGCCATCCCACTTTCTTATTCCTTCTCCCACCTTGAAGAGGAATGAATTAGTTAACCATTTATATATTGACTTTTCTTCCCCAAATCATTCCTGCAAGAGTGTCCATTTCTTTAGTTTGTGGGATAAAAAAATTGTAATGAAAACCACAAGTTTTTATTATAATTTTTCACTTTTATTATAATTTTCACTCAGAAGTTTTACTTCTGAGTTTTGCCACTTATGTAATAAGGCACATGCTTCTCTTCCACCCTTCCCCCACCCCCTCCTGCTTTCTGAAACAGACATGCTATGGGAACTAAAATAGAAGCACATGTTGAAGATGGAAAGGCAAGAAGCAGAGGTCCATGATTGCATCAGCCCTGTGCTGTTTACACGAGAAAAACATCTATCTTAAGTCACTGTTACTTCGTAGCAGCCAAATATTCAGACAAATGTAGCATCAGTAATCATCATGGATGCAATTTTTTTGAGTGCCTATTCTGTGCTACACACTGTGCTGGGTACATTTACACAACAACCCCATGGCGTTAGTAATTATTTCCCATGGAAATGCAAGCCAGATATAGTTAATCTATCCTAGGTCCTGCAGCTGAAAGGTGGGCCTGACCCCATGTTCAGGTACTTCTCATTGTACCACCCTAACTCCAGTGCCCCTCCGGAAGTTCGGGGAGAGATGTGAGGGAACCTGAAGTCATCTCCAGCACTTCATGATGTCCGGGTTGAGAGCACAAGGGCACCGCGGGTGTTCCTCCAGTCTAAGCCTGGAGACCTGGGCTTGAAAGCAGCTTTCTTGCAGCCACAGGGACAGCCTGGAGCCACGTAGGTGCACATGGGCCCTAAGGAGCAATGTCCATGTGTTCCCCAGTAGTGACTCTCTTGACTCCAACTTTCCTCTCAGCCACAGATATTCCCTGTACCTCACCTTCCAGTGCTGTGGTCACAGCCAGGATGTCCTATTGATTCAAGGAGGAAGCCAAGGAGCTGTTGGTCAGAACCCTCTTTCCAGGGAAAGGAAAACGAGATGGCTGGTGGGAGTAGGTTAGACACAGGCAGTATCAGCCTGTAGCGGGGCATAGCTAGCATGGAGCCTTGTTATTCAGGAATATTGTCCAAGTCTTTTAATGTTTATAAACAATATCTGTGAGGGGTTATGGGAGCTAGAGGGGAAGGCTGGCGGAGGATACTGGTGATACCATATTGGAAAATAAGTGTAGCTAAAAAGGCAATACTTCATCTTTATAAGTGACTTATGTTGGCCGGGCAAGGTGGCTTATGTCTGTAATCCCAGCACTTTGGGAGGCCGAGGTGGGTGGATCACTTGAGGTCACAGGAGTTCAAGACCAGCCTGGCCAACATAGTAAAACCCTCTCTCTACTAAAAATACAAAAATTAGCCAGGTGTTGTGGCGTGTGTCTGTAATCCCAGTAATCCCAGCTACTCTGGAGGCTGAGGTGGGAGAATTGCTTGAATCTGGGAGGTGGAGGTTGCAGTGAGCCGAGATCACATCACTGCACTCCAGCCTGGGTGACAGAGCAAGACTCCATATCACAAAAAAAAAAAAAAAAAAAAAGACTTATGGAAAACCATCATCCAGCACAATGTTGGACATATCGCACTTACAAAGTGCCCAGTAAACTAACTTTGCACAGAGGCAGCCTTAGCCATGTGAGAAATCCATGTCTAGAAATTTATCCTAGGGAAATTAAGGATGTGCAAAGAGGCATCATTTGAGGCTGCTTAATCTCACTTTTGTTTTTAATATAAACTGAACAAAACCTAAATGTGCAATGATAAGAGTACAATTTTGGGTCTGTCCATAGAATGGAAGCTATTTCAATGAATATTTTTCTGAGATGAAAATATGCTTATGATATATTATGTGAACAAAGCAGATTACATATGAAATATATATTCATTTTTATAAAGCATGTATATATGTAACACCTAATTATTATTATTATTATTATTATTTTGAGATGGAGTCTCGCTTTGTCGCCCAGGCTGGAGTGCAGTGGTGTGATCTCAGCTCACTGCAACCTCTGCCTCCCAGGTAACAGGAATTCTCTGCTTCAGCCTCCAGAGTAGCTGGGATCACAGGCACCCACCACTATGCCCGGCTAATTTTTGTATTTTTAGTAGAGACTGGGTTTCACCATCTTGGCCAGGCTGGTCTTGAACTCCTGACCTTGTGATCCACCCGCCTCAGCCTCCCAAAGTGTTGGGATTACAGACATGAGCCACCATGTCCGGCCAATTTTTTTAAATTATACTTTAAGTTCTGGGATACATGTGCAGAATGTGCAGGTTTGTTACATAGGTATACACGTGTCATGGTGGTTTGCTGCACCCATCAACCTGTCATCTACATTTATGTATTTCTCCTAATACTATCCCTCCCCTAGCTCCCCACCCCTCGATAGGTCCCGGTGTGTGATGTTCCTCTCCCTGTGTCCATCGTAACACCTAAATTTTTATCCAGTTTTACAGAAATATTCAGTGACTCCATGAGTCAAAGTTTCTGTCTTCTGGTAGTGGGGTTCTTGCAGGTGAACAGGGAAAATTACCGTTTCTTGTGCTGCATATTCTCTGCCACTCTACACCCACTCCCCATTCTTTCCTGTCCTGCTTTGTGTCCTGAGTTCTGTAGGCTGACTCTGTGGAATGAACTGAGTGCCATCTGGCTTTCTGTTGGGTACAGCCAGTGACACACCCAGCAGCTGATCAGGGGATGAGGGGAGAGAGGCTGGTGTATTTCCTCCTCAACTTTCTCCAGAGCGGTGGGTTGGTATTGGCTGCGTGCTTCTAGGAAGGGCCACAGTCATTGTCAGTGTCCCTCATGACTTTAGCCTCACATCTCATTGCCTTCCTGCACCGGCTCTTTCCCCTTACCCCTTCAGGTGATGGGGTAGCAGTTTCCTGCTGTTGCCAGCCCCTCAGTGCTTCATGTCCTGGGTTGGCATTCTTACCCCTGTGCACACCTTTGTAAACAGCTCCATCACAAAACCTTCCTCCTTGGCCCTGGAGAAATACATCTGCAGTTTCTAATTTTTCTGCAGTGTACAATCCTTACGAAATAGAAAAATGTACCCTGTAACTTTATTTATTTATTTTTTAATGTTTTTGAGTCAGGGTCTCCCTGTGTCACCAGGCTGGATTGCAATGGCACAGTCATGGCTCACGGCAGCCTTGAACTCCTGGGCTTAAATGATCCTCCCACCCCAGCTTCCTGGGTAGCTGGGACTATAGACGTATGCCACCAGGCCTGGCTATTTTTTTTTTGTCGGGACAGGGTTTCACTATGTTGCCCAGGCTGGTCTCAAACTCCTGGCCTCAAGCAATCCTCCCACCTTGGGCTCCCAAAGCACTGGGATTATGGGCATCAACCACTGAGCCTGGCCTCTTGTAACTTTATTTATTTATTTTTTGAGACAGAGTCTTGCTCTGTTGCCCAGGCTGGAGTGCAGTGGCACGATCTTTGCTCACTGCAACCTCCGCCTCCCAGGTTCAAGCGATTTTCCTGCCTCAGGCTCCTGGAAAGCTGGGACTACAGGCACGCACCACCACACCCAGCTAGTTTTTGTGTTTTTAGTAGAGATGGGGTTTCACCATGTTAGCCAGGATGGTCTTGATCCCCTGACCTCATGATCCATCCACCTCGGCCTCCCAACGTTCTGGGATTACAGGCATGAGCCACCACGCCCAGTCTCCTTGTAACTTTAAAAATGTGCCTTGTATACATTCACAATGTTGTTCCCTGCCCCCACCCCCCCACCTCAAAAAAAAAGTGTCTTGTAGCTTTGCTGAAACTTTCATGGTAGCAGCAAACCCTCTCCACATGGTTGATACAGCAGTTTCCACAGGCCCTGAGTGATGCCTTTTGTCCTGGGTGATTGCAGTTGCTGGCTTATGCTGCCAGCCTGTATCCTTATGTAGAATGTCATTTGCTCCTGGTTTTCACAAAAATGGAACTTTCACCGACAAGCCATTGAAGTGTCAGTGCTTTTGCCAGCTGTGACAGGATTGGAGTCTGATATGGTTTGGCTGTGTCTCCACCCAAATCTCATCTTGAATTGTAACTCCCACAATTCCCATGTGCCATGAGAGGAATCTGGTGGGAGGTAATTGAATCATAGGGGTGGGTTTTTCCCGTGCCGTTCTCATGATAATGAATAAGTCTCACGAGATCTGATGGTTTTAAAAACAGGAGCTTGCTATCACAAACTCTCTCTTTGCCTGCTGCCATCTATGTAAGACGTGACTTGTTCCTCCTCGCCTTTTGCCGTGATTATGAAGCCTCCCCAGCCATGTGGAACTGTAAGTCCATTAAACCTCTTTCTTTTGTAAATCGCCGAGTCTCGGGTATGTCTTTATCAGCAGCATGAAAACGGACTGATATAGAATCTGTCCGTGGGTAGACTGAATCATTCACTCCCTGTTCCCAGAGTTGTCCACAACAGTGTTTTGTACATGATATATTCTATACATGTGTGTGAACTGAAAAATTAACTTGGCCCACACAGTGTTCCTGCTTGGTTAAAGCCAAGTTTCTCAGCTGACAGTAATAGCTGCAAAGCAAACACAGACGCACTAGACCCACTTGCTCTGCTCTTGGTGAGCAGTGTGCTTTTTAGTGGGAAATGCTTACCCAGGAAGAGCGTGGCCTGGGGTACATCCATCACCTCGGAGCCGTAAACAGTGCTGCTGTTGAGTGCAGTGCTTCCTGATGTTAGAGGCTTTTACTTTGCTTTCAGAAGAAAAGCACATTTTCCTCTTGTCCACATGCAGTGAAGTCATACCCAGTTGTTTCCGGGAGCAGTGAGATGTTGCAGTTGGATCTATAAAATATGAACAGCCAGATAAATTGGTGGTTAAAATGATGTGGTGTACCCCTACTTTCTGAAGAATTTTCCCGTTAAATTGCTTCATTTAGTAAACTCAACAATGATTACCCAACACTTATTTTTAAATGGGATAAAAAATTCCTGTGGATTCCTTCTACCACAATTCCCAACCATCTAGCCTGGCTGTTAATCACTGGAGGCCTTTAATGCGAATGAACAGAGCTGAAGTCAATACACCTTCTGTACCATAACCAGTAAAATCAGGATAAAAATGCTGAGACAGGGAATCTTCTCTGTCACCTGAAGTTGCAGTTATTAGCTCATAAACAGACTTTTGCCTGCATCCTCTTGCGTGAGCTTTTGTCTCGGGGGGACTCTGGTTGACAGGGAACACAGGTTTTTAGGAAGTTGTACATGCACTAAGAAGAATGCCAGCTGACGCTTGGAGCTGCCTTGGCCTTGTATCTGATTATTCCCATGCAAGCAATGAGGAAAAAATTGCACTAGGGTCCTGTTTGAAGTCAAAGCTGCCTTTTGCTACCAGACTTACACAAGAAAATGCAACTCCTAAGAGGGGAGGGCAGTGAAGAATGGATCCTCCTCTGCCTGTTGATCAGTCTTTAACTTTACTTCTCCCTCAGCTCACCTCTTCAGTATTGTCCTGATTTGCCTGAGACAGTGCCAGCATTTGCCTATTTTATAATTGTGATTATTAATAGTGCCCATGAATGAGACAGTCGCATGAATTGGATCTCTTCTAGCCATCCCTACTGCCACTCAGCTTATCTCTTGCCCTGAATAATGCCCTCTGGTCTCAGCCTCTGAATTGTCTTCCTTCTGACTCTCATGTTGCTGAAAGTCATCTTCCTGAGACAGATCGGTAGAGGGTCAGCAGTTCCTCAGTAGAATGAGGTGCTTAATGGCAGCAGCCTGGTTTAAAGGGCTACGAGTGGACATGACTAAAGGGTTTATGTTGAAGCTACTTAATGTGTATGTGTAGTAGGCCCTTTGTTTATATTTAGGGCTGAATGTTTATTGTGGATGTCTTGCAGTAGGTGGGGTCATGCTCAGGATTCTCACAGCATGTCTCTCCTCTGTTTATGCCCCTTCTCTCCCATAGCAATCTCTTCTGTTCCCATTTACTTTATCCTCAGTTGCCACATACATATGGACTGTCCTTTCTCTCTGATGTCAGTCACCTGCTGCGCTTCTCTCTTTGGAGGCCTTTGCTGTGGTCTGAGTGTGTCTCCCCAAAACTTACATGTTGAAACCTAACCTCTAAGGTGATGGGATTAGGTGGGGTCTGTGGGAGGTGATTAGGTCATCAGGGTGGAGCCCTAATGAATGGGATTTGTGCCCTTATAAAAGCCCCTATAGGGCTGCCTTGTCCTTCCGTGTGAAGATATAACGAGAACTCAGCAGCCCACAACCTGGGAGAGGGTCCTCACCAGAACCCAATCATGCTGGCATCCTAATCGCAGACTTCTCAGTCTTCAAAACTGTGAGAAATCAACTTCTGTTCCTTATAAGTTACCCAGTTCATGGTATGTTGTTAGTGCAGCCTGAACATGCTGTGCAGGCTCCATGAACAATACATTTGAAGCAGAACTTATTTCTCCTGCTGTTGTTCCTCCTCCACCTTTGTGTTTTCGATCTTGGTTAGTGACTTCACCAACTTCCCAGCCTCCCAAACTGGAATCTTGGGAGTTATCTGCTTCTTCCCTGCCTTTTCATAATGTAATTGATTACCAAATCCCATCACTTCTGCCTCATGACAGTCTCATGAATTGGAACTCCTGTACATCCCTACTGCCACTCAGCTTATCTCTTGCCCTGAATAATGCCCTCTGGTCTCAGCCTCTGAATTGTCTTCCTTCTGACTCTCATGTTGCTGAAAGTCATCTTCCTGAGACAGTCCCCCAAACGTACCCAGCTCTGCTTGACTCTGCTTACAGAGACATCCTCCTGGCTTGGTCTACCCGCTGACATCAATCCATAACTACATCTCTTCCATCCTCCTTGCTCTCAAGGCCCAGCCTCACAGAACTCTGCAGCATCAGTGAAGAATTTGTCATCCAAATCAGGATGATTTTAAAAATGAAAGGGGCACTCTTCATAATCACATTGATAAAATAGGCAAACACTGGCACTGTCTCAGGCAAATCAGGACATATGTTGACTTGATGTTCTCTCTTCTGTTGGAATGTCCTTCCAGCTATTCCAGGAAGTTCACACCCTCATTACTAAAGCTCAGATATTACCTGCTTTGTGCATTTTTCACAACCACTCTAAAGAAAAACCACTAGTTACCTCCTCTCTGACTGGCATTGCTTTTATGAAAGCTTGCGCACAATCTACTTCCCATTAGGATCTTCTTCTCTCAGCAATTGCTCCATGATAGTAAGAAAAGTATCTTATCCTTCTTCCTATCCCTATCCCTAGCACCAAGCCTGGTGCCTAGCACATGGGAAATATTCAGTAAATCTTTGTTAAAGTAATTTGTTGAATTGTATTTTCACTTTTTTTAAAAAATGAAGCACATTGAACTTGGAGTCATTCTCTAGGTTTTGTTTTGCTATAGTGAGCCTTTGTGATAGAACCTTATATATGTTTATTTTTTTGAGACAGGGTCTTGATGTTTTGCCCAGGTCGGGCTTGAACTCATCCTCCTGCCTCTCAAGTAGCTGGGACTACAGGTGTACACCAAGAAACTTATGTTTGCACAGGATTTTAGAATGTATAAAGCACCTTTTTATGTATTACCTGGATGAATTACCTATAAACTCGCTTTAGAGCATTTGCATCTATTCTGCCTGCCAGCATGCCCTCCTCTCCACCTGGCTAACTCCTGCCTGCACTTTATGACTGGGCTTAGCTCTCATGGTCTCCCTGAACCTGCTGTTAGATTATGGCCTCCTTCAATGCATTCCTGTGGCTTCTACATCATGCAGTAATCACATTTTGTAATTATACATTTGGATGACTATTTGTGTAATTTCCCCCCTCTAGGCTATTATTGCAGTGAGGAAGGAACCTGTCTGTTCTGGTCACCTTCCTACCATGGTGCTGGCATTGAGGTGGGAAAAAATATTTAGGAAATGACAAAGTGTAACTGGTCTCTATTTGTAGAGTACAAATAATGTAATCCACCTTGTAATATACGTTGTAAATTTGCAGATTGATGTACTTGCTGAAATATGTGTGTAATCTCCAAATCAGTACAGAACTTTCATGGTCATTCAAGGACACATCCAGAGCTGTGAAAAATGAGTGTCCCACTATGCACGTTCCCAGCTGAGGTCACAGAATGGGACTATCTTCTGGTGTCAGCTGTCATACAGTAAACAAGTACCCTTCTGCAGTCTGTGCAGTTCTGTCTTGTGTTTTTGTTATTGGTGGTGATTTCACTGTTTTAAAATGGCCCCCAAGAGCAGTGCTGACATGTCTAGTGCTCCTAAATGCAAGAAGGCTGTGATGTGCCTTGTGAGAAAGTGCATATGCCAGATAAGCTCTGTTAAAGCATGAGTTACAATGCTGCTGGTTGTAACTTCAACATGGATCAATCAGTGATTTTTTTTTTTTAAGACTGAGTCTCACTCTGTTGCCCTGGCTAGAGTACAGTGGTGCCATCTCAGCTCACTGCAACTTCTACCTCCTGGATTCAAGCGACTCTCCTGCCTCAGCCTCCCAAGTAGTGGGGATTACAGGTGCGCAGCATTGTGCCCCGCTAGTTTTTGTATTTTAGTAGAGACAGGGTTTCACCATGTTGGCCAGACTGGTCTTGAACTCCTGGCCTCAAGTCATCCTCCCGCCTCGGGCTCTCAAAGTGCTTGGATTACAGGCATGAACCACCATGCCGGGCCAACAGAATCTATTAAATAAGGTGTCTTTAAACAGAAATATACATAAAACAAGGTTATATATTGATTGGTTGAGAATATTGTGGCCAGAGGCTTATGGGAACCTCACGCTGTGTTTCCCCAATGACTCAGTATTTGCCAACTCAGTTTCTGAGGTTACCTTCTAGAATAAAACTACCTGAGTAATGAGGATTGACTTGTTCTCACCCCATTTCATTAACTATGGAAGTTAAAGTTCCAAGAATTAAATGTCTGGCATCAGAACAGTCAGCTAATGAATATAAGACTCAAAACTCATTTGTTCCACAAATATTTATTGAACCCCTATTCTGACTCAGGCACTGTGTATATTTGGCCCTCTGGATTCTTAACCCCCAGACCAAATGCATGTGAACAGTGTCCCAGCTTCTTCAGTGAGTTATTGTAAATAAATAAGCTCAGTTGCACAAATTACCAAACTCCTTTTGTGCTAGACCAAAAATATTTACTGTGTTGTTGGTCTCCAGTCTGCAGATCCATAGAGACGCCTCTCAGATGGCTGAGATGTTTTCTTAAGTTGCAAAATTTTCCAGATGAATTCCACAGTGGAAGTATGTTAGCTCTATATTGTTGGACTATCTCCAGGGAAAATGCGTTGGCCAAGGGGAGAAAAAAATACGTATTTTAAAAAACAAAAACAAAAAAAAACACCTCCCAGTCCATGATCATTGAGTAGTCATGGGAAGAAATAGTTTACAAAGATGTATTTATTTATACATTTTCCCTTTGTCCCACAGTCTGCCAGGTATTGGTATGTCTGGACAAAAAAAGGGACATTTGTAAATATGTGGTTGACCTTTTGGCCACAGAATTATAGTTATTCCAATGAGAGAAGAGTTCTTGCTGATTGCTTCCGTGAATCACATTTTCTAAGTATTTCAGAAAGTATTTTTGAATTACTTTATATCATATTTAAAAAAAATACGTGTTGGGCTTTTGTTTGAGGCAGAAAATGGGAACAGGCTGTTTGACTTAGGTGGGCAGTACTGTCTATAAATCCCTCTATCAGGGAAGCAGTAAAAAGCACACATACAGATGTCAAAGCTGAGAACTTGGGCAGTATTTATAGTGTGGTCCAAGTAGTTTGTTTACAACAAATGCTTAAACTTAGGCTCAAAAAGGCTTTGCTCTCTATGCAAACATACCCAGAATATCACAAGGGGGAATATTCTGAAAAGAGCAACTAAAGTTGGTGTTTAGGAATTGGAATACCGTACACCGAGAATGAAGTATGAAACTCTTTTGCCTTGCTAAGCAAGACCGATCAGTGTAAAATGGGAAGATTGGGATGCTATAAGGAATCAGCCTCTATTTAAAGGGCATTTAAATCTTAAAACTTACATGTTGGACTAAATGACCATTTGCTTACTTATTTTTATATTTTCTGTGTTTGTGAAAAGGTTTGTGTTTCCAGATAGGGCTGTAGCTACTGTGTATGATGCTTTATTTTTCAACTGGGAAAAGATATCCCTTCCTTTAGGCTGATAGAGGGAGTGCAGGCTGGATTTCGGCCCCTTTCGGCACTCTCAGCTGGGTGCCCACGTACAGGGCAAAACTATGCAATTGTATGCAGGGGTCCTGAGCCCTGGTGAGGCCACTGAAGTGTGTCTGGAGAACTACACATGAGCTCCAACAAACTCACGCATTGTCTGTGACCCGGCTTTAGGGACGCAGCTAGACAGAGAAAAGGAAAGCATTGCATAGCGAGGTCCTAGGGATAAAGGGAATCAGTGACACAAACTTAGAACTGGGAGGGGGGACCTCTGAGCTCTGCTTTGTCCACTCCTTCAATTTACAGATGAGCAAACGGGGGTCCAGGAAGCTTTCATCCATGTGTTTGATCACGCAGCTCATTGCTGGCAGTGGGAAAAGTTTCTGCTTCAGTCGGTTCAGGATGGATTTTACTATTTCCTCTACCTATGTATGACATAGCTACGTGTCACTGGGCACTGTCATCAGGCTCAGCTCTGCTTCCCTGAGACCCAGGCTCTCTAGAAATCCTGAAATTGTGGTCAGACACATCCCTGTCATGACTCTTTTCTGGCTGTGCATTCGATAGCTTTGAAGATGTGATGGATTTTGTTTCGTGATGTTGTTCTTTCTTTCAGTTTGGCATGCGGTGAATTAAAATTGCTGTAAGTGCGACCAAATCACTTCTCAGAGCTCTTAGAAATAACAGGGAGATTTCTGCCTGCCCACCTCCCCACCTTTTCATGCCCGAGAGAATGCATAAAGCACTTCTAAGAATTAGTTGGTTGTCTGAAAACAATGTAAGATGCCTGTATTTTTGGATGTCACAGTGTCTGTATTGGCTCCTAACATTTAAAGTTGGTTGCTGTTTGAAAAAAAAAAAACATGTAAATTCTTTTAATGTATTAAGAGTGTTTATGGAATATGCCTCAACTTCAGTGTGGGAGGCCCCATTTCCTTATACAATTTCTCCAGTAACATAATCCTCAGTACTTACATAGAACGTTTCTCCAAGGAGGTCAGAGTACTTGTAGTCATTATTTCATGACCCCCAGCAACTTACACATAATGTGTGTGGAAGTCGTGCAAAGGAACGCGTGGCATGCACGGGCTCGCTTGCTTTTCTTTTCCATTTTCAATGTTATTTGTCGGGATGTGGTGCTGATGGAAATGGAGATTAGTTGAGCTTTTCTGATTATGGAACCCTGAGCATCACATCTCATTTCATGGAACATGATGATTTATATACAATAAAGATTATATCTGGTAACAGTTTTTTTTTTTTTTTTTTTTTTTTTTTGAGACAGAGTCTTGCTCTGTTGCCCAGACTGGAGTGCAGTGGCACGATCTTGGCTCACTGCAAACTCCACTGCCCGGGTTCAAGGGATTTTCCTGCCTCAGCCTCCCAAGTAGCTGGGACTATAGGTACACGCTACCACGCTCAGCTAATTTTTGTATTTTCAGTAGAGACAGGGTTTTACCATGTTGGCAAGGGTGGTCTTGATCTCTTGACCTTGTGATCTGCCTGCCTCGGCCTCCCAAAGTGCTGGGATTACAGGCGTGAGCCACTGTGCCCTGCCAATATCTGATAACTTTTTAAAAATTATTTTTAGAGGTAGGGCCTTGCTCGGTCACCCAGGTTGTAGTGCAGTGGCACAATCACAGCTCACTGCAGCCTTGAGCTCTTGGGCTAGAGCAATCTGTCTGCCTCAGCCTCCTGAGCAGCTGGGACCTCAAGTGCATGCCACCATGTAGCTAACTTTATATATATATATATATATATATATATATATATATATATATATATATATATATATATATATATTTTTTTTTTTTTTTTTTTTTTTTTTTTTTTTTTAGAGACAGGGTCTTGCTATGTTGCTCAGGCTGGTCTCAAACTCCTGGCCTCAAGGGATCCTGCCTCGGCATCCCCAAAGTGTGAGCCACTGTGCCCTGTAATGTTTGTTGAGTGCTTATGTGCCAGGTACCATTGAATGGTCTCTACATGTATTTGTTCATTTCATCCTCACAGTAGCCATATGAATCAAGTCATATTGCTGTCCACCTTTTACAGATGCATAAACTGACACAAGAGGTGAATACACCCTGCCTAAGGTCACACAGCTTATAAGTGTCAGAGTAGTTCCAAAATTGGGCCCTCTGCCTCCTCAGCCCACACTCTTGGCCTGCTACTCCAATGTGCTGCCTCCCGTGGCTATAATGTGGCCTCCTTACAACCAAGTTATCAAGAGCCTTTAATGTATCTGTTTCTGTTGTTGTTGTTGTTGTTTGTTGTTGTTTGTTGTTGTTGCCCAGGCTGGAGTGCAGTGGCACAATCTGGGCTCACTGCAACCTCCACCTCCCGGGTTCGAGCGATTTCTCCTGCCTCAGCCTCTTGAGTAGTTGAGATTACAGGCATGTGCCACCACGCCCGGCTAATTTTGTTTTTTCAGTAGAGACGTGGTTTCATCATGTTGGCCAGTCTGGTCTCGAACTCCTGGCCTCAGGTGATCTGTCCGCCTCAGATCCCAAAGTGCTGGGATTATAGGCGTGAGCCACCATGCTTGGCCCAATGTATGTTTTTCCCTTCATCAGAGTTTTTCTCAGTTGTTGAGCCTAAAGAGTGGTGTCATCAATGATCTTAAAACTCAAGAATGAATGAAAGCAATCCTCTTTTTTAAAAGCTCCCTGGGACTCTGAGGGTTGGGTGCACTGTGTGCAAAGAAAACTGCATAGGGCCCTGCCCTGTCAGGGTTGGATACAAATGGAGGCAGGGACGTTGGTCTTCGGGATCTCTACTCTCCTCCCTTCTCCCTTTAAGTGTGTAATTTTTCAGTCTATAGTCACAGCCTTGGCATTCCCTGGCTGTTCAGCCTTTCACACTGTGGAACCACCTCTCCGTCCTGGGCATGCCTTGAAGCTCTGACACCTTCTTCTCTACCCTCGCACACATCTGTCCTAGGTCTCATTGGCTGGATGCTTTTCTAGGTAGCATGAGTAAATCTGAAACCATTTGTTGTAGCATACGCATGCAATTTGTAGCTTTCAGGGTAATTTAATTTTTACAAAGGACTTCTAGAGATGCAGGGACCAAGGAAATGGAAGGCTCAAGGCAGAATCTTAGGCTGTGAAAGACAAAGGGTGGAGACATTCTGGGGTCCTGGCCTGTCCATTCCATTGCTCCCAGGGGATGAATTCATGAAGCCAGTAAACTGCATCTGAGACCCTATATTCATCTTCTTAGCAGTAAGTTTTTTCTGCCTGTTGGGGTTTCTGGGCTTAGCTAATGGCAGATTACAATGGTGGTCTCTAGGTGCTGAAGCATCCCAAGATAGATGTTCTTGACCCTGTCTACACTCTGTAACCAACGGTTGTGGTCATATTAGTGTAAGATAATACTGAGAAGTCTCTATCGTAGAGGAAGCCTACAAAATTAGCATTTGCTCTTTAGACAAAATAAGTCTTGTGTTTACAACTCTATCACTAAAAATGCTGACCTCTTAAAATATATTAATTAGCCAACCAATTGCCCGCTAGATGCACATACAAATAATTAGGCCCAGATGTTGTTTCTGGCCATCAGGAACTGAAACTAATGACCTGGAATTCATGTTCTCAGAGTGGCGTCCTTAAATTCTTCCTTTAAGAACAATTTAAAGCATTGGCTCCGCGGAAGGTAAATTAACCCCCTTCCACTTAAAATATATTGCAAACTAGCAATTACCAGGTACCCAAGAAAATAATTCATTGTTTGAATAGTTGCTCTCCTAAGATTTAATAAAACTCAAAACCCTTCATGTTCTGCAGTGAAATAAGCCACAAACATGAATGTTTTATAGGGTGATTAAAATTTCTGCTCTATTTATGTATAGTACAAAATATACTTTCTTGTTTCATTAAGTACTAGAAAATTCAGTCAACTCTAGTGCCCTCAGAAATCTTACCCCATCCTATTTAACTTAACACTTTTTCTGATTCAATTGAAGTGGATCTGCTTATTTAATAATATAATTGTAAAATTATAGCATGCATGTTCACTTCTTTGGGAGTAATCATGAGGCTTTTGCAAAGATTCAAAAGCAGAAGTTATATTGAGGATAACCTCCTCCTCCTTGCCTTTTCCTCCCACCACCCCTTCATGTTTTGGTAACCCTGGTCACTACATTCACAGAGAGTCAACATTTAGAAGAAATTGCCAGCCGGACCAGGTTATTTACAGGTTTGTGAAAACATCCTAGACTTGCTGTCAGGCTCATGAAAAGGGAATGTGGTGTTCTGTCTGCTTTCCCAGTGGTGGTATGTTAACTTCTAGTGCATTCAGATGGGGCTGCAGCATCTGATGGGGGAGTGAAAGTCCTCTGGAACTTGTGTACAGTGGCTTCATGTGCAGATGGGCTTTGGCCAGCAGCTGTTGTCAGTGGGCCCTCCGTAGCCCTGCCTGCCTTTTGTGGGATGTTCTGATGGAATTGTCTTCTTTCTTGGAGGTTGGCAAAACCAGCTCATTAGCTGAGTCTGACTGCTGCCTATTCTTGTAAGTAAAGTTTTATTGGAACATAGCCACACCTACTTCCTTACATGTTGTCTATGGCTGCATTCCTGCTACAGGAGCAGAGCTGAGGGGAAACAGAGACTTCATTGCCTGTAAAAAGCCCAAAGGATCTCCATATGGACCTGTACTGAAAAACCTGTGGAGAGAAACTGAATTCAAATGTTTTTTTAATAAGCCCTTGAAGCTTGTCCCTCATCTCCTCATGACACTTGACATGTTTCCACTCAGTGGCTCAGCCTCTGTCTCCTGGACCCTTTCCTGACATTGCCCCAGCCAGTGAGCAAGACTTGTGCTCAGGGACTGGCTCTCCCACTCCTGCATGGACTTGGTCCTTGGATTCCCATGTTGAATGGAGCATGTTAATGTTACAGTCACAAACCAACATTATCTAAAAACGTGAAACAGTTTTAGAACCAGAAAAGGAGGCCCTCATAGTCAAGCCCTCTTGTTCTTCAGATGAGGATGCTTACTCTGAGGGCATTGCTTGTAGTCACAAGGCTGGGTCATGGCTGTTGAGGTTTTCTCTGGGCTTTTTTTTTTTTTTTGACATAGTCTCAGTGGTGTCGCCCAGGCTGCAATGCAGTGGTGCGATCTTGGTTCACTGCAACCTCCGCCTCCCAGGTTTAAGTGATTGTCCTGCCTCAGCCTTCCAAGTAGCTGGGATTACAGGTGCCCACCCCCATGCCTGGCTAACTTTTTGCATTTTTGCCATGTTGGCCAGGCTGGTCTAAAATTCCTGACCTCAAGTGATCCACCTGCCTCGGCCTCCCAAAGTGCTGGGATTATAGGAATTAGGAATGAGCCACCTTTTCTGGCCTGGCCTTTTTTTTTTTTTTTTTGGAGACGGAGTCTCACTCTGTCACCAGGCTGGAGCGCAGTGGCACGATCTTGGCTCACTGCAACTTCCACCTCCTGGGTTCAAGCAATTCTTCTGCCTCAGCCTCCCAAGTAGCTGGGACTACAGGTGCGTGCGACCATGCCCGGCTAATTTTGTTTGGTTTTGTTTTGGGACAGAGTCTCATTCTGTCACCCAGGCTGGAGTACAGTGGCGCGATCTCGGCTCACTGCAACCTCTGCCTCCTGGGTTCAAGTGATTCTCCTGCCTCAGTCTCCCGAGTAGCTGGAATTACAGGTGTGTGCCACCACATCCAGCTAATATTTGTGTTTTTAGTAGACGGGGTTTTGCCATGTTGGCCAGGCTTGTTTCGAACTCGTGACCTCAAGTGATCCACCCACCTTGGTCTCCCAAAGTGCTAGGATTACGGGCATGATTCTCTGGGCTGTTTTTCCCAGTTCTTTCCACACCATATTGCTGCCACACATACGCGTGTGCCCAAACAAAACCTGTGCTGGGTAGGCTTTTGTTTCATGGTGAAGGCTTTCTTCCTTTTTTATTTCCATCATACATTACTTTATACCAGGCTGGCCAGAGAGAAATGATCTGTGATCAAAAGAAAAAGTCCTGGATAGGCAATGGTGTTTTCCTTCTTCACTGTTTATCCCATCAGTACTTGGCCATTAAACAGAACAGAATGTTTCACTCTTCTGTCATTAATTATAATGCTAATCTTTTTTTTCCAACCTACTTTTAAAACATTGAATGATGCTTCTTTCTGTCTCTAATGTGATATTTTAGGAATGTGTAAAGCCTTCTAGCTATAAATATCTCTAGCATCAGTAGTTTTATGTATCAGTGTTCCTTATTAATCCAACATTTTTGCTTATGATATGTCCATAAGAATTTGAATTTTATATGCAGTCATCAAATAACCTATCTCTGATACGATTTCCTACTCTCATCAGAGGGATCAGTAACAAATTGGGTTGTAACTAAAACTTATTTTTGGTTTTGAATTAAAAGTCTAGTGAAAAACAGTGCTGTGCCTGGTTCTGAATTTAACCCCTGGATGTCAGCGTGGGATTTTTAATTTTTTAATTTTTTTTAACTCTATTGGGAGGCATAGAGCAGCATCAATGTTGAGAAAATGGATTTGGGGATTTACTGGGTGACCTTGGTCAATTTTCTTAACTTCTCTGTGCTTTAATTTCCTCAGCAGAAATCATGGCACTAATCTCATAGGGTTGTTGTGGGGGAAAAAATTGGCAGACAATGTGAAAAGCACACAGTCCTGTTTGGCACAGGGTGAGTATTCCAAATAGCCTTTAAGCTATGTGATTTGTTTATGATTTTTGTCTAGTGAGTGATGAGTCCCCAGATATATTGGTTGTGCCAGGCAGATGGATTAAAAAAGTAGCATGACCAGATTGTTTAACCTTAACCTGGGTATGAACAATTTTGATATCTGTCTCCTTTCTTGAAGGAAGGACCTTCAGCCATGTTCAAGAGTCATTGAGAAGCCTGGTTTGGTTCTCACCAGACCCCTGGGTAGGGGAATATTTGCCAGCTCTCTGGGATAGGAGGCAAGGACAATGTCCTTCTTGGAGAGGGCTGGAGGAGAGGGCCAGAGATCAGAGGGAATATCTTGTCCAGGTTTATGCCACACGTATACATGCTGACTTTTTGGAACATGGTAAGTGAGGACTGAGAAGTGAAATGTTTAGAACGGTCCAATGCCACTGCCTTTTCATAGTTTTCTATAAAAGTAAGTTCCTTTAACGGGGGGCTGGCATCAAACTACACTGGGACTGAAAATCCTTTTTTTTTTTGAGACGGAGTCTCACTTTGTTTCCCAGGCTGGAGTGCAGTGGTGCGTTCTCGGTTCACTGCAAGCTCCGCCTCCCAGGTTCACACCATTCTCCTGCCTCAGCCTCCTGAGTAGCTGGGACTACAGGCGCCCGCCGCCACGCCCGGCTAATTTTCTGTATTTTTAGTAGAGATGGGGTTTCACCGTGTTAGCCAGGATGGTCTCAATCTCCTGACCCCATGATCCACCCGCCTCGGCCTCCCGAAGTGCTGGGATTACAGGCGGGAGCCACTGCGCCCGGCCGAAAATCCTTTCTTTAGCTGGGAAAAATGTCTTTCCCATTTGGCTCTGAGTCTGAGCGGGACTCCGAGTGCTCTCTCACAGTGGTAGCTGCTTCTCCTCTTTCTTTCTCTTCATTGTTATAAAATGTTAGTTTTATAGACCTAAGCTTTCTTAAATTTATAGTATTTTATTCTAGGCTATGGAGTTTACATTAAAAAAAAAGGGGGGGAGTCAGTTTGTGTTACCTTTACTGATCCTACAAACCATGCCGAAGGAACTGGAGGAATTTACCCCATTCACCTTTGGGCTCAGGCTGGTCCCTGCCTAAGTGGCAGAGTCCCAACGGTGCTATTGATGAGCAGTACCTGTTGATAATCAGGTGGCATCCTCAACTTGTGTAACCCATGAGTTGGCTGAGTTTTTCTTGATTCTTCGATTCCAAGGCTGAGATTTTTAAAGAAAGGTGTAGTATGTAAGTGAAATGGAATACTATTCAGCCATCAAAATGAAATCCTGCCATTTGCAGTAACTTGGATGAAACTGGAGGTCATTGTGTTAAATGAAATAAGCCAGGAACAAAAAGACAAATATCACATGTTCGCATTCACATTTAGGAGCTAAACAAAAATTTGAACAGATGATAGAGTGGAAAAATAAGAGACTGGGAAGGGTGGGAGAGGGAAGGATGAAAAGAAATGGGTTAAAGATTAAAAACATACAGTAAGATAGAAGGAATAAATTCAATGATTGATAGCAGAGCAGGATGACTATACTTAACAAAGATGTATTGTATCTTGATAATGGACACCCTGAATACACTGACTTGATTGCTACACACTGTATATGTGTAAAAAAATTCTCATGTACCACATACACTTTCACAAAAAGCACTGGCTTTCCACTTCCCTTTCCCAGGACTGATATTTACATGAACTACAAGGTGGGGCCCAGTGCCTTTCTCTGGAGTTTGAAGACACACCGCCACATCACTAGTTCTACTTTATTTGTAGATGGAGCATGTCCTTTTCTCTGACGGTCTTGCCTAGAAAAATGCCATATTTAGAGCTGCAGAAGATTAACTCATTCCCTGTCAATCACGTTCCATCTCAGGAAAGATCCTTGCTAAGGTCTGCTGAGCCATAGCTAACACATTCTTTGATTCTCAGAAGGAAACTAATAGTGCAGAAAAATCTTGATTTAGTTCTGTGAATGACTGCCAGCCTAATCCCTCACAGAAAAAGGAGCTAAACTGAGCCCAAGAGGATGAACCAGCGTTTGGCATGCAGTCTCGTTTAAAAACCTGTCCCAAAAAGGTGGTGGTAGTTTTCCATTCAGAATTGCCTGGTTTTGTTCCCATAACCCGGTGGTATGGACGCTCATTTTCCAATGCCAGCAAGAACTGGGGCAGGAAACCCCAGTGCCTGCAACAACTCATGTGTGTCAACTTGCTTCATGGTGCCAAGGAACACTTCCTAAGTAAGTAGAACGTATTTTCCCTGGAACACATTGTAATTGGTGAGATCCTAGGTTCTTATCTTTCTATAGCTTAGGCTTGTTGCTTCTATTCATACCTTTGAAGAAAGGGAATTGGGTAAAAAGTCATCACAATTTTGGATGATATTAAGAAATCCCACCCTATATCCAAGTTGATTAGCTGGCTGTGGCGAGGAAAAGGTTAGTTCTTAATAAACTTCAGCTATTTACCTTGACCCCTAAGTGATGGAGTTTCTCAGGCTATGCCACAGTCTGTCTGTCTTGAAGCTATGTGGATGATGTTCCTCTCCATTTTCCCTGGCATACAGGCCAGGAAAGGAATCTTTGTTTCCTTATCACTCATCTGTTCCTGCTTCTGCTTGGCCACCGAGGACTAAGCCTATTTCCAACTTCAGAGCCCCTTGCCCAGGTACAGGATCGGTAGGGAGGATGGGCTTGTTCTCCAGTACAACATGCAAGGCAGTGAGAGTGGAGAAATTCATGATGAATAAAGATGTTTGGTAACCAGAAGAGGCGGCTGTAAATTCCAAGCAGAGAGAGACTTAGAGGGAGAAGTGCGGTTCTGGAATGCGTGGTGAGCTTTCCCAGGGCATCAGAAATACTTTACAATTCAAATTCCGGCTGGGATAATAACTTCAGAGGAAATTGCACTTAGTATAAGCTGGTGCTGAGGTCTTCTCTGAAACGATTATCCCGCACACTAACAGGATTAGGTACCTTTTAACGCGCCAGACTTTCTGAACCCAGTCACGTTGGGAGTTTCCCATGGGATCGTGAAAAGCTGAAGGGAACAGGAGGCTAAATGTCATTACATGGAGGAACCTAGGGAGGAAGGGGGTCACTCTAGAGGTCTGGAGCCTCTTCTGCTTGGAGTGGAGAGCTTGGATGCTGCTTTTTGGGTGTGCTGGGCTTGGTCTCTCCCATCTCACCTGACTTTGTATCTGGGCAGGGGTGGACAATGGAAACTGCCTTAGTGCTGTATATCTGTTTATTTATTTTTAAAAGAAACAGTTCCCTCTTATGATTCTGAGAATAATTATGGTTCTGTGAGCAGAAGCTTCTGAAAATTAGTTCTGTCTGTGGATTCTGCCATATTTGAAGTCACACCTGTGGCCTTGAAGCTGGGAACCAAGTGGAGGAAGGAGAGCGGACTTTGGAGGGTGGCTCCCAGCTGGGTGGAGATGGCTCACCTGTGCTCCCCCACCCCCAAGTGCCACTAAAACAAGTGGGGAAGGCCTGTCTGGGACCCCTCCCTCCTTTCCCATGTGCCCCTTGAAGATGCTCTTCCATGGTCATTTCTGGTCAGTGGGACCCCAAGGCTCAGAGCTCCAGGCCAGAGCCCCAGCCTAGTGACTCTTGGAGTGTCAGCACCTAAACTGGGATGGCCCCAGCCCGTAACATGAGCTCTGTGAGTGCTGGAGCATGTGGGCTGCTTGCATTCATCCACCCCCACTTTTACTTTTGTGTTGTGAGACAGGAATGAAAAGGGCATAGGTTACTATTACAGTCCAACAGCAGCCTGAGATGGCAAGATGTTACATTTGAAAGAGCATGGGCTTTGGATTCAGCAAGAATGAGGAATGGGAATCCACATTCTGTCCCTTGCTAAAGTGTAGGCAGAGGGTCCTTGCCTTGACATCTCTGAGGCTATTTCTGCATCTGTAACACTGGCTGTGAGAATGATGTAGTTGATCTGTGTAAATGTCTGTCTGTTATTATGGTGCTTTATTAACAAGAGCTGCTATCATTACACGTAAAGCTTTAACTTATAAAGGACTTTTTCATTTTGGTAAACTTGAGGGCTGGGTGTGAATTTTTGTCTTGCATGTCAGTCTTGCACCGCATCAACTGTTAAACGTTAAACTGCTTCCCAGGATGTTTGACATGCACAGTGTATTTGCTGTGCTCACAAAACTGATGGAGTCCCAGTAGGGAGGGGCAGGAGGGGATGAGCCCAGAGGTACAACAACCAGATTCCAAGGGGCAGTGCGCAGATCTCCAGATGGCCGCTGTTGTCTATAAGATAATGGGCAAGGATGAAAGTTTCTCATGTCTGGTAACAGTCCTGTGCTAGGTTTCATGGGATGCTTTCTGTCCACTGTTAGAAATACACATTGAAGTTTGTAAAAAATAGTCTTGATGGACCACTGAATCGTCCTCTCCTCAGACACTCTCCCCCTTTCCCTGTGTTTAAATGCCTGCAGTTAGTTTGAAGCGTGTCAGTAGGGATCAGATGTAGATGTATGCATTATCAGCTGATGACACCAATTAGTATTAGATTCTCACAGCTCTAACCTGGGCATCTCTGAGAGGAGCTAAACTTGGTTGAAGAAATACAAGGAGATGAAAGAGGAAGGGACGCTGGACAAAGCCTGGCCAGTTGGGCCCTGTTCAAAGCCAAGGTCTGGGCTGTGGTGCAGGCTGCACCCATCACTAGCTGAGTTGGTCTCTGTGCACCAAAAGTTGCCCTGTTCCAGCTGCTGATACCTGTGTCTTTTTCGTTCTTTTGAGACAGGGTCTTGCTCTGTTGCCCAGGCTGGAGTGCAGTGGCGTGATCCTGGCTCACTGCAACCTCCGCCTCCTGGGTTCAAGCAATTCTCGTACCTCACCCTCCTGACTAGGACTACAGGCATGCGCCACCACGCCTGACTAATTTTTGTGTTTTTAGTAAAGATGGGGTTTTCTCCATGTTGGCCAGGCTGGTCTCGAACTCCTGCGCTCAAGTGATCCATCCGTGTCAGCCTTCCAAATGCTGGGGCTACAGGTGTGAGCCCCCATGCCTGGCTGCTGATACCTGTGTTTACAAACTCATCAGCTAAAGGGTTCCAGAAACTGAGGTTAGTCTGTCACAGGGTTCTGTGAGGCCCAGCCACCCGGTTCTCCAAGCATTTATGTATCCAGGTCTTTAAAACAAACTAGCAGCTCTGGCTGGCTCAGTTCTTCTTTCTTTTCTCCACCATTAAATGGAGGGAAAAAGGGAATGTGTGTGTGTTTATGCTCCAGCTGCCTCACACTTACTGAGTAGGCTTCTAACTTGCTCTGCTCAGCAAGCTATTCTTATTGAGGGTCCACAGCTCCCTGTGTTTTATGGGGAGACCTGACACAGGGCAACCTGGAATTTTTTCCATCGTGTTCATACACTTTTCTCATTTTGACCTTCATTTAACTATGTTCTCTTTGTCACATAGTTTTGATGTAAGGATTTGTTCACATATGGTAGCTCTCTGAGATAGACTGGAGAAGACAGTATATGCAAAACTCCCAATATTTTGTAGTTTCGGGGAATAATCTAGTAGATAACTTACTGTCTCTGTGTGTCTCCCTCCTACACAATCATACAACATGAGAACACTTTTTAAAATAAATTTTTACTCAAAACTCTAAAGTTGAAAGCTTTGTGTACTTATTTATTCAGAACTGAATTTTTATTCCATCGAAACAATTGAAATGTGTACCAAATAACAGAATTTGAAAATTCTGTCCTTCTCTCCTTATAAGTACCTAGATGAACATTGCACATTTTGATAAATTGGAGGTAATTATTCACAGGTGGAGGGAAAGTTCTAATATGCGTGCATTTCCTTTGACTGTAGACTGTATTATACGAACTAGACAGAATATTCTTTTTGAAAAAGATGAACACAGTTTTCTGCCAACCCAGTTGTTAGGAATAAGCCTTGCAGAGTAAATTGATTACAAAGTCTGATTACAAAAGCAGAAAAAAATCTGGAAAATACAGAAAACTACAAAGTATGAAAACAATACAAAAATAACTGCATCAGACAGGTAATGTTATTGCTGTTTTAGTGCATATCCTTCCAGTCTTTTTTCTATTTATGTATTTCTTATTTTTGAGATCCTGTGGGTACATATTTTTTTCACATAACATATGGTCATTTCCTGTGCCACTAATTATACAGCCATTTAACTAATGGTATAATTATATTTGGAGATTACGTTAAACTCCATTGCTGAACACTTAAGGCTGAATTTGTTCTGTTGCTTAATGTGGGTATTTTTACTTAATGTGGGTATTTTTAGTCAGAAATGAAACCAAATGTAAATAGGGATTAAAGGAGAAAGTCTGGGAAACTATTACTAAGATTTTCTTGAGTGTAGCATCAGCTTTTTGCTTTAGTCACTATTTCTATTATTAGATAACATCAACTCAGCAGATTCCTTCTGGAATTTAGGTTCCCATCCTTAGGCCCACGGAAAGATCAGAGCCTGTTGCATGGTTTTACTGAGGCTGGTGGTCCCCAGAGTTTGATTAGGGGTTATCTTTGTATCTTGGACTAAAACGGCTTTCTGGGAGGAAATGCTGCAGCGACCTGATCATTGTCTTAAGTTCCGTGTTCATGTGATGCTGGTGGTCCCATTCAGTTTGGCTGATGGTTAAAACACATGGACCAGCATCTCATCAGCAGTGCAGCTGGCTGCACACCCAGATCTCATCGGGAAGTACCGTTTTGAAATCATTGCTACATGAGACCTGTCATGTCTCTGCTGAGAGATTTTATGGGGAGTGTTTATTCCTCTAGGGCAGCTATTCTTAACTGTATTAGGTTAGACCCATTTGAGAGTCCAACCTGGTCACATACACACGAAATTCTGTGTTTAATCTCGCAGGGGTTGTGGTTCCCTAAAGCCCAAACTATTCCCAAGTTGAGAAGAATTATTTTAGATGCTGTAAGCTCTGTCCCAACCCAAGACCCTCATCCGTCTCTCACCAGCATGCCCTGGGTGCAGCCATGGCTCCTCTAGATGGCGTTGTAGATTTCCCCTCTTAGAAGCTAGTTCTGGGCCATCCACTTCTGGGTTGGGATTGTCTCTTCCACCAGGCAGTCCTCTTGGGTAGAATCCCTCTCAGGACAATCTAGTCCTGCTCCCATTCCTAAGTCCCTATCTGGCCCACAGGAAACTCTCACTTGCTGGGTCCCAACAAATTCTGACAGTGATCGTCCATCGGGATAGCCTTTTAAATTTTCCATGCGTAGTTTCCTATGCCTGACAAACACCAGTGGACTCACATGCAACTTCAACTTATTCCCTGGAGACCCTCTAACTTGGTTTGAGGCAAAGTAGGGGAGGGTAGACCCCATTAGCCTTCTCCAGAGGAATTCTCTACACCTTTTAAACTGCTGCCTTTTGATACCTTTTTTTTTTCTTTTTTTTTGAGACAGAGTCTTGCTCTGTCACCCAGGAGGCTGGACTGCAGTGGCGCAATCTCGGCTCACTGCAAGCTCCGTCTGCCGGGTTCACACCATTCTCCTGCCTCAGCCTCCCAAGTCACTGGGACTACAGGCACCCGCCACCACACCCGGCTATTTTTTTGTATTTTTAGCAGAGACGGGGTTTCACCGTGTTAGCCAGGATGGTCTCGATCTCCTGATCTTGTGATCCGCCCACCTTGGCCTCCCAAAGTGCTGGGATTATAGGCGTGAGCCACCGCGCCCAGCCTGTCTTTTGATACTTTTAAGGCAGGTTTTGGGCAGCAAAGCCTGGCTGAATTGGTTTCAAAACCTACAGTTTCCTTAGAATATGGGGGAGGGTGCTGGCTACAGATTATTTTTGTCCTAGTTCATGATGTCTCTGGAAAATCTGAGATGGCAGATATTCCATTTGAACATCTTAATGTAGGTTTCTCTTTTCATGGCTGAGAGTAGAGAGACCTTGATGGAATGGGATATAGGAAGGCTTTGGATTGGGACAAAGTACCATAGATAAGCTGTGGGCTTCTACAGGACTGATTCTGAAGGGAAACAGGTAGTTTTAAAATCTTTTTTTTCTCACTGAGAAGCAGGAGGGACTTGTCTGCCGTTTGTGTGACATTTTCTGTTACCTGTCACACTGAATGTATCCAATGTCCAGATGTAAAGTGCTGGTTTTCAGAAGTCATGTGTGGACTTGTGATATTCTTAGGATCCCTAAATCAACAGATGACAAATTGGGAGTAAGTGTAGCTTTTTTGTTGTTGTTGTTGAGACGGAGTCTCGTTCTGTTTCCAGGCTGGAGTGCAGTGGTGCGATCTTGGCTCACTGCAGTCTACTGCCTCAGCCTCCTGAGTAGCTGGGATTACAGGCGTGTGCCACCACACCTGGCTAATTTTTGTATTTTTAGTAGAGACGGGGTTTCACCATATTGGTCAGGATGGTCTCGATCTCCTGACCTCGTGATCCGCCCACCTCGGCCTCCCAAAGTGCTGGGATTACAGGTGTGAGCCACTGCATCTGGCCAAGGGTAGCGTTTTGATGGGTATAACTTTTCATCCCTGTTTATGTCTAAAGAGAATTGAAAGAATTTGAGATAATCTCTTTTTCACTGTTAATTTCTGAGATGCAGGAAAATCTTTTATTTGAGATTCAATTTGCTTGTAAATGACTTTTTTAAAATGTAGGAATTGGCAAGGATTTTTTATGGGGAGGCATTGTGGGTAGAGTTTCTGTCCACCTGTTCCCCCAAAAGCTGGGAGTTAGTGACGGTGTGGGGGGAGAAATAGGAGGTATTAGGGGGCATGTGTACACACAGACATTTCCCCACACATTGTGCCAACTAATTAGAATAAACTTTTATCTACCAAATTGTTTAAAATGGCAAATAGTACTTGAAAAGATTAACTACTGCAGCATTCAGTTAGATAAAGCATTCTGAAGGTGGTGGTTCTGAAGTAATGGTAAGTGTGACTGGAAAAAATTGTCATTTTGCAGTGTGCAGCTGTTTACCTGAGGACAGGTTAAAGTGGCTTACAAGGAGAGGGTCTGGGAAGGATGCTTTGTAAGCTGAAGAAGACAGGGAGAACAGAACTTACACATCGAATCAATAGAGAAGCCTTAGGTGAGCCAGGCCAGTGTATCTCAAATTGTGTTCCATAGACCAGGGGTCCCCAACTCCTGGGCTGCAGACTGGTACTGGACCGCACAGCAGGAGCTGAGTGGCAGGTGAGGGAGCATTATTGCCTGAGCTCCGCCTCCTCTCAGATCAGCAACGGCATTAGATTCTCATGGTGGCAGGAGCGCTGTTGAGAACAGTGCATGCGAGGGACCTAGGTTGTGGGTTCCTTGTGAGAATCTAATAAATGCCTCATGATCTAAGGCGGAACAGTTTCATCCCAAAACTGTCCCCCTGGGCCTCCCTTAAACCCTCATGGAAAAAATTGTCTTCCATGAAACCAGTCCCTGGTACCAAAAAGGTTGGGGACCAGTGCCATAGACTGCTAATCCTGTGGGAGGCTCCAGAGGTGGGGGAGAGGGCCTGGGCCAAATACATTAGGGAAAGGCTGCTTGTATCCCTGAGTTGGGCTTTCATGGTAGATATTTGCATGTTAAAGGTTCTGAAGAAGACTGCAGTTTCGAAACCTGTTCAACCTCACCCCACCCCCACCCCGCATTCTGAGACAGTCTCGCATTGTTGCCCAGGCTGGAGTACAGTGGCATGATCTTGGCTCATTGCAACGTCTACCCCTGCGGGTTCAAACGATTCTCCTGCCTCAGCCTCCTGAGTAGCTGGGATTACAGGTGTGCGCCCCCACACTTGGCTAATTTTTTGTATTTTTAGCAGACACTTGGCTAACTTTTTGTATTTTTGGCAGGGTTTTGCCATGTTGGCCAGGCTGGTCTTGAACTCCTGGCCTAAAGTGATCCACCTCGGCCTTCCAAAGTGCTGGGATTATAAGCGTGAGCCACCACGCCTGGCCTAGAAACTTGTTCAACTTAAAGAAGCATTTCCCTAAACCACTTGAACAAAGAACACCTTCCATCCCAGATGTTAGGACCTGCACATTTGGGATATCGAGTGTCCTACCCTTTGGGAGGTTTAAACTTCCAAAACAGTTGCTTTTCAAAAACACTCTTTGAAGTCCCACTAAATTGCCTTCAAATCAATGGAGCATTTGCTCAAATAGTGTCGATGGTGGCTTGTTTTCTTTACTGTGAACATCAGTTTGAAAATTAGAGTCAAATATTTAAGGTCTGATTTAAAAATAGGATGAATAATACTAGATTGGGATAAATAACATGAAACGTGCAATTGGAAAATGTATTTGTGTCTAATGGCAGATGAACGACATCTGGGAGGAGGCAATAAAAGAAAGCAGTTGATGAGGAGTCATCAGAGTGCAGACTGGTACCATCCACTCAGCCATCCAGTGGTGAACTGCTTAATTTTTAAAACAACCATTTGCCTAGAACATTTTCTGTACTGTAGCCCTCTACTTTTGACATACATTTATCCTTCATTGTAATTTTTTTTTTTTTTTTTTTTTTGAGGTGGAGTCTCACTCTGTTGCCAGGGCTGGAGTGCAGTGGCACGATCTCGGTTCACTGCAACCTCCGCCTCCCAGGTTCAAGCGATTCTCCTGCCTCAGCCTCCCGAATAGCTGGGATTACAGGCACCTACCATCACGCCTGGCTAATTTTTTGTATTTTTAGTAGAGATGGGGTTTCACCACGTTGGCCAGGCTGCTCTCGAACTCTTGACCTCATGATTCACCTGCCTCAGCCTCCCAAAGTGCTGGGATTACAGGCGTGAGCCACCGCGCCCGGCCCATTGTATTCTTGAGAATCATTCCTTTGATGCAGTTGACTATTTTCACTGCAGCCCAGTATTCCATTGCATGCAGATGTCTATGTTGATAGACATTTGGATTGTTCTTAGACATATGTTTTGCATTTATGACACTGCTGCTGTGAACCTTCTTACAGGTGCCTCCTGGTATGCATGCGCAAGTTTTTCTAGAGGATGTCTCCAAGGAGGGACCTACACAGTCATGGAGGGGGGATGTTTGATTTTGCTGGAGAACTATTTCTCCAGTGGTGGTGTCAGTTTACACTCCCACTAGCAATGGAAGAAGACTCCCATTATTTCACCTTCTGGACAGTTGGCACTGTGATCATTTTTTCCATGTGGGTATAAAATGGTATCTTTGGAGTTTTAATTTGCATTTCTCTGATTCTTAATGAGATTAAGAACATCTTTTTGAGTTAATGGACCATTTGCATTTCCTTCAGTGAAATGCCTTTTACCTATTTCTCTATCAGATTGTTTTTCTTTTATTGATTCATTGATTCTTTACAGATTTTAATACTAATACTTTGTCAGGTTATGTGCTGCAGAAAGTTTATGGTGTTTTTTTGATGAAAAAAATTTGAATTTTAATGTCATCGATTTTATCACCCTTTTTCCTTCATGGTTTATACATTTTTTCTCAATATCTACCTGCATTCTCTCCTAAAGTTTTGTAGTTTCACCTTCTCCAATCCATGTAGAATTTTTTTATGTAAAGTATGAGACAGGAATCCAGCTGCGTTTTCTTCCCCTTATGGGAAGGCAGGGTCCAAGCCTCTCCGATATTAATGCTTTCTGTCCTCCACACCATCGAGCCTCAACGATTTTAATGCTTTCTGTCCTTCCATGCCATCACTCACCTTTTCATGTGTGCGTGTTATCCCTTTGGACTTTTGATTTTGTTCCATTCACCTGTTTGTCTATTTCCTTACCAATATCAAGCTATTCTGATTACTATATGTTTATGTATCTTTGGTAGAAAGTGATCTCTACTTTGTTTTTCAGGAATATTTTGGTGGTTCTTGGACATTTGCACTTTTATTTCTAACTTAGGTTCAGGGGTACATGTGCAGGTTTGTTTATATAGGTAAATCTTGTGTCACGGGGTTTGGTGTACAGATTATTTTATCACCCAGGTAATAAGGATAGTGTACCCAATAGGTAGTGTTTCGGTCCTCACCCTCCTCCCACCCTCCACCCTCAAGCAGGCCCCAGAGTCTGTTGTTCCCTTATTTGTGTCCATATGGACACGATGTGATGTTTAGCTCCCTCTTAGAGGTGAGAACATGTAATGCTTGGTTTTCTGTTCCTGTGTTAGTTTGCTTTTAGCTCCATCCCTGTTGTTGCAAAGGACATGATCTTCTTTTTTATAGCTATGTAGTATTCTATGGTGTGTATACCACATTTTTTTTATCCATTGTAATGTTGATTGGCATTCAGTTGATTCCATGTATTTGCTATTGTGACTAGTACTGTAATGAACATATGTGTGCATGTGTTTTTATGGTAGAATGTTTTTTTATTTGGGTATAATAGTAATGGGATTGAGGGGTCACTGTTTAAAGTTCTCTCAGAAATCACTAAATTGCTTTCCACAATGGCTGAACTAATTTACATTCCACTAGCAGTGTAGGAGCGTTCCCTTTTCTCTGCAGCCTCACCAGCATCAGTTATTTTTTAATGATAGCCATTCTGACTGGTACGAGACGGTATCTGCTTGTGGTTTTGATTTGCAACTCTCTGATGAGGGATGTTGAGCATTTTTTCATATGCTTCTTGGCCATGCATCAGTCTTGTTTTGAAAAGTGTCCATTCATGTCCTTTGTTCCACTTTTTAGTGGGGTTGTTTGGATTTTTTGCTTGTGAATTTAAGTTCCTTATAGATTCTGGATATTAGACTTTTGTCAGATACATAGTTTGTAGATATTTTCTCCCATGTTGTAAGTTGTCTGTTCTGTTGATAGCCGCTTTTGCTCTATAGAAGTTGTTTTTTCTCCCTAATAGTTTAATTAGATCCCATGTGTCAATTTTTGTTTCTTTTGCATTGCTTTTGGCATCTTTCTCATGTAGTCTTTCCCAGTTCCTGTGTCCAGAATGGTATTTATTAGATTATCTTCCAGAGTTTTTATAGTCTTGGGCATTATGTTTAAGTCTTTAATCCATCTTGAGTTGATTTTTGTATATGTGTAATGAAGGGGTCCAATTTCAGTCTTCTGCATATGGCTAGCCAGCTATCCCAGGACCATTTATTGAATAGGGAGTCCTTTCCCTATTGCTTGTTTTTGTTGACTTTGTTGAAGATCAGATGGTTGTAGGGGTATGGCATAATTTCAGGGCTCTCTATTCTGTTCCATTGGTCTGTGTATCTGTTTTGGTATCAGCACCATGCTGTTTTGGTTGCTGTAACCTAATAGTTTGAAGTCAGGTAATGTGATGCCTCCATCTCTATTCTTTTTGTTTAGAATCGCCTTGGCTATTCAGACTCGTTCTTGGCTCCATAATGAATTTTAAAATCGTTTTTTCTAGTTCCGTGAAGAGTGTCAGTAGTAGTTTCATAGGAATAGCATTGACTCTGTAAACTGCTTTGGGGAGTATGGCCATTTTAATGATACTGATTCTATCTGTGAGCATGGAATGTTTTTCCATCTGTTTGAGTCATCTTTGATTTCTTTGGTGTTTTGTAATTCTTTCTGTAGAGATCTTTCACCTCCCTGTTCAGCTATATTCCTAGGTATTGTATTATTTTTCTGGCTATTTTGAATGGATTGTATTCTTTATTTGGCCCCTTGGCTTTGGATGTTGTTAGCATATAGGAACGCTACTGATTTTCATACATTAACTTTTTTTCTATCCTGAAACTTTGCTGAATTTATCAGATCAAAGAGCTTTTGGGCAGAGACTATGGGGGTTTCTAGGTATAAAATCATATCGCCTGGAAACAGGGAAAGTTTGACTACCTCTCTTAATATTTTGATACCTTTTATTTCTTTCTCTTGCCTAACTTCTGGCCAGAACTTCCAGTACTAAGTTGAATAGGAGTGGTGAGAGAGGGCGTCTTTGTCTTGTGCCAGTTTTCAAGGGGAATGCTTCCAGCTTTTGCCCATTCAGTATGATGTTGGCTATGGGTTTGTCATAGATGGCTCTTACTATTTTGCAGTACGTTCCTTCAATGCCTAATTTGTTGATTTTTTAACATGAAGGGGCATTGAGTTTTATGAAAAGTCTTTTCTGCATCTATTGAGATAATCATATGGTTTTTGCCTTTATTTCTGTTTATGTGATGAATCACATTTCTTGATTAACATATGTTGAATCATCCTTGCATCCTAGGGATAAAACCTACTTGATCATGGTGGATTAGCTTTGTTTCTTATTTTTTAAGACAGGGTTTTGCTCTGTCACCTGTGCTGGAGTGTGGGTTGTGATCAAGGCCCACTGCAGCCTTGGACTCCCGGGCTCAATCCATTCTCCCACCTCAGCCTCCACTCCTGGGACTGCAGGTGCACACCACCATGCCTGGCTTATTTTTCAATTTTTTTAGAGACAAAGTTTTGCCATGTTGCTCACGCTGGTCTCAAACTCCTGGGCCCAAGCAGACCTGTAGTTTTGGATGCCATTTACCCTCTCAAATTTTACAATTAGTCAAGTTCTGCCAAAATAAGATGCACCAAAAGTAATCCAATCTAAAGGTTAAAGTAAACCAGTTACTCTCAAATTAGATTTCTTGTTATCTATGAACATAGTGTAGATCTACTCTTAAAAGTTCTTTAATCTTTTTATGAAATGTTCTAATTTTTCTGTAAAAAGCATGTCTTTTGCTAGACTTACTCCGAAAACCTAATTTTAATATTATAAATGCTATCCTTTTAAAGTTGTATTTGTTGTTTCTTGAAGACATTTGTGAATTAATTTAAGATCTGGGCTATGTGTGTGTGTTTTGGTAGCCTGTGATTGTGATAACTTGTGGATTGTTTTGGGTTTCTCTAAGAGCAAGTATATCAACAGGTGAGTTTGTTTTTTCTAAGCTTTATATATTTTTCTTATTAGTCTACTTGAAATCTGAATGGTTCTCAAACTTCAGTGTGCATCAGAATCACTTGTAGAGGGCTTATTAAAACACAGGCTGCTGAGCTTCACTCTGAGTTTCTGATTCAGTGGGTCTAGGGTAAAGCCAGAAAATGTGCATTTACAGCAAGTTCTCTAGTGGTGCTGATGCTGCTGGTCCAGGACCACACTTCAAGAACCGTTCGTTGCTCTAGTACACTGTGCAGTAGAATTGGTGAAAGTTGATATCCTTATCTTGTGCTGATCTTGAAACGCTTTAGACATTTCACCATAAAGTTTATTTGCAAGCATGTTTCTATGCGTGTGAAAGTTCTCTATTGGTTATAAAAGCATAAATCCATTCTTTACTTGCTAAGAGTGTGTTATTTTGAAATCACTGTCAAATTTTATTGATCATCTTTTCATGTTTTGAGATAACATGATTTTAAACAAACTCTGCATTCCTAAGTTAAACCCATTTTGTTCATGATGCCTTACTTTTCTTGTACATGGTGAGAAACAGTTTTCCGATATTTTATATCTATGTTCCTAAAATTCTCCTGTAATTTTCTTTTCTCATGGTGTCTTTGGTTTTGTTATCCAGGTTATGCCAACCTCAAAGCTAGTTAAAAATTATTTCCTCTTTTTCTATTTTTTGAAAGATTTTTGTGTAAACTAGGATTATTTGTTGCTTGCATGCTTGGTTAGAGCATGCCTAGGAAGTGATCCAGGCCTGGTTTTTATTTTGTAAAAAGATTTTTAATTGAATTCACTTTAATGAATGGTTACAGAAATATTCAGGTATTCCATATCCTCTTGAATCACTTTCATTAAGTTGTATTTTGCTAGGAATTTGTTCATTTCTCCACAATTTTTAAATCACAGTTTAAAATTTTATAGGCATGAAATTCATTATATTTTAAATCAGTTGCATCTGAAGTTATGCTCCAATTGTGATTCCTAATATTGTCATCTTTTTGTTTCCTCATTAATCTCTCCAGAGGTTTGCCTGGTTTATTCCAAAGAATGAACTTTAATGAGTTGTTTTTTTCATTCCTTTGTACACCTTAGCTTTCTTTATGCTACTTCTTTATCTGTAGGCTAATTTTGTTTTATCTGTCCTTCTGGGGTGGATGGGTGAGGGTGTGTGTGGTGTGTTTTACTTTTGGATTGAGATTTTAACACACCTCTTTGTAATTGATGGATAAATCAGACTATTAACATGGTTTATCACTTTTCTTCTGTTGTGTTTCATTTTAGCAAAGCGTCTAATTTTAATTTCATTGGATCAAGAATTGTAACATCATTGAACATTAAAACGTGAGAGACTAATAGTGAAAGATATAGCACCAAGGATAGAAATACTAAAGATCATGAAAAATTAAGATCATGTTGTTTGTCATAAGATAAAGTGAACTTGATTTATAATTGTTTGTATAAATTCCAAATGTACTGCTGGGATTCAACCTTTTGAATTATGTGTGCAGATTATTTACATAACCTCCATTCTTGATCTTTTCTTAAGGTAATGCATTGGGAGAACTCTAATTACAGTTCCAGCATTTGCTGAAAATTCTGCTTCAAAAACTTGTAGAATTTTACCCAGGGGAATGTTCACACAAACCTCATTAGAATATTAGAAGTCACACCAAAGATTAATGCTAATTATTTGCATTTAAAGACACTATCAAGGTAATCACTGCTTCCCAGTGTAAATGCTATCGTCATCCAGTATTTTAATTATATCTTATTCTCCTTCCACAAGTTAGATACTATTGTTTATTTTACAGTCAGTATCTGTTTAGTTGTATCCATGTATAAACAGATTCTTTTTTGCTTACTATTCCTTCTATCTTGGATCTTTTATGTTGGACAATATTTCTTCTGTCCAAAGCATGTTGTGAAGACTTTCCTTTAGTGTGAGGATCTGTTGGTAAACATTCTGTTTTGTTTCTCTATAAATGTTGGTTTTACTGTATTCTTGAAAGAGGCCTCTCATTACTTGGAATATTAAATGTGTGGTAAGTCTTGCTCTGTCTAGGTTTCCTTTGTGTTTGTGACTTTTGACTGTAAGTCCTTGTCCTTGGATCTTTATGTGTGAATTCCTTGGAACTCTTAAGGCCTTGGATAAAAGTTGTTAGAGAGAATTTCTGAACTCATCTCCAGATGCCTAGATCTGGGACAACTTCAAAATGTATTGCTCTGTGCATTTCACATAGACCTATTTGAGGCAGGGTCTACGGTTAAAAATGTTCGCCTCTTTTCTAGGTAGTGCCAAGATGTAAATGACTCTTTATCCTAAGTGCTTTTTGCCTTTTTGCCTCAATGTCTATTTTGTCTTGTTTTAATATAGCTTTTTTTCTTCTTCCACCCCTCTCTTCTGTGTCTGTGTTCTGTATTTTAGATATGCCTTATGTAAGGAGTTCAGAGCTAGGGCTTTATTTTTTTTTAGAGACAGAGTCTCGCTCTGTCGCCCAGGCTGGAGTGTGTTGGCATGATCATGGCTCACTGAAGCCTCAACCTCCTGGGCTCAAACGATTCTCCTCCCTCAGCCTTCTGAGTAGCTGGGACTACAGGTGCCCACCAGCTAATTTTTTGTTGTTGTTGTTGAGACAGTCTAGTTATGTTACCCAGGCTGGTCTTGAACTCCTGGGCTCAAGCTATCATTCCCACCTCAGCCTAGTAAAGTGCTGGGATCACAGGCATGAGCTATCACATGCAGCTTAGAATTTGGCTTCTAAAATCTAATCTCTTTTCTAAAACTCTATTGGCATTTCTGATAAATTATTTCTGCCATGTCATTTTGTGCTTTTTCTATGCAGCTGCTGCCTTTATTTTACTTTCCTATCTTGAGCTTTTTTTTTTTAATCTAAAAATACTCTTCCTGTACAGTTTTTAGAAGTTAGACATTCCATTTGCAGATATTAGTGGGTTACTCTTAGGTGAACAATCACCTTCATGTCTATTGTTCACAAATATCTTCTTCTCTTCCTGAATAACACAGTATTTTATTAGAATATTTTAGCTTTGATCATCCCTTTCTATTGTATCTGTGATTTTTAATCAGTATTTTGGATATATCTTTATTCCAATTCCCGGAAATTAGATTTTTTAAATTACTGTTTCTTCTTGTTTATTTTTAAAAAATTTCTCCACATTGTTCAGTTTGCTTGTTTTTCCTTATTTCAGTTTTCCCTTATTTCAGTTTTCCCTTTGAGATAATTACCCTTTTTGATGAAATACATCCTTTAGCAAGTCCTATGGTGACATACTGTTTGTACTTTACTTTCTCTTTTTGTTTGCTAAAAATACTATTTTGCTTAATTTCTTGAATGTCAGTTTAGCCATATCCGCAATTCTAGATTGCTAGGGGCTTCCCATCAATACTTCGAAGCTATGATTTCATTGTCATCTGGCCTCCATTTGTAGCTGCAAAAGTCTAATATCAAAACGTCGTTGCTTTGAAGTAATCAATCTCTTCTCTGCCTTTAGAGTGGCTTTGCTGTCTCTACTTTTTACTTTGCTTATATCTAGGTCCCTTCTTTCCTCAGTTGGAATTTCTTGTGCTCTCAGAATCTGAAGATTTATGTTTTTCATCAATTCTGGAGAACCCTCAGCTGTTATCTTCTGTTTCTTCTTTCTCTTGGGTTTCTAATTAGACATATGTTCAACCTTCTTATTCCATCTCCCTGTCTCTTAATCCCTCTTTCATTTTGTTCCTCTTTGTGCTGTGTACTGAGATGTTTCCTCAAGTAGGTAATTCATTCTTTAACTGTGTCGACTCTATCTGACCTATTTGAGTTTTTAGTATCAGCTATTATGTATTTTGCATATGTAGAAATTGTTTCTTTTTCAAATCTCCCTGGTCATTTAACTCTTGTTCCTCGCTCATGTTTTAGTTTAATTATTTTAAATAAATGATATTTCTAATTTAGTTATTTTATACTATGCATTTGAAGATGCCGATCTGATATCCTTGGGTATGCTATTTCTCTCTTTTGCTATTTCTTGTTTTTACCAACTCTAGCTCATAGTTTTGCTTTCCTCGGTATTTTTCACTTTTTATTGGGAACCCATATTTAACTGTCATAATCTGTGGCAGTCCAAAAGGCCCTGGCTTGAGAGCAGGCCTCCACGGGACACTTGTTTGCTTCTGCCAGATACCTGGAAGTGCCTTCTGAGACCACTTTTGGTTAATGTTGTTGCTTTAGGGATCGCAGGTCATGCATTTAGTCTAAATGCAGTCCCTGAAGCTGTGTGGACACAGATCTGTGATGATAGATTCACAGTGGGGGAGGCCTTTTCTCTGTCTACAGCTAAGGCCCAAATGAGTAAGTTTCCCTGCTGCTTCCCCTTGCAGAGCTTTTTTGTTTTGTTTTGTGTTTGCGGTTTTTTAAAGCCATTGTTTCATTAAGAGTATAGCCCTTTGAGGGCCTCATTTCCATTTTGCAAAATGATTATACTTGGCTTCAGTTTGAGTTTTAGCTTGTCACATTTATTCCAGATTTTTCTCTCCAGTTGGATTCAGGTCCCTAGTATGTTTAGGCTGTTGAGACCCCAATTTCTGAGAAGTCCTTCACTTCTTCCTCACATTTAATGCAGTTCCTGCAATTTTGTACGTACATCTGCCAGATCTGTCTTAGTTCCCATATTGGCCATGTCTACCTTGGGGTCAACACATATGTATCTATAATTTGATAAACATTTTCCTATGTTAAGTCAAGATATCACCTTTGTTTTGGAGTTTATGCAATTATAAAATTTGTCACTTATGTTTGGGTGCCATGCCAAGTGGAATGTTGATACCATAAGATAATTCTAATATTTCAGTATAAAATTTTATGCATAGGTTTTATTTTAAAAAAAAAAAAACAAACCCTAAATTTAGGAAGAAGCAGCCTGTCTTTGAATGGATTGGCTTCGTTCTGTTGGCTATTTGACCTCTTAACAATGTAGACAGTTCTCTCAATGTTTTGCCTCTAGGGTCACTGCTGGCTGAGTATCCTTTATTAACTGCGTGAGGGATCCAGAGGAGCCTGAAAACACGGCTTAATGAAATGTACAGATGATGATAGAGGAAGGCCATGTTCTGTTCTCGGCATGGGCCCGAGCGCAATAGCAAGAGGAAGAACTAATGCTGTTGGCAATAAATAATGAAACAATACGCCTGAATTTGGACCAGAGAAAACTAATGTCCCCCTGGAAAAATGATCTGCAGTGATTCTCAGAGCAGTGATCTTGGAGGGAGAACTAGACCAGAGAGGAAATGTAAGAGCTGGGAATGGAGAATTATACCAGTGTTATTTTCATGTAATTCGTCGCGAGCTTAGCAGCATAAGAATAAGGAAGTTTTAGTCTTTCTTGTTAATTAAAAAATATCATCCTTGTGTAATTGCATAAATACTTGTGTGGTGCTTCACTGCTTCAAACTTGCTTTTTACATTCATCACCACAGCTGATTTTACAAGATACTCTCCCTGCGAGCTCCCAAAGTGTGAGTTATTGAGAGCTGTGCCCAGGGAAGGAGGAGGAGGCTGTTTGGATTGTCCCCTCTTACTAATTAAATCACTTAAGCATGGAATGCTTAAAGGCAGTTTCAAAAACATTAGTCTCAGAAGGGAATGCCTGACTTGTCCCTTGTGGTCCTCCCCTTGGTCTACTCTCCTGTGCCCTTCTGCTTTAGAAGATTGTTCCTCGCCAGGCGCGGTGGCTCACACCTGTAATCCCAGCACTTTGAGAGGCAGAGGAGGGTGGATCACCCGAGGTCAGGAGTTCGAGACCAGCCTGGCCAACATGGTGAAACCCCGTCTCTATTAAAAAAATAAAATAAAACAAATAAAATAAAAATTAGCCAGGTGTGGTGGTGTGCACCTGTAATCCCAGCTACTCAGGAGGCCGAGGCAGGAGACTAGCTTGAACCTGGGAGGTTGGAAGTTGCGGTGAGCCAAGATCGTGCCACTGCACTCCAGCCTGGGCCATAGAGTAAGACTCCATCTCAAAAACAAAAACAATACAAAACAAAAATTTAAAGGCTGGGCACAGTGGCTCACGCCTGTAATTCCAGCACTTTGGGAGGCCGAGGCAGGTAGATGACCTGAGGCCACGAGTTCAAGACCAGCCTGGCCAACATAGTGAAACCCCATCTGTACTAAAAATACAAAAATTAGCCAGGCATGGTGGCGGATGCCTGTAATCCTAGCTGAGGCTGAGGCACGAGAATCGCTTGAACCTGGGAGGCAGAGGTTGCAGTGAGCCACTGCACTCCAGCCTGGGCAATAGAGCAAGACTCAGTCTCAAAAAAACCAGATTGTTCCCAATTGTCAGGTCCCAGCCCAGAATGCCTATAAATGAGCCCTTCCTTGCCTGCTCAACTGTCAGTGCCCTCGTGATCCTGAGGCCATTGTGCCATTTTTGGGGGCCTTGGTTTCCTCATCAATGAAGTGAATAGCTTGGGAGGACTCCAACACTGAGACTGTGGAGATCCCTACAGCCCTTTCTGCCTAGAGCAGAAAATTCAATGCTTAGTTATTTGTTCTCTTGTTTTGAACCTTAAAGCTTTTGCAGGTTGGTCTTGGCTTCTCAGCAATATTTTAATTCTTAAGGACATCTGTGTTGGATTTTGTTTGAATCTACAGGATACAGCAGCCCAGTGCTAAATACAGAGTAGATACTAAATGAATGGTTGACTTTTCTAGGTTTTTGGCATCTTACATTTCCTATTATCTTCTTACTCTAAGATGGCATCCAAACCACCAGTACTTCGCTTTTAAGGGTCCTAATTCTAGTCAGTTTGTCAGACCCCAAATTTCTACCTCCCTGATGCAGAGCTGCCACCTAGTGGGAAAAGGTGGCAACTCTAAGCTATTTAGTGCCCAGTGCTTCTTAAGTTGGTGTTATTTGGTTTAATTCAAGAAGCCAAGAAGTAGGCATTTTGGAGTGAGTTGCAGCAAAGTGACTTGAACCATGCTGCTCTCACATAGTCCAGTAGTCTACAACCTGCATGGTGTGATTTGCAGGTAGCTGATCTGGGCTCTACTGCTCAGAGATCCTTATTTCAATGGCCTTTGACATCTAGCATTAGAGGCTCATTCCATAAGTGCCTTTTAATCTTTTGGAGTGTTTCCATTGATCCCAATACTATGTTGTCCTCTCTCATTGTTTCTGGATTCAAGTCGGCACTCTCGGTAGCAAGTGAAAGAAACCCAATTCAGAATTGTTCACAGCCAACAAAGGAAGTTTATTGGCTTATGTAACTGCAAATTCTAGGGATAGGCTGGCTTCAGGCAGCCTGAAACCCTATCATCAGGATTCAGCCTCTTTCCCTTGGTTCTGCTTATGAAATTACTTTCTGGTGCTCCCCTCTCGCTATCCTTCATGCCTTTTTTTTTTCTCCAGATCATAGAAAAGTACTGGAATGTACTCTTGTTGAGCTACATATCAATATTTGAACAACTGCCATGCTGAGAGTGGGCAAGTAAGTTGTATTCTGCTTGGCCACATCTAGGTCATGGGACCACCTGAATCGCATGAGATGACAGGAAAAGTCATCATTCCCCAAAAGAAAATGGAAGTACCATTTCCAAAATAAAGCTTGGATGCTAGGCAAGCTAAAAGAACAGATGTCTATGACCTTGGCCATTGTATATGTTCACTCATTGCAAGCCATGTGCCATTTCCTTTGATATCTGCCAGTGTTTGCACATTGCTAGATCTCTAAACGGGCTTAATTAATGGCTGAAATGATTGAGTTGTTAGGTAGGGAGGCCAGTGAGCACCTGAATCCCACTGTGGGTACAAAATCAAAGATACATTGTGTAGGTAATCTAGGAACAACCCTGTGATGGTTTTAAAACATGAACATGCAGCCTTGTTCATTGGGACCCTTAATCTTAGAGCCTAGATCCACCACTTAGGAGGTTCAACCTGAGACCATCATGCTGGAGAGGTCACACTTACGTGTTCTGGTGACAGTCCCAGCTGAGCCTTCCAGCCATCCTTGCAAAGATACCAGACATGAGAATGCCTGCTTGCATCCTCTAGCCAGCCCATCTGCCAGTTAAGTGACACAATGGGACCTTTAATGCCACACCCAAACAGAAGATCCTCCCAGCTGAGCCTTGCCCAAATCCTTGACCCACAAAAGTGTAAGATATCATAAAATGGTGGTTTTCCTAAGCCACTGAATTTTAGAGCAAATTGCCAGTGCTTCAACACCTTAATGAGAAAGTAAAGACCAAATACATTTCTAATTACCTTGACTATGATCTCAACACAAATGTGTTATAAAAAGAGCTGTTTATGAAGGAAGATTAAATGACTTTTTTTTTTTTTTGCCCAAAAGGCTTTCAAATAATAAATTTATCTTCCTCCTGCCAGCAGTTTGTTGGCGAGCTGCCCCCTTTAATGTCAGAGCCTAACAGAGCACGAGCATGAGGCGGAGGTCAAAGTCTTGCCTGCTTGTCACAGCTTTGCCGCACATGGTGGCTGGTTTACTGGTCCCCAGGGGGCCTGGAAAACTCCTGTTTCCTTATACAGCTGGATCTTGGCGAGCCAGTAGAGTGTGTTCTGTCAGTGGTATTGCAAAATAGAAAGTAGGCTCCTTTTCTGGAAACTTTCTTTTCCCTGCAGACTGCAGTGTGCCCCTGCAGTATGTCCATTCTTCAGAGCCTTGCTAATAAATGGTCACGCAGAGAACTGGGATGAAGTTTGTGATGGGCCTAAAAACTTGGTGTACACATCCTCCATGAGCCCTCCTGGCTCGCCTGCTACCTCCCCCTGAAGGCACCGGCCCACCTTCCCCCGACAAGCTGTTGAGAACCTCCAGGCACATATGCCTGTCTGTTTTTGATAATCCACCATCTTCTCAGGAAACCATCTCCCAGCCAGGGCTCTCGGAGACTACTCGAGAATACTATGCTGTTTTCTATTCCTGACTTCTCTGTTAGCAAAAAGCAAGTGACTTCTTGATGGAAAGTATGTCTTGAGATGATATAACTTCCCGTTACCACTCCTTTCTTAATCATGTATTCATGGAACTCACTCTGTGCTGGGCAGTGTTCTAGATCCTGGGAATGTATTCATGAACAAAACAGACAAAAGTCCAGTGGTTGAGGAACTTACTCTCTAAAGGAGAAAGGGAGAGAGGCACATAAACAGCACACTCAGTTGAACAATACTATGTATTAGGAAGATGAAATGATGAAAATGAAGGGAAAAACAGCAGCATTGGAAATGGCTGGGACAGGGAGTTGTAGCGACACAGTGTCTTCTGAGGGGGTCTCCTTGAAGATGACCTTTGAGCAAAGACCAGAAAGAGATGAGGGAGTCAGTTACATGATACCTGGGGGAAGATGATTCTGGGAAGAAGAAATTAGCAGTGCAATGGCCTTTAGTTAGTAGCAGGGAAGAAACCTGAGACTCACTGAGTATCATGAGTAGATGAGGTCAGTGGGCTTTATGAGCCATTGCAGGCACCTCTTACTCCAAGAGGCATGGGAGCCCTTGGAGAGTTTGAACAGAGGAGTGACAGGATCTCATGTATGTCCCAGACTACCCTGGCTGCTGGCTGTGCATACATCCTAGGGGAAAAGGGTATAAATGGGATCCCTTAGGAGGCTGTGGCAGTGATAATGATGAGAGGGTGCTGGCTGAACTCAGAGGTAGCAGAGGAGAGGTGACAAATGGTTGGATTTTGAGTGTTTTAAAAGTGGTACTAATAGGACTTGCTAATTTGGGGTGAGGACAGAAGTCAAGGATGGCTCTGAGTTTTTGGTTATAGCTAGGCAGGTTGGTGGCCTAGAAAGCAGATTTGGGGAGCTCAGTAGTTCAGCATGGATTTTGTTCCACTTGAGAGGAAGGACTGGCACTTGGACATACAGGTCTGGGTCCTCGGGTGAGGAGCTGACTTGAATGAAGAAGCCCTTTCCCAAGGCTACTTGATTGTCTCAGGTTAGATTAGAAGGCCTGATCCCAGGTTTTGGAACGTGTTCTATCCCGTCATATCTTATGACTCCCATCCATCCCACGAAGCCATGGACATCGCGGTGGTTACAGGGAATGTCCATGGCAGCCCTGTTGGTCTGGAGCATGAATTGGACTATTGACATGATCAGGTAAAAAGCTGCCATCTTTAGGCTGGAAGAGCATTAAGATAGATTTTTTCCATCACCTCATGTCTCTTGGAGTAGGGGCAGTAAGACTGGAAGAGAAAAGTTAGGAAAAAATACCATTTTGTCCCAAGAGAATCCAATATAAGAAAAAGCATATTCTCCTTATTATTTTTAATGAAAAATAGTAGCTTCCACTTAGTGGATCCTTGTGTAATATTTACTAATTAAAAATAAAGAATATCCAAAAAGATGGAAGTCTGAATCTGGATTTCTTTTTTGAGGCTGGATATCACTCTGTTGCCCAGGCTGGAGTGCAGTGGCACGATCAAAATTCACTGCAGTCTCAGCTTGCCCCCAGGCTCAGGTGATTCTCCCACCTCAGCCTCCCGAGTAGCTGGGACTACAGGCATGCACCACCACACTCGGATAATTTTTTGTATTTTTTGTAGAGACGGGGTGTCGTTATGTTGCCCAGGCTGGTCTTGAACTCTTGGGCTCAAGCGATCTGCCCACCTTGGCCTCCCAAAGTACCCGGATTGTGGGCGTGAGCCACTGCACCTGGCAGAATCTGGCACTTAAAAATCCACTTTGAGTATGGTTTTCAATATGCCTGTATAAGCTTCCTAGGTTTGCTGTAACAAACTTAAGGCAACAAATTGTGTCTTAAAAAAACAGAAATGTATCCTCATAGTTCTGAAGGTTAGAAGACAGAATCAAGGTGTCTGTGGGGCCAAGTTTCCTCTGAAGGCACTAGGGGAGCATATCCTTGCTGCTTCCAGCGTCTGGGGGTTGCTGACAAGCTTTGGCGTTCCTTGACTTACAGCTGCTCACTCCAGTCTCTGCCTCTTCTGTCACATGGAATTCTTTCTGGGTTTCTATGAGTGTCCAGATTTCCTCCTTATGACACTATTCATTGGATTAGGTCCCGCTCTAAGCCAGTGTGACCTCATCTTAACTTGACGGCATCTGCAGAGACCATATTTCCAAATAAGAAATAACACCTATTTCTCCGGTACCAGGAAGTAGGACTTGGATATGTCTTTTTGGGGGACACAGTATTATCCACTCTGATACTGAAAGAAAAGAATGAGGTGTAAAAGGTGGTATAAACTAAGGAAGTATACTGCTTTGGCAAAATAACTCAGTTAAAATCGTTTTAGTAATTCATATTTCTTTCTCCTTTTGTAAAAATTTAGACTACATTACACAAATTTTGTCTTCTAATTTTTGACATTTCAAATGAGATTATATTCTGTATAATTACTCAGAATACGGACAATATGGTGTATATATCACTAGGAAACTAAGCAGGATTAACATGAGAGGGAGTGACTGGAATTTGCAGTATCTTCACAGTATACCCCATGAATTGCTGAACTGATGAATGATGGATTGTTTTATATTTTTATGAAATGAAGAGTATTCAAAAGAGTAGTGATAAGGAAACTGAGCTCTAGAACAGGATCATCAACTAAATCAACATGAACTAGTTGATCTCTACAACAGGATGGACACACAATCCCAAGACCATGGGCACAGTTGGGAAGCTTGTGGAGAGGCTGAAGACATGGTGACTAAGAGCACAAGTTCAGGACCAGGATAGTCCAAACCCAAGCTCTGCTGTGGAATCAAGGGCTCAACCCTTAACCCCTCCAGGCCTTGATTTTCCTGTCTGCAGAATGGGAACACTGTTCTTATCTCACAGGGCTCTTTGAGGATGTGATAAGTAAATTCCCATAGAGGTGGCATAGCATAGTAGATGAGAATGGATTCTGGAGTCAGAGGGCCACAAGGCCAGTCTTGGCCTTACCACTTGCTAGCTTTATGGCCTTGGGCCAGGTGATAAGCCTCTCTGGGCCTCAATTGCTTCCTCTGTAAAATAAGGATGATGCTAATACTCATTGTTAAGATTAAATGAGGTAAATGAGCTAACACTTGGGAAATTCTTAGAGCAGTGCCTGGCACAGAGTAAGTGGTATTTGAGTATTTTCCATATTGAAGTGTGGAATCAGTGCCAGGGCTACATAAGCCTGATAAGTGTTCATTGCTCCTGTCATGTTTATAATCTCCTCACCCTCCTGCCCCTGAAAATACCCCCATGTCAGCTGCCTTTTCCACATTTATCTGGATACTGAAAAATGCACGTAAAGGGACATTTCACCTTAAGGAAAGCTTGGACTTTCAAAACAGATGCATTGCGAGGTGGTTTACTTTACCAAAGGATTTACTGTGGGGTTCCATAAATAAACGAGTACTTTAAGGTGGAACTTTATTTACAAAACCAATTCCTTCTTTTCAGGAACATTTTGCTTAAAGCAAAATAGATACTAAGATTGGTCAAATTGAGTGCCCTCTGTTTATTTGTCCATCATAGATCTTGGACTATCCACTTCTGCGCTTTGATGCATGTCTATGTAGCATTTTTAGCCCCCAGGATTTTCTTATGTTACTGTCTTAGTCTATTCATTCTGCTATAACAAAATACTTGAGACTGGGTAATTTAAAAATATAGTAAAAGAGATTTATTTTCTTGCAACTGTGGAGCCCGGGAATCCCAAGATAAAGGTGTGGGCAGGTGCGGTGTCTGAGAGCCTGTTCCTCATAGGCTGGGTAGGTGTCCTCACATGGGCTCTTTTACAAGTTACTAATCATTCATGATGACTTAATCACCACCCCAAAGACCCCACCCCTCAGTACCAACACAATGGGAATCAAGTTTCAACACATGAATTTTGGGGGACATTCAGACCATAGCAGTTACCTAGGTGTGATAATGATTGATTTTAGAACTACAGAATGTAAGAATTGGCGGGTGGCTGGGAGATTCTCATCTCTGTCCCAGCAGCTGGTTCTGCATTCAAGAATGTTGATTCAGACAGGGAGAAGGTGGTTCCCCTTTTCAGAACTAATTCAGTCTCCTTGATTATATTTTAAAGATCTCAGTTTGCTGCTTGCTTTTAATTTTTCTCTAATACAGCTTCCTTTCAAATAAGATGATGAATCTCCAGAAGTCCCTGCAAGCATCAGTATATGGCTACAATTTTTTTTTTTTTTTTTTTTTTTTGAGACAGAATCTCACTCTGTAGCCCAGGCTGGAGCGCAGTGGCGCGATCTTGGCTCACTGCAAGCTCCGCCTCCCGGATTCACACCATTCTCCTGCCTCAGCCTCCCGAGTAGCTGGGACCACAGGCGCCCACCACCACACCCAGCTAATTTTTTGTATTTTTAGTAGAGATGGGGTTTCACCGTGTTAGCCACGATGGTCGCGATCTCCTGACCTTGTGATCCACCCGCCTCAGCCTCCCAAAGTGCTGGGATTACAGGTGGGAGCCACCACGCCCGGCCTATGGCTACAATTTTTATACCACTGTGTTGACCTTACCTTGTCTTTATAGCAGGGGATTTTGGTTTCCATTTGTTACCATGGTGGTCAAACTTGGTAGCATATTAGAAACGCCTGAGAAGCTTTTAAAGCCATTCACACTTTGGGGTTCCCATCCTCCAGAGATTTAGCTGTGTGAATTTTAACAGCCCAGTTGATACTATTGCATAGCTATGTGTGAGTGTATCAACTTATAAACATGACTGATACTTTATCCATGCTAATGTTTGCTGTTTTTAAGGTTAGTGAATTATATTTAAGAAAACACAAAGAAACAGCCCAGGTGGTTACAGGGATAACTGAGGTTTGGTAAACACTGAAGCTGGGGAGGTAGAATCACCTTACCTAGCCAATGTCACCAAAGTGGCTGGTGACAAGAGTGTCTCTGAGCTCATCCAAGGCTCTCTTTTGTTTTTGTTTTTGGTATGTGAAGTTTCTCACCCTTGAAACAACCGCACTTGTACTTGGAGGAAGCTGAGACTCCCTTTGGACCTAGTCATCCTGTTTTGTGGCCACCACCGTCATAGCAATATTTAAAAACTCCATTGGGCCTTCAGCCTCAGTGGCAGGAAGCCTAACTCTATTTTGTTGTCTTAGTCCCTGGAGTATATTGAGGCTGCAAAGTTATGTTCACCAGATCTTGGTAGTTCCAACAATCACAAATATATTTTTAAAACTTTAAAAAACATAAATCTATTGCATGTATCAGTACTGATGCTCACATTCTCTCTTCCCTGCCCCCCAGCTGTCCCCTCAATTGCAACTTTAGTATGCCCTTGCATTTGCAGCAGAGTCCCAAGCATACTGTCAGAACCTTGGAATGGTTATGTCACAGGCCAAAGAGAATTTGAGGCTAAATTGTGAAGGTCTAGCCAATAAGAATGAAACATCAATAGTGTTTTCTTCCAGACTTGTGGCCTTGCAGCAAAGAACGAGGCAGCTAGAGTTGAAAAGCACTTCCATACCAGAAGCTCTGCAAATTGGGCAGGCAGCTAGATGTCTTCTTAAATTGCATTTCTGGTGACCTCAGCCATGGCCCAGGCAGACCACCCTCCTTTTCATACAGAAAGGTAATTCCGCTACTAAGTTCAGTCACTCCCACATTGTTTGGAACAGGTTACTCCTAGTGGTCCTGTGGTTTGGGTGTTTGCACCGGGGAACATGATTAATAAAAACCACACAATTCATTTTGACAGCCTTGGCCCATCTCTCCCAAAGTGAGGAGCTGCTCGTGACTTTCTTTTTCTATTTTCAGCTTGTGTTTTTTTATTGCAAAACCAGGCATTCCTTTGAATTCATGTGTGTCCTTGAAAACAAAGCAGCCGTGTTTTCAATAGTGCAGACTCTTCCCCTGTCTGTTGCTGGTAGATGCGCCTAATGGTAAACAATTTATAAACAAAATGTTCTCCCCTCAGCCCCCGGCCCTCCAACCCCTTGCTTTTGTACTGATCTGTAGCAAGGGTCTCCTAGCACGTACAGGATAAGACTTGTGAGAGTTTGAAAGAAACTCACGGCCATTGATTATTACCTGGGCTTATGCATTATGTGAACATGTTCCTTCAGAGAACCCAGGAAGGCATCCTATCCTTGTCCAGACTTTGCTCAGTAAGAGGCAGGTGACCAAGTGCAAACAGCACAGTGGGTGGGTTCGAAAAGAAGCTGGTTTGAATGTTTGCTCTGCCATCTGACAATTTGGTGTCTTGGATAAGTGCCCTGACCACACACCATGCCTCAGTTCCCTTTTGTACAATGGGAGACCAGGATAGAGCAGACCTGACTGATTAAGGGAGGAGAAAATGTTTCTGAAGGACCCAAGATAGACACAGAATGGCAGCGGTTAACTGACAGCAGAAGAAGTAACCAGTGAAATCAGGGAGCTTGTCTCATCCTTAATTCCTACATTTTTTAAAAAAGGATTTTTTTTAGAGCAGTTTTAGATTTACAGCAAAACTGGAAGAAATAGTGATTTCCCATATACTCTCGACTCCACATGGATAGGTATTTCCTCCTCACTACCAACATTCTGTGCCCCCTTTCCAGAGTGGTGCATTTATTACAATCAGTGAACCTAAAATGACACATCATTATTACCCAAAGTCTACATAGTTCATGTTAGTTTTCACTCTTGTCACTGTATGTTCTGTGGGTTTAGATAAATGTATCATGACATGTATTTTCCATCATAGTATCATCCAGAGTGTTTCCTCTGTCCGAAAAATTTTCTGTGCTCCCCCTATCCCTCCCTCTCTCCCTCCCCCAGACCCTGGCATCTTTTTTTTTTTTCTTTTTTCTTTTTCTTTCTTTTTTTTTTGAGATGGAATCTCTCTCTGTCACCCAGGCTTGGAGGGTAGTGGCACGATCTCAGCTCACTGCAACCTCTGCCTCCCGGGTTCAAGTGATTCTCCTGCCTCAGCTTCCTAAGTAGCTGGGATTATAGGCGCATGCCACCACGCCCAGCTACATTTTGTATTTTTAGTAGAGATGGGGTTTCACCACGTTGGTCAGGCTGGTCTAGAATTCCTGACCTCGTGATCTACCTGCCTCAGCCTCCCAAAGTGCTGGGATTACAGGTGTGAGCCACCATGCCCAGCCTTTTTTTTTTTTTCTTTAAGATGAAGTCTCACTCTGTCGCCCAGGCTGGAGGGCAGTGGCATGATCTCAGCTCACTGCAAGCTCTGCCTCCCGGGTTCAAGCGATTCTCCTACCTCAGCCTCCCGAGTAGCTGTAATCCCGAGATTACAGGCACCCGCCACCACACCCAGCTAACTTTTGTATTTTTGGTAGAGACAAGGTTGAAATAAGGATGTAACTGCAGGTGACTTCTACCCTCAAGGGCAGGCTGCTCATTTGGACAGATCATTCTAAAGGGTGGTGCTCATTGTTCCATCTGTACAGTATTCATGGGCAGCCTCATGTTGGCCCTGCAAGTGAAGGTCCTCTTGAACACCCTTGTAACAGGCAGGATCACCCTTGGAGGTGGCCATGGAAGAGAAAATCACTTGGGTGAGCAGATGCAGAAAAGGTGCTGAGAGAAGGTGGACTTTGAATTATTCAATGCCAGGATAGTGAGAGCCAGGAGTCTGAGAGGACACATTAAGCAGACTTCTTTGCATAGTAGTTTTGAGGGTGTGAAATAGTGCTGGGGTGTCGTTTAGATGGGCTGTGAGGGTAAGTCCATGGCTGGCCTCTGTCACCAAGGATGACATCTGTATGTTGCCTACTGTTGTCACTTGTGCAGCAGGCTCCCGAGTGGAGTTAAGCTGCTGATGTTCGTGATGTTTGATTTCTGACATTAAGGCAAAGACTAAAAGAAAATAGACTGAAAGAAAAGACTAAAGAAAATAGGCCTTCCCTTACTTTCATCGAGGGCTCTGGCCATGTAAGTGACAGAGGGTGGTTAGGCTTCAGAGTCGGAGAGATATGAGTTTGCTTACTACTGATGGTGTGACTCTGGTAGGTTAGTGACATCTCTGAGCCTTTGTGCTCGCCTGTAAAATGAAGACAATCCTGTGTTACTTGAAGGATTGTTCTGGGATTCAGTTATAGCCCATGTAATGCCAGGTATGAATAGATGCATGGCAAGTTGTAGCAATTATTAGTGGGGGTTATTTATCCACATGTCTGCTGCCTCTGTGTACAAGGAATGGCTCAGGAATCTCATCTATGAGCAGCTCCACTGGGTGGATGTGAGGATAAAACCAATGACTCCAATGGCCCCAGAGCAGGTGGTCAGGCAGTGGGGACACCTAGAAAGATGAGTGTGATTAGTTCAAGCCCAAGTCCAAGGGGAATGAGGGACTGATTCATCTTGCCTGATGAACTGTCCACCTGCCCATCTGCTGATGAAACACAGCTGCAGGAACTCTTTCACCTCCTTGGTGTGAGTGTGTGGGGAGTTTGCTTTTAGCTGTTTCTTTCAGAGCTGGGTGCCCCAGTGAGTGATACATCATTTCCTGGAAGCCCTGGGGCCCCAGTCACATGCTCTGTTTTGCTGGAGTCCTGGGAATCCCTTCTAAGAGAGGTGTGGTCTTTCAGAGCCTTCTAGACAGGTTACATTTTTGCCACAACTTCAGATGCCATTCACATGCCAAGTTGAACTCTGTGTGTTCTGTCACTCCTCCTATGGTCTTCCCTGCCTTACCCTTTGTGGTTTCCTTTATGGCAAATTGAAGTCCGATTGCCTGGACAGCCCTGGCCAGTGCAGGGATGTTATTATTGGAAACTCTTCCCATTTGGCACCTGTATTAGTCCATTTTCACATTGCTGATAAAGACATACCTGAGACTGGGCAATTTACAGAAGAGGTTTAATGGACTCACAGTTCCACATGGCTGGAGAGGCCTCACAATCATGACAGAAGAAGAAGGAAGAGCAAAGGGATGTCTTATATGGCATCAGGCAGGAGAGCTTGTGCAGGGGAACTCCCCTTTATAAAACCATCAGATCTTGTGAGACTTATTCACTATTATGAGAATGGCATGGGAAAGACTTGCCCCCGTGATTCAATTACCTCCCATCAGGTCCCTTTCACAACACATGGGAATTGTGGGAGCTATGATTCAAGATGGAATTTGGGTGGGGACACAACCAAACCATATTAGCACCTGTCCTGGGATCCTGCTACATATAGTATTAGGATAAACAATCTCATGTAGGTCAAAAATAACTCATTCTAAGATAATGAGGGTCTCAGCTTTCTCTCTTGAGGGCTTCAGGGCAGTGGCCACATTCTAGCCCTGCAAATTTCCCCTTTTCTACCTCCTCCAACCAAATTCTTCTCCTCCAACCAGGTAAATGCTCCTAGAAAGTCCTAGAAACAGCAGGGTTGTCTTGTTTAGCCAGGGTAATCTCTCCCCCCACTGGAAGACAGCGAGAATGAAGAAGCACTGAGGTCAGAGGTGAAGGGAGAAACTTCTAGGCTACCTAGGAGGGTGCTCTAAGGGGCCTGGAGTCAAGGCTCTCACGTGGGGAAAACTGTGTCTCTTTTTCTGCATGTGCATGTTCCTTCTCCCCTCTCTCCCTCCTCTTCCCTTCCCAACTCTTTCCTTTCCTATTCCCCTCCCTCTTTTGACTTGGCTTACAATGGTGAAGATCAAAAGCTGTGGAAGTGTTGAATGGGACTGGGAATACCGCCCTCTCTTGTCCAGCTTTCTGCCGTGAATTCCCTACCTGCTTGTCTGGCTTGTGTTGGAAGAATTGAGGTCCCTTTTCTTCAGTGATGTGGACCACTAGGAGTTTATAAAAATGGTTTCATCAAAAATGAAGTTAGATATAAATTCAGCTGGAATAGTTTAAGACCTCTTTACCTCATCAAAACAAGAGGAGTTTAAAAAAAATCACTGAGTTTAAAACACATTTAAAACTCACTTGGAACCATAAGCCAATGAGATTTGGAAGAAAATTCCAAACAAGGATAATGAGATGTGACCAGTCTGACCAGACAAGAACAAAACACTAAGATCACTTTTTAAAATTAAGTCTTTGTTGGCTAAAATGAGTACAGTTAAATGGAGCCGGATAAATCATAGAAAGAACTTTACATCTGAGACTTTATATATAATACACATATTACAAACCAGTGAGGAAGGAAGTATTATTTAACATGTACCTTTACAACAACTTGCTTTCTGCTGGCCACAGTGGTGTGCAAATGTAGTCCTAGCTACCTGGGGAGGCTGAGGCAGGACAACTGCTTAAGCCTAGGAGTTCAAGGTTGTAGTGTGGCCTGATTGTACCTGTGAACAGTCACTGTGCTCCAGCCTGGGCAATATTAGCAAGACTCCGTCTCTAAAAAACAAAATAATAATGATAAATAAATACACCTGGCTTTCAATTTGGAAAACATAAATATTTAGTACCCCTCCTCACATGATAGTCCAAGTAATTAGAGATGGAAAAATAAAACGTTTTAAAATTTTATTTTAGCATTCAAGTAAACATGTACTATATAATGGTGGCATCATTTTTAATATGATTGAATCATTTATGCTTTTGAAGTAAACAGATACTTTGAGGCTAAATACATATTCACATCTTCAGGTTACTTTCTATTTTCCTTTAACTTCATTTTACAGGAGAAAAAGTTAATTTCTAACTGCTAAAAACATGAAAGTTTTATTAGATGATTTGTAACTATGAACAGTTAGCAGTCCTAATATAACACTGAAATCCAATACCTGGAGTAGCAGATATTCTCTCTCCACTATACACGAAGTAAAATATAGTTATGTAAACTTTCTCAGCCTCCAATAATTATAGTTATTAAAAAAAAACTGGGTAGTTTACAGATGTACATAATAAATTCTGAGCACTTCCTCTTATCCTAAGTAGAGATACAGATACTTTTTAATGGCCCTCAAGGTTTAGCTGCAAAGAAACTTTTCTAGGCCGGGTGTGGTGGCTCATGCCTATAATCCCAGCACTTTGGGAGGCTGAGGTGGGTGGATCACTTGAGGCCAGGAGTTTGAGACCAGCCTGGCCAACATGGCAAAACCCCATCTCTACCGAAAAATTAGCAGGGTTTGGTGGCACGCACCTGTAGTCCCCGCTACTCAGGTGGCTGAAGCAGGAGAATCTCTTGAACCTGAGAGATGGAGGTTGCAGTAAGCCGAGATTGTGCCACTGCGCTCCAGTCTGGGCGATAGAGCTAGACTCTGTCTCAAAAAAAAAAAAAAAACTTTTCTAAGGAGGATATGTTAGATGTATGTGTCTGAAGATTGCAGACTTCTGGGAATAAGAGTTGGCTACTCTACATTTTACATCTCATTTTTTTTCTTTTTTAAACTAGATTCTGTGGAAAACATCTTAATTTATTAAATATTTTTTTCAATAGCAGTGGGTCTCCTGATGTTTCCCAAGCTGGTCTCAATTTCCTTGCCTCAAGTTTCCCTTCTGCCTATGCCTCCCAAGTAGCTGGGGTTGCAGGCATGAGCCACCGCTCTCAGCTCAAGTTTTACATCTTGAAAGTGCCTGGAAACCACCCTAAAATTAACATAGAACGTTAATCCATCGTTATGGGGGACATATACCTCATACATAATCAAGTATAGTTCAAAATTGATTATCTTTCTTAGATTTCCAAAGTCTTAAATTACTTTGAAAGGGTAAATGGATTCCACATCTACTTTGTCCTCAAATCTTACTTTGAGGCGAGTGGCACGAGCTGTCAATGTATGGAATTTCTGATTAATTCTGCATGATATGAAAGTCACATACTGGCTTGATTAGTTCAGGCACTGTGCCTTGTCTTTTCAGCCTGCAGTGGTAATAAATCAAACAGGATTTTCGGAGGTGGAGGCCTGTGATAAGCATGGCTCAGGTCTGGCTTTAGTAATCCCAGAGTCAGAGAAGAATTGTCTTGAAAACTGTTTCTACTAATGCAGATGCTTTACAAGCCTACAATCTAAAGGGCTGTGTGGTAAAATTCTCCAGGAAAAGGTGTGTATCCTGAGTCAAAGGCCAGCCAGAGCGGCAGGGGCATTGCTTTTAACCCATCTCTGAAAAAGTAGCCCCAAGCAGTGTTTGTCTCTGGCTTTCATCCAAGCTCCTGCACTGTGACTGGCTCTTGGCCGGACAAAAACAGTCAGTTACCTCCCTGGTGGAAAACTGCAATTTCTCTCCATTTTGATTAAAGCCACCTTTCTCACATTTCCTGTTTCTCTAAGCTGACCTTTGGGCAAGTTTTAAGATGATGGCTTTGCCGTAGGCTGGGCTGATGGATGGTCATGGAGGTGACATCTCCAAAGGTAGTTTTAGTAAACAAAGAATCTAAGACTAGGATTTGTAAGGATTTCGAATTTGCATTTGTTATCAAAAATGTTACTGAATGCCTAAAGCTTGCAGGTAATAATGGGACGTGCAAAAGAAACATGGGTTTTGCTCCTAAGGAGATTTCAGCATAACTTTTTCAACCCCAAATCATATGATGCCATGTTCCAGTGATGATGATCTTGGTTATTACTGCCCTCTTCTTTGTACTGTACACTGGTATAGTTCAGAGGTTTCCTACTTTGGCTGTTTATCTGAATAACCTGGGAAGCTATGTGACTACTAAATCTTGGGTGTCAGTCCCTTATCTAATTGGTTTGGGATGAAACCTAGATAACTAGATTCGTATGGCAAAGGCTGAGAGTCGGTGGCTCATGGCAACCCTGTGAAGCAGGCATGACAGGCAGTATCCTTCCCATTTAGCAGATGTGAAAGCTGAAGTCTGGAGTGATGAACTGACTTGCCCAACATGACACAGTTGGTCTGCAGGAAAGTCAGGATGAGAAAGGCTTCCGTCCGAACAGGCTTTGAAATTAAATCTGGCAGTCCATTTACCACATTGCGGCCATTGTGTGAAATTCCTTGGTTATTACCTTAAGAATCCGTTTCTGGGAAACTTAATGCAACTTGTCTAATCCTGGCACCCCTCCAACCTTAACAGACTCTTTTGTGTACCGAACTTTTGACTTGTAGGGGGAGAAGCATAAAGGCAACTGGGGTCTTAGGGCCAGGACTGAGGAATGGGTTTGGCGCCTAGCCACTAAGGGGAGTTTCACAAGAGACAAGTTCCAGCCAAGATGGCACTGCCTGTCTCTAGCTTGGGAGACCTGTTTCCTCCTTGGGGAGGCATGTTCTCTGAGAAGGGAAAGGGGCGGCTTTTTAGTTGGTCATGTGCTTAATATCTATACTTGAAGCTGATCCAACTTTTTAAATATGTTAGACAATGCCATTTAACCTGAAATTTCTTACTTTGGAACTTGAGTTAATCACATCTGGGGTCTCCCATGAATCACTTAGCCATCATTTTTCAGGGCCGCCTCTGGCTCCTCTTTGTTTTCTTTTTCCATTTTGCCAACTTTTTGTTTAAGATGAGCATTCCCTAAAGCGGTCATCTCTTGATCTCTCTCCCCCACTCTGCCCACTATGACCCCACAGCAGCCCTCACTGGTTTGACAGGGCTGCCCTGCACTCTGCAGCTCTGGAGGGTTCTTGAGAGCCCATTTCCCTCTAACCCAGATCCTCAGGTTGGGATGCCCCAAGAATATGCTAAGCAGGAGGAGGCCAGAGCGCCCATCACATAGGATCTGTAACTTGTTATAGGACCACAGCCGAGCTCAGCTACTAGAGATTCTGTGATGCCTTTAGACTTTCCTCTTGATCCCAATATGGCCATGGTAGTAGGATTTTTTAAAGTAACCTAGGTTTAATAATAGTCCCCTTGGTAAGTGTCCTCTTTGCTCTATGAGTGCTTGCTTACTTTCAACCTTCTTATTCTTTCCTTCTCTTCTGCAAATATTAAATGCCTACCATGTGCACTGTTCTAGCTATGTCCGTGAACAAAACAAAGGTCCCTTGTAAATCTTGCCTTCTAAAGTGACTGGGAGTAGGGGGGATTAGTGGAGAGCAGACAAAAGAAATAACCTCATACCTTATGGAACGAGGCAGCTGGTTAAATAAACTATATGCCAAGTATCATATTGATAAAGAATAAAGCCACTCCTGGCCCTGTGCTCAAAACCAATTTAGGAGAAACAAACTTATAATTAACTGTAGTATAGTGTGATCAAAATATATACCAAATACAGTGAAAACACCTTAAAGATCTCTTCTGTCTTTTTTTTTTTCTCCGACAGTTGGTCAGGACAGGCTTGACCAGGAAAAGGCAGATGACATTGGAAATGACTCTGGAATGGGAATGGCATCTGAGTAGACAGAAAGCTACTTATTCAGAAAGAATTGTGTGGGTGAAATTACGCAGCGCGAATGAGCATGGTGTTAGGGAACAAAAGCAACAGATTCTGGGTGAGAATGAAACAGGAAGTAAAGCTTTGAACAGCCTTGCAGATCCTAAGAGATGACCCTAGAGATGGTAGGAAACCATCCAGGTTTTCAAGCCCAGCGGTTTATACCATCAGAGCAGTGTTTTCCCCTGGTCACTTCCACGGAGTGGAAGACAGGTACAGAGGGAGACTAGGAGGCTCAGCCATGGTTAGTCTCCTAATCAAGACTTGATGAAGTTCTGGTCTCCATCGACAGGGCAGGTGGAGAAGAAGGAAGGAGAAGAGAGAAAAGTGGACACATAGTTGTCAGGCATTTGTCATTGGATGTATTAAGTGGGAGAAAGAATGGAGCCATAGAAGACTTCAGAATTTCTGGCTTGAACATCTAGATGTGCTATTGACTAAGAAATGGTACATCCTATGGTTTGTTGTAGAGGTGTGGGAGGACATAATGAATTGTGATTGGACACATGCTTCTCATATATTAACATTTGTTCTGAAATAAACAGACGTATGTAGGTTGGGTCATGTCACCCCATTTAATAGCATATTAACAGAAGTCAGGAGGACTGCGTCCTCAGCTCAGCTTTAGGACTGTGACGACAAAGTCTTGGAGATGGGTTCAGAACCAAAGAAACAAACTCTAAACTAGGCTTGAAGGAAGTGAATTTCAATCAGCGTTTAGACTAGATCAAGATTGAGAGCTCAGGATATGCTTCTGAGGCCCTTCCTTCTGGGCTTCATTGACTAGCCGCCATAGCATGGGTCTTGAGAAAAATTGCCCCAGCCGTCTGCTGCTCCTGATCCTGGTCAGTGTGCAAAAACAGCCAGTGAAAAGTGCCCTCCAAAAGTAGCTCGGGAAGGCAACCCAGACATTATTTGGGAAGACACCATTGTTTTATTAGTGGCTAAGTGTGTTTTAAATTTAAATTAGAACTATGTGAAAAAACAATGGTAAGTAAATCACTTTTTGTTAAAGACCTTTCTGGGTACATCTGTTCTTTAAATATATTGATATTTAAAATAGAAAATATTGCCCACTGGAGAACCAGGCACGATGGCTCATGCCTGTAATCCCAGCACTTTGGGAGACCGAGGCAGGTGGATCATTTGAGGTCAGGAGTTTGAGCCGGGCCGGCATGGTGAAACCCTGTCTCTACCAAAATACAAAAATTAGCGGGGCATGGCGGTGTGTGGCTATAATCTCAGCTACTCAGGAGGCTGAGACAGGAGAATCTCTTGAACCTTCGAGGCAGAGGTTGCAGTTAGACGAGATCGCACTACTGCACTCCAGACAGTGCAGAGCGAGACTCCACCTCAAGTGTGCACCTGTAATCCCAGGTACTCAGGTGGCTGAAGAACGAGAATCGCATGGACCAGGGAGGCAGAGTTGCAGTGAGCTGAGATTCTGCCATTGCACTCCAGCCTGGGTGACAGAGCAAGACTGTCTCCCCCTGCCAAAAAAAAAAAAAAAAAAAAAAACCCATCAGAGAAAAACATCTTTGTGCTTCAATTTTAAAAAGATAATTAAGAGGTTTAGAGTTACAAGTGTGGGATTGTGAAAGTCATTAAGAACTAACCATATTGATATCTTCTAATTTTTTTTTTTAATAAAGATGGGGTCTCACTATGTTGCCCAGGCTGGTCTCAAACTTCTGGGCTCAAGTGATCCTCCTGCCCAGCCACCCAAAATGCTGGGATTACAGGCGTGAGCCACTGTGCCTGGCCTCTATATTGATATTTTTAATTAAAATTCCAAAAGTTAGACAATTGAAGTCTAAAAAGAATGGAACATACAAAATTTCTGAGTGCAGTTTAAAACATTGAGTGTAATTTGTAAGTTTCCCTTAAAATAATTGTTTGAAATTTGCTTACATAGAATCAGATTTGTAAGTTGAACTATATTCTTCAGAGAAAAACAGGAATTTGAATTTTAACTTCAATACATCGAATACTAATTTTTAAAATCAATAAGACAAAACAACTCTTGAATCTTTTCTGTATACAGAAATCCCTCTCAAGGGTACAAAAAAAATCACACTGACAGAAAACATATTTTGCTGTTTGTACCTTGACACGGCTTAACTGGTGGCAAAATGATTCCTGTGTTCTGCCTGCTACTATGTAGTTGCGTAGTTATCCTCTACCACCCCCCACCCCATCCATGCCCTGCAGCTGGTGTAGATACACAGGTGTAGAGCATGCTCCTATTTTTAATCCAGTTACTTCCGATAAGAGCAGGACTTTGCCCTTTCCACCCCACTCCCCACCTCAAGCCCCTGATGAAGGAGTTTCCTTTAGGTCTGTCTTCTCCGAATTCCTTTAGGATTTAAAGTCCATACCTTGCAATTTAGCACTTAATGATATGCCCTCTCTTCACAGTCTCTAATACTTTCAACATGTGTGAGTCTTGCCTTCCCAAGCAGACTAGGAATTCTTTTCTTCCTTATTCCCACATCTTTGTTCCAGCCAGCCATCTAACAGACATTAAAAAAAACAAAAACAAAAACAAAAAAAAACAAAAAAAAAACCCTTGAGATTGGCTGAGTTCTTTTCCCTACTACTTTGAGTGAAAGGAAGTCACCCAAGGCCAGTTGTAAGAATTGTCTGCATGGGGCGGCTCCCATTGCATAGCACTGAGCTTAGGCTGCAGATACCTTGGTTTGCATCTTGGCTCCATTACTTATTGGCTGGTGTGATCTTGGCTAATTTATTTCAGCTGTCCAAGTCTCAGTTTCTGCAGGCTCTTAGCCCAGTTCCTGACAAATAATAAAGCTCCATAAATAATCATGGTTATTGGTAAAGTCAGCTGCCCAGAAAACCTCTACTTTCTAGGGAAGAATAGAATGACACAATCTCTAGCAAGAGTTGGGGGAAGCACTCTCCATCAGCCCTAGAATTGCTGTAGCCTTTTTGCTGCCTTGGGGAAGACAGGAGGCTGGGGCCCTCTGAGCATTGTTCTAAGCTGCCACCACAACACTGCCTGGAGGGAGGATTGTTTGTTTTTTTTTTTTTCTTTTTTTTCTTCCCTTTTTTTTTCTTTTTTTTTTTTATTATACTTTAAGTTTTAGGGTACATGTGCACAACGTGCAGGATAGTTACATATGTATACATGTGCCATGTTGGTTTAAGGGAGTATGAAGAGCCAGTGCTTCTGCCAAAGAATTAAGATCTTATTTGTCACTTGAGATTTGCCCCAGTGGCTCTTAACCTGTTCAAAAATGTGCAAAGACTTGTTGACTGAGACACCATTCTCTATCTAGGCCTATGCTGTAGGCTTCCTGCTTAGACCTGTGAATTTTGGAAACTGAGTAGAGGCATTCACTGGCTTAGGGGTATAGTCATGCCAAGCCCAGCAGCATGTCACTTCTGAGTTGGACTCCAGGTATGTAGCTTGAAACCAGCAAACAGTAGACTTTACCCTGCTCTTAAGACTTTATGGACATCTGTTTTCCCAGTGACTCTATATTTCAATCTATAACTCTGAACTTGATGCGTAAGTCTCAGGCTCAGTTTCAAAGCCTTTAGTTTGGTGTCATGAATGCTCTTTTCCTGTATTTGGTATACAGAAAAATGCTTCCTTTTTTTATTTTTTTTTTTAAGACAGAGTTGCACTCTGTTGCCCATGCTGGAGTGCAGTGGCACAATCTTGGTTCACTGCAACCTCAGCCTCCCTGGTTCAAGTGATTCTGCTGCCCTAGCCTCCCAAGTAGCCGGGATTACAGGCACATGCCACCATGCCCAGCTATTTTTTTGTATTTTTAGTACAGATGGGGTTTCGCCATGTTGGCCAGGCTGATCTCAAACTTCTGACCTCAAATGATCCACCCACCTTGGCCTCCCAAAGTGCTATGGTTACAGGCATGAGCCACTGTGCCTGGCCCGAAAAATGCTTCTTGACAGTCCTCTGCTTCACTCATGTGTGGGCTTCTCCTAAAATGTGTTTTGAATCATGGTCTTTCTGCTTTCTAAAACTTTGGCCATGCATTTCCATTTGAGTGGTGCTCAGTGGCTCATAAAGAAAGGCTATGTACACATATGCATCCCAGGAGGCCTTTCCTTTCTTTTCTCTCTAGTCCTGGCTGGCACTCTTGCCAGCTCTTACTCGGAAGCAAGGGAAGAAGCTGAGTGATACTTAATAAATTACGAAGGGAAGAGCTGCAGTGTGATATTAAGACTGCGTTGCTCATACATTGGAATAGGCAGAGCCGGTGGTGAGATCTCTTCTCAGAACCATGCAGGTGTGGAGCTCCCAGTCCTTTGAAAGCAACGCATGCTGTTGCAGACAGGTTAATTTCCTCACTGTCTTTGTGCTGAAGCATGAGGTCCCACATAGTGAAAGTATTCAGGAAGCTGAGTGTACCTGATTCAAAGGGCATGGGCTTTGGGGCATCTCAGTTGACTGTTATGCATAATAGAGGTGTTGTGGGCTGTGCCCACATCAAACCCTTGCCCTTTTGCTGTTGGCAGCCTGTGAATCCCCAGGGGCGCTGGTGGAGCAGATGGGAGCTGCATCCTGAAACCCACTTTGCTAGCTGGCTCTGTGAAGAATGCACTGGTTCACCTTTGGCCTCTGTGTGAGGCTCCGTTCCTCATGTGTCCACCTGGGGCTTGTTAGGCGTATTTTCTGAGTGAACTCTGGAGCCCACTTAGGAAGTAGCTGCAGGCACCCATGCTCCTTTCCCTGTTGGAAAACAGGTCAGACAAGGCCAGATATGCAAGGTGTGTGAGATGAGCCCTTCTGAAAAGGAGCACTCAGACAATCTGTTTAAAACACATTATATTCTGGTGGATTCCAGAATCTTTTTTTGTTCTGAAGCTTTGTTCTATCAAGTACTGCTTGAGGATAAGATTTTCTCTGGCTAGAGTCTAGCAACCTTTTCTGTTCTAGTGGTATGTTGGCTTGTTACTTTATTGGGGTATTTGGGGGGCAGGAGGGGTAAGGGGCCATAGAGCCTAGAATGATGTTAAATGGTCTTTATATTAAAATCCATTCTTGGACGTTAATTTTGGAACAATATCTTAATACCTGCAAAAAAGTATAAGGACACATAAATGACTTTGTATCCAAAACCCAGCTTAAGATATGAGACACTGAGATGCTTCAATAAAGCTAATGCACCTGCTTGGTCATCCCTTCCTCATTTCAGCCCTCTCCACTCCAGCCAGATTTAGCCACTGTTGCAAACTTGGTGTTCATTGCTCCCATGTACTTTCCTCTACTTTTAAACTTAAGCATGTATCCCAAAGTGACAGAGTAGTATTTTTCATGTTAATAACCTTCATATATTTTGTGTGCCTTTGTATGACTGTCTGCTAAATATTAGGTTTGTGTGCTACATCCATGTAAACCAAGCAGTTCTCATTAACTGACACTCACTTTTCTATCATATCCCATTGCATGAATAAACCAACATCAGAGAAAGAACTTATTAGTACAGAAGCAAATGGAAATATTGCCCAATCACATTGAATATTATCCCTGGTACTTACCCAATCATCTTGAAATAACTGGGTCATTACTTGTATGGGTAGGTTTTCTGGTATGTTTTAAGAATTGAAAAAGTTATGCTTTCCTGATGTTTACAGGAGAGGAATAGACCCTCTATAGAAAATGCCTTTTCAAATAGACTAAAATAAACATAACACATGAAGAATGGATTGGGTAAGGGTGAAACTGATCATGAGTAAAGATACTTTTAGAGTAAACTAGGCCAAAAAGTAAGAAGTCCATGACTAAATAGTGGCAGTAAGGATTCAGGGAAATAGATTTAAGAAACACTGAGAGGTAGAACCTATTGTACTTGGCTGACCAGATGTGGAGACTGAAGTAAGGGAGAAGCCAAGGATGATTCCTGTCTAGGTTTGGTCTACTGGTTGAGCAATGGAACTGTTCTGTAGCATGTCGAAAACCTAGGAAGGAGCTGTTCTAATGGTGATGAGGGTGGATGTTAAGATAATTACAGATTTGGACCTACTAAGTTTGACACATCTGTGATATATGCAAGAGGAACTGTCCAATAAGCCACTGCATATGAGTCTGGGGCACAGAGATTTGTGAGCAGGAGATCTAATTTTGAGAGTCACTGGAATATGAATGGTGGTTGAAGCCAAGGAAGTAGATGATGCTTCAAGATGTGTGTGCAGTGAGAAGGGAAGATGGTTGAAGACAGAACCCAACAGAACACTAAGGAATCCAGAAGCGAGTATGGGGAGTAGTGGCCAAAACACGGAAGGAGAAAAGTGCTGTCTCGAAGATAGAGGGGGAAGTTTCAAGAAGGAGGAGTTGGTCAACAGATGCACATATGACAAGTCACATAATGCAAGAACTCAAGTCTGTTGGGTTTCCCATCACAGAGCACACTGGTGACCTTCAGGAGAGCTGTGTAAGTGGAAGGTGGGGGATAGAAGCCAGATTATGGATGAGCAAAGACTGGATAATGAGAGAAGAGATGACACATATAGACGACTGCTTCAAGAGATTTGGACAGGCCCAATAGAAACAGATGGGCAGCAAGGATCTAATGTGTAGATTTGAGGAAAATCTTTTATTTTGAATACAGGAGAGGCATGAACACTTTCATGTGCTAAAGGGAAAGACTCCGTGTAGAAGAGAAACTTGATTATGAACAAGAGAGACGTTTTCACTCATCCACAATAAACACTTTCTATTAAAGCTCCATTTGAAGTGCTCATAATCCAGTCTTCAAAGTTTCCCCTTGAAAATTCTTACCTCTCTTGAGTAGTTGACAAATTTGACTTCAAAGAGTCTTCCCTAGATCATTTCATTGCTGATGTGAAAATTAAAATGGGGGCTTGTTCTCGTGCCTTCTCTAAAACACATCTCTCAAGCAGGTGGTAAGGGCTGAGGGTGACTCTTCTTAGAAATGCTAAGATGCTATTTGGCAGGAATAACACTAAATCATTTTGTCTTGCATCAACACTTTGGCCCAAGTTTCTTAAATAATCTCTGACATGATTAGGAAGTAGGGATCTAAGGGGTCTGGAACACAAAGTTAAATTGTGGTGTTGACCTGTAAGGAGTACAGAGAAAATCCTGGAAAAGGAATTGTGTAAATAACAGTAATAGCTAATGCTTATTGAACACTCGTGACAAATGCTACTGAGTAGCTTGTTTCATATATTTCTCTTTAATTTTCAAAATAACCCCATTACCTATATACTTTTTAATCCCCATTTGTATTTATTTATTATTATTATTTTTCGAGACGGAGTCTCACTCTGTCACCCAAGCTGGAGTGCAGTGGCACGATCTCAGCTCACTGCAACCTCCCAAACTGGGAGTGCAGTGGCGCAATATCGGCTCACTACACCTCTGCTTCCTGGATTCAAGAGATTCTCCTGCCTCAGCTTCCTGAGTAGCTGGGACTACAGGCACACGCCACAACACACAGCTAATTTTTAGTAGAGACGGGGTTTCACCATGTTAGTCAGGCTGGTCTTGACCTCACGTGACTCCTGACCTCAGGTGATCCGTCTGCCTCAGCCTCCCAAAGTGCTGGGATTACAGGAGTGAGCCACTGCGCCTGGCCGTTCATCCCCATTTTTAAATAAGGTAAATCCAGAACCTGGGGTTTGAAGAAATAATCAGTGTCACACAGGAAGTGGTTCCGATTTGAACCTTGGTTGAGTCCAGAGTCCGTGTCTAACCATTGTGCAACATTAGCTTTCAAGCTCAGCGAGGTGCCCTAGGACAGCATCTGAGGCTGCCGAGAGTAGCTGAAGGGAATAAGAGAAGAATGAATGTCTAAATCCAGCTATGCCCAGTTCCTTTTTGTGTAGTGTGATTTATGGGACTATGTCATGATGATGCTTCACAATTTTATCTTTACAGTCAGTCCCCAACTAAGGAGTTGTGCCCCATAGTTCATTATATGTCTGTTGTTTGAAATTTGGAATGATTCTGCAACTGGAACAATAATGGTAAATAGTGAGTAGGCTCCAGTCTAGCTCATCTGAGTCTGTGGAATCATCCACCCATAAACTGGTTCAGATTATCAGATTCTGGACTCTAAGAGGGCTTTCATGCCATTCATGAACTTATGGGCCGTATTCTACATTGCTGACTGGTACATGCTTATCTAAATGTCAGCCAAAAGCATGCAAAATTAGAGAACCAAATCTGCATTGTAAAAATACTATGTTTTCAGCTGTACTGGACAGGACTTTTGGCTCAACCTTTGTTTTCAAGAGTAAGTACCATGCTTTCCTTTGATTGGACTGACTGATGCAGTGAGTACTTGTGTGCTTTTTTTTTTTTTTTTTTTCCCAATTCAACACACCTTTTATGGAGTACCTACTCTGTCGTACTCTAGGCCAGGCCCTGCACCGGTCACTGGGGATACAGACATGACTCGGACAGTCTAGCTTGGGAAACAGACTCATGTCCGACTAATTATAAAACAGTGAGATAAGTGTCACAGCAGAAGCATGAACCAAGAAAGCACAGCACATTTGGAGTGTAGGCATTTATCAGAAAAGGTTTCTTTGAACAGCTGTCGAAATATGTAGTGAGAGAAATAGCATTCGTGTTGCAAATATAAGGTTAACCCATTTTGGTTAACCAAGGCACTCATGCTCAGATTTCTCAGATAAAAAGATGATTGGTTGTTTTTTTTCCTTCTAAAACAGCAGGGGTAACAAAAGATTCAAGATTAAGATACAGCCTCCAGAGATGATTCTTGTGCTTCTTGACACCCTTCCAAGGTTTGTTTATGTCACCCTGGGGCCCCGTGGAGATGCTTGGTTTGTAAATGATCCGTGCAAGATGCAGGGAGTCACATACGGACGGGATGTTATCTTTGAAGAGTAAAGTTATGTTTACTACTTTCTTTGAAGACAGTTTGTAATGGGATGTCATGACAGTCCTGTTAAGTATGCAGATAATGAAAATCAACGTCTGACTTCTAAACAAAAGTTGGGGGAAAGTGCATAGAAAGCCAGGATTTCAAGCATGTGCTTTGCGGTTTGCCATGTGGACATTGTCTTTGTCCCAGATGCCTCGCTGCTTTCCCTGAAAGGGTCACTGTGTCCTTCTGTCACATCTGAGGAATTCCATCCTAAGGAAGTAAAAAACCAATCTGTGGGAGTTCTAATGCCTCTAAGGTCTCTCATGGAGTATGCAAAACATACACAAATGTGATCTCTGCCTTTGTCCGAAGCATTTTTCCGAAACAATGAATGGACAGTTAAGAATTAAGCGTGTTATTACTAAGAAAACATGACTTGTTTTGACAATCATTAAACTTTGGGGTAAATGGGAGTTGAATCGCAAAGCACCATAGGCGTTGAGATCATCGTGGTTGCTTGAGAGCAGTGACGTGCTTCAGGCAGAAATCTACAGTTCGGACATTCGAGCATCGCGATTTCTCTTGGTAGATTTCTAACTGAGGCCTAGCTCAGGCATTTCCCCCAGTGGAGCAGCTCACTTCCACCTTCACCTTTTCCTCCCAAAAACTGCTAGAGGGAGGATAGCTTATCCCAAGGCCACCCCTAGCAGTCGTCCACTTGGCTCTGGAACGTTTCTCTGGCAACAACTCAAGTACTTCTTATGTTTCAGTCTGAGGGTTTGCTGGGAACATGAGGTATTTTATCATCCACCAAGAAATGTTCCTTTGGGAGAAATGAGAGGCAGAGTCCCTGCAAGCTCTAGGTGGGTAGCCATCTAGGCTTTTGAGAGGTCAAAGAGGCTCCTTGTCATCTTTAGTTCCCCTGGTTTTCCAGCAAAGCTTTAGCATATGAGAGATGATCCAGGAACACCTAGTAATTATGCAGAATGGCTGACCAGTGGGGAATGCTGGCCAACCTAAGAGTTATCCACCTGGACCACATTCTTTTTCAGGCTCACTTGGCATGATGCCTCTGCCATAAAGCCCTTCTCCTGGTAGGGTGAGATGCCCCCTTTATTCTGTGCTACACCCCAGCTAGTTCATGCCTTATTCCAACCATCGACCCACCTGTTCTCTATAAGGATAAAACTTGTCATCTTCCTCTTGTTATCGCTGTGACTGGCTTTCAGCAAATAGAGGAAAGATCCGGCTTTGGTGTTCTTAAAGACTTTAGCTGTTCCCTAAAACATGTTGTAGAAGATGTTTTATCAAAAAGATCAAAGTTCATATCACTGCCAGACTCCTTCCTTCTCCATTTCTCCCTGCTGTGCCTCCTAGGGGGAGCAGCCTCTGTTAGGGCAGAACCACCAGCTCCTGTGTAACAGATGACACTCCTTCTGTGGGCACTTTTCCCAGCCTTTGCAATCAAGTCAGGCCAGAACATGCTCTCATGAGGGCATTGCTTTAATCTTCAGGCATGATGAACACGGTGTAGGTGGCAGTGACTGGACACTGAGCTCCCGTCTCCAGTTTGAGGTGGGCCTGGAGCTGCCGGATCCCCTACTGATCACTGGATAAGATGGGCATCTTGCCCCATTTTGACCCTACCTATCAAGCATCTTAGCAATAGCTGACCAAGAACAAATGATACATTTTAAGAGACTTGGCATTTGTTTATTAAAGTACATTTACTGCTAAGCCAACAAAACTAGACAGTGTACATTTCAGGTTTTGAGAAGCAGACATCCTGGTCTAATGTATCTCAAAATTATCCATCTGAAGAGTTGTCCAAATTGGACATTGAAACAAATGCCTATTGAAGCAATCACATACCATGGAAATTTCCTTCTTTACTAAATCTCCCATATCTGCTTGTTTAATTCACGTTTTTCTGTTACAGAAGTAGATGATCAGCTCTCCTTTTAAATACAGGTGACTGTAGCCACTTACTTAGTATGTTGGCTTATATCAAGGGAGTAGTAATTTGACTTTATTATATCTGATCAGTAACATGGACTATAGAGAGGGCCAGTTTGAGACCCTCATCTGCTTTTTTTTCCTGGATAGGTATCTCTGTTCTATGTGTCCTCCTACCCCTAGCCCTGTGAAAATGGAAGATGATGCAGCCTAATGGTTAAGAACTCAGGTGTGAAGTCAGACAGACTTGGGATCAGACTCCAGCTTCACATGCACAGGCTCTGCACCCTTGGACAACTGGCCAAACCTCTGTGTCTTGTCTTGAACCTATGAAGAGGGTAGCATGCTGCTTCCTGGCTCTCTCCATAACTGTTTTGGCCTTATGTGACCCTCCGTCAGCGAAGCTCTTATGGGGTGAAGAGGGGCCCTCCTTAGATAAGTTTTCCAGTTTCTTCTGCCTACTTTCTCCATTGGATCCTTCCTTATTTGCCTGCATAAGAGGAGATAAAGTACCAGAGAGAAACAACAGATACCTTTTCCAACTTCTCATTTTTTAAAAAAAGTAGAAGATTCTATCAGTGGTCACATGTATTTTGTGTCAGGCTTCCCACTTCATTTTTACAACAGCACTACAAAGGCATCCCTTTTGGATATGGAAACAGAGTCATCGAGAGGTTGAGGACCTTTCGGCCTGAGGAGGTCAGGACAGAGCTTCAGATGTCCACCTCCAACACTTGGCACTTCCTCAGATCTCCTTCCTAGCTGCTTTGTATCTTCCTCTTCTAATGTACTTGCCTGGTCTCCAGTATTTTAAAAAGGATAAGAGGTACTGTTTCTCCTAAAATAAAATTGGTGTGTCTCTTTATAGAAAGATAAGGGAAGGTTTTCTGGGGTGGGAGAAAGAAAGAGCAACAACTTTGTAGTAGGAAGATAATGCTAATTTCATTTTGTGTTCTTGCTGGATTTAATAACAACACAGGAACATATAATTAGTAGATAATTCTGTAATTACTTAAAGATGAGCAAAACCTTGAAAATGACCCAGGATGTGAAAGGTCTTGAAGCAGGGAGGTATCTTCCCTGGAGGAGGCCAGAGACTATATTTAAATCAGATGTTTTACAGAGAGATGAGCCATCTTTATCTTTAAAGGCCAAATTCTGCCTCCTCACAGGGGTAGAGGTGAGTGATTGTTTTAGAAATAATAATAAAAACTTTACAAGAACCTTATGACCAAGGACCCGAGTGGTCTAGATGAAATTAATTCATGAATCCTCACAACACTTAGCTTCTCTCATTCCTTCAACTACTTAAGAATTTCAGCCCCAGGGGCCAAATTCTATGCTCTAATATTTGAGGCGGTGGAAGTCACAGCTTCTTTTCTTCTCATGGTCATTCCAGAATCTTCTGAGCAAATGATTAGCATTTGGCTATGGCGGATACACACACTGGATTTTTTTCAGGGACAGTTTAAGAAATATTGTCCTATTAGTGCTCTATGTGTAACAACTAACAAATGGAGTTTTCTCTTCCTGGGAGCATGTGAGTGTGATTCCAGCTTACCTCCTTTAGTTTCCATGACAGCCCTCGGAGGTTGGTATTGTCACTGCATTTTATGATTCGAGACAAGGCACAGAGGCTTAGCAAGTTATCCAAGGGTGCAGAGCCTGTGCATGTGAAGCTGGAGTCTGATCCCAAGTCTGTCTGACCTCACACCTGAGTTCTTAACCATTAGGCTGCGCCATCTTTAGTTTTGTCAGAGCGCATAGCAGCTTTGATCACTCTGTAGTCTTCTGGCACTTAACCCTTGTTCAGGCCTTGCTTCTCTCTGTGGGGTCCTCTTCCCTATGCCTCTTGCCTTCCAAGTCCTACTCATGCCTCAAGGCTTCCCATAAGGCCTTTCCTGGTTATTACAGCTTATGGTGATCACATCTTAAGATTTTTTCCAGCTCAGGACTCAGAGGACTTTTCTCTTTATCCAATGTCTTGTTACATACATATATATACCCTTTTTGTATTATATGTATTTTCTGTTTTCAATGTGGTTTTTAAAAACCTAGATCTTTGTAGATGGGAAAACTTATTTATCCAATGGTTTTATATTGAATTTATACTTTGCATACATACTAGGGATACAAAAGAAATATAAAAGATCAGTGCCTTGAATCTTTGCAATTCTAATGAATTGATAGAAGGAAAAAACAGAGAACCACATAAGGATGATGATGATAATAGTGTGTATAACTTCATGATCTCTCTTCTGATATGGTTGTTGAAAGGCAGAAGCAGAATAAGACAGACAGTCACAGGAAAACTTAGCTCATTTTGCTGCTCCAGTATCCTCTGCCATTGTATCACCCTAAAGAAGGATCTTGGCATTATCTGAGTTTGCATTTTTCCTACGTTTTCATTAGCTTCATGGGACCCAATTTGTGGTGTTAGTAAAAATATATTAAAAAAAAAAAAAGGAATTCACATTTGTAATAACAAATGGTCTCTTGCAAATGATGGGCACTTGAATTGAGGTGGATCTTTTTTTTGGCATTTCTTACTCCAGTCTTGCTGTACTATGTCTATTTTTAAATGTTTCAGGTTTGTGGATGTTCTAACTAATCAGTTGTTGAATTTGCTAATCATTTAAAGATGGGCAAAGTAGAAAGGAAAATATCTTTTGGAAAAACTAATAGTGACAAGGAGGGTGTTGAAGGGTGTGTATGGTGGCAAGGCACAATTTCTTCTAAAATTTCAAAGATTTAAATAGAGAATCTGGCTCAACAAAAGAATGCACTCCCCTCACTAATTCCATAATGTCCTGTGCTGGACATACACTTTCTCCACACAAGTTTTGATGTTAGATGATAATAAAAGCAATTAAAAGAAATCTGGGGCTGGGCATAGTGGCTCATGTCTAATCTCAGCACTTTGGGAGATCAAGGTGGGTGGTTCACTTGAGCTCAAAACTTTGAGAGCAGCCTGAACAACATGGTGAAACCCCGTGTATTCATTGGTTTTAATGCTGCTAATAAAGACATACATGAGAGTGGGTAATTTATAAAGGAAAGAGGTTTAATGGACTCACAGTTCCACACGGCTGGAGAGGCCTCACAATCATGGTGGAAGATGAAGGAGGAGCAAAGGCACGTCTTACATGGTGGCAGGCAAGAGAGTGTGTGCAGGGGAACTGCCCTTTATAAAACCATCAGATCTCGTGAGACTTACTGTCATGAGAACAGCATGGGAAAGACCCTGCCCCCATGATTCAGTTACCTCCCACTGGTCCCTCCCATGACACGTGGGGATTATGGGAGCTACAATTCAAGATGAGATTTGAGTGTGGACACAGCCAAACCACATCACCCTATCTCTACCAAAACTACAAAAAATAAGCTGGGCATGGTGTTGTGCGCCTCTAGTCCCAGCTACTCAAGAGGCTGAGGTAGAAGAATCACTTGAGCCTGGGAGGCAGAGGTTGCAGTGAGCCGAGATTGCACCACTGCACTCCAGCCTGGGAGACAGAGTGAGACCCTGTCTTACAAAAAAAAAAAAAAAAAAAAAAAAAAAAAAAAAAAAACTGACACATAGCTAATAAAATAGATCCCTATCCATAGTACAGAATGGGCCCCTTCTTCCCTCTGAAAGCAAGGGAAATGGGTTTAGAAAAGTTGCTAAGGAAAAATCATTATGTATACTCTCCTCCCTGCCACCCCTTACCAACCTTAAAGCCTTCTTGAAGGAAGATTGGTTCCAAGGCTAGGGGATGAGGTGAAGATGCTAACTGAAGAATCAGGACCACATTACTCTACATGAGGAAAGAGAGGGAGTGGCTGAGAAGGGAGGAGTTGGTGGTAACCAGCCCCAGTGGGCAGGAGGAGATGGGGATGGTTGGAAAGAGAAAGCTATGAAGCCACTGTCTTTGAGAGAGGAAATTTAGTGGCATGGAGGACCTTTGCTAACCCGGGTGAATTGTAACCCTCTTCTTCATCTTCCCACATATCCTTCAGTGGAACCTACATTGTTCATTGAAAGTGGTGGTCCCCAACCTTTTTTGGCACCAGGGACCAGTTCTGTAGAAGACAATTTTTCCACAGACCAGAGGTGGGGGATGGTTTGGGGATGATTCAAGCACATTACATTTATTGTACAGTTTATTTCTATTATCACATTGTAACATACTTACACAACTCACCATAATGTAGAATCATTGGAAGCCCTGAGCTTGTTTTCCTGCAACTAGATAGTCCCATTTGGGAATGATGGGTGACAGTGACAGATCACCATGCATTAGATTCTCATGAGGAGTGTGCAACCTACATCCCTCACATACACAGCTCACAAGAGAGTTAGCCCTCCTGTGAGAACTTCATGCTGCAGCTGATCTGACAGGAGGTAGAGCACAGGTAGAAATGCTCACTTGCCCACAGCCCGGTTCCTAACAGGCCACAGACCTGTCCATGGCCCAGTGGTTGGGGACCCCTGATTTAAAGGAACAAAAATATCTAATATTTTTTCTGACATACACAGCAAAAGCAATAGTTGCAAGACTAGGGGCTCTTACTCTGGAATGACGCAAAAGTTTTGTTGGAAAACTCACCATGGTTCTGTGGGATTAGGGTGAGTTTTTGCTCTGAATGGTGGATGGAATGGAAGTGAGCCAGGGGTGACAATGTCTTTTTTTAAACCATTAGTCCAAAGTCATGGAATATTTTGTTAATAATTTGCTTTAATTGCCACCAACTACTGTTTCCACTTTAGAAATGCCTAAGTCTGTTTCGGAGCCTGTCAGGTCTCTGACTCTAGTCTATCCATAGACCCCCAGCTATGTGTGTTGCCTGCATTAATTCTTCAGGTAGGAATTATTGCTCCTGTGGTACAAATGAAAAAGTTAAGACACAGAGACAGTAAGTAATCCTGCTCAGGATCTCATGGTCAGAAAGAGACTTTGAACCCAGATCTGATAGCAAATTGTGTACTCTTAGCCATTGTACCATAAGTGATAAGAAAATTCAGTCATGGCCAGGAATGAAATGTGACTATATGAGTGAGCCATATTAATGAATTCCATTAATTATACAGTGGTGATGAGGATTAAGGAAATGAGCTGCAACAGAAGAGTTGCTGTTTCCATTTTAGTCTTCATATAATTCAGGGCAGCTTCTGTTTTATCCAGGTATGGTAATTACATTAATTCTAGATGCCTGATGGATTCCAAACTGCATGTTTTCTCAACTGAGTGCTTGCATATATATTATCTTTTAAAATTAGTTCTAAATAAGATTATGAATTAACGGTATCCAGCATGGTACCTGGCACATAATATAATTTATAGATATTTATAATGTGACTTATAAGTCCTTCACCCAGCCTTCATCTCTCCTTTCTTCCTCTTTTCCCATCTTCTTCCTTCTTGCTTCCTCTCATTCTTTCTATATGACTCAAGACTCATTGGGTTGACGGTGGGAGGAGAAAAATAACTAGAAAAAAAGTAGTAGTAGAAGAAGAAAGGTGGGTTGATTAACGAAGAAGGGAGGAGGAAAAGTAGCAGTAAAGTGTCCACCTAGAAGTGGGTCTGATATCGGCCATGGCTGAATTTAGGGACTCTGCCAGCATCACAAGGATTTGATGTTTCTCCATCTTTGGTCTCTGCCCACCTCTGTGTTGACTTCCTTCTCGGGAATGGTTTGCATGAATTGTATCAGTTGCATGGCTGTGGGGATTCAACAGCCTCCAGAAATGCCAGGTTCTCATCCTTGAAGCCTCAGATTTAGTAGAGAGGGTTTTCAAAAAGATCATGGAATTGAGCCCGATCTCCAGCTTGGGACATATGCCCATCTGAGAACTGCTCACTTGGGTCAGGGGAATGTAGAGCTCTGACTGGCCAGGTCTGGATCATCTTCTGCCCTTGGCTACAGGAGTTAGGGCCACACCTACCTCAGCTACATGGATAAATGGTGGAAGCAGTGACTCTTCAAAGAAAACGGGCACAGAAGTAGTACTGTAGATTGGTTAGCTCAATAGCATTTCCAGCCTGCACCTGCTGTGCCTCCACATTTCAGAGGATGGAGAGCTAGAAACAGCATTCCCAGATTCCTCAAACCTGGCATTCTGGGTGTGCTTTAGGTCCTGCCGGTCATCTGCACTCAAGTGAAACCTGAATTCAGAACTGAGTGAGGAAGTAAAGGAGCAGCACATGTGGCTGGTGCAGACCATGTTTGTGGCAGTGCGATTCTGCTTCCGGCAACTTCATATGGCAGCTTCCCACAGCGGTGAGGGGGCGACTTTCTGTATCACAACAGAGGTGGGGTGATTCTGGGGTGAAGGGACATTTTGGCAACTTAACCTAGTCCCCACTACTTCAAGCTTTGTAAATCACTGGTTTTGAAACTCCCTTGATACTCGGTAATAAATCCCTTTGTGCTAAAGCTAGCTGGTATGCTCTCTGTCGTCTCTGCTGATCCCTAACCAGTGCTGTCACTGGAAGATGAGGGCATGATACTGGTTAAGCACCTCAACCTGTGTCCACCAATGTTCCTAACCTCCATTTTCCCTACACTTTCTCTTTTCTGTCTCTAGTTTCCTTTCTTTCTTCTCTCCCTCCCCATTCCCTTGAAATTCAGGCTGTGAGTCTCCAAGCTCTGTTCTTTGAGAGAGATTAGAAATAAACTATTTACCCTTTTCTTCAAGATTGCTAGGAAGTATCCTCAAATATTTTGGAAACTCTCAGTTATCCTGACGTCAGGTAACTGTGTTCAATGGTTTCGAGACTCAGTTATCTGGATGGTAATAAGACCTCATGGTCTTATTACTGATACAATTCATGCAAACCATTCCTGAGAATGAAGCCAACACAGAGGTGGGCAGAGACCAAAGATGAAGAAACATGAAGTCCTGGTGATGCTGGCAGAGTTACTAAATCCAGCCATGACCGATACCAGACCTACTTCTAGGTGAACACTTTACTGCTACTTTTCCCCGTTTTTTCTTCATTAACCAACTCACCTTTCTTCTACTACTACTACTACTTTTTTTGTAGTTAATTTTCTCCTCCCACCCTCAACCCAATGAGCCTTGGGTCATACAGAGAGGACCGGAGGAAGCAAGAAGGAAGGAGATGGGAATTTCTCATGGATTTGCTGTAAAGATTAAATAGGAAGCTGTAGGTATGTGTTTCACTCAGTAAATTCTCTAAATGCCTCCTTGCTCATGCCTTATTCTTACCCATTTTGTTCCTTTCCTGACTCCGCATTACGTTGACTAATACCTAATATCAGTGGAGCATGTATTGCATGCCCAGGCATTCAAAGTGCTTTTTATGAATTACCTTGTTTAATCCTCACAACCTCATGAGACAGGTACTTCATTATTTTTCAGATGAGGAAACGAGGCACTGAAGGATTGTGTAACTTGTCTGTTCATTCAGCTAGGAAGTGGCAGAGCTGAGATTTAAGCCCCTAGCCTGATCACAGAGCCAGGCTCATAACCACTGGCTGGCCTGCTGCTCTATTCCTAGTGCCCTGGCCAGCTCAAGATTAAATGCATGTGGAAGCTTTTGATTATTGAATAAAGTATACTGCTTTTCTTCTTTGATTCTTTGCTTGCTGTATCTTCAGAACTTCTGTTTCTTTCTTCATTACTTTGCTGTGTTGGTCCATTGGCATTTAGCCATCCACATGTTCTCCTGGTACTGTCTTTGTGACTAGTGGCTTATGTCTGGAAGTTGTAACTGGGTGTGTGTCCTTTGGCTGTGAAACAAAAGTTTTGACGACGTGATGCTCATTAGCCCCCTCAGAAGTCACACCTGTGGCCCTCTCAACACTTCATTGATGGTCGGGTCACAGTCAAGCCTTTGCTACGTGATGGAAATGGACAGAAGGTTTCTCAGGACTCTTGCTGTCTCAATTGTGTAAAACGAGAGACGTGGATATGAGCTCTCTTCTCAGCTATCAATTGTGAGAACCTGGGCTGAGGCATGGGGAGGACACTGGACACAGGAATTTGGCTTCTGTAGTTAAGACTGAAGTTATTTGCTGCTTAACAGCTTTTTTCCTCCGCCGTATATCATAGCCAAGACCAAAGTCTTATCAGTCTAGACCTAGCATGCTTCTGAAATACCATATTCTTTCATCTTAAATACTACTAAATGATCTAGGTATTGAAAAAAATACTTCCAAAATGGTCAATTTACAGTCCCGTGACACCTTCAGTGTTGAACAAGGAAGACTAATGATTATTGGACAAAATTATTTTTAAAAAGTAGACTTCTGCCATTGTGTGCTGTTCTCAGCTGGCCTAGGGTCAGGGTGAGTGGACCCTGACATTGGTACTTTACGTCCAAGCAGCTTTCTCTCCCCTGTGTCCTCCTTGCTGCCAAACACTGAAATGGTTTGAGCTACACTTTTGAAAAAGAGACTCTGCTTCCTTTATAGGGATGAGAGGAAAGTTATAGGGCAAACAGTCACTCTGTTCAGACCCCTTATTTCCTGCATTCTTTAGCCATTTGTTTTAAACAAAATTGTTCATGTGGGGATTTGTTTATAGAATTAAAAGTCCTAGACAATAGGCACTACCATGTGGAGCACCTTGTAGATATGTTTTTAGTTTAAAAATGTAGATTTTTAAAAATGGACATTTTCAAGAAGTCTGCACATCATCATTCACCCATACTTTGCTTTTCAGTCACTTCTTGGAGGTAGCAAAGTCCTTGGAGTATCTGATGGAGAGGGCCACCACTGTGGTACCCACTTGATAAAGCCTTAACTCCCTCATCCTGGTATTAAAATGTAATCATCCTGAAAATCTTTACAGTACCTTTGCTCTGCCTGCCAAAGAACTGATATATTCAGTTACACTGAGGCATGGAAAATAGTTAAATGTTTGCAGATAATTAACACTATATTCATACATGTTTACCTTTTAAAGTTATTTGATAAAATTTGAGAGCTGATAATAGTCATTCATTGTAGGAATTTAAGGCAACATGGCCAAGAAAATGGGAAAGATACTTTCAGTTGAAGGAACTTGATCTGGCTTTTAGAGGGACTCAGGTAATGGTGATGGTAAAAGGGGAACATTTATTGAATTTACAATGAGCAGTCTCAGTACCAAGCAGTTTTCTTGGATTTATTATAGTTAATCTTGATAGGGACACAGGGTTGGTATTACCATTATTTCCATTTCTCAGATGAGGAAACTGAGGCAAAGTAAGAAAGGTTAGTAACTTGCCTGTTATCGAAGGCCAGAGGTGGGATCAAAATCTGATCTGTCCGACACTGGGACCCACAGAGGTGAGCCCAAATGTTGTGAAAGCTTACAAAATTGTCTGGGGGAAGGATAGGTCCTTGTCAAGAAAAAAAAAAAAAAGCAAAAAACAGTAGATACTGGCCAGGCCTGTGCAAGGGAGGAGTCTGAGGTTCCAACTTCAAGCTTTTGGTAACCCACCTTAGAGAATGGATTTTTTTTTTTTTTTTTTTGAGACAGAGTCTCGCTCTGTTGCCAGGCTGGATGGAGTTTAGTGGCAAATTCTCCGCTCACTGCAACCTCCATCTCCCGGGTTCAAGGGATTCTCCTGCCTTAGCCTCTCAAGTAGCTGGGACTACAAGTACATGCCACCATGCCTGGTTAATTTTTGTATTTTTAGTAGAGATGGGTTTTCACCATGTTGATCAGGCTGATCTTGTTCTCTTGACCTCGTGATCCACCCTCCTCGGCCTCCCAAAGTGCTGGGATTATAGGTGTGAGCCACCGCGCCCGGCTGAGAACTGCTATTCTTAATGACTTCCTTAGGGACTGTCTCTGGGACTGCACATAGAATGCCGCCTTTCATCCCTACTCATAGGGTGCAGACTCGGGTTAAAGATGTACTGTTGACAAAGTGAGTAGCACCGAGGAAATGAGTATCTACTGCTAGGCTAGCCAGTTGAAGATCTTTTCCCCTTTTAAGAAAGTTCACTTTCCAAGCAGAACTAAAAGATGATTTATGAAACAATTTTGTTTTGCCCAAGGGTATTTTTGATGCCTTAACTTTGTAGAAAAACATACATAACAGAAGCTTACTGCTTTCACCATTAAGTGAGCAGTTCACTGGCATTAAGTACGCGTGCAACCATCAATCATCATCCATCTCCAGTACACTTTGAGTTTCCCCAACGGAAACTCTGTACCCATTAAATAACAACTTCCTATTCCTTTCTCTCTGCAGACCCTGGCAATCCTCATTCTATTTTCTGTCTCTCTGAATTTGACTACACTAGCCCTGGCTGTGTTCTTTTAAATATTGTAATTAGATCTCTACATGCTTTTTAACATTTAGCACTCAAATTTTCAGGAACCCATCTGTAGCGGATTCATTTGTAGAAGGAGGACGGAGGGAAGGCATTGGGATCATTGTTAAACAGCTATCTAATTTTTAAGGAGGAGGATAGGTAATCAAGCTTGCCTTGGTTTTGGGGGCCCCAAGATGGCAAGAACCATAGAAGGAGAGAGAACTTGGTATTTTTCATGAAGCTGCCTTGGCTTGCTGGTGAAGCAAACACTTGTACCTTCATCTAGACTTCTGGGGAACTTGACAGAGGGAGACTGTGCAGTTTTGCCTGGCTTTAGGGGGACATGGTTCTTGAATGCACAAGGTAAGAAAGAATATGTCATTGCTGTTGGAATGGGAGGTCACCCCTCTTTGGGATATGGACCCCGTGCAGTTCCTCCTGAGACCTACAGCTACTTGATTTTTAGTCCAGAGGCTGCTACTTGCAGTGACCAATGGGTTGTCAACTCATGTCCCAGACTTAATCAGTTACAATTTATACAGCTAACTGAAAGAAGTTGGACAATGAGAACAGCTTTGATTTTGCTTTTTTTCTCCCACAATGTTGTGAGTGTTTGAATGTCAGCACAAATAAAGAATCTTGACTACTCAAGCCAAAACTGCCTGCAGCCAGGATGATAAGTGTGTCCAGGGAGTTCACAAAATTTCAGCTCTTATGTAAGAACACTAGGCCTCTTTCACCTTCTCACAGATTTAGCTCAAGAAAATGGGATTGTATTTTCATTGTCTGTGCTACTGAAGGAGGATGGCAATGGAGATAATCTAAAACAGCTGATAGAGAAGACAGGCTTTGGAATTTACAGTTGGTACTGGAATGCATTACAAAAGTTATTGTTGGCAATACTTACAATCTACTATTCATGTTTTTCTTAAGCTAATATAAAAACTAGAATGCACTCTCTGATCACACATCATCTAATGGAAGGAATGTATTATAGAATTGTCCTGGGTGGCAAGAAAAATGTGAACTGAAGATTTAAGGATGCCTGCAGATGGACATCACATGGACAGCTGAAGAATGGCCAGGCATTTAGTCTTTTTTCAAAAAGGTATTTATTAAAAACACAGATCTAGAATACCAAACGATTATGCCACTTAGTATAAGTCACATGCTTTTGTGGCCACCACCCAGGACAATAAATATAACTTTTCAGCAACCTTAGATGTCCCTCCATGTCCTAAAGCACAAACCCTTCCATATCTCCCAAATTAACCACTATCCTAACACTTCCTTGCATTTCATAGTTTTATTGCCCATGTACGCATCACTGATCTCTAAAATTTGCCCATTTTTAATTCAAAATGCTTTTTAAATCTTTTTTAATCTGCAGGTTTCCTTCCTTTTTTTTTATTTTTAAACCCCCCTTACAATTTGTCTGTTAAAGATCCTAGGCCCTTTGACCTGTATTGGTTCCTACAATTTGAATTTTGCTGACTGTGCACTCGTCCTTATGCAGGTGATATTTGAGCACATGAAACATTAACATGGTTCCAGAAGGCAAAACTAAACAAAACTATATGGAGAAGTGTCACTTCCTTACTCCAATATATTTTCACCTGTCCACCAATCTCATTAGTTTATCCTTCCCATGTTCATTTTTGTAAACATAAGTAGACGTATCTATCTATAGTAGTATATATATCTATCTATAGTTTTGTCCCCTTTATTATAGTAAAGTTGGCATACAGTGTGTGCATTTGCACTTGGCTTTCTTTGCTTATCAATATATTGTAGATGTCATTTTATATCTGTAAGGATCTTCTTTTTTTGCAGATGCAAAGTATTGTGTTATGTTGATATGCCATAGTTCATTCAATCTGTCTCTTAAATACGGGTTTTGAGTTGCCTTTTTCAAAATGCTTAGAACCAGAAAAGTTTTAGATTTCAGATTTTTTCCAGACTTTGGAATACTTGTATATACATAATGAGATTTTTTGGGGCTAGGACCCAAGTCTAAACACAAAATTCATTTGTTTAATATATACCTTATACACATAGCCTGAAAATAACTATTTATTTTGTTTTTTCGAGACGCAGACTTGCTGTGTTGCCCAGGTTGGAGTGCAGTGGCTGTTCACAGGCAGGATAATAGCTCACTGTAGCCTTGAACTCATAGGCTCAAGTGGTCCTCCTGCCTAAGCCTCTTGAGTAGCTGGAACTACAGGTGCACATTATGATGCCCAGCTTCATATAATGTTGTTGGTAATTTTGTGCATGAAACAAAGTTTTGACTGCATTTTGACTGGGACGTGTCACATGAGGTCAAGTGTGGCATTTTCTATCTGGGGCATCATGTCAATGCTCAAAGTTTTAGATTTTGGAGCATTTTGCATTTTTGGTTTAAGGAGGCTTAACCTGTATAGGTATTTACTCTTTCCAATGTTTTGTAACGATACATAATCCTGAAATTAATAGCCTTGTGCACACACATTTTTATTGTATCTGAAGCACGAATACCTAAAAGCGAGACTGCTGGGGTCAAGAGGTAAATGGACTTGTAGTTTCTGTTTTAGGTATTGCCTATTTCCTTTCTGTAAGGATTGAACCAGTTTGTATGCCCACCAGCAATGTATGAGTGTGCCTGTTTCTCTACAGCCTCAGCAACAGAGTGTTTTCGAGCTCTTTCATTTTTGCCAGTCTTCTTATGGGTAGACTTGGAAATCTCTTAACACACTTAAGATCATTTTTATCTTATGAACTGTGTGTTCATGAATTTTGTCCATTTTTCTCTTGGGCTTTTGGAGTCCCTCCAGTTGTTGAGTTTATACGATGTATATGTGATATATGTAATTATTAATACATATTAGGGATATCAGCCTTTAATTTGTGATACATGATGCAAATATTTTCTCCCAGTTTTTCTTTTGTTCTTTGACTTTGCTTATGGCATTTTTCACTATGCAAAAGTAATTTTATGTAGCCAAGTTTATTCTTTTTAACAGTTGCATCTGGAACTTGATCATACTTAGCAGCTTTTTTTTTTTTTTTTTTTTTTTTTTTTTTTTTTTTTTTTTTTTGAGACGGAGTCTCGCTCTGTGGCCCAGGCGGGAGTGCAGTGGCGCAATCTCGGCTCACTGCAAGCTCCGCCCCCCGGGTTCACGCCATTCTCCTGCCTCAGCCTCCCGAGTAGCTGGGACTACAGGCGCCCACCATCACGCCCGGCTAATTTTTTTTGTATTTTTAGTAGAGACGGGGTTTCACCGTGTTAGCCAGGATGGTCTCGATCTCCTGACCTCGTGATCCACCCGCCTCGGCCTCCCAAAGTGCTGGGATTACAAGCGTGAGCCACCGCGCCCGGCCTACTTAGCAGCTTTTTATGCCCAGGTTACAGAGGAGTCCCTGTTTCCTTCTAGCACTTTTGTAGTTTAAATTTTCACACTTACACCTCAGATCCTTTGAAGGTTATTCTTATGTATGGAGTGAAGTCTGTATCTAATTTTATCTTTTTACTAATGGACTATTTAGTTGTCCTAATACAACTTATTAAAACCCATTTTTGCCCCAGTGATTTGAGTTACCATGTTTCATATACAAAATTTCCAAAGTAGTCAGGTCTAATTCTGAATTTTCTGCTCTAATCCATTGGTCTCTGTCCTCTTACTCATGTGCGATACAACCCTGTTTTAACTTAAGATGCGGTTGTATGTTTTAATATCTGTCTGGGATATTCCTCCTGTGGCTTTTCTTTTTTGGTGTTTTATTGACTATTCTTGCATGTTCAGTTTTCCATGTGGAGTTGGTATCATCATGCCTAGCTCCATAAAAAAACAAAAATTTGATATTTTTGGAGTTTGTAATTTTATTGAAATTTATAAATTAAGGAGAACTGATCCTTACTGAGTCATCTAGCCCAAGAACAAGGAATATCTTTTTATTGTTTACCTTTTTGCCGTTCAAGAGTGTTTTAAAACATTCTTCATTTATGTTTTTCAAATTTCTTAAGCTTTTTTCTGAGCATTTTATCTTTATATTTTATATGCTTCTTTACTAAATTTTTTGCTGTGGAGATATTCATTGTTTTTCTAGATACACTGTCTCATTTGCACATATAGTTTTACTACTGTTCTAATTCTTATGCCTCTAATTGATTTGGCTAAATAGAATGTTAATGTTAAGAAGTAATAATGTTCAGTAGTAGTGGGGGTAGTGTCTGTGTTTTGCTTCTGACTATAGTGGAAATTCGCGTTTCACATTAAGAAAGGTAAGTAAAGATGCTGACTTTAGGATTAATTACATATCCATCAATTTCTGTTTTGTCGGTGTGTGTCTTTTAATCAAGAATGGGTGCTGAATTGTCAGAAGCTTTTTCTTAGCACTATGGAAATAATCTTATGGTTCTCTTTCCTAATAATATGCTATGTTATATTGATACGTTTCCTACTGTTGAGCAAATATACACTCCTGAAGTACATCCTAGCTGGTCAAGGTGTGTAACATTTTTTTTTTCTTTCTTTTTTTTTTTTTTTTTTTTTGAGATGGAGTCTCGCTCTGTCGCCCTGGCAGTGGCGCAATCTCGGCTCACTGCAAGCTCTGCCTCCTGGGTTCGCGCCATTCTCCTGCCTCAGCCTCCTGAGTAGCTGGGACTACAGGCACCCACCACCACACCCGGCTAATTTTGTTTTTGTATTTTTAGTAGAGACGGGGTTTCACCATGTGAGCCAGGATGGTCTCGATCTCCTGGCCTCGTGATCCACCCACCTCGGCCTCCCAAAATGCTGGGATTACAGGTGTGAGCCACCGTGCCTGGCCCATGGTGTGTAACATTTTTAATGAGATTGTATTCTGTTATTGTCTTTTGGAGTTTTACGTCGATATTATCGTGTGATATTGGTTGAAATAGTCTTTTGTGGTGCTATCAGTGATATTGGACTTACTTAGCTGGTCTTTGACGGTTTGTAGAATACTCAGTAAAACCATATGGGCCTGTTGCTTTTGTAAGAGGTAACTTTCTCTATTTATTATGTAAAATTGGTGAGTTTAAGCTTTCTATCACTAATGTGGCCCATATTGATGAACTATCCTCTCCTAGATAACTATAATGTAAGTTGGTGAATTGGCAATCTAGGAAGTAGATATACTGCCCCTAAGGCTGAGATAGAGACCAGGAAAGAGATTCACTCTCCCTTTCCCTGTCCACAGGGATCCCCAAGGGTTGAGTTCCAGACCTTCCTGGAAGGGCATGGCTGTGCTTTAATGCGTGGTTACATTGCTAAGATGCTGTGCTACTGGAACTTTCAGGACATCCTCCCTCTGGGATGCTGGGAAAGCCATCCGTCAGGAAGTATCACACCTTACAAATCACTGTGAAGCTACCCAAGGGGTTACTGGGGAAGTTGTGCATGGGATGGTTCCTCACCTGCAGTAGCCTGCTGCAAAGCCTCCCGAGGGGGCATCAGGGGAGCCTTTGAGGTGCCTCACAGGTGGTCTTCCACTGAGCAGCTGCTTGAGAGGATGCTAGGGGAAGCTGAAAAATGCTGGGCATTGCTGGTCACTTGGCACTGCTGGAGGTTGGTTCTGAGAAGCACTTCTGGTTCAGTGCATGAACCAGATGCCAGAAGAGCTGTATACTGCCATTGCTAGCTCTCATTGCTAGAGCTACCAGGGGCTGCATTAGCCCAGCAAGAGGGGCCCTCTAGAATTAAGAAGAGAAATACTTCTTGCTATCTGGTAGAAAAATTACCTACAAGAGTTAAACCAGTCAAAAAGAAAACATACTGCGTGGTTCCAATTATATGAGGATCAAAATCAAGCAAAGCTAATCACTGGTGGGAAAAGTTCAGTATTAGGAGGTTATAATCTGGAAAGGGCACAAGGAAACCACACAGAGTGCTGGAAATATTTACCTCTTTTTTTTCTTTCTTTATAATGAGATGGGGTCTCACGAAGTTTCCCAAGCTGGTCTCAAACTCCTGGACTCAAGCAATCCTCGCATTTCGGCCTTCCCAAGTACTAAGATTACAGGCATGCACCACCACACCCAGCCAATATTTACCTCTTAATCCAAGTGGTGGTTATGTGGTCTGCACACATGTCAGAAATAATCAGGCTGTACACTCAGATTAATGTAATTATAGAATTTACTTGTATATAGGCTATACCTCAAAAACCAAAAGTTAATCTTGGCTATTCTTGGCCCTTTGAGCTATGTAAATTTTAGCATCAAATTCTGCTAAAACAATCTATTAGGATTTTATTCAATCTATAGATGAATTTAAGAACCAACATATGTATAATACAAGTCTTCCAACTCATTATCAGGATCCGATTTCTTCTTAGCCTTCTCTAATTTATTGCAAAGCTTTATATTTTCTTTGTAGAGTTCTTTTCTCCAACTTATTGCTGGCTCCTTGCTATCAAAAATAGTATCTTCAAAAATTCATTTGTTGCCTCTTTACAAAAAGTACAATTGATTTCAAGTATAAATTTTTATCTAGCAAACTTGCTAAACTTATGTTAGTAATTAACTTCAAGATTCTTTTGGGTTCTGTTTTATAATCTTATCTGTGATTAAGATAAATTTTATTTTTCTTTCATATTTCTTTTTCTTGCCTAACTCAGTAGCTGAGACTTTCAGAAAAATGCTGAATAGGAGTGGCGATAGATTAGACAAATGCGTCCTAGATCTGAGTCGCTTCTTGGAAGACAGCTACTCCAAAAAGCCTATAGACCATAAGCAGACTGTGTATGAGCAAGAAATATACTTTATATGTTAAGCTCTTGAAAATGGAGTCTGTTAGTTCCTATAACATGTTCTGTCCTGACTAATATAACGGGATTAAAATAAATCTCTTCTATTCCTGGTTTGGTAAAACGTTTTTTCATACATGACTGTTGAATGCTAGCAAATGCTTTTTGGTACCTGTTGAGATGATTATGATTTTTCTTCTGCAGTCTGTTGAGGTGACAAGTCCTTTTTATTGTTTTCAGTGTTACACTTCCATTCCTGAAATAAACCCAAGCTGACCACAATATATTCTTTGTTGCTAGATTTGGAGTGTTAACATTTTGTTTAGGATTTTCACATTGATATTCATGACTGAGATTAGCTTCCTTTCTCATAGTTACTGGGCTTTAAGGTTTATAAAGCAATTTGGGAAGTACATCTTAATTTTCCAAAAGAGTTTCTGTGGAGTTAGATATTCTGTGCACATTGGTAGAACTTACCAGTGAAGTCATCTTCAATTCTTCCTTCATGTTCACCAGTTTTTCTTCCTAACGAAATGAATATCTATTCTTTTATAACTTAAAGATTTTATTTCCATGTTCACGGTTTCCATTTCATTCTGTTTCATATCTGCCCTCTGTTTTTTCTGATCTCCAGACTCATGGAAAGTTTGCTATCCCTTCTCAAAGAATAAAGAACGTTTTTAAGGTACTTTGCAGAATGCTTTATCAGGTTGCATCACATGAATTCTCATCTGTTGTGCCTTTCAGGTGTTTCTTACTGGATTTCCTATTAAGCTTTTATAATTTTTATGTGAAATCATCTTATGTGTTTTCATGGTTTCTCTAGCCTGTCTATGAGGGGTGCACAGTGTTGAATGGGTCTGAAACTTTTGTTGAAAATTTTGGGCTTTGTCATGCAGAGGAGGTCCATTCTGGATGCTGAGCTCCCTTGCAGTGCTGGCCAACTTTTCTTTCCCATCGCAGATGTTCTTTCCTCCTTGGCCGTAGGAGAGTATTACATTTCTGATCATATCTAGGGTTTGATGAAGGGATATTTTAGTTTTAACATTGGTCTGGTCCTAGCTCATTACTTCTTCCAGGGAGCTTAGTTCTGGTTGTGTCCCAAAGCATGCTTGTTGAAGCTAAACACAGTGGGGGCCACTCCCCATGGGCCAGAGGATTTCAGCCACTCACCATTATGTTTTTCTATTTCCAGACATGGAGATTATCTTCTTCTCAAGTGTGTTTGTGTAGATTTGATTCTTCCCACCCACATACACACACTATTTTCATGCTACTAGCCTCCCTGTGGTTGAAATGGAAAGAAGAGGGTAATCCAGTGGCTCATTCCCTCTTCTTCCCAGGGAGTATCATGTGACTTTTGTTTTAAAAACTTTGAGTCCTTTATTGGACTGAACTCATGAGAAATCTCTTATGACTAAAGTGGAGCATTAAAGTTAGGCTGAGCATTTCTCATGTCCATGATACTAGTTTTCGTGTACTATTTTACATGTACATATGTCACCTGTATTTTACATGCATCAAATTAAAAGTGAAATTACTAAAAGGCCAATATTATTACTAAAAAGAAAGATTTTCCTCCATTTTGATCTGAACTTTGTAGCAAATTTTTCCAAACCCTAAGTTTACTCCTTTGATCTAAAATTTTATTGCTAGACACTTAAAATCATGGCAGCAGGTTTAGAAATAGTAGTTGAAATACATGTAGGCAACTTAAACTTATTTAAATAGGACATGCCACTTTGACTAAGTGACAATTTTTAAATGATATTAATGCCTATGTGTGTGGATTAAGCTGTTTGTACAAGCTTGATGAAAATGTATGGCTATGATGCACACAATGAAGAATGCAATACTGGATGAGGAGTGGATCAGGGTGCCAGGCATCTTCAGCATCTCTTTGTAATTTTCCTTCCACTTGGGTTTATGATGGCTAAAAAGTTGTTTTGCTGATACTTAACAAAATAAGATATTTTGCCACTTTTCCACCTCTGACTGGAGAAGCTAGAATTTGAGGTACCTGAAAGTGGTTCTCAGAAAATCCCAATGGATTTGATTGAATATTCACTCATCCACCAGTTATTTTCTGAGTTTCTGGGACATGTGAAACCTTGAGCTTGATTTTGGGAATTCAGTGATAGCCCAACAGGATTCTTATTTTCAGGAGCCTGCAGTCTTGGTGGAGAGGCAGATAATAATCAGATGTTCACCAAATAAATGTAAAATGGCCAAAAATGTAAAATGGCCATTGTGATTTCAGATAGCATTGAAGTGCCATGAAGGTGATTACATGGGGGATAAGAGGGCTTGTAACAGAGAGACCTGGGTACCTTGGGAGTAGAGGTGGCATCAGAAGGGGTTGCCTGTAACAGATGACACTTACGAGATCTGAAGGGTGAGCCAGGGCTATTCCATATTGAGGGAACATGTTGAAGGCTTTTTGGCTGGAAGGAACATGGCGGGCTGCTGCAGAAACTAAAGCAGGACAGTGTGACTCCAACTCGGACAGCTGGGAGGTCATGAGCCATGGTGCGTCTTGCAAGCCAGGTGAAGGGCAGAACATGTGTGTTGCATTCTGATCCTTTGCCTTACAGCAATAGGAAACTGTTAACTTGCCAATCTCAAGCAGGAGAGTCATAGAATCAAACTTGTCTTCTGGATGGATTCTCTCAGGGCACATACAAAGGCTTTGAGTTTGTGTATTAGTCCGTTCTTGCATTGCTATTAAGAAATACCTGAGACTGGGTAATTTATAAAGAAAAGAGGTTTAATTGGCTTGCAGTTCTGCAGGCTATTCAGAGAGCATAGCAGCTTCTGCTTCTGGGGAGGCCTCGGGAAACTTTTACTTGTGGTGGAAGGTGAAGGGGGAACAGGCATCTTACATGGTGAAGCACAAGCAAGAGGGACAACGGGGAGGTGCTAAACAGTTTAGACAACCAGATCTCGCAAGAACTCTATCACAAGACCAGCACTAGGGGAATGGAGCTAAACCATTGGAAACCTCCCCTGTGATCCAATCACTTCCCACCAGGCCCCACCTCAAAGATTGAGGATTACATTTCTTTTTTTATTATTATTATACTTTAAGTTTTCGGGTGCATGTGCACAATGTACAGGTTAGTTACGTATGTATACATGTGCCATGCTGGTGTGCTGCACCCATTAACTCGTCATTTAGCATTAGGTGTATCTCCTAATGCTATCCCTCCCCCCTCCCCCGACCCCACAACAGTCCCCAGAGTGTGATGTTCCCTTTCCTGTGTCCATGTGTTCTCATTGTCCAATTCCCATCTATGAGTGAGAACATGTGGTGTTTGGTTTTTTGTCCTTGCGATAGTTTACTGAGAATGATGGTTTCTAATTTCATCCATGTCCCTACAAAGGACATGAACTCATCATGTTTTATGGCTTCATAGTATTCCATGGTGTATATTTGCCACATTTCCTTAATCCAGTCTATCATTGTTGGACATTTGGGTTGGTTCCAAGTCTTTGCTATTGTGAATAATGCCGCAATAAACATACGTGTGCATGTGTCTTTATAGCAGCATGATTTATAGTCCTTTGGGTATATACCCAGTAATGGGATGGCTGGGTCAAATGGTATTTCTTGTTCTAGATCCCTGAGGAATCGCCACACTGACTTCCACAATGGTTGAACTAGTTTACAGTCCCACCAGCAGTGTAAAAGTGTTGCTGTTTCTCCACAGAGGATTACATTTCAACATGAGATTTGCACAGGGACACAGATCCAAACCATATCAGTTTGTTTAAAGGGTCCTAATAAAAAGGCAGCCCTTAAGACAAAAAAATTGCCCTTCTCTGTGTGGAAAGATCTCTTCTTCAACTCAGTAGTCGCAGACATACACACACACGCGCGCGCGCGCGCGCGCGCACACACACACACACACACACACACACGCAAAGCAGTGACAGGGTAAGGCCTTAGGCTGCTATTTATAGGGGAGAAGCTTTTTTCCTCCTCATAATAAATCTCAATGGAAATTGATTTATATCACCCTTTAGAAAAAGGGCATTGGCCATTTGATAATGAAAAGCTAAAACCAAAGGGCAACACATTCTCATCTTGCTATGCTTCTCACTTGGGCACAGTTTTGCCCTCTACCTCCTCCTACCCCCAGGAGAAGTTACGGTCAGATCAGTGGAAGAAATGTCTGAAATCGTGGGCATTGAAATGGACAGCTGGGGAAGTGCCTTGAAGTTCCTTTTCATCCATGAGAATCTCTAATTTTGTATCTTCAGTAGAGTTTAGGCTATGTGTTCTGGGTTTTTTTGTTTGTTTTGTTTGTTTGTTTTTTTCTGTGGGCTTACAATTAAAGTTGAAAGTGTAAGTTTCAATTTAGTAAAAGTGCTTAACTGGGAGAACCCATCCCTGTGCTGAGTTCAGGTGATGAATCCAACACAGGGTTAGAAATTAGCCTTAAAAAATGGTTACCAGCCAAGCACATTAGCTCATGGCTATAATCCCAGCACTTTGGGAGGCCAAGGTGAGAGGATCACTTAAGCCCAGGAGTTCAAGACTAGCCTGGGCAACATAGATCCCATCTCTACAAAAAGAAAATTTTTTTTATTTAGTTGGGCATGGTGGTACATGCCTGTGGTCAGTCACAGCTACTTAGGAGGCAGAGGTGGAAGGATTGCTCGAGCCCAGGAGCTGGAGGCTGCAGTGAGCTATGATAGTGCCACTGCACTTCAGCCTGGGTGACAGACAACCTGCCTTAAGGAAGAAAAAGTTACCATGTCTCCGAAAGTTTGACTTTTTCCTTTGTAAAATTACATAATCTCTTCACAGTTAGCAAATTGAGTATTAGTTTTTTACCTAGTTAAAAAAAGAGTTTGGGAGCAGGGTAGATAGTAACTGAAAGAGGTTGGGTGTGGACTGGGGGGTGGCTGCCAGCCACCCTGAGCTATTGGGGCTGATCTTGCTGCTGTCAGGCTCAGCAAGGGCTCCCTTCCCCCATCACTACTCCAGGGTGTGTATGATGAGGAGTTGAAGAGCCTGAGTTCTTAAGCCAAGAGTCTCTTGCCTCAGTCTCTGGCAAAAGTCTCCAAATAAAATCTTAGTCTGTTTGCACAAAACATTTAAGTTTCAGCTTTTTCTTGTCACGTACTTGGCATTCATGGTGTGGTCTGGTGATTATGATTAGACTGGTACCTGCTCAGCTGAGTAAAGCCTCAGGCTTGGACAACATCACCTCTGAAGTCTAAGACCCTAGAAGAAATCAGTGGAAGTGGCATGGTTTCAGGTCACCATGCAGTTTTCTCTTTTGTCACAAGTATATGAGTTCAGGAGAAAGTATAAGAAAGTTAACTGACGGGGGAGAGGTGGCGGTGAAGACTTCATAGGAGAAGTTGCTTTTGACTCGAACCTTAAACAATGGGTAGGATTTAGCCTGGTGAAGACGAAGGAAGAGAGCTTTCCGGAGGGTACAGGAGCACCCTACTATGAGGCACAGTGGCAGACCAGTCAAGTGGGTCCACAGGTTTTGTGAGAAGAACAGGAGCCCTGTACCTGGGGGGTGTCTTAGGGGTCAGGTGCTAACCTCCAGTTCTCCCCTTTAATCTTCACACTTAGCCCATGATTCCTAAGGAGGGTTAGGATTGTCAGCAACAAGACAAGGCAGAGAACCCAAAACACTAAATGGAACTGCTGCTGTGGTTGGATAAGACACTTGAGTGCAGTGGTTCTCAGCGGGGAGGTGGGGGCTTTGGGCAATGTCTGAGACATTTTTGGTTGTCACAACTATAATAAATGCTACTGACATTTAGTAGGTGGATACCAGGAATGCTGCTAACCATCCTACAGTGCTTAGAACAGCCTTTCCAATTCCCCAGGGAAGAAGTATCTGGCCCCAACGTAAGTAATACAGAAGTAGACAATGCTGTAGTGGTTGGTGTATTTGGAGAAACCAGAAAGCCCCCTTTTATTCTTCTTTTCCTTAGGTTACTGAAAATGTTAGGAACCATGAGCTATTTCTAAGCATTGGAAGATGAGAATGTGCTTTATTACCCAGTGGATCTGGGTATTTCCAAACTAGGGTCTGTTAGTTACCCTTGGGCATAGCTCCTATTCCTGGTATCCAATATCTGTTATTTTGGGGCTTTTTTTTTTTTTGAGATGGAGTCTCATTCTGTCACCAGGCTGGAGTGCAGTGGCGTGATCTCGGCTCACTGAGATTTCCACCTCCCAGGTTCAAGCCATTCTCCTGCCTCAGCCTCCTGAGTAGCTGGGATTACAGGCATGCACCACCACACCCAGCTAATTTTTGTATTTTTAGTAGAGATGGGGTTTCACCATGTTGGTCAGGATGGTCTTGAACTCCTGACCTCGTGATCCGCCTACCTCAGCCTCCCAGTGGGCTTTTCTTTTCAAGAGAGCCGAGGCCACATGAGTGGGAGTGCCTTGAACATTGTCCACAAGAATAAAACTCTGTCTGATAAGTTTATATTTCTCTTGTCAATGTATATTCTACTCAGCCTCCCCTCAGTGTCAAGCGGTATGAAAAGTTGTCACTTCAGTTTCAGATGTGTTGGCGACTGATGCTCAAGTTAAAGGAAATAAACTAATCAAAAGCGGCAGCACAGAGCTCTGGTGCCTCTCCTCATCCACGGGAGAGATGGCTTCTAATGGAAAGCACACAGAGGTGGATTAAAGTCGCAAGCCAGGCCCCCCAGTGTGGCCAGCATGTCATGGCCACTTCAGCATTCTCTAGTCACCCACAGATGTGTGGCATCAACATATGGGCTAGACTTCTTCCACAGGAAGTTTTTTTCCCCTTTTATTTTGTTTTTAAAAAATTTGACTTAATGTAAAATGTTGGAAGTGAGCAAACAGTCCCATGGAAAAAAGAACTGGGTCAGGATCCCCCACCCTCGTCCAGACACCAGCTCCTACTTTGGGCAAGTCGCTTTACATTTTGGGGACTCCCTTGCCTGATATCACAGATAAGAATGTTGAACTAGATTATTCCCAAGATTTTCTAACCCTGAGACCTTCGATTCTGATCCCTGAATATCTGAGACAAGTCTCAGTTAATTTAGAAAGTGTATTTTGCCAAGGCTGAGGACTCATGCCCATGACACATCCTCAGGAGGTCCTGACGACATGTGCTCCAGGTGGTCAGAGCATAATTTGGTTTTCTACATTTTGGGGGCACATGAGACATCAATCAACATATGCAACATGAACATTGTTTCGGTCTGGAAAAGGCAGGACAACTCAAAGTAAAGCGGGACAACTTGAAGCAGGGAGGGGGCTTCCAGGTTATTAGGTAGATAAGAGGCCAACGGTTGCATTATTTTGAGTTTCTGATTAGCATCTCCAAAGGAGGCGATCAGATATGTGTTTATTTCAGCAGAGGGGTGACTTTAAAGAGAACAAGAGGCAGGCTTGCCCTAAGCAGTTCCCAGCTTAAATTTTCCCTTTAGCTTAGTAATTCGGGGCCCCAGTATTTTCCTTTCATACTACAATAGAGCAACAACTGCCTTTACCCTTAGACCCAAACTTTTCCCTCTCTGGCTTTCACAGAAGATCCATCCTATTCGAATCAGATGTGATTTGCTCTTCTCAAATTATGGAAAAGAGAGGAGCTTCAGGGTGATTTATTCTTAATGCTGTTCTTCAGATCCCAGAGGCATCTTTTTTTTCATGTGCTCAGCAGCAGCAGTTGTTCTAGGGGTAAAGGTGGTGGCTCAGTATGTTCGAGGTGTGTTCTGTCTCAGTCGGGGAAGTCAGGTCAGCATGTGCCAGTAAAGTAAATAGAAATCCTGAGACAAGGAATTGAATGCTGCTGTTCAGGGACAGTCCAGGACAGATCTCAGGGACAGAGACACTAACGCAGTAAGAGCCTAACATTCCGTTCTGTTGGCATGCTCCAGGCAGGTGGCTGCCACCATAGAGCATGTAGGAACCGCCGAGGGCCCTCTGGAATTGTGTGTTGTCTGATGTAGAACCGTTGTCATAAATGTGGACAAATGCATTACAAAATAAAATCTGATTAAAATTGTCCTTGGTTGGAACCAGAATAATGATAGTAGTTTCCAATCTTAGAGCACATTGAAAAGCTTTTTAAGTGCCCAATGCTTAGGTGACATACCGGGACCTCTGAATGAGAGTGTCTGGGGCTGGGACGTAGGAATCTTTTTTTTTTTTTTTAAAGATCCCCATGTGATTCTAGTGGTCAGCTGAGATTGAGAATAGCTGTTCATAGGAAATGTTTGTCAGGTGCATGATCCACGTCCTGTCTGCACATATATGGAACTGTGAATTGTTGCTTTTTTCATTTTCCTGCAGTATTTCTTTTGTTTTCCCAGCTACTTTTAGCAAATCTAGAGGCAAACAGGTGCATTTATCAAATACACAATTACAGTAGTTGTCAAAAAAGATAACTCACCTGTCAAGGCTTTGTTGAGGGGATTATTGAGTTTTAGGAGAAGTTGGATAAGAAATCATCTAGTATTCTGAGAGCGCAAAACTCAGTGATTTAGACTTCACTGGGGCTGAAATCTGTCTTTAAGCCAGTAATTTGACAAGCATCTATGTTTGTACTGTGACTTTTATGTCTTTACATTTTTTTTCTGATAAAAAGTATCTTTTTTAAAAAATTATTATACCTTAAGTCCTGGGATACATGTGCAGAATGTGCAGGTTCGTTACATAGGTAAACTCGTGCCATGGTGGTTTGCTGCACCCATCAACCTGTCATCTACATTAGGTATTTCTCCTAATGCTATCCCTCCCCTAGCCACCCCCAGCCCTGACGGGCCCTGGTGTGTGATACTCCCCTCCTTGTGTCCATGTGTTCTCATTGTTCAACTCCCACTTATAAGTGAAAACATGCAGTGTTTTCAGTGGTTTTCTGTTCCTGTGTCAGTTTGCTGAGAATGATGGTTTCCAGCTTCATGTCCCTGCAAAGGACGTGAACTCATCCTTTTTTATGGGTGCATAGTATTCTACGGTGTATATGTGCCATATTTTCTTTATCCAGTCTGTCATTGATGGGCATTTGGGTTGGTTCCAAGTCTTTGCTATTGTGAACAGAGCCGCAGTAAACGTACGTGTGTATGTGCCTTTATAGTAGAATGATTTATAATCCTTTGGGTATATACCCAGTAATGGGATTGCTGGGTCAAATGGTATTTCTGGTTCTAGATCCTTGAGGAATTGCCACACTGTCTTCCACAGTGGTTGAGCTAATTTACACTCCCACCAACAGTGTAAAAACATTTCTATTTCTCCACATCCTCTCCAGCATCTGTTTCCTGACTTGTTAATGATCGCCATTCTAACTGGAGTGAGATGGTATCTCACTGTGGTTTTGATTTGCATCTCTCTAATGACCAGTGATGATGAGCTTTTTCTCATGTTTGTTGGCTGCATAAATGTCTTCTTTTAAGAAGTGTCTGTTCATATCCTTCACCCACTTTTTGATGGGGTTTTTTTTCTTGTACATTTCAGTTCCTTGTAGATTCTAAATATTAGCCCTTTGTCAGATAGATAGATTGTAAAACTTTTCTCCCATTCTGTAGGTTGCCTCTTCACTCTGATGATACTTTCCTTTGCTGTGCAGAAGCTCTTTAGTTTAATTAGATCCCATTTGTCAATTTTGGCTTTTGTTGCCATTGCTTTTGGTGTTTTAGTCATGAAGTCTTTGCCCATGTCTATGTCCTGGTTGGTATTGCCTAGATTTTCTTCTAGGGTTTTTATGGTTTTGGGCCTTATGAAAAACAGGCATCTTCTATTGAAGCTATTTTAGCTCTGTAGATTGGCTTTCCTTTGTGACTAATTCACTTTGGTCAATCCATGTTATTGATTTATTTTTCTCTATTTACATCTGTTCAAAATTTCATACAGTAACACTACAACTACCTCGTTTGTTGAACCGCTAACACACATGGGGTGTGTGCCTATGTACAGGCATCGGTTTGTCTTTTATACCTCTGCTCATTTATTCATGGATACATATGGAATTGATTCTTAAAAATCCACAAATTCTTATTAACACCTCTTTCTACTGGCAGACAAATTTGAGCATATTTTCATCAAATGTGATCTCATATGTCTGGGGTAGACTTTATGATTCAGCTTAAGAAACTGGGGAATAGCAGAAGTGCCATCAATCAGGGGCAGCTTAAGCTAGTCCCTTGTGTCTTTCCAGGGGGCTTTCCTTTTATTAAATTAATCTTCAAACCCCCGCTGCACTGCCAGACTTGGTTTTTGTTGGAGAGAAAACCAACTCCAGCTGGAACTGCTGCCTGGAGACCTAGAGCAGCCTCTGAGGTTGAGCTGCCATCTGGTGACCCCACAAATGCTTTTCTGCCTAAGTTCGCATGGCCCCAATCATATGTTCAATGCTCAGCCTTTTCTCTCTCAACCTTCGCCATCCCTTTCCTATTTTCTTCCACATCCAAGACAGCTAAACACTCTCAGAAACAGACCCACCGCAAACACTTCTGCGTCTCCACGAACACAAGTTTACATGAGGACCCTTCGGAGAAGGAAATAAAGTATTGGATTTCTTTTATGTGCCAGCCAGCTGGCCTTTAGCTTAGTACCATGTTTTCTTTTGGTCCTGAGCATTTATAGGCATATCTGTGTCTAGAGTCAAGTTCAGAGAGAGAAGGGATTAGGGAGGAGTCAGAAAAAACATCTCTTTCAGGTAGGCAAAACCCACTATGCAGACTTGCTGGTATTCTCACTTCAAAAGACAGCAAACAGATCTTTAGGGAAAGGCACAGTCTGAGCGAGACATGCATGGATTCCAGACACACGGATGCATTTCAGCTCCTCTGTGTTTCTGAAGTCATTTGTTTCACACCAAGACAGAAGCATTGGAGGGAGTGGCAGGTTGGCAGAGCAAGTAGACGGGGCATGGCTGGGTAAAGAAACCACATGCAAGCCTCACTCACAGCTCATTGTTGTAGGGGAGGCAGCAAAAGCAATTTAATTCCACATTTTGTCACAATCAAAATAAGGGCAGACAGAGGCAACTTTTAGTCTTATGCCTTTGTCCACTACAGCTTTGCCCCAGTCATAAACACCTAGGTTTTTCACAAGTCTTAGGCATTGTCCCCATTTAACATTGATATTTCTACTAAAGCTGTTTATTGACAAAAATATTTACAGACTTGAATATTTTCCTGAATGTCAAGTGTAATGAGCTACTTTAAAAACAGCCATCTGAATGGTACAGCCATTTCGGAAAACACTGATATTCTCTTATGAAGTTCAATTTCACACTCATCAAGTGACCTGGCAGCTCTGTTCTTGAGTACCCAAGTGAAATGAAAACATTTGTTCACACACACTCACAAAACTTGTATGCAAATATTTATAGCAGCTTTACCTGTAACCTCCAAAACCTGGAAACAAGCCAAATGCCTTTCATGCGTGCTGTTGTGGTATATCCACAACGTGAACACTAACTGGGCAATAAAAAGGAACATACACTCATGAATGGATCTTAAATGCAAGAACGTGAATGGATCTTAAATACATGATGCCAAGTGAAAAAGGCCAAATGCAAAAAGATTAGTAACTTTTCTTACACAGGAAAAACTAGAGAAAAGCAATCAATGTTTGCCTGGAGCTGGAGGGGAAGGGGTTAACTAAAGGGACATGTGGGATTAGGGTGATGTTCTGTATCTACATTGTGATGGTAGTTACTGGCTGTATACTTATCGATTCCAGCAGAACTCCATCTATGCAAAATTGGCGAGGTGGGAGGGGCTCTTACCCAGTATGACCTGCTCTGGGCATGAGAATTGTAGCTGCCAATGTGGATTATGACCAGTCTTCCAGATGATTACCTCTAGCCACTGCAACTTAGGACCCTATCAATGATGGTCAAATGATTGGTTAAGAAAGACTGAGGAAAGACTGCATGAAATGAGAACTTTGCAGCGAACTTAAGCATAATATTCACAAGACTCTACAAGGGTCAACTGGTCTTTATTCTCTTGCTCCTCTCTCAAATTCTGCCATCCTTTGTCAGCATTGATCATATTGTGTTAGTCTGTATTAGATATTAATTTCTAGTATCAAAATCCTGACTATAATTTGAACATTCTCAGTCTGAGGATGCTTTTATTAAAATATCTCATCATTATTCCTGTAGGTTTGTCCCAAATGCTGGCTGGCAGCTTTGTGGATAACCTAGAAAAGTGCACTTTCCCCTTGACCTTGTTCTGCTCTTTCACCTTTTGCCCTGTGATCCACACCTGGTGCAGTCTGCCTCCTTGCCTGTTTCCCATGAATTCTGTGGTAGGTAGGAGTGTGGATTAGTTTGCTAGGGCTGCCATTAAAAAGTGCCACCAACTGGCTGGCTCATAGAGGAGAGATTTATTGTCTCATAGTTCTAGAGGCTGAAGTCTGAGATCAAGGCATCAGCAGGGTTGGTTCCTTCAGAGAACTGCCTGGAAGATTCTGTTCCAGGTCTGTCCTCCACCTTCTGGAGGTCTGCTAGCCATCTCTGGTGTTCCTTGGTGTGCAGGAGAATCGCCCCGATCCTCTGCCTTTATCCTCACATGGTGTTTTCCCTGTGTGTGTGTCTCTGCATCCAAATTTCCCCTTTTTATATGGATTGGATTAGAGACCCACCCTTCTTCAGTATGACTTCGTCTTACTAATTACATCTGCAACAACCCTACTTTTCAAACCTCACATTCTGAAGTCCTGGGGGTTAGGACTTCCACATATATGAATTTTAGAGGGACACGATTCAACCCATAATGGAGTGTGTTAATTCTTTTTAACAGGAGGAAGAGTCATCTACCTAGAGGTATAAGCTGAAGTCTGTCCTCACCCCAGGCAAACACATGGATGCCACAAGACCTATGTAACAAAGCTAAACACCTTGCCAGGCTACAGTATAACAGAGAATATCCCTGCAAATCTGCTTCATGAAAGTTACATTAACCAGCACATTTTTTATTTCTACTTTCTTCCTCAAAAATAGAGTATAGAAGTTTAAAGTTATATTTTTGTGGAATATATGTGTAGAGTTAAGATGAAATAACTTTTGGGAGGAAGTTTGTGAAATCAGCTCGTGGTTTTGACTCAATTTATAACAAGTCATGTTAGGCCAATATAATTTCTACTACAGTGTTGTAGATATAGACCCCGTTTCTCTAATACACCCCATTGGCCATTCATTTCCTGTAAGTGTGGCTTATTAAGTAAGATGTTTTATGGTACAACTGTGAGCTTACATTTCACATCTTCAGTTTCTTTCAACTAAATTATTGGAAGTTCTAAACTAAAGACACTTTTTGGGCAACTAACCGTACTATAAATTCTTTGAAAATATTGCACTGTGGTCAGTTTCAGAATCACTGTGGTCTAATCTAGACTCAGTGAAAAAGCCATCTAACATTATTATAATCAGATCACATGGGAGGCACTAGTGTGAACCAGTGATGCCTAAACTCTGAGTTATGTCAGGAGTTACTGGGCACCTGGGTGTAGCCTTTTTTAGTCCCAGCTGCTATTCCATTTATGCCTCGTAGCACAGATAGAACATGTCCTGTTTGAAATGAGGGAAAACTGAAGAACCAGAAGAGCATTTAGAATGGTAATTATTTTGAAGATTTTGACAGTTCATTCATTTAGGAAAAATATATTTCATACCTATTACATGAAACTATTTTTAAAACTGACATTTCCTGTCCTTGAGATGCTCCTGATGAAATGGGAAAGCTAAGCATGTAAATAGCTGAATCATTTAATATACCAAATGGAATCATGGAAGCATAGGTTAAGTTCTGTAGGATTCTGGATGTTTAAGGCAGTGACTCTAACTTGTAGTAATGATAGTACAGCAATAACTCCATTTTCTGCTTGTGAAGGTGTAGGCAGTAGGATTTAAGATAATTCTTGTAAGTTCCCTGATTTTTTTTTTTCTCTGCACTTTGAACCAAGTTATTTCAACTAAAATGGTGAGAAAAGAGTGTGAATGTCTTGGAGACTCTGGGTTAAAAATTAGGGTTGGGGACTATATGTTGGTCAGGAGTCCTCAGAGAAACAGAGAAGTTTATTTTAAGAAATTGGCTCACACAATTGGTGGTGCTTCGTAAGTTAAAACAGTGTAAGCTGGAGATTGAGGTAAGAGCTGATGCTGCAGTCTTGAGTCTGAAGACTGGAAACACAGGCAGATTTTGTGTTGCCGTCTGGAGGTAGGAGTTTTTCCTCAGTAAGCCTCAGTGTTTGCTCTTAAGGTCTTCAACTGATTGGATGAGGCCTATCACATACATACATATATATATATATATATTAGACGGAGTCTCACTATATTGCCCAGGCTGGAGTGCACTGGCACAATCCCGGCTCACTGCAGCCTCTGCCTCCCAGGTTCAAGCGATTCTGGTGCCTCAGCCTCCCGAGTAGCTAGGATTACAGGTGCGCACCACCTTACCTGGCTTATTTTTGTATTTTTAGTAGAGACAGGGTTTTACCATGCTGGCCTGCCTGGTCCTGGAACTCCTGGCCTCAAGTGATCCACCCTCCTTGATATCCCAAAGTGCAGGGATTACAGGTGTGAGCCACTGTGCCCAGCCTTATGCACAGTATTAAAGGCAGTATACTTTACTCAAAGTCTACTGATACTGGATGTTTATCACATCTTAAAATATCTTTACAGCAACACCTAGACTAGTGTTTGTCCAAGCAACTGGACACCTTGGTCTAACCGGATTGACACATAAACTAAAACCATCTTAGGGGCACACACGTATACTCTTTAATGTCTTCAAGACATTGCGTCCTCAATGAAGCACAAATGTTCTGAGAAGTCATAGTTTATTCTTGTGAAAATGGTTCTGGGATTCAGTTTCAGCTGCCTGCCCTCTGAAGACTGTCCCTGCCTCCCTATTAAGCAAACATATCTCTATTTGCTAAACTTTGAAAGGGAATAAGGCTAACCAACCAATAGAAATTATCCTGACTGATTTATATATTTTGACATTTCTCATAAAGCAGATTTTTTGAACAATGTGATATAAAACTGTGATAGAGGATATTAAGGAAAACTATTATCTAGTGATTTTCTTGAAGTATTTCATTTGGAAGCATGATCATATCAATCTCTGGTAAAGTCTATGTTGTGCCATTTCACATGGTTTTAATTATGTTATAAAAAACCCATATGATATTCTAGAATCTCAAAAAATCGATCTGTAATAACAGGAAATCCAGGACCTTTTTTATTTAGTCTCTTTATAACAACAATTGGTTCCAGCTTCACAGGGCAAGGGGGAAAAAAACCCATAAAATTTGTGACAGCTACAATAATACTGCCTTGGCTCGATTAAACTCAAAAGCAAGCTGATTGAGGGATTGATTTGATAGTGCAAGACATTTTGAAAAAACGTGTGTTCACTCACTGTCATGGGCTTCATGGTTTATTTCTTTTCATGCTCAGTAACTATGAAAATGCCAGCAAATGTCAAGTAAAAAAATTCTTTTCATTTTTTGTTTTCTTCTCCAGATACCATGTCTGCCAAAACAACCACAATAAAAACCCACTTTGGTGTCAATCTTTGATCATTCTGAAAAGGATGTAGGCTGTTCTTGGATTTCTCCAGAGATTAAAGACTAGACTAGAATTTCCAGTAGTCTAAAGGGTGAACTGTGTCTAAACAACATTTGCCACCAGCTCTCGTTAAAATCCAGATTGATGAGCCCCTCCCCTAGAGTTGCAGATTCAGTAGGTCTTGGGTGAGGCCTGAGAACTTGCATTTCTAATTCCAAAGTAAGGATCATACTTTGAGAGAATGACTCTTCTGTACGTATGAGATAAAACATATTAAGAGATTAAATCAACCTCATTATAAGCCCTCCATATATGTACAGATTTTCCATTTCATCCATATGTTTATTCATTTATTCATTTTAGTACTTAATGGGACTACTATAAGGATAGATTTTGTTTTTTAATGATACTTTAAGTTCTAGGGTACATGCGCACAACGTGCAGGTTTGTTACATATGTATATATGTGCCATGTGGTGTGCTGCACCCATTATTCATCATTTACATTAGATATATCTCCTAATGCTCTCCCTCCCCCCTCCCCCCATTCCACAAAAGTCCCCGGTGTGTGATGTTCCCCACCCTGTGTCCAAGTGTTCTCATTGTTCAATTCCCACCTATGAGTGAGAACATGCGGTGTTTGGTTTTCTGTCCTTGCGATAGTGTGCTGAGAATGATGGTTTCCAGCTTCATCCATGTCCCTACAAAGGACATGAACTCAAGGATAGATTTTTTAAAATCACTATTATCGAAGACCTTAAGATCTAATTTTTTTAAAAGCAAGAAGAAACACATAAGGAAAAGTTACATAATAATGTAAAGCAATAATATACGATTACTTGCCAAATGCTTCAACCTTTCCTGATGTCATTAGCAAGATGACTTCTAAAAGGGCTGCGTTAATTCTGGCTTGCTCTACTGTTGACCCAAAAAAGGAGCACATTTCACTCCTAGGGACTGACTGCTATTATACTCAGAAGTGGGAGGGTGAATTTCTGGCTGAAGTTCATACGTTACAACTCAGCAGTCGACTTACTCTTGTGATGGAGCATGAAATTGAAGCAATATGGCTCCCAGCTGAAGGACCAGCTTTGTAGGATTCAGGCCCAGGGCACTGCTAGGGGACCATATAAATGACAGAGGCTCTGATGTCTCGATTTTCATCCTGGTTGGTGGGCAGCCTAGGGGACGTCCGGCTCTCCTGGAGCCAGTGTGCTGGGATTCTGCTCTGATTCCTTGGCTCAGCAGCAGTTCTGTCCTTTGTCCTTTCTGAAAACCTCACACACAGAGCAATTTAATATCACGTTAATGAGCTGCCTGAGGCCCTTGGGAGGTCCTGCCCCACCCCCGCCAGCACATCTCCAAGGATGACTTCCCTTTCATTTTCTTGAGAGGTCACTGCCCTGGCAGTGTCGCAGAATACTCTCCTTCCCCTCACTGTGATCTCAGGGATCCTGGTAACAAGTCTTGCTCACTGCTGTCTGGAGCTTACGTCAAATCCAAGAGAATGTATGCAAAGTCTCGCAGAATCCAGAAGTGTTACAGCCAGCAGACCAGAGACAGGCACTCCTTAGACATGATTGATGCCCCTCATCAAAAACTGGTGGCTGACTATCTTAAGTACTGGCTTTGAGGCCTGGCTTTCAAAGCCCCTCCCCACAGAGCAGATGGTCTGAGGGTGGCCCTGCTTGACCTCACTAAACGTTTTGTGTCTCTTTTGTGTGGGTTCATGTTCCCCAGCACCACCTTATTGTTCCTCTCCCTTGTGGGTTGTGCTTGATGACAGCATTGGTCAGTGGTGTGCAGCTTCCTACTTAATTATTCATATCAGAGTGATCTAGCAGAAACTCCCTCTCCCAGGCTAGATCCTAAGCTCCTAAAGGAAATGAATATTCTTTACCCTTTGCTATTTCTCACCACATCTAAAACAATGTGGAGCGTGTGTTCAGGAAGAGCTTGTCAAATGACAGGCAAATGAAGAGTAACAGATCTTCAAAAGTAGAAAATGCCTTTGATATTCTGTTTAAGAATGAGAGAAAGAAGTTGTAGAATCTGGCATTATCTGGGTAGTGATACTTGCCTAAGAAAAGGGAGCTGAGGCCGGGTGCAGTGGTTCACTCCTCTAATCCCAGTGTTTTGGGAGGCCCAGACAGGAGGATCACTTGAGGCCAGGAGTTTAAGACCAGCCTGGGTAACAGAGCAAGACTCCATCTCTACAAAAACAAAATTAGCTAGGCATGGTGTTGAGCACCTGTAATCTCAGCTACTTAGGAGACTGAGGTGGGAGGATGGCTTGAGCCTGGGAGTTTGAAGCTGCAGTAGGCTATGATTGATTGTGCTGCTGTACTCTATCCTGAGCCACAGAGCAAGACCCTGTCTCTTTTTTTTTTTTTAAAAGGGCGGGGGGAGATGAATTGCTAAAAATAACATCTGTGTTCAACATTGTGTAAAAAAGAATTTGGGCTTTGTGCCTCATTTTGACTCTAATTTACTAGCTGTGTTATTTCAGCTACTTCCTCTTTGACATTCTGTTTTCTTATCTGTAAATTGGGAGTTTGTATCTGGCTTGCAGTGCTAGTGCAAAAAATAAAGGAATTGATGAATAGATGCAAAAGATAAATCAACTAGTGAATAGTTCATGGCATCTGAAATCTAATAGGTGCTCAAAATATCTGTTTTTATTACCAGATATACCATTTTTAGGACAGACTGCTAGTAAAATCGGCATCAGGTGAAGCAACAGATTTAGAAGGAGTCTTCGGTTTCTGGCAAGCTGGTACAATAAAGTGCTTAATACCTTCTTAATGAACCACAGCCAACCCAGCCCTTATGAGACAGATGCTATAGCTTTCTAGATTGGGTTGCTGGAGGGAGAGCCAGACTTGCTGGGTAGCCACTCATGTGAGGAGAATTGTTTGAATAAAAGGAGAGAGTGGAATCGAACATCGTTTGGAGATAACCCGAGATGCACCCCTCTGCAGAGAGGAAAAGGAAGTAGGTTTGAGAGTGGAAACAGCCAGTGAACAGAGACGCAGAGACATCCGTGAAGGTAGTGGGTGAGAGCACACTCAGGCAGGACTAAGGTGGAGGTGGCAGGTGGGAGGTTTAGTTGGCAAGATGTCCCTGGATAGAGAGAACTCATGGCCTGCCCATGTCCTTTACGTGTGAATCAGCTTGCTGTGGCACTGCAGCCTACCACAGTAGTAAGCATGCTGTTCACTCTCACAGATGGGCAGAGGTGTCCAGGTGATCACCTGCAGGGCTCACCTTGGCTCAATACATTACCTTCTGAGAAGCTGAGGCCAGCAGTTGGGGAAGGAAACACATGCCCATCTGATGAAATTCAGCTGGACTGGGCCGCCTACAGCGTGCACTGTTTTTGGTCTGCGCAGGTGAACTGAGCAGATGCAGCCTATCTTCTAGCTCCAAGTTGCTTCAGTTTAGCCATCTTCTCCCTAGTTCTCATGATCAAGAAAGGGAGTAATCAGAAGACTTATGTTATTAGAGAGTCTCTTGAAACCTTGCTAAGTAGAAAAGTAAATAGTCCATTGGTTTCTTCTTGGAGGCCACATAGAAAAAGGTGCTCAGAAGTCTGTTCACCAATACTCTGTGCTAGCTCCTTTCGAGAAGTCTTGGGGAGAAGTAATACCAAGTGTTTTCAGTCACATCTGTACTAAACTTCCCACTCACCTCTCTGGCTGTCCTGTCCATTTACACGGTCTGTGCAGTAGCTAGTCATTGAATAAAGCAGAATCAGGGATTGTGGGTTATCTTCTTATAGGGCACATGAGTAGTTTGTGAGAAGACAGCATTGTTACAACAGGGCAGAACCTCACATTCTGCCAAAAAAAAAAAAATAGGCCTCTTATTTCTGCCAGATAATTTGAGATATCAGGACTTGGAGACATTCAGGTTTGGAAAGTGCCAGAAGAACCCCTGCAGAAACCCACTCTTGCCCTGAAAAGGATTCTCCTAACCGTGGTTCTCTCTATATGAATTCGGACTTAAAAAAATAGAAAAAGAATAGCTACCACAGCGATTTCTAAAAATCTATGAGCAAGAAGAAAGTTCAAAAACAAATGAAGAAAATTTTAAAATACAACAATTTAAAAATAGCATTAGGAAAGGGATGGATGCTTCTGTATGTGATATGTGTCTGCTGATAAAACCTGGAAGGAGTTGTTGGGCCTGCTTTAAATCTGCACACTGTTGGCAATGACTTTTAAGTACGATCATCTTTTTCCCTGTCAGTAACAGAACAGTGTGGTGGTGGTAGTGAGCAAAGTCACGTAGTTGGCAAGTCATGAATAGAGTTTCAGACAATTTTAGGCAGAACGTAGGATATCATCAGCCCTGGAAAATGACACACAGAAGGGGTGTCAGTGACCAGCAGAGCATGGGTCACTGATAGAATTGCTACATTAAAACCCGATCCACTTGGGTTGCAGCGTGGGATGGGTCTTGAGATGGAGTCAAGGAAAAAGCATGACTGCAATCATTTGCTTCCCATCGCTGTCTGCTGGATTTCCCCATTAGCTAACTTAGGCACACAAGCAAGAAATGTCTAATGAAATAGAGTAAATAAAAGAAAATGCAGCCAGGCGCAGTGGCTCACGCCTGTAATCCCAACACTTTGGGAGGCCAAGGCGGATGGATCACCTGAGGTCAGGAGTTTGAGACCAGCCTGGCCAACATGGCGAAACCCCATCTCTACTAAAAATACAAAAAATTAGCTGGGTATGGTGGTGGGTAGGGTAGCTGGGTATGGTAGCCTCCCAGCTACTTGGGAGGCTGAAGCAGGAGAATCGCTTGAACCTGGGAAGCAGAGGTTACAGTGAGCCGAGATCACACCACTGCACTCCAGCCTTGGCAACCAGAGCTAATCTCCATTTCAAAAAAAAAGAAAAGAAAAGAAAAAATGCGTTTAAAACCTCTTTCAATAAATCCAGGACATCATGATGAGAGGAGACCTTAGAAATGACCTAATCCTCTCACCTCTTTGCTTACAGATAGAGGGGAAATAATCTGCAGAATGATTTGTGGTCCTAACATGGTAGCTTTATGAGGCTCGTTCTTTAAAAAGAATTCTGCATAGTTTATCTTAATTGTTCATTTCACCCCGACTTTCATCATCGTTCTCTCACAATGTCTTCTGAGGCTTTAGAGATTTTTTTGGTAGCTAAACATTCCAGGAAGCAGCCATCATTTTTTTTCTTGGGGGTTGGGGCAGCAGCGGGTGGGGGTTGGACAAAAAAAGAGAGTGGTGATAGCATTTAAGAAGCAAATGTTAGCCAGCTGCACTGTCAGTGGTAGTATTTCTTAATAGGAGGATTTAGGGACTTTATTAATATGTTCAGATAAGATTAGCAGCATTTGCAAACATGATCTTTGGCAATCTACACCAGAACAGAACAGCTCAGTTCCTTTCTCAAGACAGTTGAGTACTTCTTTCCTACTTTATCAGTGCCTTTTCCAAACAAATGCCTGAAAACCATGTATTAAGGATAAATCTGGCGATTTAAAGTTACAGTTGTTTCATGTCATGGTACTTCCATCATCTTAGGTTGACTTTTAATTTTTTTTTTATTTTTGCTTCCATTTTATAGCTTTTCTAAAGGTAGTTTTAATTAGGGTGAGTGGTAGATTATGCATATGAGCCTATTAAGCAAGCCTGCTCCATATTGTTTCCTTGCTGGAAATTTTCTCTCAAAGATGGTCACAAGAGACAAGTGACTGACCCAGGGACTTTATTTAAATAATGAAAATGGTTATGTTATGAATGGCCCTGGAAGAGACATTGTGTGTCACCCTGTGGGTGGAAAGAAAATGATACTGTGGTAGAATGATGTGGAAACCATGCATCTGATTGATTTCCTGACCTGCTGCCTGCGGGGCACCCTGGTAGCCACGGTTGCTGTTGCAGTGTGTGTCCTGGGTATTTCACTCTCAGTTACCAGATATGGCTTTTTCTTATTCACTGTTCTCTTATGCAAGATAATAGAGCCTACTGCAGTGAGCTTTAACACTGCCTTTTGGGTCTCCAAGGTCAGAGGTAGTGACTCGGGGTCTTTGGCAATGCATTTGGGGGATGGGGGAGTTCAGGAGCCCTGACGTAACAGCCTGAGAAGATGCACCTGAGACTATTTTATGCATTAGGTTGAGTTTTGCATTCGATTTTCTTTGGGGAGAAAAAAGCTTGAAAACCCAGCAGTGTGTTTCAGAAGAGAACAGGCTGTTTATCTGTACTGTTCTTAAAAAAAGAAAAAAAAAAAATCTAGTGACAACCCGTCTTCCCCTCTTAGCTACAGGGTCTGGGTTTTTGCACAGGGCCTGATGCTTACTTAAAAGGGCCCTATGCTTAGTTTAATGCTTTGCTGTCGCCATCTTGAAAATTCTTAATTTTTTAAATGAGGTGTCCCATAGGTTCATCTTGCACTGGGCCAGGCAAATTACAAAGCTGGTCCTAATTCTAAGGTCAGGCACTATGTGCAGTAGGCCTCAGTGGGGCCAGGTGTGGGGCTGGGCTGTAGAGAGTGAGTTATGGACATTGTGGCCCAGCCTGCCCCTCGCCCCTGGTTACCCAGCCTGAGTGACAGCCCTTTGTCTACCTCGTACCACATCTTTCTTGCTGTGGACCCAACACAGCCCTTTGCAGCCCTTCTCTGATGCTCTTCATTGAGGGCCAGACCTTGATCCCCAGTCCTGTGCCATTGGTTGGAGCCCTGTTCTGAACAAAACACTTCCTAGAACTCTGACAGCCTTCATCTGACTAAACCCCAGCCCTGGTCATTCTCTTTTCTACTCCCCTTCCTCCCTCCCTCCTCTACCTACCTACATTTTTGACACTCAGAGTTAACCAAGAAGACCACAAGCATGACAGACTCCAGAGTGGACTCCTCGTGCTCCCCTGAAGGGTGGCCCTTGCCTCTACCTCACTGTCTGTTCTCCCCTGTGCTCACCTTTCTCCCTCAGGGGCTTGTGTTAGCCAAGCCCATCATGAGCAAGGGAACAAGGCTGACTACTCAGTTCTGTTGCAGTGATCACGCTGGATTTTCCAAGCCATCATGTTTATGGGTTTTAGCTGAGATTCATGTGACTGATGCTTGAACATATACTTTGCAGTCCCCCTGTTGATGGCCTTTAAATCCCTCCTAGATCTATTCTTTATGTTCTACTTCTACCACCATGGACCAAGGCCAGGCTGTCATCACTTTGACCCTGCATTAGCAAATGATCAGCCTTTCTCAATGGTCTTCAGTTTCTCCTTTCCCCAGCCAACCTCATATGGCCTCAGTGTTCATCGTCTTCATTCCAGCTGCAGTATTTGAACACACCCTCTGTCCGGAAGACTGTGCCAGATGCTATGAAAGACATAGATGTTTCACACGAATCCCAAAGACTTCATAAAATAGTTGGTAAGATCAGTGAAATACAAGCCAGTTAGTAATAGATACCTTCTGAAGGGTACAAAGAAAGTACTGAAGACATTGTCATATATTTAGGTTGTTTCTAGTTTTCTCATTAAATATACTAGTATAGAAATGGTTTAATGACCATGATCTAGTCATATGATGAAATAATATGCAGCTCTATGTACTGACAATGGAAAATATTCAATATACAAAGTAAAAACACAGTGTTTATATGTGTGTGTGTATATATATAGTATCTCATTTTGTGATCTCATTTATATAATTAGTGCATAGGAAGTATAAAGTTGAGAGAATTATGTCAAATGACGATTGTCTAGATAGGATTAAAGAGGAATTTACCCTTCATTCTTTATGCATTTCTATAAAATATGAATTTTGTGTAACTTTGTATTAAACTTGTAAATATAAATGAAACACTTTCGAAAGGAAAGTTTTAGAGTTAAGAGGAAATCAGGCTTTAAGCTGCTGATAGTTATAAAGATTGTCTTTATGTGGCTCCTAGAGTCAGATTGCCCTGGGAAGAATGTCTCACCATCTCAGGTTTGTCCTGCTTCTGCTGTTCACACACCTCCCTTATGCAGCCTTCTGGAACTTTCTACTCAGCATAGGTTCATCACTCCAGATGGTTATTCTCACGTCTATGCTGCTGTTCATGCTATTCTCCCTTCCTGAGACGCCTCCCCTCCTCCAGTTAACTTATTCCAGCCCACTGTTCATCACGTTCCCTGCCCCAGCTTGCCCAGCCAATGCTGTTTCCCCTCTAAACATCGAGGTACCAATGATTTGGGGTTATGATCACGAACAACTCTGGTACATTTCTGGAAATGTTGCACATGTTTTACTGACTTGTAAATCCTAAGTTCCTTTGTTGGGAAGAACTGGCTTCTGATCATCTTTTATGACCTCAGTGGCATGAGAATTCTGTGTTGCTAGTAGGCATTCAACAAAGACTTGGTGACTGGAATCATAGCCCTGGTGCTGAGCTTCCAGGCGTCCACTGAAGCTGATCCACTTATACCAGCAGGGGCCTTGCCCTGTAGGGTCTACTGCTTCTCAGCCTCTGGTGCCCTTTGAGCCTGTCTGAGTAGGCCCACAGCCAGAATCAAATAGTGATGTTATCTTCCTGATTCACAGAAAAAAATATGGCTGAATTTTTACTTCAATTTTTCTATAATTTCGTAAATACCCTGGATGCTTGCTACTGATAGTCTGCTTCCAAATGTTGGCCAGATGGCCAAATGAATGCACAAGTAGCAAACAAATAGTATTTTAAAAAATCAAGAAAAACTAATTGTGCTTATTTTTAGCAGATTTGTTCTATTCTTCCCCCCAACCCCCATCCACATGTATTCTAACAAGCAGAGTTGGGGTTTTATATTGGAAACAAGACAACATTCCATCTTGTGTCTCTCGCTCAGTCCATGCCTGGACCTGTACCTTTACCTCTGCAGTTGCCATTTGATGTTCTGGGCAGCTCACCCACCTGGTGGGGTTGTAAGGGTTGCATTGCTCTCTTCTGTCGTCCTAGTCTAATCGTGGATACAGATTTCATCAGAGAACAAAAATACATAAACTCATAAACATGCCAACAGTCTTGTCTCTGTTTTGGGCTTAAGCAATCCGTGACTTATATGGAAGAGTCCATTCCCTGAACACCACCACTCAAACTGGGAAACAAACAAGAGAACTGAAACAAACGAGATCGAAACCTCTAAGGCGGCCTGGCCACAGGCTCAGTGATGGCACAGAGGACATAGAGACACATGTGGCCACAACATGTGAGGGAGGCTTTCCACACCCCCTGCATGAAGGCCACTGAATTAGGGACAGCTGAGTGCTCAGGGAATTTTCAGTGACCCCAGATGAGGGGGTGTGCCAGTAGTTCATGAGGTAGTCTTGACCCCAGCCAGAACTAGGATGGGCCAGGGAGTAACAGGTAACAAAAGTGTACTGTGTGGATGGGAAAAACACCTGGATTCCGGCCAGAACGTACGCGTGTGCACATCCCCTCAAAGTAACTCGGGTAGAAAGCAGGTTTATTATTGAAAAGATCAGGGGACTGACATGGAGATGGAGTGTAGGAAATCAGTTCCCATGTGGGCCCACATTATGTCATTTCTCCACCTCTCTGGAGCCACAAGGTCTGTTGTCTCTGCCTCTCTCTGTGCAGCTGGTTGATTTTCTAGTCTCTGAAGTGTACCAGTTTGTCTGTGGTGGGAGAGGATTACCCTCCTCTTTAATTCTGATTCACATTGCTAAATTTCTTAGTTAATAATCTAAAAAGATAGGTTCTGATTGGTTCCTGGTTTACCAATGGATTGGTTTTTCTGTGGGTCAGGTGTTCATGCCTAGCCAGTCAGCTTGTGTGTTTGCATGTATGTATATACACACATGCATGAAAGACCATACTAAAAGGACTAAGGGAGGTAATGGATTTTTGATAGAATTTCACTGTTTTAACTTATCTTTATGTGTAAGTATTATTTAAAGCAGTCAATAAATAACTCAAGTTTACAAATCATGACCTTGGCTTAAACCTAGACCTATCTTCTCTGCCTACGTACTTGTTAGATCTGGGGATTCAGATCCAGCTCCTGCTGAAGTCTGAGGGGAGAGGGTGGGTGAGCAGAAAGAACACCTCAGGGGGCAATAGGCAGGTAAAACATGATATTATCCAGCAGCAGCTCTCTTCAACAGCTTTCTCAAAGTAGCTTTCTCAGCAGGAGCTTACTCTCACACCATCCACCCTGTCTCGGCTGCTTGAGCTGGCCGCCCTCACACACAGCTGCACAGCCGGCTCTCCCTTGCCTTCAGGGTCAGCAGCTTAACTCTTTCTCTGGGCATGAGCAAGCCAAGCTGTGTCCTTGCTCCCTCCTGTCAGTCTTGCAGATGTACCTTCCATTCCACTCTCTTACTCTGGGCGCTAGCATGCCCGCCATGCCAAACCATGTTTAGCTGAGCCAAGCCAAGCCCCAAGAGCCCAAGAGCACCTGTACAGTGTCAGCAGGGCAGTTATACCTTTTACAGACAATAGTGGCATAGGGCTAAGGGATGGCCTTCCCATGTTATGGCTACATGGCTGTGATAACAAGTGGAGTTACACGCCTGCACTCTAAACTCACTGAGTCACTGTGGCCGGATGTCTGCCTCGGTCTATTCCTTGACCAAAGCACGTCCATGTAACTTACACTCCACCCCCTAGGCTGAGGGAGACATAGGGTTTGGACACACAGGTTTGATATACAGGTTTTGCACACAGGCCTGACGTAATTTTGGGCATGCAGGCCCAATACATACACATAGGCTTGACATATAAACCTGACACATAAGCTTTGGGCATGCAGGCCTGATACATAACTAAGCTTTTGGGTACACAGGCCCATTACATACATGAGCTTTGATAAACTGCCCAGCTATTGGCGCAGATTACCATAGGAGTTACCCTTTTGGTGATTATCATTTACACTGCCCTGAGCTTAGCTCATTCAGTACTCTGTTTCCACTTGGTTTTAAACCATATGGTGTCAGTACTAGGCTGGACCACACCAGCAGGCCCATCTGTGCACCATGTCCCATTTGGAATGGGGGGACGCTCTTCCTATCAGTGAAGGCTCAGGGTCTAGGAGTGCCTTAGGCCCCATGGCCTTATCTTGCATTAGGACTACAGGTCTCAAGACTTTTTGTAACTCTGCTGCTAAGGGACTTGTACTTTAGTATGCTTCACTGCTCTAAGTAGGTGCCCCACTTCACTGAAGTGGATGTCTGTGCCGTCCCTGTCCGGGGAGTCGTTATCCATCAACACACCCATCCTGCTATTGGGTAAGTTGTCCACGTGACAACTGTAACCCGCCCTGCCACACTCTTATGAGCCAGAAGGGCAGCATATGCAGTTACTAACTGCTTTTCCAGTCCAGGGAGTGGTTACTCATGAACACACCCTGCTTTTGTTTTTGTTTTGTTTAATCCCATGTAGGTCTTTTTTTCTTTTTAAGTTATGGGATACGTGTGCAGAACGTGCAGGTTTGTTACATAGGTATACATGTGCCATGGTGGTTTGCTGCACCCCTCAACCCATCATCTAGGTTTTAAGCCCCGCATGCATTAGGTATTTGTCCTAATGCTCTCCCTCCCCTTGTCTCCCACCCACTGACAGGCCCCGGTGTGTGATGTTCCCCTTCCTGTGTCCGTGTGTTCTTATTGTTCAACTCCCACTTATGAGTGAGAACATGCGGTGTTTAGTTTCCTGTTCCCGTGTTAGTTTGCTGAGAATGATGCTAACTGCTTTTTTATTAAGGAATACTGGAGTTCAGCTCCCTTCCACAGGTGGGACCAAAAGCCTATGGGCATACCCATGCACTGCAATAGGCCCTAGCCAAAACTATCTGTGGTTACATGCACATCCACTTCAAATGGGCATCCCTGGCTAACTACCTGTAGGGCTTGTGCCTGCTATATAGTCTGGCTACCAGAAAGGCTGTTCCAGCCTTGTCATCCCAACTCCCAGGCAAGAGGGGCACTGCTGCTTCTAAACCTGCAAGAGAATCAGAGGTTAGCATAATATCAGTAAGACCATGACATATGGTAGGGCTATGCATATAGCCCTGCAGCAACACTGTGAAAGTCCATTGTCACCCTCCCATGAAGGCAAACCGTTCCTGGCTCTTGGTGGACTGTCCCGGTTGCATTGTCCAGCGGTCCATCAAGTCCATGACAGAGAGTACAGCTGCCAAGCCGTGTGAAACATCCACCCCCAGAATATCTTCAGGCATGGGAGAGACATGCACAGTGCATAGGCAGAGAACTAAATGGCTGATGCCAAGACGCAGAGACACAGGTTTCACTTCCACTGACTGGCCTTCATAGCTGTTAATAAATGCAGCTCTGCCCAGAAACTTATCTAGGTTCAGGGACCAGTAGATTCCCAAGTCCACACGTGGTCTTTGGTTATTTGGAGTCCCCCAAGCCAAGGACCTTGGCCAGTTCTGTTATTAAACACAAGAGGCTTTATGCTTCCGCCAGCTGTAACAGGTATTCTTTGAACCGGAATGCTTGGATGGGACTGGGTTGCGCAGCAATGTCCTTCTTCCGAATGACTTGCACTAACTCTGTACATGACTGCCGACATTACTTGCTTAACTCCCACAACTTGGCGGGGCACGGGCACCACAGGAAGTATGCTCCACCACAGTAGGGGGCCTCTGGGTCCACCTGTGGGGCCCAAGAGCTGCTTATGCTCTATTTTCTGACAGATCACTGGGTAAGCCTGCAACAGAGGTTTTTCTTCTTCCCTGTGCTGCGTCCTGCAGGGACTGGACATGCACTTCCCACAGTGCAGTCAGAAACACCCATCCAACTCAGCCAGTAAACGCAGCTTGTTGCTGTGCACTTCCAGATGCTTCAGCGCCATCTCCACACTTGCAGGAGACCCCATCTACTGCCTCCCATATTTCCACTGGGGCTCATCCAAGCAGCACCACTGCCACTGAGTACCATAGCCCATGCTGCAGCCACACAGCTAACCTAGGAGCCCTCAGGGACTGAAGACCCACTCACCTCATCCCATCCTCATCACCAATTGTCAGATCCCGGGGTCCAGGTCCAGCCCATGCTGAAGTCCGAGGGGAGTGAGTGGATGAACAGAAAGAGCACTTAGGGGGCCGTAGGCAGGTGAAACGTGATTTTATTCAGCAGTAGCTCTCTTCAACAGCTTTCTCAAACTAGCTTTCTCATCACCAGTTTACTCTCCCACTGTCCACCCTGTCTTGGCTGCTGGAGCTGGCCACCCCCATACACAGCTGTGCAGTCAGCTCTTCCTTGCCTTCAGGGTCAGCAGCTTAACTCTTTCTCTGGGCACAAGCAAGCTAAGCTGTATCCTGGCTCCTTCCTCTCCATTTGCAAGATGGACAGCTTTGGCTCTCTCGTTCTCTGGGCACCAGCATGCCCGCCATGTCAAACCATATTGAGCCAAGCCAAGCCCCAAGAGCCCCTGTACAGCATCAGCAGGGCAGTTATACCTTTTACAGGCAATAGTGGTGTAGAACCAAGAGATGGTCCTCCCATGTTGTGGCTACATGGCTGTGATAACAAGTGGAGTTATACACATGTGCTCTAAACTCACTGAGTCACTCTGGCTGGACATCTGCCTCAGCCTATTCCTTGACCAAAGTACATCCATGTACCTTATGGTACTTTACAGATTTAAGCATTCATGAGTGAATCTGAAAGCTCTCATAATCTAGTCTCTGCATTCTTTGACTTTCACCATTTTGTGCAGCTGAATAGCATTGTGCAAGGAGTCCTGTTCTTCTGAAGTCACACTTTCAACAACCTCAACTAACTAGAAGACTGCTGAATTGAGAGAAACTGTGTTCATGCTTTATTTCAAAGTGGACTTCAGTTTCTGTGTAAAATTATGTTCCCTGATTCCATAAGCCAAGTGATCTTGCTTTACTTCAGCTAGCGAATTGCGAATGATGTTAAGAAAGGGGCCTTGACAATCCCTTAGAAAGGAGACATAAGATACACGTGAGTCACCAAATAGAAAGCAGTCTTCGGCTCCACCTCCGGGGAGTTTTAGGGGTTTCTCTTCCCCACACTTACCATGTTATGTCTTTGAAATGCAGGAGTGGTTATGATAGTGACATGGTCATCAAAAACAAAACTTTATATCCATGCGTAGTTTAATAAAGGTATTGTTACCAGCGGAGGGTCTTGACTAAGAGTGGTCCAGGTTCTTGGTGTTTTGAACAAAGAATTGGACAAAACGCACAAAGCAATGAAAGAACGAAGCAGCGAAAGCATAGATTTATTGAAAAGAAAGTACACTCCACAGAGTGGGAGCAGGCTCAAGCAAGTGGCTTGAGCACTGGTTACAGACTTTTCTGGGGTTTAAATCCCCCCTAGAAGTTCCCCATTGGTTACTTGGTTATACCCCATATAAATGAAGTAGTGGCCTATGATCAAACAGAGGCTGAAGTGAAGTTAAAAAGTTACTACACCCTATGCAAACGTCTGACTGGTTGCAGGAGGGGACCAATCAGAGGTACTTCGTATTTCTCATCTGCAACACAGTGGAAATGGGGGGATTGCAAAGGGAGTAGCCCCTGATCCTTCTGTTACTTGGGTGTGGAGAGGTGGGGTTTTCCTTTTGACTCAGTTCTAGGAAGTCAGTGAGAATCGGCCTGAAGTTCCCTGCCTCAGTATGTGTATCAGTTAGGGAATCAGACAAGCAGAAACTGAGTGATGAGGGATGCTCATGCAGTTGTGTGGGTGCCGACCCTCAAATCAGCAGGGCTGGTATTTGGAGAAGAAAGATGAACTCACAGTGGGGAAAATCAAGGATGAGCTCAAATCTGGAGGACAAGCTAGCATCCATGCCAGTCTCCCAGAGGCTCTAGGCCTCTAACTTCCACATTGCCTGTGACATGCATGGGAAGCTGGAGTCCTCTGCTGGGAGCTTCACATGCTGGCCTGGGATGCAGAGAAGTTGAGCTCAGTGGGAGTTAGAGGGATTGGGGCCCAGCTGCTGGCCTGTGAGCTGCACCTGGTGCCCTACACTGACCTTGAGAGGGTGCAAACCAGGTTGCTGCTGTATATCATCTTCCAAATCACACACAAGATACCCCTGGTGGCCAGCACTAATGTGAAACATGGCAGGGCTGGGAATTCTGAGAAATACAATTCCAGCTTAGCTGGGCTGATGCAGCACAAATGCAGCAGAGTTTGAAAATGTATAAATATTCCCATAAACAATGCAAACAGCTTTGTCTATTTTAACCTTAAACTATTCATAAAATTGACTTGTACGGAATACCTCTTTCCTTGGACATTTCCACTTCAGTGGGAACAAAAAACCTCAGTGTGGGTTGGAAGAGTTACTATGACAATGTATTGATTTTTTTTCCAAATAATTGTTAATTTCAGAACTGATTTTATCCTACTAATAATACCTGGTTCTCTGAGCAGAAAAGCACCCTTTTAATTAAATTCGGTCACACAGGTCATTGCCTGCCCTTCTACTTGTGCCCTGCTGCGGGGACTCTGCTTCCAGCTGCCTTTAATATTGCATAACCCTTTGTCTTCTGCAGCTGGATCACATTCAATAAGTAATTACAGCACATCTGATTAAGGTCACTCCCAGAGCGTTCATTAGTCATCTGCAGGAAAGAATGCTGAGGAGGCATATGTTACTGCAGGTCACTTTCCCCTGTCCTGCTGATTGGAGTCCTCCTCGCACTCTGTACTCAATCATGGCCTCCACTTTAATCACTCCTGGAAGACAAAACACAGCTGGGCCCTGAGAACCCCAGGATTTGTCTACAACTCCAATTTGGCTCTGCTGAGATCTCAGGGGCTCATTGAGGACAAGACACCTTGTCTGTATTTCATGCATTTCCCAAAGCAGCCCATGACAATGCCACAGCAGGTAGGTCAGCCAAGGTGTCATGCACGGCAGGAACCAAGCTGGAGGCTGGATATCAGGAAGGAGGAACAGAGGTCCTGGGCCCCGTTAAGGCTGACATGGGAGCTTGCAGAGCTGAGACCTAGATACCCTCTTCTGCACGAATCCTGAAAAAGATGAGAATCTGAAAGCTCTGAGATCTGTAAAGTGTGCTTTGTTATCAAAGCTACATATAGCACAGCTTCCCTCCGGCACTTTCTGTGACACCCCCAATCTCCTGAGCTGTGGGTTTAGTGCCAAGGTGAGACTTCATTTATAACAAACAGAATTGGTCTGTTTCTTCAGGATGTTTCAACTGTGACTGTAACATTGACCTTCTTTTATGCAATATAAAGACCCCAGGGCTGTTGGCATTCTTATGTGGTATGGCAGCATTTATTTTAAACCTCTTAGATTTATGAAATGGAATCGGTCTGTTTCTTCAGGATGTTTCAACTGTGACTGTAACATTGACCCTCTTTTATGCAATGTAAAGACCCCAGGGTTGTTGGCATTCTTATGTGATATGGCAGCATTTATTTTAAACTTCTGCACGTTCTGAGCAGCACTGAAGACTTCCACTGTATAATATCTCCATAACCATTTTTTTCTAAGGAAACTGCATGGCTTTCTTCAAGTCATTGTCTTAATTTTCCTGAAATAGAAATCTAAGGCTCTAACACAACCAAATTCCTGAATTATGACACTGGACCTGGGCTTATGGAGCAGAGATGGAACATGACACCTGTTCACAAACACAACTGGAAGAGACAGCAAAAGCCAAAGATGTAGGTCTTGGGGCAGTTTCATAGCCTTGACTATAATGTATCTATTAAAATGTGCCATCAAATTCAACTCCTTCCCTCCCAAGAGAGCTAAGGACCCATATGGTCTTTTAAACTTTTAGTCATTTGAGCACTGAGCAATCTGTGTTTCTCCTTGTCAAAGTGTTTTTAAAATGTAATTTCAAGAAAAAAGTGTTCCAAATTCTGAGATTATTTACCACCATATGTCTCATTATTCATGTGGAATGGGTCACATTTTCAATTTACATGTTGAAACATGAAGGACACATACATGCCTGTCTAGCAAGTTGTTGGGGGAAGAATACAATGAATGTTAGAATGAGAGAAATCTAAGGAATCATGTCCCCTGACAACTAAGTGGCAAAACCAGTTCTTGGCTTACTTCAGGTCTGCTGCTTTATTCTCTCCAGAAAATGGAGCATTCTGTCAGAGACCTGCGGTCTGACTACATTCTGAGTACATTTGCAGGTAGTGGCTAGGCAAGGGGAGAAGGGCCATGACCTGCACTCTGGAACCTACCCCTTCTTTTGTCTCCACGGGGTTGTCCTGTCTGGCTGGAGGAGGCTGGTAACCCCTGCTGGACTATGGGACCCTTTCTCAACCACCTTCTCACATAAAATCTCTCATGTAATAGGGAGAGAAGAGAGTCAAGTAGCCCATGAACATTCAACAGATCTGCCTTTTGAGTCCTTAAGAGTTAGCCAGTGTTGGCCTGTTCTATACTAGAGTTCATCCTTTTATCTCAAGTCCTCTGGCCTCCCTGCTTCTTGGGACTAGTGACTCAAAGGCGAATGGGGACAACATAACCAGTCAATACAATATAGCTATTTTGGTTACTCAGAGGACCTTTGGCTTAATGGCAAAATCAAGAAACACCTTGTCTGTGCTGCATAATCTAGTTTTAAGTCATACCATCATGTAGAAAGACTGTGTGTAACATGGGATGCATGCACATGGTCTTAAAATCAGAAACAAAAGGTAGAAAATCATGAAAGAGAGCCAGCTCCTCTCCCTGAAGCCATTACTCCAGATTCAAGCTTTTGACCTGGACAGAAGTATGCTCTGGTTCCAGTCTGGGCATGGTGGCTCATGTCTGTAATCTCAGCACTTTGGGAAGCTGAGGTGAGAGGATCGCTTGAGTTCAAGACAAGTCTGGGAAACATAGCGAGACTCCATCTCAACAAAAAATAAAGTTAGCTGGGCATTGTGGGGAGTGCCTGCAGACCTCCCTACACAGAAGGACGGCTTGAGCCCGGGAATTACTGGTTGCAGTGAGTTGTGATCGCACCACTGCTCTCCAGCCTAGACAACAGAGTGAGACCTTATCTCTAAAAAAACAAAAAGTACACTCTATCTTCATTAATTCGAACATTGATCATTAACCAGACCTGTCTTCCAGATGTTATGTCCACAGCAGTGACTTCTCTAAAATCTGAAAGGAAAGGGAAAGCTATTGGCCATGCTTTGTAATACACAAATTTATTTTAATTACACTTGCAGAACTAAAAGGATTGCTCTTCCTCTGGCCTCCGGGTCGCCATAGTGGTGGCAGAGGCTGCAGTGTTGGAGGAACACTTTGGAATCTGTGGCTGACCCGGGTAGCTGAAAACAGCAGTGACATTTCAGTACCACTTGTCAGTTTTTGGCTCAGTAGCAGAAGGCTGCCTACAGAGCACCTAAAGTGTATGTTTCCCAAATAGGAGTGGCACTGCGACTGGTCTGGATCATGTACAAAACTTCATCCTCTTTCCTTCAACACAGGAACAGGAAGGATTTTAATGGCTTGAGTTTATGATGCTATTGAAAAGGCACTATCAACATTTCCCAGCAGCTACGACTCCATATCCATTCAGGGACCAGCAGCCCATCTGTTGATTTCCAAGGCAGGGCTGTTAACTGCATCTGGGTTACATATGCCTGGCCAGTTCAATGGTTGTGTGTGTGTAGCAATCTTTGGTTGTGCATGACTGTAACAACCTCTCAGGGTCTCAGTTTCCTCTTTGGTTCAGTAAGAATGTCCCCTGTGCTTTTGAAGTCTGTTACATGTGCTCATGCTTGAATGAGACTGTGTTGCATCAATTGAGCTATAATGCAAGATCATTAAATTAATGACTGTGATGAAATGAGGGTAAACTCTTTCTCCAGGGTAGACTGGCTGAGTAGAACAGGGACTTCTTAAAATTATGTCACATTAATTTGGCCAGAGGTTTGCTGTCCTAATGATCTCAAGATTAGGATGGGCAACCTTCTGTACACAGGCTATAACCAGCGTGGCTAGTGGTGGTGCATCCCAACACATGGAGGAGGAGATCCTCCTCCTCTTACACCATAAAAGAAGGTGTAAGTGTAGCAATGCAACTAGAGGAGACTACCATTCCATCTCTGCCTTATCTCCTCAGTGTTACTGTTTTATATCTTTGTATGGCTGGACAGGTGGGACAGCTACATTATAGATCAGAGGAAGTTTAGCATCAATTCAAGGAGGAAACTCCCTCCTTAACCAAATCGAAACATTCATTTCAAAGACATAAGTGTATGGTGATTTTGTTTTTCAAAGTGATTGGTTACATTTGTTCCTTTCACTAGAGAGGCAAGTGAAAATACTCCAGACACATCTTCCATCAGCTGCCTCTTCACATTATGATAAATGAATTTGACCAGGTATTTCCCTTTTTTATTTAGACTACTTCCCACAGTAAAGTGATCTTTCCAAACCAGGTTTACTGATAGAAAAACGATGTGGGAACTATTGCCAACTTTGAAATACTCTTCTTTTGGATGATTAAGTCAGCAAATGGATACTTGGCGAGTGGAAGCATAAAGAGATGTTGGGTTGGCTCCAGGTGCTGCCAAAACCTAGATGTAGGCTAGTGGGAGGAAAGTCTTTGTTAAGACATATAATCTTGACAAAAGCTGGATGGAGACAAGAGAAGTTCTTTTTGTGTGTGCCCCATATAAGTTCATGAACTGACCCTCTGACGAAACACTCTACGTGTGTTACTTCATAATACACAAAGGCGTGAACATCCTGGGGGAAAAATGCTCACAATAATTTGCAGGCCTTTAAGAGGGAGAGTCCATTTCTTAACTCCTTGTGGCTTTCATTGACTGGTAGAATGTGCCCGAAGCGATGTTGTGTGAGGTCCAGGGCCTGAGCCACAAAGAGCCTTACCACTTTTTGGAATGTCCCTGCCCTCATTTGAGGAAGTCCAGGCCAGACTACTGAGTGATGAGAGGCCCATGGAGAAGGGCCAGACGGTAGCTGGCACCAAGGTACCAGTTGTGTGAATTGAGGCCATCTTATACCCTCCATCCCCAGGCCAGCTGTGAGCCAGTTACAGCCATGAGTGGCCAAGGCGTGCGTTGCCCAGCTGAGCTTAGGCCACATGGAGTGCAATGAGCAAATAATGGGTGCTGGTTTTCAGCCACTGAGTTTTGGGGTAGTCAGTTACACAGCAATCGATACCTAATGCATATTGCAGACGAAGAAACTGAGCACTAGGAAGACTAAATAACTTGCTCCAGGGTTCTAGAGGCCATAGATGACAGTCAAGATTTGAACTAAGTAAGTCTTTCTGACTTTGAATTCCCCTTCGTTTGTCCATGTCAAAAGTATTCCACTTCAACAAAGAAGTCCTGAATCACTGGAAATGTTAATAGTTTTTTAAAGGACTAGTCTCTTATAAACAGATGGTGACCAACAGTAGTGAAAAAATAATTAGTATTTAGTCATGTGCTACACAATGGTGTTTCTGTCAAGGATGGACCGCATATAGGACAGGGGGTCCTGTAAGGTTATAATGTAGCTGAAAAAATTCCTATCAAGCTAGTGATGATATAGCCATGGTGGCATCGTGGTGTGCTTTACTTTTTAATTTAGTGCAGCCTAAGTGTAGAGTGTTCATAAAGTCTACAGCATTGTACAGTAATGTCCCAGGCCTTCACATTCATTCCTCACTCACCCATCCAGAGATTCTTCCGGTTCTGCAGGCTGTACTTATGGTTAGTATCCTCTATAGGTAATAGGTATATCATTTTTTATATGTTTACTGTACCTTTTCTATGTTGCACAAATACTTACCATTGTGTTACAATTGCATACAGTATTTATTATCACGTGTTGTACAGGTTTGTAGCCTGAGAGCATAGGCCACAGCATACAGCCTACATGTATAGCAGGCTATGCCATCTAGGTTTGTGTAAGTATGCTCTGATGTATACACAATGATGAAGTTACCTAATGATGCATTGTTTAGAACTTATAATGCATGACTGTATTTTTATTTTTCTTTTTTCTTTTTTTTCTTTTCTTTTCTTTTCTTTTTTTTTTTTTTTTTTTTTTTTTTTTTTTGAGTCTCGCTGTGTTGCCCAGGCTGGAGTGCAGTGGCGCGATCTCAGCTCAGTGCAAGCTCCGCCTCCTGGGTTCATGCCATTCTCCTGCCTCAGCCTCTAGAGTAGCTGAGACTACAGCCGCCCACCACCACGCCCGGTTAATTTTTTGTATTTTTAGTAGAGACTGGGTTTTGATCTCCTGACTTCGTGATCCTCCTGCCTCCGCCTCCCACAGTGCTGGGATTACAGGCGTGAGCCACCGCACCCAGCCCACATGACTGTATTTTTCTGTCTCCATGAGTTGGAAAATGTTTTCCAAAACACCTTCAGAGAATGGCACCTGCTGTTTGGGGTTTGCATTAGGATTCTTGAGCTGCTAATGTTCTAACGTCACAGGGCTCACGGTTTGGGCAGGCCTAACTTGTCTGAGGTGCAGCTTTTCCTTTCCTGAGGGAACCTATGAGTACTTTTGAGTCCAGTCCACTTGAGGAAGGAAAAGATTGACCAGGGAGTCAGCCCACTGCGGAGGGTGGTGTTGTGAAGGCTTCTGAGTGCAGATGAAGGCCCTTCTGAGCAGCGACGCCACCAGTTAGGATCCAGAAAACTCTCTAAAGGCCAGATAGTTATTTTAGGCTTTTGAGGCTAGATTGCCTCTGTCACAACCACTCAGCTCTGCTGTTGTCACTCGAAATCAGCCATAGGCAATGTGGAAACAAATGAGTATGGCTGTGTTCCAGCACATTTTATTCATAAAACAGGCAGTGGACTGGATTTGGTCCATGGGTCATAGTTTGCCAATCCCTGAATTAGAGGAAGCTTGCCCACCAAGAGGCTGCTCCAGAGCTTGTGGTGGTTTTGCTGGCTTGGGTATCTATAGGGTTTGAATGATGACACAGTCTCCAGGTAACTTTTGTGTAAACAAGCTAAAGCTGGGGATAAACAAAGCAAACCGGATTGGACCCAGAGATGCTTTAAGGATTCCTGAAAGTGCCCATTCCAATAATGTCCTTGCCCGTTGGCTCCAGAGAAAGCCAGGCAGCAGTCCAACAACCATCTGGCACAAGGTCCTCTATTGTATCCTTGGGCAAATTACTCTGAGTCTCAGCTTGCTTATCTGCATGATGGGGAGGATAATGGGCAGACTCTGCAAAATGAGTGGGCCACTAATGTCACATTGCTGTACTCTTTACCCCATGCCTATTGAGAAGAATCAATTTCAGTGCAATCACTGACCAATGTGGATAGCAGCTGTAGATTATAAGTGCTTTGTTGTCCACAAATTTTGCTAGGGACAAGTTAATTGCCCAACTGGGTACTATATCACTGCAGCACATTTGACTGCTGGGCCTGCCTGTTCATCATATAATAATTGGTGTGTTCTGGCATCTCCCTCCTGACAGTTGCTCAGGTATTAACAGAAGTCAGTGGGACTTGGAGTAAGGTCTTTGCTGTTCCCAAGGTCTTAATCACCTGACTGACAGAGGTTACCTTCCTGAGCCCCGGTGCACCAGATGGAGTTTATTTTAAAAATCAGCTTCAATTACTGCAATAAAATATTAGACGCTCTTAATTCGGTTGGCGTTGGGGGACCTGTTTTTATAGCCCTTGGTGGGGTGCTCATTTGTATCATTTGCTCCTTCAAACTGGAGTTTGACCTGAAATTCTTTAGGAGATGGCATAATAAGAAAAACAGAAGAATAAGAAGAATGGCTTAGCTAAAATTTGCATTCATCCTGATGCATTATTTTTTACCAATGTTACATTTCTAGAACACTGCTATATTTGAATCATACCTTGCTATTTTGCAGTGTGGAATATTTTATACTTGATCACATGTGAAACACGGTGTGGTCTATATATCCAAGTGAAAAGAAGACCCTCACCATGCAAAGTGAATTTTTTTTTTTTTTTTTTTGAGACGGAGTCTTATTCTGTTGCCCAGGCTGGAGTGCAGTGGCATGATCTTGGCTCACTGCAACCTCTGCCTCCCAGGTTCAAGTGATTCTCCTGCCTCAGCCTCCCGAGTAGTTGGGGTTTCAGGAATGCGCCACCATGCCCGGCTAATTTTTGTATTTTTAATACATAGGGGGTTTTGCCATGTTGGCCAGGCTGGTCTTGAACTCCTGGCCTCAGGTGTAACTTTCCTATGTTTAGATGCACAAATACTTACCATTGTGTTACAATTGCATACAGTATTCATTAGTCACATGTACAGGTTTGTAGCCTGAGAGCATAGGCCACACCATATAGCCTACATGTATGGTAGGCTATTTGAACACCTCAGGTAATCTGCCTGCCTCAGCCTCCCAAAGTGCTGGGATTACAGGCATGAGCCACTGTGCCTGGCCCAAAGTGTATTTCTTTGCTTGTGGTGTTCTTGGTTGTAAGGGCTTTCTGCAATGGGTTGGTCAGTTGGTGATTTCATTTGCATGACAGCAGCTGATTTTCCCTATGTAGGGTCTCTCAGGAGGGCTTCCTAGATTTCTTTTTTATATGATTGCGTCTTGTCAGATCACAGGAAATTTAAGTTGCTCTGTTCTTGTTCTTGAAAGGAATCCTGATGACCTAGCCACACCCTGCAATCTCTATTCACCCTAACCCACCTCCTTCATAGGCTGGAAGATCAAAGCCATCCTCTTAAGTTTTCCTTTAGATATAACTCACTATCTTTAAATAATGGAAACCAGAGAAATCAGAAAGTATCCATATAATTTTATTGTCTTCATGTCAGTACAAATGTTCCCACCTGCTCTCCTAACAAAGATATCTTTCTTTTAAAGGAAAGACCACTGAGTGAGAGTGAAGGGGCATAGTCTTGGCCCCAACAAACCACTGGCCAGTGATATGATCTCGGACCTCAGTTGTCTTACTCATAAGACGAGACTGTCTTGGATAAACTCTTGGTCTCTCTCCAGCACTCTTGAACATTTCATCCAGCAGATAGTTCACATCACGTGATGGCACTGTGACCACATTTTCGGTTCTTTAAAGCACTTCAATTCACTGAGTGTCTATTTCTTCATTCCAACCACAAGGAGAATAAAAGTGCAGTGTGTGAAAGTAAAATTCTTCAAAATCCTGGCCAAAATGCCCGTGTGTTCTTATTTCGGTCAGGTTGCACTTTCCTGTGAGAACAGGATGATCTCGGTTTTCTCCTGCTGAATCAGCTGTGGCAGCCAAGCAGGAAGAGCCTTCCTAGTGCCCCAGCACTCTGCTTCTGTCAGCATGCTTCTGGGCCGCCCAGACGTAGCCCACACCACTGGAGGTCTCACTGTTTGCATACATTTCCTTTGTCTCGACCATTTCATGAAGTGTAGCCAGAAGTACTGTCAGCACTCATTAGACCAAAATTGTCTTCAGCTCAAAGCAAATATTTTGTGTGTTGAAATCTTTATCAGGTGTGTGATCCACGTCCCAGGAGTGCTTTTAATGAGCTGTGAGATGTTGGTCATCTGTCACCTTCAGTTTTTTGTGCTAATTTAAATTGCTCTGTTCTTGTGGCTGATGATGCCCTAATCAGAATCTTCAAAGCTGCCCTCTCCCTGGGGCCAATTTTCTGTCTGCTATTGCCTTCTGGACATGTCAACTGCTAGTTGACATCTTGAAAACAGGGCTCTTTGTCTTATCCCCCAAATCAACTTAACTTGCCCAGTTTTAATTTCTGCCAGGAGCTCTACTGTTTTCTCTAAGGTCAACTCGAACTCCAGATCTATGACTGCTCTGTCTTATTTTTTCCACCTCCCTGCTCCCCTCAGATAACCCTCCCCTCACCTGACCTCAGGTGATCTGCCCGCCTTAGCCTCCCAAAGTGCTGGGATTACAGGCGTGAGCCATTGTGCCTCTCTCTCCCTCTCCTTTTCCCTCTCCCTCCCTCTCTCTCCCCTCTCTCTCCTTTCCTCTCTTCCCCTCCCTCTCCCTACCTCCCTCTCTCTCCCTTTCTCTCCCCCTCTCTCCCCCTCTCTCCCCCTCTCTCCCCCTCTCTTTCTCTCTCCCATTCCTCTAACCACAGCCCTGATGGTCCTGCTTTAAACCCCATGTAATTCTCACCTGGGCTTTTACAATATTTTACTAACAAATTCACCTACCTTTCTTCTTTTAATCTGTTTTACTGCTAGAAAAACAGAAAAAGAATGGCCAAGCTCCACAGATTGGATGAGATTGCTATGGATAACTCAAAGTTCTGTTGATTTAGATAAAAGATTGTTTTAAATTACTATAGACACAAAGCCTAGAAGTAACATATTTGACTATGTCACTTTTGCCATATAGAAGATTAACATGTTTAAAATGCAAAGAACAGACTAAGGAAAATATTTACCAGATATAATGTGGGAAGGGATTTGGATTTCTTAACTATAACAGGTTTCTACAAATTAGTAAGAAAATACAAAAATAGATCAAGGATTTTGTTTCTTTTATCTATTGCTGTTGAACAAACCACTTCAAATAGTTTGTTCAAATGGTTGTTCAGCTCTTTCTTCATATGGCCTTTCCTGCAGGGGACTGGGCCTCTGTGAAATGGCATAGGGTTCTAAGAGGGAGCTACACAAAGATAAAAACCCCACTGTACAAACCCTTATCAAGCCTCAGCTTGGGCTATGATGACTAATTCACTGTTGACCAGAAAGAAGTTACATGGCCAAGCCCAGAGCCAATGTAGGAGGTGATAACATTAGAGTGTGAATATGAGGGGTGATTCATGGGAAGCCCCCGTGTAACAGTCTACTACAGATACGAACAGGCAGTTTATTGATGAAATGGGGATGACTCATAAACACAAAAAATACACAACTTCATTAGTCAAAGAAATGCAAATGAAAACGAAAGGCTATTTTCATTGGAAAATCTACAAATATTCAGCATATAGTTCATATCTAGTGTTAAGCTTATAGAAGAATGTCATACGTTTTGGTGAGAGAATAGATTGACCCTTTTAAAGGGTTGTCAATGCATTTCAAAAGAGAAAAAGTTCATGACTGGGCCAATTCCACTTCTACATATACAGGTATTCCTATAAGCTCCCTAGAATGCATTATATAGGGATGTTGATTGTATTAGTTCATTTTCACGCTGCTGACAAAGAGACGTACCTGAGACTCAGAAGAAAAAGAGGTTTAATTGGACTTACAGTTCCACATGGCTGGGGAGTCCTCAGAATCATGGCAGGAGGTGAAAGGCACTTCTTACATGGCAGCAGCAAGAGAAAATGAGGAAGATGTAAAAGGGGAACCCCCTGATAAAACCGTCAGATCTCATGAGACTTATTCACTACCATGAGAACAGTAAGGGAGAAACTGCCCTCATGATTCAAATTATCTCCCACTGGGTCCCTCCCACAACACATGGGAATTATAGGAGTACAATTCAAGATGAGATTTGGGTGTGGACACAGCCAAACCTTATCATTGGTATTTCATTATTTGTAATTGCAATAAACTAGAACATGAAAGTCCACGAGTCAGGGAATGGGTAAATGATAAATCTATACTAGTAAATACTTAGAAGCCATAATAAGATGAGTTAAATCTGTATATACTGACGTGGAATGGTATCCCAAATATTTTGAGTGGAATAATATGCATTATGTGTGACCATTTCCATGAAAACAAAAATGTTGTGGGTGCTCACACCGATATAGAGAAAAGGGTCTGAATGAGAAGTGAAATTGTGTTGAGAGTGCATACTGAGTTTTTTACGTACTTCTGAATATTTGGAGTCTTTTATAATAGGTATTTACTGTCATTATAGGGGGAGAACTGAAGTCTCCTTTAAAATGTTTGTATATGGATATATACACACATATATAGAGATGCATATATTTACAGCGAGATACCGTATAAGAGAGTCCAGGAAGGTCCGTGGATACCTGAAGATCTGCTCATGGAACCTTTCTCTTTATGCCCTCTAGGCTCTCTTCAGCTTATTTTCTATTCTGGAAAAATTAAGGCCTGTGAATAACTAGTAATTTAAATAAAAGGCATATCTTATGACCTAGTTTTGAGCTCTTTCAATTGTATATTGATTGTATTAACATAAAGCTTCATATATTCTGTTTTGTCAATGTCTGGAACTAAACTTCATATTAGATGTGAAGGTTTTCAAAAGTCAGGACTCTACCTGATATTGTGCTAAATGTTCCAATTCGTTATCAACTACTCATTGCATTCCCTAACACTAATATAGAAATAGGTATAAATCAAATCAGGGTTTCCTCTTAAAAGGTATAATGGAAAAAGAGACCCAGGTGAATTTCTGTGATATAAGTCTGAACCAGCCCTTTTAAAATGCCCTTTCTTTGTCATACAGATGAATCTTTGTCATCCATTTTCCCACCTCTTTCCCTCTTTCCCTCATCTCCTTACTAAGAAAGACAACGTTACTAACTTTTCATTTTGTGCTGTGAAGCTCTTGAAACCATACCAATGGAAAAGAGGACCTCGAAAGGGAAAGGGAAGGACCTGAGAGAAAAACATTCCTCTTCTAGTTTAGAGCACCTGCAATACATGGGTGCATGTGAGCTGCAAAAGTACATCTTATGTAGTTTGAAAAGATCATTTGCAGGATGGTATAAAATCATGTCCTTTTTGTAAGGAAAAAGCAATTGTTCAGAAATACAGAGTTTTTATTTCATAATGGTGAGGGTTAATTTTAAAATTTCTTAATAAAAAGCCTACAGCAATGGATTTTTAGCAGACAAATACAGTTAGTGATTCTATTTTGCTTTATGGTTCCATGGAAAGGATCAGTTAAGCTTCAAGGAGGCCAAAAAGGAGCATAGTAAATCAGCTCTCCTTTCTGGGAGTTAGAAAAATCACCTACTATGTGGCTGATACAATTAAAATATTCCTGTAGTGCTTTGAAATCGGCTGCTTATTTGTTATCTTCTGATAGATATTTTATAAATTATTTTAGTTTTTGTGTGTTACAGAATGAATGTAGATAAAATTTAAATAGAGCACTTAATATTTTACTTTCTAAGGAAAGTCTGTTTTCATAGACTACAAAAACCAAACATAATAAACCCCTGCTTCCAGAATACGTGTGTTTGAAATTTGACATTTTGCATGAAAGGTGGTGATGCTCGTTTAAACACAAACAGAATCCCAGAACTGCGAGTGTCCCTCTCATTGCTTTCTGATTCTCGCATTAGTGTTTTCTGTTTTTTTTTTTTTTTTTTTTTTTTGAGACGGAGTCTCGCTCTATCTCCCAGCCTGGAGTGCAGTGGCGCGATCTTGGCTCACTGCAAGCTCCACCTCCCGGGTTCACGCCATTCTCCTGCCTCAGCCTCCTGAATAGCTGGGACTACAGGCGCCCGCCACCACACCCGGCTAATTTTCTGTATTTTTAGTAGAGACGGGGTTTCACCCTGTTAGCCAGGATGTTCTCGATCTCCTGACCTCGTGATCTGCCCGCCTCGGCCTCTCAAAGTGCTGGGATTTCAGACGTGAGCCACCGCGCCCGGCCTCTCGGGGCCTCTCGCGGCCTCTCGCATTAGTTTTATGGATACAATCCTTGTCTTCAACTTAACCAGCATCATTTTTTCTAAGTTGCACAGCTTACCTGAAAATCATATGTACATAATCAGACTCTTTTTAATCCTAAATATTAGCCATATAGAAAATTTTAAGTCTTTTTCTGGGAGGAAAACAATAAAAATACTTTAATACTGTATATTTCACTGAAAACTTTCCCTAAATAATATTTAATGAATGTTTGCAGAGGCCTGGCACAGAATTCTAGATTCGTTAGCAGGATTTCTTCAGGTATGGTGCGGGGATCACCTACATTAAGTCCAGGAGGAGGTCATTTGTGCAGAATCCTAGGCCCCTGGGAGTCAAGGGTGGGGCCCTGGACTCTGCATCTTCACCAGTTCCCCAGGTAACTTTTTGTGTAAAATATGGAAAGCATTGGGATCCAACTAGAGCAATCCAAGGCTTCCCGAGAAGGAAGCCAAAATTTGGAGGAGAATCTAAGTTATACTTGTTGGCTTGTTACTTTAAAAATTTTTAAGAATTTTTAAAAAGAGGGAAAAGGCAACTTTCTGGGTGGCCTGGGTTTGGCGAGATCTTGGAGGCATCAGCCTTCATCCCTAGTGGGGTTCGAGAGTTCAGTAGTCATGGGGGAAGCCATGTGTGGCCGGCCATGAGAAAGAGGGATGTTGGTGGGTGAGAGCTTCAGAGAAGGTTCAGCTCTATGAGGCACTTCTGCAGTGGCACCAGAAGGGGAGAGTAACCTAGAATTACTGCCTGCGGGGAGGAAAGGATGTGTGGGAAATGGCACTTCAGAGGCATTCCAAAGCACCCTCAGTCCCGTACTTTCTTGGACTCTTGGCCAGGCACATTTTAGCAGTGGTACTAGTTTCCCAGCACTATTATATAAATTCTTTAAAACAGTGCTTGCCTTTTTTGATATATTCCATTTTTTCAGATGCATATGGTGCAATAGAACATTAAGGATGACTTTCTTATCAGCCCTATTAAGCTGATAGTATCACTTCTTCTGATCTATTACAGGAATTCTTTTTAAGTGTCTGTTTTTATAATTTTAAAAATCTGTTGCTTTCATTTTATATAATTTCTCATCCTTGATGCTTTAGCTTTGCTTTGAGAAACAGAATTCTGCCTTTGTGGAATGTAATTTATCATGCCACGTGTTCATAAAAATTCTAGAATCTCGTGTTGTAAAAGGTCATTAGATTTCATACTGTCTGGATACCCCTTAAATTCAAGAATTTATTAAGATTTCTACCTGAATATCTCTAGCAATAGGGCACCCAGGCAGCACTGAGAAAGCATAGTTCTTTTAAGGTTAGCTCTAATTGTAGGGAATTTTTTTTTTTTTTTTGAGACAGGATCTCACTCTGTCACTTAGGCTGGGGTGCAGTGGCACACTCACAGCTCACTGCAGCCTCGACCTCCTGGGCTCAGGTGATCCTCCCACCTCAGCCTCCGGTGTAGCTGGGACTACAGACGTGCTACCATACCCGGCTAATTTTTGTATTTGTTGTAAAACAGGGTCTCACCATGTTGCCCAAGCCAGTCTTGAACTCCTGGGCTCAAGCTATCCACCCACTTCAGCCTCCCAAAGTGCTAGGATTGTAGGCATGAGCCACCATGCTTGGCCACAAAGATTTTTTTTTTTAATTAAGCAGAAATGTCTCCTAGCATCTGGACTCTTTAATTCTAACCTTGCTTGGTGATAGCAGCTGGAAGAAGGCTAATCTGTCTTCTCCATCACATCCCCTCACCAATTTGAACACAGAGTGTGTTATCTTGTGTCTTCCTTTTCCGAAATCTTTCCCTTCAACTCTTCCTCCAATGGCCCAGTTTTGTGGCTTCCTCACTCCTCCTGCTGATCTCCATGGGATGGCTCCAGCTATCAGTGACCCTTAAATATGGACACCTAGGACTGACTCCTGTTTCTCGGAAGATCTGAATAACAGCATTCAGAACTATACCCCCCTTTTCTGGAAACTGCACATATCTACTGGAGTAGCCACCAGGCTAATGACCCTCTCCAAAAAGATGGTGAGGTTATTTGAAGTGCCTGTCCTTAGTGAATCCATTTTGATTCCAAATGATCCCTGTATCTCTGCCTCATTATTACAAGGCTCTACTTAAATTATTTAATGTAGAATTTTTTGCCTATGTTTGGTATAAACCTCCCTGACATATGGTGTTGAAATTCTCCTGTTTGTCCTTGTTTTTAGTTTCCCATCATCAGAACATTTGTCATGATTTTCCCTTCTTCTCTGACTTAGAGTACTGAATAGAATTTAAGTGAACAAAGTCTCTCAAAACAATTCTACTTAATTCAAGTGTAATAGTAAACATCATCCTACTAAACAATGAAAAGGTGAGTGTTTTGCAAAGCTACCATATATAAATTATAATGTCATTATGGCTACTCTAACCGATTAATGACATGATGATCTCATTGTATAAGTGAAGAACAATCTCAGACAGCTTAAATGAATTGCCCAATGTTCCCACGTGAGAAGGAATGAAGGAAAGATTCTTATGTGATTCTTCCTGCCTCTAGGGACTAGGTCTTTGAGTTGATATTTTTCCAGCAGCCCAACTACTTTCTTCTAAAGCACTGGCTGGACAGACACTGTTAGTTTCTTAGGGTCTCTATCATGATTTTTGGGGCAGGAATTGATGAACTTCTTCTGTAAAGACAAGACATTAAATATTTCAGGGTTTACCGGTTCTGTAATCTGTTATGAGTACTTAACTCTGCTGTTGTGACCTGAGAGGAGGTAAATGATATGGAAATAAAGGGCATGTCTGTGTTCCAAACAAAACAGAAAGCCAGTTTGCCAACACCTGTTTTAGAACATGAATTCATTTGGGAAGACATAAAATCTTGCAACACAAAAAGATTGGGTTCATTTGTGGAAGCAGCCATGTTAAGAAAATCAGTGGGGAGAAGAGGACTAAACCACTGCAGTTTGAAACTGTAGGAAGTCCAAAAGGAACAAAAACAAAAAATAGAATGACAGCAACACCCCCTATTTCCCTCCTCCCTATTACCACACACACTTCATACCAAGGTTGGCCACAGTTCAGCTAGAACATGGACACATGGGCTCAGCTTCACTGGAACATATTTGACTCTGAATTATTTCAATTTATTTACAAGGGATGTAAATTGTACTGTCTTTCTGGGTCCTATGTAATATTTCTATATGTAATTTTCTCAGATAATGGATGAAAATTAAGCTGTTGGCTTCTTGGGTTTGATCCATTATGAATACTAAAAACCAACAAAAAAAAGTCTAATGTTTAATTGCCTTCTATAATTTATTTCTCTCAATGGAGGAAATGTTAAGGAGTACTTATAATAAGTTTATCAATTTTTCAGAGATAGTATTAGTGAATTAAATATATTCTAATCATTTATAAATGCTTCCTATTTCTTATTAAAGGAAATGAAAGGTTTATTTTGGAACTCAAAATTTTATGGGTCCAAGATTATACACTGATCTTCAAGTCAACTAAATTCATCAAAGAGAATTCTGGAGATTAATGGGTAGGGAGAACTTACCAAATAGAATTCTCCATGGGGCAAGAACATATAGAATTTGAAAAAAGCTTATTTATTATAAATTATTTTTCAAAAGCAAACAAGACTCTGTGTTTAAAATGTAAACTATAGAAAGTAAAATTAAAAATATTAGTCTGGAAAAACATGACCAATTGAAAATTTTGGTTGATTCTTATGTGAGTTTTGGAGCATATTCATGCAATGTAAATTTTGGGAGAAAAGGAATTTTTCATTTTAATTTAAATGGGAGTTTTAAGGAACCAGAAGATAAGGTCAGATTCATCCAGCCTTAGAGAATCATGATGATGTTACTGCCAATAGCCTTATGCCTTGTCTGATTTTTGTCATTTGTGTTAGTTATCTATTGCTGCATAACAAAATGCTCCAAAACTTAGCAGCTTAAAATAACACATGTTTCTTGCCCTTCGTTTCTGTTGGTGAGCAATTTGGGCCCTGTTTAGCTGAGTCCTCTACTTCAGAGTCCCTCATAGGCTACAATCAGGTGTCAGCTGAACCATAGCTGTTCTAAGTTTGAAGGATTTGCTTCCAGGCTCATATGGTTATTGGCAGGATTCAGTTTCTCATGGGGCGTTGGACAAGGGCCTCAGTTCTTCGCTGACTGTTGCCCACTCTCAGTTCCTTGAAATGTGCCTCTTCAGTGTGGCAGTGTTCTTCATCGAAGCATGCAAGCCACAAGGCCCCAGGGAGAGCCAGCAAGATGGCAGTCACGGTCTGTCATTATTTTCTTGCTGTTTTTTTTTGTTTTTTGTGTGTGTGTGTGTGTTTTTTAAATATAGCAGAGTCCTGCCCTATAGCCCAGGATGGAGTGCAGTGGCACAATCATAGGTCCATGCACCCTTGACCTCTTGGGCTCAAGCGGTCCTCCTGCTTCAGCCTCCTGAGTAACTGGGACTGTAGGTGCATGCTACTGTGCCTGGCTAGTTTTTTACTTTTCTAGAGATGGTATCTTGATATGTTGCCCAGGCTGGTCTCAAACTCCTGGCCTCAAGCGGTCCTCCTGTCTCAGCCTCCCAAAGTGCTGGGATTACAGGTGGGAGCCACGAACCCAGCCTAGTCTTTTATAACTTAATCATGGAAGTGACTTCTTGTCACCTTGCCATATCTGCTGGTTAGAAATAAGTCCCTACCCTCCAATGGGAGAAGATGACACAGGGACATAAATACCAGGAAGCCAGAATCATTGAGATCATTGTAGATGTCTGCCTATCACAGACCTCTAAATTCTGTCAGGCTCATCCAACTTAAGAAGTTGCCTATAAATGTCACCAGCATTTTTAGAACTTATGGCCCACTTTTGACTGTTTACTCTTGTCCCTCCTCACGTCAGGCATTTTTTTTTCCCCAGGATGTCATGTGTAGCACCCTTTGGTGAGTAATTCCCACAGTGAAATACATATATTTCAATGCCATTAAGCTGTCCTTTGACAAATTTGTGTTACTTAATCAGATGGCCAAGAAAATATGTATGCTCTATGGACAGGGCAAGTTTGGGAGACATCAGCTGATTGATTTGCTTCTTGGCATTGCATCGCGCCTTTTCAAAGTATCCCAATAATAGATACAAAACTGTTTAATGGAGCTCAGCTGTTCCAAGGAAAAATAACTTTATCAGAGACATTTAGAAATGGAAATTAAGAGGAAACAAATGTGCATGTATATTTTGGCAACTGAAGATGAACATATCTTTGAAGTTCTTTGAAGTTTGGGATACATTGGGAATTTACTATGGAGTTTTTGAGAATGAACTCACCCGCTCTATAGCTTTTACTGTAGCTATTCAATAATAGAGTTAAATATACTCATGTTGTTCTTGACATCCTTGATTTATGGGACCATAAGTCTTTAGGTGCATTATCTTATTGGACGTATTTAGTGACAAGCTGTTTTGCTTAAGTACCACCTTGTTTTGACAATGTAGCCTGTTTTTAAGCATATTCCAAAAAATAGATTTTTCATTTACTATGTGCTATGTACTCTTCAAGGAGTTTTAAAGTAACTCGTTTAGTCCCCATAATACCCCTGGAAAATAAGCACTGTTATTATCTCTACTTTACAAACAGGAAAGTGACATGCAAGAGGTTAAGTGACTTGCTCAAGGGCACACTGCTGGGAGAGGACGGAGCTGTGAACCAGATTCTATTGAGGTATATCACGCATTCAAGTTTGAATGAGATGGAAAAATGTGTTAAACAGAAGGAGGAGTCACCAAATTCCTTTTGAGGTGACACATTGAAGGCTGTACACTTTATATACTTGCTGAAGTAAGAAACTTGTCAGCCACTGTATTAGTCCATTTTCACACTGCTGATGAAGACATACCCAAGACTGGGTAATTTATAAGGAAAAAGAGTTTTAATGAACTCACAGTTCCACGTGGCTGAAGAGGCCTCACAATCATGGTGGAAGGCAAAAGGCACAT